>NC_000012.12:49960128-51210128 GCF_000001405.40 Homo sapiens | reverse complement strand
TAAAAAATAAAAAAAATTAGCTGGCCATGGGTAGTCCCAGCTACTCTGGTGGTTAAGGTGGAAGGATCACTTGAGGCTGGGAGTTTGAGGCTGCAATGAGCCATGGTCATGCCACTGCATTACAGCCTGGGCAACAGAGCAAGACCCTATCTCAAAACAAAAAAAAAATCTGAGGGGAGACATCACCTAAGAAGGAGGCTAGAGCCCCATTGAGGTAGTTAGATGCTCACCAGTTCTTTCAGCAAATTCCTCTGCCCCTCCTGCACCCCCTCATCCTACCTGAAAGGGGAAGGCTCATTTCCTCTTTTTTCAAATTGTTAGGTACCTGGAATTGCTTGCCCTCTCTTGAATCCCACTCTAGAGGGGTTAAGGAAGGAAGAGGAGGGAAAGAACCTCATGGTTCTCCTTACCTGGTTGATCAGGGAACATTCTGCCAAGCAATGAAGATGCTAAAACCCCAGGGGTGATCCAGCAATTCCATTCCTAGGTATATACCCAAAGAATTGGAAGCAGGTGTTCAAAAAAAATTATACCCAATAGTCATAATACACTATTTGCAATAGCCAAAAGGTAGAACAACCCAAATGTCCACCAACTAATGAATGGATAAACAAAATATAGTGTATCCATACAATAGAATACTATTCAGCCATGAAAAGGAATGAAGTTCTGACACATGCTACAATGTGGATGAACCTTGGAAACATGCCAAGTAAAAGAAGCTAGACACACAAAGCGACATATTCTATCATTCCATTTACATGAAATATCCAGAATAGGGAACCCCATAGAGAAAGCACATCAGTAGTTGCCAGGGCTTGGGCGGTGGCAGTGGAAGGTGAATGACTGTTAGTGGATATGGAGTTTCCTTTTGGGTTGATGAAAATGTTCTGGGACTAGACAGTGGTGATGGTGGCACAAGTGTGAACCCACCAGATTCCACTGTACGGAGCACTTTAAAGTGGCTAAAATGGTTAATTGTATGGGATGTGAATTTATCGTAGTCTGTTTGGGCTGCTATAACAAAATACCATAAACTGGGTAGCTTTTAAACAACAGAAATTTATTTCTCATAGTACTGAAGGTGGGAAGTCCAAGATCAAGGTGGTGTTGTCTGGTGAGGACCCACTTCCTCACTGACAGAGCCTTATTGCTGTGTCCTCACATAGTCGAAAGGGTGAAAGTATCTCTCTCACACTGGGGTCTCTCTGTTGCCCAGGCTGGAGTGCAGTGGCGAAATCACTGCTCACCACAGCCTCAACCTCCTGGGCTCAAGTGATCCTCCTGCCTCAATCTCCTGAGTAGCTGGGACTACAGGTATGCACCACTACGCTCAGCTACTTTTTGTACTTTTTGTAGAGACGGGGTTTCACCATGTTGTCCAGGCTAGTCTCGAACTCCTGGGCTCAAGCAGTCCACCTGCCTAAGTCCTGGGATTACAGGCATGAGCCTTGGTTCTTTTTTATATGGGCACTAATCCCATTCCTAATTACCTTCCAGAGGCCCTATCTCTTAATACTATCCACCTTGGGGATTAGCATTTCAACACATGAATTTGCGGGGAAGGACACATTCAGACCATAGCAGAAAGGAAAGGTGAATCCAGAACACCCCTCTGGGCTTTGTTTCACCATCTGTAACATGCGGATAATAATGCCTCCCATTCCCCACGCCCCCAGGGTTGGCATGAGTAATACAGCAAGCAATTGTGTTATATAAAATGTCTAGCATACAATATGCACTCGAAATAAATGTCAATTGCTTTTTTTCCTTTAAAAGTGTCTAAAGCTATTTGCCTGATTCTCTGTCTCTCTCTCTCTCTCTTTTTTGAGACAGGGTCTGGTTCTGTAACCCAGGCTGGAGTGCACCACTCACTGCTCACTGCAACCTCTGCCTCCCAGGCTCAAGCGATCTTCCCACCTCCCAGGCTCAAGCGATCTTCCCACCTCAGCCTCCTGAGTAGCTGGGACTATAGGCATGCGCCATCATGCCCAGCTAATTTTTTTTTTTTTTTTTTTGGTACAGACAGGGCCTCACTATGTTGCCCAAGCTGGTCTGGAACTCCTGGACTCAGGTGATCCTCCTGCCTTGGCCTCCCAAAGTTCTGGGATTACAGGCGTGAGCCTCTGCGCCCAACCTATTTTCTTTATTTCTTACGACTGTAGTTTGTGGCTCTAGTCAGACAACCTGTCCTCACATGAGGGCTTCACCCACTCCTCACTGCACAGGGCAGGCTGTTCCACCATCTGGGATGTCCCACCTCCTCTGTTACAGGCCACTGTGGTCTTTGGGCCACTGTCACAGAGTCACCTGAGAGCTGATTCTGTGATGTTCACCCACTGAATCAGACTCTCTGAGAGTAGTTGGGTGAAAAGGTCTAAGGGTCTGCATTTACATTTTTATTTTTAAATTATTACTCTGTATTTTATTTATTTAGTGAGACTGAGTCCCACTCTACTCTGTACTTTAATTGATATAAATACTAACATTTTTACTAAGTGCTCCAGGTGATGATCATGCATATTAAAGTTGGAGAGCACTTTAATTTATGTTTTTACCATCTATTCCAGGAAGTCTGCCCAGATTTCTCCCTTGCTCCTTACCTAAGTCTAAGGTTCTGAGGGTCAGGGTCAGATTCCCATTGGGTTCTGCTGGGTGTGCTCTCCCACCGGACTGGGGAGGCCCCAGGGACAGATATCTTGCCCTTTCTTTACTCTCCTCACCCTAAGCCCAGATGTTCCTGGTACTACTGAGTGTAGATTCTCCTAGGATGCTGTAGGAAATGCAACATAATCTTTTTTTTTTGGCCAGGTGCAGTGGCTCATGCCTGTTATCCCAGCACTTTGGGAGGCCGAGGCGGGTGGATCACTTGAGGTCAGGAATTCAAGACCAGCCTGGCCAACATGGTGAAACCCTGTCTCTACTAAAAATACAAAAATTAGCCTGGCGTGGTGGCACATGCCTGTAATCCCAGCTACTCGAGTGGCTGAGGCAGGAGAATTGGTTTAACCCGAGGGGCAGAGGCTGCAGTGAGCACAGATCGTGCCACTGCACTCCAGCCTGGGCGACAGAGTGAAACTGTCTCAAAAAAAAAGAATCCTTTTTTTTTTTTTTAACCTCTACAGATACTTGGGAGAACCTAACTTCTCTGTCTTCTGTGATTCTATTCTGACTTTTCTAGATGGTATAGAAATTGTATTACTGTGTCACATCACCCTTTGCCTTTCCAATCCCATCTTACCCAGGATGTGCTAGGTGTGGGCCGGCCCCCACCCGACCCTGACAAGTGACCATGGATCCTGGAGCCGGGTCAGAGACATCTCTGACTGTCAATGAGCAGGTATCTTCTGGGGTGGGAAGTGGGGGGGTAAGGGTGATGGAGTGAGGGGTGTGGGCAACAGAGGAGGACTCCACAGGGCCCTTCACTCTCTGTTTCTTACCAGGGTTCACCATCACTTCACCTGTCCAGAGGTACTTGCCATTTAGGATTTCTCAGGGCCTGGGTTTGGGGAGTTAAGCTGTGACTTTAAGATGTAAAATCAAAGTGTACATAATATGTTTAAGTTTACATGGGGAAAGGTTTGAACATCAGGTAATTTACTCCTTAGTTTTTCTTCTTGCTTACACATATTTTCTAATTTTTTTTTTTTTTTGCAAATTACTATTACTTATATCTTTTTTGTTTGTTTGTTTGTTTGTTTGTTTTGAGATGGAGTCTCACTCTGTCACCCAGGCTGGAGTGCAGTGGCGCAATCTCGGCTCACTGCAAGCTCCGCCTCCCGGGTTCACACCATTCTTCTGCCTCAGCCTCCCGAGTAGCTGGGACTACAGGCACCCACCACCACACCCGGCTAATTTTTTGTATTTTTAGTAGAGATGGGGTTTCACCGTGTTAGCCAGGATGGTCTCGATCTCCTGACCTCGTGATCTGCCCACCTCGGCCTCCCAAAGTGCTGGAATTACAGGCGTGAGCCACCGCGCCCGGCCCATTTTTTAAAAGGAGAAAAAAAGGCCAGGCACGGTGGCTCACACCTATAATCCCAGCACTTTGGGAGGCCGAGGTGGGTGGATCACCTGAGGTCAGGAGTTCGAGACCAGCCTGGCCAACATGGTGAAACCCTGTCTCTACAAAAAATACAAAAATTAGCCGGGCGTGGTGGTGGGCACCTGTAATCCCAGCTACTTGGGTGGCTGAGGCAGGAGAATTGCGTGAGCCCAGGAGGTGGAGCTTGCAGTGAGCCGAGATCGCGCCACTGAACTCCAGCCTGGGTGACAGGGCGAGACTCTGTCTACAAAAAAAAAAAAAAAAAGAAAGAAAAGAAAAGATGAATTTCTCTGAAAATGTAATTGGAGTGAAGCCCCTCATAGGGCAAGCTGGGGCAGCACAAGAGCTGCTTTGGGGATGTATTTCACTCATCTCATATTCTGCTGATGGGTCACATCGTCACTTTTTCCAGCACAGCCTCCGACTGGATCCACTTTCAGGCTCAAAGAGTGTGTTGTGAGAGTGATTTCAGGCACAGGCCAAATGCACAGAGGCCTGACACAAAGCTGTTTAATTTACAGACTTTGTCTCTGATTCTTGAATGGCCCAATTGGCAGGGTTTCCGTGCTGGTGATGAAGAGCTAGTGTGTGTCGTCTGGGCAGGGGAGGGAGACTGAGTGTTCTGAGGAGGCTCAGGGTCCGCCTGCATCGCTCATGCATGGAGATTGCCCTTGAAGTCTGAGCATGCCCACAGCAGGTGGCAGGACTGGAGCCACAGGGCCACAGGATAAAAAGCTGCAGTCAGGCCGGGCGTGGTGGCTCACACCTGTAATCCCAGCACTTTGGGAGGCCGAGGTGGGCGGATCACGAGATCAGGAGATCGAGACCATCCTGGCCAACACAGTGAAACCCCATCTCTACTAAAAATACAAAAAAATTAGCCGGGCGTGGTGGTGGGCACCTGTAGTCCCAGCTACTCGGGAGGCTGAGGCAGGAGAATGGCGTGAACCCGGGGGGGTGGAGCTGGCAGTGAGCCGAGATTGCGCCACTGCATTCCAGCCTGGGTGACAGAGCGAGACTCTGTCTCAAAAAAAAAAAAAAAAAAAAAAGCTGCAGTCCAGGAGCGGTGCCAGGCAGAGAGGGAGAGGATGCATCTTCAGGATTCTTGACCCTTGTTTCAGGAATTTAGCTTGCAGGGAAATCCTGAGCCTTTACTCCAGAGTTTTCGAAATAAAGGAATCATGGGCGATAGAAGTTACTCAGCATTGTGGAGCATTCATTTTCCATCCCTTTATCTTTGGGGAACTTTCAGATGGTTTCAAGGGAAGTGAAGAGGGATTTGGTTCCTGGCCCGACTTAAGCTGTGGATACCATGTTAGGAGCCCTCATACCCACGTTCGAAGATCCTAGCTGCCAAGAGGACATCCTTGCAAGTTGTAGGATAGGCCATCCGCCGCTCCCTGCACTGAGTCCAAGAGATGGAACAAAGAGAAATTAGCTCCCAAATGGTTTGGCTCTGGGGGACATTTTTCTAGCTTGCGTCAGGCCCTTCTCCCTGTCACCAGGGCCTGCTTTCTTCCAGCAGCTCCTTCCCTGGAATCAGGGAGCTGCAACCTGCGCCAGGCTCTGGAATTCTCACAGAGCACACAGCCCTCTGGACAGGAGGTCTGCATCCAGAGGTGCCCTCCCCTCTCTCCCCAAACCATACCCAGAGCTTTGGACCCTGCGGCTATACTGGCCCCTATCCCAACAGTGCCCCTGTCCTCTGCTTGCAGGTCATCGTGATGTCAGGTCATGAGACCATCCGAGTGCTGGAAGTCGGAGTGGATGCCCAACTCCCTGCTGAGGAAGAGAGCAAAGGACTGGAGGGTGTGGCCGCCGAGGGCTCCCAGAGCGGAGACCCTGCTGAAGCCAGTCAAGCTGCTGGTGAAGCTGGGCCAGACAACCTGGGCTCCTCTGCAGAGGCAACTGGTACGAGGCCATCACCCCCACCTGGTACTGCTCCACCTGAGTGCCAAGTCCCTCCTGTGGTCCCTGGGGAGCCAGCATGAATCCCTGGGGCTCAGGTGGTTTTAGGGTCTTGTCTGCCTGCCCACTGGACAGCCTGTGCCTCTGGTCAGCTGCGAGGGCTACTCTACACTCTTTGTTTCTGGAGCTTTAGTTCTAGTCTGTGTCACTTCCAGGCCTAAACTAGGATGGATCAGGGTGAGGTGGGAAGAGACTGGTAGCGCTCCGCTTAGGGGGTTGCACCTGGGAGTTGAACCCGCTGAGCTGTGGGAGATCAGGCACTGCTCCCTGGCCTTGGGGCACCCTCTCATCAGTCTTCCTCATTAACACCTTGCAGAGTAGTCATCTCCTTCTGCAGGAAGCCTTGGGCCTCCTTTTTCAGTTTCCCCAGAACACCCCAATTCATTTCCCCTTGACTTCTGCTGTATATTCCCCCTTCCCTTGACTGGAGATCTGGACTGGTGGGGGTGGGCCAAGAAGAGGAGGCAAGAAGAGAGCACATGAGAACACGCAAACTTCCGAAAAGCAACAGCTCCTTAACAAGAAACTGCATGGCCACACATTACTTGCTCTACCTTCACATCAGTATGCAAATTCTTTGGAACCCTAGTAACCTTAGTCATTTTCTTTTCTTTTTGGATAAAGGAATGACAAGAGACATGACCATTTTTCCCTAGCCTGGAAATGCTCTGCTTCTATGTTGAGGCCAGGATGGGTCATCACCTGTTCCCAAGGGGCAGTGCCCTGGGGACCAGGCAGGGAAGACAAGGACCCTGCATCTCTGCCACTCCTTCCATTCAGCATAGCCATTGTGCAGTGGAGCCCCTTTTCAGAAAACAGGGGAGGTTTCTCAGGTTTATTCATCATGCCCTCACTTCGCTTTTCACCCATTTATCCATCTTCATATCTCATTTCCTCTGGTGCCTTAATTCTGCTCCTTATCCAAATTCGCTCTCAGAAATGGATCTTAAATCAATGGTTTTCGTGAGTGTTTGTGTAGTGTGCATCTTCTTCCAGGGGTTTGTGTGTCTAAGCCTTTCACAAACGCCTCCTCCTCTATAAAGGAATTTTAGTCACCATCAAGCAGGTAAGGGAGGTATTTTGATGGCACCACCTAAGCTGCCAGCTTAGAGCGGTGGAAACTTCCTAGGTGTGCAGTATTAAGAAGGGTTTCCTGTTTTTAAAACAAAACTGAGTAACAGGAAACTTTTCCAGGATGAAAACAGAATCTATTGGTTTGTGTCACTCTAAATTACTATCCAGTCTTTGTCACACATGCATATTTTCATTGTTGTGGCCGCTGAGGGTAGACTAAGTAGTATGACACCACCACGTAATTTCATGTACCTATGTCTTTTATTGACATAGAGTCACGCACCTGCTTCTGGTTTTGGCCATTGTCAAATTGTCTGGGTTTTCATTTTTCATAAACAGTGCTGCTTTGAATGTTTTTGTATTGGTCCTTTAAAAAATTCTGTGTGTGATAGTCTACTAAATTCCCTTTGAGGCCAGGCGCGGTGGCTCATGCCTATAATCCCAGCACTTTGGGAGGCCTAGATGGGCAGATCACCTGAGATCAGGAGTTCGAAATCAGCCTGGCCAACATGGCAAAACCCCGTCTTTACTAAAAAAATAAATAAATAAATTAGCCGGGCGTGGTGGCACACGCCTGTAATCCCGGCTACTCAGGAGTCTGAGGCAGGAGAATCGCTTGAACCCGGGAGGCAGAGGTTGCAGTGAGCAGAGATCGCGCCATTACACTCCAGCCTGGGCAACAGAGTGAGACTCCGTCTCAAATTAAAATAAAATAAAATAAAATTCCCTTTGGAGGGAAATTAATTATTAACATAGGAGGAAGTCATTTCATGGAAAAATATAAAATCTTGCTATCAATGAGAAGAAAAGTAATTGACTTTAAGGTATGAGTTGCCTGTTAAGCCAGAAAATAAATAAGCAATGATAAAACCTATATTGGTGGCCAGGCATGGTGGCTCACGACTGTAATCCCAGCACTTTGGGAAGCTGAGGCATGTGGATTGCTCGAGCTCAGGAGTTCGAGACCAGCCTGGGCAACATGGCAAAACTCTGTCTCTACAAAAAAATACAAAAATTAGCCAGGTGTGGTGGCACATGCCTGTAGTTCCAGCTACTCTGGAGGCTGATGTGGGAGGATCACTTGAGCTTGGGAAGTGGAGGTTACAGTGAGGCGAGATTGCGCCACTGCACTCCAGCCTGGGTGATAGAGTGAGACCTTGTCTCAGAAAAAAAAAAAAAAAAACAACTATATTGAGTGGTGCTGTGGAGAAACAGGTACATTGTTGATGTTTCTGTGAGTTCATTTAGTCTTTCTGTACAGTCTTGCAGGAAGCAATAGCAGCCCTAATGTATGTAAAACCTTGGACTCCATGGTCCTACTAAATATGCCCTAATAAAATGAATATTTTGCTTCTTTAGAGGGTAAGCTTTCATCATTTATGTTTGTCACTTTCCCATTTTCTCACTTACTTGTTATGCTTTGTCACATTTTGTCCAACAAAATGTTTTTAAAATTTTCACATGTTCAGACTCTCCTTATGTTTGCTAATTTTTTTGTTTTTTTTTTAACTCATTTTTATTTTTTCTGTAGAGATAGCATCTTGTTTTGTTGCCCAGGCTGGTCTGGTAACTCCTGGCTTCAAGTGATGCTACCACCTCAGCCTCCCAAAGTGCTGGGATTACAGGCGTGGGCTACTGCACCCAGCCTGATTTTTTTTCTGGAGTTAGAAATGTATCTTCCCTCCACAGAGGAGATAAACCTGTCATTTTGTTTTCTTTTACTATTTCATAAGGCCTTTGTTGGTGTGTGCTTGTCTCTTGAATTCCTTAAACTACCTGGGTTTTATTATTGCATGCTGTGAACAGTATAGTCCTGAGTTGAGGTTGACGCCTTCCCAAGTTGAAACATGGACTAGTACTGCAGGGTTGGACAGAACCTTTGCGGTTATCTGATTCAGTGGTTCCCACTCTTGGCCATATCGCAGGGGGAGCTTTGAAGGAAAAAAGAGAGGTGAGGTAACTAGCCTCCACTACTGGACATTCTGATTCAGTAGGCCTGGATTAAAGCCTAGAAATATATGCCCAGCAGTTTTAAGAAGCCATTGATCTGGCCAGGCGCGGTGACTCATGCCTGTAATCCCAGCACTTCGGGAGGCTGAGGCGGGCACATCACTTGAGGTCAGGAGTTCGAGACTAGCCTGACCAACATGGTGAAAACCCATCTCTCCTAAAAATACAAGAAAAAAATTAGCCAGGCGTGGTGGTATGCGCCTGTAATCTCAACTGCTTGGGAGGCTGAAGCAGAAGAACCCCTTGAGCCCCGGAGGCAGAGATTGCAGTGAGCAGAAGTCACACCACTGCACTCCAGCATGGGTGACAGAGCAAGACTCCATCTCAAAAAAAATTAAATTAAAATAAAAAGAAGCCAGTGATCTGGTCCTATATCCATCACTCAACTCCTAGGCTCCTTTTAACTAACCATATATTAAATAATAACCCTTCTCCTCGTTGTATGGCTGTGAAGAAGTTTCCTGGTGGGGTACCCCAGTACGTGTGTAGGCTAAGGTACCAAGAGAAGGCAAAAAGCTGCAGGTCACGGGAAATTCATTTAGAAGCTCACTGAAGCTGCTCACATGACTTTAGACCTCCGGGAATAGCAGAGAAAAGCTGGCTGTCCTGGAGAGCCCCTGTGATCCTGTAGTGCAGCACAGACCTGTCCAATTTTCAGGGACTGTTGCTTCCAGGACTTTGCCCTTCAGGAACTCCTGCCCTTTCAGCAGCTGCATCCAAAAGTACCCTGGAGGTGGATGAACAGCGATTCAGTGGCAGGATGAACCAAGGACAGCCGCTCCCATCATTTCTAGCTCCGGCCCTCCCTGACACACGTGTGCTTCAGACTCCTCTGTTGATGATGTGACAGTCCTTACAGGGCCAGGAAATGAGGGCTAACACTCACCTGGGTATCTTCTTCAGCTAGATGTGAGAAGGGGTGGCCTACCTCCCAGAGCTGGCACAGGGCTCCCCAGCCTCCTGTCCTCACCACCGTAGCATTCAGGAAGCTGCCTCATGGGCCAGGGAAGACCAACAATTGGTCTTGGGCTATGTAGCAATGCAGCATGGGGCTGAGGGTCCCCGCTTCAGGCTGCAGATGGGATGTCATGTACTGCTGTGGTGACCCCTCCACTCACGTCAGGCTCACTCCTTGTCCTTCTTTCTCTCAATGCCTTGTGAAGTGAAGTCACCCCCGGGGATCCCTCCGAGCCCTGCCACTGCCATTGCCACCTTCAGCCAAGCCCCAAGCCAGCCTCAGGCATCGCAGACCCTGACGCCACTGGCTGTACAAGCTGCCCCCCAGGTAAGGGCTGCCCTCGGGAGCTGGACAGAAGGCCGGGGGCAGGAGCGAGGCATGGGACAGCCAGCATGGGGAAGCCATGGAATCTGGGAACTTCATGGGGGCAGGACAGGGAAGGGGCTATGGCTTGAGGGAGGGACTCTCCCACTAGGCACATCCAGCCTCACCCCTGCCTAGATCAGGCCCATTTGGAAAAGGGGATCTACATTTGCAGAATCATCTCCTTGGGCCTGCCAGGATTGCAGAAATAACATTAACTCTTTCACGCAGCCAGAGTTTCTGTTTATCAAATGACTAAATGAATGAATACCCTTGCCGGCCCTCCAGTGGATGCCTGTAAGAGTTAATGGATTGTTCAGAGTCCTCATTTAGAGCCAGGGAGTGGCCCCAGCACCATGAGAGGCTGCCTTCAGGATCCTGCAGGCAGGCAGAGCTCCCTGTCCCTTTCGCTACATTCCCTGACTCCAAGGCATCCAGCCAAGGGTATGGTCCTTCAGAAACTTCTCGGAGGCCTCTGTGGGGCCTTGACCACTTGGTTCCATTAGCCTCTGCGGGGCCTTGACCACTTGGTTCCATTAGCCTCTGCGGGGCCTTGACCACTTGGTTCCATCAGCCTCTGCTCCCTGTTCCCTGGCCACTAAGCACGGGGCCTGTCAGCAAGGGCTCGCGGAAGGCCTGGCAGGCAGCAGGCTGTGGTGGGGGAGGCCTGTGCCCCCTTCCCATCCTGTGAGCAGGGCCGCCTTGCCCTGGATTTAGGCGACTTCTCTGAAGGCAGGATAGTCGGTCCAGGCACCCCCTCAGGTTTGGGCCTCCAGCTAGGGTTTGGCTCTTCCCCATCCTCATGTGGCCTTCGGCCCATCGCCCTCAGAATGCTTTGTTTGTGCTCAGCTGGGTCTCAGAGACCCAGTGTTTGCGCTGTCAATGTTGATTTTTTATTTTTTCTTTTCTTTTTGAAATCTTGTTTGCTTTTGCAGGTCTTGACTCAGGAAAACTTAGCCACAGTTCTGACAGGAGTTATGGTTCCAGCAGGGGCAGTTACTCAACCTCTTCTTATCCCCATCAGTATTGCAGGTCAAGTGGCTGGTCAGCAGGGGCTGGCCGTGTGGACAATTCCTACAGCAACTGTGGCTGCCCTCCCAGGACTGACCGCTGCTTCTCCTACGGGGGGAGTGTTCAAGCCACCTTTAGCCGGTCTCCAAGGTAACGGCAACTCTTCCCAGGACTGCACCAGGCCCCCCACCCTCTACTACACCCCCGCACGTGTGCTTGCCATGTCGGACTCAGAACCCACGGCCCACCCAGGGCAACCGCCCTGGAGTCTGGATCCGGTGTCTTGGGCATCCGGCCGCAGAGCTGCTGCACCACCTCGGGACTGTAGGCCGTGACGCCACGCTGGCCCCGCAGGCCTGCCGTACTTCGGCCAGCTGTCTGAGACTGCCCCTCTCCCCCCACGCCAGAACTCACCCCATGACCGGCCTCCTGGGAAGGACTACAAGAAGATTCAACGTCTGGTTCTTGAACCTACACATCTCCTGGCCCCAGGGAGGGGGGATAAGAGATGCTGGCGTGCGCCAGCCCTTCAAGGATCAAGGGAATCGTGGCTGCCTGCCCCACTGAGCCCACTGCCCCAACCCCCTCTCCTTCTTGTGCCAGATCCCTTGGGATTGGAGCCGCTGTGAGCAGTGGCTAGGCATTTGAGCACCTCTGTCTCTGCCTTGCTCCATAGCAGCTGCTGTGCTGAACACCGCTCTTCCGGCACCGGTACAAGCTGCCGCACCAGTACAGGCCTCCTCGACGGCCCAACCCCGGCCACCAGCCCAGCCCCAGACGCTGTTCCAGACCCAGCCGCTGCTGCAGACCACACCTGCCATCCTCCCGCAGCCCACTGCTGCCACCGCTGCTGCCCCTACCCCCAAGCCAGTGGACACCCCCCCACAGATCACCGTCCAGCCTGCAGGCTTCGCATTTAGCCCAGGAATCGTAAGCTGCTGCCCTCACCCAGGGCTGACCAGGGATGGACGGAATCATGGGCCAAGGGTGGAACTGACCCTTCCCACAGTGGAGGACGAGCCCCCCCCGAAAACAGCCCTTTTCCAACACATCAGCAGAGATGGGCTCCCTCTGAGGCCTTCTCCTTGCAGCTGCCAGCCCGTCCATCCCAGATAAAAGCAGACAACCTCTGCCAAGAGGGCTGGGCACATTCTCCAGAACCTGAACCACTGGACCAGGCTTGGAGGGTGGGATGACGTCTGGGGGTTGAAAACTTGTGAGCTGTCCCTACGGTGCAGTCAGAGCTTACAGCTCTATGCTGGTGTCTGTCCAGTGTAGCTCCTGGCTTGGCAGTGGGAGGCGTTAGATATGACTAGGATCACATCAGCCTCTCCAGTGTGGCCCTTCTACCCTCCCAGGCCTGGCCTGAAAGATTAACCCGAGTTACTTTTCCATGACTGTGGCCCTGCCCTTCCCTGCTGACCCCTGCAGCCCCTAGCCCTGGAAACCATCCAGCCGGTAGACCCCTAGCCCTGGAAACCATCCAGCCGGTAGACCCCTAGCCCTGGAAACCATCCAGCCGGTAGACCCCTAGCCCTGGAAACCATCCAGCCGGTAGACCCCTAGCCCTGGAAACCATCCAGCAGGTAGACCCCTAGCCCTGGAAACCATCCAGCCGGTAGACCCCTAGCCCTGGAAACCATCCAGCCGGTAGACATGGGCCTGAAGCCCACATTCACATCTACCCACCCCAATGCCCTCTGTCCTCTTCCCTCTGCCCGGGGTTCTTCTCACCCCTTGGCTTCTGAGCAAGGCTCTTCCTCCACCCACAGATCAGTGCTGCTTCCCTCGGGGGACAGACCCAGATCCTGGGGTCCCTCACTACAGCTCCAGTCATTACCAGCGCCATTCCCAGCATGCCAGGGATCAGCAGTCAGATCCTCACCAATGCTCAGGGACAGGCAAGTGGCCAAAGACAGGGCTGGAGGGTGGGGACTGTGGAGAGGCTGGCCAGGGGATGGCGGCCAGGTCTTGGGCTGTGGGTCATAGAAACTCGAACAGACGTCAAGCTGTTGTTCCTATCTCCTCTGCGGCGGCTTTCTGCCGATGCTGAAGCTGGGCAGGGGTGTAGCCACCACCCTGTCCTGGAGGTGCTCACATTACGTGGGAGTTTTCATTTATGGAGCACCCATGCTGTGGTCAGGCTTTATGCTAGGTGCTTTCTCATACATCATCTCACTTTCTTTGGAGTACAAATCTATTAGATGGAGATTTTTATTCCCATCTTACAAGACAGAAGGCTGAGGTTCAGAGCAATGAAAGCTACACAGCTAAAATGTGGCAGAACAAGGCAGGTCTCTGAATCCACATCCAGACCTATTCCTGCTCCACCATAGCTCTGAGGATGGAATAAAGGAAGTAGCCCTTAGAGTGTGAATCCTGCATTTTACTCATGCAGAAGCTGAGGCCAGAGCAGGTTGAGGGATTTGTCCATTAGTCTGTTCCCCTGGTGGTGTGGGGATCTGGGTTTGGGGTGGAGCTGGATGCTACCCTCACACCTGGGGTCCCTGCCTTATTTCCTCCCAGGTTATTGGAACCCTTCCATGGGTAGTGAACTCAGCTAGTGTGGCGGCCCCAGCACCAGCCCAAAGCCTGCAGGTCCAGGCCGTGACCCCCCAGCTGTTGTTGAACGCCCAGGGCCAGGTGATTGCGACCCTGGCTAGCAGCCCCCTGCCTCCACCTGTGGCTGTCCGGAAGCCAAGCACACCTGAGTCCCCTGCTAAGAGTGAGGTACAGGGGCTGGGGGGGGTGGGGGGTGGGGCAGGCTCTGCTATCTGGCACCGGCTGCTTCCCTCCAGACTGCCAGGCAGGACAGCATCTTCTGAAACTCCTGGGAGTGCAGGGCGCTTCCTAAAGTGGGGGAGGTCCCAGAGTAGAAGGCCCACATGTGTCCACACAGGTTCTGCCCAGGGAAACAGCACCACGAGACCCCCTACTCACACGCACCCAAAATATGTATAGGTGCCCTCAGATGCCAGTGCTGTTCTAAGAAGGTCAGGGAGGTAGGTGATGGTCAAAGTAGACTGGGCCAGAATCAGCTTTAGGGTGAACAAACTTCCTGAAAAGCCCTGGGAAGTCAGTTCTGTACCCCATTCCTCTACCCCTCCATCCCTCCACCCCTCCACTCTGCACCGTGGCTTTGATTTACTCATTGCTCATTCTAGGAGTATTTATTTAGTGCCTACTATTATTCCAAGTGCTGAAGACACAAAGATGAATAAGATGCCTTCTTAGCCTTAGGTAGCTTGGCATTGGAGACCATTACAAGTCAGTGGGACAAAACTATCACAGGGACACACAAATAAGGTGGTTTGGGGCCCTAGAGAAAAGAGCTCTTGACAAACTTGGGGGTTAGGCAAGACTTCATAGATAAGGGACATTGGACTATCATAAAGGGATAAAGCCAGGTGTAGTGGTGCTCACCTGTAGTCCCAGCTACTCAGGAGGCTAAGGCGGAGGATCGCTTGAGGCCAAGAGTTCAAGGCTGCAGTGTACAATGATCATGGCTGTGAATAGCCACTGCACTCCAGCCTGGACGACATAGCAAGACCCCATCTCTAAAAATAAAAAGGGATGAGTTGGATGTGAGAGTGTTCTACCTTCAGGGAACTGCAACAAGTATCACATGCTAGAGCAGCAGTTCTCAAGCCTGTGCATCAGAATCCCCTGGAGGCCTTGCTGGAATGAAGATTCCTGGGTCCCACCTCAGAGTTTCTTATTCAGTAGATCTGAAGTGGGGTCCAAGAGTTTGCATTCCTAAGTTCCCAGGTCACAATATGGCCAGTGGTTCGCAAATGCAGCATGCACTTCCAAGTTTTGTAAATAACCTCTTAGCTTTATCTGTGAACAGGGATCATAAGGGTACCAACTTCAGAAGGTTATGAATGCTAAAGGATATATTATACATAGGCAATGAACACTGGCGCACAGAAAGCACTTGAAAAACAAGCAGTAGTTCTTGTTATTACCATTATCAGGTAAGGTAGTAGGGAACTGCTGATGCTGAAGGGCGTTAGCAAGGAAATGGCTGACCAGATGAGCTTTTTTTTTTTTTTTTTTGAGACCAGGGTCTTGCTCTGTTGCCCAGGCTGGTGTGCAGTGATGTGACCTTGGCTCACTGCAACCTCTGCTCCTAGACTCAATCAATCCTCCCACTTCAGCCTCCCCGGTAGCTGGGACTACAGGTGTGCACCACCACACCTGGCTAATTTTTGTATGTTTTGTAGAGACAGGGTTTTGCCACATTGCCCAGGCTGGTCTCAAACTCCTGAACTCAAGTGATCAGCCCACCTCAGCCTCCCAAAGTGCTGGTATTACAGGCATGTGACACCGTGCCCAGCTGAGAGATGCATTTTTTAAAAATCCCTGTTATAGGCTGGGCACAGTGGCTCAGGCCTGTAATCCCAGCACTTTGGTAGGCCGAGGCGGGTGGATCACCTGAGGCCAGGAGTTCAAGACCAGCCTGCCCAACATGGTGAAACCTCGTCTCTACTAAAAATACAAAAATTAGCCAGGTGTGGTGGCGGGCACCTGTAATCCTAGCTACTTGGGAGGCCGAGGTAGGAGAATTGCTTGAACCCGGGAGGCAGAGGTTGTGATGAGCCGAGATCATGCTACTGCACTCCAGCCTGGGCAACAAAGTGAGACTCCGTCTCAAAAAAAAAAATCCCCGTTATTCACATGGTGTCAAGAACTGGACTGTGGTGAGGCAGTTTAAACAGCTCTAGGGAGAGTCAAGGAGCTCTGAACTAAGTCAAAGGCCCTGGGGATGAAGAAGCAATGGACTTGAGACGTACCAGGGGTAGAATCCAGGAAACAGGACCATCCTGGAGAAATCTGTACTTCCTAGAAAGCTTTTTTTCTTTTTAATCATACCAAATACTTTCATATATTTATAGTTTCTTCTGATTACAAATAGGATATGTGGTTTTTACAAAAATTCTAATATTTTGTGTAATGTAAAAAGTAAAAATTCCTTCTAATTCCAACTCCAGAGACAACTTCTTTTGATAGCTCACTTTATGTGCAAGATTTTGTTTTTCTGGAAATTCATATGTATTTCTTAAAGGCATTATTCCATAAAAACTGATTTTCTTTTTTTTTAAATTATTTTTTATTTCTTGAGATGGAGTCTCACTCTGTTGCCCAGGCTGAAGTGCAGTGGCATGATCTCTCGGCTTACTGCAATCTCTGCCTCCCGTGTTCAAGCGATTCTCCTGCCTCAGCCTCCCCAGTAGCCGGGATTATAGGTGCGTGCCACCACGCCTGGCTAATTTTTGTATTTTTAGTAAGAGTCGGGGTCTCACTATGTTAGCCAGGCTGGTCTTGAACTCCTGACTTCAGGTGATCCGCCCCCTTTGGCTTCCCAAAGTGCGTGAGCCACCGCGCCCGACCACATTTTTCACTTAGGGCTATGACTCAGACATCAGAGTAGTTAAGAGGTATACCTTCTCCCTTTTAATGGCTGCACAGTCTGTCTTGGTAGAGAGATACCAAAAGCCATCTGCCAGTTTCCCTGTTCAATGCGCATTTGGTGCCTGAGAGGCTCTAAAATCAGGTTGAGGCTGCTGCTTTGAGGGCAGAGATTTGGAAGCAGTTATCCCAAGGGTGAGCACTTGTTGGGGCTTTGGCCAAGTGTACTGAACCTTTCTGAGCCTCTCGCCTGCCTGTGTCACAGTTGGGTGTGAAGCTCCAGGTTGGTAGGGCAGGTTGCTGTGCTTATTTAGTATAATTCAGTCACTATTGTTGGGTGGGTATTAATAAGGTGTTTCTTAGTCTTGCTTTTTTTTTTTTTTGAGACGGAGTCTCACTCTGTCGCCCAGTCTGGAGTGCAGTGGCGCGATCTTGGCTCATTGCAACCTCCGCCTCCCAGGTTCAAGCAATTCTCCTGCTTCAGTCTCCTGAGTAGCTGGAATTATAGGCACCCACCACCATGCCCAGCTAATTTTTGTATTTTTAGTAGAGACAGGGTTTTGCCACATTGCCCAGGCTGATATCAAACTCCCAACCTCAAGTGATCCTCCCGCCTTGGCTTCCCAAAGTGTTGGGATTACAGGCATCAGCCACCATGCCCTGCCTAGTCTTGTTTTATGATAGAGCCCAGGCGGGAATGTCCTGCATGCGTGAGGATTTCATGTCTGTTTTTGCCCTGCCTCTGGTCCACCCAGGGATTTTAACTCCCTGAGCCTGGCAGAGGGCAGCAAAGGCTTGTTGTCTGTCCTTTCACAGGTGCAGCCCATCCAGCCCACACCAACCGTGCCCCAGCCTGCTGTGGTCATTGCCAGCCCAGCTCCAGCCGCCAAGCCATCTGCCTCTGCTCCTATCCCAATTACCTGCTCAGAGACCCCCACCGTCAGCCAGTTGGTGTCCAGTAAGTGGCTCCTGGAGAAGTAGTGTGGAGAAGTGGGGAGGCATTTATGTGGGCACCCAATCTCTTCAGATGCTGCTTTCCTTGATATCCTGGGGTCCAGAGGGGAAGGGCAGAGGCCCAATATGAGGGGCTGGCTTTTTTATTCCCATTCCTGTTGAGGTGGAGTTTGGGCACGATGACAGTGGAGGCTGTCAAGCTGGCTGGCTGGCTGCTTTTTGGAGAGGCCGAGCCATGGGCTGTCTCCGCTATGGTCTCTCACCCAGTATTTGAGGAATGTGGGTGACCAACAAGTGTGTTTGGGGCCAGGCCTAGGGAGAATGGGGGAGGGTGAGCAGTTAGAGCTGGAAGAACTTGAAAATAGCTCCTTACCCCTGGAGAGGTTAGTTTAGGCCCCTTCAACTCTTGCTTGTCTTGGGGACAAAGGTGATAAGAGTCTTGAAGGTGCGTGAGCCTTTTCCCAGGTGTCCTCACCTCTCACTACTGCGTCAGTTCAGACCAATGAGCCAGATAAGCAGGGATGGTTCCCATGTTACACACTCATCCCTGCTCCCTCCCTCTGGCCTAGAGCCACATACTCCAAGTCTGGATGAGGATGGGATCAACTTAGAAGAGATCCGGGAGTTTGCCAAGAACTTTAAGATCCGGCGGCTCTCGCTGGGCCTTACACAGACCCAGGTGGGTCAGGCTCTGACTGCAACGGAAGGTCCAGCCTACAGCCAGTCAGCCATCTGCCGGTGAGTAAGGCTGCCCTAGACAGGATTAGGGCCTGCTCAGCTGCCTGGTGCCACCGGGCACTCATGGGAACCTGAGCACCGGCCCCTTTTCCATATGCCCCCTTGCTCCAGCCTTTTTCCAGATAAGGAAGACCATCTTAAGGGTAGATATGAACACCTGGGGCAGTCAAAGGCTGACCCTGTCCTTCTGAGGTCCTCTGAAGATTATCCTCCAATCCTGGGCATTAATATGGGTCTTCTTTGGGGAACCCAAGACCCTAATCCACTGAGGAATTCTAGCAGGAAAGGAGTACAGCTTATAAAATTAGTCACCAAAGTGGGAACTTCCATTCTATGTTGGCCCTTAACTGTAACCCACCATACCTCATCATGCTCCCATCTCCCCTCTAACAAGGAATGACTGTAAAGTAACATAGCTGAGTTTTCTGTAAGCAGCCTACAAACTAGTTTTGGTGCCAGGAGGGATAGAGTTTCAAACAAGAATAAGCGCATGGCTCAGGGATGGCCAAAAGGTTTCATCTGCCTGCCAGCTCCATAGGTCAGGCTAGAGTGACCTTTAGAGTGCCTCCAGCATCCTGTGGAGAATCCTGTCACCACATCCAGCTCAGCCAGAAAGAGCAGCCTGACTTGTTAGTGATGCTGCTATGGGAGTGTGACTGGAGGCCTCCCAAGGTGACTCCTCAAAAGGACTTCATTCATTTAGGGGAACGTTCTAGAATGGTTGTTTGTAAGGCAGTTGCACTATTATTATTCCACTACTGACTGAGCCGAGGCCGTGGGAATGGTTTCCCTGTTAGGACCGGGCACATCAGAGGGTCTGAGGAGTCTGGGCTTGGCCAAACTAGAGGGGTCTTGGTGGAGGTGGTGAGGGGAGCACTGGGTACAGTCTCACCAGCCCCTAGAGGAGCGGCCCCTTGAGGATGGAGCCTGCACCTAGGTGCGGGGTGTGCCAAAGAGACCAACATGCTCTCACTGCCTCTTCCTGGGTATGGGTTGCCCACAGGTTCGAGAAGCTAGACATCACACCCAAGAGTGCCCAGAAGCTAAAGCCGGTGCTGGAAAAGTGGCTAAACGAAGCTGAACTGCGGAACCAGGAAGGCCAGCAGAACCTGATGGAGTTTGTGGGAGGCGAGCCCTCCAAGAAACGCAAACGCCGCACCTCCTTCACCCCCCAGGCCATAGAGGCTCTCAATGCCTATTTTGAGAAGAACCCACTGCCCACAGGCCAGGAGATCACTGAAATTGCTAAGGAGCTCAACTACGACCGTGAGGTAGTGCGGGTCTGGTTCTGCAATCGGCGCCAGACGCTCAAGAACACCAGCAAGCTGAACGTCTTTCAGATCCCTTAGGGCTCAGCCCCTGGCCCTGTGTTCTAGCACTTTGTCCATTTCCCGTGGCATCCGGCTGCAGCCACTGCCATGACAGCACCTGTCATTTTGCCACGTGCAGCTGTGCTCACCCCAGGTCATCAGACTCCACCGTGTGCATGTGCATCAATGTCCCTCTTTTCTCCCACACATCTCACATCATGGGGAGGCCAGAGGGGGCCACACGAGAGCTCCAGGCTCTGGGCTGGTCACTCCGAAGAAGAGGATTTGTGACGTCACTTAGAGAAGCACCTTGCTAGCATGGTTTCTGAAGGGTGAATTCTGGTGGGGAACCAGAAACTCCCTGTCTTTGGGGCAGGGCTAAAGCAGCTCCTAAGGACCACTGGCCATTAGCTCTTGCTTTTGATGGCATTCTCTTTCCACCTTGTCTTCTCCTTTGCTCCTCTGTGTTAGTGTGGCAGGTATGACAACTCATCCAGTGGAAACACAGCCTCACACTGCCCTTCCGCCCCCCACACTTTGCCTGCAGGTGCACCGAAAGGACCTGGGAGATAAAATTCAAAAAAGTGTGATGTGCTGCTCAGAAGGTCAGACTCCATGTCTGCCTTGACCTCAAGGTCAGAAGGTTCCCAAACCCCTGGGGCTGGAACATGGGATCTCCTCTTCCACCTCTTCCTGGTTCCTTTGCGGGGAAAATTGCACTAAAACAGAACCTTTTCTTAATCCATGTTGGAAGGAAGCAACAGTGAACTCTACCTGTTCTGGAGTTCTCCTGGGTCTGCAGAAGGTTGGGAATTTAGAAAATAAGGCTGTTCTTTCATATTTTAATTTAATCTCTGTCAATGGCCATCCCTCCCACAAAAAAACGTGGGTTAAGAGAACTTGCAGACTGGATATGCAAGCAAACGGGCAACTCTGGAGAAAAATAAGGAAAGGAATGCTGACTTTCTCTTTCTTTCTCTTGTCCCCACACCCATTCCCAACCCAATACTGGGGCCTTCTCAAAAGGAGCAAATTAAACAATAAACCAGACAGCAAGGCCCTGGGGGAAAGGACAACATCCTGAAATAAATGATGGAGCCCAGGAAGGTCTCTTGTGGAAGTTGACTTAACTCTAATTTTCTTTGTAACTTTAAGCCTTGGATACGGGAGGAGAAATCTCATTTTGTCGAGTCTCAGACCATGTCTGTGTGTAAGCAATCCCCACAGTGTCCTCTGAGCCAAGGACACCCCCAGATCAGATTGAGTTTTGCTTCTAGACGGGGTAGCTATGGTACCTTGGGGGTTAGCTCTCATCCAAGCTGTTAAGTGAGTTTCCAGCCTCACTGTGGCTGGAAAGCCCCTAAAATTCAGTATGTAACTCCAGGAAGTCAGGAGAGAACTGAGATTTGCCTAGATGACCACAGGCTTGCGGTGTAGATTATCCCTAAAGGGCCCCAAGTCACGGGGGTCAACCACCCCTGTCTTCAGTACTCTTATCCTTACAGAGGCTGGTCTCTAACAGCTGCCTCCAGTGGACCTCCCATGATCCACCCTGAGGGAAGGACCGTCAGCTGGGGACACATCACCACCTCTGTCAGTCACTGGTGCAGAGCCACCTCCTAGCCTAGCTTCCTCTGGTGTCCTGTTTCCTTTCCCACTTACTGTTGGTGCCTCCCAGGCCCTGCAGTGCCAGCGTGGCCACCCTCTTGGTAGCCTGGCCAGTAAGAGGAGGACAGTTGTGTGCTGAATTAGCACACGCACGTGCAGCGCGCACAGACGCGCGCACACACACACACATACACGCTCTGCTGCATTTGGACAAACCATGCCTGCCAGAGTGTAGCAGAGGTGAGGAAGCAGGTGGGCAGCTTGCCTGACCCAGCTTTTCAGGAGAGCGTGTCTCCAACAGAGAGTCTCCACACTCTAGTTCAGGGTTATCGACCTGCCTCAATGAGATGACAGACTCATTTGGGAGGGGTGTTGCAAACAAGTTTTCAGTGAGAATAGTTAAGTTCCAGAGCTTGTAAAGGATTCAGTGACTGACACTTCAGTAAATTAGGCCAGGCACATTGGCTTATGCCTGTAATTCCAACACTTTGGAAGGCCGAGGTGGGCGGATCATTTGAGGTCTGGAGTTCGAGACCAGCCTGACCAACATGGTGAAACCCCGTCTCTACTAAAAATACAAAAATTAGCCAGGTGTGGTAGTGCACATCTGTAATCCCAGCTACTTGGGAGGTGGAGGCAGGAGAATTGCTTGAACCCTGGAGGTTGCAATGAGCTGAGATCACACTACTTCACTCCAGCCTGGGTGACAGAGCAAGACTCGGTCTCAAACAAACAAAAACTTATGGCGATGCAGGTTTTCATGCTCAGACGCTTGCATTCAGGTATGCTTTCTTTTTTGAGAGAGACAAATGGGTCACAGCTGGCACCCTGGGAATAGCACATAATCCAGGGTGTGTCTGTGGTGGTGGACGTGCAGGGGAACACCATCTGTCCTGTGTCATGATGGGAAAACAATCATGAACCACTGGTCTAAATTAGGCCTGGCCATGCTTTCTCAGCCCCTCCCTCATTTAAATTTGTCTTCCCAAAGCTGAGCTAAAACTAAACCATTTCTCCTCTGCTGGAATGATGGATTGGTCATTCAGAGGAACAATACCAGGGGTGGGAGGTTTGCAGGCTGAGTTCCCCAGGCATGGGGGTGCAGGGTGTCCCTGAGGTTTACCCAAAGCACAGCTCGCTGGCCTGTGACCTCTGCCCTTCCTCCCACAGTGTAAGACCCCCCAGGAAGCAGCTGGGGCCTGAACCTCTCACCTAGGAGGTAGGTTTATTTTATTTTTTGTTAGCATCAGGCTCTGAAGGAGTTGGTATACATTTTGTTTTGAAAACATCTTCTGGACTTACACCAGAGCTTAGTGTCGTCTTTACTATGGAAAGAGAGGAGAATGGACAGAAATGGTTTAACTGTGTGGAGTTTTGTTTGTTTTGTTTTAAATGGAAGAAAGACCAAAACTTTCCTGGTGGATCAGCTAGGGCCTTTGACCCTGCATTACCACGGCATTTTATCCAGGTGAAGTCCAGGGAAAGAACTCAGCCAAATGGACTAAGGAACACACGAGTTTGGAATGCGAGACTCTGACATTTTTGTGTTCTTGGAAATCCAATTACCTTCCCATGCCCAGATTTCCTTCCTGCCTCTTGGACCAGGCTCTGGCACTGAGGTTCTCACTGTTCCCAACACAGACAAAGCTTCCTGAGGGCTGGAGGGGCAGCAAGGGGAGAGGAGAATGGGGAAGAAGCGCTTGATGTAGTTGTGTGGAATAAACAGTATTTTTTCTTTTGTACTGGTCTGCTTGTTTCCTGTTCACTCTTCAGGGTAGAAATATTAGTGAAACAGTGTCAGAGGACAGGGAAGTGACAGTCTTTGCTGTCAGCTTGCAGCCTGGAAAATCCCATTGCAAGAAAGCAGGGGTCAGTACTCTGGATTCCCATTTCAGAAGTCCCTGCTTGGGCCCTCCTGCCACCACGACCCTCCCATCACATTGGGGATTCAGTTCTAGAGACAGAAGGGCACAGGGTCTCCTTTTAGAACACCCTTCTTATACCTAGAGCCCCAGAATTCTCTGCCAAGCCCACTTCCTGGACCCCTCCTCTCTGGGTTCCAGGAGCTGTGCCGTTGGTGTGCACACTTGTAGGTCTAAGAGGTGGCTGCCTTAGTCTGCTCTGGTTGCTACAACAAAGTACCTTAGACTCAGTGCCTTACAGACAAGAGAAATTTATTGCTCACAGTTTTGGAGACTGGAAAGTCCAAGATCAAGGTCAAGATCAAGGTCGATGTCTGATAAGAGCCCTCTTCCTCATAAACAGGTATCTTTTCACTGTAACCTCACATGGTGGAAGGGCAAGCAAGCTCCCTTGGCCTCTTTTATAAGGGAGCTAATCCCATTAATCTTACTTGACTAATCACACCCCAAAAGGCCCCACCTTAATCTAGTCAGCCCTCCATATCCCTGGGGTCTGTGTCCTCAGATACAACCTCAGATGGAAAATACAATATTCAAAAACAACAACAGGCCGGGTGTGGTGGCTATTGCCTGTAATCCCAGCACTTTGGGAGGCCAAGGCAGGCGGATTGCCTGAGCTCAGGAGTTCGCAACCAGCTTGGGCAACATGGTAAAACCCCGTCTCTACTAAAAATCCAAAAATTAAACAGGTGTGGTGGTACATGCCTGTAATCCCAGCTATTTGGGAGGCTGAGGCACAAGAATTGCTTGAACCCAGGAGATGGAGGTTGCAGTGAGCCGAGATCGTACCACTGCACTCCAGCCTGGGTAACAGAGCAAGACTCTGCCTCCAAACAAACAAACAACCCAACCCCCCTAATACAACAGTAAAAAACAAAACAAACAAAAAATGTCAATATCGTATAACAACTATTTACATAGCATTTACATTATATTAGTAGGTATTATAAGTAACCCAGTGATAATTTTATGCAAGAGGATGTGCACAGGAGGTTATGTGGAAATACTACACTGTTTTTGGTGGGTTTTGTTTTGTTTCTAGAGACAGAGTCTCACTTGTTGGCCCAGGCTGGAGTGCAGTGGCGTGATCACAGCTCACTAGATTTCCCTGGCTCAAGTGATCCTCCCACCTCAGCCTCCCAAGTGGCTGGGTCTACAGGCATGTGCCACCACACCTGGCTAATTTTTTTATTTTTGTTTTTAGAGATGGGGTCTCACTATGTTGCCCAGGCTGGAGTACACCATTTTATATGAGAGGCTTGAGCACCTGTGGATTTTGGTATCCTCAGGCATCCTGAAACCAATCCCCGACAGATATGGAAGGACAACTGTACTATCACATTGGGGATTCAGTTTCATTATAGGAATTTTTGGGAAACACAAACATTCAGCCCTGCCGTGGCCAAAGGGCAGCTGTTTGTCAGACAGTAGGGTGACAGAGCTTGGATATGTAGACTACGGTGTCTACACATGTACGTCAGGCTCTTTGCAGTGCAAGATGGGGAGAGGGAAGAGAAGGCAGCCAACGGGCTGAGGGCCAGGACTGGGGCACATTCTAGCATGGGACTTCAAGGAGTTCTAAATCCAAACCTGGCCTCCCAGGTCACTATAAAGGTATACTCTTCAGGATAGGAAGCCAGAACTTTAATAATTAGTTTGACTTATACTTTACAAAAGGGTGACTATATGGTAAGCAAGACTTTGTATTATTCCCCAGGACTGTCACCTGAGCTTAGAGCTGAGAGCACACCTGTCATGAGGGTCTCTCTTGGCTTGTCTACTTCCTAGGAGCAGGGTTCATGACATCTGTCTCTCAGGTCCCTCTCCCCTGACACTCAGCTGGTATTGATGACGTCTGGGCTACCTAATCCAAACTGGTGAGAGCAGCCGGGAGCAGTGGCTCATGCCTGTAATCCCAGCACTTTGGGAGGCCGAGGCGGGTGGCTCACCTGAGGTCAGGAGTTTGAGACCAGCCTGGCCAACGTGGCAAAACCCTGTCTCTACTAAAAATACA
Organism: Homo sapiens; assembly: GCF_000001405.40. Classification (NCBI taxonomy): domain Eukaryota; kingdom Metazoa; phylum Chordata; class Mammalia; order Primates; family Hominidae; genus Homo; species Homo sapiens. The sequence continues at coordinate 51,184,741 of NC_000012.12, read as the reverse complement.
AAAACTGGCCAGGCGTGGGGGCACAAGACTGTAATCCCAACTACTTGGGTGGCTGAGGCATGAGAATCGCTTGAGCCTGGGAGGCAGAGGCTACAGTGAACCGAGATCAAGCCACTGCACTCCAGCCTGGATGACAGAGTGAGACCCTGTCTCAAAAAAATAAACAAACAAATAAAAATAAACCGGTGAGAGCAAGACAGCACCTTTGATTCTACCCAACCAACATTCCTGAGCTGGGCACTGTGCTGGATTCTGGACCATGCCTCACCTCTTCACCCCTACCCAGGGAGATAATGAATGTCTAAGCCTCTGATGCAAAGCTTAGGGATCAGAGGAGCTTTACAGTACTCTGAAACAATGGGGCAAAAATTCAAACAGAAGCCAGCACTTACCTTTTGCATAGATTTTACGTAGATATTACATAGATCTTACATAGATATTAGCTATCCACGCTGGGCTGTGACTCCTCATTACACAGGCTAGGGGCCTACAGTAGGTGCTTGATAAATGGCAGATGATTGACTGAATGCATTTCATACCCTCTCCTTCACGGAAATAATGACAGCTGAGTCCCTGACTTCAGGTTCCTGGGAGAAAGCAGGACTATGAGATTCAGCTTAGCTATGCCGGGTTGGGTGTGTGAAATATGAGAGTGAATAGAATCTGGGCAGCAGCTGGCTGTGACCTGAGACAGACAGCTCCCAGCAGCTCCCACCAGCAAGGTCGGTTGGAGCTGATAGCTCTGGCTCAGACCAGCTGAGGGTGGCTCTTGGCATTTGGCCCAGGAAGGCTTTAGAGGATGAAGGGACTGCAGTCTTTATTCCCAGGCCTGGGAAGTCTATTGTGTTGTGGATGGCTCTGATGGGGGAACTGATGTTTTATGGATATGGGCTGGTTTCTGGACTTCTCTAGTCTTCTCTAGAGGAGAAGAGCCTGAGGTAGAACTGTGGGGCTGTGAAAACTTCTGATTTCCTTTCCTTTCAACTGCAGGGTCCTTCAGAGAAGCCACACTAGGTCTCACAGGTGGGTGGCAGGAAGAGGTGAAGAGTTAAAACGAGATGGTCAGTCCCTAAAAAAGCCTGCCTGGGGAATGGTTTCTTCTTGTACCTGGAGGAAAATGTCCACTGATTAACTGGGAAACCCAATGACATTGACTGACTTGATTACTCGAGTGAAAAGGGAAGGCTAGGGGATGAATGGGTACCGACCCAAGGCATGCAAACCCTCAAGCTTCTGAGAGAACTGATTTGTCTTATGAGATAGGCAAGACAGCTGCTAGGGTGCCCTCCTTGTCAATAATAACAATAGCTAGCCTTTACTGATCACTAGTCAGAGTGCTAGGCACTCTTGTAAGCACTTAACATGCACCATCTCAGTTAATTCTCACAGTAATTCTATAAAGTAAGAAATATTATTATGTCCACTTTGCAGATAGGGAATTGAGGTACTCGGAGCATGAGCAATCTACTCAGTGCTGCTTTGTGAACAGCAAAACCAGGATTTGAACCCAGGTAGGCTGTCTGTAAAGCTTTTGTGCTTGACTTTACCTCATACAGGCTCTGAGAGGTGGGTGGGACCTTGAGGTTGCGGTGTGTTTGTGTGTTCTGATCTTTTTTTTTTTTTGAGATGGAGTCTCACACTGTTGCCCAGGCTGGAGTACAGTGGTGCAATATCGGCTCACTGCAACCTCTGCCTCCTGGGTGCAAATGATTCTCCTGCCCCAGCCTCCCAGGTAGCTGGGATTACAAGTGCCCGCCACCACACCCAGCTAATTTTTTGTATTTGTAGTAGAGACGGGGTTTCACTATGTTGGCCAGGCTGGTCTCAAACTCCTGACCTCATGATCTGCCCACTTCAGCCTCCCAAAGTGCTGAGATTACAGGTGTGAACCACCGTGCCCAAAGTGATCTTTTTGGTAGAGTTTCCACATGTTTCTACCTACCAGGGTAGACCCTGCTATGTCCCATATTGATGGTGTCCAGTTTTAGGATCCAATCTTGAGAAATGAACCCTCCATGATGAGCCTTAACTTAAACAATCCAGAACACTGAATTTGGAGCTCTGTGCCACAGGTACTCTGATTTATTTTTATTTTTATTTTGAGACGGAGTCTCGCTCTGTCACCCAGGTGGGAGTGCAGTGGCTCGATCTCGGCTCACTGCAATCTCCACCTCCCGGGTTCACGCCATTCTCTTGCCTCGGCCTCCCAAGTAGCTGGGACTACAGGTGCCCGCCACCACGTCCGGCTAATTTTTAAAATATTTTTAGTAGAGATGGGTTTTCACCGTGTTAGCCAGGATGGTCTCGATCTCCTGACCTCGTGATCTGCCCACCTCGGCCTCCCAAAGTGCTGGGATTACAGGCGTTAGCCACCATGCCCGGCCGGTACTCTGATTTATTATGTGTAATAGAAGCCAGGATTTTTATTGTGGGATTAATTTATGGGTACAAAAATTTGATCTATTGATAGGTGTCGCTGGATTTCTTTCTTCTCCTTTGAAAAGAGTTTTGCTCTTGTTGCCCAGGCTGGAGTGCAATGGCACGATCTTGGCTCATTGCAACCTCCACCTCCCAGGTTCAAGTGATTCCCCTCCCTCAGCCTCCCAAGTAGCTGGGATTACAGATGCACGCCACCAGGCCCAGCTAATTTTTAGATTTTTAGTAGAGACGTGGTTTCACCATGTTGGCCCGGCTGGTCTCGAACTCTTGACCTCAGGTGATCCACCTACCTCTGCCTCCCAAAGTGCTGGGATTACAGGCGTGAACCACCTCACCCAGCCCAGTGTTGCCAGATTTCTAAGGGAACATCTAGTGGTCTTTTCTTGGAGGCAGAGCCTTCTGGGCTGCTCCTAGAATCTCTCCTATCGTGGCACTCCAATTTCATTCTTAGTTACGTTGGGGAGGGGAAGAGTATGGGAAAAGTTCACTTTCCGAGTCACAGAATTCCAGGGGTAAACAGTGTGTGAAGTCTTCTTTCCCAAGGGGGAACCGCAGTCAAGGGCATGACTCCAGGCTGACCTACACTCTACTTGGGAGGGGCTGAGGCTTAGGAGTCTCCTCTTATTTCACCTCAGTGTGTTTTAGAATTAATAAGTGGCAAGGAGGACTTCCGTGCAGTGTTTATTTTGGTTCAGATATTAAACTTAGTCCCAAACATTTCCAAGGAGTACATGTGTGTCTTTTCCTAAATATTTTCCAGGGCACAGGGCTCCCTGATATTCCTGGATGTGGCACAGTCATCTCTTCGAAACATCTAATATGATTACTCTTTGTTTTTTTTAAAGTCCATTCCCTTTGAACTATTCTTCCGTGAATGAGAAAACATGCTTCATCCAATATTCCTTCATGGGAACAATGTTCTAAAAATTCAATATTCTCACCTCCACAAGTTTCAAAACTCATCTCTGAAAGGAAAAATAGGTAAGAAGCAGATCTTTTTTATTTATTTATTTATTTTTAAATTTTTTTTTTTTTTTGAGACGGAGTCTTGCTCTGTCACTCAGGCTGGAGTGCAGTGGCGCGATCTCGGCTCACTGCAAGCTCTGCCTCCCGGGTTCACGCCATTCTCCTGCCTCAGCCTCTCCGAGTAGCTGGGACTACAGGCGCCTGCCACCACGCCCGGCTAATTTTTTTTTTGTATTTTTAGTAGAGACGGGGTTTCACCGTGGTCTCGATCTCCTGACCTCGTGATCTGCCCGCCCCGACCTCCCAAAGTGCTGGGATTACAAGCGTGAGCCACCGCGCCCGGCCTATTTATTTTTAATTTTTAATTTTTTTTTTGAGATGGAGTCTCGCTATGTCACCCAAGCTGGAGTGCAATGGTGTGGTCTTGGCTCACTGCAACCTCCGCCTCCCGGGTTCAAGGGATTCTCCTGCCTTAGCCTCCTGAGTAGCTGGGATTATAGGCACCTGCCACCACACCTGGCTAAAATTTGTATTTTTAGTAGAGATGGGGTTTCACCATGTTGGCCAGGCTGGTCTTGAACTCCTGACCTCAGATGATCCACCTGCCTAGGCCTCCCAAAGTGCTGGGATTACAGGCGTTAGCCACTGCGCCCGGCAAAGCAGATCTTTTTAAAGTTTATTTATTTATTTATTTAATTTATTATTATTATTTTTTTGAGATGGAGTTTTGCTCGTCGCCCAGGCTGTAGTGCAATGGCACAATCTCGGCTCACTACAACCTCCACCTCCCGGGTTCAAGCGATTCTCCTGCCTCAGCCTCCCAAGTAGGTGGGATTACAGGCATGAGCCACCATACTCAGCTAATTTTTGTATTTTTAGTAGAGACAGAGTTTCACCATGTTGGCCAGGCTGGTCTCGAACTCCTGACCTCAAGTGATCCACCCGCTTCGGCCTCCCAAAGTGCTGGGATTACAGGAGTAAGCCACCGCGCCCGGCTATTTATTTATTTATTTTTGAGACGGAGCCTCACTCTATGGCCCAGGCTGGAGTGCAGTGGCGTAATCTCGGCTCACTGAAACCTCTGCATCCCAGGTTCAAGCGGTTCTCCTGCCTCAGCCTCCCAAGTAGCTGGGACTACAGGTGCCCACCACCACACCCGACTAATTTTTGTATTTTTAGTAGAGATAGGGTTTTGCCATGTTGGCCAGGCTGGTCTCAAACTCCTGACCTCAGATTATCCACCCACCTCCGTCTCCCAAAGTGCTGGGATTACAGGCATGAGCCATCACACCTGGCCCTTTTTAAAGTTATAACCACTCACAGAGAGAGTGTAACATGAAGGTTAGATGCCTAGACTGTGGGGTTACTGCTCTCATGCTGGGTGACCCTGGACAAGCCATTTAATTTTTCTAAGCCTCAGTTTCCTTATCTATGAGATGAATTGAATAAGGATACCTTTCTTGTAGGGGTGAGTGAAGATGAAATGAGATAATAAACCTAATGCACCTAGTCAGGCCCTGGCACTTAGGAAGAGCTCAGTAAATATAAGCCTATCAATATTATTAATTTTTATCTATTTATTTATTTTTTGAAACAGGGTCTCACTCTATTGCTCAGGCTGGAGTGCAGTGATGCGATCTTTGCTCACTGCATCCTCTACCTTCTAGGCTCAATGGATCCTCTTGCCTCAGCCTCCCCAGTAGCTGGGACTACAGGGGCACACCACCACAGTCAGCTAATTTTTTTGTAGAGATGAGGTTTTGCCATGTTGCCCAGGTTGGTCTTGAACTCCTCGGCTCAAGCAATCCACCTGCCTCAGCCTCCCAGAGTGCCAGGAGTAGAGGTGTGAGCCACCACATCCAGCCATATTAGCTATTATTTTTTGCTGTGTGTGTGTGCAGTTTCCATTGGCAGGGAGGCATCACCATAGGCAAATCCCAGCTAAGAGAATCAGGAACTAGCTGCTAATTTATATATATTTGTTACTTATTCAAGAGTACAATTTTTTGGTAATTTATGAAGCATAATGATGAAACAATCACTCATGCACCCACTACTCCACTTACGTAAACTATTAAGAACTGTTGAGGCTGGGCGTGGTGGCTCACGCCTGTAATCCCAGCACTTTGGGAGGTCGAGGTGGGTGGATCACAAGTTCAGGAGATCGAGACCATCCTGGCTAACACGGTGAAACCCCGTCTCTACTAAAAATACAAAAAATTAGCTGGGTGTGGTGGCGGGCACATGTAGTCCCAGCTACTCGGGAGGCTGAGGCAGGAGAATGGCGTGAACCCGGGAGGCGGAGCTTGCAGTGAGCCAAGATTGCACCACTGCACTCCAGCCTGGGCGACAGAGTGAGACTCTGTCTCAAAAAAAAAAAAAAAAAAAAAAAAAGAACTGTTGAAGCTATCTTTTTTTCTTTTTCTTTTTATCTGTTTTTTTTTTTTGAGACAGAGTATCGCTCCTCTTGTTATCCAGGCAGAAGTGCAATGGTGTGATCTCAGCTCATTGCAACCTCTGCGTCCTGGGTTTAAGCTATTCTCCTGCCTCAGCCTCCTGAGTAGCTGGGATTACAGCCGCATTCCACCACACCCGGCTAATTTTGTATTTTTAATAGAGATGGGGTTTCTCCATGTTGGTCAGGCTGGTCTCAAACTCCCGATCTCAGGTGATCTGCCCTCCTTGGCCTCCCAAAGTGCTGGGATTACAGGTGTGAGCCACCACGCCTAGCCTGAAGCTATTTTCTTTTCTTTTCTTTTCTTTTTTTTGAGACGGAGTCTCACTCTGTCTTCCAGGCTGGAGTGCAGTGGCCTGATCTTGGCTCACTGTGACCTCTGCCTGCTGGGTTCAAGAGATTCTCCTGCCTCAGCCTCCCAAGTAGCTGGGATTATAGGCACGCACCACCACTCCCAGCTAAGTTTTGTATTTTTAGTAGAGACTGGGTTTCTCCATGTTGGTCAGGCTGGTGTGAAACTCCTGACCTCATGTGATCCGCCCACCTCAGCCTCCCAAAGTGCTGGGATTACAGGTGTGAGCCACGGTGCCTGGCCACGCTGAAGCTATTTTCTAGTTCCTTCCCTCACCTATTCCCCTGCCTCTCCTTAGATGTGGCCATCACTATAATTGTATTTATTTCATTTCTTTTGAAAGGACTTATGTAAAGTTGACCCTTAAACAATGTGAGGGTGATCCCCACACAGTTGAAGGTTCAAGTGTAACTTCTGACTCACCTAAAACTTTATTACTAACAGCCTACTGTTGATCCGAAAGCTTACTGATAACATAGTCAATGGACATATATTTTATGTTTTATGTATTATATATTGTATTCTTACAATAAAGTAGGCTAGAGAAAAGAAAATATTTTAAAAATCACAAGGAAGAGGAAATATACTTACTATTCATTAAATGGAAATGGATCATCAAAAAGGTCTTTCCTCCTCATCTTCACATTGAGTAGGCTGAAGAGGAGGAGGAAGAGGAGGGGTTGGTCTTAATCTCTCAGGAGTGTCAGAGGTGAAAGACAATCCATGAATATTAGAAGATATCAACAAACAACAAAAATGAAAAATTAAAAAAAAAAAGAAAACCCACAAATAAGTAGACCTGTGCAGTTCAAACCTGTGCTGTTGAAAGGTCAACTGCATACTGTCCTAAATGATAATTGCTTAATTTTACTGGCTTTTGAGCTTTATAAGGTGATATTACACAGTATGAGGACTTCTGAATTTCCCCCTCAATTCTAAGATTGATTTATTCATGCAGTTCAGTATAGCTTTATTCATTTTCACTGCTCAATAATATTATATTCCAGTCTAATTTATCCATTCTTTTGCTGGTGGAGAATTTTTTTATTCCATTTTGTTACCAAAAAGAGTGCTGCCATCAACATTCTCATACAAGTCTCCTGGTATGTATGTAGAAGAGTTTCTCTAGGGTATATATGTAGAAAGGAGTTGCTGAATCACAAAATAATTTTCAGGATAATTTTTAAAGAGTTCTGCTTGATCCTGACCACTCTGTCCTGAGTCTCAGCTTCCTCATATTGAAAAACAAAACAAAAACTTCTATGAAGATTAAATGATATGATGTATTTGATTTATTTATTTTTAATAGAGACAGTGTCTTGCTCTGTTGTCCAGGCTGGGTGTAAAGGCCCAATCATGGCTCACTGTAGCCTCGAACTCCTGGGCTCAAACCATCCTCCCACCTCAGCCTCCTGAGTAGCTGGGACTACAGGTGCACACCACCATGCCTAATTTTTAAATTTCTTGTAGAGAAGGGGGTCTCACTATATTGCCTAGGCTGATCTTTAACTCCTGGGCTCAAGTGATCCTCCTGCCTCAGCCTCCCAAAATGCTGAGATTACAGGTATGAACCATGGTGCCAGGCCAAGACAATGTATTTTAAAGTGCTATTAAGGCTGGACACGGTGGCTGACACAGTGGCTCATACCTGTAATTCCAGCACTTTGAGAGGCAGAGGCAGGCAGATCTCATGAGGTCAGGAGTTCAAGACCAGCCTGGCCAACATGGAAACCCCGTCTCAACTAAAAATATAAAAATTAGCCAGGCATGGTGGCGTGTGCCTGTAGTCCCAGCTACTCGGGAGGCTGAGGCAGGAAAATTGCTTGAACCCAGAAGGCGGAGGTTGCAGTGAGCCGAGATCGCGTCACTACACTGCAGCCTGGGCGACAGAGGGAGACTCCGTCTCATAAATGAATAAATAAATAAATAAATAAATAAATAAATGCTATTAAAACCATAACAGTCTCGGTACCGTGGCTCATGCCACGGTAATCCCAGTACTTTGGGGGGCTGAGGTGGGAGGATCGCTTGAGCCCAGGAGTTTGACACTCACTTGGGCAACATAGTAAGATTCCATTTCTACTAAAAATAAAAAATTAGCTGAGTGTCGTGGTGTATGCCTTTAGTCCCAGCTACTCGGAAGGCTTAGGTAGGAGAATTGCTTGAGCCTGGGAGGTGCAAGATGCAATGAGCTGTGATCATGCCACTGCATTCCAGCCTGGGCAACAGAGTGAGACCCTGTCTCAAAAACACCAAAACCAAAACTTAAAAAAAGAAAACATGGCCGGGCACTGTGGCTCATGCCTGTAATCCCAGTACTTTGGGAGACCGAGGCGCGCAGATCAAGAGATCAAGACCATCCTGGCCAACATGGTGAAACCCTGTCTCTACTAAAAATACAAAAATTAGCTGGGCGTGATGGCATGTGCCTGTAGTCCCAGCTACTTGGGAGGCCGAGGCATAAGAATCGCTTGAACCCAGGAGGCAGAGGTTGCAGATCGCACCACTGACTACAGCCTGGCAACACAGCGCGACTCAGTCTCAAAGGGCATAGTGGTGTGCACCTGTAGTCCCAGCTACTTGGGAGGCAGAGGCAAGAGGATTGCTTGAGCCCAGGAGTTTAAGGTTACAGTGAGCTATGATCAGGCCACTGCACTCCAGTCTGGGTGACAGAGGGAGACCCTGTCTCTAAAAGAAACAAAAAAATCCCAAGCCCATAACATACTATACAATGTAAATTAATGTTATTAAAATAGGATAACAAAATCAACCCAATCTTAACAGAGAAGCAGAAGTGTACTACCAGTGGGAGACTGGAGATAACATTTATTGAATCATTACTATTTTTGCGGCATTTTGGTACCTTATTTAATACTCACAACAGGCTGGGCGCGGTGGCTCACGCTTGTAATCCCAGCATTTTGGGAGGCCGAGGCGGGCGGATCACGAGGTCAGGAGATGGAGACCACGGTGAAACCCCATCTCTACTAAAAATATTAAAAAAATTAGCTGGGCATGGTGGCGGGCGCCTGTAATCCCAGCTACTCGGAGAGGCTGAGGCAGGAGAATGGTGTGAACCCGGGAGGCGGAGCTTGCAGTGAGCTGAGATCGCGCCACTGCACTCCAGCACTCCAGCCTGGGTGACAGAGCGAGACTCCGTCTCAAAAAAAAAATACTCACAACAATTTTAGGGGGAGGTATTATTTTCACTAATTTATGCATTAAAATACTGAGGCTCAGAGATGTAAAGTTACTTGCCTGAGATTACACAGCTAGAGATGGAGCTGATGGTCAAACAAGGCATGGCTCTATCTAAGAGAGGTTTAAAAATACCCTAAGTACAATGCTGGTTTACAAAGGATTTTGACCACCGGGCACGGTGGCTCACGCCTGTAATCCCAGCACTTTGGGAGGCTGCGCCAGGTGGATCATTTGAGGTCAGTTCAGAACCAGCCTGGCCAACATGGTGAAACCCCGTCGCTACTAAAAATACAAAAATTAGCCGGGTGTGGTGGTACACACCTGTAATCCCAGCTACTCGGGAGGCTGAGGCAGGAGAATTGCTTGAACCTGGGAGATGGAGGTTGCAGTGAGCTGAGATTGCGCCACTGCACTCCAGCCTGTTCGAGAGACCAAGACTCTATCTCAAAAACAAAAACAAAACCCAAAAACTTTGAGCCCTCAGATCTCCATGTGACATCTCTCTTTTTGTCTATGAGCCCAGGACCCATTCCTTTATCCACAGTCACACATTTTGAGATAGAACTGGCTCATGGGAAGAAAAGATGGCTTAAAGAGATACTGAATGTCTCCAGAATGAGCTAAGACTTTGATCCTAGGGCTTACCAAGGTAAGACGGCAGGTTTAAGCCTGGAGCCTTCAGAGAGATGCCTGTGGCTGAAACACCCCATACCAGCACAACATGTTGCCATCTTCATGTCAACTTCTCTCTTTTTCTTGGTTCTCTTATTCCTTTTTCATTCCTTTTTAAATTCAATAAACATGTTTAAAAGTCCTGTTGAAAGCAGGAACTATAGTAGGAGATATTTAGAACGCAAGCCTGAAAAAGACCTATTCCTTATTCTTTAGATCAATCTAGTGAGAGAGGCAGATATATACAAAAGTATAAGTCAAGGCAGATTTTAAAAAATTCAGCAACGGAATACAACAATGAACCAAGACTTTCACATAAAGGCAATGTCTTGTAACGAAAAATGCCAGGCTTTGGAATCAGCTCTGAAGCTGGCATGTCAATTTAGCTCCGGCCAATTTAAGGGCTTAGCCTTGGTTTCTTACTGATAAAATAAGAGTCATTAAATTTAGCTTTATAATTCTAATTCCAAGATCGCTTTGAGGACTACTCATAGTGTAATAAAGTTCCTAGCAGTAGTTGATACTTAATAAACAATGGCCATTATTACTCAATCCTCAAAGGAGGAAGGTGGAGCAGATAAAGTTACTCCCACTCCCGTTTACAAACGAGGAAGCTAAATCTGTGACATTAAGCAATTGTTCTGAAGACACCAAAGTAGCAAATGAAGACGCCAGCCTAAACTCTGATTTTCAGATCTTTTAAATTCCAACACCCCATACCAGCACAACAACCTTTTAAAAACCACTGTTTTTTTTTTTTTTTTTTTTTTTTTTTTTTTTTTTTTTGAGACGGAGTTTCACTTTTGTTGCCCAGGCTGGAGTGCAATGGCGCGATCTCGGCTCACTGCAACCTCCGCCTCCTGGGTTCAAGAGATTCTCCTGCCTCAGCCTCCCGAGTAGCTGGGATTACAGGCCCGCGCCACCACACCTAGCTAATTTTTGTATTTTTAGTAGAGACGGGGTTTCTCCATGTTGGTCAGGCTGGTCTTGAACTCCCGACCTCAGGTGATCCGCCCGCCTCGGCCTCCCAAAGTGCTGGGATTACAGGCGTGAGCCACCGCGCCCGGCCTAAAAACCACATTTTTACTGATCTCATGCTTTTCTGTTCAAATGCATTAGAGAGGATGCCGAAGATAAAATGAATATACAGGGAAGTGGGACTTATGCAGGGTCTTGACCTCCGGAGAGGTGAGTTTAAGGAGACAGGAGTATGGGCAGGAGCAAGCGCACACACGTAAGGAGCGTTTGGGAAGCCGTCAAGAGTCCGCCAGGGGTGGAGTGGGTTCATAAGGCTAGAAGAAGGGCTCCTTCCATGGCTCAGGGTGACGACTTGATGGGTAGCGAATACCAGAACTCTGGTAACTACACGGATACACGTTTAAACCCGGACACTTGCACGCCGGGTCCTCCCCGTGATCGCCCAGCCCATCTCGGGGGCAGAGCCGTGGCGCAGCCCGCCTATCATCGCTGCCGAGACTGACGCGGTCTCTTCTTTATAGGCGAACGACAGCGTGACGTCATGTTCGCCGGGCAGGCGAGGAAAGAGGACGCCATGATTGGTTGGCGCTGGGGCGGCGGACGGTGGAAGGGCCTGGCGAGTCTAGGTTTTACGCCTGTGCTGGACTTTCTCCTTCCATGTTTCCAGGCCGTGGGGGGCTACAGAGGGCGAGAAGTCGGCTCAGCGGAAACCTGGATTTGGTTCTAAGCCGTGGGGTTGAGAAGGGGTGACCGGAAGTGATCGTGGGACTGACCGGAAGCGAGGCCTGGAGGGGAAAGAGAGAGCGAGACCTGGGAGGGAGGGGGCCTCCAGCAGAAAGGGGCGGGGGAAAAGGTGCAAAAGCAGCGTGGGAGCGCCGGGCTGGCTTCCTGCGGCTGCTGCTGGTCTGACTGGGAAGCAGCAAGCCACCACTACGAACTCTCAAGAGGAGTGGGAGTGCGGGAGTCCAGAGCTGCCTCTGGGAAGTCTGCAGTAGTTGAGCAAAGGGGTCCTCACGTTCCTGAGAGCTGGGCAGGGGGGATTTTGGAACCTGGGGCAGCCAAGAACGAGCAGCCAAGGGTACGGGAGATTAGTTGTGCACAGAGCAGTGCTGGTCGGGCTTGGGGGTGGCTGGTGGGCACTGCGTGGGAAACCTTGGTTTGTAGTTTTCTTGGTTTGCGTTACTCCTGTTGGGTAGAATTACCCTCCGCGCCTTTGTACAAGACACGGTGTCTCCTGGGGCAAGGAAGGAGCCAGGATGGCCTGGGCTCTGAAGCTGCCTCTGGCCGACGAAGTGATTGAATCCGGGTTGGTGCAGGACTTTGATGCTAGCCTGTCCGGGATCGGCCAGGAACTGGGTGCTGGTGCCTATAGCATGAGGTGAGTGAGATTTTCCCAGACCCTACACCTTCTGAATAACAAAGGCGGATAGACACTAAGAAAAGGGGTTGAGTGGGAAGGAGGTGTATAGAGTTTTAAAAAGCTGTTTACGATTGGGGAAAAGGGACTTGTTCTTTTGTCGCTTTGAGTAGTTAGTGTTGTGGAAGAAATGGAAAAAGCGATTGTAGGCGATATGAAGCCTGTGCAGAATCAGTGGAAGAAGGAAGTGGTCCCTGATTAGTAACCAGATGAATGTTGAGAGGCTTTTGTGCCAATGTGGGAGACTTGGGGACTGATGGTGTATGTGTGGGTAAGTCTGACGTTGTGTGAAGAAGGGTTACATATAGCATAGGAATGGTATCTAGGAAGTTGGGAAATTGGGAGCTGGTGCTTAATGATGAATATTGGTTCGTTTCTTGTTGGAAAGATATGGAAGTCCTTGATGAAGAAGTCCGTACAGCTCTATCTTACCACTAGCTTGCTTTAAGACTTTACTTAATTCTGGGATTTCTGACTTTTAAAACATAAGCTGTGAAATGAAAAAGTGACGAAGAAAACTTAAGATGCTTCTGGATCTTTATGTATCAAGCCAGTTGTTGATAACAGATGAAAAATCTCCTTTCGGCCGGGTGCGGTGGCTCACGCCTGTAATCCCAGCGCTTTGGGAGGCTGAGGCGGGCGGATCACTTGAGCTCAGGAGTTCGAGACCATCGTGGCCAACGTGGTGAAACCCCGTCTCTACTAAAAATACAAAAATTAGCCGGGTGTGGTGGCGCGGGCCTGTAATCCCAGCCACTCGGGAGGCTGAGGCAGGAGAATCGCTTGAACCCGGGAGGCGGAGGTTGCAGTGAGCAGAGATGGTGTCATTGCACTCCAGCCTGGGCAACAAAGTGAGACTCCATTTGAAAAACAAAGCAAAACAAAACAAAAACTCCTTTGAAAGCAACATTATTGCCTATATAACTTGTTGCATGCATTGGCTGCTTCATTCCTCCAGTATAGTTTATTTCATTTATAGATGTGTAAGAATCCTGTATGGAAATGTTGAAACAGCTGCATCTTAGGGGTAGATGGACTATAATTGGGTTTCCTAATGCATTATTAAGACTTAATCTAAATAAGTGAGTCAAGAGACTAGAACTTAACATTTTCATTGGGTTTATGAGTTCATAGGGGAAAGATGCTTTTTAGGGGGAAAGTAGATGCATTTTTCATTCTGATAATGAGATCTTTTAAGAGTTATATAAAGTTCCTTTATTCCTGCCAATTCAAAGTAGACTTACCTCACTGAAGTAAAATTATGAGTTAGAATTTAATACTTCAGGCCGGGCACGGTGGCTCATGCCTGTAATCCCAGCACTTTGGTAGGCTGAGGTGGGCGGATCACGAGGTCAGGAGTTCGAGAACAGCCTGGCCAACATGGTGAAACCCCGTCTCTACTAAAAATTCAAAAAATTAGACGGGTGTGGTGGCGCACGCCTGTAATCCCAGCTACTTGGGAGGCTGAGGCAGGAGAATTGCTTGAACCGGGAGGCGGAGGTTGCAGTGAGCAGAGATCGCATCATTGCACTCCAGCTTAGGCAACAAGAGTAAAACTCCGTCTCAAAAAAAAAAAGGGGGAGAGAATTTAATACTTCAGCATCTTCAGGAATCTTTACTTAGAATAATAAAGACTATTATTCTAAATAATAATCATGCCTGTAATCCCAGCACTTTGGGGGGTGGAGACTGGAGGATCTCTTGAAGCCAAGGAGTTCAAGACCCGCTCTCCACAAATAAATCAACAAATAAATTACCCAGGCCTGGTGGCATGTTCCTGTAGCCCCAGCTACTCAGGAGACTGAGGTGGGAGGATTGCTTGAGCCCAGGAGTTTGAGTCTGCAGTGAGTTGTGATTGCACCACTGTACTCCAGCCTGGTGACAGAGTGAGACCTCATCTCTTAAAATTAAAAAAAAAGAAAGATTTTAAAAATTAAGAAAAATTGGAAAAAAATACTATCGTTATATAAATATTTTAGTGATTTTCAGGGAAACTTGAGTTCCATATGTTCTATCATGCAGTGTTCTTAGTCATGAGAAATTTAACTTTGGTTTTACCTATCCTTGTTTATGTAAGTCTGAGCATAAAAACAGAGGTTAATTTGGTCTGAAAGTAAGTGCCCTGACCCTGAACTTACACATGAGCGTCTGACATAATATTTGACAATTTTTTATGCTGTTACTTGTGTAAAGATATTCACAGCAAAAAGTTTGATTTTGTTTAGGTTACCAGAGGTTAGGCTGGAAATAATTAAATATAACTGTACTCATTATAAAAATAGTTAACATCACCAGCAAACATTTGTTAATCTACTAGGTGCAATACCATATGCTCTTGATACTATGCCATCTTACATTTAATTAAGAGTTCTTTACAAATCATACTCTGTGTTTTTCACAGACATTAGAATGGCTTGCATATTTACACATTTAGTTTTTTCAACATCAAAATCAAATGCACAAGTTTCAAACATCACTTTGAGTTCTTGAGAGTATAGTGTGCCAACATTTTAAGTACTTTCTTCTTTTCTTTTCTTTTTGAGACGGGTCCTGTTCTGTCACTCAGGCTGGGGTGCAGTGGCACCATCTCGGCTCAGTAGAACTTCCATCTCCCGGGCTCAAGTGATCCTCTCACTTCAGCCTTCCGAGTAGCTGAGACTATAGGCATATAACACTACGCCTGGCTTTTTTGTTTTTTTCATCCTTTTTTTCATGTGTTAGGTACTTGTCACTATTCTCTTGACTTTTTTTTTTTCTTTTTGAGATGGAGTCTCGCTCTGTTGCCCAGGCTGGAATTCAGTGGTGTGATCTTAGCTCACTGCAACCTCTGTCTCCCGGGTTCAAGCGATTCTCCTGCCTCAGCCTCCCGAGTAGCTGGCACTACAGGCGCACGCCATCATGCCCGGCTAATTTTTGTAATTTTAGTAGAGATGGGGTTTCACCATATTGGCCAGGCTGGTCTTGAACTCCTGACCTCAGGTGATCCACCCGTCTCAGCCTCCCAAAGTGCTGGGGGATTACAGGCGTGAGCCACTGCACCCAGCTCTCTTGACTTATACACATTTAATCTATTCTATTAATTTGTGTTAATTAGATATTGGTCTTCAAATTTTAGTATTCATAAGAGTCACCTGGACAGCTTATTAAAAATACACTTGGGGACCAGGTGTGGTGGCTCACGCCTGTAATCCAAACACTTTGGGAGACTGAGGTGGGTGGATCCCCTGAGGTCAGGAGTTTGAGACCAGCCTGGCCAACGTGGTGAAACCCTGTCTCTACCAACAATACAAAAATTAGTTGGGCGTGGTGGTGCATGCCTGTAATCCCAGCTACTTGGGAGGCTGAGGCAGGAGACTTGCATGAACCCGGGAGGCGGAAGTTGCAATGAGCTGAGACTGTGCCACTGCACTACAGCCTGGGCAACAGAGCCAGACTGCATCTCAAAAAAAAAATGAAATAAAAATAAAAATACAGTTGGGGATAGGCATGGTGGCTCGTGCCTGTAATCCCAGCACTTTGGGAGGCCAAGGTGGGAGGACTGCTTGAGCTCAAGAGTTTTCATCAGCCTGGGCAACATAGGGAGACCCTCTCTCTACTAAAAATAAAAAAATTAGCTGAGTATGGTGGTGCCTGCCCCTAGTCCCAGCTACTCCAGAGGCTGAGATGGGAGGATCGTTTGAGCCCAGGAGGTCAAGGCTGCAGTGAGCTGTGATTGTGCCTCTGCACTCCAGCTTGGGTGACAGGGTGAGACCCTGTCTCAAAAAAACAAAAACCAAACCAAAACAAAACACCAGTTTACAGGGTCCCATCTCCAGTGATTGGGGCACAGACTAGAAATCTGATTATTTATTCATTAGAGTTGAGGTCTTGCTTTGTCGCCAAGGCTGGAGTGTAGTGGCTCAATCACAGCTCACTGCTGCCTCGAATTCCTGAGCTCAAGCAGTCCTCCCAAGTAGCTGTCCCCTAGGCTGGAGTGCACCTGGGGGTACAGTCATGAGATACCATGTCTGGCTGATTTTTAAATGTTTTGCAGAGACAGGGTCTCCCTATGTTGACCAGGCTGTTCTGGAACTCCTGGGCTCAAACAGTTCTTCCCCCTTGGCCTCCCAAAGTGCCGGGATTATAGGTGTGAGCCACTGTGCCCAGCCCTGATTTTTATTTTTTTTTAATTTTAATTTTGTCTTATTATTTATGTTTTTGGAGGCGACATCTCACTCTTGTCACCCAAGCTAGAGTGCAGTGGCGTGATTGTAGCTCATTGCAGCCTCAAACTCCTGGGCTCAAGTGATCTTCCTGCTGCAGCCTCCTGACTGGCTAGGACTACAGGGTCACACCACCACACCTGGCCAGTTTTTCTACTTTTTGTAGAGACTAGATCTTGCTGTGTTGCTCAGGCTGATCTCTAACTCCCGACCTTAAGAGATCCTCCCACCTTGGCCTCCCAAATTGCTGTAATTACACATGTCAGCCGCGGTTCCCAGGCCTATTTCTCCTTTTAATAAGACCTTGGATCTTAGTGTGCCACCCTCCAGCAATAATCTTTGCCAACTGGTTCTAAGAGTCAATCAGGCCAGGCATGGTGGTGCACACCTGTAATCCCAGCACTTTGGGAGGCTGAGGCAGGCAGATCACCTTGAGGTCAGGAGTTCAAGACCAGCCTGGCCAACATGGTAAAACCCTGTCTCTACTGAAAATACAAAAATTAGCTGGGCATGATGGTGCACACCTGTAATCTCAGCTACTCGGGAGGCTGAGGCAAGAGAATGACTTAAACCTGGGAGGCGGAGGTTGCAGTGAGCCAAGATCGAGCCACTGCACTCCAGCCTAGGGGACAAAAGCGAGACTGTCTCAAAAAAAAAAAATGTCAATCAGTCTGACGTTCTACATCTTTATTAGGGAAAATACTCTCTTTGACAAGCAATTTGTTTTATAAAATATCTTCTCTGACACATTTGTTTTACCCTAGTTTATTTTCTGTTGCATCTTATGATGGTTTCATCTTCAAATCTATTAATTTGTATTTTATAAAGAGTCATCTTAATTAGATTTATTTAATCCTTATTAGTGGTCCTTTTATTATTCTTTTTTTCTTATATTTTTATTGTGGCACAAACTTTATACTAAAAGGAAAAGGAGATTCATTGTGAATACATGATAAGTGAAGGAGCCAGTCACAAAAGACCACATACATATGATTCCATTTCTATGACATTTCTAGAATGGGCAGATCTGTAGAGAAAATAAATTAGTGGTTGACTAGAACTATGGAGGAGGAGGGAATGGAGAGGGACTACTAGTGGGAATGGAGTTTCTTTTCAGGGTGTTAAAAATGTTCTAAAATTGTTTGTGATGATGGTTATGATATCAAACTAGGTTCGTCCTGCCCACGTGCAGCAAGCCAATCACTATGATGATGGGTTTTGCAAAAGAGACAAGATTTTATTCATAGGGCTGCTGAATGAGGAGACAGGAGAGCAAATCCCAAATCTGGCACCCTGAAAATAGGGCTTGGCAGTATTTGTGGGGTAGGACGCAGGGTGGTCTAAAGCATGGGGAAAGGTGATTGGCAGGTAGGAAAGGTGAGGTAATCAAGGTTTCTGCACAAGCGTAATTGAGCTACATTGCTCTTCATAGGCCATGTGCAGAAAATGGCAGTGTTAACATGATCTAAGTGTGGAGTTTTTGTCCCTCTGACATGAAAAGGTCACTTTTTGGGCACTCATGCAGGTCCAGTTGAGGGATTGGTGGTCTCAACTGGGTAAGAGCTGTCCCCTAATTCCTGAAAAACAACTTTAAGCATCTGTTAATATAGTGACCCACAGTCAGAGATGTCATCTTTTTTTTCTTTCCTTTTTTTTTCTTTTGAGGCAGGGTCATGCTATGTTGCCCAGGCTGTTCACAGATGTTAACTTTTATTTATTTATTATTTATTATTATTATTATTTTTTGAGATGGAGTTTTCGATCTTGTTGCCCAGGCTGGAGTGCAATGGCATGGTCTCAGCTCACTGCAACTGCCTCCCAGCTTCAAGCGATTCTCCTGCCTCAGCCTCCCAAGTAGCTGGGATTACAGGCACATACCACCACACCCAGCTAATTTTTGTATTTTTAGTAGAGACGGGGTTTCACCATGTTAGCCAGGCTGGTCTCAAACTCCTGACCTCAGGTGATCCACCTGCCTTGGCCTCCCAAAGTGCTGGGATTACAGATGTGAGCCACCATGCCTGGCCAACTTCTTTGTTTGTTTGTTTGAGATGGGGTCTCACTCTGTTGCCCAGGCTGGAGTGCAGTGGCATGTTCATGGCTCACTGCAGCTTCGAACTCCCGGGGATCAAGCAGTCCTGCCTCAGCCTCCTGAGTAGCTGGGACTACAGGCATGTGCCACCATGCCCTACTCAGAGTTTTTCATAAATGCCGTTTTAGTGTTAAATAAGTTTCCTTCTATTCCTAGTTTGCTGAATATGTGTGTATGTGTGTGTTTATTGTGGTAAAATACACATAACATAAAATTCTATCATTTTAACCCTTTAAAAATGTCCAGATCAGTGTAATTAAGTACATTTACGTTGTTGTACAACTGTCACCATGATCTGTCTTCAGAACTTTTTCATCCCAAAGTGAAATGCTGTACCTATTAAACACTAACTTCCCATCTCCCCCCACTCCAGCCTCTGGCAACCACCATTCTACTTTCTGTGTCTATGAATTTGACTACTCTAAAAACCTCATATACGTGGGATCATATATTTGTCCTTTTGTGACTGACTTATTCACTTAGCATAATGTCTTTGAACTTTTGCTGAGTGTTTTTTTTTTTAATCTTAAAAGGGTATTGAATTTTTTCAAATATCTTTTCTGTGTCTGTTGAGATGATAATGTGGTGTATCACATTGATTGATTTCCTTATGTTGAACCACTCTTGCATTCCTGGGATAAATGTTGGTCATGGTATATAATCTTTTTAATGTACTGTTGGATCCAGTTTGCAGTTTGCTGTTATTTTCTTGAGGATTTTTATTTCTATATTCATATGGGATATTGGTTTATAGTTTTCTTATCATGTCTTTTTTTTAAGAGACCAAGTCTCCCTATGTTGCCCAGGCTGGTCTTGAACTCCTGGACTCAAGGGATCTTCCTGCCTCAGCCTCCCAAAGTGCTAGGATTACAGGTGTGAGCCACCATGCCCAGCCTGAATTTTATCGTATCTTTTTCTGGCTTTGGTGTCAGGGTGATGTTGGCCTCATAGAACGTTAGGAAGTGTTCCATTCTTTTCTGTTTTTTGAAGGAGTTCGAGTAGGATTGGTGTTAATTCTTTGAATATTTGGTAGAATTTGCCAATGCAGCCATGTGATACTGGACTTTTCTTTGTTGGGAGGTTTTTGTTTATCAATTCAATCTCTTATTATAGGTTTGTTGAGACTTTTAATTTTTTCTGAGTCAGTTTTGGTACTTTAATGTTTCTAAAAATTTGTCTCTTTTATCTAAATTATCTAATATGCTGGTTTAGTCATTCACAGTATTCTCTTATAATCCTTTCATTTATATAAAATTAGTAGTAATATCCCCAGCTTCATTTCTGATTTTATTTATTTTCATTTCATCTTCTTTCTTTTTCTCCCAGTCAGTCTGACAAGAGTTTGTTAATTACTTTTTTTTTTTTTTTTTCGAGATGGAGTCTTGCTGTGTCACCCAGGCTGGAGTGCAGTGGCATGATCTCAGCTCACTGCAACCTCCACCTCCCAGGTTCAAGCAATTCTCCTGCCTCAGCCTCTCCAGTAGCTGGGATTACAGGTGCCTGCCACCGTGCCCAGCTAATTTTTGTATTTTTAGTAGAGACAGGGTTTTACCATGTTGACCAGGCTGGTCTTGAACTCCTGACCTTGTGATCTGCCCGCCTCGGCCTCCCAAAGTGCTGGGATTACAGGCGTGAGCCACCATACCCGGCCAAGAGTTTGTAAATTCTGTTGATCTTTTTAAATAACAAATTTTTGGTTTCGTTGATTCTACTATTTTTATTCTTCTTGGTTTTTGTGGTTGTTGTTGTTTGTTTGTTTTTGAGAAATGGGGCCGTGCTCTGTTACCCAGGCTGGAATGATGCAGTGGTGTGATCATATGCACTGCAACCTCAAACTGCTGGGCTCAAGTGATCCTCCTACCTCAGCCTCCTGAGTAACTGAGACTACAGGCATGCATCACCAAACCCAGCTAATTTTTTTTTTAATTTCATAGAGATGGGGTCTCACTGTCTTGCCCAGGCCTTGAACTCCTGGCCTCAAGCGATCCTCCTGCCTCAGCCTCCCAAAGCGCTGGGATTACAGGTGTGAGGTACTGCACCTGCCTTATTTTTATTCTTTATTTCACTTATCTCTGCTCTAAACATTGTTATTCCCTCCCTTTGGTTGGGTCCAGTTTGTGCTTCTTTTTCTAGTTCCTTAAGGTCTGAAGTTAGAGTATTGACTTAAGGTCTTTCTTTTTTTTATCTCTGTTTTTATTTTTATTTTTTGTAGAGATGGGGGTTTCACTATGGTGCCCAGGCTTGTCTTGAGCTCATGGGCTCAAGCGATTCTCCCACCTCAGCTTCCCAAAGTGTTGGGATTAAAGGCATGAGCCACCATACCCTGCCTTCTTTCTAATATTTTATTATTGTTATTATTATTTATTTATTTATTTTTTGAGACAGAGTCTCGCTCTGTTGCCTGGGCTGGAGTACAGTGGCGTGATCTTGGCTCACTGCAACCTCTGCCTCCCAAGTTCAAGCGATTCTCCTGCCTCAGCCTCCCAAGTAGCTGGGATTACAGACATACACCACCACACCCAGCTAATTTTTGTATTTTTAGTAGAGACAGGGTTTTGCCACATTGGTCAGGCTGGTCTTGAACTCCCAACTTCAGGTGATCTGTCCGCCTTGGCCTCCCAAAGTGCTGGGATTATAGGCGTGAGCCACCGCGCCCGGCCTTATTACTATTATTTTTTAAGACAGGGTCTTGCTCTGTTGCCCAGGCTGGGGTGCAGTGGCACCATCACAGCTTTCACTTTCCAGATTCAGGCAATCCTCCCACCTCAGTCTCCCAAGTAGCTGGGACCATAGGCTCGTGCCACCATGCCTAGCTAATTTTTGTATTTTTTGAAGAGACAGGGTTTCATCATGTTGCTCAGGCTGGTCTCAAATTCCTGGGATCAAGTGATCCTCCTGCCTTGGCCTCTCAAAGTGCTGAGATTACAAGCATGAGCCACCATACCCAGCCCTGAAATGTTTAAAATATGGAATGCTTCACAAATTTGCATGTCATCCTTGCTCAGAGGCCATGCTAATCTTCTCTGAATCATTCCAACTTTAGTATATGTGCTGCTGAAGTGAGCATTAAACAACACACTTAAACACCAAATGAATAAAAAGAGGAAATCATTAGGGAGATAAGAAAATATATTGAGACAAATTAAAAGGAAAACATACATACCAAAACTCATGGGATGTAGTAAAAACTCAGAGGGAAATTTAGGGTTGTAAATGCTTCAGTGAACTGTGATTGTGCCACTGCACTCCAGCCTGGGTGACAGAGTGAGACCCAACCACAAAAAAAATCAGGATTTCGTTCAAGAGCTCTTGTACATCATGGGGACTATAGTTAAAACGATATATTGTATACTTGAACATTGCTAAGAGAGTAGAGTTGATTTTAAGTGTTTTCACCACAAAAAAGAGAAGCATATGAGGTAATGCATGTATTAATTAGGTTGGTTTAGCCATTGATACATTTGATGGTACCCCAGTAGGCCCCATGGCTCTTTCCTTTTTCTTTTCTTTTTTTTTTTTTTTGAGATGGAGTCTAGCTCTATCACCCAGGCTCAAGTGCAGTGGCGCCATTTTGGCTCACTGCAACCTCCACCTCCTGGGTTCAGGCAAGTCTCCTGCGTCAGCCTCCTGCGTAGCGGGGACTACAGCCATGGGCTACCACGCCTGGCGAATTTTTGTATTTTTAGTACAAATGGGGATTTGCCATGTTGGCCAGGCTGGTCTTGAACTCCTGACCTCAGGTGATCCACCCGCCTCAGCCTCCCAAAGTGCTGGGATTACAGGTGTGAGCCACTGTGCCCAGCCTCTGTTCCTTTTTCTTTGTTCGTTTTTTTTTCCTGCTCCTTAGCTTAAGTAATTTCAATTCTATCTTCATGTTCATTGATTCTTTCTTCTGCCTGTTCAACTCTGCTGTTGAATCCTTTAGTGAAATCTTTATTTTGGCTCTTGTATCTTTATGTCCAGAATTGCTATTTGATTCATTTTTATATTTTTAAAATATTTTTATTGATATTCCTTACTTGTTTATACATTGTTCTCCTGATTTCCTTTAGTTTTTTTGTTTGTTTGTTTGTTTTTGTTTTTCGTGGTTTCCTTCAACTCTCTGAGCATATTTAAGACAGTTAAAATCTTTGTCTAGTAGGTCCATTGTCTGGGCTTGCTATGGGGTGGTTTCTGTCAATTTCTTTTTTTTTTTTTTTTTTTTTTTGATATGGAGTCTTGCTGTCTCCCAGGCTGGAGTGCAGTGGTGCGAAGAAAAAAAATTATTATTATTATTATTATTTTTTTTGAGACAGAGTCTCACTCTGTTGCCTGGGCTGGAGTACAGTGGCATGATCTTGGCTCACCGCAACCTCTGCCTCCCGGGTCCAAGCTATTCTCCTGTCTCAGCCTCCTGAATAGCTGGGATTACAGGCATGCACCACCATGCCCGGCTAATTTTTTGTATTTTTAGTAGACATGGGGTTTCACCGTGTTAGCCAGGATGGTCTCGATCTCCTGACCTCGTGATCCACCCACCTCGGCCTCCCAAAGTGCTGGGATTGCAGGCGTGAGCCACTGTGCCCAGCCAATTTCTTTTTTTTTTTCCTGTGAATGGGCCGTATAGTCCTGTTTCTTTGTTTGCTTTGCAAATTTTTGTTGGGAAGTGGACATTTTGTGTGTTGTAATATGGTAACTCTGAAAGTCAGATTCCACTGCCTCCCTAGGGATTACTGTTGTTACTTACGAAAGCTGCATTTGTTTAGTGACTTTTCCAAACTGTCTTTGCAAAGAGTGTATATCTGGTTGCATGCGGTCACTGAAGTCTCTGTTCTTTTATCTCTGTGGTCTTTCAATGACTTGACAGAGAGTTCCTTAAATGCTTAGATCCAATAAGAAAAGAAAACAGAAAGAAAAAAAGAGTGTTCTCTCCCTTTAAGTTCACTTGTCTAGTGCCACTAGGTAGGCAACTTCAGTCGGGGGTGTGCATGTGTGAAACAGTGGCCAGCGCTCTGGCAGCTCCTCAGCAATCAAAAGTAGTGAACGAAACACATAACTTCAATTTTTGGAGGACAAAGCCCCTATTTCCTGCCCTAGCACCAGCAAGCTGCAGCAGAAACTGCCATCCCAACAGTTGGTTACCACAGGGATGGGAGCTAGAGAATGATAAGATGCTATTCCAAATGCCAAAATTCACTAAAATTTACCAACTTTTTTCTTCATCAAGCACTCTTCTGGACACTGCAAGTGTTTCATTAGACCCCAGAGTCCTAAAATATCACCTCAAGCAGTTCTTGCCATCTCAATAGTTACTTTGGTGAAGATACTAACTCCTGAAGTTCCTACTCTGTCATCTTGACCTATGTCCTTAATTTTCAGCACCGATTTAGTTGATCCAACCCTCCTTCTCAGTGTATGCGCGCACACACACTCATCCAATCTGTTCTCTACACAGAAAGAACCCTTTGTAAGTGCCAGTGCCTATGTTTTTTTCACTTAAAAGATAATTTCATTCTTAACATGGAAAAAGCGGAGTAAAAAAAAAAAAATTCACAGCTGGGCGCGGTGGCTCACGCCTATAATCCCAGCCCTTTGGGAGGCCAAGGCAGGTGGATCACGAGGTCAGGAGTTTGAAACCAGCTTGGCCAACAGGGTGAAACCTCATCTCTGCTAAAGATACAAAAAATTAGCTGGGCATGGTGGTGGGCACCTGTAATCCCAGCCACTCGGGAGGCTGAGGCAGGAGAATCGCTTGAACCCTGGAGGCGGAGGTTGCAGTGAGCGTAAATTGTGCCAATGCACTCCAGCCTGGGTGACAGGGTGAGACTCCGTCTCAAAAAAAAAAAAAAAAAAAATTCAGAGAGGATTCTGGGAAGTTGATAAAGTAGGAGGTACCAGAAATCTGTCTCCCCACCACCAAGATAACAGTTGCTTTGGCAGAATCTGTCTGATGCATCTCCTTTGGAACTCTGGAGTTTATTGAAATCTTACAACTGTGAGGAATTAACTGCAATTTACCATCCAATCCTGGATGGTAAATTTTGGTTAATTTCAGTCAGTTTCAGCGCTTAGCACAATAGCAGCTGCCCATCCACATCCCTCAGCCCCATGGCAGGCAGCTGTGCACATGTTCCTGGAGCAGCTTGCATGTAGTTTGTGGAACCTAAGGTGGGCAGAAAGGACCATCTCTTCCAAATATGAGGAATCTGGATCAAGTGCAGTGGCTGGTCCCCAGGACTTTGGGAGGCTGAGGCGAGAGGATTGCTTGAGCCTGGGAGTTTGAGGCCAGCCTGGGCAACATAGTGATACCCTGTCTCTAAAAACAAACCCAAATTTCAGAAATCTGTGCTCCGGTCGGAATTGATGCTTCTGGCCAGGCACGGTGGCTCACGCCTGCAATCCCAGCGCTTTGGGAGGCTGAGGTGGGTTCGAGACCAGCCTCGCCAATGTGGTGAAACCCCGTCTCTACTAAAAATACAAAAATTAGCTGGGCATGGTGGTGGGCGCCTGTAATCCCAGCTACTTGGGCGGCTGAGGCATGAGAATCGCTTGAACCTGGGAGGCGGGAGTTTGCAGTGAGCCAAGATCACGCCATTGCACTCCAGCCTGGGTGACAGAGCGAGACTCGGTCTCAAAAAAAAATAAAAAATAAATTAAAAATAAAAGAAAGAATTGCTGGTTTTGATCACAGAGTTGCAAAGAGGCAATGGTTATTGTTGCATCTCACCACTTTGTTGCAAATTCCCCCACTACCACCACTGAAGTGATGTCCAGTAGATTTCTTTTTTTTTTTCTTTTTCTTTTTTTTTTGAGACAGAGTCTCACAATGATGCCCAGGCTGGAGTGCAGTGGCATGATCTTGGCTCACTGCAACCTCCGCCTCCTGAGTTCAAACGTTTCCCCTGCCTCAGCCTCCTGAGTAGCTGTGATTAAAGGCGCCTACCACCACGCCTGGCTAATTTTTTTTTTTTTTTTTTTTTTGGATTTTTAGTAGAGAGAGGGTTTCACCATGTTGGCCAGGCTGGTCTTGAACTCCTGACCTTGTGATTCTCCCGCCTCGGCCTCCCAAAGTGCTGTGATTACAGGCTTGAGCCACCGCACCTGGCCGATGTCCAGGAGATTTAAAGGACTGGCACCATACTCCCCGTCTCCATTTTTTTTTCTTTTTTCCCTTTTGAGAGCCAGATATTGATGACTAGGGGCTGGGTGTGGTGGGTCACGCCTGTAATCTCAGCACTTTGGGAGGCCAAGGCTGGTGGATCACTTGAGGTCAGGAGTTTGAGACCAGCCTGGCTAACATGGTGAGACCCTGTCTTTACTAAAAATATAAAAATTAGCTGGGCATGGTGGCTCATGCCTGTAGTCCCAGCTACTCGGGAGGCCGAGGCAGGAGAATCACATGAACCTGGGAGGCAGAGGTTGCAGTGAGCCGAGATCGTGCCACTGCACTTCAGCCTGGGCGACAGAGCAAGACTCTATCTTAAAAAACAAACAAACAAAAAAACAGATACTGATGACTAGGATGATCAAAAGGAACCAAATAGATGGGAGAAATTAAGAAGTCATTATGTATGCCCAGGGGTGGGTGGAAGCCTCAGTAAAGTCATGTACTGAATAATGATGTTTTGGTCAGTGACAGACCGAATAGATAACAGTGGTCCTATAAGATTATAATGGAGGCCAGGCATGGTGGCTTATACCTGTAATACCAGTGCTTTAGGAATGGGGGGGCTCTCTTGAGGTCAGAGTTCAAGACTGGCCTGGGCAACATAGCAAGACCTCGTCTCTACAAAAAATAATAAAAGAAGGAAAATTAGCTGGGCATGGTGATATATTCCTGTAGTCCTAGCTACTAGCTACTCAGGAGGCTGAGGTGAGAGGATTGCTTGAGCCCAGGAGTTTGAGGCTGCAGTGAGCTATGATTGTGCCACATCACTCCAGCCTTGGTGACAGAACAAGACTCTGTTTCTAAAAAAAAATTAAGATTATAGTGGAAAAAAAAATTAAAATGGGTCGGGTGCAGTGGTTTATGCCTGTAATCCCAGCACTTTGGGAGTTCAAAGTGGGAGGATCACCTGAGGTCAGGAGTTCGAGACCAGCGTGGCCAACATGGCAAAATCCTGTCTGTACTAAAAATACAAAAATTAGTACACGCCTATGATCCCAGCTACTTGGGAGGCTGAGGCAGGAGAATCGCATGAACCCAGGAGGCAGGCGGTGGTTGCAGTGAGCCAGGATCATGCCACTGTACTCCAGCCTGGGCAATAGAGCGAGACTCTGTCTCAAAAAAAAAAAAAAAAAAGAAAAGAAAAGAAAAAACTCAAATTACTGAAATACTAAAGATAAAAATGAAAGTGGGAATATTACCCTCAATTCCACAGAAATGGAAAGGGTAGGCTGGGCATGGCAGCTCACATGTGTAATCTCTATGCTTTTGAAGGCTGAAATGGGAGTATCACTTGAGCCCACGAGCTCAAACCAGCCTGGACAACATACTGAGACCCTGTCTATACAAAAAAATAACACATTCCTGTAGTCCTAGCTACTCGGAAGGCTGAGGCAGAAGGATTGCTTTAGTCCAGGAATTCAAGGCTGCAGTTAACCATGATTGTTCCACGGCATTCTACCTAGGGTAACAGAGCCTGTCTCTTAAAAAGAGAGATCATGGGCCGGGCACAGTGTCTCACGCCTGTAATCCCAGCACTTTGGGAGGCTGAGGTGGGCGGATCACTTGAGGTCAGGAGTTTGAGACCAGCCTGGCCAACATAGTGAAACCCCGTCTCCACTAAAAATACAAATAAGAAAATTAGCCGGCCGTAGTGGCACATGCCTGTAATCCTAGCTACTTAGGAGGCTGAGGCAGGAGAATCACTTGAACCTGGGAGGTAGAGGTTGTAGTGAGCTGAGATTGCACCATTGCACTCCAGCCTGGACAACAAGAGTGAAACTCTATCTCAAAAAAAAAAAAAAGAAAAAAAAGAGATTATAATAGACTACGATAAGCAATTGTAGGCTGGTCTGGAGATAGTGAATTGTCTTAATTGATTGTTGACAGTCAGTTACAGATAGAACTTGTTCTACTCTTTCCCCTATCCTTACTACTGCACTTGACTAGTTTTTTGGGGAAAAAGATTAATAAACCAATTGTACACCAACAAATTGGGTAACCTAGATGAAATGGTCACATCCTAGAAACACAAAACCTACCAAGACTAAACTACTAAGAAATAGAAAATGTAAATAGTCTCATAACTCATAGGGAGATTGCATTTGTAATCGAAAATGTCCCAACAAAGAAATCTCTGGACCTGATGACTTCGCTGGTGAATTCTATCAACATTTCAAGAAGAACTAACACCAATCCATCTCAGACTTTTCAAAACATTGAAGAGGAAAGAACACTCACTAATTCATTCTGTGAAGTCAGCATTATCTTTGACATAGTTTGGATATGTGTCCCTCCAAATCGCAAGTTGAGATTTGATCTGCAGTGTTGGAGGTGGGTGGGGCCTAGTGGGAAGTGTTTGGGTCATGGGGGTTTATCCCTCAGGAATGGCTTGGTGTGGTCCCTATGGTAATGAGTGCATTTTTGCTCTATTAGTTTACTCAAGAGCTGGTTGTTTAAGTGTGGCACCTCCCCCCCCCTTGCTTCCTCTGTTGCCATGTGACATACCTGCTCTTCCTTCACCTTCTGCCATGATTGAAAGTTTCCTGAGGTACTTATCAGAAGCAGATACTGGCACCATAAGTATCTGCTTCTTGTACAGCCTGCAGAACCATAAGCCAAATAAACCTCTTTACTTTGTAAATTACCCAGCCTCAGGTATTCCTTTATAGCAATGCAAAATGGATGAATAGTCTTGATGCCAAAGCCCTACAAAGATGCTATAAGAAATCTATGGACTAATAGTTCTTTCTTTTTTTTTTTTTTTTTTTTTTTTTTGAGACAAAAAGAGTCTCACTCTATCACTGAGGCTGGAGTGCAGTGGTGCAATCTTGGCTCACTGCAGCCTGGGCCTCCTGGGTTCAAATGAATCTCGTGCCAAAGCCTCCCAAGTAGCTGGGATTACAGGCATGTGCCACCATGCCCAGCTAATTTTTAAATTTTTAGTGGAGACGGGGCTTTGCCATGTTGGCCAGGCTGGTCTCAAACTCCTGGCCTTAAGTGATCCACCCACCTTGGCCTCCCAAAGTGCTGGCTTTACAGGCGTGAGCCACTGCGCCTGGCCTATAGACTAACATTTCTTAGAAACATTGATGTAAAAATCATCAACAAAATACCAGCAAACCAGATTTAACAGCATATTAAAAGGATTATACACCATGACCAATAAGCACATGAAAAGATACTCAATGTTGCTAATTAAGGAAATGCAAGTCAAAACTCCAAGATGCTACCTCACACCCATTAGGATGGCTGCTATCAAGAACAGCAGAAAATAATTGTTGGGAAGGACATGGAAAAATTGGAACCACTGTACACTGTTGTTAGTCGTGTCAAATGGCATAGCCTATGTGAAAAACTGGTGGTTCTTCCAAAAATTAAAAATAAAATTACCATATGTATCAGGATTTTCCAGAGAGACAAAACCAATAGGATATAGATGGATGGATGGGTGAATGAGAGGGGATTTATTAGGGGAATTGGCTTACTCAATTATGGAAACTAAGAAGGCTGTGATAGGCCATCTGCAACTAGAGAACCAGGGATGCCAGTAGCATGGCTCAATCTAAGTCTCAAAGCCTCAGAACCAGGGAAACCAATGGCATAACTCTCAGACCGAGGCTGAAGGCCTGAAAACCTGAGAGGCTACTGGTGTAAGTCCTGGGGTCCAAAGGCTGGAGAACTTGGAGTACTGATATCAAAGGGCAGGAGAAGGATGTCCCAGCCCCAGGAGAAAAAATGAATTTACCTTTACTCTGCCTTTTTGTTCTATCTGGGCACCCAGCCCTTTAGATGTTGCCCTCCCACATTGAGGATGGATCTTACTCCCTCAATCAACCTACTCACACACCAGTCTTCTCTGGAAACACTCTCACAGATACAGTCAGAAATCATGCTTTACCCGCTTTTTAAGTATCCTTTAATCCGGTCAAGTTGACACCTAAAAATCATCACACCATATCATCCTGTAATTCTACTTGTGGGGGTTTAGTAGTTCCCCCTTATCCTAGGTTTCACTTTCTGAGATATCAGTTACCCAAGGTCAACTGTGGCCTGTAAAAAAATAGGTGAGTATAGTACAATAAGATATTTTGAGAGAAAGAGAGAGACCACATTTATTTATTTATTTAGAGATGGACTCTCACTGTGTCACCTAGGCTGGAGTGCAGTGGCACCATCTTAGCTCACTGCAACCTCCACCTCCCAGGTTCAAGCAATTCTTGTGCCTCAGCCTCCTGAGTAGCTGAGATTACAGGCACCTGCCACCACGCCTGGCTAATTTCTGTATTTTTAATAGAGATGAGATTTTATCATATTGGCCAGGCTGGTCTCGAACTCCTGATCTCAAGTGATCCACCCGCCTCGGCCTCCCAAAATGCTGGGATTACCGGCGTGAGCCACTGTGCCCAGCCACATTTATATAATTTATTACCATATATTGTTATAGTTTTATTTTTAGTTGTTGTTAATCTCTTACTCTGCCTAATTTATAAATTAACTTTACCATGGATATACATATATAGGAAAAAACACACTATACGGGGTTTGATACTCTCCCTGGTTTCACACATCCATGGGAGTCTTGGATCCCCCCCATCAGATAAGGATGACCTAATGTATACTCAAAATAATTGAAAGCAGGGTCTCTAAGAGATATTTGTGTACTTAGTGTTCATAGGTATAGCCCATTGATCAAGGGATGAATGTATAAGCAAAATGTTGTAAGTACATACAATGGAATATTATTCAGCCTTTAGGATGGCTGCTAGTAAAAAAATCAAAGTAACAGGTGTTGGCAAGAATGTAGAGGAATTGGAACCTTTATGTATTGCTGGTGGCAATGTAAAATGGTGCATTCACTGTGGAAAACAGTATGGTGGTTCCTCAAAAAAATTAAATGTAGAATTATGATACAACTGTTTCACTTCTGAGTGTATATTCAAGACAATTGACAGCAGCGACTTGAGCAGCTATTTGTACACCCATGTTTAACAACATTATTCACAACAGCCAAAAGGTGGAAGGAACCTAGATAAACAAAATGTATATAATGTATACATATGATGGAATATTATTCAGGCTTGAAAAGGAAGGAGATTCTGATGTGTAATATAATATGGATAAACTTTGGGACATTATGGTGTGTGAAATGTCAGACACGAAATGATAAATATATGATTCCACTGCCATGAAATACCTCAAGTAGTCAAATTCATAATGATAGAATGTTGAATAGTGGTTAACCAGGAGAGGGGAGTGAGTAGTTCTTGTTTAATGGGCACAGAATTTTAGATTGGGATGATGAAAAGTTCTGAAAATGGATAGTGGTGAACGTACTTAATAGCACTGACGTGTATACTTAAAAATGGTTAAAATATTACAGATTGAAGCATTGATATAGACAACAAAAAACAAAAAAAAAAAAGGTTAAATGATAACTTTTTTTTTGAGACAGGGTCTTGCTCTGTCACCCAGGCTGCAGTGCAGTGGCACAATCACAATTCACTGCAACCTCAAACTCCTGGGCCCAAGTTATTCCCCTGCCTTAGCCTCC
The DNA here is from genome assembly GCF_000001405.40 of Homo sapiens. Lineage (NCBI taxonomy): Eukaryota > Metazoa > Chordata > Mammalia > Primates > Hominidae > Homo > Homo sapiens. Next base: position 51,153,269 of record NC_000012.12, on the reverse strand, counting down.
TGAGTAGCTGGGACTACAGGTGTGCACCACCACACCTAGCTAATTTTTTAAAAATTTTAGAGAGATGGGGTCTTGCTATGTTGCCCAGGCTGGTCTAGAATTGGCCTCAAGCCATCCCCCTGCCTTGGCCTGCCAAAGTGCTGGAATTACAAACATGAGCTGCTGTGCCCAGCCAACACTGTATTATGTATATTTTACTACAGATTTTAAAAATGGAAAACAAAAAGAATGCAAATAGTTCTCCTTTGCCCAAGTCCTGATCCCTCAGCTAGCTGCGAAAGTATCACCACCAATGATGGTTGCCAGGGGCTAGTTACTGTTCAGTGGCTATAAGAGTTTCAGCCTTGCAAGATGAAAAGAGTTCTGGAGATGGATGATGGTGATGGTTGTACAACAATATGATTGTACTTAATACCACTGAACTGTCCACTTAAAAGTGATTAAGATAGTAAATTTTGTTATGTGTATTTTATCACAATAAAAAGCAGTTGGGAAAAAATAATTTCAGACTTGTATAATATTTGCATGAATACTACAAAGAATTTGTGAAAACCTTTCACCTGGATTCCCCAAAGGATAATATTTTAATATATTTGCTTTATCCTTCTCTTTCTCAGAATTTCTTACACACTCAGAATTATTTTTTTCTGAATGATTTAAAGGTAAAAGGCAGATGTGGCGCCCCAAACACCTAAATACTTCAGTTTGTATTTTTTAAAAACAAATTCTCTTACATAACTATGGTATAATGATCAAAATCGGGAACTTAACGCTGACACAATGCTATAATCTATAGACCTTATTCAGATTTTGTCAGTTGTCCTAATAATATCCATTATAGTAAAAGAATATCCAATATGATGTGTTGATTCAGTGACCTTGTCTCTTTCATCTCCTTTAATCTGGAACAGTTCTTGTTCCTTGTATTTTTATGACACTGACAATTTGATAAGTGCAGGGTAGTTATTTTGTAGAGCATCCTTCAATTTGTTTTTGTCTGTTGTTTCCTCGTGGTTAGATTCAGGTTATGCACGTTGGGCATTAATACCTAAGAAGTGATGCTGAGTTCTCTGCGTATCATATTAGGATGCACATGCTATTTATTGCTTCTATTACTGGCAGTGTTACTTGAGTGGTAGGGTCCAGTTTTCTCCATCATAAAGTTATTCATTTGCCTTTTGTAATAATGTCTTGGGAGATGTTTTGAGACTATGTAAATATCCTGTTCTCAAACTTTTCACCTGTTAATTTTAGCATTCAGATGATTCTTGCCCTAATCAGTTATCTTTATGATCGTTGCCAAGTGATTTTCTCTTTTTGCCTTCCCTCTACATTTATTAGTTGGCTTTCTACTGTAAGAAAGAGCTTTCTGTTCCTATTATTTTTTATCAATGTAGACTCATAGATTCTTACTTTATTGAATACAATGTAATCTTCTATCACTATATATTTTGATGACAGTGTTCCAGGTTTGGCCAGCAGGAATCCCTTCAAAATGACTTGCACTCAGAGAAGCCTTTTAAAATTAGGTATTGGCCGGGCGTGGTGGCTCACGCCTGTAATCCCAGCACTTTGGGAGGCCGAGGCGGGCGGATCACAAGGTCAGGAGATCGAGAGCATCCTGGCTAACACGGTGAAACCCAGTCTCTACTAAAAATACAAAAAATTAGCCGGGCGTGGTGGCGGGCGCCTGTAGTCCTAGCTACTTGAGAGGCTGAGGCAGGAGAATGGCGTGAACCCGGGAGGCAGAGCTTGCAGTGAGCCGAGATCGCGCCACTGCACTCCAGCCTGGGCGACAGGGAGAGACTCTGTCTCAACAACAATAACAACAAAAAATTAGGTCTTATTAATACTGTCCTAAGGTAACTGTTAATATCACCCTTCCTCACTCACCAAGGTGTACCTGTTTTAGTGATAAATTATATGATCACTTTCTTTAAAATGTTCATCAGATCATGCTACTTTTCTCCTAAAAACTGTCCAGTGGCTTCACATCTCACTGAATAAAAGCCACAGGTCTGTCAAGGATCCATATGGTCTGCTCCTCCAGCCATTGAATATACTCTTCCCCTGGCTTGCTCTGCTGCAGCCGCACCTGGTCTTAGGGCTCCAGTCTCACCTCAGTGTCTTTGCATTTGCAGTTACTCTTCCCGAAACATTCCTGTATGTTCCTTACTTCCTTTAGGTTTCTGCTCACATGTCTTTTTATCAGAGAGGCCTTCTAATGTCCTTCACGTAAAATAGCAAGAGCCTCCTCCCCCTCACCAGCACTCCTTGCTTTCTTTACCCCCTCTGCTTTATTTCTTCCCTAACATCTGATGTGTAATTCATTTGTTGGCTTCTCTCCCCAACTTCATGCTTCATAAAAGAAGGGATTTTCTTTTGTTCTCTACCCTCTGCCTACTGTTAGAATAGTGCCTAATAAGTAGTTTGCGCTGATGTGTTGAATGAATGAATTCACTATCTCCATTTTCTTAAAAAAGGCAAGTACTATAGCAGTTCCTGAGGCAACTATCTCTCTTCATTGAGACCTAAGTCTCTTTATTGAGACTGATTTTTGCCCTTTTGTTGTTGTTGTTTGCTGTGATTTTTCAGTACTTTTTTTCTTCATTTCTCCCCACTTCAATTATCATCTGTCCATCTTCCAAATCTTCTCTCTTTGTCTCAGAGTTGGTCAGTTGTTACTGTTCTTTACTTTCCCTTTCATTCTAAGTCTGTTATGATGGACAGTGTATTTAGATGAGATTCGCCCTGTTTTGCTGCAAACGTTATCCATTACTTTTTAAATTTTAAAATTAAAAAGAATTTTTAATTCATTACTTTTTAAAAAAAATTTTTTTTCTTTTTTTTTCGAGATGGAGGCTCGCTCTGTCGCCCAGGCTGGAGTGCAGTGGCACAATCTCGGCTCACTGCAACCTCCGCCTCCCGAGTTCAAACGATTCTCATGCCTCAGCCTCCCAAGTAGCTGGGATTCCAGGTGCCTGCCACCACGCCCAGCTAATTTTTGTATTTTCAGTAGAGAAGAGGTTTCGCCATGTTGGCCAGGCTGGTCTCAAACTCCTGACCTCAGGTGATCCGCCTGCCTTGGCCTCTCAAAGTGCTGGGATTACAGGCGTGAGCCACTGCACTCAGCCATACTTCACTACTTTTTAAAAGATGGCACTGCTGTAAAAATATAAAGACATGCTGAGAATGATTAAGTGCAAATTCAGGATAATGTTGCCTCTGGGAGTTGGAGGGGATGTAACTGAGGAAAAATATAGGGGGCTTCAACTGTTAATGCTGTATCTTAAGCTGCCTAGAGTGTACACAGTCATTTGTTACACTGTTTTATCTTTTTTATGTCTAAAATACCTTATAACAAATTAAAGGCTAGGTGCGGTGGCTCACCCTGTAATCCCAGCACTTTGGGAAGTTGAGGCAGGTGGATCACCTGAGGCCAGGAGTTCTAGACCAGCCTGGCCAACATGGCGAAACCCCGTCTCTACTAAAAATGCAAAAAATTAGCTGAGCGTGGTGATGCATGCCTGTAGTCCCAGCTACTCAGGAGGATGTGGCACGAGAATCGCTTGAACCTGGGAGGCAGAGATTGCAGTGAGCAAAGATCGTGCCACTGCACTCTGGCCTGGGTGACAGAGCGAGCCTCCATCTCGAAAAAAAAGAAAAAAAATTAAGAAAAAATTTATCTAACACGTAATCTATTTCTTCATTCTTTTAAGTTATGCTGTTACTCCTTTTTACTGTAAGTTCATAAATTTTCTTTGCTTTCCTACACTTTTCTTGTCCTCCTCTTATTATGGAAAACAACCTACAAAGCAGCAGTGCTGCCATTCCTTCCTTCTACTTTTTTTTTTAAGGTTTTTGGGGAACAGGTAGTGTTTGGTTACATTAATAAGTTCTTTAGTGGTGATTTCTGAGATTGTAGTGCACCTATCACCTGAGCAGTGTACAGTGTACCCAATGTATAGTCTTTTACCCCTCACCTCTTCCCATGCTTTCCCCTTGAGTCCCCAAAGTCCATTGTATTATACTTAAACATTTGTACCTCATAGCTTAGCTCCCACTTATGAATGAAAACATACGATGTTTGGTTTTCCATTCCTGAGTTACTTCACTTAGAGTAATGGGCTCTAGTTCCATCCAGCTTGCCGCAAATGCCATTGTTTCGTTCCTTTTATGGCTGAGTAATATTCTATGGTGTATATATACCACATTTTCTTTCTTTCTGTTTTTTTTTTTTTTTTTGAGATGGAGTCTTGCTCTGTTGCTCAGGCTGGAGTGCAGCAGCGCAGTCTTGGCACACTGCAGCCATCACCTCCTGGGTTCAAGAGATTCTCCTGCCTCAGCCTCCTGAGTAGCTGGAATTACAGGTGCCTGACACCACTCCAGGCTAATTTTTGTATTTTTAGTAGAGACAGGGTTTCGCCATATTGGTCAGGCTGGCCTCAAAGTCCTGACCTCAGGTGATCCGCCCACCTCGGCTTTCCAAAGTGCTGGGATTACAGATGTGAGCCACTGCACCTGGCCTATATACCACATTTTCTTTTCTTTTTCTTTTTTTTTTTTTTTTGAGACAGAGTCTCACTCTGTTGCCTAGGCTGGAGTGCAGTGGTGCAATCTCGGCTCACTGCAACCTCTTCCTCCTGGGTTCAAGTGATTCTCCTGCCTCAGCCTCCCAAGTAGCCTGGACTACAGGCGCCCGCCACCACGCCTGGCTGATTTTTGTATTTTTAGTAGAAATGGAGTTTCACCATATTGGCTAGGCTGGTCTTAAACTCCTGACCTTGTGATCCGCCCGCCTCGCCTCCCAAAGTGCTGGGATTACAGGTGTGGGCCACCACGCCCGGCCACCACATTTTCTTTATCCACTTGTTGATGGGCATTTGGGCTGGTTCCATATTTTTGCAATTGCAAATTGTCCTGCTATAAACATGCGTGTGCAAGTATCTTTTTCATATAATGACTTCTTTTCCTCTGGGTAGATACCCAGCAGTGGGATTGCTGGATCAAATGGTAGATAAACTTTTAGTTTTTTAAGGAATCTCCACACTGTTCTTCCTAGTGGTTGTACTATTTACATTCCCAGCAACAGTATAAAAGTGTTCCCTTTTTACCACATCCATGCCAACATCTATTTTTTTTTAATTTTTTGATTATGGCTATTCTTGCAGAAGTAAGGTGGTATTGCATGGAGGTTTTGATTTTCATTTCCCTGATAGTGATGTTGAGCATTTTTCCATATGCTTGTTGGCTATTTGTATGTCTTCTTTTGAGAATTGTCTATTCATATCCTTAGCCACTTTTTGATGGGATTGTTTGTTTTTTTTCTAGCTGATTTGTTTGAGTTCCTTGTGGATTCTGGATATTAGTCCTTTGTCAGATGTATAGATTGTGATTTTCTCCCACTCTGTGGGTTGTCTCTTTACTCTGCTGATTATTTCTGCTGTGCAGAAGCTTTTTAGTTTAATTAAGTCTCATCTGTTTATCTTTGTTTTTGTTGCATTTACTTTTGGGTTCTTGGTCATGAGGTCTTTGCCTAAGTCAGTGTCTAGAAGGGTTTTTTCCAATGTTATCTTCTAGAATTTTTATGGTTTCAAGTCTTAGATTTAAGTCTTTGCTCTACCTTAAGTTGATTTTTGTATAAGGTGAGAGATGAGGATCCAGTTTCATTCTCCTACATGTGGCTTGCCAGTTATCCCAGCCTTCCCTCTACTTTGTCACCTTCTCTCTTTCCCCCCCCACCTCTTCCTATCCTGGTCTCCCTTTATCTGCCTTGTTCATAGTAGTTTCCATTTGTTGCTGATAGTCGACTCTCACTATGCCTCAAGTAGAACCTAACAGAATAAACTTGGGACTTTGTGTACACAAATTGGTGTTCCAGTTTTCCTTTCACCAATGGTTTAATTTTCTTTCTTTCTTTCTTTCTTTCTTTTTTGAGATGAAGTCTTGCTGAGGCTGGAGTGCAGTGGCGCAATCTCGGCTCACTACAACCTCTGCCTCCTGGGTTCAGGTGATTCTCCTGCCTCAGCCTCCCGAGTAGCTGGGATTACAGGCATGTGTCACCACACCTGGCTAATTTTTGTATTTTTAGTAGAGATGGAGTTTCACTATATTGGCCAGGCTGGTCTCGCACTTCCGACCTCAGGTGATCTGCCTGCTTTGGGCTCCCAAAGTGCTGGGATTACAGGCGTGAGCCACTGTGCCCGGCCTAATGTTTTATATGCACAGCAAATCCTGGTTTATTCCCTCAGTCACTAAGCAGATTTTTACTCTATCATTCAGCAAACACTTGAGTGCCTACTATGTACTTGGTTTTGTACAACTTGATTCTGTAGCTTTGTCTTCACCATATGCTCCCATATGCAGGTGCTGAATCTAAATAAACAGGTTTCTGTCTTTCATTTGCTTACAATTTGATGGAGAAGATAAGACATGTATATAAATAAATGTGATACAGGCTGGAAATAAATATGCTAAAAGCACTTGAAGTGCTATAGGAATTCAGAACACAGAAATACTACTTCTGCCTCCTAAGGTGGTATCTGAAAGAAGGGTAAGATTTGGCCCTGCAAAGGTGGAGGAGAAATATATTCCAGGCAGAGGGATTATAGGAGCAATGGAATTGTTGGATTATGAGCTTGCTGTATCTTCCTACAAGATAATGCTAAATTATTGTTCTAGTATACTTAGAGGTCAGGTGTTTCGGTTCTGCATCCTAGCCATTATTTTAATTGTTCACTGTTGTAATTTTTGTGTGGAATAGTATTTTATTGTGGTTTTAATTTGTATTTTCCTAATTTCTTATGAGGCCAGCACCTTTTCATATGTTTGTGGGCCACTGATGTTTTCTCCTAAGAAGTAAGTATTTGAGTTTTTTGGGGGTATGGGGTGGGGGAGGGAGGTTTGGCCTTTTTCATATTAATTTATAGGAATCTTAAATATATTTTATTAATTTTTTTTTTGAGATAGGATCTCGCCGTGTCACCCAGGCTGGAGTGTAGTGGCACAAGCTTGACTCACTGCAGCCTCAAACTACTGGGCTCAGGCAGTCCTCCTACCTTAGCCTCCCGAGTAGCTGAGACAACAGCTGAGCATGCCACCATGCCTGGCTAATTTTTTATTTTTGTAGAGACGGAGTAATCTACAAAAGTGTTAAGATTACAGGTGTGAGCCATTATGGCCAGCCTCAAAAATATTTTAGATACTTATCTTTTGTCAGTTTTGTATGTAGTCAGTATATTCTGCCAGTTTGTGGCTTGTCATTTCCCTCTCTTTATGTGTCTTTGGTTCTAAGGTTCTTTTTTTGGTGGGGAGGGGGAAGGGACAGGGTCTTGCTCTGTCGACCAGGCTGGAGTGCAGTGGCAATCACAGCTCACTGCAGCCTCGAACTCCTGGGCTCAAGTGATCCTCCTGCCTCTGCCTGTCAAGGAGCTGGGACCACAGGTATGCACCACCATGCCTGGCTAATTTTTTGTATTTTTTGTGGAGACGGGGGTCTCCTTATGTTGCTGAGGCTAGTCTCAAACTCCTGGGCTCAGGCAGTTCTCCCACCTTGACCTACCTCAAAGTGTTGGGATTACAGGCATTAGCCACCATGCCTGGCCTAAAGTTCTTAACTTAGTATAATTTATGAATCTTTTATGGTATATGATTTTTGAGTCTTGTCTAAGAAAATCTTTTTTTTTTTTTTTTTTTTTTTTTTGAGATAGTCTTACTCCATCACCCAGGCTGGAATGCAGTGAGTGGTGTGATCTTGGCTCACTGCAACCTTCACCTCCTGGGTTCAAGCAATTCTCCTGTCTCAGCCTCCCAAGTAGCTGGAATTACAGGTGTGTACCACCACACCCGGCTAATTTTTGTATTTGTATTTGTATTTTTTTTTTTTTCTGAGACAGAGTCTCACTCTGTCCCCCAGGCTGGAGTCCAGTGGTGTGATCTCAGCTCACTGCAACTTCCACCCCCCAGGTTCAAGCGATTCTCCTGCTTCAGCCTCCCAGGTAGCTGGAATTACAGGTGTGCACCACCATACGCAGCTAATTTTTGTATTTAGTTTTTTTTTTTTTTTTTTTGAGATGAAGTCTCACTCTGTCCCCGAGGCTGGAGTGCAGTGATGTGATCTCGGCTCACTGCAACCTCTGCCTCCCAGGTTCAAGCGATTCTCCTGCCTCAGCCTCCCAAGTAGCTAGGAATACAGGCGCCCACCACCATGCCCAGCTAATTTTTGTATTTTTAGTAGAGACAGGGTTTCACCATGTTAGCCAGGCTGGTCTCGAACTCCTGACCTCAAGTGATCCGCCCACCTCGGCCTCCCAAAACGTTGGGATTATTATAGGCGTGAGCCACTGCACCTGGCCTAATTTATGTATTTTTAGTACAGACGGCATTTTGCCATGTTGGCCAGGCTGGTCTCAAACCCTTGACCTCAAGTGATCCTCCCGCCTCAGCCTCCCAAAGTGTTGGGATTGCAGGCATGAGTCACCGTGTCCAGTGTTGTCTAAGAAATTCTTGCTTATGCTGAGGCTGTCAAGATATTCTCCTGTATTGTCTTTTTAAAGTTTTCTATGTTTGCTTTTCACACTTTAGTCTTTAATCTACTTAAAGTTGATTTTGTATTGGGTGTTGCTAAGGCTCCAATTCCATTTTTTTCACCTACAAATGTCTAATTTTTCCAGCATAATTTATTGAAAAGTCCATCTTTTGCCACTGATCAACTATACTAGCTGTCATAAATCAAATTTCTATATATGTGGGGTCAGTTTATGGGTTCTGTGTTCTCTTCTATAGGTTAATTTGTCTATCTGTTTCAATACCATGCTGTCTTAATTACTCAAGTTTTTAAGTAATTGTTGGTATCTGGCAGGGCATAGCCCTCATCTCATTCTTTTTCAGGAGTATGTGGCCTTTCTTGGTTCGCTTATTGATAGAAATTTTAGAATGGCTGGGTGCAGTGGCACACACCTGTAATCTCAGCATTTTGGAAGGCTAAGGTGGAAGGATTGCTTGAGCCCAGGAGTTTGAGACCAGGCTAGGCAACATAAACAGACCCTATCTCTACAAAAAAATTGAAAAATTAGCCAGGTGTGGTGGTGCACACCTGTAGTCCCAGCTACTCAAGAGGCTGAGGTTGGGGGAGGATTGCTTGAGCCTCGGCAGTTGAAGCTGCAGTGAGCCATGATTATGCCACTGCACTTGGCCTGGGCAGCAATGAGACCCTGTCTCAAAAAAAAATTTTTTTTAAGAATCATCTTGTCAAGTTGAATCTATTGCAATATTTATTGGAATTGAACCTATAGATGAATTTGGGATAAATTGACATCATCGGCATATGTATCCAGCCTTTCAATCTTTGAACATAATGTAACCCTCTATTTAGGTCTTATCTGAATATTTCTTGAATTTGTCTGCTTTGTATCTGTACTTTTGTTGCTGGGTCAAATTCTCATTGTTTCTTACCTGGACTGTTGAATAGCTTTCAACTCCCCATCTTTGGTCTATCTTTTCCAAGAGACAGCCTAGCATAGTGACATCTGAAACCAAACTTAGGGGTTTGAATTCTGGCCCCAACAGGATTGGGCAAATTGCTTAACACCTCCATGCTTCTCTTTAAAATGGAGGTAATAATAATAGTACTTACCTTGTGAGATTGTTATGAAGATTAAATGAGTTTATATATGTAAAATAATTAGGGTAGTGTCAGGCAACTAGTAAGTGCTCAATAAATGCTAGCAATTATTACTGTCATATAAATTCTAGTAGCTTACCTCCAGAGCCTGTCCTCTAAATTTCTATCCTCTACTGAAGAGAACATGAACTCAAGATATATTTTATAGATAAAAATGTATAGGACTTGCTAAGGGACATGAGGATAAGGGAAAGGATCAATCTAGGATGCCTTCAATAGTTCTGGTTTGAATATTTTGTTGGATGGTGTTGCCATTTGCTGAGAAAGGGGGATAGGCTAGTTATGTTTAGAATAAGATCAAGAGTTTTATATTGGACTTGGTCCATTTGGTATCTCTGAGAGACATCCAAAAGGCAGTGTTAGGTAGGTATTAAATATGCAAATCAATATACAAGTCTAGGCCTAGTAGACACATTTGGGAGTCATCAGAATAAAGAGATACTTAAATGTATGGGAGTTAATGAGATCTTCTGAAAGTGTAGAAAGAGAAGAGCCAAAAATCAAGTCCAGAGATTTTGTAGAGGGGGAGGGTTGCCACAAGGGAGTTGAGAAGATGTTGCCAGTGAGGTAGGAAGAAAATCAGGTAAGAGTATTCAGGATCCAGAGAAGAGAGTGGTAAATTTAGGAGTTACAGTTGGGTTGAGTGCTCCTGAAAACAGAAGTAAGATGAGCCCTGAGAAGTGACCACTGAGTTTGGCTACATGGAAGTCATTGGTGACCATGACAAGTACTTGCCATGGTGTGTTGTAGTGAAAGCTGAACTGTCTTGGTTGAAGGAATGAATTGGAAGTGAGGAAATAGAGATTCTGTGTATAAAGACTTTTAGTTATGAAAGGTACAGAGAAGTATAGCAGTAGTTGAAGGCGGATGTGGGAAGACTTTCTTTTTAAAAGATGGGAAATACTCAAATGTGATGGTATGCTAATGGGAATGATCCATGGAGGAAGATTGATGGTACATGTATTGGGATAATCAGAGGAAAAAGGTTCTTGAGAATTGAGAAGGGATGGGATCCAAGTCTGTGGGTAAGGATTAGCCTTTCCCAGGAGGAGGAACTTAGCCTTCGTTGCATCAGGAGCAAAAGAGAAGATGGTTTCAAGGGCATATAGGTTTGTAGGTTTGGTAGGGAAAGAAGATGCTTAAAAATGTATGAGAGATTTAATTAATTAAATTGTACATGAAGAAGTAATTGCAGTAACATGCAGACCCGTAAAGAAGAATATTCAGGAGATCTTCACAGGGATCATAGACAGCCAGGTACTCAATACAGATTTGATAATAAATGGTAGCAGCATTGTCTTGACTATTCATCCACAGTATATCCCAATCATGTTTGCCAAGTAGCCTAATTATAAAGACTTTTTTTTTTTTTTTTTTTTTTTTTGCGACAGAGTCTTGCTCTGTCACCCAGGCTGGAGTGCCGTGGCACAATCTCGGCTCACTGCAATCTCCGCCTTGGGGATTTCAAGCAGTTCTTCTGCTTCAGCCTCCTGAGTAGCTGGGATTACAGGTGTGCACCACCACGCCTGGCTAATTTTTGTATTTTTAGTAGAGACGGGGTTTCACCGTGTCAGTCAGGCTGGTCTCAAACTCCTGACCTCGTGATCCACCCGCCTCGGCCTCCCAAACTGCTGGGATTACAGGCGTGAGCCACTGTGCCTGGTTTTTTTTTTTTTTTTTTTGAGACAGAGTCTCACTCTGTCACTCAGGCTGGAGTGCAGTGGCGCCATCTCGGCTCACTGCAACCTCTGCCTCCCAGGTTCAAACGATGCTTGTACCTCAGCCTCCCGAGTAGGTGTGATTACAGGCGTGCGCCACCATGCCCAGCTATTTTTTTTTTTTGTATTTTTAGTAGAGATGAGTTTTCACTATGTTGTCCAGGCTTGTCTCTAGCTCCTGGCCTCAAGTGATCTGCCCACATCGGCCTCCCAAAGTGCTGGGATTACAAGTGTGAGCCACCCTGCCCAGCTAAAGACCCCTATTTTTTATATGGGCATATTCTTATTATTTTAGTTATTTAAAAAAATAGTGTTTATTAAGTACCTAGGATGGCCAGGTCTTGTTGATAATAGGGTGACAAGACAAAGAAGATCCTTGCAAGAGTAGAGCTTGCATTCCTATGGAAGAAGTACAGAGAAGAAACTATAAACAGATAGATAAGGAAATTTCAGAAAGAAGTGCCATAATGAAAATATATGGAGTCTTCTTTAGGTAGAATGATGAGTGAATGTCTCTCTGCAGAGGTACACACTTGAACACAGACCTAAATAATAAAAAGAACCACACAGAAATCTGGAAATTTATTTAGCCTTCTGGGCAGAAAGATCAGCTATATTGCAGAATCTTTTAGTTCTTCCCCCACTTCCCCCTGCTTTTTTTTTTGGTCCCAGCTACTCAGGAGGCTGAGGTGAGAGGATTGCTTAGACCCAGAAATTCAAGACCATCCTAGGCAAGATGGTGAGACCCCATCTCTACCAAAAAAAATGTAAAAAATATTATTTTTTTATTATTATTATCATTATTTGTATTTTTTAGACAGAGTCTCACTCTGTTGCCCAGGCTGGAGTCCAGTGGTGTGATCTCAGCGCACTGCAACCTCTGCCTCCCCGGTTCAAGCGATTCACCTGCCTCAGCCTCCCAAGTAGCTGGGATTACAGGCGCCTGCCACCACGCCTGGCTAATTTTTGTATTTTTAGTAGAGACAGCGTTTCACCATGCTAGCCAGGCTGGTCTCAAACTCTTGACCTCAGATGATTCACCTGCCTTGGCCTCCCAAAATGCTGCGATTACAGGTATGAGCCACTGTGCCCAACCAAAAAATTTAAAAATTAGATGGTTGCAGTAGTGTGTCTCTGTGGTCCCAGCTATTCAGGAGGCTATGGCAGGAGGATCCCTTGAGCCTAGGAGTTTGAGGTGGCAGTGAGCTATGATAGCACCACTACACTCCAGCCTGGGTGACAGTGTAAGACCCTGTCTCTAAAAAATGAAGGAAAGAAGGGAGGGCCGAGGTGCAGTGGCTCACACCTATAATCCCAGCACTTTGGGAGGCTGAGGTGGGAGGATCACTTGAGCCCAGGATTTTGAGACTAGCCGGGGCAACATTTTGAGACCCCACCTCTACAAAAAAAAAAAAAAAAAAAAAGAAAAAGAAAAGAAAGATAGAAAAGAAGGAAGGAAGAAAAAAGGAAGAAAGACAGAGTCTCACTATATTACTCAGGCTGGTGTTGAATTACTGGGCTCAAGTGATCCTCCGCCTCAGCCTCCCAAAGTATTGGGATTATAAATGGGAGCCACCATGCCTGGCCTTTGAGTCCTTTTCAGGTTCTTTTAGTGAAATCATAGTTAATCAATACTATCATTTTATTAGTATGAGTTGTGCAAATATCCATGCATAAGTGTTAGAGTGCAACACCTTTAGAAATATCTTTGGAGCATCAGTGGGAGCTTTTGATTATTTATTTTTCCCCTCAGGAATGTTTTGAACAGTTGCTACTTAATATGAGGCATTGAGTGTTGATAAACAAGGATAAAACTTGGATAAAATGAGTTTATTTGCTTACTATTTCCCTACTGCCTGAAATAGTTCCAGGCATATCAGTGTTCATAATGTATTTATTGAATGAATGAATAAACTCATTTGTAAATCCAGTATTTAATAGCTGTGTAACCTTGGGCACATCATTTAACATTTCTAATTACTGTAGCCTCAGTTCCTTCAGTTGGAAAATGGTGAGGAGGAGACAATTCCTCCTACCTCACAGCATTATTGTATGAATTAAATGGAAATTTATGTGCAAAAAATGAATCATAGCAATTGAGTTGAGGTAGAAGAGAGCAGGTGGACCCCAAGGCCTGGGGGCAAGGGAAAGAACTGCAGTTTGTCTGCTGAATCTTTTAAAAAAGTCAAAGAGGCCAGGTGCAGTGTCTCCTGTCTGTCATGTCAGCACTTTAGGAGGCTGAGGCAGGAGGATCCTGAGAGGCCAGGAGTTCAGCACCAGTCTGGGCAACATAGTGAGGCCCTGTCTGTACAAAAAATTAAAAGATGAGCCAGGTGTGGTGGTGTGTGCCTATAGTCCTAGCTACTTGGGAGGCTGAGGCTGAGGTGGGTGGATTGATTGGGCCCAGGAGTTTGAGACTTGCAGTGAGCTATGATCACGCCACTGCTCTCCAGCCTGGGCAACAGAGCAAGACGCCGTCTCACTATACATATGTAGATAAAGGGAAAAGAGAGATGGGAAGTATGGTGAGAGATGAGACTGAAAAGGTAAACTGGGCCCAGTTTTGAAGAGTTTTGGGAGCCATGTTGAAGAGTTAGCACTTTATCATGATTGCGTTGGGAAACCACTGAAGCTTTATAAACAGAGAAGGGACATTTCTAGATTTACCTTTTTAAAAAGTTACTCTGGCTGCAGGTTAGAGGATAATGATAAAAAGCTAGTTATCATGCCTGAGGAGGGTTGAGGCTTAGTAAACTGGGTGTCTTCTGCTCTGCATATCCTTAGAAATACAAATTTACTCTCTGTCTATAAAAGACAAGGGGCAAATAACATTTCTGCTTTGATTGCATCATCAGGTCTAACTGGTTACATCTCTAGGGAATTTGCTGGCCATTTTAGAAGAAAAGGCCTTCCTTCATCAGAAATGTGGTCTGGCCGGGCATGGTGGCTCACACCTGTAATCCCAGCACTTTGGGAGGCCGAGGCTGGTGGATCACCTGAGGTTGGGAGTTCGAGAACAGCCTGACCAACATGGAGAAACCCCGTCTCTAGTGAAAATAGAAAGTTAGCCAGGTGTGGTGGCGCACACCTGTGATCCCAGCTACTCAGGAGGCTGAGGCAGGAGAATCGCTTGGACCCGGGAGGCGGATGTTGTGGTGAGCCAAGATCATGCCATTGCACTCCAGCCTCTCACCATTGCACTCCAGCCTGGGCAACAGAGCGAAACTTGGTCTCAAAAGAAAAAAGAAATGTGGTCTGAAGGAGGAGAAATGTTCGTAAGTCCTATCACTTTTAGCATAAAAGAGGAGAGATGGTTAGAGCCTATTTACCATTTCATAGGACTAACTATTCTGGTACTTTCAGGATTTTCCTGAAAGTCATCGGCAATTAAAGCCTTAAAACACAGAAAACTAGGCCAGGCACAGTGGTTCACACCTGTAATCCCAACAATTTGGGAGGCCGAGGCGGTTGGATCACTTAAGGCCAGGAGTTTGAGACCAGCTTGGCCAATGTGGTGAAACCCCATTTCTACTAAAAATACAAAAATTAGCCAGGCATGGTTTACATGGGATTATAGGAGTGCGCCTGTAATCCCAGCTACTCGACAGGCCGAGGCGGGAGAATCACTTGAACGTGGAAGTCGTAGGTTGTAGTGAGCCGAGATAGTGCCATTGCACTACAGCCTGGGCGACAGAGTGCTACTCCATCTCAAAAAACAAACAAACAAAACACACACAGAGAAAAATAGAAAATAAATAAATACACAGAAAAGTGTCTGTGCTTGCCTTTCATTAAGGGGAGGAATGAGGGACTAGAGAGATTGTCCTACTTTGAAGCCAGGCATGGTAGGGAGTACAGGATGAGCAAGACATAAGAACTCTCAAGTATAGAGAGGTAATAGTGATGCTTGCCAGTGAAGATGGAAGCCTGACTGCAAGAGGGAAGAAAGCATGAGCTGGTAGACATTTTGGATCGGAAAAGAAGCTTTGAGGCTCAGCACTATAAAGGGCTAAGTGTGGATTCCCTTAGTCCCAAGAAAACAAAACAAAACAAAACTGTTGGTGTTTTCCCAGTTATGCCATACTATGATGATATACATTTGATCTTTGAATACTGAAATGGGAGTTCTATTTTCTGTATCAAAATAGTCAGATTCCCTTCAACATATAGCCTATGAATATTGCTGCGAGTTGCCATTTTTTGCCTAACTGGAAAGAGTCAGTGATTTCAGAAATTTAATAAAAGAGCCTAGTACTAATGATGCCACAGGTGATGTTTTCAATTAGCAGTGTTTTAATGAGATCTGTAGGCTGGTAAATGCTAATCCTATAATGTATGAAAAAAACTAAGAAGGTAGGCCTATATCTAGTAAATCTCCTGAGGTAGGGCTTTGCTGATTCAGATTTCTTTGATTAAACTTTTAATATCTTACAAGCTCCCTGGAAGTAAATTTGTATCTGACACAGATACTTTTCAGCTTCCAAAATAAATAAGGTTAGCAAAAATTAGATGTGTTTAGTGACTTTATAAGCTAAAGGAAAATAAAAGCACATTTCTGGTAGGTATAAATAATTGGTAGTTGGCAAATAATTCAGCAGAGTGGAAATGTGAGAGACTGAAAGACTTGAGGCAAAAAAAGGGAAATCAGCTCCATTTTTTGGTAAACTTTGAGATGTACATAATGAAATGTACATCTGGTATCTCGCAAGTGATCTAAACTGATCTCATAATCGTGCTGAAGAAATAGATTTGTAGTCCAGAAGCACTTCTTAAAGTGCTTAAAGAACATTAAGCCCAGTTTTGACATGTGGGAAACAGTTCCAGAACCAGTATTCCCAGAGAAAGACTATCAAATGACAGGTATCTCTCTCAGGGACAGCATAAAATCCAGATATGGTATAGTTTTTTTTGTTGCTGTTTGTTTTTGAGACAGAGTCTCCTCTGTCGTCCGGGCTGAAATGCAGTGGCATAGTGTCAGCTCACTGCAACCTCCTCTTCTGGGTTCAAGCAATTCTCCTGCCTCAGCCTCTCAACTAGCTG
Organism: Homo sapiens; assembly: GCF_000001405.40. Classification (NCBI taxonomy): domain Eukaryota; kingdom Metazoa; phylum Chordata; class Mammalia; order Primates; family Hominidae; genus Homo; species Homo sapiens. The sequence goes on along the minus strand of NC_000012.12, from coordinate 51,136,829 downwards.
GGACTACGGGCTACAGGTGCATGCCACCATGCCGGCTAATTATTTTTTATACTTTTAGTAGAGATGGGGTTTTACCATGTCAGCTAGACTAGTTTCAAACTCCTGACCTCAAGTGATCGACTTGCCTTGGCCTCCCAAAGTGCTGGGATTATAGGCGTGAACCACAGTGCCCAGCCTATGTGTAGTTTTTATCTACTGCTCACTTGTGTTTCCATGTTCCTGCTTTGAAACTGGAGGGGAATACAGGTAAGCTACTCAGGGCAGTTGCATAAAACACCTGCTATAAACATACTAGGCCCTTTCAAGTTACATCATTTTTACTATATGTTTTAAAATAATTCCTTTATTATCAGTAATACTGCTTCCTTTATTATCAGTAATACTGTAAAGACTGGAGAGGAAGAAAACATGAGGGGTTTGCAGAATAATTTAGTATGGTATTGCTGTGAAGAGATAGAAATTTAGATGACAGTGATGTTATGCTCCGTCAGGGAACCTTCTTTTTCTTTTTCTTTTTTTTTTTTTTTATTTAGAGTCTCACACTGTTGGCTGGAGTGCAATGGCGCGATCTCAGCTCACTGCAACCTCCACCTCCCAAGTTCAAGAGATTCTCCTGCCTCAGCCTCCTGAGTAGCTGGGACTACAGGCACCTGCCACCACACCTGGCTAAAATTTTTTTGTATTTTTAGTAGAGACGGGGTTTCACTATGTTGGCCAGGCTGGTCTCGAACTCCTGACCACATGATCCGCCCACCTCAGCCTCCCAAAGTGTTGGGATTACAGGCATGAGCCACCGCGCCCGGCCAGGGAACCTTCTTTAACTTGTTTATTGCTATATTCCTGCTACCTAAAACAGGGCCTAGAACATAGCAAGTGCTCAAAGACTATTTGATGAATTCAAAAAAGAAAAAAAGGTTTGAAGGGATTTACTGAGACAGTGTCAGACTGAGTGTTTTCACCCCAGTAGTGGTGATGAGTATGTGTAGACCGGAACAAATTCCCTCACCCTTTGTGGTAATGTTTCAAGATAGCTCACTGAGGACCTCTGTAAAGTCAAGTCTTGCTATAAAAAGATGGTCATCCTAGATGACATAGAGATCAAATCCATTCATTATCTTAGTTTATTAATACATAGCACTGAGTAATTAAGCTCACCAATCCCTCCTCCTCATTTGGATTTAGTTGACATGGGATATGGCCTAAAGCTCCCCAGGTGATTCTGATGTTCAGCTGCTAAGATTGAGAGCCACTGCTATTTATATGCCTTTCATACAGACCTGACTTGAATTTAGTAATATAATATACAAATACAGCAGAAGATGACTTGAAAACTATTTTATTTCTAAATACTTTCTGACTTAAAAAGCAGGATCTGATCGTAGTTGTTTTTTTTGTGTGTGTGTGTGTGACAGTCTCACTCTGTCACCCAGGCTGGAGTGCAGTGGCACGATCTCGGCTCACCTCAACCTCTGCCTCCCAGGTTCAAGCAATTCTCCTGCTTCAGCCTCCCGAGTAGCTGGGACTACAGGTGCCCACCACAACCCCTGGCTAATTTTTATATTTTTAGTAGAGATGGGGTTTCACTACGTTGGTCAGGCTGGTCTCGAACTCCTGGCCTCAAGTGATCCGCCCGCCTCGGCCTCCCAAAGTGCTGGGATTACAGGTGTGAGCCACTGTGCCTGGCCCTGAATTGTAGGTTTTTTGTTTTTTTTTTTTCTTTTTGAGACAGTCTCACTCTGTTGCCCAGGCTGGAATGCCGTGGCACAGTCACGGCTCACTGCAGCCTCAACCTCCAGGGCTCAAGTGATCCTCCCACCTCAGCCTCCTGAGTAGCTGGGACTACAGGTGCACACCACTATGCCTGGCTAATTTTTAAAATTTTTTTTAGAGACAAGGTCCCACTATGTTGCCCAGACTGGTTTTGAACCCCAGGGCTCAAGTGATCCTCCTGCCTTGGCCTCCCAAGTGCTGGGATTATAGGCATGAGGCACAGTGCCCAACCTGTATTTGTTTGATTATCTATTTAAGTAGATATTATTCCTGTACTTAAGTAGCTGAATTACAGTATGATCTTTTAGACTTGTCTTTTATTATGTTTGTTTTTAAAATACTGTTAAAGGAACTGTAAATAAACTTGATTTAATTGGTACAAAGTTCTAAGGGGCACAAAAGACTAGAACAGTATTTTTTCCAAACTTCAGGTTGTAGTAAAAATTTAAAATGAGGTCAAATAGAAAATACCAAGGCCAGGCGGGGTGGCTCATGCCTGTAATTCCAGGAGTTTGGGAGGCTGAGGCTGGCGGATCGCTTGAGCTCACAAGTTTAAGACCAGCGTGGGCAACATGGTGAGACCCCATTTCTACTAAAAATACAAAAAAATAGGTGGGCATGGTGGTGCATGCCTGTAGTCCCAGCTACTCAGGAGGCTGAGGTGGGAGAATGGCTTCAGCCCGGGAGGTGAAGGTTGCAGTCAGCCAAGATTGCACCACCGGACTCCAGCCTGGGCAATAGAGCCAGACCTTGTCTCAAAAAAGAAAGAAAAAAGAAAAAATACCAAAATTAGTAAGTATTGTTTCGTGAAACTTTTCAGTTCTGTAGACGCACAAACATATGTATGTGTGTACTGGGTCTGAATATAAAATGGCTTACCTAATACGAATGGTGTTTCAAGATGTTGAAAACCACAAAACTAAAGAACATGTGACAAGATGGAGGAAAGAAGATAGTCATCCCATCATTCCTTTAATGGGGCTACACTGATTGTTACACACATTTATTTTCTCCTTTTTTCTCTGTTTCTTAGACATTTTTTGTTTGTTTTCTTATCCAGTTGCTTAATTTTTGGATCTGGCCATATTGTTCAAATTCTTTAACACTGTTTCTTTCTTTCGTTTTTTTTTTTTTTTTTGAGACAGGGTCTCGCCCTGTTGCCTAGGCTGGAGTGCAGTGGTGCAATCACAGGTCACTGCAACCTCCACCTCCCGAGTTCAAGTGATTCTTGTGCCTCAGCCTCCCAAGTAACCTACAGGCACCTGCCACCATGCCTGGCTAATTTTTGTATTTTTAGTAGAGACAGGGTTTTACCATGTTGGCCAGGCTGGTCTCAAACTCCTGACCTTAAGTGATCTGCCCGCCTCAGCCTCCCAAAGTGCTGGGATTACAGGCGTGAGCCACTGTGCCCAGCCAACACTGTTTCTTTACCCAAAGAGTGAAAACAAAGGCTGGGCATGATGACTCACGCCTGTAATCCCAGCACTTTGTGGGGCCAAGGCGGCAGATTGCTTGAGCCCAGGAATTTGAGACCAGTCTCAGTCTGGGCAGCATCGCAAGGCCTCATCTCTACAAAAAAATACAAAAATTAGCTGGGCATGGTGGCACACACCTGTAGTTCCAGCTTTTTGGGAGGCTGAGGTGGGAGGATGGCTTGAGCCCAAGAGGCTGAGGCTACAGTGAGTGGTGATTACGCCACTGTACCCCACCTGGGCAACAGAGCAAGACCGTCTGAAAAAAAAAAGAGAGAGTGAAAATAGGTATATTTTATTGGCAGTGTAGTAAAAGGTTTTATAGCATTAACTTGTTTTAAAGGGTAATTTAAGTTCAGATGAGTTATATTGTAATCTGAGGTGGTTTTGTGCTCTGTTATTTTTTCTTAAATGTCATACAATGGCTTTTGGAATGTACCTTTCTTTTTTTAGTAGAACTGTTCTAATTAAGGTTGACTTAATATTTTCCTTTGCATATTCACCATTACTATTAAGTTTTGTTTTAGAACAAAGAAATTTTTTAGAAGCTTTGTTATCTTATTGCATAACAAACCACGCACAAAAACTTAGTGGCTCAAACAACAATGACATCTCATGAATCTGTGGATTGACCGTGCAGTTCTTCTTCATGTGGTATCAGCAGGCTGAGGCTGCAGTCATTCTGAGGCCTAGGCTGGGACGTTCAAGATGGCTCACTTACATGTTTGATGCTGGGCTCTGCTGGGACACTGGGTTGGCTGGAGCTCGCTCTCTTTCCGTGTGGCCTCAGGGTCTTCCCCTCTCCACTGAGCCACTCCATGTGGTTGCTTCAACAGAGTAGCCAGACTTCTTACTAGCAGTTCAGGGTTCCCAAAAGTGCAAAGGTAAAAGCTAGCGATACTTCTTAAAGACTAGACCCGGCCGGGCACGGTGGCTCATGCCTGTAATCCCAGCTCTTTGGGAGGCAGAGGCAGGTGGATCACAAGGTCAGGAGTTCGAGACCAGCGTGGCCAGCATGGTGAAACCCCCATCTCTACTAAAAATACAAAAAATTAGCCAGACATGGTGGTACATGCCTGTAATCCCAGCTGCTCGGGAGACTGAGGCAAGATAATCACTTGAACCCAGGAGATGGAGGTTCCAGTGAGCCGAGATGGCACCACTGCACTTTAGCCTGGGTGATAGAGCGAGACTCTGTCTAAAAAAAAAAAAAAAAAAAAAAAAAAAAAAGACTAATCCCTAAACCAGAACTTGCACACTGCTAATTCTTCCACATTCTTGTTGTTAAAGCAAGTTACCAGCCCAGATCCAGTGTGGAAGGAGTGCTGCGAAAGGGTGTGAATACAGAGAACTGTGGGTCATCTGAGACCGTCTTTGGAGATTAGCTACCAAAGGCACATTTAGCAGCCTAGTGATGAAATCTCAAGTGGTTTTTATGATGTTTAAAACTTAAGACTACATTTGGATTATTTAGACTTCATTTATATTCATTTCCCCCACAAGCAGTTGTTCCTCTATTTTAGCATTTGTTCTATTACAGTTAGATAGGAACTGTCTAGCAAGTGTTTAGCTGAAAGTTAGGCATAAATGAAAAATAACTTAGTTGTAAATTGGTTAGGGAGAAGTGAGTACAAAATAGAGAATAGATGATGTCATAAACTTTGTGTTTAAATAAGTAGTAAGAACTTAAAAAGATATACCAATTATTTACTGCTGCTGAAACACTGAAGACCAAAAGAACAGAAAAAGGAGAGGAAAGAAGGAAAATAAAATAATTTTATTTTTAAAAATCAGTGTGTGGTTTTTCAAACTTAGAATAGTAGCTGGTACTTAGTAGGTAATAAATCTTTGAATGACTGAAGTTTTCTTTTCAAAAGAGGAGTTATTCAAGGCCACCTTGAGTGAAAAAAATTATTTTTAAAGGGAGTTATTGGTATTTCAGGAAATACATATTTTACTCAGCTTGTTCATAGACAGTTTAGAAGATCTGAGAGTATCATTCATTATACTGAGAGCATAGTTCATCTTTGGCCAAGTGGATGTTCATAAGATGTAGACATTCTCTGAGAACTGAAAACCTTTTATATCTTAACTTCAACCAAGAATACCATTTTTAGGAATTGTTTATGATAGAAAAAAACTATACCGATGGGCCTGTTATATTTGGTATACAGAAGATTTAGTATGCCTAGATGTTATCTATACCTTTAATATAATTTGTCAATTTGTCTAATCCTTGTTTTTTTTTTTTTTTTGAGACAGTCTTGCTCTGTCACCCAGGCTGGGGTGCAGTGGTGCGATCTTGGCTCACTGCAAGCTCCACCTCCCGGGTTCACACCATTCTCCTGCCTCAGTCTCCCTAGTAGCTGGGACTACAGGCGCCCGCCACCACACCCAGCTAATTTTTTGTTTTTTTTTTTTTAGTAGAGATGGGGTTTCACCATGTTGGCCAGGATGGTCTCGATCTCCTGACCCCGTGATCCGCCCGCCTCGGCCTCTCAAAGTGCTGGGATTACAGGCGTGAGCCACCGCGCCCGAACTGCGTCTAGTCCTTGTTTTGTCAAGGCAAGTACACAAATGTACAAATAATTTTTTTTTTTGAGATGGAGTCTCATTCTGTCACCCAGGCTGGAGTGCAGTGGCGCAATCTCGGCTCACTGCAACCCCTGCCTCCCGGGGTTCAAATGATTCTCCTGCCTCAGCCTCTCGAGTAGCTGGGATTACAGGCACCTGCCACCATGCCCGGCTAGTTTTTATATTTTCAGTAGAGATGGGGTTTTGCCATGTTGGCCAGGCTGGTCTTAAACTCCTGACCTCAGGTGATTCACCTGCCTCGGCTTCCCAAAGTACTAGGAATACAGGCGTGAGCCATCGTGCCTGGCCAGTTTTTTTTTAAGTATAGACAGATTTATAAGCCAGTTAGTTTAGCCAGTATATAGGCTTTTATAGTTATCATTTGGCTCTGCCTTCTATAGCAGATGGAAAATATGCTTTGGACTTTGTAATAGCAGTGAACTGGTGGTATTTCCTATCAGAGGACACTATATGCCAGTTAGCATTTTCTAATAATAAATAGGATCCCTAAACACAGTCCAATGCAGCTTCTTTTTTTTTTTGAGACGGAGTCTCGTTCTATCACCCAGGCTGGAGTGTAGTAGCATGATCTTGGCTCGCTACAGCCTCTGCCTCCCAGGTTCAAGCGATTCTCCTGCCTCAGCCTCCTGAGTAGCTGAGATCACAGACGCACACCACTATGCCCAGCTAATTTTTGTATTTTTAGGAGAGACGGGGTTTCACCATGTTGGCCAGGCTGGACTTGAACTCCTGACCTCAGGTGATCCACCCACCTCGTTCTCCCAAAGTGCTGGGATTATAGGCGTGAGCCACTGCGCCCGGCCAACAGCTTCTTTTTTTAATGTTATTTTTCTGTTTGTAGGGTTTTTGTGAAGGGGTCTCATTCTGTTGCCCAGGCTGGAGTGCAATGGCACAATCATGGCTCACTGTGACCTCCCAGGCTCAAGCGATCCTCCTACCTCAGCCTCCCAATTAACTGGGATTACAGATGCACAGAACCATGCCCAGCTAATTTAACAATTTTTTTTTGTAGAGATGGGGTCTTATTTTTTACCCAGGCTGGTCTCAAACTACTGGTCTCAAGCAGTCCTCCTGCCTCAGCCTCCCAAATTGCTGGGATTGTAGGTGTGAGCCACTGTGCCTGGCCCCAATGAAGCTGCTGCTGCTTTTTTTTTTCCCCCAGTTTTAGAACATTTTTATCCTGCCAAAAAGATTCCCAGTGCCCATTTTCCTTCCAGTGCAGCTTCTAATACCTGAACAGTCTCACAACATTTAGTCTTTTTAGAATAATAAAATCATAGAACTGATTAGGAGGCCCTCTTAAAGAGGTCAACTCATCCAACCCTGAGCTATTGAAATCTCTTTACAGAACAGAACTAAAAAGACTTCTTTGCTTCAGCGATCCTCTTTCCCTTTAGTTACTCTACATGTGACATGACTTTAGGTCACCTCACTTATTCTTATCTCTCTCCTTAGATTTTTTTTTTTTTTTTTTTTTTGAGACGGGGTCTTTCACTGTCGCCCGAGCTGGAGTGCACAGTGGCACGATCTCGGCTCACTGCAACCTCCGCCTCCTGGGTTCAAGAGATTCTCCTGCCTGAGCCTCCTGAGTAGCTGGGATTACAGGCGCCTGCCAAAATGACCAGCTAATTTTTTGTATTTTTAGTAGAGATGGGGTTTCACCATGTTGGCCGGGCTGGTCTCAAACTCCTGACCTCGTGATCCGCCCACCTCAGCCTCCCAAAGTGCTGGGATTACAGGCATGAGCTACCGTGCCTGGCCTCTCCTTAGATTTTTTAAGTCCTCTCAAATTTGTACACTCAGAACTAAGTATATTCAAATGTAGTCTGATTTGCATAGAGAATGACATTTTCTTCATTCAGACTTTGTTTTTAATGAAACCTGATACCAGTGATTTTGGCAGCTGTAACAGGCTGTATGTCTCTTTGAAATAGACTTTTTTAAAAGCCTAGTTGTTTCTCACTGTCCTGTGCCATTTTGTTGTTATTGTTGATTTTTTTGTTCTAAGCTTATGACTTTATATTTATCCTTATTAAATATGATCCCCTTAAATTTAGCCTCCTGTTCCAGCCACTTAGAATTACTTAAAAAGTTGATTATGTCATACAGGGTATTTACTTTTCCCATCCCAGATACCTGTCATTTGCACATTTGATCGTCCTCCTTTCCATATTCTCATCCAAGTCATTTATAAAAAAATGTTACAAAGGACAGGTTGCTCTGGGCCCCTGTTGCATACTACTGAGCCTTCTTCCAGATTTATCTGCACTCTTTAGGTACAGTTGTATAGTTGTCTGTGAAGCCACTTAACTTTTAAGTTAAAAAATTCATATTTTTTCACCTTGCACAGTGATATCAAGAGAGACTTTATTTTATGCCTTGCTGAAATCCAGATACTATATTTATGCCTCTAGCATTTGCTGGCCTAACCATATAAAAAAAGGAAAATGGAGTTTGGTTATGGTTTCTAGATGTTCCCAATACTAGTTTGTTTTTTTTGTTTTTTTTTTTTTTATTATTATACTTTAAGTTTTAGGGTACATGTGCACAATGTGCAGGTTGTTACATATGTATACAAGTGCCATGCTGGTGTGCTGCACCCATTAAGTCGTCATTTAGCATTAGGTATATCTCCTAATGCCAATACTAGTTTTTTTAATGAACTATTCTTTTAGTAACCTATTCTTCAGTCTTGCTTGTCCTGCACGTCACATCAACTCTGGTATAAGGTACGGGGAATATATTCTCCCTTCTTTTTGAAAATTGTTTCTGCAGGCTGGGCATGGTGGCTCATGCCTGCAATCCCAGCACTTTGGGAGGCTGAGTTGGGTGGATCACTTGAGGTCAGGAGTTCGAGACCAGCCTGGCCAACATGGTGAAACCCCATCTCTACTAAAATACAAAAATTAGCTGGGCATGGTGGTGCACACATGTAATCCCAGCTACTCAGGAGGCTGAGGCAGCAGAATTGCTTGAACCCAGGAGGCAGAGGTTGCGGTGAGCCGAGATCGCACCACTGCACTCCCTCTTGGACAACAGAGTGAAACTCCGTCTCAAAAAAAAAAAAGAAAAGAAAATTGCTTCTTCAGACACACAAAGCTAATGTGATATTTGGGATTATTAGAATCATGAGATTTGTCTGGGTTTCCTCAGTGTCACTCATGGGTCTCATCTGCAGAGACTCTTCAAGTTCTCTAGTGTAGAATTCATCCAGGAATTTTTTATTCATTTAGAGAGATAGGCACCCTTTGACAGTCTCCTTATTTATCTTGGTCACTAATCCACTTTTCCTAATATTTCTTCTTTTCTTTCTACTTTCAAGATGATTTTTCTTGACAGAAAAGATAGAGGAAAAACAGGAATTGAGATGTTCTGTCTCTGCTTTATATTAATTAGTAATACGCCTTTTACATCAAAGAGTGGGCCTGTGCCTTCCTTACCTTTGTTGCAAGTCTCAGCACATTCTGGGCTTCAGCTTCAGCTTCCTTCTTGATGACACATCAGTGCAATTTTTAAAAATAGTTTCTTTCTTTATATGTATATTGTGTATGTCTGTCTAATTCTGAGTTGATTGGTGAGCTTTCCAGCTAGTCTCTTTAGATAAGCCCCCTCTTTTTTCCCCCTCTATGTTAAATAATGTGAGATTGCCAGAATTTCATTTTTGAGAACCTCAATCCTGTTGTCTTCCCTTTTAGCACCTCAGACTTCGGTCCTGTCTTTAGCACCTCAGCCTTAGGTCTGGTTGAAGCCTGTTCTCAGAGTCTAGTTGCTACATCTAGCTGTGCCCCTTGCCCTTCTGCCTGCCTATCTGTCTTGGTTGTTTTCTTTTGAGGCATCCACTACTTCTTTTCTGATCAGTTTCTTCTTATTCAGATTAGGTTCCAAATTATAATTCTACTCATTTCTTCTACCTTCTGGATGATAGAATAATTAGCAAGGCAAATTTTAAAAATCATATATGCTGCTTTTTAGTTGAATGAGATTTTTCAGTAGCAGAAATCTTGTATCATCACTGGCTTTATGGTAAAACCACAGGGCCATCTCTTCTTGCCAGGTCTCCTCCCTGATCTGACCTTACATCCTTCCCACAAATCCCAGAAAATCAATCTATTTTCTTACAGTTGTTATGGCCAATTGTTTGCTGGAGATTTTTTTTCTTTTGAAGCTGGCCTCAGAGTAGAGTGTAGTCTCTTCAGCTGTTGCCCTTTCATGCTGTAGCTAACACAGGGATGTTAGCATGCTTTTGTTTCAAATGCCTTATTCTTATTTAGTGGAGGCTAAATGAGGGTTACAAATAGGAAAGTTGAAGTTCATGACATCTTATTGTCCCAAGTTAGTTTCTAAGTTCCTTAGATGCTATCTACTGCCTTTCTTACTCAAGGTAACACTCTTCAACCCTCTCCTTCTCCCTTTTCTAGGCTCTTTCTAGAACAGAGCATCTCGAACAGCTGGTAGGCCTGAAGGAAGAAAGCTAAACCACAGTTATGAATTAGAGACCATTCAGGGCTGCCTTTTCTCAAAAGGGTAATTTATACCTCGGGGGACCATGAAGCAGCTCTTTGTGGAATCCTAGTTACATTCAAGAAAGATCACTCCTGATATTGCTTCTGTTCCTCTTTCACTCAATTGCTTTCTGCTATACCTCCATGCTGAGGTGTGGATTTCCATTTAGGGGTATACATTTTTAACATACACTCAACTTATCCTTTTAACAGGTATGATTTCTATATCTTTTCTTTTCTTTTTTTTTTTTTTTTTTTGAGACAGAGTCTCACTCTGTCACCCAGGCTGGAGTGCAGTAGCGCAATCTCGGCTCACTACAAGCTCCGCCTCCCGGGTTCACGCCATTCTCCTGCCTCAGCTTCCCAAGTAGCTGGGACTACAGGCGCCCAACACCACGCCCGGCTAATTTTTGTTGTCTTTTTTAGTAGAGATGGGGTTTCACCATGTTAGCCAGGATGGTCTCGATCTCCTGACCTCGTGATCCACCTGCCTCAGCCTCCCAAAGTGCTGGGATTACAGGCGTGAGCCACCGTGCCTGGCCAATTTTTGCATTTTTAGTAGAGGCGGGGTTTCACCATGTTGACCAGGATGGTCTTGATCTGCTGACCTCATGATCCGCCCATCTTAGCCTCCCAAAGTGCTGGGATTACAGGCATGAGCCACCACGCCCAGCCTGTGATTTCTGTATCTTTATATTTTGATCAGAGATAGGGTAAGATAAAAAATTCCAAAATGATCATAGTGTATATAGTGCTGAGTATTCTGGTGAATGCAAACAACCTGTCAAAGGACAGAATTACAGCAAATTTAAAAGATCTCAATTGGCTTTCTTTATGATTCTGGAATTGAGCAAGACATCATTCCATAAAATACAGTAATTGTTCCAGTGAGCTGAGCAGAAGAGGTTAGACAGAAGGGCTAAAGAAAGCAGAAGCAAAGAACAGAGTATATTAGTTACTTTTCAATTAGTTACTTTTTCTTACAAGGCTGGGAGAGGGAGACAGAACAATAGAAAAATAACTGGTTGATTCATATGGAGGTCAGAGTGGAAGCAGGTGTGAGAGGGTCCCACAGAAGAAAACATGGCAGCCAAAGTGTTTGAGTCCACGGTAAGTTTGGCTTGGCCTTAGCTGTTGCAGGAGACCTGTGAACTCTGCCTTATATAATGTGGATGTTGGGCACAGAGCTGTCATCTTTGACTGATTCCAGGACAAAAATGACAGGACATTGTGGTAGGGGACTCACTTTCTCATCCCATGGGTACAGAAACCAATTATCTTTGCCTTTCTCCACCACGTAATGTACCAATCATCACTGGTAGCAAAGATTTACAGAATGTCAATATCACACTGCGCATCATCTTCCAGCCTGTTGCTAGCCAGCTTCCTCGCATCTTCACCAGCATCGGAGAGGACTATGATGAGCCTGTGCTGACGTACATCACGACCGAGATCCTCAAGTCAGTGGTGGCTCGCTTTGATGCTGGAGAAGTTATCACTCAGAGAGAGCTGGTCTCCAGGCAGGTGAGCAACGACCTTACGGAGCAAGCAGCCACATTTGGGCTCATCCTGGACGACGTGTCCTTGACATATCTGACCTTTGGAAAGGAGTTCACAGAAGCAGTGGAAGCCAAACAGGTGGCTCAGCAGGAAGCAGAGAGGGCCAGATTTGTGAAGGAAAAGGCTGAGCAGCAGAAAAAGGCTGAGCAGCAGAAAAAGGTTGAGCAGCAGAAAAAGGCAGCCGTGATCTCTGCTGAGGGCGACTCCAAGGCAACCGAGCTGATTGCCAACTCACTGGCCACCGCGGGGGACGGCCTGATGGAGCTGTGCAAGTTGGAAGCCGCGGAGGCTCTCGGAACATGACCTACCTGCCGGCGGGGCAGTCCGCTCCTCCGGCTGCCCCATGAGGGCCCACCCTGCCTGCACCTCCGCAGGCTGACTGGGCCACAGCCCCAATGATTCTTAACACTGCCTTACCCCCCTACCCCAGAAATCACTGAAATTTCATAATTGGCTTAAAGTGAAGGAAATAAAAGTAAAATCACTTCAGAACTCTTAAAAAAAAAAGAAGAAGAAGAAAAGAAAAAAATAACCAATTAGTTGGGCCAGGTGGCTCATGCCTGTAATTCTAGCACTTTGGGAGGCTAAGAGAGAAGAGCTTGAGCTCAGGAGTTCAAGACCAGTCTGAGCAACATGATGAGACCCCATCTCTACAAAAAATTTAAGAATTAGCCAGACATGGTGGTGCATACCTGTAGTCCCAGCTACTTGGGAGGCTGAGGCTGGAGGATCCCTTGAACCCAGGAATTGAAGGCAGCAGTGAGCTTTGATCACGCCACTGTACCCCATCCTGGGTGACAGAGTGAGACCCCCTCAAAAAAGAAAAAAAAAAGAAAAGTAGCTGGTTGGTTAACATCAGGTTACTTCAGGCTACTGTTTTTGTGTGAGGATTAAAGCAGAGGGAACTTCATTATCATGCTGTTTGAAGATTTAAACTGTCCTGTTTGGGAAATTAGGTGTCCTCTCTCTCCTGATTTCTTAGAAGATAACATAGCTTAGTTTAGGTTTAGCGATGTAGACCTTAAGGTGAATGACTCCATTTTTATTTTTAGTCTGCCCTGTTGGGGCCTAGTATAGGAGTTTAGTGGCCTCCTATAATTTTTATTTCACAAAACAAAAGTATACATCATATCAGTGAATATTTGCTAAGAACAGGAAAGAGAAGTCTTCCTTTCAAATAGCTTATTGTTCATTGGAATGAATTAATCTAGGCACAGTGGCTCATGCCTGTGATCCCAACACTTTGGGAGAAGAGGTGGGAGGATTACTTGAGGCTTGGAGTTTGAGACTACTCTGGGCAACATAGCAAGACCTCCATTTCTACAAAAAATAAAAATAAAAAAATGAATTAAATACATAAAGCAATCAGAAAATATAATAAAATGTTAAATTATACATTGGCAGCAACTACTTAGAATCTACCAGAATGGGTTTGGGTTTTCCTTTTCTAAACTCACCTCTGAGGAAGAGCAGACTTTTGTATTTCCAAAATTGTTTCTTTCTGGATGCACTTGTTTTTGTTTTGGTATAAATAGGGGCCTAGAATTATATTTACAGTGACCTTTAACCTCTATCTCTAGGAATGTGGAACTGGATGATACTTTTGCTCCCGCAGCAGACTAAAAGAAATGCGGTGTAGCAAGAATATGAATAATTGAAATATGTTTGGGGTTTATAGATCTTAAACTCTTTGATGAGGAAATACAGTCTTGTGTATTTGGTTTGGCTGTACTGTTTTGAGTTAATTTTAGGGGTAACTTTGAGAATCAGTTTTAGAATTCCAGCCCCAGATGACAGTCCTTTGCTTAGTCATGGGTTAGGTGTAATGCCACATGATCCTGAGAAGACTAGGAATGGTTGCTATTTATTAACCTTGGTTGGTAGTGATACTTGAGAAGAAAAAATAACCACCCTACATTCATAGAGGTTGAACTGTTGCTATGTTTCAAAATTCTGTTTGCCTTGAAATCTGGTAATCTTTACTAATCTTTTAAGGAATCATCAGATGTGATGTATTTGAGAATGATAAGGTAGTAAAGGCTTAGAAATGCTAACACTGTGTTAAGTTTTGTGGTGTTTTACTTTATTTTCTATACTTTTTGTTAGGAGAGCACTGGTAACTTCCTGATCTTGAGAAATAAAAGGACTAGAACAGAGTAATTTTTTAGAAAACTCTATGTTTCTACAGTTGTAAATAGTCTGAAGGGAACAATAATATGTTTCATGTGGAAAAAAATTAATATGGACAGGAAGAAGGATTCCCTCAACATTCTCCACTCTTAACTCATATGAGCAAAGCCTAAGCAAAAGAAAGTGCCTTTTGTGTTTCTGGCCTTTGAAATATTTTTTAACGATTAGAAAATTGTTTCATAGGCTGGGTGTGGTGGCTCACACCTGTAATCCCAGCACTTTGGGAGGCCGAGATGGGCAGATTACCTGAGGTCAGGAGTTCGAGACCAGCATGGCCAACATGGTGAAACCCTGTCTCTACTAAAAATATAAAAATTAGCTGAGTGTGGTAGCAGGTGCCTGTAATCCCAGCTACCCGGGAAGCTGAGGCAGGAGAATCACTTGAACCCAGGAGGCAGGGGTTGCAGTGAGCCAAGATGGTGTCACTGCACTCCAGCCTGGGTAACAGAGGGAGACTCTATCTCAAAAAAAAAAAAAAAAAAAAAAAGAAAAGAAAAAAAATAAAACTGTTTCATGAAAACTGGTTTGCATCTAATCTTTCTGGATTCAAATAATAACATTGTTATTCAGACATCAACAGAAAGAAAAATTTTCTTCTCTTCCACCCCTCTGTTTTTTAGTGTTCATGCCAGTAAATTTGTATTATACCTGTGTGTGAAGTCAATAATCAGAACATTTGCTACTTGTTTTATTTTCCAGTAATAATTTATAATATTGTCTGTAAAATTCACAAGAGTGTAGTCAACTTTCTGTCAATAGTGTCTTTGCCTGAAGGTAGTGACCCTGTAATCTGATGTATTGGGGAAAATGTGTATACAGGTGAGATATATAGGTACATATAAAGAATTGCTTTTTCATCTGTGAATGGTTAAAACAAAAGCATTTTTGTCTCTTTAGAAGCTTAATATTTAAATTATAGGTAAAGATTTCAATGTATTTCATTTTGAACATGGGGAATGTTAACAAGAATCATTGGGCTGGGTGTGGTGGCTCATGCCTATAATCATAGTACTTTGGGAGGCTGAGGTGGGCAGATCACTTGAGGTCAGGAGTTTGAGACCAGCCTGGCCAACATGGTGAGACCTCGTCTCTACTAAAAATACAAAAGTTAGTCGGGTGTGGTGGCGTGTGCATGTAGTCCCAGCTACTTGGGAGTCTGAGGCAGGAGAGTCACTTGAACCCGGGAGGTGGAGGTTGCAGTGAGCCGAGATCGTGCCACTGCACTCAAGCCTGGGAGACAGAGTGAGACTGTCTTAAAAAAAAAAAAAAAATCACTGGATTCCTGACTTCTGATCTTTTGGGGGAATATTTTTTTTTCTTTTGAGATGGAGTCTCGCTCTGTCTCCCGGGCTTCAGTGCAGTGGTACGATCTTGGCTCACTGCAACCTCCACCTCCCAGGTTCAAGCAATTCTCCTGCCTCAGCCTCCCAAGTAGCTGGGACTAGGCGCGCGCCAACGCGCCCGGCTAATTTTTGTACTTTTAGTGGAGACGGGGTTTTACCATGCTAGCCAGGCTGGTCTCAAACTCCTGACCTCAAGTGATCTGCCCCCCTTGGCCTCCCAAAGTGCTGGGATTACAGGCATGAGCCATACCGTGCCTAGCCAAGGGAATCTTAATTGTTTCTTTTATTTCATGTACCCTGTTCCTTTTCTTTTGTACCCAGAAGTACTCTGTGGCCTATATATATTTTTTCTTTTTTAAAAAAAACTTTACTGTGGAAAATTTCAAACATATACAAAGTAAACAGAATAATATGATGAACCCTCTTGTACTCATCACCTTGCTTTAACATGTTACTACTCTTTTTACCTTTTTTTTTTTTTTTTTTTTGAGACACAGTCTCGCTATGTCGCCCAGGCTGGAGTGCAGTGGCACAATCTCGGCTCAAGTGATTCTCGTGCCTCAGCCTCTGACATAGCTGGGATTACAGATGTGTGTCTCCACACCCATCTAATTTTTGTATTTTTATTAATAGTAGAGATGGGGTTTCACCATGTTGGCCAAGCTGGTCTTGAACTCCTGGCCTCAAGTGATCTGCCTGCCTTGGCCTCCCAAAGTGCTGGAATTACAGCCGTGAGCCACCACACCTAGCCCTCTTTTATTATTTTTACTTCTACCTATTCCCCATCCTCTAATCAATAATTTTTTTTTTAGGTAAAATTCATATACAATGAGATGCAAAAATAAGCTGTTACAGTTACAACCACGTAGCAGACCTATCATAGTATAATACATTTTTATCTCCCTACAAAGTTCCCTTATATACCTTCCAAGTCATCCCCTGCCCCACCAGGAAACCATTGTTCTCTTTGGCTCTGCCTGTTTTAGACTGTCATATAAACAGAACCATGCATTACACATTCTTTGTGTCCGGCTTTTTTTGTCGAGCATTATATCTGTGAGATTCATCCGTGTTGCATTCCTTTGTTTCACTGAGTAGTCCATTGTATGGATATACCATGGTTTGTACATCCGTTCTCTTACTCATGAACATTTAGGTTCTTTCCAGTTTTTATTTTTTTGTTGTTGTTGTTGTTCTTTTTTTTTTTTTTTTTTTTTTTTGAGACAGAGTCTTGCTTTGTTGCCCAGGCTGGAGTGCAGTGCCACGATCTCGGCTCACTGCACCTCTGCCTCCTGAGGTCAAGTGATTCTCCTGCCTCAGCCTCCCAAGTATCTGGGACCACAGGCATGCGCCACCACACCCAGCTAATTTTTGTAATTTTGGTAGAGACAGGGTTTCACCATGTTGGCCAGGCTGGTCTCAAACTCCTGACCTCAGGTGATCCACCCGCCTCGGCCTCCCGAAGTGCTGGGATTACAGGCGTGAGCACCTGGCCTAGTTTTTGCTTTTATGCTGTGAACATTTATAACAAGTCTTGGGTGGACTTACATTTTCATTTTTCTTGGATAAGTACCAATGGGTGGAATTGCTGGGTCAATAGATGCATGGTTAATTTAATTTAATTTTTTTAATTAATTTTTTTTTTTTGAGATGGAGTTTCGCCTTTGTTGCCCAGGCTGGAGTGCAGTGGCACCATCTCGGCTCACTACAACCTCCACCTCCCGGGTTCAAGCAGTTCTCCTGCCTCAGCCTCTTGAGTAGCTGGGATTACAGGCATGCGCCACCACTCCCAGCTAGGTTTGTATTTTTAGTAGAGACAGGGTTTCGCCATGTTGGTCAGGCGGGTTTCCACCTCCGGACCTCAGGTGATCCGCCCACCTCGGCCTCCCAAATTGCTGGGATTACAGGCATGAGCCACTGTGCCTGACTGCATGTTTAATTTTATAAAAAACTGCCAAACCTTTTCCTAAACTGTTTTATGTCATTGTACATTGCTACTGACAAAAGGATGAGAGTGTGGTTTTACATTCCCACTGACAAAGGATGGGTATGTGTCTTTGGTTTGCAAGTTTAGATAAACTGATAGATACAAAAAGCTTTTTCTTAGAGGAAATGGCTTGTAGGAACATCTCAATATTAGTTGTTATTCCACAGAATGTAAGATGACCTTGAAATATATACTCGTTATTGATTTGTCCTTTTCACGTGGCTTCTAAGGAATTGTAGAAGTTATTTTAGTCCTTATAGTAAATCAGCTGATATGGTTATATAGATAGTATAGTTGTTGCCTTTCTGAGAATGAAGACGTTACTGAATGTCCTAGATTTATACATTTTAGAACTCTGTTTATAATTTCCACAGTCCTTTTAGGAACCCCTGTCTATGATTCCTAGAAACATTCTCTTTAACACTTAGTGGTTTTAGCAGTGAATATCTGTCATCACCCACACTGTTGTGGTCAGGGGGATATCACAGCAGGTAATCTAAATGGAATTCTTGGGATGAAACTCCACCAAGGTGAGTAATGTTTATGGCTTTCCAAAGCATTGCAGTTAAATCATTCAGCAATAAACCTGCGTTTGCACCATTGCCAGGTATTAATGTGAGTCATTTGTTTTATTTTAGTGATGTCCTTGCATTGCCCATTTTTAAGCAAGAAGAGTCGAGTTTGCCTCCTGATAATGAGAATAAAATCCTGCCTTTTCAATATGTGCTTTGTGCTGCTACCTCTCCAGCAGTGAAACTCCATGATGAAACCCTAACGTATCTCAATCAAGGTTAGATGCTTCCTCATTCATTAGTACTATTGCAGACCTACTGTATTTATGATTTTTTTGTTTGTTTGTTTGTTTTGAGACGGCGTCACCCAGGCTGGAGTGTAGTGGCGCCATCTTGGCTCACTGCAAGCTCTGCCTCCCGGGTTCACACCATTCTCCTGCCTCAGCCTCCTGAGTAGCTGGGACCACAGGCACCCGCCACCACACCCGGCTAATTTTTTTGTATTTTTAGTAGAGATAGGGTTTCATCGTGTTAGCCAGGATGGTCTCGATCTCCTGACCTCATGATCCGCCTGCCTTGGCCTCCCAAAGTGCTGGGATTACAGGCGTGAGCCACCGTGCCCGGCCATTTATGATGTTTTATTAGGTACACTTATATGTAAAAACTTAGATCTTTCTAGTGTGGCCTATCAAACTAGAAGTCCTACTTCAGAGATTTGAGTTCTAATGTCATACTTGATATCTATTACTAGCTTCTTTTGCTTAGCTGTCCATTTTTAGTGTCCAGCTTCCTCTTCCTAATCATATTCCCTAGACACTCCCATTGGTTACTGTCTGAGAAGTATTACTCTACCTGGCTCTATTATTTACCAATTGTGTGGCCTTGGACAAGTTGCTAAAACTCTTTTAAGTTTCAATTTCTTTGTCTGTAAAATGGGATTGATAATACCTTAGAAAAGTATATCAGTTAAATGAGATAATGTGACAATACTTAGCACAGTGCTGAGCATCTTGTAAAGGCTTCTGATTGTTGTTACTAATACTAATAATATTATTATACTGTTGTATATTCAACCAACTGAATTTTATTCTTTCCGAATCTAGCAAAGTTAATTTGTGGTGAATATAATATGTAATTACTTTTTCTTCTAGGACAGTCTTATGAAATTCGAATGCTAGACAATAGGAAACTTGGAGAACTTCCAGAAATTAATGGCAAATTGGTGAAGGTAAAACGAATAAATCATTCTTCTGTACAATATTTTTTACTAATCCTTTTGGGATTTTAAATTTTGTTGTTGTTGTTAATGTTCTTTTGCTTCCAATGGCTTAATGGTATCTCTTGCCTGCAGTAATTTGTTGGCAGAGTAGTAAGCTGATGTGTTATTTCTTTGGGGTCAGAGTAAGCCCCAGTATTCACATGAATTTTTCAGAGCTGCAGAAATAGAACGCTTACCACTCCCTGTCCAGGGTAATCACCCCTGGCTCAGTGAAGTTCTTTTGGGTGGAGTAAAGTAACCTCCTTGAGATCTTTAGAGAAGCCTCAGTGTCTTTTTTGATACTTAGTCTTATAGCAAGGAAAACAGAAGCTACTTTGATGAAGAGCAGTTCTCTTAGTCTAGATTAACAGTTAGGATTTTGATAATTCACAGCACAGTTGAAACAGAGGAGTTTTGTCAAAAGGTGGTGGGAGGAATTAATAGGCACTTCTACAAAGTAAGAGTAACAAAAGGAAAGTTGATGGAAACAGGCTCTACCTACCCTCAGTGTTTACAGGTTGTATGGTGGGTTAGCAAGCGGGGGAGTTGGTGAGTTTTTCATATACATCTGAAGAGCTAAGCCAGATAGGCCGTGGTATAACAGAAGAGGTGTGCAGAAACGCTTCAGACAGGAGTACTTTATTCCTAGTTACCATCGGACTGAAGTTTAAGCCAAGTTTTAAATATGGTACCAGTTAACTATAAAGATTCTATCTGAGAAATTGGCTGGACCCGGTGGCTCACGCCTATAGTCCCAGCACTTTGAGAGGCTGAGGCGGGCGGGTCGCCTGAGGTTGGGAGTTTGAGACCAGCCTGACCAACATGGAGAAACCCTGTCTCTACAAAAAATACAAAATTAGTCAGGCGTGGTAGCACATGCCTGTAATCCCAGCTACTCAGGAGGCTGAGGCAGGAGAATTCCTTGAACCCGGGAGGTGGAGGTTGCGGTGAGCCGAGATCACACCATTGCACTCCAACCTGGGCAACAAGAGCAAAATCTGTTTCAAAAAAAAAAAAAAAGATTATATCTGAGAAATTATAAAATTTTATCCTGAAATAGCACTTAGTATGGTATGGGTTTTAGAGTGAAACAGATCTTAAGAAAAATAATTTTAGATTGCGTTTAGAAACAAACTGGCAGTGAATCCTGCTAGTTTTTCTTTGTCAGCACTGATTTTCAAGAGGTCTTGTTATCATCTGATTTTGTTGTATCCTTTTAGAGTATATTCCGTGTGGTGTTCCATGACAGAAGGCTTCAGTACACTGAGCATCAGCAGCTAGAGGGCTGGAGGTGGAACCGACCTGGAGACAGAATTCTTGACATAGGTGAGTTAAGAGAATCTATTGCCTAGGAAATGCCTTTAGCTATGGACCCAGAGTTGGTTTTCTTTATTTGACATTTACCTTGATTCATATGCTTGAGAGGCTCAATTAGTATAAACCTTGAAATTATTTACTAAGCATAAAAAATTTTAAGTAATACAAGTTAAAATGATATCAAAATTGAAGTTGGAAGTGTAAACACTTTAGTTCCATAGCAACTATAGGTTGATTTTGTTGTTTTTTAAGTTGTGGTAAAATATACATTACATAAAAGTTATCATTTTAACCATTTTTAAGTGGATAGTTCAGTAACATTAGGTACATTCACATTATTGTGTAACCATCACTATCATCCATCTCCAGAACTTTTCTCATCTGCAAAACCAGAAGTCTGTACCTGTTAAACAACAACTCCCCATTCTCCCTTCTTCACAGCCCCTGGTAACCACTATTCTCCTTTCTGTCTCTATGAATTGGACTACTAAGTACTGCATAAATGAAATCATACAGTATTTGTCCTTTTGTGACTGGCATTTTTCACTTAGCATAATGTTTTCAAGGTTCATGGTATAGCATACATTAGCATTTCCTTCCCATGCAAGGCTGAATAATACTCCATTGTGTGTATATATCACACTTTGTTTATCCATTCATCCCATGATAGGCACTTAATTTGATTCCATTTCCTGGCTATTGTGAATAATGCTGCTATGAACATGGATGTACAAATATGTGTTTGAGTCTCTGCTTTTAATTCTTTTGGATACATATCCAGAAATGGAATTGCTGGGTCATATGGTAACTCTATCTTAGATTTTTTTTAGAAACCACTATATTGTTTTCCACAGTGACTACACATTTTACATTTCTACCAGCGGTACTCAAAGGTTCCAATTTCGGCCGGGCGCGATGGCTCACGCCTGTAATCCCAAAACTTTGGGAGGCCAAGGTGGGCAGAACATGAGGTCAGGAAATCGAGACCATCCTGGCTAACATGGTGAAACCCCGTCTCCACTCAAAATACAAAGAAATTAGCTGGGCGTGGTGGCGGGCGCCTGTAGTCCCAGCTACCCAGGAGGCTGAGGCAGGAGAATGGTGTGAACCCGGGAGGCGGAGCTTGCAGTGAGCCAAGACCACGCCACTGCACTCCAGCCTGGGTGACAGAGCGAGACTCTCTCAAAAAAAAAAAAAAAAAAAAGGTTCCAATTTCTCCAATCCTTGTCAACACTTGTTGCTTTCCTTTTTTTTTTTTTCCTGAGATGGAGTTTCGCTCTTGTTGCCCAGGCTGGAGTGCAATGGCGCGATATCAACTCACCACAACCTCTCCCTCCCAGGTTCAAGTGATTCTCCTGCCTCAGCCTCCAAGTAGCTGGGATTACAGGCATGCACCACCACACCTAGCTAATTTTTGTATTTTTGGTAGAGACGGGGTTTCACCATGTTGGCCAGGGTAGTCTCAATCTCTTGACCTCTTGATCTGCCCGCCTCGGCCTCCCAAAGTGCTGGGATTACAAGCGTGAGCCACCACACCTGGCCTGTTGCTTTCTATTTTTTGATAATATCCATCCTGATGGTTGTGAAGTAGTATCTCATTGTGGTTTTGATTTGCATTTCCCTGGTGATAAGTGATGTCAAGCATCTTTGCATGTGCTTATTGGCCATTTATATATTTTCTTTCTTTCTTTATTTTTATTTATTTATTTATTTATTTTTGAGATGGAGTCTCCCTCTGTCGCCCAGGCTGGAGTGCAGTGGCATGATCTTGGCTTACTACAACTTCCACCTCCCGGGTTCAAGCGATTTTCCTGCCTCAGCCTCCTGAGTAGCTGGGATTACAGGTGCCCGCCACCACACCCAGCTAATTTTTGTGTTTTAGTAGAGACAGGGTTTTGCCATGTTGGCCAGGCTGGTCTTGAACTCCTGACCTCAGGTGATCCACCCGCCTTGGCCTCCCAAAGCGCTGGGATTACAGGTGTGAGCCAAGGCTCCCGGCCCATCATTTATATATTTTCTTTGGAGAAATGTCTGTTCAAGTCTTTTGCCCACTATCGAATTGGATTGTTTTGTTTTTTTTGTTATTGAGTTGAAAGAATTTTTAAAATATTCTGGATATTAACCCCATAGCAGATATATCACATGCAAATCTTTTCTGTTATTGTGTGGGTTGCTTTTTTACTGTGTTGATACTATCCTTTGATGCACTAAAGTTTTACATTGAGGTGGTCCAATTTATCTAATTTTTTTTAATTCCCTGTGCTTTTGGTGCCACATCCAAGAAATCATTGCCAAATTCAGTGCCAAGAAGCTTTTCCCATATGTTTTCTCCTAAGAGTTTTATAGTTTTAGGTCTTATATTCAGGTCACAGGTCCATTTTGAGTTCGTGTTTGTATATGGTACAACCATATACAAAAAAGGTTGTATGGTAAACCATATACAGAAAGAAGGGCCCAACTTCATTCTTTTGCATGTGGATACCCAGTTTTCTCCACACCGTTTGTTGAAAAGACTGTTCTTTCCCCCACTGAATGGTCTTGCACCCTTGTCAAAACTCATTTGACCATATATTTGAATACTTATTTGTAGGCTGTCTATTCTATTCCATTTGTTTAAATGTCTGTCTTTATGCCTATACCTCACTATTTTGCTAAGTGTAGCTTTATAGTCAGTTTGGAAGTCGTGAAGCATGAGAACTCCAACTTTGTTCTATTTCACGATTGTTTTGGCTGCTCAGGATCTGATATTTTGTTTTGCGTTTGTAAAGAGGGGCAGACTTTTTTCCCCAGCATGCTGAAAGTTCCTTCATTTTACTAGTGCCTGAGAACCAGGCACTATAAAGTGGGAGTTCTGGTATTAGAAGCTATGTCACTTGGTTTGCAGTTAAGTTGTGTCTTCCCACGTTGCTACACAGAGTAGAATTTGTTTTTCCTAAGTCATAGGGTATAAAGGAAAGATCTTCACAAATACACATGCAGTCACTTTTCATGGTGTCTGCCTCTCTGATTTCTAATTGGTTAAAATTTCCTTTTGGTAAACATAGTTGTTAAGAAAAATTTAACTGCTACTAATTTTACCTGAGAAAACATTGGTTCTCATGCAGTGATCCTGATATCTGTATGATAAGTTGACCTTAAGATGAATCTAACACAACTAATATTGTGGAGTGGGACCCACTTGATGCTCTATTGTTTGAATCATTGATACCAAAACAGTAGTATAGTTAATACCACAGTTCTGATAATACATATTACCTGGCCTTAACTCCCCAGTTTGATCATTAATAGGAGAAATCAGGGAATGCTATTTGAATATCTGCTGTGTGGAATGGAAAGAAAAGTTCTACTCAAACCCATTAATTCTTGCTTCCCTTTTAAGTAAAGATTTGTCACTCTGTTATAGGATTATTTGATGACTTGGTAAGTCAGCATCAACCATCTTTTTTTTTTTTTTTTTGAGACAGAGTCTTGCTCTGTCATCCAGGCTGGAGTACAATGGCATGATCTCGGCTCACTGCAACCTCTGTCTCCCGGGTTCAAGCCATTCTCATGCCTCAGACTCCTGAGTAGCTGGGATTATAGGCATCCACAACCACGCCCAGCTAATTTTTATATTTGTAGTAGAGACAAGTTTTCACCATGTTGGCCAGGCTGGTCTCGAACTCCTGACCTCAAATGATCCACCCGCCTTGGCCTCCCAAAGTACTGGGATTGCAGGCGTGAGCCACCACGCTTGGCCTGCATCAATCTTTATGTTAAAATTTTCCCACTTTCATTCATGATATAATGCTTTCTACCTTCATATAGACACTCTGCTGCACCCCTTCAATAGCAATACTCTTAATGTGCTTTTGGCAATGAAACTAATTTTCAAACTGTAGTTGAAATAGATTATAAATTACAGTTTTCATGATAGTGTAGACTTAATCCACCTTAAATAGGATTTTAACAAATTAAAAGGAAACTGCCTTTAAATTGCCATATTTTAAGCTAGAAGGAGGATACTAAACATTCCCAACACAAAGAAATGACAGATGTTTGAGACAATGAATATGCTGATTACCCTGATCTGATCACTATGCATTATATGTATTGAAACATCACTATATAGCCCATGAATATGTACAATTATTATTTCTCAATTTAAAAATGATTTTTTTGTTTTTCGAGACAGTCTTGCTCTGTCACCCAGGCTGGAGCACAGTGGCGCAATACTGGCTCACTGCAACCTCCGCCTCCCTGGTTCAAGCAGTTCTCTCTGCCTCAGCCTCTCAGGTAGCTGGGATTACAGATGCCCACTACCATGCCTGGCTAATTTTTGTATTTTTTA
The DNA here is from genome assembly GCF_000001405.40 of Homo sapiens. NCBI lineage: Eukaryota > Metazoa > Chordata > Mammalia > Primates > Hominidae > Homo > Homo sapiens. The sequence continues at coordinate 51,111,993 of NC_000012.12, read as the reverse complement.
GTAGAGACGGGGTTTCGCCATGTTGGCCAGGCTGGTCTTGAACTCTTGACTTCAGGTGATCCGCTCACCTTGGCCTCCCAAAGTGCTGGGATAACAGGTGTAAGCCACCACGCCTGGCCTAAAAATAATTTTTTTTTTTGAGATGAAGTCTTGCTTTGTCACCCAGGCTGGAGTGCAGTGGCTCGATCTCCGGCTCACTGCAACCTCCACCTCCCAGGTTCAAGCAATTCTCCTGCTTCAGCCTCCTGAGTAGCTGGGATTACAGGTGTGGGCCACCACGGCCGGCTAATTTTTGTATTTTTAGTAGAGATGAGGTTACGTCATGTTGGTCAGGCTGGTCTCGAACTCCTGACATCATGATCCGCCTGCCTTGGGCTCCCAAAGTGCTGGGATTACAGGTGTGAGCCACCGTGCCTGGCCAAATAATTTTTTTAATTGCCGTATTTTAAAAACTTTTTAAAGAGGAAAAAAGGTGCTCAAGCAAAGTACTTAAGTCAATTTTACTCTAATCAAATATTTTCATTGACAAAAAAGAAATTTAAGGTGTGGGCTGGGCACAGTGGCTCAAGCCTGTAATCCCAGCACTTTAGGAGGCCAAGGTGGGTGGATAACCTGAGGTCAGGAGTTTGAGAGCAGCATGGCCAACATGGTGAAACCCCATCTCTACTAAAGATACAAAAAAATTAGCCGGGCGTGGTGGCACGGGCCTGTAATCCCAGCTACTCAGGAGGCAGAGGCAGGAGGATCGTTTGAACCCAGGAGGCAGAGGTTGCAGTGAGCTGAGATGGTGCCACTGCACTCCAGGCCTGTTACCACTGCACTCCAGCTTGGGCAACAGAACAAGACTCCATAAAAAACAACAACAACGACAAAAAAAAAAAACAAAGAAATTTAGGATGTGATATACAAAAATCTTGGTAGCTACATTGAGTAATATAAGAATCAATGCTTTCTTATTTAAAACTGAGTGGCCCTCAAAATTGTTCAATGATTACCATTTTGTTTCTCAGATATCCCGATGTCTGTGGGTATAATCGATCCTAGGGCTAATCCAACTCAACTAAATACAGTGGAGTTCCTGTGGGACCCTGCAAAGAGGACATCTGTGTTTATTCAGGTAAGGCGTTGCAGATAGGGTTCCAGTTTTGAAGAGTATCTCTCTTACTATCAGTTTATTTCTTAAAGGATAAAACATGTTAACTTTGAAATCTTTACAGGGTTCTAGCCTGACTGTCAAGCCCAGGCTCTTTAACCTGTGCCTGAGAGCATTGAGGAGTTTCTGAATTGCTCTTCTAATACCCCAGTTTATTTATTTGTGTCTCCCAAAATTGCTTGGTAATGGCTGCATAATATTTCATTTCTTGGTTGTACCATAATTTACATAACAATTATTTGGCAGTTAGATTGGCATAATTTTTTTGGGGGGGGACAGTGTCTAGGCTTTGTCTCCCAATCTGGAGTGGAGTGGTGCAATCTCGGCTCACTACAACCTCTGCCTCCCAGTTCAAGCGATTCTCTTGCCTCAGCCTCACCAGTAGCTGGGACTAGAGGCGCATGTCACCATGCCTGGCTAATTTTTGTATTTTTGGTAGAGGTGGGATTTCGCCATGCTAGCCAGGCTGGTCTTGAACTCCTGACCTCAGGTGACCCACCCACCTTGGCCTCCCAAAGTGCTGGGATTATAGGTGTGAGCCACCATGCCCGGCCTTGATTGGCCTGATTTTTTACTATTATCTGTGATGTTATTTTGAACATATTTATACTTAAAATTTGATTTGCGTATCTGATTATGTTCTTTGGGTAGAGTCCTTGAAAATCCTTATTTGTAGTAATTATAGTAACCACTAGTTTATTAATACTTCACATGAAATAGTCACTATGTTAAGTAAACACTTTATATATATGATTTTAAGACTTTCAGCTATAATCTTGTGGAGTAGTCAGTCAGACAAGGTTCTTCTATTAAGATTCACCAGGCTGGGTGCCGTGGCTCACACCTGTAATCCCAGCACTTTGGGAGGCCGAGGCAGGCAGATCACCTGAGGTCAGGAGTTCGAGACCAGCCTGGCCAACATGGCGAAAACCTGTCTCTACTAAAAATGCAAAAATTAGCAGGGCGTGGTGGTGTGTGCCTGTAATCCCAGCTATTTGGGAGGCTGAGGCAGGAGAATTGCTTGAACCGGGGAGGTGGAGGTTGCGGTGAGCCGAGATTGTGCCATTGCATTCCAGCCTGGGTGACAAGAGCAAAACTTAGTCTCAAAAAAAAAAAAAAAAAAAATTCACCAATCTTAGACTTTATGCAGTAGCCAAGCAAACCTTTTTCTCCACTATTGCTGTGAACTTTCATATTTACTATGTTCCCAGACTGGGTAGTGACTCCTCTTTCTACAATCTTCCTTAAAATTGAGGAAACTTTAACTAACATAAATCATTTCTCTTTTGCTAGCTCTGTGTTCTTTGAAGCAGTTAATGAATTTAGTTCCTCACAGTAGCTTTTGTTAGCATTAGATCTGTACTTTTATTTTGTTTGCATTTGTAAAGCATTTTTCTATTTCCTCTATCAGATTGTAAGTTCTTCAAGATCAAAAAGAGGAAAAGTGTTTTTTGTAGGTATTCATAATGCCTGGTAAAGGTTTTGCTGTTAATAGTTGCTAAAAAAATACTGCCAACTGGTTTGGCTAGCTAGCGGTACTGAAGCCTTGCTGTTGTATTCTTTTCAGGTGCACTGTATTAGCACAGAGTTCACTATGAGGAAACATGGTGGAGAAAAGGGGGTGCCATTCCGAGTACAAATAGATACCTTCAAGGAGAATGAAAACGGGGAATATACTGAGCACTTACACTCGGCCAGCTGCCAGATCAAAGTTTTCAAGGTATTCCTGGGCAATGTGCTGGCCCTTGGATTCTTTTACCTTATCATTCTATTTTAACATTAGTTACCAAGTCAGAAAATCAACTTGTCTTTTTTTGAAAACTCACACACACGCAAAAAGTCTAAGCTAGAGTCATTGAAATAATTACCAAGATGCCTGGTAAAGAAATTTACATGGTCGTAGGATAATAGGAACTTGGAAAAGAGGGCTAGAGGCAAGAACATGGATTCTCATTGAAAGCTCTTAAAGCCTATTGAAGTTACAAGCTCTTGTAAAGCTCACAAAAATTGACTAGTTATGGTTATTTTCATACTTGATCTTTTCTTATTTGGTCTTATTTATTTATTTATTTATTTTTGAGACTGGGTTTCATTTTGTCACCCAGGCTGGAGTGCAGTGACGCAATCATAGTTTAACCTCCTGGGCTCAATTGATCTTCCTGCCTCAGCTTCCCCAGTAAGTGGGACTACAGGCATGTGCCACCACACCGGGCTAATTTTTGTATTTTTTATAGAGAGGGGGTCTTGCCATGTTGCCCAGGCTGGCCTTGAACTCCCGGGCTTAAGTTATCTGCCCTCCTTGGCCTCCCAAAGTACTGGGATTACAGGTGTAAGCCACTGTGCCCCAGCCAGGGTCCTGTTTATTTTTATCACATGAATAAATATGTTCTCATTGTAAGAGATTGAATAATACAGAGGTATTCATAGCAACACTGAAATTCTCCCTTTACTACTCTTACACTGACCCCCTCCACAACCTCTTCCCAGAGGAAACCACTGTCATAATTTCATAATTTCGTATGTGTTCTTCTACTTCCCTCTTCTTTTTTTTTTTTGAGTCGGAGTTTCACTCTGTCACCCAGGCTGGAATGCAGTGGTGCAGTGCCAGCTCACTGCAACCTCCGTCTCCTGGGTTCAAGCTGTTCTCACGCCTCAGCCTCCCCAGCACCTAGGACTACAGGCACACACCACCATGCCCAGCTAATTTTTTGTATTTTTAGTAGAGACAGGGTTTCGCCATGTTGGCCAGGCTGGTCTCGAACTCCTGACCTCAGGCAATCCGCCTGCCTCGGCCTCCCAAAGTGCTGGGATTACAGGCATGAGCCACTGCGCCCAGCTCTTCTAGTTCCTTCCTATGCTTTTATACACACACATACATAGCTATATACATATTTTCTTTGACACATAAATGGGATTATACTATTTGAAATGTTTTGAGGCTAGGCACGGTGGCTCATGCCTGTAATCCCAGCACTTTGGGAGGCCGAGGTGGGCGGATCACAAGGTCAGGAGTTTAAGACCAGCCTGACCAAAATGGTGAAACCCCGTCTCTACTAAAGATAAAAAATTAGCTGGGTGTGGTGGCGGACGCCTGTAGTCCCAGCTACTGGGGAGGCTGAGGCAGGAGAATAATTTGAACCCTGGAGGCGGAGGTTGCAGTGAGCCAAGATCTCGCCACCGCATTCCAGCTTGTGTGACAGGATGAGACTCCGTCTCAAAAAAAAAAGAAAGAAATGTTTTGAGACTTGATTTTTTTCAGTGAACTATGTGCTTTAGAGATCTTTCCATGTCAGTAGCTATAGATCTGATTCTTTTCAACTCCATCGAATATAAACATTTAAATTTCCTATTTTCAAACTTAAAGTGATGTGTCTTGCCTTTACATCACTGCACATACAATTTTGTTTCATACATGAATATTTAAGTTTTTGGAAGCAATATTTTGGGTTAAAAGGTGAGTACCTGAATTTAAAACAAAATATTTCTCATTTCAGCCCAAAGGTGCAGACAGAAAGCAAAAAACGGATAGGGAAAAAATGGAGAAACGAACACCTCATGAAAAGGAGAAATATCAGCCTTCCTATGAGACAACCATACTCACAGAGGTAAAAAGATTTCTTTTGGTGACAATTTCAGTTCATAATTTTTAATCTTAAAAATTCATCACTTCCAAACTGGTCAGAATTTACTTCTCCTAAGCCTTGAGGGACACAGTATCACATGGATTCTGTGTCCAGCGGCCTTAACAGGAAGATTGCTTTAGAATTTGGCACGAACCATGCCACTGTCTCTGTGTCCAAGTTATCTTTCCCCAAATTACTCTGGTTTGGTTTGGTTTGCTGCAGGAGCTATTGTGGTGTTCTTTGCTTTGTATACATAAGCACATCTCTTGCCCAAATAGAATTCAGTTTCATCTTGGGCATAAACCACCTTCAATTTTAGGAAGAGCTGTGTGCTGCCTTTGGTTCTGGAACCCACTTATAACCAACAAAAATGGCCTGGGACCGTAGTTTTCTAGACTTATTTCTTTTTAGAAGTCCTATTCTCAGCAGGCCTCCCCACAGGCTCCAAGATGGCGGAAAGAGAAGCAGTGTTCTCTATTGCTTATGGGAGTCTCTGAGGAATTAAGATTTACTAATCAAGATGTGCTATTCAAGTAACAATGTTTTAGTCAAATCCTGGGGTCATATGTGCTCGTTCATTATCTAACTTATCCTTTGTTTTTAGTGTTCTCCATGGCCCGAGATCACGTATGTCAATAACTCCCCATCACCTGGCTTCAACAGTTCCCATAGCAGTTTTTCTCTTGGGGAAGGGTAAGTCTGGGAAATAAAATTGGCTTATATTTGTCCAAAATATATATTCTTTCATTACCTGTTCATAAACAAGATCTTTTTTAAATCAATAAGTATATCTATTTGGTCGTTCTTTGATGGATTTATATATTAACTGAGATTTGGAGTAGCTTCAAAAGAGATCGAAAGAGTTTTATATAGCCCTTTCTTCTCTTTGTGTTCTCCCCTCTCCCTCCTCCTCGTCTTTTTTCCCCCCACTAGAAAGTAGCATTTATGGTCAATTTTTAGTGGTTCAGGGACTGATGATCTGGGCTTTTTGCCTCTCCCTATTACTGCACATCTTGTGGTTATTTCATTTCCTGATCATACTTGCACCAGACAGTGGTCTTTGGGAACTGGAAACAATTGTACAAACACTAAAATTTGTTTTGTTACTTGTTAGGAATACTTCTAACACCTAATTATTATGAATCTTTGATAATTGGGGAAATAAGTTTGAAGATGATGGCTAAAATGAAGTTTTGGAATTATTTATGGGATACATTTAATCTTGCCTTATTATCTTTTACCATAAGAGATAATTGAAAGTTGGTACAGATGCCTACTCCAATTTTAAAAAGTAGCTGTATTATAGTCCAAGCATTTAACATGTATTTCACATAGCCATATTGAAACTTGAAATAGTTAGGCTACCAAATGTGCGAGTATATTGTTTGGTTGCAATGTTTGTGGTTTTGGATTTATTTAGGCTCTATGTCTGACCTACTTTTTAAAGGATTTAATTAAGGTAGCTTAAATATTTAAAACGTAACAATTAAGAATAAAAGTAGGTATTAGTTGTAGAGGGAATACATATAAGTAGGGCCCTAAGATAAGTTAATTACTAAGTTCGAATACCAAATTTGAATTTTGCAGCTAAGGCTAAAAAAGGAAAAAGATCTTTTTTTAAAAGAAAAAAAAATCTTAACATCCACATAGATGATACATTCTACTTATAGGTAATTCCAAATATGATATAGGGTTTAAGAGCTGTGTTTAAAAATTTTTCTCTTCTCTTTGTCGTGTACTTCATACTAGTTAAACTTTTTCTTCCATAAAAGTAGGCATTAGGGAAGAGGGACAATTCATAGACAAAGAACGTATAAAGAAAAACAGGCTGGGCGCGGTGGCTCACACCTGCAATCCCAGCACTTTGGGAAGCCAAGGTGGGCAGATTACGATGTCAGGAGTTCGAGACCAGCCTGGCCAACATGGTGAAACCCCGTCTCTACTAAAAATAAAAAAATTAGCCAGGTGTGGCGGCGGGCGCCTGTAATCCCAGCTACTTGGGAGGCTGAGGCAGGAGAATCGCTTGAAACCAGAGGGCAGAGGTTGCAGTGAGCTGACATCATGCCACTGCGCTCCAGCCTGGGCAAACGAGTGAAACTCCGTCTCAAAAAAAAAAAGAAAAAGAAAAACTGGAGTGTGGAGATAACCCTTGGATCATAAATTAGGCAGCACTAATTTTTGGGGCTACTTTAAAAATAATTTTTTTTGCCGGGCGCGGTGGCTCACGCCTGTAATCCCAGCACTTTGGGAGGCGGAGGCGGGCGGATCACAAGGTCAGGAGATCGAGACCATCCTGGCTAACACAGTGAAACCCTGTCTCTACTAAAAATATAAAAAAATTAGCCGGGTGTAGTGGCAGGCGCCTGTAGTCCCAGCTACTCGGTAGGCTGAGGCAGGAGAATGGCATGAACCCGGGAGGCAGAGGTTGCAGTGAGCCGAGATCATGCCGCTGCACTCCGGCCTGGGCAAGAGAGCGAGACTCCGTCTCAAAAAAAAAAAAAAAATTGTTTTTTATTTTAAATCTGTGTGATGATATTGCATTGCATAAATTTTCTTCCAATATTTTTCTTGTATATGTGTGCATATTTATGTATTTCCTACAGTAGTAATGTATTGATAAAATTTTTTATCCTGATATTTTTCATTTTATTTTTAAATTTTTTTCTTGATAATTATTCTTTCATAATTTTTCATCTTAGTAAATTTATGGTTAAATATTTTTATGCCATAATTTATCTCATCAGTCCCAATTTATTGAAATGTTGATATTTTCTTCAGTTTCCTCAATAATAAGAAAATATTGCTAATGACATAGTTTCTCCCCCTCCTCATAAAGTCTTTAGGTTAAACTAATAGAAAATTAAAGTATTGGGTCAAAGAATAAGAATGTGTTATGAGAGAGCACAGATTTTTTTTTAATCTCTAGCATGAGATTTATTGTGAAGCTGAGGAATGAAATAATGAGCCCCAGCATGTGTCATGGACTCATCCTTTCATTTTAAATGTTTCTTTAGAAATGGTTCACCAAACCACCAGCCAGAGCCACCCCCTCCAGTCACAGATGTAAGTCTAAAGTTGAATGTCAGTTACTTGCAATGTCTGGTAATACTTTGATGACTGTCCAATTCAGTAGAAATGCCCAACTTTTAGGGAGTATTATTCATTCATTCATTAAACAAACATTTATTGAATTTTGACTATGAACCAGATACTGTGCTAGGGACTAAAGATATGAAACAAGTAATGCAGGACCTTTCCATTTGAGCAGCTTATAGTCTAGTGGGGAAGAAAAGGATGGAACTCCTTGAGCATCTTGCATGGTTGGAGAAAGAGAAAACAACTTTCACAAACTAGGCCTGAGTATGGGGTTGTGTGGGGTGTTTGGCTATGTGTTACCTAATGGGGTAACAGACAAATCTATTTGGTTATCTAAAAAACGTGCTCTCCCTTTCAGAACCTCTTACCAACAACCACACCTCAGGAAGCTCAGCAGTGGTTGCATCGAAATCGTTTTTCTACATTCACAAGGCTTTTCACAAACTTCTCAGGTTAAATTTTCTTTTTCTTTTGTTTTCCCTAGCATGAAATTTTCCTTTGCATTCTAGGGCCTCCTGGTATCCATGGGAGAGTTGTGTGTGTATATGTGTATGAGAGATCTTACTGCATTTTTCTGATGAAATGAATTTCATAGAACCCTTAAGACTTTCTCACTAGCTGCAGCTGTGCTGTGAAATACTTAAAAACAAACACTTTTTAGTTTAAATTCAATTTAATTTAAAAATGCTTATTTCATACAACGCTTTTTAAAATGTATATTTCGTAGAGTTTTATCAAGGGGGCATTTGCAGGTAGTCTGAAATTTTCCCCTTGATATCACTATAATTTATTTCATTTACACAATACACTTTTATTTAGCTTTTTTTTTCTTTTTCTTTGAGATGGAATCTCACTCTGTCACCCAGGCTGGAGTGCAGTTGCATGATCTCGGCTCACTGCACCCTCCGTCTCCCAGGTTCAAGTGATTCTCCTGCCTTAGCCTCCTGATTAGCTGGGATTATAGGCACCTACCATCACACCCAGCTAATTTATGTATTTTTAGTAGAGACAGGGTTTCACCATATTGGCCAGGCTGGTCTCGAACTCCTGACCTCAAGTGATCCACCCTTCTTGGCCTCCCAAAGTGCTGGGATTACAGGTATGAGCTGCGGCATCTGGCCTATTTAGCACTTTTTGATGTGGTAGGAATACACAAATGGATGAGGCATACTTCCTGATCAAATAGCCCATTAATCATCTGGTATCCAAAAAAAAAAAAGCACCGAAACAAAACACAACTAATCGAATCAAAATAAAACTCTGAAAAAATGATAAATAGTTGTGATTTTGTAGATAAGTGTTCTGATAGTGACAGTAAGACGTTCATGGGAGGATTGGTGTTAGGGAACATGTGTGACACATGAGGTGAATCCAGGATTTATTTATATATTTATTTTTTGAGACGGAGTCTCACTGTCACCCAGGCTGGAGTGCAGAAGCACAATCTTAGCTCACTGCAACCTCTACCTCCTGGGTTCAAGCGATTCTCCTGCCTCAGCCCCCGAGTAGCTGGGATTACAGGCACCCACCACCACACCCGACTAATTTTTGTATTTTTAATAGAGACAGGGTCTCACCATGTTGGCCAGGCTGGTCTCGAACTCCTGACCTCAAATGATCCACCCTCCTCGACATCCCAAAGTGCTGGGATTACAGGCGTGAGTCACTGCTCCTGGCCCAGGATTTTTTTTTTAAGAGATGGGGTCTTGCTATGTTGCCCACGCCTAACAGTCTTGAACTCCTAACAGTCGATTGGCCTCAACAATCCTCCTACCTCAGCTTCTCGAGTAGCTGGGACTACAGGCATGTTGTGCCCAGCTTAGATAGTGGAAGGTTATTTCAGGCAGAAAGAACAACTTGCTCATTAGACATCATCAGTATGATGAAAGCATAGGGTTAAGTGGGGAGGTTAATTGGGGGGAATTGAGACGGGAGAGGAGCTAGGAGCCAGGTCATGAAGGGCCTTATATGCCATGAAGAAAATTATGGATTGTAACATTCTGGTAATGAGGTGTCCTTATAATACAGCCCATTTTAATAGTCATTAACAAAGAGAATCTTTGCCTTTATCATCCATTTTCTTATATTTATTCCAGGGGCAGATTTATTGAAATTAACTAGAGATGATGTGATCCAAATCTGTGGCCCTGCAGATGGAATCAGACTTTTTAATGCATTAAAAGGCCGGTATGTAATTAGTGTTAAAATATCAATAAGGTTGGGATTCCAAATGGATTTGGATTCAGGAATTCTTCACAATACTCTACACAGCTAAATACACCTTCTCAAAACATTTGTTTTAAATGTCAGCTATGTACCAAATAAAGATTTTAGAAAAATGTTTTCTTGCACTTTGTCCAAGGAATTCCCCATGATATTCCATTTTTCATTTCCAGGTGAATGAATTTTCCAATGAAAATTCATCATCCTTTTCATGAGCCAGGTACTATTGTAGGCTCTGGGAATATTAATATATTGGTGAGCAAAACAGGGTGCCCATTGTTAGGGAGTTTACTTTCTAATGGGGAGTAAGATAATAAATATTGTGGATAGTGATAAGAGCTTTGAAGGAAAACAAAACAAATAAGCAAAAAACAAGGTTGTGGGCTATAGGGTGCCCAGAATATGGTCAGGAAGGGCCTCTCCAAGGAGGGGATACTTAAGCTGAGTTCTGAGAAAGATGCAGCTCTGGAGTCACAGGAAGGGAGACTGTTCTAGGCAGAAGGAACAACAGGTGCAAAGGTCCCAAGTTGGTTTTAACTGGAGAAGTGGTCATTCTTAAATGTGGGTGGGAATTACTTTTTTTTAATTTTTTTGAAAACAGAGTCTCACTCTTTCGCCCAGACTGGAGTACAGTGGAGCAATCTTGGCTCACTGCAAGCTCCACCTCCCGGGTTCACGCCATTCTCCTGCCTCAGCCTCCCGAGTAGCTGGGACTACAGGCGCCTGCCACCATGCCCAGCTAATTTTTTGTATTTTTTTAGTAGAGACAGGGTTTCACCGTGTTAGCCAGGATGGTCTCGATCTCCTGATCTCGTGATCCACCCGCCTTGGCCTCCCAAAGTGCTGGGATTACAGGCGTGAGCCACCGCACCCGGCAAATGTGGGTAGGAAGTGTCTGCCTGCAATTGTTAAAATACATAGTAATTTGTGGTCCTTTTTTGGGATTTACAATTTTAAATAGGTAGTAGTAACTGATGAAAAAAGCATTTAGGTCAATGGCAACAGAACTAAATCAGTGACTACATAGTAAAACAGAGTGTGCAGTATTTATTTTTGGTTTGCTTTTGTTTTGGGGTTTTTTTCTTCAGACAGGGTCTTGCTCTGTCACCCAGCCTGGAGTGCAGCAATGCAATCATGGCTCACTGCAGCCTCGATTTCCTGGGCTCAAGCCATCCTCCTGCCTAGATCCCTGAGCAGCTGGGACTACAGGCACGCACCACCACGCCCGCCTAATTTTGTACTTTTTGTAGAGGCGGGGTTTTGCCGTGTTCCCCTGGCTGGTCTCAAACTCCTGAGCTCAAGCAATCCTTCTGACTCGCCTTCCTAAAGTGCTGGGATTACAGATGTGAGCCACCGTGCCTGGTCATATTTGTTTTTGTCTACATCATAAGGGATGTTGAATCTTGGAAAATTTTAAGGAAGGAAGTGAAATCAGGGGTTGATGACTTGTGGAAAAATAATTGATCTTTCATTTTTTCAAGCATATTATCTAAAGGGTGTTTAGAAATTGGAAGGAGTAAGATGATCAGATCAAGAGGTAGTTGAATACCTTTCTCTAAGAAGAACAGAGAAAGGACTTAGGCTAGTTAGGAGAAGGTAATGAGAGAAATAAGATGATCTAGTTTACTGTGTTGGCATTTTTTAGTAAAAAGTATATCTTGAACCTGACCCATTAGACGGTGGCTTTTATATTTTGACTATTTCTAACTTTTACACCAAAGGCCACAAACTCAAATGACTATAGAGTACATACAGGTAATGTAAGTGAATGGCAGTCAAGACTGGGGTATAGTGAAGAATATATGCATCATGTAAGAAGAACGGCTGATTGTTTTCATGTGAGAATGCAGGCCTAAGATTGCTAGATCTGAGTCTTCAGGAAAAGCCAAAAGTTCAGAGGTTTATATGATGTCTCATATTGGAACTAATTCCACTTAAGGAAAAAAAAAACCCTACTACTGGGGAACTAATAAAACATAGCAAATTAATTGCATTTGGCCAATGAGCTTCCAATTTTCATCTGCTCTATACGATTAATGTAGAAACACAATTTCTCCCTTCTTTTTATTGTGCTTACCATAAAGAATGTAAGACTAATTAGCCTTTTTCCTCCCCTTAGGATGGTGCGTCCAAGGTTAACCATTTATGTTTGTCAGGAATCACTGCAGTTGAGGGAGCAGCAACAACAGCAGCAGCAACAGCAGCAGAAGCATGAGGATGGAGACTCAAATGGTACTTTCTTCGGTAGGTTGTTCTGGACACACTAGGACAGATATGAAGAAAGGTGAAGAGATAACTTATGGGCATGTGTGATGGGAAACTATCAAACAGCAGATTTAGTATTTGCTAGAAGTAACAATAATCACTAGCATTTATTAAGTTCCTAATACATGGCAGGTGCCATTCTTTTTTTTTTTTTTTGAGACAGAGTCTCACTCAGTTACCCAGGCTGAAGTACAGTGGCACAATCATGACTCATTGCAGCCTTGACCACCTGGGCTCAAGTGATTCTCTCCCCTCAGCCTACCGAGTAGCTAGAACTAAAGCTACTCATTTGCCTAATTGTTTTATTTATTGTAGAGATGGGATCTCCCTATGTTGCCCAGGCTGGTCTTGAACTCCTGGGCTCAAGCGATCTCCCTGCCTCAGCCTCCCAAATTGCTGGGACTATAGGTGTAAACCACTACACCCAGCCAGGTACTATTCTTAACACTTTTTATATGCTTTAATATTTACAACTAATATCTCCTCTTTGCGGAGGATTTTACTGTTATCTCCGGTATTTATGCAAGAAAAATCAGGCCTAGGAATGTTAAATAACTTGCCCTAGGTCACACAGCTGCAAGTGGTTGAGCCAGGATTTGAACTTAGGCAGTGTGATTTCTGAGTCCTTCAGAAAAGTGGGCATTCCTAGTGATCAAGTTACCTGTAAGAGTGGACAAACTTTGTACTGACTGCTGTTGCTCTCTCCCTTTTGCAGTTTACCATGCTATCTATCTAGAAGAACTAACAGCTGTTGAATTGACAGAAAAAATTGCTCAGCTTTTCAGCATTTCCCCTTGCCAGATCAGCCAGATTTACAAGCAGGGGCCAACAGGAATTCATGTGCTCATCAGTGATGAGGTAGATTTTTCAGTACAGTTGAATTACCAGATGATGATTAATTTGTCAGCGCATGGAGCAAGAGCAGTTCTCCTGGGGCAGAGTGTTCTGTTTTCTAGATCAGAGGGTTTCATACTTTTTTGCTTGCTTTCCTCCTAATTTTTTTTTTTTTTGAAACAGTCTCTCTCTGTTGCCCAGGCCGGAGTGCAGTGGCCCAATCTCAGGTCACTGCGACCTCCTCCTCCTGGATTCAAGTGATTCTCCTGTCTCAGCTTCCCGAATAGTGGGAATTACAGGCGTGCGCCACCACGCCTGGCTAATTTTTGTATTTTTAGTAGAGATGGGGTTTTGCCATGTTGGCCAGGTTGGTCTCAAACTCCTGGCCTCAAGTGATCCACCCGCCTCGGCCTCCCAAAGTGGTGGGATTCCAGATGTGAGCCACTGCGCCTGGTCCTAAAATATTTTAAAAACCACATATTCCCATGCACATTTTTAGGTTGACTTAAAATTTTTTGTTAAAGTTTAAATAGTTGTAAAAGATGTCATTTCTGGGCATATATAATGACATTTTTAAGTGAAATGGTTACATCATTATTCTAATTGCATCCCATGTAACCTTAATACAAAAATGATTTAATACCACCACCATCCATTAAAAAAAAATACATGATTGTGCTTTTCTTTAACAGTTAGAATTCTTATACTATTCCTCTGTTTCCTTGAACTCTTATTTTCATTTACTTCCCCCGGTGAATTTTATCTTACTGTAACTTTTTTTTTTTGAGACAGAGTCTCACTCTGTCGCCCAGGCTGTTGTGCGGTGGTGTGATCTCGGCTCACTGCAACCCCGCCTCCTAGGTTCAAGCAATTCTCCTGCCTCAGCCTCCCAAGTAGCTGGTATTACAGGCACCCACCACCATGCCTGGCTAATTTTTGTATTTTTAGTAGAGGCTGGGTTTCACCATGTGGCCAGTCTGGTCTCGAACTCCTGGCCTCAAGTGATCAACCCGCCTCAGCCTCCCGAAGTGCTGGGATTACAGATGTGAACCACCACGCCTGGCCATCTTACCATAACATATTTTTATGCACAAACATCTTTTATTGATTATCCTACTATATTTGTTTGAAATAAAGTTTTTAAATAAAAATTTAAAAATTATTATAATGGAATTATCATAATTATACAATTGATTAAAATAATGTAAATATGCTACATGTTTTAATAAGTAATTATTAAAGATTAAGAAGGCTGCCCAGGCGCAATGGCTCATGCCTGTAAACCCAGCACTTTGGGAGGCTGAGACGGGTGGATCACAAGGTCAGAAGTTCAAGACCATCGTGTCCAAGATGGTGAAACCCCATCTCTACTAAAAATACAAAAATTAGCTGGGCATGATGGCAGGTGCCTATAATCCCAGCTACTTGGGAGGCTGAGGCAGAGAACTGCTTGAACCCGAGAGGCAGAGGTTGCGGTGAGCCAAGATTGCGCCACCGCACTCCAGCCTAGGCGACAGAGCGAGACTTCATCCAAAAAAAGAAAAAAAGAAGGCCAGGCACAGTGGCTCACACCTGTAATCCCAGCACTTTGGGAGGCCGAGGCAAGCAGATCACCTGAGGTCAGGAGTTTGACCAACATAGAGAAACCCTGTCTCTACTAAAATACAAAATTAGCCGGGTGTGGTGGCACGTGCCTATAATCCCACCTACTCAGGAGGCTGAGGCAGGAGAATCCCTTGAACCCAGGAGGCGGAGGTTGCGTGAGCCGAGATGGGGGCATTGCGCTCCAGCCTGGGCAACAAGAGCAAAACTCTGTCTCAGAAAAAAAAAAAAAAATTAAGAAAAAATTATTACAGGTATATCTATGAATGAGTTCGATGAAATTGTTTCGTTCCCTACCTGTACCCTTGCACATAATTATTTCCTTTGTAGCTGAATACTGCCTATTGATTGCTAGAATGACACAGGATTTCAGCATCAATTCCATTCTGTTTTTTTCCTCTAGATATAAATGCTGAGGGACTTGATTCCCATAAATTGATAGGAATGGATGGAATTTTGTAATGACAATGTCATTAGATTATACTTCAGAATTATATACCAGAAATTACATAGTGATATTACCAAAAAATCATTTTGAATCCTCTGTCTTACGACAATTTGTGATTAGGTTACTCTTTAATTCTGGTGAAAGGAAAGAGTTAGAAACCATGTGGCTCATAAAAGGGTCTATTGCTCAGTTATTAGCGTTCACCTTCGCCATTCCACTTTGCCACCTGAAGCTTTCACATCATGGGCCACCTTATTAGGATCCTGGGAGGGTGAAACTCATGCCTTTATCTTGGGAGAAGGGAGTTTATCCCTGGGAGAAGGGAGTTTGAGAAGGGAAAGTGGGGAAGGAAAATTAAAGAGGTTTTAGGAAAGAGCACATATGGGAGTTGAAGACACGGAAGTCAGTTCTCCTGTATGCACATATTTGTGTCCGTGTGCTCCTTGGAGAGTCTTGGGGTTAACCCAGGGAAATGCATACCAGGCTTTAAAACAACTCTTCCAATCTGCTTAGTTTTTTAATATTTAAAAACCAAATGGGAGGGGAGGAAAAAACTTTTATGATCCTAGATATTCAAGAAATACATTATTTGTGACCTGTAAAGCCTCCCATATAAATCCCTCTGGATGTGGGGTAGTCCTTAGGGACACAGGAATATAAAGGGGTTGTTTTTCATTTAAATAATCACAAATTTTCTTGCATTTTTCAGATGATACAGAACTTTCAGGAAGAAGCATGTTTTATTCTGGACACAATGAAAGGTAATAGTAAGACAAACATCTTTCTCTAAGCAGTTTAACAGCTTTACTACTACTAGGCAAAGTACATACTTCTTTGAGGAGAGATAGGAAAAGTAACCATATTTGGGTAAAGAAAGTGACAATATTAGAGATTGTTCCTTTTTTTAAGTTGGCTTTTTTTTTTTTTTTTTTTTTTGAAACAGAGTCTCGATCTGTTGCCCAGGCTGGAGTGCAGTGGCATGATCTCGGCTCACTACAACCTTCGCTTCCCAAGTTCAAGTGATTCTCCTCCCTCTGCCTCCCAAGTAGCTGGGATTACAGGCACGTGCCACCATGTCTGGCTAATTTTTGTATTTTTAGTAGAGATGGGTTTCACCTTGTTGGCCAGGCTGGTCTCGAACTCCTGACCTCAAGCGATCCACCCACCTTGGCCTCCCAAAGTGCTGGGATTACAGACATGAGCCACTGTGCCTGGCCCAGCTTTTTGCCATTCTCTTCCATCTTCCATTACAGATGAGGAAATTGAGGCATGTTGTTTTTATAATGCATTTTTTTTGAGACAGAATTTCGCTCTTGTTGCCCAAGCTGGAGTCCAGTGGCGTGATCTCAGCTCACTGCAACCTCCACCTCCCTTTTCTCCCCTTCTCACGAGAATCTTACCATACTTTTTTTCTCCTGCTGTGTTTTAGAGGTGACTAAAGATGATTCTCTCTCTCTCTTTTTTTTAACAGCAGAAACCAATGATAGCTATCATATCATACTGAAGTAGGAGTGCGGCGTTTCGTGCCCAGTGGCTGCTCCTTCCTTCACCTCTGAAAACGGCCCTCTTGAAGGGGGATATGAATGGAGATTTGAAGGTCTGCAAGAACCTGACTCGTCTGACTGTGTGTGGAGGAGTCCAGGCCATGGAGGCAGAATCCTGGCCCTCTGTGTTGGCCCAAGCTCTTGTGGTACACACAGATTACTGCCCAATATGCAGTTCTGCAGCTGTTTTAGTTAAATTTCTGGACCTTGTTGTTGTTAAATATCAGTAGAAACTCTACATAATTTAGAGTGTATGTAGGGCATAATGATGATGGGAATTGTGTGATGTTTAACAGGAAGATCTTAAATTTTGTGATATGGAGCCCTGTAATTTTTTTCTTATATAAAAATGGGTATCTATATTCATAAGACTAGGTCTTCAATCTCTTTGTACTGGTCTCAAATGTACTGGTATCTCTGCTTTTTGCCACAGTTTGTCCCTGAAAACTTTATCAGTGAGGAGAAATACAGAATTTTCCTTTTGGTTCCCCTGTAATACCACAACTAATAGTATTTTCAGCTAACATTTATTGACCAGGCAGTGTGATAAATTTTTTGAATGACCATCTTGTTTAACCCCCTAATCACACTATCTGAAGTAGGTGCTATAGTGACCCCCAACCGAAGATGAGGAAATGGAGACACACAGTGGCTAAGTAGCTTGCTAGGTGCCAGGAGCTGGCAGGCAGTGATGCTGAAATCCAAACCAGGCAATCTGGCCCTCCTTATTCACCCTCTCATACCACCAGTGCTACCCATTATAACCTGTGTTCACTTCGCTTATTACTGTGGCCCTTCTGGTGACTACAACATAACACTGAGTATGAACTGAGGAATTAACCACTGAAAGAGACAAAGCACACCTAAATAATGATGAACAAATCAAGACCTACAAGAAATGAACACATAGATGCTTTTTAAGTGTCATTAGTTATCGGAATCAAAGAATTTGAGGTGGTGACAACTGGGGATTATCTGTAACTCCCCAAATTTACTGTTCTTGAATGACATTCTCAAACTATTTATTAATGAGTTAGTCTCATCCCTGCTTTCTGTTTCCTCTCTCTGCATCTTCTCTTGGCATAGGAAGTTATTTTACTCATGCTATGTTTTTTAATAGAAGCTTTACAAAAAAAGATGCATTCCCTTCCTGTTCACACTCTTACCATGTTTTTGTTCTTCCTTAAGAATGATTGTGTGTGTGTGTGTGTGTGTGTGTAAGTGTGTAAGTGTAACATCATGGGTTTTCTTTCTTCACTTGTAAAGTTTTATCTAGAAATACTTTTACAGGTTATGTTGAGGTACACAAAGATAATGTTCTAAGATTGTGTATTGGATTTGGATTTGTGTGTGTGTGTGTGTGTGTGTGTGTTTAAAGCATTTGATAAGGTTTAAATGTTTTTTATACAGAGATTTTTGTTCATTAAACTCAATCTGCATCATGGTCTAATTTCTCTTGGTTTGAAACAAATTGAAAACTTTGAAACCAAAAAATTAAGTCAATGACTTGTTTAAAACTGACCTGAGCAACTTGTTATATTACACCAAAATGCTTCTTAGTGAATGATTACCAGGTGTCTCCATTTTGAGGAGGAGACGTATCTGGTTGTCTTATATTCCTAGTACTGGTTCTCAACCTCAGTTCTTTCCTCAGCAGGCTGCTATTGGTTTGGATTTTTTTTTTTTTTTTTTTTTTTTTTTTTATGTCTAGGTGTTTGGGTAGGAAAGTTGGACTAGATGCCTTTTTCTTTTTTTTTTTTTTTAATATAGAAATGAGTCTGGGCACCGTGGCTTATGCCTGTAATCCCAACAATTTGGGAGGCTGAGGCAAGCAGATCACTTGAGGCCTGGAGATTAAGACCAGCCTGGCCAACATGGTGAAACCCTGTCTCTACTAAAAATACAAAATTAGCTGGGCGTGGTGGCACACACCTGTAATCCCAGCTACTTGGGAGTCTAAGACATGAGAATTGCTTAAACCTGGGAGGTGGGGTTGCAATGAGTTGAGATCAGGCTGCTGCACTCCAGGCTGGGTGACAGAGCAAGACTGTCTCAAAAAAATTTTTTTTAATAAAATAAAATATAGAAATGAGGTCTCACTGTGTTGCCTGCCAGGTTGGTCTTGAACTCCTGGGCTCAAGTGATCCCCCGTCTCATCTTCCAAAGTGCTGGGAGTACAGGTGTGAGCCACCGTGCCTGGCCAAGACTAGGTGACTTTTTTGTTTTGAGACGGAGTCTCACTCTGTTGCCCAGGCTGGAGTTAAATGGCCTGATCTCAGCTCACTTGCAACCTCTGCCTCCCGGGTTCAAGCAATTCTCCTGCCTCAGCCTCCTGAGTAGCTGGGACTACAGGCACGGACCACCATGCCATGCTAATTTTTCTATTTTTAGTAGAGATGGGGTTTTACTATGTTGGCCAGGCTGGTCTTGAACTCCTGACCTCATGATCCACCCACCTCGGCCTCCCAAAGTGCTGGGATTACAGGTGTGAGCCACCGCACCTGGCCCAAGGCTAGGTGACTTTTAAGGTTTCTTCCAAATCTTTGCATTTGTGACTCTTACTGCAAATGATGCATAAAATTAAATATATAGATGAGGCACAGTGGCTCATGCCTGTAAGCCCAGCACTTTAGGAGGCCAAAATGGGAGGATCACTTTAAGCCAGGTCAGGAGTTCAAGACCAGCCTGGGCAACAAAGTGAGACCCGCCCCCCCATCTCTACAAAAAGTTAAAAAAATTAGCCAGGTATGGCAGTGATTACTTGAGCCTAGGGTTGGAGGCTGCAGTGAGCTGTGATCATGCCACTGCACTGTAGCTTAAGTGACGAAGTAAGACCCCCATCTCAAAGAAAACAAAACAAGAATTATATCTCCCTCTGTCACCCAGGCTGGAGTGCAGTGCCAGTTATAGCTCACTGCAGCCTCAAACTCCCAGGCTCAAGTGATCCTCCTGCCTCAGCCTCCCAAGTAGCTAGGACTACAGGCACACACCACGAAGCCCTGCTAATGTTTTTTTGTAGAGACAGGATCTTACCATGTTGCCAACCTAGTCTTGAACTCCTGGCCTCAAGCAGTCCTCCTGCCTTGGCCTCCCAAAGTGTTGAGATTACAGGCATGAGCCACCACGCCTGGCCTTTATTAATATATTGACTATAAATTACACTTAACTATTTTTACCTGAAGTCAGGGTTTTTTAGAGTAGTCTTCGAATTTATGGAAATGAACTTATACAACTTTGAAATTATAGATCCTTAAATTTACCAGAAAATCTCTTAGGCTTTCTTTAGCTACAAAAAATTTTTATTGTGCCAGTGATGTATAATTGGTAAGAATTGGCATAGTGCTAGAACACTGTAATTATTCAGTTTGCTTTAAAACATTGCATATGTTCACTAATAATCCTTTCAATTAAGTGAAAATTTTATACTAGCTTTTTCATTATGAAAGTAATACACAGAATGATAAATTCAAACAATAAAGAATGGTATCATATAACTTTCCCCCTTACCTCTTAGTCCCACTCTGTAGAGGTAATCATTGCAAAGAATTTCCCCCATCACACATGCACACACATACACACACACACACACACACACACACACACACAGATGGGCTCATGTTATACTAATGACCTGCAATTTGATTTTTGTATTTAGCATATCTTGAATATCTTACTATACTAGAATTTTTAGTTCTACATCATTCTTTTTAAAAACTGGTTATTCTGTATGGATGCCATTTAGGTCACATATATTTGAACATGCATCTTTTTTTGTGTGTGCGTGTCACCCAGGCTGGAGCGCAGTGGCACCATCTCAGCTCACTGCAGCCTCTGCCTCCCAGGCTCAAGCGATCCTCCTACCTCAGCCTCCCAAGTACCTGGGGCTACAGGTGTGTGCCACCACACTTGGCTAATTTTGTATTTTTTTGTAGAGACAGGGTCTCCCTATATTGCCCATACTGGTCTTGACCTCCTGGGCTCAAGCATCCTCCTGCCTCAGCCTCCCAAAATGCTGGGATTACAAGTGTGAGCCACCCACCATACCGGCCTAGGCCATTTAGAGAAGAGGCGTAGCATCCTATTTGACTTACCATTGCCTGTACTCCTTTGAAGTATAATAGGTTCCATGTAGAAAAATCTGCTGTATAAAGACTTGATAATTAAAAGGGAGTTATTGCGAAATATTAATAAAAGGGGAGGGAAGTTGTTGCAGGACTCTAAGGATTGAGTAGTCAGTACGTGAAATGTGGCTGTTGAGTAATGAGATTGACTGTTCAATGTTATGGCCCAATGAGAATGTTTGCCCACGTAAATGATTTATTTAAGAAGTCATATAAATGGAGGAAACATGGCTGGGCGTGGTGGCTCACCCCTGTAATCCTAGCGCTTTGGGAGGCTGAGGCGGACAGATCACCTGAGGTCAGGAGTTTGAGATCAGCCTGGCCAACATGGTGAAACTCCGTCTCTGCTAAAAATACAAAAAAAAAAAAAAAATTAGCCGGGCGTGGTAGTGGGTGCCTGGAATCCCAGCTACTCAGGAGGCTGAGGCACAAGAATTGCTTGAACCCAGGAGGTGGAGGTTGCAGTGAGCGGAGGTTGTGCCACTGCACTCCAGCCTGTATGAGAGAGAGAAGAGAGAAAAGAGAGAGAGAAAAAGAAACTGACTCTATCTAAAAAAAGAAATTTTAAAAAGACAACCCAAGACGTGACAAAAAAGTAAGGTCCACATGAAGGGGCTGAAGTTCTGATTCCTGGAAGTCCAGGTACTGGGTATGTTGTGCGGGCAGAGTATGATCTCTGAGCTGGAGGTTCCGGGGGAAGCTTGGCAAGTAAAGAAGGTGTGAGATAATGGCACCAACCATTTCTAATGTATGCATAATGGAGGAGTGTTCTCAAAACCCTGTGTATCCCCACATATTCTGAGAAAGTGTTTTGTATAGGGTTACCGCAGAGATTTGAACTGTCTTGCAAATCACCATGAAGGGCTGAGCAGAGCTTCGGTATTCAGTCTTGAAAGCAATTTAGAGTCCAAATATTTGAAGTCAGGATTGAGCTTCTCCCTCTTGTAGCTTTTTTCTCTGGCCAAACCTAACAATTCCAGATTTGGGGGGACAGGAGAACTGAAATTGAAGAACCATTTTATCATTTTACTGAATTATTGGTCTGCTTCCTTGGTCACGGATGGTTCCTCTACAGGAATTTGATCTGTTATGGCCGCCATGGGTCTTATGAGAACTCCAGTCTCAGTAGGAATGGCACAATTGTCCCACCTAGCTGCCCCATTTATATATATATATATATATTTCTTTTTTTTTCTTTTTTTCCTTTTTTTTTTTTTTGAGACAGAGTCTCTGTCACCCAGGCTGGAGTGCAGTGGCGCGACCTCAGCTCACTGCAACCTCTGCCTCCTGGGTTCAAGCGATCCTCCTGCCTGAGCCTCCTCAGTAGCTGGGATTACAGGTATGTGCCACCACGCCCAGCTAATTTTTATATTTTTAGTAGAGACGGGGTTTCACCGGGTTGGACAAGCTGGTCTCAAACTTCTGACCTCAAGTGATCCACCAGCCTTGACCTCCCAAAGTGTTCGGATTACAGGCATGAGCCACTGCGCCCAGCCTATTTCTTTCTTAGCTTCTTTTTTTGTTTTTAAGAGACAGGGTCCTGCTCTGTTGCCCAGGCTGTGGTGTGATCATAGCACACTGTAGCCTTGAACTCCTAGGCTCAAGTGATCCTCTCGCCTGTCTCCTGAGTAGGTAGGACTACAGGCATGTGCCACCACACCCAACAAATTTGTTTTGTTTTGTTTGAGGCAGGATCTCACTTTGCTGCCTAGGCTGGAGGGCAGTGGCACCATCATAGCTCACTGCAGCCTTGACCTCCTGGGCTCAAGCGATTCTCCCACCTCAGCCATCCAAAGTGCTGGGATTACAGGTATGTGCCACTGTGCCCAGCTCTAATTTTTATTTTTCGTAGAGACAGGATCTTGCCATGTGGTCCTTGCTGATCTGAACTCCTGGCTTCAAGCGAGCCTCCCACCTTAGCCTTCCAAAGTGCTGGGATTATAGGCGTGAGCCACCACACCCAGCCTATATATTATGTCATTAGGAGTAATCCTACATCATTCTGCTTCTCCTGCAAATGCTCTACTTTCTTAGTTGTGAGTTAAGGCTTTCCCTGCTAGAATGCTTGCTTTTAGTTTGTGATTAATTTTTGTTTCATTATACCAACTCCAAAACTTAAATGAGGAAGAATATCCTACCACTGCAAAATGGAGTGAGTTGGGAAAGATGCCCTTTGTGACATGGGAGTAATGCCACCAGCACTGTTTTTTCTGCATACTTTATTTCTCCTTCCTGGTTCTTTTAGTGACCTTGTATTTTATCTTCAACCTTGAATTTTCATCTATTTCCACTTCTTCCTTCTTCTTTTCACGTCTTTGTTCACACATTCTCTACAGCATTTCCCCTGTAGTGTTCCTTGTGAACATAGGCCTAAGCTAAAATCTATCTTGCTTGAAAATTTATTTATTTATTTATTTTTCTTGAGGTGGGGTCTTGCTTTGTCACTCAGACTGGAGTGCAGTGGCACTATCTCGGCTCACTGCAAGCTCTGCCTCCCGAGTTCAAGTGATTCTCCTGCCTCAGACTCCCAAGTAGCTGAGATTACAGGCGCCTGCCACCATGCCCGGCTGATTTTTGTATTTTTAGTAGAGACAGGGTTTCACCATATTGGCCAGGCTGGTCTCGAACTCTTGACCTTGTGATCCACCCACCTGCGCCTCCCAAAGTGCTGGGATTACAGGCATGAACCACCGCGCCTGGCCAAAAATTTCAAGTAAGTCTAGCATTTGCATTTTCAAATTCAGACACTGAAAAGTTTATATGAATTAAAGTTTTCAATTGGATTAATATCAATTATAAGGGAACTTGCTATTTAAACTAATATTATTGTATTATTTGTTGTCTTATTGTACTATTTTTTACTGATATGGTATTTTGGGACATGAGTTATAACTGGTTTACCTATTATGCGAATCTCTGTTTTCATGTATTAGATATGTTTAAGATGAGGTGCACATTTTAATTAATGTAGATTCTTGTTTTCTTTTCCTTTTTTTGTGTGGTGGGAGGACAGAGTTTCACTTTTGTCGCCCAGGCTGGAGTGCAATGGCGCATATGACTTCTTTGGTGTTTGTGCTTTCAGTTTGCTGTGGCACTCTTTTTCTCAGATTTACACATACTGTTCTCTTTTTGTTAGTGTGGAATTAGTCACAAAGAGGTGCCTGTCTCTCTAGATCTGGAATATAATATAATTAAATGTCAATTAGTGAAGTAGCATAACAACTTTAGGGCTAAGTCTACAGATACCTTTTCAGAAAAACAAACACAATGCCTTAGATTTTTATTTTAACTCTTTTTCTCTAAGAATTTCAACATATTATATCCTCTGTCCTATTTATTTTCACCTCTCTGGGGAATGTGTTCTCGTTTATCTTTTGGTGGTAAGAGGTAGTTGATACAGTATATATTTTGGTGTCAGATAGGCCTGCATTCAAATCCCAGATCCTTCTCTTCCTGGATATGACTTTGGACAGAGTAATCTTTCAAGCCTCAATTTTATCATCTTAACCCTATGAATTAAGTATTAAAAAGGAGGTAATACTTAATTCATAGAGTTATTTGAGAGTTTTAAAGGGATTATGAGTGTAAAACAGTTTATACTGAATACTATACACCTGTTCATTAGCTCAATAATCTAAGGATACTACTGACTATAAGATCACCTTCACACACAGTCATAGCTGCAAGACCAAAGTATAAAACACTTCCCAGGGCCAGGCGTGGTGGCTCATGCCTGTAATCCTTGCACTTTGGGAGGCAAAGGCAGGAGGATTGTTTGAACCCAGGAGTCCAAGGCCAGCCTGGGGAACGTGAGACCCCTCTCTCTATTAGAAAAGAAAAAAAAAGGAAGAAAGAAAAGAAAACACTGCTCGGGTCATGATTTTTTTCGTTGTTGTTGTTTTTTGTTTTAGACAGAGTCTCGTTCTGTTGTCCAGGCTGGAGTTCAGTTGCGCAATCTCGGCTCACTGCAACCTCCGCCTTCCTGGGTTCAAGCGATTCTCATGCCTCAACCTTCCAAGTAGCTGGGAGTACAGGCTCGTGCCATCATTCCCAGCTATTTTTAGTAGAGATGGGGTTTCGCCATGTTGGCTGGACTGGTCTTGAACTCCTGGCATCAAGTGATCCACCCACCTTGGCCTCCCCAAGTGCTGGGATTACAGGCCTGAGCCACCGCACCCAGCCTATTATTTTTATTTTTAGAGACAGAGTCTCTGCCGGGTGTGGTGGCTCAGGCCTGTAATCCCAGCACTTGGGGAGGCTGAGGCTGGTGGATTGCTTGAGCACAGGAGTTCGTGACCAGCCTGGGCAACACAGGGAGAACCCCCATCTCTATTTTATTATTTTTTTTAATTAAAAAAGAGAGGGTCTTGTTCTGTCACTCAGGCTGGAGTGCAGTGGCATGAACACAGCTGTCACTGCAGCTTGACCTCCTGTGCTCAAGTGATTCTCCCACCTCAGCCTCCCAAGTAACTGGGATCACAGGTGCATGCCACTGCACCTGGCTAATTTTTAAAAATTTCTTGTGAGACAGAGTCTCCCTCCATGTTGCCCAGGCTGGTCTCAAACTCCTGGGCTCGAGCAATCTTCCCTCCTCAGCCTCCTAAAGTGCTGGGATTACAGGTGTGAGCCACCATGCCTGGCCCAGATGATCTTCTGACTGATCAAGAGCTTATTGCCAAATTGAATTCTGCCGTCTTCTCAAAGGATGTACTAACATTGGTTTGGCTATCTTCTAGTTTGGTGGCATTAACCAATTGAGGTTAATGCATTGGGCACTGGGGCTGATGGTACCCTGATGAATTTCCATGACTGCTGGAACACTGGATGTGTAGGCATATGAGACACTTTTTTAGCATCCTCAACATGGGCATCAGGCTGGTTTTTTGTTACTCAGCCTACTGATTCTATAGAGTGGTCTAGGATAGTTTTCTCTTCCCTTTTGTCTTCTGTATGCACAGGAAGAATGGGATCATGAACCAAACCTTCTACACAACTGAATAGAAAGCTTATGATTAAAAATAGCTAACATTTACACAGCACTGACTGTTGTAAACATTTTCCAATATATCAGCTGTTTAATCTTCACAAAACCCAATGAGATAGACATCGTTATTCCTGGCTTGCAAATGAGGAAGCTAAGGCAGAAAACTTATGTCCCTTGCCCGGGGTCATGCCACTAGTAAGTAGAGGAAGTGGGGTTTATATTCAGGCAGTCTGGCTCCAGGATCAATGCTCTCGATCACTCCAGGATCCATGCTCTTGATCACTCATTATATTGCCTCTGAATTTCAGCAAAGAGAGATGACAAGTGCATGTTACCAAAAGATTGCTTTTTTCTGATCTACTGCTTTTTTATTTTGCAGTGTAGTGTCCTAGCTTCTTGGAGTCTCTGATGTCACCTAGGGGAGAGAACTGAAATTCTTAGCATGTTTTCCCAAGCCATCCAGCCTCTCACTTCTAAAGCTGAGATGGCTTGGTAGCTAGTGGATCTGGCTTCATAGTTTCTTGGTTGCAGTGAAAAATGTACCAGGTTTTGGAACCAGCCTAACGTGAGTTTAAATCCTGCTGTCCATCCATCTATCCAATAAATATCTATCATACTCTTAAATGTCAACTACTAGGCTTTGTACTGTGTGTTGAGGATACAGTAAACAAAACAATTCCTTGCTCTCACCGAATTTAGTCAAGTGAGACAAGACAAAAACAAATACGTGGATGCTAAGAAGAAATATAAGGCACAGGGATAGAAACTAAGGAGAAGCACCATTTTAGAAATATGGTTAGGCATTTGTGCCCGGGAGTTTGAGGCTGCTGTGAGCCGTGATTGCGCCACTGCACTCCAGCCTGGGTGACAGAGTGAAATCCTGTCTCTTAATGCAGGGAAAAAGAAATATGGTTAGGGAAGATCTCGGATATGGGGACATTCGAGCAGATATTATGTGAGGGAGTAAGTATGTGGCTAGCTGGTGGAAGCCAGACAAAAGGCCCTGAGGTAAGAGAATGATTGCCCAGTTGAAGGAGCTGCAATGAGGCCAGTGTATTCAAGCAGAGTATGGAAGGGGGAAAGTAGAAGCAAACAAGATGACAGAACAAAATGAGGGGGCGGGGTGGGGGTCGGGGGACAAGAGAATGCAGCTCGAGCTTGCCGAGCCTTATAGTTCAAGGGAAAGACAACAAAGAAGAAACCAAGGCTATGTGTCCTTGGCAAATCACATACAACTTTTGACTTCTTAATCTTGGTTTTCCCCTTTTTTTTCTTTTTCTTTTTCTTTTTTTTTTTGAGACGGAGTTTCGCTCTTGTTGACCGTGCTGGAGGGCAATGGTGCAGTCTTGGCTCACTGCAACCTCCGCCTCCCGGGTTCAAGCCATTCTCCTGGGTCGGCCTCCCGAGGAGCTGGGATTAAAGGCACGTGCTACCACCCTCGGCTAATTTTTGTATTTTTAGTAGAGACAGGGTTTCACCATGTTGGTCAGGCTGGTCTCGAACTCCTGACCTCATGACCCGCCCGCCTCGGCCTCCCAAAGTGCTGGGATTACAGGCATGAGCCACCGCGCCTGGCGCCCTTTCTTAAAAATAGGTTGCGGAAGGGCGCGGTGGCTCATGCGTATAATCCCAGCACTTTGGGAGGCCGAGGCGGGCGGATCGCCTGGGCCCAGGAGTGCAAGACCAGCCGGGGCAACATGGCGAAAACCCCTTTTCTATTTAAATAAATAAATTAGTTTGCAAAGTTGAGAAGATTTTTTTTTTTTTTTTTTTGAGACGGAGTCTCGCTCTTTCGCCCAGTCTGCAGTGCAGTGGCGCGATCTCGGCTCACTGCAAGCTCCGCCTCCCGGGTTCACGCCATTCTCCTGCCTCAGCCTCCCGAGTAGCTGGGACTACAGGCGCCCGCCACCACGCCCGGCTAATTTTTGTATTTTTTAGTAGAGACGGGGTTTCACCTTGTTAGCCAGGTTGGTCTCGATCTCCTGACCTCGTGATCCGCCCACCTCGGCCTCCCAAAGTGCTGGGATTACAGGCGTGAGCCACCGCGCCCGGCAGCAATTTTTTTTTTTTTAAAGAAAACACTCAAAGCACTCCCTCATATAAGTAGATAACTCAAGATATTGCTTGTATTCTTTATAACCTGCGCAGGCTGCAATAAGTCATATTGCTGAAGACTAAGACCCCATGAGCGAGGAGAAGGGGGGATCATGTTCCTAATGGCGTGTGGTCAGGACACGAAAGAAAAAGGGAGCTTTGGAGGAGAATTCGTTTATTTAAGATCTGTAGCTGAGTCTCCTCTCTTCCCCCATTAAAAGGTTGCAGCAGAGCTGCCGCCTCGGGAGCCGGTTTGCGCGCCGGCTTCGGCTTTGCAGCAGTTACCGCCTACAACTCCCGGCATGCTGCTGGGTGTGGGCCGGCCCGTAGACTCCATTTCCCAGCCAGCCCCGGGTCTCGGTCAGGACGTGCCGGCGCCTATAAGAGCCAGTGCGCTGCGGCCGGATCCTATTGTTAGCCGGAGCCGGGGCGGTTCTGGGCGTCTGCTGCCGGGGGCGCCCGAGTTGCCGGAGACGCCCGGCCCTCTCTGCCTGCCGGCTGGGCTGCCCACCGCCCTCCCTCCCCGCCCTGCCGCCCTGGGAGCTCCCCGGCCGTCGCCGCGGGGCCCGGGACTCGCTCGCTCCTCCCTCCTTCCCACCGGGCTAGGGCGGCGGCGGCAGCGGGGGCGGCAGAGACCATCACGGGAGGAGGCAGCTGCGGCGGGGCCGGTAATGGGCCTAGGGGTGCGGGGCGGAGGGTGCCGCCTCGTCCTTTCTCGGGATCGGCCCTCGGGCGGCCGTGGAGGAGTGGTCAAGCCCAGAGCCGTGCGGATGGAGGGGTCAGAAATGAGAGGCTCGGACGGGAGCGGTCGGGGGGCGGGGAGGTCGGGTGCCGTTGGGAAGGAACCGAGTCGGGAAGAGGCGTGGGAGCGAGGGGCACCGAGGACGCTGGCCCGGACTGCGGGGGCAGCTCGCGGGAGACCGATGGGCGGCTTGGAAGCCTGCAGGATTGCAGATGAGGATTGAGTTCGGAATGGAGTGGAGAATGATGTAGGATGGAGGAAAGTGAAGGAAGGGGAGGGGGAACAGAGGAAAATGTGGGAGGAGTGGTTGGGAATTTGTGAGTAGCAGGCAGGAAGGGATGCGGAAGGCTGGGTAGGGGCTGCAGAGGATTGGAATGAGCGGGAAGGTTAGCAGGAATCAGAGGGAAGTGGGCCGAGAGCTGAAGGGTTCGGCAGGAGTGTTCATTAAAAGGAACTGGTGACTTGACATGTCCCTTCGCTCCGGTTCCTGATGTCTCCCATATTTCTGGCGTCGTGTGGGAAAATGAAAGCATCAATTGCCCTGGTTGCTAGCTTGATCTTTTTTCATAGGCCCAATTACGCAGCCAACTGCCACCCGTCCCTTTTAGTGCTGTGGTCTTGATTCATCCTTTTAAAGGGGTTGAGAGTGGCAGTGTGACACACAAACTGTTCTTCAGAATGAAATGCTAGAAGTTATCCCCACAAGACAACACTGTCCCCTTGTCCTGCAGTTTTCAGTTCAAGGTAAATTCATAGTTCAGATTTTTTTCTTCACTGGCTTTCTGTCTTGCAAATCCACAAAGCCAGGATGTTGGTTGTGCCGGTGTTATAAATGACTGGATATCCTTGAGAGTTAATGCAGCATCATGTTCCAGTTCCCACAAAGATCTGTCTTCCACACGATGGTAGTTTAGGCATGGAAAATTCTAACCTTGTGTTAGTGAATGGGTAAAAATCGGGGAGTGGGGGTGGTGAGTGCACGGCTTTCTTTAAACACCTAACTTAAGCGGGGGGTTTTCACTTGGGTGCTTTGTAAGTTCATGATCCTGGTGATCACAAAGACACATGGATCCATGAAATTCATGGTATATGAGAAACAACCACAGTATCTTGTAAAAGGAGAAACAGGGCAGGTCATTTTATTCAGGTTTATGGTAACACAGCAGCAAGCCTTCCTTCCAACCCAGCTACAGATGGTAGCCCTGACCATCTTACTGGAGGTTTTGATTCCTTGACCTTTAGCAGAAGGTTGGGTTCCAGTCAAGTGAAGAGGCTTTCTCCTGTGAGATGTAGCTTATTACTTTGGACTCATTTAAGAAAGAGACTTATATTACCTAAACTTTGCAAATAGATTCTTCCAGAAAATTTTGCCTGGGCAGTCCCTCTTGCTGCTCTCACATATGCTGTTTTTTTTTGTTGTTGTTGTTGTTTGTTTGTTTGTTTGTTTTGGTGGTTATAGGAATCCTTTTAGGCCTGAAAAAAACTTAGATCTAGTACTAAAATATACATATTCTGGTGGAACTGTTTATTAGGTGCTAGCCTGATGTATTCTGTGCTCTGGATCTTAACTATTTCATATAACTTTGGAAAATGTTCAGCTAGAAACTCTTGAGAAAAGACCATTAGACATGTAGCCAGAAAGTGTCAGCTGACCTTTCATTTCACTGGCATTTAAAAGCTTTAAAGAGAGTTGCATTATTTTCTCCAAAAGCATTTGTTGAGTTGGTCATTTTGACAGTTAACTGTCGGTTTTTACCTGCATTCCTAGGTGCTAAAACTTACAAGTGTATCTCTTGAACACAGGCATTGATCCTCTACCAATGAATAATTGAGAGAGGTAGGAATGACTGATTTTTCTAGTTGTAGTTTGAAAGATTAATTTGATGAATTGGAAAGTATGGAAACTATTCTGTTACTATTGCAAAGAAAGATTTATTTTTTTAAAAAATTTATTTTTATTTATTTTATTTTATTTTTTTAGGCAGGTCTGGCTCTGTCACCCAGGCTGGAGTGCAGTGGCACAATCTCAGCTCACTGCAACCTCTGCCTCCTGGGTTCAAGCAATCCTCCCGCCTTAGCCTCCCAAGTAGCTGAGACGACAGGCTCACACCACCATGCCCAGCTAGTTTTTGTATTTTTAATAGAGGTGGGGTTTTGCCATGTTGGCCAGGCTGGTCTTGAACTCCTGGCCTCAAGTGATCTGCCCGCCTTGGCCTCCCAAAGTGCTAGGATTACAGGCATGTGCCACCATGCCGGGCCAATTTTTTGAAAATACAGAGACAGGGTCTTGCTATGTTGGCCAAGTTGGTTTTGCACTCCTGGCCTCAAGCAATTCTCCTGCCTCAGCCTCCCAAAGAAGGATTTCTTCAGGGCACCATGGAAGTGAACAGGAGGTTTGTTCTTGGTGCCCAGTGAACATCTTCATCTAAAAGTCGAGTTCATATCAGAGAGTTGGACAAGGGGAGCTGGGTTGAAATTTAATCTTACATTGTTGTTGGGACATAATCTTTTTTCTTTTTAAAAAAATGGTGGAGCTAATGTCAGAGAAAATGCTGCTAACAGAGCCTGGGTAGGGTGAAGAGAGGAGTCCTTGAGGATTTCCCTGAGTGCCATCCATGTGAATGGAAGAGTTTGACCATAAGTCAGTATACATGTTATTTACACACATAGCCATAGGTTCCAGTTATTCTCAGACAGCTTAAGGAAAATACTTTTCTCCTAGGTGTCACATCTTTTTCCTTCTTTCTTACCTATCTCCTATCATTGCCCAGAAACCACTATTCCAGAAGTAGAGAAAACACAGAAAAAGAGGAGAATAGAACAAGCAGCCAGCAATCCTTGCTGCATCCAAGTTCACAAAAAGTAACCTAAAGATAACTGATACTCCTGCGGGCAGCTGGGTTAAGACCGTGGAGAATTGTAGTAATAAAGATGATTTTGGATCAGACCCAAGTTCATATGGGGCTTAAAGAGAAATATTCACCGGAGATACTACCAGAAGCCTGGGGACACCTGAGGAAAGAACAGGAGTGGACAGTTACTTCCAGTCATAAATCCTTGAGTGTTTCCAGGCTAAGGAAAAAGACCGCCTGCCTGCCTGCCTGCCTGCCTGCCTGCCTGCCTGCCTGCCTGCCTGCTTGCCTTCTTCTCTTCCCTCCCTCCCTCTTTTTTTTTTTTTTTTTTTTTTTTTTTGAGACAGAGTCTTACTCTGCCGCCCAGGCTGGAGTGCAATGGCGTGATCCCAGCTCACTGCAACTTCCGCCTCCTGGGTTCAAGCGATTCTCCTGCCTCAGCCTCCTGAGTAGCTGAGATTACAGGCACTCGCCACCACACCTGGCTAATCATTGTATTTTTGGTAGAGACGGGGTTTCACCATATTGGCCAGGATGGTCTCGATCTCTTGACCTTGTGATCCACCCGCCTTGGCCTCCCAAAGTGCTGAGATTAGAGGCGTGAGCCACCACACCCAGCTTTTTTTTTTTTTTTTTTTTTTTTGACAAGGTCTCCCTCTGTTGCCCAGGCTAGAGTGCAATGGCACGATCTTGGCTCACCACAACCTCCACCTCCCGGGTTCAAGCGATTCTCCTGCCACAGCCTCCTGAGTAGCTGGATTACAGGCATGTGCCACCACGCCTGGCTAATTTTTTTTTTTTTTTTGGATTTTTAGTGGAGATGGGGTTTCTCCATGTTGGTCAGGCTGGTCTCGAACTCCAGCCTCAGGTGATCTGCCCGCCTCGGCCTCCCAAAGTGCTGGGATGACAGACATGAGCCACTGTGCCCAGCTTTATTCTGTCTCCTTAAAAAATTCCACCCACATAAGCATTCAATCACAAGGGGCTCCCCCTCCCCGCTACAATAGAATGGAATGAGAAATTTGTTTGTCGATCGGTATCTTTTTTTTTTTTTAATACTTTAAGTTCTAGGGTATATGTGCACAACATGCAGGTTTGTTACATATGTATACATGTGTCATGTTGGTGTGCTGCACCCGTTAACTTGTCATTTACATTAGGTATAATCCCTCCCCGCTTCCCCCACCCCACGACAGGCCCCGGTGTGTGATGTTCCCCATCCTGTGTCCATGTGTTCTCATTGTTCAATTCCCACCTATGAGTGAGAACGTGCGGTGTTTGGTTTTCTGTCCTTGAGATAGTTTGTTCAGAATGATGGTTTCCAGCTTCATCCATGTCCATACAAAGGACATGAACTCATCCTTTTTTATGGCTGCATAGTATTCCATGGTGTATATGTGCCACATTTTCTTAATCCAGTCTATCATTGATGGACATTTGGGTTGGTTCCAAGTCTTTGCTATTGTGAATAGTGCCTCAATAAACATAACGTGTGCATGTGTCTTTATAGCAGCATGATTTATAATCCTTTGGGTATATACCCAGTAATGGGATGGCTGGGTCAAATGGTATTTCTAGTTCTAGATCCTTGAGGAATCGCCACACTGTCTTCCACAATGGTTGAACTAGTTTTCAGTCCCACCAACAGTGTAAAAGTGTTCCTATTTCTGCACATCCTCTCCAGCACCTGTTGTTTCCTGACTTCTTAATGATCGCCATTCTAACTGGTGTGAGATGGTATCTCATTGTGGTTTTGATTTGCGTATCTCTGATGGCCAGTGATGATGAGCATTTTTTCATGTGTCTGTTGGATGCATAAATGTCTTCTTGTTGATCGGTATCTTTAAACCCAGCTAAAATCTTAACCCATAAAAAGCCCTTGGCTCGCTCCTTTCTTACCATGCCCTAAGAATGTGACCTCTGATAAGATCAGTAACATGAAGAACTAAACTGATACTTTGGGCTCGTTTTTTAATTTAATTACAGTTTTTATCAAATACTTGATTTTTTTTTTTCTTCCCTGGCAAATTTATTTCAGGAATGTGCTTGTCTGAGACTTCTGATGGCTGAGGTTTCTTAGGTACATCTTGTGACTTGAATGCAGAATTTGATGCAATCTGGATAGATTAGGAAATACCTTCTCTAAGGTACTTATTACGTCTGGTTGACTTTGTAGAGCTGATCCAAGAGCAGGCAAATTGCTTCCAACAGACACAGTCCAGAAAAGCAGCTCTGTAGCAGGCATCTCTTGACACCACAGTATATTCTGGGTAGCTGCTCTGCAGTAATGCAGCCCTGTCGTTCTGGGCAGTGTTGTTATTCCTGCTGCATAATTAGCAACTAGTGAGATCATAGTCTGGGGAGATTCTGGCATTACTGAGGCAAGGGAGGGTTCGTGTCTCATCACACATGGCTCCCGCTTTGACAGCATTTCTGCTGAGCAGATTCGTGTCCTTCTGGAACTTAAATCCAAAGATGGAGGAAAAAGATTTGTACCTAGGGAAATGGACTATCTCAGACTCCTTGGTTGTATGAAAGTGTGTTGAAAACAACACTGCATGCCATATTGATATAACCAGAATAAATAGTTACTTCTCTTGCTATTTGTTTTCCCCTTGCTGATTTCTTTATAGAGGGCAAAGATTGTAAAGCTACAATGTCCTTGCACAGAGGATGGTGACAGACCAGATGAGCCCTATTTTATGGAGCAGTATGAGATTGGGAAAGATTCTGGGTTTTGAAGCCATGCAGATTCTAATCTTGGGTCCATTCTTTGGTACCAAATTTGACCTTTATAGAAGCCTGGTGAAACACTTTACACTTATGAAGATCTGGGTAAAGGGTTTTCCTGACTGCTAATGTCCTTCAAAATTGAGTGCCTGGAGCAGTATTTCCCAAAGTGTATTCCAAGCATTATTTGCACTCTAAAATACCTTGGAAACAGTGGGTTCCTTAATCACGTTTGTAGAAACACTGCATTCTGTGTTCTCTCAGCCTTCACCATCCTTATTAGTATATTAAAAGCCTCTAAGAAGTTCCACTATAGGCAATTTTTAAAACCCTTTTGACACAGCAGTCGTATTTCTATGTAAAAGCTATTAATACCATAAGACACGCACTTTGGGAAATGCCGGGCTGTATTATCACTAGGAAAAATAAGTGGGTCTAGCCGGGTTCAGTGGTGTGTGCCTTGTAGTCCCAGCTACTCTGGAGGCTGAGGCAGGAGGATTGCTCGAGCCCAGGTGTTCAAGACCAGCCTGGGCAACATAGTGAGACCCTGTTTCTAAAACAGATAAATAGTTGGGTCTAGTCTTGGTTTAGGCAAAGCCTAATTCTGCTTTTCTTTTTTTCCTTTTTTTTTTTTTTTTGCCAACCAAACAAGCAGCAGTGATAATTGTGTTTTTGATTTCAAGTTCTTCTCACTGGTGCCTTGGAGAGCTTTTCTATATGATCAGAAGAGCAGCTACTGTGATTCCTGGGCTAATGAAGCCTAGACCCCAGCTGGATTGGAAGCAAAGGCCTTTCCTTCACTGGGAAAGGTGCTGCTGCTACCCATCTCATTATTCTAAGAGTGATTGAGAATAGAGGGGCTGAAGGGAAACGAAAGTAGGAGAATGTTGGCCAGAGCTAGTAGAGAAAGAACGTAATATTGAGAAAGCAGACATCAGTGCTAGGTGAGGTGCTTTCTTTAGAGAGCTGTGTGTATAGACTGGGGAGGAGTCTGTCTGGGGACAGGAATGCTGATTCCTTTTTTTCCCTGGGCAGAATCCTAATGTACCTGGCTAGCTGGTGGTGAGTAGGGGCTTTGGGGCCAACTTGGTGGGCTCCCCAAGGAAACCCCTTTGAAACCAATGGATGCATTCACGGGCTCGGGTCTCAAGAGGAAGTTTGATGATGTGGATGTGGGCTCATCAGTTTCCAACTCAGATGATGAGATCTCCAGCAGTGATAGTGCTGACAGCTGCGACAGCCTCAATCCTCCTACCACTGCCAGCTTCACACGTGAGTAAGCTGCTCCGTCCCTGCCTATACCCACATTCCCCAAGCAGCAGAACCCATGGCAGCTCGAGACAGCGTCTGTGTGGCTTGGGGATTTGCCCTTAATCATCATCTTTCCTTGCTCTTTGGAGGACCTCATTTCTCTCATACCGTAGACTAAAGTCTGATTTATTCTAGCTGATTTTACTTGTCTTGTGGGTTGCTGGTTCCCAGAATGGGTTAAATTAGATTGAAAAAGGAGTCTAGGACTCTACCCTGCCCCCACCAGAGTCCCAGAGAGTTCCAGGAAATTGTAGCTGTAGCAGGATATAAATGCTTGCTGCTTGGACAACTGGGGCAAATCCAGATTTCTTAATTCTTTTTTTTTCTCGTTTTGCTCTTGTTGCCCAGGCTGGAGTGCAGTGGCGAGATCTCAGCTCACTGCAACCTCTGCCTGCCGGGTTCAAGTGATTCTCCTGCTTCAGGCCTCCCCAGTAGCTGGGATTATAGGCACCTGCCACCACGCCCGCCTAATTTTTTGTGTTTTTAGTAGAGACAAGGTTTCATCATGTTGGCCAGGTTGGTCTTGAACTCCTGACCACAGGTGACCCACCCGCCTCGGCCTCCCAAAGTGCAGGGATTACAGGCGTGAGCCACTGTGCCCGGCCAAGCTTTCTTAATTCTTACGGCTCTATTAGTTCTTGGAAAGAACTGATACTATATATGAGGGGTTGCCCATGGGCCAAATCTGGCCCAATGCCTGTTTTGTTGGAACACAGTTATACCCATTGTGTATGATTGCTTTCATGCTACAGTGGCAGAGTTGAATTATTGCAACAGAGACCTCATGGCCTGTAGAGCCTAAAATAGTTACTGTCTGGCTCTTGACAGTTTGCTGTCCCCTGCTACAGATCAATGCTATCCAATGGAATTTTCTGTTATGATAGAAATGTTCTGTATCTGCATTGTCCAACAGTAGCCAGTTGCCATATGTGGCTATTGAGCACTTGAAATGTGGTTAGTGGCTGGGCGCAGTGGCTCACGCCTGTAATCTCAGCACTTTGGGAGGCTGATATGGGTGGATCACTTGAACTCAGGAGTTCAAGACCAGCCTGGGCAACATGGCGAAACCTCGTCTCTACAAAAAATACAAAAATTAGCTGGGTGTGGTGGTGTGCAACTGTAGTCCCAGCTACTCTGGAGGCTGAGGTGGGAGGATTACTTGGGCCTGGGAGGTTGGGGCTGCAGTGAGCCGTGATTGTGCCATGCACTCTAGCCTGGGTGACAGAGCAAGAGCCTGTCTCAAAGGAAAAAAGAAAATAAAGAAATATGGTTAGTATAATTGAGCTGAATTTTTGTTTGTTTGTTTTTGAGATGGAGTCTTGCTCTGTCGTCAGGCTGAAGTGCAGTGGCACAATCTCGGCTCACTGCAACCTCCGTCTCCCAGGTTCAAGTGATTCTCCTGCCTCAGCTTCCTGAGTAGCTGGGACTACAGGCATGTGCCACCATGCCCAGCTAATTTTTGTATTTTTAGTAGAGATGGGGTTTCATCCTGTAGGCCAGGATGGTCTTGATCTCTTGACCTCATGATCTGCCTGCCTCGGCTTCCCAAAGTGCTGGGATTACAGGCATGAGCCACCATGCCCGGCCTGAGCTGAATTTTAAATTTTATTTAATTTTAATTAGCTTAAATTGCCACACATGGCTAGTAGCTGCTGTATTGGACAGTAAAGCTGTAGATTCTTATATCCAGAAAAGATTAACTAGAGATCCTCTTCCCAGCTGATGTCTAAAAATGGATTTTGTGGTCATCTGTTTAGGTATAGTCAGTCTGGAGGCAGTTGTATGAACCAGCTGAAGTTCAAGGTCCCTTCTGACAGAGCATTTAGGATTTGAAGATATTAGACAGTTCTCTAGATATAGAGAGCACGTTTAGAGAAGAAGAGTTGAGAGCCTAGATGGATGAGAAAGAGCAAGCTCCCCAAACAGGTCATCCCTGAGTTAATAAAGCATCTCTCGGCCAGGCATGGTGGCTCACACCTGTAATCCCAGCACTTTGGGAGGCCGGGGCGGGCGGATCACCTGAGGTCAGGAGTTCAAGACCAGCCTAGTCAACATGGCGAAACCCCATCTCTACTAAAATACAAAAATTAGCTGGGCGTGGTGACACACGCCTGTAATCCCAGCTTCTCAGGAGGCTGAGGCAGGAGAATTGCTTGAACCCGGGAGGTGGAGGCTGCAGTGAGCCGAGACAGTGCCACAGCACTCCAGCCTGGGCAACAGAGCGAGACTCCATCTCTAAATAAATAAATAGAAAAATAAATAAAACATCTCTCTGTGCTCCCTTCTCAGCCACATCCATCCTGAAGCGGCAGAAGCAGCTGCGGAGGAAGAATGTACGCTTTGACCAGGTGACTGTATACTACTTTGCCCGGCGCCAAGGTTTTACCAGTGTGCCCAGCCAGGGTGGTAGCTCTCTGGGCATGGCCCAGCGCCATAACTCTGTACGGAGCTATACACTCTGTGAGTTTGCCCAGGAACAGGAGGTGAACCATCGAGAGATTCTGCGTGAGCACCTGAAGGAAGAGAAACTCCATGCCAAGAAAATGAAGGTGCCTAAGTGTTCTGGGATCTACTGCTGTCCATGTAGGAAACCATTTAGGTTCATTGGTTGGTTGGTTGATTGATTTTTTTTTTTTTTTTTTTTCTGGGACAGAGTCTTGCTCTGTCGCCCGGGCTGGAGTGCACTGGCATGATATTAGCTCACTGCAACCTCGGCCTCCCCAGGTTCAAGCGATTTCTTGTGCCTCAGCCTCCCGAGTAGTTGGGATTACAGGTGTGCATCCGTCTTGTTTTTGTATTTTTAGTAGAGACAGGGTTTTGCCATGTTGCCCAGGCTGGTCTCGAACTCCTGGTCTCAAGTGATCTACCTGCCTCGGCCTCCCAAAGTGCTGAGACTACAGGTGTGAGCCACTGCACCCAGCTGATTTTTTTTTTTATTTGACTGTTGTCCTTGGGGTATAGAGATTTCAACTCTTTCTAATGAAAAATCTCAGATTTGAAATCAAATCTCAGTCCAAGACTCCCGTCTTTGCATCTGGCAGGGGAGTCTACCAGATATAGCAAAATGGCTTCCCTAGAATTTCCCCCTCCCAAACCCCCACTGCCTCCCTCAATTTTATGTATGTATGTATGTATGTATGTATGTTTTCTTTTGAGACAGGGTCTCTCTCTGTCACCCAGGCTGGAGTGCAGTGGCTCAATCACAGCTCATTGCAGCCTTGAACTCCTGGCCTCAAGCCATCTGCCAATCTCAGCCTCCCAAGTATCTGGGAACCACAGGCTCATGCCACCATGCCTGGCTAGTATTTTTTTTAATAGTAGTGGGATCTTGCAACGTTGCCCAGGTTGGTCTCAATTCCTGGGCTCAAGTGGTCCTTCCCTCTTGACCTCCCAAAGTGCTGGGATTACAGGCATGAGCCACCATGCCCAACACCCCCGCCCCCAATTTATTTTTAAGTTTAAAATATGAATACGTGAAGGCGTTCAGGTCTGTCACCCTGGAACTCAAGGAAGCACAATTTTCAATTTCTGGTCAAATAATTGTCCCTTGGCCGGATGCACAGAACAGGTTTTGGATATTTCACAGTCTCTGAAAGGATCCTGCTGTTTCTATAATCCCCATCACCCTTACGTGATAATCTTGTAGATACAAACAGCATTATCAAATAGTTATTTAGATTTGTATAATACTGTGCCTGCCACCTGATACAGCACCACCTCTTCTTCGAGAGAGAGAGGCTGGGAAAAGACCCACCTTACATGGCTCTTCATAGCCACTCTTTTTTTTTTTTTTTTTTTTTTTTTTTTTTGAGACGGAGCCTAGCTCTGTTGCCCAGGCTGGAGTGCAGTGGTGCGATCTCGGCTCACTGCAAGCTCCACCTCCCGGGTTCACACCATTCTCCTGCCTCAGCCTCCTGAATAGCTGGGACTACAGGTGCCCAACACCACACCCGGCTATTTTTTTTTTTGTATTTTTAATAGAGACGGGGTTTCACCATGTTAGCCAGGATGGGTTCGGTCTCCTGACCTCGTGATCTGCCCACCTCAGCCTCACAAAGTGCTGGGATTATAGGCGTGAGCCACCGCACTTGGCCACCCATTTTTCATCTTAGTACTGTTTGGTATTCCCACAGCCATAGTTGCTACTACCTCTCAAAAATTTCTCCCAGAGATCCTGATTCCAAATTTGAAGAACACCAGTTTAAGCCTGGCCAGGTTTCTTTGAAGCCCAAAGCATGCTGACCCATATTAAAACAGGTAGCTCCATTATTTCCAGAGTCATGAGAGAGACACGTTAGAATGTGGTGGAGTTGGAGACTGGTGGCAGAGGATGTAGGCTAACCAGAGCATCTCATTCCTTTCTTTCTCTGAGAGCTGTATGTCTACTTCCCTCAGACTATTCCTAAAGCCCTACACCTGTTTTTCTCACTCTAGAATGACATTCAGGCTTCCCTTTCCTCTGTCTGAGGAATTCCATCACTGACCCTGTCACCTTCCAGCTGCCGTAGCAACAGCTGGGCAAATAAACACTGTTCTCATCAATTGCAGTGAAGGCATTCCTTCCTTTCCCTAGAAGAAAACTCCACTCTCCTAAATCTGGCAGAGGAATGATCTGTCAAAACAGTATACCATCCTGTTCTGTGTTCTCCACTTACAGGAATTCTAGGGACGAAGCCAGGCAAACCCAAGACAGATACAGGAGCTCTACTTGTTAGCAGGATGTTTAGTGAGCACCAGCAGTGATGACATCTAATACAGCACTTTGTTTTTTTAAAGATGGGGTCTCATTTTGTTGCCCAGGCTAGTCTCAAACTCCTGGGCTCAAGTGATCCTCCCACCTCAGCCTCCCAAGTAGTTGGGACTACAGGTGTGGGCCACTGCACCAGGCTTATCTTTATATGTCAAGAGGAATCCCTTGCTTTACCTTACCTAGTTTATTCTTTGCTTAGATTTTTTTTTTCTCTTGAAACAGGGTCTCACTCTGTCATCCAGGCTGGAGCACAGAGGCAATCCTCAAGCGATCCTCCTGCCTTAGCCTCCCAAATAGCTGGGACTGCAGCTGCACCCACCACCATGCTTGGTTAATTTTTGTAGGTTTTTTTTTTTTTTTTTGATGCAGGGTCTCACTCCGTTGCCCAGGCTGGAGTGCAGTGGCGCAATCTCGGTTAACTGCAACCTCCGCCTCCCAGGTTCAAGCGATTCTTGTGCCTCAGCCTCCCTCAACTGAGATTATAGGCATGTACCACCATGCTGGGCTAATTTTTTTATTTTTAGTAGAGACGAAGTTTTGCCACGTTGGCCAGGCTAGTCTCGAAGTCCTGGCCTCAAGTGATCCACCCGCCTCGGCCTCCCAAAGTGCTGGGATTACAGGAGTGAGCCACCATGTCCGGCCAGTTTTTGTAGAGATGGGGTCTTGTTCTGTTGCCCAAGCTGGTCTCGAACTCCTGGTCTTAAGCGATTCTTCCACCTTAGTCTCTCAGAGGTGCTGGGATAACAGTCATGCGCCACTGCACCAGGCCTGTTTTTTAGCTCTCTATAAGGGAGGCAGTTGGTTTCAAAAAATGTACATTCTGCATCTCTCATGTACCATCTAATGTTTGTCTTCCTTTGGGGTTGTTCCAGCAGCTGCTTGGTGTTCCGCAACTTTAGTTAACTATAATTTTTCTAATATTTTTATTTCATTTTTTGTATTTTGGCCTGTTATCCATATGGAACTCATTATCATGAATAGTATACATTGGGAATCTTTTTTCCCCCAGAAAATATCCACTTGTTCCAATACGATTTAATAACTAGAAGACTCTTTTCTCACTGATTTGAAATGCCACTTCTATCTCGATATTTAAATTCTCACATCTATATGAGTGTCCTCGTGTTACATCTCTAATCCCT
This sequence comes from Homo sapiens, assembly GCF_000001405.40. Taxonomy (NCBI): domain Eukaryota; kingdom Metazoa; phylum Chordata; class Mammalia; order Primates; family Hominidae; genus Homo; species Homo sapiens. The sequence continues at coordinate 51,070,479 of NC_000012.12, read as the reverse complement.
TGCCTATGAGAGGACAGCAGGAGGGGGTATGCTTAGGGGGAGGTCAACCCTGGAGATGTAGACAGGAGCAATCCTGAGATAAACAGAAAGGCCCTTTGTAGTTGGCCTGCCTAGTACCGAAATCACTGACTAGGAAACCTCCAGAAGCCCCACTTTACTTCTCTTCATTTCTCTACCACCTCCCCCACAAACAAGAAAACCAGGTGTGTAGCTGATTACCCAAGCCCATTGCATCACATCTCTCCCAGGAGTTGTTCCTTTAGCAGCTCTACTCTGGTTGTCTGATGAAATCAACCAAAGGCTCCAGTCACGTGGCTTTCATCCTGCTAGCAGCTTCCAGAGCCCCAGGGATTATGAGGCCTCATTTTCTTGAGTTCTCTAGTGAGTTTTCAGAACTCTTTCAGCCACGGCTTGTCTTCAATCTGTCCTTCCACCAAGACTCCCTTTCTTGGCTCTCTATCCATCTCAGCCCAGAAAACCCAGATTTCTCGGTGGCTCACGCCTGTAATCCCAGCACTTTGGGAGGCTGAGGCGGGCGGATCATGAGGACAGGAGATCAAGACCATCCTGGCTAACACAGTGAAACCCCGTCTCTACTAAAAATACAAAAATACAAAAAATTAGCGAGGCGTGGTGGCAGGCGCCTGTAGTCCCAACTACTCGGGAGGCTAAGGCAGGAGAATGGCGTGAACCCAGGAGGCGGAGCTTGCAGTGAGCCGAGATTGCAGCACTGCACTCCAGCCTGGGTGACAGAGTGAGACTCAGTCTCAAAAAAAAAGAAAAAAAAGAAAAAAAAAAACCCAGATTTCTGCCTGTACATAGTACGCTCAGTATTATTGATACCACCTTTCCTCACATACAGCTTTTCTTTGAAGTCAAATAAAAAAGGATTAGGCCTGGTGCAGTGGCTCAGGCCTGTAATTATAGCACTTAGGGAGGTGGAGTTGGGTGTATCAGTTGAGGTCGGGAGTTCGAGACCAGCCTGGGCAACATTGTGAAACCCTGTCTCTACTAAAAATACAAAAATTAGCTGAGCATGGTGGCAGGAGCCTGTAATTCCAGCTACTTGGAAGGCTGAGGCAGGAGAATCACTTGAACCCAGGAGGCAGAGATTGCAGTGAGCCGAGATCATGCACTGCATTCCATCCTGAGCGACAGTGAGACCCTGTCTCAAAAAAAAAAAAAAAAAAAAGAAAGGAGAAGGAAGCCGGGCACGGTGGCTCATGCCTGTAATCCCATCACTTTGGGAGGCCGAGGTGGGCAGATTACAAGGTCAGGAGATTGAGACCATCCTGGCTAACACGGTGAAACCCCATGTCTACTAAAAATACAAAAAGTTAGCCGGGCGTGGTGGCAGGTGCCTGTAGTCCCAGCTACTCGGGAGACTGAGGCAGGAGAATGGCGTGAACCCAGGAGGTGGAGCTTGCAGCGAGCTGAGATCACGCCACTGCACTCCAGCCTGGGCGACAGAGCGAGACTCCGTCTCAAAAAAAAATGAAAAAAGAAAGGAGAAGAAATACATTTTTTCTCGGCCAAGGGCTTTCTTTAATACCTGTTAATATATTTGCTTTTTCTCCTTACAGTAGAATGAAGCTCTTTAGTGCATGCACAGATAATTGTTCACACTGTGGGGATTTGGGTTCATTGATTAAGACCTGGTAGCCTTTTACTACACTTTAATTTGCCCTTTTTTTTTCAAGAAGGTAGTTTTGCATTCAGTGGGTGCAAGTTGAAGGGTGTTTCACATTTTTCTGTATATCCAAGGATCATCCAGTCATTCACATACCTTTTCCTCTCTGTGTTAGAAGGCAAGTGAGTGTAAATTAGGGGATACATGTCTGGAAATAGACGGTATGTTTGTGGAAATAGATTTTCGTGTAGGAGGGAAGATGAGACGGGTTTTTGAGAAGCTTGGACCCAGAAAGGTGATGGTACGTAAGATTTCCCATCTTCCCACTCTGGATTTATTCTTTTGACTTGTGCTAGTGAATATAGCAGCCAGTAGTCACATACGGCTATTCAATTAAAATTATGTAAATTGGGCTGGCACAGTGGACCCCAGCACTTTGGGAGGCCGAGGTGTGTGGATCACTTGAGGCCAGCAGTTCAAGACTAGCCTGGCCAACACAGTGAAACCCTGTCTTTACTGAAAATAGAAAAAATTAGCCAGGCTGGTGACTCACGCCTGTAATCCCAACTACTTGGGAGGCAGGAGAATCGCTTGAACCCGGGAGGCGGAGGTTGTAGTGAGCCAAGACTGCACCACTGCACTCCCGCCTGGACGACAGAATGAGACTTTTGTCTCAAAAAAATAAATAAAATGACAGTTTTCCAATTGCTGCATTTCTAGTGCTCAGTAGCCACATGTGCTAGTAGCTGCCATCATTTTGGACAGCACAGATATTCCCATGATTGCAGAAGGTTCAAGGGACAGTGCTGCTCTGGGATGGTCACTGAGGAGGTGCATGCCGCTCATGTCTATGAGGCTAACCTTTCCTGTCTCTTGGCAGCTGACCAAGAATGGGACAGTGGAGTCGGTGGAGGCTGATGGCCTGACGCTGGATGATGTGTCAGATGAAGATATTGATGTGGAAAATGTGGAGGTGGATGATTACTTCTTCCTGCAGCCTCTGCCCACCAAACGGCGACGGGCCCTGCTGAGGGCTTCTGGGGTCCACCGTATTGATGCTGAAGAGAAGCAAGAACTTCGAGCCATCCGCCTGTCACGGGAAGAATGTGGTTGTGACTGCCGACTGTATTGTGACCCAGAAGCGTGTGCCTGCAGCCAGGCTGGGATTAAATGCCAGGTCAGTCCAAGTTGGCCTGAGATAGTATATCTACACCAGGGTCAGCGGGGTGAGGTGTGGGTGCCACTGAACATGGGAGGCCCATTCAGGGGTGGATTCCCTATGGTTGTGAACACTCTCCAGTTCCACAACCCTCCTCCGTCAACAGAGTAAGCAAACAGCACACGGCCAGGCATGGTGGCTCACACCTCTAATCCTAGCTATGTGGGAGGCTGAGGTAGGAGGATCTCTTGAGTCCAGGAGGTCAAGGCTGCAGTGAGCTGAGTTCACACCAGTGCACGCCAGCCTGGGTCACAGAGTGAGACCCTGTCTCTTAAAATTTTTGCAAAGAAAACAAGCATGACAGGATTCTTAGGCTGTGGAGGTATCTCATCTTTTTTTGTTTCATTTCTCAGAGGTGATAAGAAGCAGCTGTTAGGAAAGGGATGAAGAGGAGTTAGTACATTTAACATTTAGTAAATGTTTCCTAAATACTGATTCCTAAACAGTATTTCCTAAATACTGTTTCCTAAATACTGATTCCTTGAGATAAAAGGAAGCAGGACTGGGCATGGTGGCTCACATCTGTAATCCCAGCACTTTGGGAGGCCGAGGCAGGCAGGCAGATTGCTTCCCAGGAGTTCGAGACCAGCCTGGGCAACATGGCTAAGCCCCATCTTTACAAAAAATACAAAAATTAGCTGGACATGGTAGCATGGGCCTGTAGTCCCAGGTACTCAAGAGGCTGAGATGGGAGGAGGATCACTTGAGCCTGGGAGGCATAGGTTGCAGTAAGCTATGATTGTGCCACTGCACTCCAGCCCGGGCGACAGAGCAAGACCCTGTCTCAAAAAGTTAGCAGAGGAATGGTGTGGGCCTGTAGATTCTATCTGCAAACACTTATTGTTCAGTACCTCTACTCCAATTTTGAAAAAATCAAAATAGTATTCAGAGCTTTATAATTCAGGATCAGACCTGGCCTAGCAGAGCTTAAAACCATAGTTATCTGAAAGAGAAAGTATCATCTCTTGTTGGCTGCCCTTTTTTTTTTTTGAGACGGAGTCTCGTTCTGTCGCCCAGGCTGGAGTGCAGTGGCGCGATCTTGGCTCACTGCTACCTCCACCTCCTGGGTTCAAGTGATTCTCCCGCCTCAGCCTCCCAAGTAGCTGGGATTACAGGTGTGCACCACTATGCCCGGCTAATTGTTGTATTGTTGTAATTCTTTTTTTTTTTTTTTTTTGAGACGGAGTCTTGCTCTGTTGCCAGGCTGGAGTGCCGTAGCGCGTGATCTCGGCTCGCTGCAACCTCTGCCTCCCGGGTTCAAGCAATTCTCCTGCCTCAGCCTCCCGAGTAGCTGGGACTATAGGCACACACCACCACACCCAGCTAATTTTTGTATTTTTAGTAGAGACGGCGTTTCACCATGTAGGCCAGGATGGTCTCGATCTCTTGACCTCGTGATCCGCCTGCCTCAGCCTCCCAAAGTGCTGGGATTACAGGCGTGAGCCACCGCACCTGGCCAGCTTTTGTATTTTTAGTAGAGACAGGGTTTCATCATGTTGGCCGGGCAGGTCTCAAACGCCTGACCTCAGGTGATCTGCCTGCCTCAGCCTCCCGAAGTACTGGGATTACAGGCATGAGCCACCGTGCCTGGCCCCTTGTTGGCCCTCTGATGGGGGACAGTTTAAGACACATTTCAGTTGAAAACAGCAATACCATCCCTAAGAATGAAATTTATCTGGAACTTAATTATTGAGGGTGTAGATGCTGAGTCCTTGTGGTTGGATTTCTCCTAACTCACTCTTTCTTTATTTTTAGCTGGGTAACAAATAACTGTGGTATATCTGGCCAAATACTGCTTTTCAGACCAAAGTCCCATAATGAGTCATTCTGTTACACACACACCTGAGAACAGTCCTAAGAATTGATGCAGCTGGGCCTGGCATGTTGGCTCACACCTGTAACTAGCACTTTGGGAGGCTGGGGTGGAAGGACTGCTTGAGCCCAGGAGTTTGAGGCCAGCCTGGGCAACATAGCGAGACCCCATCTCTACAAAAAATTTTAAAATTAGGGCCGGGCGCGGTGGCTCACACCTGTAATCCCAGCATGGCTCCAGGCTGCAGTGAGCCATGATGGCACCACTGCACTCCAGCCTGGACGACAGAGCAAGACCCTATCTCCAAAGGAAAAAAAAATGGTATAACTGGAGTGGAGATTTCTATAAGTCAGTATCATAGAAAGACATTGTGATTTGTACATGCTTATTTGCTTACTTGTGGTTTTAATTTTTCCTTTTATTTTTGGTTTATGTGTTTTTCCTGTTGGAATATGAAAGTGATAAGGAGGTAGAAAGCATCTCCTTTCCAGATATTCCTGGTCTGTAAGTTAATTATCTTGGTAACTGCTTCAGAACTAAACTAGTCAACCCTCAGGGAAAATAAAGCAGGTAGCTAAAAAATTGGCCACTGTGTGAACCTGCGTTCTAGCACCTTAGCAAACTAAGGCACATTTGCTTAGTTTCCCCAGAATGTATTTTTTTTGAAGTAGCAAGATCTTCCACTCACTCTCCCATGCCTGTCATTGCAGGCCATAGGCTTGGTTCCAGCCTTTTGTTGTCTCAGTGAACCAGGTAAGTTCTGAAAAAGTCTCTGAGGCTCGTAAATTTCCTCTGTGAAAACTATCAGCATTCAGAGAAGTATCTCTGGACTCTTAACTGGAAGGACCCTGTGCTGTGATTTTGTCTACTTGTTATTTAGAAGAGGAAACAAAGCCCTAGAGAGATAAATGATTCTCTTGAGGTCACACCACTAATTAATGGCTGAGCTGGGATTGAAATGCAAGTGGTCTGATAACTACCATCTAGTGTTCTGTTAGCTCACACTGCATGCTATGCTTTGAATTGGTTGCTTTTCTTCTTACAAGGAGACCTCAAATCCCAACTGCCTGTTTGCCAGCTCATGTCTCCTGTCTCCATTGTTAGGATTGTAGGTCTCATCTTGCCCCAACCTTCTTGTCCCCGCTCAGGTGGATCGCATGTCCTTTCCATGTGGCTGCTCCCGGGATGGCTGTGGGAACATGGCAGGACGCATTGAATTTAATCCAATCCGGGTCCGGACTCATTACCTCCACACCATTATGAAGCTGGAGCTGGAGAGCAAGCGGCAGGTGAGCCGCCCAGCAGCCCCAGATGAGGAGCCCTCCCCGACTGCCAGTTGCAGCCTGACAGGAGCACAGGGCTCTGAGACCCAGGACTTCCAGGAGTTCATTGCTGAGAATGAGACAGCAGTGATGCACCTGCAGAGTGCAGAGGAACTGGAGCGGCTCAAGGCAGAAGAAGATTCCAGCGGCTCTAGTGCCAGCCTGGACTCGAGCATCGAGAGCCTGGGTGTGTGCATCCTAGAGGAGCCTCTGGCTGTCCCCGAAGAGCTGTGCCCAGGCCTTACAGCCCCCATTCTCATCCAGGCTCAGCTGCCCCCAGGCTCCTCTGTCCTGTGTTTTACCGAGAACTCAGACCACCCAACTGCCTCAACGGTGAACAGCCCATCCTACTTGAACAGTGGGCCCCTGGTCTATTATCAAGTGGAGCAGAGGCCAGTCTTGGGAGTGAAAGGAGAGCCTGGTACGGAAGAAGGCTCAGCCTCTTTCCCAAAGGAGAAGGATCTGAATGTCTTCTCTCTCCCTGTTACCTCACTCGTGGCTTGTAGCTCCACAGACCCAGCTGCCCTCTGTAAATCAGAGGTGGGGAAAACACCCACCCTAGAAGCTCTATTGCCCGAAGATTGTAACCCTGAGGAGCCTGAAAATGAAGACTTCCACCCTTCCTGGTCCCCCTCAAGCCTCCCCTTCCGCACGGACAATGAAGAGGGCTGTGGGATGGTGAAGACCTCCCAGCAGAATGAGGATCGGCCCCCTGAAGATTCTTCCTTAGAACTCCCTCTGGCAGTGTGACAGGCGCTAGAGGTCCTGCCTCTTACCCATTCTCTATTTATTCCCTTATTTTATCTAACACCATTTCAAAACAAAACTGTAGAAGCAGCTGCTGCTCCCATGTTATTTTATTGGGGTCTTTGGGGAATGGGTGGGAAAGGATTGTTTGAGTATTTTTTAAAAGGGAAACAGTACCAAGGAGACCAGCCCTACCTTGATCTGGGGATAGTCTTGGGGCAAAGAAAGCTGCGTAGTGCTGAACATTAAGCTTTCTGGGCCACTGGAACAAAGAACTAGGATCTCACAGGAAAAGCTGGGTAACTCAAGCAGCTATTCTTTCTGTAGGGACCAGAACACGAGAATTTGAAGAGCATGGCAAAGCCCTTTCTCTCCCAAGCCCCAGGCAGAGTACAAGCTCATTTTTCTCGGTGGTTATTCTGATATCCCATTTTGGTGTGTCATAATACTTCAAACTGGAAAGTCACCTGGTCGAGTCTAGGGAGGAGGGAGTGGAAGGGTCTCTGCTTCTGTACAAAATCTCCAGGATTTACAAAAATGTAACCTGCCTTCCTTCAATCCCATATTTGGTAAATAAGTTAATATTTGACATGTTTGGTGTTCTCTGACCTGTTCCCCACACTGGGGATTCCTGGTCTGTAACTTGAATTGTTTCTTCCACATGTTCTTAAGTACTAGAGTTAAACTTGTCTATGTGTCTTTTTTCTCTCCATCCTTTTTCCTTCGGAGAAAGAGCTGGATTGGCTGGGGATATGGTATAACGAGCCTGAGCCTTCTGTACGTGTCTGACACTAGCACTGTCAGGCAGCTTTCGGCTGGGGCTCACCCATCCCATAGGAGGCCTATGTGGAGCATTAACTGTGGCCAAAGGAGGCAGCGGGAACAGGCTGCTTGCTATCTGGAAAGATGACATATTTGTGCCATGCTTGTTTTTTCACCCAGGTTTTTCCCTCTTTGTGAGATCTGAGCTTTAGTGGAATGTAGAATGTGGCAATCTTAAGGTCACCAATCAGTTTTTGTTCTTTTTTCCTGGATCTACCCTCATGGTCGTTTTCAACATAGCGGGTTAGAGTTCTTATACTGTTCCAGTTCAATTCCAAGAATTGCAAATGTTTATTGGACCCCTCCATCTTGATGATATATAAAAATTGGAAGCCAAACCAGTTCTTAAATGCTACATGCAACTCCCAGATTCCAAAGGATTCAAGTTCTAATTATAACCTTTGAAGCGTATAGAATGGAACTCATTCAGTTTGATTCAGTTCTTACCTCTGTCAGGAGGAATACAGTTCCTGTTCATCCTGTGTTCTAAGATCTCCATTGAACAGCACTGATTTCCTTTCATTAGCAAAGTGATCTTTGTCTCTGTTCTAAAATGGAGGCAGTAGGGAGCAAAACTATTCTTCTCAAGCATCCTTTACACCATACTTTACTTCTGGTATGGTTTATTAACCACACACACACACAAAAGTGAAAAACTGTGTTGGGGGGGAGACACTACTCCTACTTATCTTGCTCATAAAGCCTTTTCTGGTGGGATATTAAGGCCCTGGTGTCTTACAGAAACCATCACGTATGTCGCAGCAGCATTTCACCCCTGAAGTCTCTAAACTCTGAGCCTGAAAAGATTTGTATTTAATACACATAACATTTTTTAGTTCATTCTGCCTTTCCTATTTGTTCCAGTTTTTGCTTGGTTTTAGTTTGGAGGGGAACTTAAGTACACAGATCCTTATCTCTCCCCATCCCCTAGCCTCACAAAACACAGTTGAGAGTCTTTTAAGTACCTGAGCTCTCGAAGCTACCCAGAACTGAACTAGACTCCCCTACCTTAGACTGGTACCCTCAAACACAGGACTGAAGCTTAATTGGGAATTTGGCTTTATGGAGAAAAGAATCTTTTTCAAAGTTTGTGTCGGAAGGGGAGGGTGAGGTTTGCCCACTGTCTCTGCAGGAAGGCTCCGGCTTAATCTAGGAAGTAGATTCCAGCTGCACGATGAGGAACACATTAGCTTTTGGGATCAAACCAGGAATATGAATCTGTAATTATTAAGCTCATTGCCAACCCACAAGATATGTTTCTGAAAACCTGTAGTTTCTTAATTTAAGTCCATCCCCTTCATTAACGCTACAGTTGTGACTCACACTGATCCCAAACTTTTAAGTGCTAAATATTAACATTTAGCATTAACTGTCTTGTCAAGCGAAAGGCCTTCTCTACAACCTAGTCCATCTCACTTCTGGTGCTACCTGAGTTGGACAGAATTCTAGCTCATGGTTGCTAGGAAAGCTAGGCCTCTGATCATAGAAGCAGATAGCTTCAGTCCCAGTCTAGGCCTAGATAAATGACTCTTATTACCACAACCCTTATTATTTTCCAATTTCCTTTCTCACATACTGTACACAGGTAGTATTTTCAATGTGAATCCAAAGCTTGTCTGGTTCTCTGAAAATAATTTTTTCCCCTTTAGGTTCTTTACATTGTGATAATGCTGTATTTAAAGAGAATATTTAAATGTAATATTAAAGAAATATTCAAAAGAATGATGTGTTACTCTTTGTCTCGGCAGGCCACAGTTCAGTTACTTGTTAGAAAAAGGATGCTTCTCTAGCTTCGTTATAAAACTAATTAGGTCAGTTAGGAATTAATGTTAACAATAGAAACATTTTGTGATGGAAAAATAGAATATTCTCTTTGGAGTACCAAGAGCTGGACTTGGTTCATATGCCCTTGTGTACCTGTTCAGCTGAAGCAGGCCTTGCTCCTGCTCTGTTGGAGCTTAGCCCTGTCCCTACTCTGGGCTCCCATTTTCTCATTCCATTAACTTTTTTTTTTTTTTTTTTTTTGAGACAGAATCTCATTCTGTCGCCCAGACTGGAGTGCAGTGTCGTAATCTCGGCTCACTGCAAGCTCCGCCTCCCGGGTTCACGCCATTCTCCTGCCTCAGCCTCCTGAGTAGCTGGGACTACAGGCGCCCACCACCACGCCTGGCTAATTTTTTGCTATTTTAGTTGAGACGGGGTTTCACCGTGTTAGCCAGGATGGTCTTGATCTCCTGACCTTGTGATCCGCTCGCCTCAGCCTCCCAAAGTGCTGGGATTACAGGCGTGAGCCGCCGCGCCCGGCCTCATTCCATTAACTTTATGAAATTCTCTTTTCCTTGTTATCACCTTAAAGTGTCCAGCAAGGAGATCAACTTCAAATCAGTTTCTGCAAAACTTCCATCCCATCAGAAGGTTCTATGCCAACCAATTAAATCCCCATTTGTTAGATTATGTCAGTCTTGTAAAAGGAGACAGCAAAATGATTAGAGTATGCATAAGTCATTTCCATCAACAGGTTTCAAGCAGTCTTTACTTGGGTTTAAAAACAGTGCTTCATGCATTTACAATAAGTTATTACAGAACTCTAAGTCACTGATGCACACACAAAAGCTAAACCCAACTTACTAACTATGCAGACCTCTCCTGATCTCCCCAGGCTGGGCAGTAATTAGTACCTTACAGGTGTGATCCATGGCCCAGAGAAGGCAGCCACTGTCAGTTACAGTTGGACTGCTGCATCACAGTGGAGGCAGCAGAGTTGAAGATCCACAGAGGGCTGTAATACAGCCCAGAAAAGACAATGGAGAGTGAAGGCTAGAAACATTGAGGAAGGGGTCAAGAAGCACTTGTACTTCCTGTTATCTTTTCCAATAGAATATTCCTGCAAGTTACCCATCAGAAAAAGGTGTTCAGAGGGTTTGAAAAAGAAGTGGTTAGCCCATGCCAGTGAAGGTGACAAAAAACAAAACAACTTGATTTTTGGTCATATCAGAAAGGATGGAGGGAAACACCCAAGTACATGCACGGACACATGTGCTCCAGCCAAAGGAGTGCTGTTTTCACCAGCCACAAATTTTCTAACAGCAACAACAAAAACCCACAGATGTAAGTAACATGGAAGTGGATCAGTCCTAAGCCAAATAAGGATTCCCACCTGGGGCAAAAGCTGACTTCCTAGGACATGAACTGAACACATCACAGTAAAAGCCCAGTAGAGGCTGCTGCCAGTTCCAGCTATTAGTAATTATGAGGGGGACAGGATGACACCTCACACGGACCACCCCTAGCAAGAGGGTTTGTTTCAGTTCTAGCTGTGAGAGGAATGTCTGCAGTTCCCACATGTGTGCCATGCTGTGAAGCCCATGGCCCCTGCTCCTCTCTCTGCCTCCCACACACTTAACAGTACACACAGACTTTGCTGGCAAGTGCTGTTTGTTCCTGCACTGCTATACTATACGACTGCAGGACAATGCCATCCGCTCCATGGTTCATTCAGCGCCTTGTCCCAAGGTAGTTGGTGGAGAGCAGGACCACGTTGTGCAGCAAGAGAGACAGCTCAGCTTCTGAAAACACAGTGTTAGTGGTTTGGCTTGGGAACACTGCCTTATAACTGCCTTGTTATATATGGCTTAAGCCTGGAGGCAGGAAGCCAAGTGCAGGGAGGGGTGGAATGAAGAAGCTGTTTTTCTCAAAGTTCCCCTTCTTTGTTTCAGCCCCTGTATGCATGCCTTCCTTTCCTTCTACTATATATTCGTATCAACTCATCCTCTATTTCTCATGTGATTGCAGTAGAAAATTCAGAGATGGTAATGGTACTAAACACCAGTCGCGTTGGGATTCTTCTGGTAGAAGTTGGTGCTCTAGGGACATTTCTCAGCTTCAAGATTAGTAGGCCTACCCTAACATCCAAAGGCCCACAAAACATCAAGACCTAGCCTAAACAGGGGGCAAACAAGCCTAATACATACCCTCAGATGCTTTGTGTTTGGTCAGCAGACTGTTTTTTTTCTGAGTTTGAATGCCTTTAGACCAGTACTTCTCAACGGGGACAATCCTGCCTCTCTCCTCCCCACCCCTAGGACATTTGGCAATGTCTAGAGACATTTTTGGTTGAGACAACTGTGGGTGAAGGGGTGCTACTGGCATCTAGTGGGTAGAGGCTAGGGATACTGCTATAATAAATACCTATAAAGAACAGGATAGGCTGGACATGGTGGCTCACGCCAGTGATCCCAAAACTTTGGGAGGCCGAGGCCAGCGGATCACCTGAGGTCGGGAGTTCGAGATCAGCCTGACCAACATGGAGAAACCTGGTCTCTACTAAAAAAAAATACGAAATTAGCTGGGCGTGGTGGTGCATGCCTGTAATCCCAGCTACTTGGGAGGCTGAGACAGGAGAATCACTTGAACCCAGGAGGCAGAGGTTACGGTGAGCCGAGATCGCACCATTGCACTCCAGCCTGGGCAACAAGAGCGAAACCCCGTCTCAAAATAAATAAATAAATAAATAAATAAAGCACAGGATATTCCCCCCATAAGGAAGTGCCAAGGTTGGAAAATTCACACTAGCATGCATTCACTCTTAGGTTTCCACAGTCCCCACTACTCCCTCTTGTCTTATGGCCTACTTCGTTACCTGCCGGGCATGCAGTAGGCATGTGAGTTTGTGCCCTTTCAATTAGATGTATGTATATATATGTCTCACAGTACTCAATAATTAACTCCAAAATGACCTCAGAATAAAATACAAAAGTGACTTGGATTTTAGTGGTATAACCACAGAAATGTGTTTTACCTTTCAGGCTGCAGGAAATCTGCAGCCATTCTCCCAGCCAAGTTCGACACCTATCTTCACCAATATGCGTAGAATTCAGGCCACGGAGATAACAAGCCTATACCACTCAGAACAGAAATGGTCCTTAATAATCATAGAATGATTATGCCAAGGAAATGGAAATCCACAAACAATCCTAAATCTCCTTTAAATAAGTTACAATCTCACCGGGCACGGTGGCTCGTGCCTGTAATCCCAGCACTTTGGGAGGCCGAGGTAGGCGGATCACGAGGTCAGGAGTTGGAGACCAGCCTGGCCAATATGGTGAAACACCATCTCTACTAAAAAATACAAAAATTAGCCAGGCGTGGTGGCATGCACCTGCAGTCCCAGCTACTCGGGAGGCTGAGGCAGGAGAATCACTGGAACCTGGGAGGCGGAGGTTGCAGTGAGCCAAGATCATGCCACTGCACTCCAGCCTGGGCAACAGAGCGAGACTCTGTCTCAAAAAAAAAAAAAAAAGTTACAATCTCATTCCCACATGAAGCCTTTCCTCATGGCAATTTGAAAACTAGTGATGGACAAGATGACAAAAGCAAAGAGTCCTATATAAGCTAAAATAGTAGGTCTAAACTGCAGTATCCTTGCTTTCTGAAGTGCCAGAAGAAAAGAAATACAAACCAAAATTTCTGTGGGCAATTCCTTCCCCCTAGCTAAGTTTCTTGAGAAAAAAGACACAGAAATGAGGTGAGGAGCTGGGCGCAGTGGCTCATGCCTGTAATCCCAACACTTTGAAAGGCCAAGGCGGGAGGATCACTTGAGCCCAGGAGTTCAAGACCAGCCTGGGCAACATAGTGAGACCCTGTCTCTACAAAAATAAAAAATAATTTTATTTTATTTTTTGGGTTTTTTTTGAGACAGAGTCTCACTCTATCACCCAGGCTGGAGTGCAGTGGTGCGATCTTGGCTCACTGCAATCCACCTCCTGGGTTCAAGCAATTCTCATGTCTCAGCCTCCCAAGTACCTGGGATTACAGGCATGTGCCACCACTCCTGGCTAATTAAAAAATAATTTTTAAAAAGGCCGGGCACAGTGGTTCACGGCTGTATTCCCAGCACTTTAGGAGGCCAAGATGGGAGGATTGCTTGAGGCCAGGAGTTCAAGACCAGCTTGGTTAAAATAGTGAGACTGAAAAATAAATAAATATGCTGGGTGCGGTAGCTCACACCTGTAGTCTCGGCACTTTGGGTTGATGGATCTCTTGAGGCCAGGGGTTTGAGATCAGCCTGGCAAACATGGTGAAACCATCTCTACTAAAAATACAAAAAATTAGCTGGGCGTGGTGGTGCACACCTGTAATCCAGCTACTTGGGAGGCTGAGGTAGGAGGATCACTTGAACCGGGAGGCAGAGGTTGCAGTGAGCCAAGACTGTGCCACTGTACTCTAGCCTGGGCAACAGAATGAGACTCTGTCTCAAAATAAATAAATAAATAAAAATAAATCATAAATAAATAAATGAAGTGAGAGAATAAAGAAGCTGGGTTCTATAAACAAACAAGACAAGGAGCCCCTGTAAACCTCCGGCCTGCCATAGGCTCAAAAGCACACCAAGGGTTGAGGGTTGATGTTGCAATCAAGCTCTTACCGATTTTACTTCCTGAGCAGTCAGCTGGCCAATCCCCAGCTTTGCCAAAGCCTTGTCCAGTTGGTGAATCACAGTTGTATGAGTCTTCAAACGATGTCTCAACAAGGGAGGAGGCAGGTAAGATGTGAGAAGCATGGCCCGGCTCAAGGCTTTCTGTAACACAACCACATAGGAGGGGAAAGGCAAATAGTATGAGCTCAAGCAAACACCTGAAACATGGTGATGCTATGGAAAAGAGAAGCCCTCAAAGTGCTCACCACGTGCAAAGCCTGGAGTTGGTTCATGCCCAGAGGATGGTTAGAGAAACACTCTCTCAGAGCCAAGATATCATGTATTGCTGGGTGGGTACCACGCTGTATCTTGGAAGAGGTAAGAGATTTGTAGATGTTAGGAAAGTCCTGACTACTCCTCTTACCTAGTTTAGTGCACACTGAATCTAACAAGATTCCACATTTGTAGGAAGGGTTAACTGCAGGAATACCTTGGTGCACAGATCTGTCAGACGCCACCGGAGTCCTGCATCAGAAATGAGAGGGATGACCTTTTCTAAATAACTAATAATTTCTGGGTGGGACTGCTTCCGGAAAGCATGATAGATATCTAAGAAATCAGTTTGTTGTTTTGGGGTCCAGAAATGCCTGATCAGTAGTTGCCTGGGAAACAGGTACCTGAAAGGAGAAAGAATCACAAACTCACTTGCTGAAACTGGCTTCTTTCAGAGGAAGCCAAAGAAAGCATTTGGTAGACATGAATACTAGGAAGAAGAGATGGAGACACTATTTCCCTACCTCAGTGTTCTTTTTCTTTTTCAGTTTTTTTTTTTTTTTTTTTTTTTTTAAGAGACAGGGTCCCCTCTCTCACCCAGGCTGGAGTACAGTGGCAAGATCACAGCTCACTGCAGCCTCGACCTCCTAGGCTCAAGCAATCCTCCCACCACAGCCTACTGAGTAGCTGGGACTACAGGCACAGGCCACTATGCCTGGCTAAGTTTTTAATTTTTTTGCAGAGACGGGTCTTGCTATATTGCCCAGGGTGGTCTCAAACTCCTGGTCTCAAGCAATCTTCCTGCTTCAGTCTCCCCAAGTGCTGGGATTACTGGTGAGAGCCACTACAGTCAGCCCTTTCTCTTAAGTGACTCTCAGACCAAAGTTTATAAGACACACTGAAGCACAATTTCAAGCACCATTACTGAAATGGGATGTGAAAGGAAGGACTAGCAGAATAGCCTGCCACGCAGCAATCAGATATAATGACTCATTTTGAACTAAAGCATGTGAAGAGCATGCTTTGGAGAGAGTTGCAGCCTGACCAGGACACTATATGTGATGTTGACAATCTAACTATAGCACAGTCCTTATGTGGACCCAGTATGTAAAAGGCAACTGATTTGTTGTTTTTTTTTTGAGACAGAGTCTCGCTCTGTCACCCAAGCTGGACTGCAGTGGCGCGATCTCGGCTCACTGCAACCTCTGCCTCCTGGGTTCATGCGATTCTACTGCCTCAGCCTCCCAAGTAGCTGGGATTACAGGCACCCGCCACCACGCCTAGCTAGTATTTTGTATTTTTAGTAGAGACAGGGTTTCACTGTGTTAGCCAGGATGGTCTCAATCTCCTGACCTTGTGATCTGCCCGCCTCGGCCTCCCAAAGTGCTGGGATTACAGGCGTGAGCCACTGCACCTGGCCACGATTTGTTTTTTAATTTATTTATCTACGTGTTTGGTGGTTTTAAAACATGACCTCAAATTCTCTGGCACTTGTCTCATGGAGAGCTGAGGTCTACATCCTGCCCTTTTTTCATTCTAGGTGACTGATTCAATCAATAGGACAGAGCAGCAGTGACTCTATGTGACCTTCAAGACAAGGTTATAAAGTCATGTAGATTCTTACTAGAACCCCTCACTCTTGGAGCCCTGAGCTCCCAAGTTAGAAGTCCCACTATCTTGAGGCTGCCATACTGAAGAAGCCACATCTGGGCACTCTGGTTGACAGTTCTAGCCGTGTAGCCATCCCTGCCAGGGCACCAGACATAAGAGTGATATTGGACTTTCCAGACTAGTCCATTCAGCAGCTAAATATCACTAAGGGACCTCTGTCAACCCTATATGGAAGAGAGAAATCAACTGCCCACCTGAGCACTGCCCTAATTCTTGAGCTACAAAATCATGAAAATGATTTATACGATTGTTTTATGCTATTAAGCTTTGAAGTTATTTGTTATACAGCAATAGATAATGAATGACATGCAAGATCACAGTTAAGAAATGTCATTTTTGGATATGAAGTAATAAAAATGTTATCAGAATACGAAATGTACTTTTCCTAAAGAAATTAGTCTAAAAGTACTCTCTCTCGGGGAGAGAGCCTCTAGGGATGATGGAGAAGGTCACTATCTTATTTCACATGACTCAGGGCAGCTAAGAGATAGGGAGAGTCTAGGCCACCTACACTTATAGCTGTGATGTGTCACAGTAACCAAGGTCTTCCTAAGTGGTTTTTATGAACCTTGGAATAATGAGAAGATTGGAGCAGAAGTTTGATAACCTCTGCCTATCTTCTGAAATGAGTGCTGTTTAAAGTAATTCTTAATTTAAAAAAATTGATACATCTTCAAGATGTTGGGGAGATGGAAGTCTGTACTCACATTAGCAAGAAGACCAGGTAGTTGGCAAAAGGTGGAATGGAAATAATACCTAGGAAAAGACACTTGGTGACGTCTTGGCGGAACTAAGCAGAAATAAACACAGATGCAGTTTTAACCCAAATAAGTTGTTAATACAATAGACAATCCATCCACCCCACTGTACAGTAAACTTCTATTACAGCCCAGAAAAAGGACCAAATTTCTTTCTTTTTCTTTTTGAGATGGAGTCTTGCTCTGTCACCTAGGCTGGAGTGCAGTGGTGCAATCCTAGCTCACTGCAACCTCTGCCTCCTGGGTTCAAGTGATCCTCCTGCCTCAGCCACCCGAGTAGCTGGGATTATTGGCATAAGCCGCCACTCTAGGCTAACTTTTGTATTTTTAGTCGAGACAGGGTTTCACCATGTTGGACAAGCTGGTATCAATCTCCTGACCTCCAGTGATCTGCCCGCCTTGGCTTCCCAAAGTGCTAGGATTACAGGCATGAGCACTGCATGTGGTCCCCAAGTTTATTTCTATTTACTTCTGGATGGTTAGTTCCTTGAGGACAAAACCTCTGACTTATTTACTTTTGTATCCCAAATAATGTCTAGTACAGAGCCTGACATTATACCAAATCCTTCAGTGAACTCTTCCTGATCTGCGGAATGGGTCCTAGATTCTTACTCTCAGCTTCAAAACGACCCATCAAGTCACCACCAAATACTACTTTCATGCTGCCCTTTGGATCCTTGCAGACTTTTTTTTTTTTGAGACAGAGTTTTGCTCTTATCACCCAGGCTGGAGTGCAGTGGCGCGATCTTCACTCACTGCAACCTCCGCCTCCCAGGTTCAAGCAATTCTCCTGCCTCAGCCTCCCGAGTAGCTGGGACTAGGACTACAGGCGCCTGCCATCATGCCCAGCTAATTTTTGAATTTTTAGTAGAGATGGGGTTTCACCATGTTGGCCAGGCTGGTCTCAAGCTCCTGACCTCAGGTGATCCGCCCACCTCAGTCTCCCAAAATGCTGAGATTATAGGCGAGAGCCACTGTGCCTGGCTGCCCTTGCAGACTTCTATTTTCATTTTATTATTATTTTTTTTTGAGATGGAGTCTTGCCCTGTCACCCAGGCTGGAGTGCAATGGCATGATTTTGGCTCACTGCAACCTCTGCCTCCCGGGTTCAAACGATTCTCCTGCCTCAGCCTCCCGAGTAGCTGGGATTACAGGCGCCCGCCACCACACTCAGCTAATTTTTGTATTTTCAGTAGAGATGGGGTTTGACCTTGTGGGCCAGGCTGGTCTCGAATTCCTGACTTCGTGATCTGCCTGCCTCGGCTTCCCAAAGTGCTGGGATTACAGGCGTGAGCCACCGCGCCCAGCCCCCTTGCAGACTTTTGTTATGTTCAGAAACTAATTAGATTTTAGTATTTACAACTTTCATTCAGAAAGTGTGCCAGAAATTCTATGGAGCTCTTGCTATGGAGGGCTACAACTCTGGATGAACCCAATTCTTACAAATAATCTGATGCCTCATTCAGTTCAATATTTTGTTCTCACGGCAAAGGGCAAAAGCTTGATCAATGGTGAACAACAAATGAAAGAAAAAACCTTGAGATCTTGATTAAATGTAATTACCTCACCATGAACTTCTGGATATCTGCCCCTGGCCCATACCTGTCTCAAATGCTCCATCTCCCGGTATGGAAGTTGATGAAACTTTATATTGTGCTTCCACATATTTGTCTTTATTCTTCTAGCCTTTTTGGCATCAGCCCATAACATCTGCAATCCTGCCTCATTAAAGTAGAGGACAGAGTGTGATGTTATCCCAGTTTAAATCTTAACCACAGCTTCCTACTCCATGTTCAATCACATGCAAACACTCTCACCCCTCCCCAACGATACTCAAAGCTTTAAACTAGGTAACTTGAAACTCCTGAGGTCAACTCGAATCTCTTTTCTCAACATTTTTTCCCCTAGCACATCGCCTCTCTTCTAGCTACATTTGGCTTCTGTAATCTGCTATGGAATGGTCTCCCTCTTCTGTTTCACTGGTCACTCCTTTTTAAAAATCAAGCTCCCTAACTTCAGAAAGTCTTGCTAAATTAACCCTATGTATTCCCCAGCCAGATATTAATTTAATCTCCTTTCTGGAACTTTTTTTTTCTTTTTTTTGAGATGGAATCTCACTTTGTTGCCCAGGCTGGAGTGCAGTGGTGCGATTTCGGCTGACTGCAACCTCCACCTCCCAGGTTTATATAATTCTCCCACCTCAGAATCCCAAGTAGCTAGGATTACAGGCGTGTGCCACCATGCCTGGCTAATTTTTGCATTTTTAGTAGAGATGGGGTTTCACCATGTGGACAGGCTCGTCTTTAACTCCTGACCTCAAGCAATCCACCTGCCTCGGCCTCCCAAAGTGCTGGGATTACAGGCATGAGTCACTGCGCCCGGCCTGGAACACTTATTTTTGTTTTTGAGATGGAGTTTTGCTCTGTCGCCCAGGCTGGAGTGCAGTGGCGCAATCTCGGCTCACTGCAACGTCCACCTCCTGAGTTCAAGCAATTCTCCTGCCTCAGCCTTCCGAGTAGCTGGGATTATAGGTGCCCATCACCACACCTGGCTAATTTTTGTATTTTTAATAGAGACTGGGTTTCACCATGTTGGCCAGGCTGGTCTCAAACTCCTGACCTCATGATCCGCCCGCCTTGGCCTCCCAAAGTGCTAGGATTACAGGCGTGAGCCACCGTGCCCAGCCTGGAACACTTTTTAAAGTAGTTTAGTTCAATATATTTTTATGATTACATTTTAAATTTTCATTTTATGAAAATTCTTGCATCTAATTTTTTTCTTTTCTTTTTTTTTTTGAGATGGGAGTTTCACTGTTGTTGCCCAGGCTGGAGTGCAATGGTGCGATCTTGGCTCACCACAACCTCCGTCTCCCAGGTTCAAGAGATTCTCCTGCCTCAGCCTCCCTAGTAGCTGGGATTACAGGCATGTGCCACTATACCTGGCTGATTTTGTATTTTTAGTAGAGACGGTGCTTCTCTATGTTGGTCAGGCTGGTCTCAAACGCCCGACCTCAGATGATCCGCCCGCCCCGGCCTCCCAAAGTGCTGGGGTTACAGGCATGAGCCACCGCGCCCGGCTTCTTGCATCTATTTCTTTAATGCTTTCATATTTATCAATGATTTACATGTCATTATATGATGTCTCGATTGTCTTCAAAATAATACATAAGGCAAGTATATAAATAGGATTGGCAGCCATGAGTTATGATAATGAAGTGAGGTTAATACATGGAAGTTTGTTACACTACTCTCTCTACATCTGTGTGTGTTTAAAAATTTCCATAATAGTTGGCCGGGCGCGGTGGCTCAAGCCTGTAATCCCAGCACTTTGGGAAGCCGAGGCAGGCGGATCACGAGGTCAGGAGTTAGAGACCAGCCTGGCCAATATGGTGAAACCCCACCTCTACTAAAAATAAAAAAATTAGCCTGGTGTGGTGGCAGGCGCCTGTATTCCCAGCTACTTGGGAGGCTAAGGCAGGAGAATTGCTTGAATCCGGGAAGCAGAGGTTGCAGTGAACCGAGATCATGCCATTGCACTCCAGCCTGGGCGACACGGTGAGACTCAAAAAAAAAAAAAATTCATAATAAAAAGTTTAAAAACAAACACAAATGCTTTCATCCCTTTCTCTCATTTGATCCTATTTATCTACATGAAAACAGAAAAAGCAGCCAATTTTATCTCTACAAATTAAGGATAAGTAATTTTTCAAGTCCATGAAGCTAGTAATAATTATGATAATGTTCAGATTTGACAATGTAGTTTATTATAGTGTTATGATAAAAGCATAGAGCATATTATAGATTTGGTGCAAAAGCAATTGTGGTTTTTGCCACTGAAAGCCAAAAGCCGCAATTACTTTTGCACCAACTTATAATACTGTTAGGTAACATTTAGATGAAAATAAGTTAACATTTACTTGGCACTTACTAGGGATCAGGACCTGTTCTAGGTACTTTACATGTATCAATTTTTAAAGTCTTCACAATCATGTGATAAATAGGTAGGTTCCATTACTCCCATTTTACACATAAGAAAACCAAGGAAAGAGGGGTTAATTAATTAGTCCAATCGCACAGTGACGAACTGGGATTTGAATCAGGCAATCTGGCTCCAGAGTAGACACTTGACACGATACATATCTTCTCCTAGTAACTAAGGATCTCTGATTTGAAACAAAACATTTAGAAACCAAGTATTATGTAGGGCTATTGCCACTACAACATACTACCTAATATAGATTCATAACAAGGGTTAGACCTCATTTTCCTATGGGTAAGTCAACTGATACATCACAGGGCAGGTCTATACAGCCACAGATCCCTGCCGTGTGCAAGGCAAAAAATTTCTACTATAGCCAGGTGTGTGGTTAAGAAAGTACGAGAACATACCTATATTCTCCCTCCCTCATGTTGCTGTCATAAGTTGTTTCTCATAACATCTTTCTAGAAACATTCTCAAGAAGTGCTAATTTATAGGAATTAGTTTAAGGCGCAGGCATTTATGAAATATAAGATATCTCGGCTCACATCCCCATAGCAGAACCTGCAAATGATCTTATTTATGCTAACTCTTTGACCCTGCCCAAGAGCTGATTCCGGAATTTCTATTGTAGTTTCGTTTTTACCTTTCATGAAGATTGTGTACAGGACATAGAAGCGGGGGAAATGACGACCCAAGAAACGATGGTATTTCCCATTAATCGCTTTTGTCTTGGTTACCACATAAGACATCAAGTTCTTCACATCTGCCTTTGGAGAAAGGTGAAGCTTTGAAGACCTACAAGGAAGATCAAAGAGACTATCTGGGAATCAGTCCTAGAAGCTCCCTCACGCCTTGAGTCCCTAATGTAAAGCAGGAGTCTCGGAGATTGTATCCCAAGGCTTGACACTTCTGAAATCCAAGGAAGGTCTTGGGGTCAAGAAGAGATAGGCAATCAGACTGTGAAACACAAATCAGGCAAAGGCCAGGCAGGAAAGTAACTCAGGGTATGCCTCTGGAGAGAGCGCAATGCCTGTGGGACAATTTGAACTGCAGGCTAAGTCAGAAAGAGGTGGAATCGAGATAGCAGCGGTAAAACCTGAGCCGAAAAAGTGAGGCTGAAAGATGAGCTCAGGACACGCGGGGAAACCAGACAATATGGGGCACTGAGAGTACAGAGGGTCAGGAAGCCGGGTCACTAGTGGGGATCGGAGTTTGAATCCTGAACAGAAGAATAAAAATTCCAGGGCCAAGGCGTGGAACTCTGAGAATTAAGAGACAGAATGCAAGCAAGGTTGAGACACTGAAAGAGCCTGGACGTCAAAAATGCTTTTCTCGCTACAGGTCCCTCACCGAGGGGCCCCCCAAGCCAGGCCAGAGCGACCAAGTTGCAGCCTCCGGGTGACAAAATGTCCAGGGGTGACTGCCGAGCCCCACACAGCCGACCGAGCCCAGCACACCCTGGAGAGCGCCATCTTCACAGCGAGAGAAGCGGGAGAGAAGAGGTTGTCTTTGGGTCAAAGTTAACCGTACGTCGCGTTCGTTCGAAGACGCATGCGTCTTTTCTGAGCGCTGATTGGTAGCCATAGCCTGCTTGGCTCCAGCACAAGCCAGGAGAGGGAAGGACTCAAAGACTAAGTGCGGAAGGAGGGCCAGGATTGGACACAGCAGTACTTCCAGGTTTAAAGGCGCCGGAAACAGGGTGTCCCAGAGGGAGCGAGTTCTTATGCCACTGGTGTGGGTTTGCGACGCGGAGGGCACCCTGTCCTTGAGGCGCCCAGTGACCCTCCGCGATTCCTTAGGGCCTCAGGGCTTCCCAGCGCCGCCCTTGCCCTCTGCCTGGACTCGGGGCGTCGGAGCCTCGACTGTTAGGTAGCAGATGTCAGTTTGCCAGTGCCTGGGGCTAGGAGGACCCGCGGCGCCCTCTAATGGTGCCGGCGTGGATAGGCCGGGAACTGTCCACTTTCCAGTCAGTCTGGCGGCGAAGGTTGGAGGCCTGGGAGCGGCCCCTGTGCGGACTGAGTACACTTTTTCCTCTCTTTGTCGTTTCCAGAACTAAGTTTGTGGGAAAATGGTTTTCGTTAAGCACCTACCGAAGACCAAGCTCTGTCTCAACTTAAATGTTACTATTCTGAGAGGATTTCTGTGACCACCCTATCTGAAGCAGTGCCGGCGAAAAGGACACACTTCACACTTATTCTCATGTTACTCTGTTTTGTTTTGTTTTGTTGTTTTGTTTTTGTGACAGTTTTGCTCTGTCGCCCCGGCTGGAGTGCAGTGGCGCGATCTTGGCTCACTGCAGCCTCCGCCTCCCGGGTTCAAGCGATTCTCCTGCCTCAGCCTCCCGAGTATCTGGGATTACAGGCGTCCGCCACCACGCCCGGCTAATTTTTGTATTTTTAGTAGAGACGGGATCTCACTATGTTGGTCAGGCTGGTCTTCAACTCCTGGCCTCAAGTGATCCGCCAGCCTTGGCCTCCCAAAGTGCTGGGATTACAGGCGTGAGCCACTGCACCCGGCCTTGTATTTTCTTTGTAGCATCTGTCACTTACAGTGTTTATGTATTTGTGTCCTTGTTTGACAGCTCCCTGAACTAGAATGAGGGTAAGCATCTTCTCTGCCTTGTTCATTGCTGCACCTCCAACACTAGGTGCCTTACTTAGCACATAGTAGGTGTTCAGTAAACATGTTTGAATAGATTCATACTTGAAACTAAGAAGGATTCCCAGAAGTGGTACTTAACTGCCTCCAAGAATTAACAGTCCTCTTGGATATATATGAATATTTATTCTTCATGGAAGGTGGTAGAGCATCCCATGTGGGTTCCCTGGATATAGGTTCAATCTTGGCATTGACGTTTGTTTTAGTGAATGTTACCTTGGATATGTCACTTTAGCTCTGAGTTTATTTCCCTTATAATAGTACCTACTTTATAAGAAATCTTTGAGGATCCAAAGAGAATACAGCTGTGAAAGCTCCCACATCTGTATAATGCTTTATGGGTCACAGAGCTTTATATTAGCACAGGTTATTAATGACTGTACCACTCGTGCAGTCAGAGGAAAAGTTTTAAAAGATGGCCCTGGATCTTCACAAGTGTTGGGTAGATGGGGTGGACGGGATAGAAAGTTGACTAAGACGGCTGGGCGCCGTGGCTCATGCCTGTAATCCCAGCACTTTGGGAGGCCGAAGCGGGCTGATTACCCGAGGTCAGGAGTTCGAGACCAGCCTGGACAACATGGTGAAACCTCATCTCTACTAAGAATACAAAAATTAGCCGGATGTGGTGGTGGGCGCCTGTAATCCCAGCTACTCGGGAGGCTGAGGCAGGAGAATCGCTTTAACCCAGGAGGCGGAGGTTGAGGTGAGCCAAGATCGCACCACTGCACTCCAGCCTGGGCAACAGAGTGAGACTGTCTCAAAAAAAAAAAAAAAAAAAAAAAAGTTGACTAAGACATGGTCTTCATATTCAGGTAGTTTTTTTTTTTGTTTTTTTTTTTTTTGGAGACAGAGTCTCACTCTGTCACCCAGGCTGGAGTGCAGTGGCGCAATTTCAGCTCACTGCAACCTTCATCTCCCGGATTCAAGTGATTCTCCTGCCTCAGCCTCCCAAGTAGCTGGGTTTACAGGCGCCCGCCACCATGCCCAGACAACTTTTGTATTCTTTTTTTTTTTTTTTGACACGGAGTCTCGCTCTGTTGCCCAGGCTGGAGTGCAGTGGCGCAATCTCGGCTCACTGCAACTTCCGCCTCCCGGATTCACACCATTCTCCTGCATCAGCCTCCCGAGTAGCTGGGACTGCAGGTGCCCACCACCACACCTGGCTAATTTTTTGTATTTTCAGTAGAAACGGGGTTTCACCATGTTAGCCAGGATGGTCTTGATCTCCTGACCTCGTGATCCTCCCACCTCGGCCTCCCAAAGTGCTGGGATTAGAGGTGTGAGCCATCACACCCAGTCCAATTTTTGTATTCTTAGTAGAGACGCGGTTTCACCATGTTGGCCAGGCTAGTCTCGAACTCCTGAACTCAGGTGATCTGCCCACCTCAGCTTCGCAAAGTGCTGGGATTACAGGCGTGAGCCAACGTGCCCAGCCATCTTCAGGTAGCTTCTGAGTCATGTCAACTACTCAAGAATGTTCAGCTCTAAAATTCTGGAACTCTCTTGGAAAGGAGACAAAATCAGAATTTTGTGGAGAAAATAGGAAGGAACTGTGTCTGAAAGGATGGAGTAGAGGGGAAGGCATTTCATGCAATGAAAGAATGTGGCAGGAACACAGGTCATTCCTCAGACTTTTCTTTCTTTCTCTTCCTTCCTTTCCTTCCTTTTCTTTCTTTCCTTCCTCTCTTTCTTTCTCTTTCTCTCTTTCTTTCTTTCATAGGGTCTCGCTGTGTCGCCCAGGCTAGAGTGCAGTGGCCCCATCATGGCTCACTGCAGCCTTGATCTCCTGGGCTCAAGTGGTCCTCTCACCTCAGCCTCCCAAGTAGCTGGGATTACAGGCGCATGCCGCCACGCCCAGCTAATTTTTGTGTTTTTAGTAGAGATAGAGATTTGCCACGTTAGCCAGGCTGATCTTGAACTCCTAGACTCAAGCAATTCCCCTGCCTTGATCTCCCAAAGTGCTGGGATTACAGACTTGAGCCACTGCACCCAGCCCTTTCCTGAGATATTTATTTAGTGTTTAGGCCTCTTCCCCCTTTCCCCCGCTACACACACACACACACACACACACACACACACACACGCGCGTGCACACGCACACACACACACACACACACATGCATCTTGTTGGTTCTATCTTCTAGCTGTTCTTCAATCAGCCAGCTTCCTTCTATCTTCTCTGCCACCACCCTAGGCTAAGCTGCAAGCCTCTGGTCCCCACTTCTACAGCAGCCTCTTTACTGGTTTCCCTGCCATATGTTTTGTCCTCCCTCCAACCAGTTCTCCATGTTGTATGTAACCAGAGAGAGCTTTTAAAATTGCAAATCTAAGCTTGTCATTTCTCTTTATAAAACCTTTCAGGTTTCCGACTGGGCGCGGTGGCTCACGCCTGTAATCCCAGCACTTTGGGAGGCCGAGGCGGGCGAATCACGAGGTCAGGAGATCAAGACCATCCTGGCCAACATGGTGAAACCCCATCTCTTCTAAAAATACAAAAATTAGCCGGGCATGGTGGTGCGTGCCTATAATCCCAGCTGCAGCTACTCAGGAGGCTGAGGCAGGAGAATCACTTTAACTTGGGAGGCGGAGGTTGCAGTGAGCTGAGATCACACCATTGCACTCCAGCCTGGGCAACAGAGTGAGACTGTGTCTCAAAAAACAAACAAACAAAAGGCTGTGGGCTGGGCACAGTGACTCACACCTGTAATCCCAGCACTTTGGGAAGCTGAGGCAGGCAAATCACCTGAGGTCAGGAGTTCAAGACTAGCCTGACCAATATGATGAAACCCCGTCTCTACTAAAAATATAAAACTTAGGCTTGGCGCAGTGGTCCATGCCTGTAATCCCAGCACTTTGGGAGGCCAAGGCAGGTGGATCACCTGAGGTCGGGAGTTCAAGACCAGCCTGACCAACATGGAGAAACCCCGTCTCTACTAAAAATACAAAATTAGCCAGACTTGGTGGCGTATACCAGTAATCCCAACTACTCAGGAGGCCAAGGGAGAAGAATCGCTTGAACCCGGGAGGCGGAGGTTGTGGTGAGCTGAGATTGCGCCACTGCACTCCAGCCTGGGCAACAAGAACGGAACTCCATCTCAAAAAGAAAAAAAAAAACAAAAATTAGCTGGGCATGGTGACATACACCTGTAATCCCAGCTATTCAGGAGGCTGAGAGAGGAAAATTGCTTGAACCCGGGAGGCAGAGGTTGCGGTGAGCCGAGATCACGCCATTGCCTCCAGCCTGAGCAACAAGAGCGAAACTCTGTCTCAAAAAAAAAAAAAAAAAGAAAAACCAAGCTGTGCCACAACCACCTTGGGCACGTGTCATCAGGACCTCCTAAGGCTGTGTCATGTCCTTGACCTTGGCAAAATAAACTTTCTAAATTGATTGAGACCTGTCTCAGATATTTTGGGTTCACATAGGTGTGAGTCACTAAGCCAGACCTAGCTCCACTTTATACATGAGGAAAATGAGGTTCAATAATCTGCTCAAGATTGAGTCAGAATTTGAACCCAGGCAGGCTGGGCATATGAGTTAGTGCTGCACTGTATATAAACAGCTCTGTTACAGGAAACTCTTAACCCCACAGACTGAGGTTCCTGTTACTCACTTTGTAGCTAGCTATACTTATTTTTCATAGTACTTAACATCATAATTAATTAGCTGTGTCATTATACATTTCATGGCTATCTTCCCCACAGGAGTCTAAGCTCACTGTATTCCAGTCCCTGGCACACAAGGGGGGCTTATTAAATATTTATTAAATGAATATGGCCAAGCGCAGTGGCTCATATTTGTAATCCCAGCACTTTGGGAGGCTGAGGAGGATGATCACTTGAGGTCAGGAGTTCGAGACCAGCCTGGGCAAGATAGTGAAACCACGTCTCTACCAAAAATACAAAAATTAGCTGGGCGTGGTGGCACACGCCTGTAATCCCAGCTACTCTGGAGGCTGAAGCAGGAGAATCACTTGAACCCGGGAGGTGGAGGTTGCAGTGAGCTGAGATCATGCCACTGTACTCCAGCCTGGGTGACAGAGTGAGACTTCATCTCAAAAATAAAATAAAAACTACAGAGGCTGAGCACAGTGGCTCATGCCTGTAATCCCAGCACTTTGGGAGGCCAAGGTGGGCGGATCACGAAGTCAGGAGTTTGAGACCAGCCTGACCAACATGGTGAAATCCCGTCTCTACTAAAAATACAAAAATTAGCCAGGCGTGGTGGTGTGCACCTGTAATCCCAGCTACTCAGGAGACTGAGGCAGGAGAATCACTTGAACCCGGGAGGGGGAGGTTGCAGTGAGCCGAGATCATGCCACTGCACTCCAGCCTGGGTGACAGAGGGAGACTCCATCTCAAGAAAACAAAACAAAAAACCAGAAAGGGTTAGGCACAGTGGATCATGCTGTAATACCAGCACTTTGAAAAGCCAAGGCAGGCGGATCGAGACCAGCCTGGCCAATATGGTGAAACCCTGTCTCTACTAAAAATACAAAAATTAGCTGGGTGAGGTGGCAAGCACCTGTAATCCTGGCTACTCGGGAGGCTGAGGCAGGAGAATCGCTTGAACCTGGGAGACGGAGGTTGCAGTGAGCTGAGATTGCACCACTGCACTCCAGCCTGGGTGACAAACCCAGAATCTATTTCAGTAAAACCCAAAAAACAAAAAACATGCCGGGCGCAGTGGCTCATACCTGTAATCTCAGCACTTTGGGAGGCTGAGGCGGGTGGATCACCTGAGGTCAGGAGTTTGGGACCAGCCTGACCAACAAGGAGAAACCCCCATCTCTACTAAAAATACAAAATTAGCCAGGCGTGGTGGTGCATGCCTGTAATTCCAGCTACTCGGGAGGCTGAGGCAGGAGAATCACTTGTACCCAGGAGGTGGAGGTTGCAGTAAGCCAAGATCACGCCATTGCACTCCAGCCTGGGCAACAAGAGCAAAACTCCATCTCAAAAACAAACAAACAAACAGAAATTATATTGTATAAGCCAAGAACATACAAACATAGCATGAACTAAAAAAAAAAAAAACTGTCCTCAACTTAGATACATGTAAGGATGTCTTGCTCTGCAAATTGGGCTAGTTAACGATAAAAGTGGCGTGAATGATGATGACATTGATGATTTGAATAAAATTATGATATAAAATTTGACTGAAAAAGCATTATTTCTAAATAAATGTTTTATATGTGGTTTAAAATATGTGTTGCTAAATAATATTAGACTTACATTTTCCACTAAGTAGATGTTTAAAGTAGACATCTGACTACTTCATAAAAGGTTGGCCAAAAACTATCTTTTAGTTCTTCTCCTTGGGAAACGTAAGGCATTGCCTTACATTAAAATGTGCAGCTGGGTGCAGTGGTTCACACCTGTAATCTCAGCACTTTGGGAGGCCAAGGGGGGAAGATCTTTGAGGTCAGGACTTTGAGACCAGCCTGACCAACGTGGTGAAACCCCGTCTCTACCAAAAATACAAATATTAGCCAGGCGTGGTGGTGCTTGCCCATAATCCCAGCTACCCTAGAGGCTGAGGTGGGAGGATCGCTTGAACCCGGGAGGTGGAGATTATAGTGAGCCAAGATCACACCACTTCACTCCAGCCTGGGCAACAGAGTGAGACTCTGTCTCAAAAAAAAAAAAAAAGTTGAAGGAGTAGTAAATTCATAATTTTTTTTTTTTTTTAGACAGAGTCTCGCTCTGTCACCCAGGCTGGAGTGCAATGGTGTGATCTCGGCTCACTGCAACCTCTGCCTCCTGGGTTCAAGCACTTCTCCCTGCCTCAGCCTCTTGAGTAGCTGGGATGACAGGTGTGAGCCACTGTGCCTGGCTGTAAATTTATAAATTCTGATGGTGGTGGCAGTAGTGGTGCTTCCAGGTGAAGAAACATCAGATTTGAAGTAGGTTGTGGAGAGTCAATTGGAGATTGCTTGGCAGACAAGTAGTAGGAATAAATGGCACAAGATTGGAGCCCCCAAACCCAAGTATCACTGGGAGTATCATTTCTAGGAAGAAAGAAGGAACAATATGTGCAAAGATATGGAAGAATGCAACCTTAGGGAAAGGTAAAGTTTCTTTTTGTAGCAGAGGTAATAACTGCAGTGATTTGCCACTTTTAGTTACTAATTCACTAAATTTGACAAGCTGATTCGGGACAGTTATTCTTCCCAAGGAACTGGGGGGGAAATACCAGAATGAAAGAGTTTTTGTTTGTATTTTAATCTGTTTATAGAGAGGTGGTCTTGCCATGTTGTCCAGGCTGGTCTTAAACTCCTGGCCTCAAGGGATTCTTCTACCTTGATCTCCCAGAGGACTAGGATTACAGGTGTGAACCACTGGGCCCAGTCTTAAAGAGGGATTTTTTTTTTTAAGTGAGTTTTAATTTTTTTGTAGAGACAAGGCCTCACTATGTTGCCCAGGTCAGTCTCAAACTCCTGGCCTCAAGCAACCCTCCTACCTCAGTCTCCCAAATTGCCAGGATTACAGGCATGAACCACACCGAACCCGGCCAAGGGTTTTATTTATTTATTTATTTATTGAGACAGCGTCTTGCTCTGTTGCTCAGGCTGGAGCGCAGTGTCTGAATATCAGCTCACTGCAACCTGCACCTCCTGAGTTCAAGTGATTCTGGTGCCTCAGCCTCCCAAGTAGCTGGGACTACAGGTCATGTACCACCATGCCCGACTGGCTAATTTTGTTTTAGTAGAGACAGGGTTTCTAGCCTGGCCTGTTGCCCAGGCTGGTGTTGAACTCAAGTGATCCACCTGCCTCGGCCTCCCAAAGTGCTGGGATTACAGGCGTGAGCCGCTGCGCCCAGCCCTGCCAAGGGTTTTGTTTTGTTTTGTTTTGTTTGAGACAGTTTCACTCTTGTTGCCCAGGCTGGGTGCAGTGACACCATCTTGGCTCACTGCAACTTCCGCCCTCTGGGCTCAAGCAATTCTTCTGCCTCAGCCTCTTGAGTAGCTGGGATTACAGGCACCCACCACCACACCCAGCTAATTTTTTGTATTTTTAGTAGAGATAGTGTTTCATCATGTTGGCCAGGCTGGTTTCAAACTTCTGACCTCAGGTGAGCCACTCACCTTGGCCTCCCAAAGTGCAGGGATTACAGGCATGAGCCACCGCGCCCAGCCCTGGCCAAGGGTCTTAATAACCAATGGTTAATACAGTTTTATGATACTCTCTGAGCAAGAGTAAAACCTAATTCCCAAAAACCCACCTAATCCTATTTCTTTTGTATGTATTAAAAATGTTTTAAAAGGATAATAAGAAAGAATACTATAACATTTCTCTATGTATCCACTACCCAAAATGAATAAATAGTATCATACCTATTTTCGCCTTCCAAGTCCAATTCTCTTCCTTTTCTCCTTCCCTTTAGGCATCACTTTTATATTAGCCTACTTTCATTTTTTAAAAATTTTTAATTGTTTTATTTTTTGAGACAGAGTCTCACTCTGTCTCTCAGGCTGCAGTGCAGTGGCACAATCTCGGCTAACTGCAACCTCCACCTCCTGGGTTTCAGCGATTTTCCTGCCTTAGCCTCTGAGTAGCTGGGACTACAGGCCTGTACCACAATGCCTGGCTAATTTTTGTATTTTTAGTAGAGACGGGGTTTCGCCATGTTGGCCAGTCTGGTCTCGAACTCCTGACCTCAAGTGGTCCGCCCACCTCGGCCTCTCAAAGTGCTGGGATTACAAGCATGAGCCACTGTGCCCAGCCTAGTCTGCTTTTAATTCTTTGAATGTCTATCTATCTATCTATGATGTATTTACACACACATACATATATACATACATACATCTATACACATACATATACATACATATGAACATTTACATATATATGGTATTTCTTAATGTTTTAAAAATTCATGTAATTTGTTTCATGTGGCACTTATTTTCCTGCATCTTGTTTTGTTTCCTTAACTTTGTTTTCATAATTTGTTCATCTAGATTAAGTTCATTGATTTATTTTATTTTCTCAATTTTTTAAATTTTTATTCTTTTCTTTTGAGATGGAGTCTTGCTCTGTCACCCAGGCTGGAGTGCAGTGGCATGATCTTCGCTCACTGCAACCTCCACCTCCCGGGTTCAAGCGATTCTTCTGCCTCAGCCTCCTGGGTAGCTGGGATTACAGGCACATGCCACCACACCAGGCTAATTTTTGTATTTTTATTAGAGACAGGGTTTTGCCATGTTGACCTGGCTGGTCTCAAACTCCTGACCTCAGGTGATCCACCCACCTCAGCCTCCCAAAGTGCTGGGATTACATGTGTGAGCCACTGGCCCAGCAAGTTCATTCATTTAGCTTGCTGAATGGTGTTCCATCACATGAATACACCCCAATTTGCTTATCCATTTGCTACTGATTGACATTTACATTGTTTTTAGTGTTTCATTATTACAAACACTACATTTCAGGGAATATCCTCCAACAGGTCTCCTAGTGCTAATGGATGAGAGTTTCTATGAAGGAATGTTTTTAGAGGTTTTTTTTTTTGAAACCACTATGGAAATATGTTTTATATTGAGACCCAGTTCATAGATGAAATAAAAATTTAACAAAATAATACCTGCCCTTGCTATATGCACTCTGTTTCCTACTCTATTGCATTCTGTCCTATTTCATTTTTGTAAAATGCTGGACATGACTCACTACATTGATTTTATGACTCACTAATGGATTGAAAAACAATGCTGTAAGGCATTTATCTGGAAGTAGACTCTCTAGATCAAAGAATAAGTGCATTTTCAACTTGAGTAGATATTATCAAGTTGCTCTCCAAAGTGGGTGTATCAGTTTTACAGGATATCAGAGTCCTAGTTTTTCCATATCCTCACTGACACTTGAAATGGTCAGAATTTTAGATTATTGATGGTCCTGTAGATGTGAAACAAATATCATTGTCAGTTTAATTTGGAAAAAATTAGCCAGGCGTCGTGGCATGTGCCTGTAGTCCCAGCTACTTGGGAGGCTGAGGTGGGAGGATCACCTGAGCCCAGGAGGTCAAGGCTGCAGTGAGCTGTGATTGGACCACTGCACTCCAGCCTGGGCGACAGGGTGAGAATTTGTGTCAAAAAAAAAAAAAAAAAAGAAAAGAAAAAAAAGTTTTTTAGATGGGAGTTTTAAATATTTTTAATAGTCAATTGAATCAGAATGGTCCATTTTTACTTCTGCTTTTTCATAATTTTATTGTTAAAATTTTATCTTGATTATAAAAATACTATATATTTTTTCAAATAATTTTGTTGTTGTTTTTGAGACAAGGTCTCACTCTGTCACCTAAGCTGGACTGCAATGGTGCAATCTCAACCCACTGCAACCTCCACATCCTGGGCTCAAACGGCCCTCCTGCCTCAGCCTCCCAGGTAGCTGGGACTACAGGCATGCACCACCATGCCTGGCTAATTTTTGTATTTTTTGTAGAGACGGGGTTTCACCATGTTGCTCAGGCTGGTCTCACACTCCTGGACTCAAGTGATCTGCCTGCCTCAGCCTCCCAAAGTGCTGGGATTACAGGTGTGAACCACTGTGCTCAGCCTTTAAAAATAAATTTTAAAAAATATATATGGAATGCTTCATGAATTTGCGTGTCATCCTTGCACAGGGTCCATGCTAATCTCTGTATCATTCCAGTTGTAGCATATGTGCTGCCAAAGTGAGCACCAGATAATTTTGAAGTTGGTTGGTGTTTTGTTTTGTTTTGTTTTTACAACTTTAGATATTTAATTGCCCTGGAGTTTATTTTTGCCTATTCCTTTTCTGTCTTCTGATACTTCAGCGCCTCATTATGTGATTCTTCACCATCTTTGGGACTCTCTGCTTCTAATCTCCTCCCTCAGAGTCTTTTTCTTGAAGAGAATGGGAATATAAAAGGCCCCAGGCTTAGAATAGCTCTTCAAAGGCCTTATTTTTTTTTTGAGACAGAGTCTCGCTCTGTCACCAGGCTGGAGTGCAGTGGTGATCTTGGTTCACTGAAGGCCTTTAAAGAAGCAAGTGGGGGGGCCGGGCGCAGTGGCTTATGCCTGTAATCCCAGCACTTTGGGAGGCTGAGGCAGGTGGATTACGAGGTCAGGAGTTCAAGACCAGCCTGGCCAACATGGTGAAACCCCGTCTCTACTAAAAATACAAAAATTAGCCGGGCATGGTGGCATGCACCTGTAATCCCAGCTACTTGGGAGGCTGAGGCAGGAGAATTGCTTGAACCCGGGAGGTTGCAGTTAGCCAAGATCATGCCACTGTATTCCATCCTGGGTGACAGAGTGAGACTTTGTCTTAAAAACAAACAAACAAAAAACAGAAAAGTTTTTATCAGTGATTGCTTGCAATGGGCAATTAAGGTAGACACTGAACTAAATTTAGAATGTATTATTCACAAATATAGTCTAAGAATTTATACTCTGAAAATTAATAAAACAGATAAGCAAAGGACAAACCATATAACAATAAAAAAGAGCAATCTAGAACTACTGTATATAGTAAAGAATTAACATCAAACACATCAAAGTCGGTGCAATTCAAGGATAAAGGCATCACTGGGTGACAAGCAGTGCCTAGTATGTATTTGCTATAGGGGTTCCAAGTTCAGGGAAACTGTCATCAATCAACTAGGTAGGGTGGGTCTCTTCTGACTTCTCCCATCCTCTCCTTTTCCATCCTCCACACATGTGCCCCACTCCAAGCTTTTTCTCCTCCAAGCAACATAAGCCTCACTAACGCTTGAAATCAGAGGAGTTTTTACTTTGTGTTAGCACTTAGCTCTCAATAAGTGGACCTTTACCCAGCATCAGCAGGAACCACCCTCAGGAGTCACTTTGTGCTGCCTGGCACGTCCACAGCAATTAGAGCAAAAGGACAGAGTTAAGGAAACTCTTTGAGGAAAATTTTCCCCACCCAGCTTTGGCAGGGTCACCTGGGGGCCCTCTCATCAGTATTGATATTCACTGTGGTACCCCCGTTGTTCCACTAGCACCATTTACTGAGCTTCCTCTGTGTTCAGTTCCTATAAAAGAAAGGAAGCCCTTGCCTCAAAGTGCTCTCAATTTATTTATTTATTTTTACTATTTTTTAATTTTTGAGATGGAGTCTCACTCTGTCCCCCAGGCTGGAGTGCAATGGTGTGATCTCGGCTTACCACAACCTCCACCTCCCAGGTTCAAGAGATTCTCCTGCCTCAGCCTCCCTAGAAGCCGGGATTACAGGGGCCCGCCATCACGCCCAGCTAATTTTTGTATTTTTAGTAGAGATGGGGTTTCACCATGTTGGTCAGGCTGGTCTCCAACTCCTGACCTCAGGTGATCCCCCACCTCGGCCTCCCAAAGTGCTGGGATTACAGGCGTGAGCTACTGCACCCGGCTGTGCTCTCAATTTAAATGCATTTGCACATTCAGCAAGACTCATAAATGTCTTACCTAGCTGAATCAATATTAGAAAGGCCTCAAGGATTTTGCAGTTTGATATCACTGTCATAAAAATTGTTTCAATGTAGAAAAAAAGGTTAACATATTTCATATATATTCATTAAGAAATGTACATGGGCTGGATGCAGTGGCTCACACCTGTAATTCCAGCACTTTAGGAGGCCAGGGTGGGTGGATCACTTGAGGTAAGGAGTTTGAGACCACCCTGGGCAACATGGTGAAACCCCATCTCTACTAAAAATACAAAAGTTACCCAGGCGTGGTGGCATGTGCCTGTAATCCCAGCTACTCAGGGAGGCAGGAGAATTGCTTGAACCCAGGAGGCAGAGGTTGCAGTGAGCTGAGATCGCACCACTGCCCTCCAGCCTGGGTAAGAGTGAGACTCTCTCTCAAAAAACCAAAACGAAAAGTGGCCGGGCGCGGTGGCTCACGCCTGTAATCCCAGCACTTTGGGAGGCTGAGGCGGGCGGATCACGAGGTCAGGAGTTCGAGACCAGCCTGGCCAACATGGTGAAACCCCATCTCTACTAAAATAAAAAATATATAAAAATTAGTCGGGTGTGGTGGCCCACACCTGTAATCCCAGCTACTCAGGAGGCTGAGGCAGGAGAATCGCTTGAACCTAGGAGGTGGAGGTTGCAGTGAGCCAAGATTGCGCCACTGCACTCCAGCCTGGGTGACAGAGCTAGACTCTGTCTCAAAAAATAAGATAAATAAATTTAAAAAAAAAGCAAAAGTCACTGAGCGAGGTATTTAACCATCTCTTCTGAAATAGTCCTGATCTCCCTGCTCCATTTCCTGATTTTTAAATTTGTTTTTAATAAAATTTAATGATCTGTACTTATCGATGTATACTTATTGACTGGTTGTTATCTGTCTGCCCCACAGAATATACGTTTTCAGAGAACAGGAACTTTTTATGTCTTTATCATTGCTATATCCCACTGCCCAGAATCAGTGCCTGGAACATAGTAGATTATCTACAAATAGTGCACTTGTTAAATGAATGAAACTAAATTAAATGAACATATATGTTGTGTATCCTTACTGCATTGATTGGCATATGAGAAAATTAAACAGAAGAAACTAACAGCAAGATCAGTAGTGTCCTAGACTCCAAGAAGTCTTTCTAGACTAATCCTATTCAGCATTAGAAGTACAGTCATAGGCCGGGCGGGGTGGCTTTCGCCTGCACTTTGGGAGGCCAAGGTGGGCGGATCACCTGAGGTCAGGAGTTCGAGACCAGCCTGGCCAACATGGTGAAACCCTGTCTCTACCAAAAAAATACAAAAATTAGGCCCAGCACGGTGGCTCACGCCTGTCATCCCAGCACTTTGGGAGGCCAAGGTGGGTGGATCACGAGGTCAGAAGTTCGAGACCAGCCTGGCCAACATGGTGAAGCCCTGTCTCTCCTAAAAATACAAAAATTAGACAGGCGAGGTTGTGGGCACCTGTAATCCCAGCTTCTTGGGAGGCTGAGGCAGGAGAATCACTTGAAACCAGAAGGCAGAGGTTGCAGTGAGCCGAGATAGTGCCACTGCACTCCAGCCTGGGCGAAAGAGTGAAACTCTGTCTCAAAAAACAAAACAAAACAAAACAAATACAAAAATTAGCCAGGCGTGATGGCAGGCACCTGTAATCCCAGCTACTTGGGAGGCTGAGGCAGGAGAATTGCTTGAATCTGGGAGGTGGAGGTTGCAGTGAGCCTAGGTCGTGCCACTGCACTCCAGCCTGGGTGATAGAACGAGACTCTGTCTCAAATAAAAAAAAAAGCGCAATCATTCTGAATCTCTCACTCTACCCCTTGAGAAGACTCCGCCACCAACCTCTTTTTCAGTTCAGGTGACTCAAGCAGGGCTGACCCCACCCCCTGCCTCCAAGGATCAGCTTGTGTCCCAGGCACCCCATGGTCACTGTTTTTGGTTTGGGACTGGCTCATGACCCAAGCTAGGTAGCAGGCAGAGCTTTCTGTGTTAGTCTGGAAAGACTTCTTGGAGTCTAGGCTAGGACACTACTCATCTTTTTTGTTTTGTTTTGTTTTGTTTTTGTTTTTGTTTTGAGACAGAGTCTTGCTCTGTTGCCCAGGCTGGAGTGCAGTGGTGCAATCTCACTGCAACCTCTGCCTCCTGGGCCCATGTGTTCCTCCTGCCTCAGCCTCCTGAGTAAGTTTCCCTGGGACTTTTGCTGGAACTATAGGAAAAAGGACCAAGTCAGCCCAGTGCAGATGGTGGTCACTGTTCTATCATGCAGGGAAACCTGCCTGAGAACAAAACCACACTGATTCTAAAGCAGAGACTAGAGAGTGAGAAATAGAAAGAAAGAGACAGGGCCTGGTGCAGTGGCCCTAGCCTGTAATCCCAGAATTTTGGGATGTTGAGGCAGGAGGATCGCTTGAAACCAGAAGTGTGAGATCAGCCTGGGCAACAAAATGAGACCCTGTCCCTATTACAAAAAAAAAAAAAAAAAGAAGGAGGAGGGGTGGGGGAGGGAAAAAAGGAAACGGACAGGTGGACAGTGACTTGGTGATATCTGGGTCCCCAGCTTCAGTCCTGCCTACAGTGAGCTGTGTTGTTGGGTTTCCCAGTTTATGTGAGTGATTCAGCTCCTTTTGAGCACAAGCAGTTTGAATTGGGTTTCTGTCATTGACAATCACAAAACACAACAAAACAAAACCATACCTAATGCACATTTAGCTGTATAATTTCTACTACGTCGAATTTCACTTGTTTACTTAATATTATATACAGGTTTTTACCTAAGACTTATGAACATTTTTATAGTTTATAAAATAATCTTGTATTTACATATCACTTAATTTTAACACAATTATGTGAGGTAGGGCATACATTTTTTTTTATTTAGTAATTTTTTTTTTTTTGAAACACAGTCTCACTCTGCTACCCAGGCTGGAGTGCAGAGGTATAATCATAGCTCACTGCAACCTTGAATTCCTGGGCTCAAAGGATCCTCCTGCCTCAGCTTCCCAAAGTGCTCAGATTATAGGTGTGAGCCACTGAGCCTGGCTAATTTTTTTTTTTTAAGAGATGGGGTCTCAGGCCAGGCGCGGTGGCTCACGCCTATAATCCCAGCACTTTGGAAGGCCAAGGAGGGTGGATCACAAGGTCAGGAGTTTGAGACCAGCCTGGCCAATATGGTGAAATCCTATCTCTACTAAAAATACAAAAATTAGCCAGGCGTGGTGGTGCAAGACTGTAGTCCCAGCTACTCAGGAGGCTGAGGCAGGAGAATTGCTTGAACCCGGGAGATGGAGGTTGCAGTGAGCCGAGATTGCGCCACTGCACCCCAGCCTGGGTGACAGAGTGAGACTCTGTCTCAAAAAAAAAAAAAAGAGATGGGGTCTCACCCTGTCACCCAGGCTGGAGTGAAGTACACAATCATAGCACACTGCAGCCTTGAACTCCTGGGCTCAAGGGATCCTCCTGCCTCAGCCTCCAGAGTAGCTGGGACTACAGGAGCAGGCTACCATGCCTGGCTGATTTTTTTTTTTTTTTGAGATCCATCTCGCTCTGTCGCCCAGGCTGGAGTGCAGTGGTGTGATCTCGGCTCACTGCAACCTCCACCTCCTGGGTTCAAGCAATTTTCCTCCCTCAGCCTCCTGAGTAGCTGGGATTACAGTCTTGCACCACCATGCCTGGCTAAGTTTTATTTTTATTTATTTCTTTTTTGAGACAGGGTTTCACTCCCATTGCCCAGGCTGGAGTGCAGTGGTGTGATCTCAGCTCATTGCAACCTCTGCCTCCCGGGCTCAAGTGATTATCCTGCCTCAGCCTCCCCAGTAGCTGGGACTATAGGCATGTGCCACCGCTCCCAGCTAATTTTTGTATTTTTTTTAGAGATGAGGTCTTGCCATGTTGCCCACTTGGTCTCAAACTCCTGAGCTCAAGTGATCGGCCCACCTCAGCCTCCCAAAATGCTGGAATTACAGGTGTGAGCCACTGCGCCTGGCCTAATTTTTTATTTTTTGTAAAGATAGGATCTCATTATGTTGCCCTGGCTGGTTTTGAACTCCTGGGCTCAAGTGATCCTTCTGCCTTGGCCTCCCAAAGTGCTGAGATTATAGGTGAGAGCCACCGTGTCCAGCCAAGAAATATATTTTACAGTAACCCCGTACATACATACACACACACGCACACACTCTTAAAGTTGCACAAAACAATACCTACCTTAGTGCCTGTGACATTCTCTGATATTTTCTATTCTATTTTTTAAAAATTCTGGCTGGGCGCAGTGGCTCACGCCTGTCATGCCAGCACTTTGGGAGGCTGAGGCGGGCAGATCACAAGGTCAGGAGTTCGAGACCAGCCTGGCCAACATGGTGAAACCCCCCGACTCTACTAATAATACAAAAATTAGCTGGGTGTGGTGACGGATGCCTGTAATACCAGCTACTTGGGAGGCTGAGGCAGGAGAATTGCTTGAACCTGGGAGGCAGAGGTTGCAGTGAGCCAAGATTGCGCCACTGCATTTTAGCCTGGGTGACAGAGCAAGACTCTGTCTCAGAAAAAAAAAAAAAAAAAATTCTGTTTTATTTCAGCACTTTGGAAGGCCAAGGCAGGTGGATCCCTTGAGTCCTGAAGTTTGAAACCAGCCTGGGCAATATAGGGAGACCCTGTTTTCTTGCTGTGTCCAACTACCTAGAACAACCATTGAGTCAGGAGAAAGAATTATGGATCTCCTGCCCAGGGACCCAGATGAAAGGTCTCTTTGCTTCAGGGCTCTCTTAATAAAAAAAAGAAAAGAAAAAATATTCTGGTTGCAACCTACAGTTTTTTTTTTTTCGCTGGAATGAAGTGGTGCCATCTCAGCTCACTGCAACCTCTGCCTCCTGGGTTCAAGCAATTCTCCTGCCTGAGCCTCCCAAGTGGCTGGGACTACAGGCACCTACCACCACACCCAGCTAACTTTTGTATTTTTATTAGAAACAGGGTTTCACCATGTTGGCCAGGCTGGTCCCAAACTCCTGAGCTCAAGGGATCTTCCCGCCTTGGCCTCCCAAAGTGCTGGGATTACAGGCGTGAACCACTGTGCCTGGCCGCAATCCACAGTGGTTTTTTTTGTTTTTTTTTTTAATTTTTTTTTTCAGAGACAGGGTCTTGCTCTGTTGCCCAAGTTGGAGTGCATTTGCATGATCACAGTTCACTGCAGTCTTGAACTCCTGGAGTTTTCTGTTCTTCTGTGACTACCCTATGTTATTCTTGTCTCAATTTTTTAATGGAAGGGAATTGTTTAAGGTGTACAAGATGGAGGTCCCAATATGGTGTGGTGGTTGAGTCTTGGCTCGTGGGTCTAACAGATTTGTGTTCAAAGCCTGGCTTTGCCACTAACTAGCTGTGTCCTTAGGCAAATTATACTCCAAGTCTCAGATTCCTAATTTGCAAAATGAGAATAATAATAAATAATACTTCCTGCCCCATTAGTTTATTATGAGGATTGTTTTTTTGGTAGAGTCATGGTCTCGCTATGTTGCCCAGG
The DNA here is from genome assembly GCF_000001405.40 of Homo sapiens. Classification (NCBI taxonomy): domain Eukaryota; kingdom Metazoa; phylum Chordata; class Mammalia; order Primates; family Hominidae; genus Homo; species Homo sapiens. The sequence continues at coordinate 51,030,251 of NC_000012.12, read as the reverse complement.
CTGTTTTCAAACTCCTGGCCTCAAGTGATCTGCCTGCCTCGGCCTCCCAAAGTGCTGGGATTGCAGGCGTGAATTTTTGTGCCAGCCTACTACAAGGATTAATGCTTGTGAAGTGTTAAATATAGCGTTTGGTACACAATAAAAATTCAATTAAGGTTGTCAGTTACTCTTAAGTATAAATTGGGGACCAAGAAGGCAAAAATGGAGTGTGTTTTTTGCAGATGGACGGAGGGGAGCCAGGACACAGCTCAGCTTGCTCATGCTCAGAGAGTTAAGCTGCTGACCCTGAAGGCAGGGGGCACACAACTGTATGTGGGAGCCAGACTAAGCAGTCGAGACAGGGCAGACAGTGTGAGAAAGCTGTTGATGAGAGCTGCTGCTGAATAAAATCATCTTTCACCTGTCTACAGCTCCCCAAGTGTTCTTTCTGCTCATCCACCCACTACCTCCGGACCTCAACATGACCTTTGGCGTAGTCTAAACCTGACACTCATAACAGTTACAGATTTCTTTGTCCCTTCTACACTCCCACTTTTTTGAGACAGGGTCTTGCTCTGTCGCAGAGGCTGGAGTGCTCTGGTGTGATCACGACGCACTGCAGCCTTGACCTCCTAGCCTCAAATGATCCTCCCACCTCAGCCTCCCAAGAAGCTGGGATGTTCCACAGGCACGTTCCACTACACTCAGGTAATTTTAAAATTTTTTGTAGAGAGGGGGTCTCCTTATGTTGCCCAGGGTAAGAATTCCTAAACTCAAATAGGCTTTTTCCTGCCAAGACTTTAGTTCGTGGGTGATTTTACAGGTGCTTCTATTTTCCCTTCAAGTGGAACAAATTGGCCCCCAGTCCAATCTGCAGAGACAGCTTTGCCTTGGGGAAGTTACCTGATGTAGAACAAGGACAGGAGACAGGTCAAGTTGTAGTTATTTGACTTTCGTGATTAAGAGAGCCCTGAAGCAAAGAGACCTTTCATCTGGATCCCTGGGCAGGAGATCCATAATTCTTTCTCCTGACTCAATGGTTGTTCTAGGTAGGAACCAGAACCACTTGCTGGAAGCCTGCATTGACTTATTTGAATCGATTACTGCTTTTCTTTCTTTTCCATTCTAAGCTATTATGTTTTTATGGTACTAAGCAGATTTTCTTGAAAACTTCTAGAAAACTGCCTGCTACCTGCAAGAAACTGTTTTCTTCTCTCCTGTATTTTACGCCACCCCAATGCTTCTCCTATGCAGCTTTGTCGTCTAAGTTATTTCCCTGAGGCAAAATTTCCCCATTCTTTCAGCTCCCCTCCTCCCAGATTGAGAAATTCTAGGCTTGCCCTGGACTTCTGTCTTGTAGTCTCTGGGTTTTTTTCCTTTCTTTTTCTTTTCCATCAGGCACCAAGTCCGGAGTTTGCGTGGCTCTGATGTCTGCTCGTGGATCACTGATTGACCAGGCTGAAGCCAGAGGGTCCTTTAGATCCCGAGGGATAATAGAGCAGGCAGCATTTCCACCCACGTTCTGAGACTCCTCATAATTGCCTCAGTGCTGCACGTACCTATATGGAAAATACAAGTGCACTGTCAGGCTTGGGGTTAATGGTTTCACCTCACGTCTCAGAGGAGCAGAGTCCTAGTGCACCTGTGGAGCCTGAACCAGCTGCACTCCAAGAGGAGCAGAGAAGGGAAGCAATTTCTTACTCCACCCCTTTCAACCACTGGCACTCACAGGCTTGCCACCTACTCTTGCTCCTGCCAAATGGTACAGAGATGAAATCTTAGAATAAAATTTTTGAACTCAATAAATTGTTAATTAATATCTAGGAGTGGCAGATATATAATGCTTCTCTTTTCACGACAGGTCAAAGATGAAATCTGATTAGGCTTTGGAGGGCGTGGTTTGCCTCTTGAAATTCCTTGCTCGTCTTTAGAAAGCTGTGTTGCTTAGAGCACCCAAAAGTGCCCTTTATCTAACTGAGGGAGGCGCACTTGTCTTCATATATAGAGGCAGGAGCTGGCATTGGGAAAGTCAAACTAGTTCTGCACCATGAGGAAGAAGCAGCTGAAGACGGAGGCAGCTCCACACTGTGAACTAAGTAAGTAGCCCAGGGAAGCTGCCCAGCTGAGCAGACCTGAAAGGGTGACAAGTACAGCTCTAGCAATTTTATTTTCTAGTTATAATAGAAGTTGCCAAAGGAAAGGTTCCGATCTGGAGGAACTTCATCAAACCTTTCTGAAACTCCACAGATGTACTGTAGCGAGAATCTCAGAACTAATTTGTGCATTTTCTTTTTTCTCCAGGAGAAATTCTGTATGAAAACCAACCTGCTCCAGGAAGCCAAGCCCCCCCCCCCCACTTTTTTTTGGTCCCCGAGTTTGTTTTTACTTCGCACTTTATTTGGATTTTTCTCTTTGCAGTTCACGCTCCTTTCCTCATTTCTTGGTCTCTCTTACTAATGAAATTTTCTCCTAGCTGTTTTTACGTGAATAAAGAAGCTCAATTACCTTTAATGCTGTAAGCAGTGCGAGGGGTCGGGGAGTGAGGGTGGCGGGAGGATCTAATGTTTTTGGTGGCTGTAAACGACATTGCAGAAAATTACGGTAATTTGTTAGGCCATTTATTCCCTCTTCACCAGTTTGGCAGTCTCATCTTCAGAGCAAAAGATACGGTGTGAGGCTGAAACTGGCGATAGAGTGGGATTGCTTTTGGGTAGGTAGGATGAAGTCTGGGGAGAATCGAGTCAGCTGGGCGAGGAGGAAAACAATTCACTACGGAGGCTTGGGAGGACACCTAAGGCGGTCAAACTGGCTGCACTAGCTGATGTTTCTCGGTTCCTCCCAGGTGTGGGGTGCTCTTGGTGGGGCAGCAGATACTATGATGTGGCTCTGGGGGCGCGAGGAAATGTTCCTTCCAGGTGGCTATCCTTTTTTTTTGAGACAGGGTTTTGCTCTGCCACCCAGGCTGGAGTGCAGTGGCACGATCTTGTCTCACCGCAGCCTCCACCTCCCAGGCCCAAGTGATTCTCCCACCTCAGCCCCCGAGTAGCTGGGACCACAGGCGGGCGCCGTGATGCCTGGCTAATTTTTTTTTTTTTTTAGACGGAGTTTTCGCTCTTGTTTCCAAGGCTGGAGTGCAATGGCGCGATCTCGGCTCACTGCACCTCCGCCTCCCGGGTTCAAGCGATTCTCTTGCCTCAGCCTCCCGAGTAGCTGGGATTACAGGCATGCGCCACCACGCCCGGCTAATTTTGTATTTTTAGTAAAGACGGGGTTTCTCCATGTTGGTCAGGCTGGTCTCAAACTCCCGATCTCAGGTGATTCGCCCGCCTGGGCCCTCCAAAGTGCTGGGAGTACAGGCGTGAGCCACCGCGCCCGGCCTTTGCTTGGCTAATTTTAAAATTTTTTGTAGAGACCGGGTCTCACTATGTTGCCCAGGCTGGTATCGAACTCCTGGACTCAAGTGATCCTCCCGCCTCGGTCTCCCAAAGTGCTGGGCATTACAAGTGTGAGCCTCCGCGCCTGGCCTGGCTACCCTTTACAGGATAGAGCTATACCTCGTAGCTTGATTGTCAGTACCTAACGTGGCGCCACGGCGAACTAGGGCAGGAATCTTATCTGTCCCCAGACTGCTAGCGGACTGGAGCTCCCCAGTCCAGGGGCTGTGTGGGTCTGGCCAACGCAAGCAGCAACTAGGCAGCATGCAGCTCCCGCCGGGTGCCCCAGGGGCCGCCGCGTGCCCCAGGGGCCGCCGCATCCAGACTCCGCGTGGGCGGAGCCTAGGTCCCTGGTCTGCGGGCCACGCATCCCGGCCGCTGCAGGGACTCCAGCCAATAGGGATGTGCGGCTGCCGTCCTGTCGACCAATCGCGGGGAGGGGAGGGCGTTAGCCAGCGTGGCGCTGGCTCCCGGAATATGGAGCCCTGGGCGCGGGGGCGGCGTGTCAGGTGGTTGCGGAGCTGGTAAGGTGAGGGGAAGGCAAGGTCAGGGGTCACGGCATTCCGCTCGCTGGCAGGGAGGGGCGCGGGGCGGCTCGAGGGCCTGTGTCGGGGGTCAGGCTCCGGGGCTAGGATGCGACACCGGCTCGCCGTGCGGGGCTGTGAGGGGAGGTGTGGCCAGGGAGGGCCTCAGGCCCAGAGTCCAGGACTGATGGAGTCGCGCCATTCAGAGAAAGACCCAAAGATGGGGGCAGGGAGGGAACGCCGGAGGTCGCGGGGGTCTCGCCCCTTCCCCGCCGCGGCCTAGGACACATGGCCCAGCTCCCAGCTGCACCGGATGGCGCGCCCGGCCTGTGTCGGGGTGCGCTGACCTGCTTCGACGCCTCGAAAGAGGCCGACGGGCACAGGGCAAGGTCTTTCGTGGCCTCTTCGTCGGCGCCGCAGGGGGCCGGGCTGCTCTCCGGGGCCTCCCGCCGCCCCGCTTCAACAAAAGACTCATTATAACCTAACCGACTTCAGGGAGCGCCTTCTGTGTGAATAGCCTGCATACGCGGCTCAGTAATTGTGGGTAGATTGGTTTTAAGGCTGTTTGTGTAGCTCTCAGGGACCCTCTGGATTCCAGGCTCCAATGAGCAGGGTTTTTCTACAGGGGGATATTGCACATATGTAAGTGGGCTGGATGGCTCTCCCAGCTGTGCGTTTCATGTGTCCCCACTTTTAAAGCTACCGCTTAAATGTGACATCTCTTGCAAAAGCAAAAATTATATGGAAGGAGAGTTTGCAAGGGGAGATAGGCTTCTAAAAACTTGCTGGCCTCAATTTTAGTGACTGTTGGTGAAAAATGGAGAAGCTATGTTTACACTGACTTCTGGAACCCGAAGCCCCACCAGTTCGCATGATTTCTTGGCTTTGTAAATCTTTGAGCATGTTGTTTGCCTCTTTCTTCTTTTGTTCCACGTACTTAAAATGGGGATTGATAATATCAGTCTTACAGGGTTGTTGGTATGAAATTAGTTAATAAACAACAAAGTACTTAGAACTCTTGATGTGGAGGAGTTTTTGTTGTTGTTACCTTCTTTCCCCTTAACACTTCTAAAGAATTCTAACCTTATTACTTATTCTTTGCTCAGAGTCTCATGACTTATCACCAGTGAACCCGCCGGCCTATACTTTCCATTGACATCATTAACTTTGATCTGAGGGTATAGTGTAGTTATATGTGACTAGAGGATTTCTGCTGCGTGTTTGTTTTATTAAATACGGTTGGAAACTATCATTATACTAGGTCATTTATTGTGATACCTGTGTTGGGTAAATGAAACCTGAAACCTTCGGCTGTTTATTTTTTCATTGGACAGTATTTCATTGACAGTCTTGCTTGGCCTACTCAGTTTATTTTGGAGCCAGTACTAAAAAGGCCATGATTGCAGCATACTTGGTTTCTCATGTTTCCGGAATGGCAGTGGGACTCGGGAGGGGAATTTCTGGGTAGCCTGGCAGCACTTCTTGTTAAGGAATGGGGAAGCTTCTTATGAATCTAATCTTACTCTAATGTTAGGAAATCAGCAGTGGTCCCTTGGATTACTCTACAAAGCTAGTAGGCAGCTTTGGTTCAGTTATGACTCAGTGAAGGTTAGAGAATTATATCTACAAAGTAGGATCTTTTTCTTTCTTTCTTTCGTTTTTTGATACGGAGTTTCGCTCTTGTTGCCCAGGCTGGAATGTAATAGCGCGATCTCGGCTCACTGCAACCTCTGCCTCCCGGGTTCAAGCGATTCTCCTGCCTCAGCCTCTTGATGCCTGGCGAATTTTTTTTGTATTTTTAGTAGTGACGGGGTTTCACCATGTTGGCCAGGCTGGTCTGGAACTCCTGACCTCAAGTGATCCACCTGTATCGGCCTTCCGAAGTGCTGGGGTGGTGTGAGCCACCGCGCCCTGCCAGATCTTTCTTGTTTGACTTTCATTGCTAAGAATTTGGGTGAGTGTTGTTGAATCAAAGACATCTTTATTCTCTGCCTCCTCACCATGCACATACGTACAAATGTCTGCTGACAGATATCTGCCCTTCCTATGGCCTTAAAAAGCCTTCTCATATTCTCGTGGTGCTATCTGGGATACACCAGTGGAAGACTGCTTTGTCTTCTAATTCTTCCCTTCAAAGAAGCGGCTATTTATACACATAGCATTATTAGGAACTAGTCAGAAAATGAGAAACTTTAAGTTTATGAAAAAAAACATTGCTTACTTCAGCTGCATGCTGGCCAAATTTAGTTGAAGTGCAGTTGGTATAAGTTTAGTTGTTTAGTTTTGGAATAAGAGAGTTCAAGACTTCCCCTCCCACCCCCCACAAGACAAGGTCTGGCTCTGTAACCCAGGTTGGAGTGCAGTGGCATGATCACAGCTCACTGCAGGGTTGACCTCCCAGGCTCAAGTGATTCTCCTGCCACAGCCTCCCTAGTAGCTGGGAGTACAAGTGCATGCCACCACCCCTAATTTTTAAAAATTTTTTTGTGGAGATGGAGTCTTACTAGGTTGCCCAGGTTGTCTTGAGCCCCTGGGTGCCAGCCACCGTGCCCAACCAGTTTAATACTTCTTTAGGATTTAAAGTTGGAAGTTGGCCTGGTAAGAGTGAAGGACAATGTCTTTGTAATCTGTTTTTCCCTGAGAGGCATGGGAATGACACCTTTAAAGAACTGAGTGTGTTTGAGGCAGAAAGGGAAGTCTGCTGCCCTAATATTGTCATTATTATCATCTCTCTGAGGCTCTGTAGTTTGAGTAAAACATTCTGGGAAAAAAGGTAGGGGCATTTGAATGAGCGGAATATAATGAATTAGAAGATGCAGACCATGTCTCACTTACTTGCTGCCATTTATTCTTTATTTTTATATTTTTGAGACAGGGTCTCGCTCTCTTGCCCAGGCTGGAGTGCAGTGGTTCAGTCTTGGTTCACTGCAACCTCCACATTCCAGGCTTAAGCGATCCTCCCACTAGAGCCTCCTGAGTTGCTGGGACTACAGGCTTGCGCCACCATGCTCAGCTAATTTTTAATTTTTTTGTAGAGTTGAGTTCTCACTATATTGCCCAGGCTGGTCTTGAACTCCTAGGTTCAAGCAATCTTCCTGCCTTGGCCTCCCAAAGTGCTGGGATTACAGGCATGAGCCACTGCGCCCAGCCTTGCCATTTATTCTTTTTATAATTTAACAAATATTTATGGAGCAATTTACATTAATTGGCCCCTTGAGACACAAAGAAGAGCCTTCAAGGCATCATCAGGAATATTCTAGATACAATAAAATGACATGTATATAATAAGGTATATTTTAATGAAATCATAATGGAATATAAAACAATTGGCCAGCAATGATCAAAATGGCCTAACTTCTCTTCCACTTTTAATTTCAGGTTAAAGTAATTTATATTTTTTGGCATAAGGAACAAATTAGGGTTTTTAGTCTTGTTTTGGTGCTTATTGCCGATAAGTCATTTTGTGTCAGGTTTGTGTTTGTTTTGGTCTCATCTCTACTAAGCTGATAGCTGTTAAAACTCCTAGGAAATGAAAGAAGAAAGCTACAAGTTAATTATTAAAACTTTACCAGGTTTCAAAGAGCAGAAAGAGGCTTGTTAAAGGCTGGAGAATCTTGTAGTATATATTGTCTTAATTTTTCTTTGCTTTTAGGAAAAGAAACTTGGAGGACAATATTTACTTAAAGTTGTTAAGGTCAATCTACATCATTTGGGAGCCAATATCCATCATTAGGAAAAATGGGTTGAATGTAATCTAATGAAAATTCTTCATATTTGCCAGAGAAAAGCTACTTAAGTGTGAGGACAAAACATATTTTCTGAGGCAAGAAGTAGGTATAGGCTGGTTTAATAGGGGATTTTTTTTTTTTTTTTTTTGGAAAAAAGTAATTTTTTTTTTTTTTTAATGGAGACTGGGTTTCTTGCTATGTTGCCCAGGCTGGTCTCAAGCTTTTGGGCTCACGCAATCCTCCCGCCTCAGCCTCCCAAAGTGCTAAGGGATTACAGATGTGAGCCACCATGGCCAGTCTAATAGGGAATTTTCTTATTCCAATAGAAAGGGGTCTTTGAAATTGTTCACAGAGCTTGGCATTGTGTTCCATGATAGAGGTGTCAGATCAGGAGGCCAGGTTTGTCCCCCAAAAGGAAACACACTGCTGTAAACTTCTGGTTAGGAGGAAGTTTAGAGGAAGCTCACACAGAGTTGGGAAGAACAAAGACGAAGCTATAGTCACTGGAAGTAAGACTTTAGTGACCCTGACTTGTGAGCATTCAGGGAGATTTGGAAGCTGGTTAAGCCTCAAGAGTGCTGATGGGAGAAGGTGAAGAGTTGTATTTAATGGGTACCAGCCCCTTCTAATTCTGATGTCTCTGGTTGATGTGTGATATTTTTGTTTAAAAGATAAGTACTCCTTGACAGCCTGGCCACATTTCTCCCAACTGTTATCGTTTTTGACACCCAGGCAGCTGGTTTCATTATCAGCTGTACTCTTCCTCCTTACATCTTCCTCCCCCCTCCTCTTCTTGCTTCCTAACATTTTCTCCACTTTCTCTTTTTCTTTTTTCTTTATCTTAAGATGGTCTCAATGTCAGGTTTTTCATTCAACTACAAAACACTTAAAAGTCCAGCTCAGGTGAGAAACAGCAAACTTGGTGTTGAGTTGAAGTTGTGGTTGTCTTTTTTTTTTTTTGAGACAGGGTCTCACTATGTCACCCAGGCTGGAGAGCAGTGGTGTGATCTCAGCTCACCGCAACCTCTGCCTCCCAGGCTCAAGCGATTCTCCTGCCTCAGCCTCCCAAGTAGCTGGGATTACAGGCACGTGCCACTACTGCCTGGCTAATTATTGTATTTTTAGTAGAGATGGGGTTTTGCCATGTTGGCAAGGCTGGTCTTGAACTCCTGACCTCAAATGATCCACCTGCCTCTGCCTCCCAAAGTGCTGGCATTATGGGTGTGAGCCACCGCGCCTGGCCCGAAATTGTGGTTTTGTAAGTTAAATAGGATGTCTCCAATTTTGAGATTATTACTAGGGCATGCAAAGTATGGTTTGGTGTCTGTAGGGGATTGGTTCCAGGACCTCACTCACATGCATACCAAAATCCTGGGATGATGCTTAAGTCCCTATAAAATGGTGTAGTATTTGCATTTAACTTATGTACATCGTCCCATGTACTTAAAATCACCTCTAGATTAGTTATATCAATTATAATCCCCCTCTTTTTCTTCTAGACAGGGTCTCGCTTTGTCATCCAGCCTGGAGCGTAGTGGTGCAATCATGGTTCGCTGCAGCTTTGACTTCCTGGGCTCAAGGGATCCTCCCACCTTAGCCTCCTGAGTAGTTGGGACTACAGGAGTGTGGCCATCACACATGGCTAATTCTTAAATTTTTTGTAGAGACAATGTCTCACTATGTCGCCCAGGCTGGTCTCAAATTTCTGGGCTGCCTCAGCCTCCCAAAGTGCTGGGATTACAGGTGTGAGCAACTGCACTGGGTCTATAATACTTAATACAATGTAATTGCTATGTAAATAATTGTTCTGTATTGTTTAGGGAATAATACCAAGAAAAAAATGGTGTATATGTTCAGTACAGGCACAAGCAACCGTTTTTTCCCCCAAATCTTTTTGATCTGCAGTTGTTTGAAACCACAAATGTGGAACCCAGGGTTACAGAGGCCTGACTGTATCTCAGTGGCCATTATGCCAGAGAGAGAGAGAGAGACTGGTTCATGTTAAGCGCATTGTATAATAGCAGCTCTGTTTGTACTTTATAAACTGAGTGTGTTTGTGTGGCTTTTGGTTGAAGACATTCTAATATTACCCACTTGAGTAGAGGGGATTAGAGTTTTGAGGCCTTTTTCTAAAATGAATACTTACCACAGGGGCTTTTCACTGTTTACCATGAAGTACACATAATCAGTCTTCAACCTGACTTTTTTTTTCTGTGTATCATTTTATATCAAATTCATTTTAATAAGAGGAAAACAGGATAAACTTACTCCAGTGTAAAAAATAATACCTCACTTGAGCCCAGGAGTTTGAGACCAGCCTGAGTAACATAGCAAGACCCCACCTTTACAAAAAAAAAAAAAAGCCAGCTGTGGTGGTACGTGCCTGTAGTCTCAGCTACTTGGGAACTTGGGAGGCTGAGGTGGGAGGATCACTTGAGCCTGGGATTGTGCAACTGCACTGTAGCCTGGGAGGCTAGAAATATGTAAATAATTGTTCTGTAAGACCCTGTCTCAAAAAATAAAATAAAAAACAATACCAGACTTTATACCTTCAAGAACAATTTGGAAATTCACATGTCTATTCTAAGCTGTTTCTTTCCCCACACCTCGAATGGGAGCAGATTGAGTTTTAGAACTAATTGGGCTGGGCATGGTAGCTCATACCTGTAATCCCAGCACTTTGGAAGGCTGAGGTGGATGGATCCTTTGACCCCAGGAGTTCAAGACCAGCCTGGGCAACATGGTGAAACCATGTCTCTACAACAAATACAAAAATTGGCAGGGCATGGCACACGCCTCTAGTCCCAGCTACTTGGGAGGCTGAGGCGGGAGGATCACTTGAGCCCAGGAGGTTGAAGCTACAGTGAGCTGAGACCACGCCACTGCACTCCAGCCTGGGTGACAGAGCAAGACACTATCTCAAAAAAAAAAAAAAAAAAAAAGTTGGATGGATATTTTTGATAGACTCAGAAAATGCTGCTTCTTCATGACCTAGAATGGAAAAATAGAGGGAGAGTAATAATCTCTTATTTTAAAAAAGTGATTAATAACCTTCCTCATTAAAATACATAGGGTTCAGAAAATAATTAGCTCTGTTTGAGCTGCTAGAATATTTCAGAAAGTTTTGTTGACTGTCAGTCATCCAAATGGCAGGAGCCCACCTTCATGAAGAGCACCTGGTACAACAAGGTGTTGTGTTAATAATACAGTAATGGTTTAGTAGAACTGTCAAGTACTTTGGCCTTGAAGTAGACCATTAGGGAAAAGAGAATTTTAGAAGAATCTAGAAACCTTTTCATTTTCTTTAGGACAAATATAATTTTTTTAAAAAATGAGAATTCTTTGTTATTCTCTAATAAACACTTTGGGTGTCGCTAAGCCTTGATCTGTGCACCTAGCAGTTTCTCTTTTGTCACTAGCATGTCTCTGGCACTGAACAGTGCCTGAGGAAGAATGAACTGAACAGTGTCAAGAGGAAGAGGTGGCTTTGCCATGTAGCTTGAACGCATTCTTGCTAGCATTTATTTCATCAGTTACTTCCATGAAGACACCTTTCTGGCTGCTTCTATGAAAGTTTTTTCCTATTTAATGTTGTCTTTGATTTTATTGAGATGAGGAAGGTGATGAAAAAAAAGGAGGAAAGAATTAAGGGACTGTATTTAAAAACATTCCTCTCTAAACCTACAATTAATTTTAGGGAGACCTTTTCAGCTGTAAGACTAGTGAAATGGTTTTGAGTACCTTTATTCTCTATAGGGGAATTTTATATGAAAACGAATTATTTCAAACCCAAACTATTTATTTATTTATTTATTTGTTTATGACAGACAGGGTCTTGCTCTGTAGCCCAGGCTGGGGTGCCCTGATCACGGCTCACTGCAGCCACAACCTCCCAGGCTCAAGCAGTCTGCCCACCTCAGTCTCCCAAGTAGCACGCACTACCACACCCAGCTAATTTTTGTATATTTTTTGTAGGGATGGGGTTTTGCCCTGTTGCCCAGGCTGGCATTGAACTCTGCTCGCCTTGGCCTTCCAAAATGCTAGGATTACAGGCTTGAGCCACCGCACTCGGCCCAAACTTTTGTTTTAACCGTAGATTAAAAAAAAAAAAGTTGAAGTTGTATATATTAATACTCAGTATTTCAAACTTTCTTAGGGGCAGTTTTCTGTTTTGTGTTTTTTGTTTTTTTTTTGAGATGGGGTCTTGCTTGGTTGCCCAGGCTGGAGTGCAGTGGCATGATCTCGGCTCACTGCAACCTCCACTTCCCAGGTTCAAGCGTTTCTCCTGCCTCAGCCTCCCAATAGCTGGGATTACAGGCACCCACAACCACGCCCGGCTAATTTTTGTATTTTTAGTAGAGACGGGGTTTTGTCATGTTGGCCAGGCTGGTCTCGACCTCCTGACCTCAAGTGATCCACCCACCTTGGCTTCCCAAAGTGCTGGGATTACAGGTGTGAACCACCCCACCCAGCCAGGGGCAGTTTTTAAAACAGGTTTGGGCTATCCAAATTGTTCTTCCAGAGTTCTTATAAATGCTAAGAGAATATACAGAATTACTGTTAATTAGATGTTAGAATTTATTATAGCTAGTATGTGTTTTGGGGGGTAACTTAATTTTCATATAATTTCAAACTTGCAGAAAAGTTGTAAGAGTAGTACCAGGGAATGGACAATTTTCAAGAAAATGACAGTGGTAAGCAGTGGGTGCCTTGAGGGAACACGGAGAAGCCACTTAAGCCAAATTAGGGAGTCAGGAATGCTTTCCTGAGAGGGGATTTTTAATATTTTGCATTTAGGTGGCACTAAGACAAACTAGTAGTAAGTTAGGCTGAAGGCAATAAATACCTGCCAATTAGACAGCTGTAGACTTCTGATTATCTATTGCAGAAGCTTTATCAGAGAGTTCAACTGAACATCCCTAAAATGTTTGTTGAGAAGCTGAGTGAATCTATATGACCTTGACATTTTTTATAAGGCAAATAATACATGTATCTGGTAAAACTTCTTTTTATGTGCAAAAGGTATACAGTGTATATTCAGTGAGAGGTTTTCCCTTCACATGACCTCATTTGGGCTCTCCTACTCCTTCCTTCTCTCAGGGATGGCCTTTATTACCAGTTTTTGGTGTGTCCTTTGGAGATTGTACGTGTACGTGTGTGTTTTCTCTTTTTTCTTTTTGCTACATACATGATAGCATGCTGCTCAACAAATTGGTCTTTTGACTTGACAACATGTAATATTTTAGAGATTGTATCCTATCTATACATGATAGATCGTCTTATTTATAGTGGTTGCATGGTATTCTGTCCAATGAATGTGCACAGTTTATTCAACCAGTCCTCTACTAATATCAAGGTTGTTTACAGTCTTTTCATACTACAAACAATGCTGTGGGAAATATCCTTGTACATATTTCCTTGATGAGTACTTTTTGCTTTTTTTTTTTAAAGAATACATTTTTAGGAGTAAAATTGCTAGATCAAAGAATATGTAGACTTTTGAAATTTTAGACAGAAAATAAAATTTTGTTAGCATTTTTATCTTGTAAAACAGTCTTACAACACTTTTTTTTTGAGACAGGGTCTTGCTTTGTCACCCAGGCTGGAATGCAGTGGCCTGATCAACACTCACTGCAGCCTTGACCTCCCAGACTCAGGTGATCCTCCCACCTTAGCCTCCCGGGACTACAGACGCCCACCACCACACCCAACTAATTTTTTTTTTTTTTTTTTTTTTTTGAGACAGAGTTTTGCTCTTGTCACCCAGGCTGGAGTGCAGTGGCGCGATCTCGGCTTATTGCAACCTCCGCCTCCCAGGTTCAAGCAATTCTCCTGCCTCAGCCTCCCCAGTAGCTGGGATTACAGGTGTTCACCACCACACCCGGCTAACTTTTTTTTTTTTTTTGAGATGGAGTCTCCCCCTGCCACCCAGGCTGGAGTGCAATGGTGCGATCTCAACCCACTGCAACCTCTGCCTCTCAGGTTCCAGTGAATCTCCTGCCTCAGCCTCCTGAGTAGCTGGGATTACAGGCATGCGCCACTACACTGGCTAATTTTTTGTATCTTAAGTAAAGATGGGGTCTCACCATGTTGGCCAGGCTGGTCTCAAGCTCTCGACCTCACGATCTGCCCGCCTCAGCCTCCCAAAGTGCTGGGATTACAGGCGTGAGCCACTGCACCTAGCTTTAATTTTTGTATTATTAGTAGAGATGGGGTTTCACCATATTGGCCAGGCTGGTCTCGAACTCCTGACCTCAGGTGATCTACCTGCCTCAGCCTCCGAAAGTGCTGGGATTACAGGTGTGAGCCACCGTGTCCGGCCTCCACCTAGCTAATTTTTGTATATTTTGTAGAGATGGGGTTTCTCTATGTTGCCCAGGCTGGTCTTGAACTCCTGGGCTTAAGCAATCTGCCTGCCTTGGCCTCCCGAAGTGTTAGGATTACAGGCATGAGCCACTACAGCCAGCCAGTCTTACAACTTTTGTTAGAGAATGGGATAAAATAGGCTGGGCATGGTGGCTCACGCCTGTAATCCCAGCACTTTGGGAGGCTGAGGTGGGCAGATCACAAGGTCAGGAGATCGAGACCATCCTGGCCAACACGGTGAAACCCCGTCTTTACTAAAAATACAAAAATTAGCCGGGCATGGTGGCATGCGCCTGTAATCCCAGCTACTAGGGAGGCTGAGGCAGGAGAATGGGATAAAATAGTCATATTACATTTAACCATGAGTGCCATTTTTTTTCTGTCAATTGCTGTTCGATAGGAAGAAACTTAATGGGTTTAAGAGAAGGTGACACTTTATGGTTAGGGGTAAGCTGGAATATCAAAGCAATGTTAATCATAATTGTGATGGTTACTTATCAAAGTATTGCTGGGTTGATTCTAGTTGTTTGTGTCCTAACTCTGGATCTTTTCCTTAATGTGACGAAGTAACTGAAACAACCTGGTGCTACAGCCCTGGAGAGCAAAACTGTCTTAATATTAACTTACTGCTTCCATATGGGTCATAAATTTTCATGGAGACTTGAATGCTGTGCATAACTGGCCTGGCCCTTTCTATTCCTCCCTAGTTTTTTTTTTTTTTAACTATTTAATTATTTATTTTTTATAAGATGGAGTCTTGCTCTGTTGCCCAGGCTGGAGTGCAGTGGCGCAATCTCAGCTCACTGCAACCTCCACCTCCCAGGTTTAAGCGATTCTCCCGCCTCAGCCTCCTGAGTAGCTGGGATTACAGGCATGCACCATGATGCCTGGCTAATTTTGTATTTTTAGTAGAGGCAGGGTTTCTCCATGTTGGTCAGGCTTGTCTTGAACTCCCGACCTCAGGTGATCCGCCTGCCTCAGCCTCCCAAAGTGCTGGGATTACAGGTGTGAGCCACTGCGCCCGGCCCCTCCCTAGTTTTATTAATTTTTTTTTTTTTAATGAGACGGAGTCTTGCTCTGTTGCCCAGGCTGGAGTGCAGTGGTGCAATATTGGCTCACCGCAACCTCCACCTCCCGGGTTCAAGCGATTCTCCCGCTTTAGCGTTCCGAGTAGCTGGGATTACAGGCATGCGCCACCACGCTGGCTAACTTTTGTATTTTTAGTAGAGATGGGGTTTCACCATGTTGGCCAGGCTGGTCTCGAACTCCTGACCTCAGGTGATCTGCCTGCCTCAGCCTCCCGAAGTGATGAGATTACAGGCGTGAGCCACCACGCCTGACCTCTTTTATTTTATTTTATTTTATTTTGAGACAGAGTTTTACTCTGTCGCCCAGGCTGGAGTTCAGTGGCATGATCTCGGCTCACTGCAACCTCTACCTCCTGGGTTCAAACGATTCTCCTGCTTCTGCCACCCTAGTAGTTGGAATTACAGGCACCTACCACCACGCCTGGCTAATGTTTGTATTTTTAGTAGAGACGGGGTTTCACCCATGTTGGCCAGGCTGGTATTGAATTTCTGACCTCAGGTGATCCGCCCACTTCAGCCTCCCAAAGTGGTGGGATTAGAGACGTGAGCCACCGCCTCCGGCCCCAAGTTTTATTCTGTAGGCACTGTAATGAAACATGTAGTTTGTTGACTAAAAGCTTTGTTGAAAAGGCTGGAGACTGGAATCTAGAATTTGTTTTCTTTCTTGAAATAATTCATTCTTGAGATTTCAGATAGAAGACGAAACTTTTTGTATTTGAACGGCTCTGTATGTACTTGGTATAGGAATGAACTTAGAATATCACTAATAATTATTTAAAATTTTATCATGAAATATTTCTGTCTAAAAATATTTGCAGACTACAGTCCTGGGAAGATCACGCTATTACCTTAATTGTTTGCTTTTAAAATATAACTTAAAAGCCTATTTTGGTGCTTGCTTCGGCAGCACGTATACTAAATTGGAACAATCAAGAGAAGATTAGCATGGCCTCTCTGCACAAGGATGACACGCAAATTTGTGAAGTGTTCCATATTAAAAGAAAAATTTTTGTCCAGGGGCAGTGGCTCATGCCTGTAATCCCAGCACTTTGGGAGGCCGTGGTGGGTGGATCACCTGAGGTCAGGAGTTTCAGACCAGCCTGGCCAACATGGCAAAACCCCATCTCTACTAAAAATAGAAAAATTAGCTGGGTGTGGTGGCACGTGCCTGTAATCCCAGCTACTCGGGAGGCTGAGGTAGGAGAATCGCTTGAACCCGGGAGGCGGAGGTTGCAGTGAGCCAAGATCGCACCACTACACTCCAGCCTGAGTGACGGAGTGAGACTCCATCTCAAAAAAAAATAAAAACTTTTAAGGCCTGTTTTGCCTATTCTGGATAAAAATCTTCCTCAGATGTAGACGAGACATTTCTGTGTCTTCTTTTTCTTCTTTTTTAGACAAGGCCTCGCTGTGTCACCCAGGCTGGAGTGCAGTGGTGCGATCATGGCTCACCGCAGCCTTGACCCCAGGGCTCAAGCAGTTCTCCTAGTTCAGTCTCCCAAGTAGCTGGCACCACAGACATGCACTACCACGCCCAGGTGATTTTCCAGTGCCTTAAACAGTGCCCAGCTGATTTTCCAGTGCCTTAATGATATTAATCATCATTACAAAAGTGATTTACAGCCTGGCCAACATGATGAAACCCTGTCTGTACTGAAAAAAAAAAATACAAAAATTAGCCGGGCTCGGTGGTGGGCGCCTGTAATCCTAGCTACTTCGGAGGCTGAGGCAGGAGAATCACTTGAACCTAGGAAGCAGAGGTTGTAGCGAGCTGAGATCATGCCATTGCACTCCAGCCTAGGTGACAAGAGTGAAACTCTGTCTCAAAAAAAAAAAAAAAAAAGCAATTTAATTCATTCAGCTCATTTTGATCAGGGCCACAATTGGAAACTTGAGTTATTATACTTGCAGTAATATTCTCAGAACTGATTGACGCATAAGGAAGGACTGTTTGCCTCATATCAAATAGCCCAAGACTAATTGATGTACTTGAGTTTTTTGATTCCTCAGTGTGCCAAGTTCCTCTTTTCCTGGAAGAGCTATGCATAGTTCCAGATCTGATTTGTGGTTTCCAATTTATTGTGGGTTAAGACAATCTGATAACATTAGTTTGTTACAATTATATGTAAAACAAAAGTAAAAAGGCTTTGCCGGGAACGTCGGGGCTGTGCTGTGATTGGAATCCAAGTGAGTACTGCTACTCTGAGTGGTCAAATATTTAAATCCCATTTAGGTGAGGTGCTATTGTCATTGACTGAAAGAGGGGTTGAATTTAGTCAGTATTATTGGGGGCTGTTGGCTGATGTTTAGTCATCTGGTGGCTTAAAACCTGACAGGAGACACATGGCTAGTTGTCCGTTGTAATATAATACTTGGCATTGGTGACTCTAGAGAGGAAGGATTATGTTTTCCAAATTAGCAGGTGGTGGTATATATGCCCCAGAAGACAGATGAAACCTAAAAAGAAAAGAAAAGCTCCTTTCTGGTCTGAATTCTGTAATTCTATAAGTACAGAATATGTTGGTAGATAGAAAGATTACCCAAAACCTGAAACAGCAAGTAGAAGATTGTTCATGTAGGAACAACATATAAGGGACAAGGGTGGAAAAAAGACTAGATTTAAGCAGTAAAAGATCATTAAGCGAGGCTTCATCACTTCTTCAGTAGGACAGTTATTATTGGGATTCAAAGAGGGGCTTATCAATGAATACTATGTTGTCCTTCCCCTTCTAAATTTGAAATCAACTGAGAAGTAGATAAGAAGATTGAAACATTTTTTTTTTAATAGCCTTATTGGTAAGGCTCAATGGAGAATATGCCATAGATCTGTTCCCAAGTGAGCTTGCTAAAATCCTCCCTCCCAATTAAACTTAACAGGATGATGGACATCTGGAACTTCCACCCCACCCCTGACTCCACCCGCCCCACTGCGGGTTGCTTAGTACAGGACCTGTAGACAAAGGCTGGCATCCCACACGCTATGCTTAATCCTGCTGGTGCTTCAGCTCTCTTGGAGAGCTTGGGAGGGGCTGGGCCACGGGTGACTAGTTTCTTCTAGTTGTCAGAGGGTTGAGGAATGAGGTCTAGAACATTATGGCTGCAGACTTTACTTTCTTAGGAAGATTTGAGGCTGCCAAATAGTGGCCTTCCACTACCAGTATGCTTGTATGGTGCTTTTTCCTACCCTTTCTAGAAGATTGAACCATGAGCTTAAATTACATATTTTAGACCAAAGAGAATTACAGATTTCTGTCCTTAAAAACTCATAAAATAGGCTGGGCGTGGTGGCTCATGCCTGTAATCCCAGCACTTTGGGAAGTGGGGTGGGCGGATCATGAGGTCAGGACTTTGAGACCAGCGTGGCCAACATGGTCAAACCGTGTCTCTACTAAAAATACAAAAATTAGCCAGGCATGGTGGCACACGCCTGTAATCTCAGCTATTCTGGAGGCTGAGGCAGGGGAATCGCTTGAACCCAGGAGGCAGAGGTTGCAGCGAGCTGAGATCGTGCCACTGCACTCCAGCCTGGACAACAGAGTGAGACTCCGTCTAAAAAAACTAAAAAAAAAACAAAAAAAAACAACTCATAAAATAGGGGGAAATGTGTCTGGCTTTAGACACTTGGGATAATTTGGAGGCAAAGGCAGAGAATGGATACTTGCCTAGCAGCCTCTGTGTAGATGCTTATTAAAAAAGTATTTGCCTGGCCAGGTGCGTTGGCTCATGCCTATAATCCCAGCACTATGGGAGGCTGAGGCGGGCGGATCACGAGGTCAGCAGATCGAGACCATCCTGGCTAACACGGTGAAACCCTGTCTCTACTAAAAATACAAAAAATTGGCTGGGCGTGGTGGCGGGCACCTGTAATCCCAGCTACTCGGGAGGCTGAGGCAGGAGAATCACTTGAACCCAGGAGGCAGAGGTTGCAGTGAGCTGAGATTGCACCACTGCACTCCAGCCTGGGCGACAGAGCAAGACTCCGACTCAAAGACTCAAAAAAAAAAAAAATGGTATTTGCTGTCTCACTAAAATACCTCCTGTTCAATTTGTCCACCACCCCCTGCCATCCGTGAAGGGTTTCACAGTGAAAGCCAGAAAGCCTGCTAGACACATTCTAAAAGAGCTGTAACACTTCAATTTGGTTTTGAAGTCTTGCCAGCAAAATCTTGACTAAGACTTTTCTTTTTTTGTTAAATATCTGTCAGTCATATTCTGAAAACTGTAATTATTTTCAAGGTTACCTAATTCAGTAGAAAAATTACTCTTTTCATAGTAAGGATTCAGTCATACAGAGTAACAAACTGCTGGTTCTGAACTTGTTAGTTTGTTCTTCCTAATTCTTCTCCCTCACTTTTCTCCTTTCCAGAATCATATTCTAAGAACTCAGCCACTCAGGTATCCACCATGGTGCTGGGTCCTGAACAGAAGATGTCAGATGGTAATTTACCGCTTTGTGTTATTGTCTAATTTTATTTGTAATTAGGTTTATGTTGGTAACAGAAATTTATCATATTTTTCCTCTTGTCATCATCTGTCATCATCTATTCTAACAACTCCATTCAAAAGTCACCATCTGGTGACTTAGGCTGTAAATGAAAATGGATTTTTTTTTTTTTTTTGAGGTGGAGTCTCTGTCACCCAGGTTGGAGTGCAGTGGCACAATCTCGGCTCACTGCAACCTCCGCCTCATGGGTTCAAGTGATGCTCCTGCTTCAGCCTCCCGAGTAGCTGTGACTAAAGGCACACGCCACAATGCCCGGCTAATTTTTGTATTTTTAGTAGAGACAGGGTTTCGCCATGTTGGCCAGGCTGTTCGCAAATGCCTGACCTCAAGTGATCCGCCCGTCTCAGCCTCCCAAAGTGCTGGGATTACAAGCATGAGCTACCGCGCCCATCCTGAAAACAGAATGTTTTTTTTTTGTTTGTTTGTTTGGTTTTTTTTTTGAGGCGGAGTTTTGCTCTAGTTGCCCAGGCTAGTTAGTGTTCAGTGGCACTGTGTCGGCTCACTGCAACCTCCGCCTCCCCGGTTCAATGGATTCTCCTGCCTCAGCATCACGAGCACCTGGGATTACAGGCACCTGCCGCCACGCCCGGCTAATGTTTTTGTATTTTTAGTAGAGATGGGGTTTTGCTATGTTGGTCAGGGTGGTCTTGAACTCCTGACCTCAGGTGGTCCACCCGTCTCGGCCTCCCAAAATGCTGGGATTACAGGCATGAGCCACTGTGCCCGGCCCTGAAAACAGATTTTTAACCAGAGACCTGCTTCGTATCTTTTTTACAATTCTGAGTTGAGCCAAGATTAGCTGAAATTTGGTTTCTGGCAGTAATGCTTGCAAGGGCAATGTTATTCCCAGACCCAGGATAAAAACCTCTGGAGTGTTTTGGCTACTCATGATGCTTCCTGGTGTTTCAGATGTGTATGGAGCAGTAAAATACAGGGCGAGTACCTTACGCTCTGTATTTGATTGGAGCTTCTTGAGTGCTTTGACTATTCCTTCCTAAATCTGAGCTTCTTTGGAATTTCTGTTCCTTTTCTATAAATTTCTTCATTAATTTAAAGCTGCTTAATTAAGATGATATGAGTCAGCTCCCTATGGAAAGAAAGCTCTTATTTGTTTAAATTAGAGGTTGTAAGGATTTATTGCAAACACAGAGATTAGAGCTTTGTGATTCAAAATAGCCATTTGATGGCTGAAGCAAACTAGGCTCTGTGTATTTCTGGCAGGGTATCCCTTTTCTCCCAGACCTTCTGCTTCCCAATATTTAAGATTGACTGCAAAATGCAGAACTCAGGGAAACGCTGATATCAGTCTGAGATGAGCCCTGCCATCACGAGGGTGCCAGTACCCCGTGACCGGCGGCACTTTACTGCAAGCCTTAGTCAGAGTACAAAGGGTTCCTGCTTGGTGGTTTTGCTGCAGCTTCAGAGTTTAGCCTGAACTGTGGCAGGATTTTGTAACTTGCACATTTTTTGAGAAGTCTGATGGAGGTATAATGTCCACGGTCGATTATTTGAGTAAGTCCTACCAAATATAGGAGGTGGGGAGGACATTTCGCTAGACAGGCCTAGTTCTTTTCTTTTAAAAGCTAGGATTTTAGGTTACCAGGAGCTGGTCTGGGAATATGATATTTTGAGCCCATATGTCAGTGTTTTTAGAGGAAAATGAAATGGCTCTAAAAATTCCCAAGTAGGAGTAGAAGTGTGGAAGTAGGAAAACCATTGTGAGTTAAAACTGATCTAGAGAATTGAGTGACTGGGGGAGGGGGAGGGAGATAACTTTTTTAGTGTAGGCTAAATTTTTTACTTCCTGAATTTTTAACCATGTGAATGTATTACTTATTCTAAAATGTACATTAAAAATAAACTATTCAAAATAAATTGAGCTAGAGTCAGGTTGGTCTCTTGTGCATTTAGATATTAAACTATTTAATTTCAGTATACTAAGGATGAATTGTTAGTGTATTTTGTTCATTTTTTACTAATTTATTTTCAAATCTGTTAATTCAGACAGTGTTTCTGGAGATCATGGGGAGTCTGCCAGTCTTGGTAACATCAACCCTGCCTATAGTAATCCCTCTCTTTCACAGTCCCCTGGGGACTCAGAGGAGTACTTCGCCACTTACTTTAATGAGAAGATCTCCATTCCTGAGGAGGAGGTTAGTATCAGGTCCTTGGAGGAGAACACTATTGTCTGGGGAAAACCTGTGAGTGAAAGATCTGCTGGATGGCTCAAGTTCAGCAGCCTCAGGTTTAATTTTGGCTGGCAATCTCTGAAGACTATATCTATATATCTATATATATATATACACACACACACACACACACACACCCCATCTATATCTATCTATCTCTGTCTGTCTGTCTGTCCGTCTATCTATCTATCTATCTATCTATCTATCTATCTATCTGTCTATCTAATCTTTTTTACAGACAGGGTCTTGCTCTGTCATCTAGGCTCCAGTGCAGTGGCACAACCATAGCCCACTGTAGCCTTGAATTCCTGGGGTCAAGTGATTCTCCCACTTCAGCCTCCCCAGTAGCTGGGACTATAGATGGCATGCCACCATGCCAGGCTCATTATTTTTATTTTTATTTTTAGAGACAGGGTCTCACTATGTTGCCCAGGCTGGTCTTGAACTCCTGGCCTCAAGCTATCCTTCCTCTTGTTTGTTGATGAAAAAGAGTCAAACTCTGGCTGAGCCCAGGCTCACACCTGTAATCCCAGCACTTTGGGAGGCTAAGGCAGGAGGATCACTTGAGCCCAGGAGTTTAAGACCCGCCTGGCCAATATGGCGAAACCCTGTCTCTACAAAAAATACAAAAATTAGCTGGGCATGGTGGTATGCACCTGTAGTCCCAGCTACTCGGGAGGCTGAGGTGGAAGGATCACTTGAGCCTAGGAGGCAGAAGTTGCAGTGAGCCAAGATCATGCTATGGTACTCCACTCTGGGTAACAGAATGAGACCTCCTCTCAAAAACGAAAACCAAAACAAAACAGGCCAGGCGCGGTGGCTCACACCTGTAATCCCAGCACTTTGGGAGGCCGAGATGGGCAGATCACCTGAGGTTAGGAGTTCAAGACCAGCTTGGTTAACATGGTGAAACCCTGTCTTTACTAAAGATACAAAAGTTAGCTGGGCGTAGTGGTGGGTGCCTGTAATCCCAGCTACTCGGGAGACTGAGGCAGGAGAATCACTTGAACCTAGGAGGCAGAGGCTGCAGTGAGCCAAGATCGCGCCACTGCACTCCGGCCTGAGTGACAGAGTGAGACTCTGTCTCAAAACCAAACAAACAAACAAGAGTCAAACTCTGTAAAATGTTTAAAGAGGTTTATTCTGAGCCAAATATGAGTGACCAAGGCCCGTGACACAGCCCCAGGAAGTCCCGAGAACATGTGCCCAAGGTGGTTGGGTTACAGCTTGATTTTATACGTTTTAGGGGTCAGAAGTTACAGGCAGACATCAGCCAATATATTTAAGATGTACATTGGTTCCATCAGGAAAGGTGGGACAACTTGAAGTGGGGAGGGGGCACCTTTCAGGTCAAAGGTGGATTTAAAGATTTTCTGATTGGAAATTGATTGACACTGGGTGCAGTGGCTCATGCATGTAATCCCAGCACTTTGGGAGGCTGAGGCGGGTGGATCGCTTGAGCCCAGGAGTTCGAGACCAACCAGCTTGGGCAATGTGACAAGACCTTGTCTCCAAGTAAAAAAAATAAAATAAAATTAGTTGGGTGTGGTGGTGCACACCTGTGGTCCCAGCTACTTTGGAGGCTGAAGTGGGAGGATTGCTTAAGCCCAGGAGTTCAAGACCAGCCTGGGCAACATGGCAAAACCCTGTCTCTACAAAAATAAAAATAAATAAAAAAAGAAATTGGTTGAAAGAGTTATTTTCTAAAGACCTGGTCTAAAATGAGGGGCTGTGGAGTGTCTAAAATGAGGGGTTGTGAAGACCAAGGTTTTTATTATGTAGGTGAAGCCTCTAGGTAACAAGCTTCAGAGAAAATAGATGTAAATGTCTTTTATCAGACTTAAAAAGGTACCGGACTCCTAGTTAATTCTCTCCGGGATCAGGAAAAGACCTGAAAAGGGAAGGAGATTCTATATATTCTAGGTTTTGCTCATAAGAGACAGCTTTGCAGGGTCATTTCAAAATATACAAAGAAATATATCTTGGAGTAAAATACTTTGATTTCTTTCAGGGCCTGTTATCTGTCATGTGATGCTATGCTAGAGTCAGGTTGGAATTTAGCATGTTATTGCTACAAGGAATCTGTTTTGTCAGTTTTAAGATCTCTGGTTTTTGTTTGTTTGTTTGTTTGTTTGTTTTTGAGACGGAGTTTCACTCTTGTCGCCCAGGCTAGAGTGCAATGGTGCAATCCTGGCTCACCGCAACCTCCTCCTCCCGCATTCAAGTGATTCTCCTGCCTCAGCCTCCCGAGTAGCTGGGATTACAGGCATGTGCCGTTACGCCCACCTGTTTTTGTATTTTTAGTAGAGACAGGGTTTCTCTACTAAAGTGTTGGTCAGACTGGTCTCGAACTCCCAACCTCAGGTGATCTGCCCGCCTTGGCCTCCCAAAGTGCTGGGATTACATGCAGGAACCACTGTGCCTGGCCAAGATCTCTGTTTTAATGCTGGTCATTTGTGTCTGAATTCCAAAGGGACGGGAGTATAATGAGGTTTGTCTGACCCCTCCCTCCCATCATGGCCTGAACTAGTTTTTCAGGTTTTCTTTGGAATGCCCTTGGTCAAGAAGAGGATCCGTTCAGTTGGTTGGGGGAGCTTAGAATTTTATTTTTGTTTGCTCTCCTCAGTGTCCCAAGTAGTTGGACTATAGGCACACACCACACAGCACCACACCTGGCTTGTTTCCTTTTTAAAATGGTGGCTCTTGTCCTTTTTGGGAAGTGTTTGGGCACAGAGGTACTGATACTGTTATTCTGGTTTTAGAATAAGAGGCTGATGGAACCTGCAGGTAAGGGAAGAGCTTTGACTTGGACAGAGAAGTGGCCAGCTTCTTAATAAAAAGTGGGTAAGATGGAGGTGAAACTTGGACACATGCAATATCTGACATTGTAAATCCTTTTTTCTTGTGAGGCTGGATTTTGTTGCTTCATATGTGATAACAGACCAATTATATCAGTAGTTCAATGGTGATGTTCAGTTTAATCTCTTTTCCTCTCTTGTACAGTACTCTTGTTTTAGCTTTCGTAAACTCTGGGCTTTCACCGGACCAGGTTTTCTTATGAGCATTGCCTACCTGGATCCAGGAAATATTGAATCCGATTTGCAGTCTGGAGCAGTGGCTGGATTTAAGGTGAACATCTAGTCCTACCCCTGTCCTTTTAAGCACATAATACACTCTCACATCCTTTTCTCCACCCTGCATGTTGGATAGTAGCCTCAGGGGCTACATGCAGATACTTCATTGGCAGTGGCTCTTATGTGTAAAGTACTTTCCATTTGGTCTTATTTTTATCCACATAGTTTCCTTGAACAAAGGAGAAACTACATATAGGAGAAACTGAGGCTCAGAAAGGTACAAGGTGACTTAGCAGGTCATGTGCAAAATCTGTTATAGAACTCAAGTCATTTGATTCTTGACCTGGGCTCTTTTCTGAATGCAGTATTTACCACTCATGTTGCCAAACAACTAAACAAACAAACAGACAAAAACTCAGTTGTTCAATGAGTGTTACAGGAGATTTTGTTCTTCTTAGTTGCTCTGGATCCTTCTGTTGGCCACCCTTGTGGGGCTGCTGCTCCAGCGGCTTGCAGCTAGACTGGGAGTGGTTACTGGGCTGCATCTTGCTGAAGTATGTCACCGTCAGTATCCCAAGGTGAGCAATGTATTGTCCTGTTTGTCTCTCACCCATGCCATAGGAATCTGTGTGTCTGGCGGTATGTGCTGGCCTCATTCTATAGTGAGACAGTCAAGGACTTGGGGGTCAGTGGCCCTGAAGACAGACGGTACCAACGGAAATACTGTAGCTCCTCCTGCTGCCAGGCCATGTTTTCCCCCTCTTTCAAAATCTAACTTGAGACTCGCATTTCCTAGAAGGTTTTCTTAGAAAAACTGTGTTACCATTCACTCTGGCTTCCAGTATCTAGCAATGCCCAGCCCAAGGGGAGGAGGATGCTCTCTCTAAGCACTTTTATTCATACCTCCATGTTACTCCATCAGTTTGCATTTTATATATGTTCTTTTTTTGTTTGACTTTGCCATCACTTTGAAAAAGTAATTTTTTTTCTTTTTAGTACAAACTATATGTGGCAAGATCTTTGGATTTGCTAATAATTATTTTTCAGTTTCCCCTCCCACCGGGGGCTACACTGTCCTCTGCAGCTTCTTCTGGACATTTTGGGCCTTTCTTACCGTTGCCTAAGGCAAGAATGAACACTATGTCTGGAAGATATTTTTAACTTAGTTTTGTCTCTTGTTTTGTTTCTTTTCCTGGGTGTGAGCAAAAAGTATCCTTATCTGCTTTTCAAAAAAATAAAAAAATCTTGATAATATCCCCATTTACTCTGATGTGATTATTACACATTTTATGCCTATATCAAAATATCCCATATGCCCCATAATATATACACCTACTATGTACCCATAAAATTTTTAAAAAACAAACAAAACCTTGGTAATTTATAATCCTTCTAGCTTCTTTTTCTTTCTTTCTTCTTATTTTTTGAGACGGAGTCTCACTCTGTCACCCATGGTGGAGTGCAGTGATGTGATCATGGCTCACTGCAGCCTTGACCTCCCAGGCTCAAGCGATTCTCCCATCTCAGCCTCCCAAGTAGCTGGGACCACAGGCGAGCACGACCACACCCAGCTAATTAAAATTTTTTTTTTTTTTTTTTTTGTGGAGATGAGGTATTGCTATGTTGTCTAGGCTGGTCTCAAACTCCTGGGCTCAGGCAGTCCTCCCACCACAGCTTCTCAAAGTGCTGGGACGACAGGCATGAGCCACTGCACCAAGCCTAGCTTCTCTTTCTTCATACACGTTAATAGTTATTTTGTAATAATAATTATATATATATATATTTGTTTGTTTGTTTGTTTTGTTTTTTTTTTTGAGACAGAATCTCACTCTGTTGCCCAGGCTGGAGTTCAGAGTTCAGTGGTGTGATCTCAGCTCACTACAGCCTCTGCTTCTTGCAGTGAGGCGATTCCAGGGATTCTCCTGCCTCAGCCTCCTGACTAGCTTGGATTACAGCCACGTGCCACCATCTGGCTAATTTTTGTATTTTTAGTAGAGATGAGGTTTTACCATGTTGGTCAGGCTGGTCTTGAACTCCTGGCCTTAGGTGATCTGCCAGCCTTCGCCTCCCAAAGTGCTGGGATTACAGGCATGAGCCACCGTGCCCAGCCTGCTTTTTTGTTTGTTTGTTTGAGACGGAGTTTCACTCTTTCACCCAGGCTGGAGTGCAGTGGCGTGATCTCAGCTCACTGCAACCTCCGCCTTCAGTTTCAAGTGATTCTCCTGCCTCAGCCTCCCGAGTAGCTGGGATTACAGGTGCCTGCCACCATGCCTGGCTAATTTTTGTATTTTTAGTAGAGACGGGGTTTCACCATGTTGGCCAGGCTGGTCTCGAACTCCTGACCTTGTGATCTGCCCACCTCGGCCTTCCAAAGTGCTGGGATTACAGACGTGAGCCACTGCGCCTGGCCTTGTTTTGGTATTTTTGAGATGGAGTCTCACTCTGTTGCCCAGCCTGGAGTACAGTGGCGTGATCTCAGCTCACCACAACCTCCGCCTCTTGGGTTCAAGCTATTCTCCTGCCTCAGCCTCCTGAGTAGCTGGGACTACAGGCGTGCATCACCACGCCTGGCCAATTTTTGTATTTTTAGTAGAGATGAGGTTTCACTATGTTGGCCAGACTGGTCTCAAACTCCTGACCTCGTGATCTGCCCGCCTTGGCCTCCCAAAGTGCTGGGATTACAGGCGTGAGCTACTGCGCCTGGCTCTGCCCTTTTTTTTTTTTTTTGAGACCAAGTCTCGCTTTGTCACCCAGGCTCGGGTACAGTGGTGTGATCTTGGCTTACTATAACCTCAACCTCCCAGGTTCAAGCGATTCTCCTGTCTCAGCTTCCCGAGTAGCTGGGATTACAGGTGCGCACCACCACACCCAGCTAATTTTTGTATTTTTAGTAGAGACAGGGTTTCACCATGTTGGCCAGGCTGATCTCAAACTCCAGACCTCAAGTGATCCACTTGCCTTAGCCTCTCAAAGTGCTGGGATTACAGATGTGAGATACTGTGCCTGGCCTGTTTTTTTGAGATAGGATCTTGCTCTATTACCCAGACTAGAGTTCAGTGGCACAATCATGGCTCACTATACCCTTGACCTCCCAGGCGCAAGCAGCCTTCCTACCTCTGTCTCTTGAATAGTTGGGACCACAGGTGTGCACCATGATACCCAGCTATTTTTAAAATTTTTTGTAGAGACAGGGTTTTGCCATGTTGCCAAGGCTGGGCTTGAACTCCTGGGCTCAAGTAATCCTCCCACCTCTGCCTCCCAAAGTTCAGGGATTATAGGTGTGAACTACCATGGGTGACCTGACAAATTTTTTGGATGCTAGCTATCTGGAGGTGTTTTTTTCTGGCTTCAGTGAGTCAGCATAACTAAATCTGATTTTCAGCTGTATTGTTTGGCCAGATAAGTTTCTGACTTTGTTATATGCCACCCAGTTCCAACCATCTTCCCTTGAGTCCTTTTGCATACGTGGGCATTATTATTACATTAAAGGTGACTCCAACCTTTTCTGTTGTTGTGGTGGTGGTTTGTTGAGACAGTCTTGCTCTTGTTTGTTGCCCACTCTGGAGTGCAGTGGCATGATCATAGCTCACTGCAGCCTTGACCACTGGGGCTTAGGCTGTCCTCCTGCCTCAGCCTCCCAAGTAGTTGGGACTACAGGTGTATGCCATCATGCCTGGATACTTTTGTACTTTTTTTTTTTCCTATAATTTTTATTTTAGGTTTGGAGATGGATACATGTGAAGGTTTTTTCTTTCTTTCTTTCTTTTTTTTTTTTTTTTTGTGAAAGCAAGTTTATTAAGAACGTAAAGGAATAAAGAAAGGCTATTCCGTAGGCAGAGCAGTCACATGTGAAGGTTTGTTACATAGATAAACACGTGTCATGGGGGTTTGTTGTACATATTATTACATCACCCCGATATTAAGCCCAATACACAATAGTTAACTTTTCTGCTTCTCTCTCTCCTTCCACCCTCCCCCATCAAGTAGACCCCAGTGTCTGTTGTTTCTGTCTGTGTGTTCATAAGTTCTTATCATTTTGCTCCCAATTTTTATACTTTTTGTAGAGATGGGGTTTTGCCATGTTGCCCAGGCTGGTCTCAAACTCCTGGGCTTAAGGGATCTACGTTGGCATCCCAAAGTGCTGAGATTACAGGAATGAGCCACTGTGCCTGGTCCACCCCAACCTTTTTTTTTTTTTTTTGAGATGGAGTCTCGCTTTGTTGTCCAGGCTGGAGTGCAGTGGCGCAATCTCAGCTCACTGCAACCTTCGCCTCCCGGGTTCAAGCAATTCTCCTGCCTCAGCCCCCTGAGTAGCTGGGATTACAGGCATGTGCCACCATGCCCAGCTAATTTTTGTATTTTTAGTAGAGACGGGGTTTCGCCATGTTGGCCAGGCTGATCTTGAACCCTGTCCTCAGGTGATCCACCTGCCTCAGCCTCCCAAAGTGCTGGGATTACAGGTGTGAGCCACCGCGCCCAGCCTGACCCCAACCTTTTCATGTTTGTTTTGTCTTCCCAGCTATGGTCAGGATAGATATGTTCTTCTGCAATCATTTAATATTCTTTCTTGACCCATATTTGGACCGTATTAGCATCCTTATTCTCCTCTAAACTTTTTAGGATTGTTTTTAGGAAATTAAGTGGAAGTTAGTAAATGGCAATTATATTCTTCTCAAGTAGAAAGGAAAAAGAAAAAAGTAAGATCAATTACTGCCTTGACCTTCGTTCACAGGTTCTGCCACGTGGTAGCACACTTTTCCTTCTCCAGGTGAGAGCCACAGTGCAGTGATCGGCCAAGTGGAGGCACGTTCTGGTATTTCTTCTCTAGTCTGGAGGCTTATAAAGGACTGTTTATGGTTTAGTGCCAAAATGTGAATTCCAAATTGTGGAGGAATTTTTTAGAAATGATTAATCAGAACCGTGTCTTTCTACTGTTTGATGTTTAGGTCCCACGAGTCATCCTGTGGCTGATGGTGGAGTTGGCTATCATCGGCTCAGACATGCAAGAAGTCATTGGCTCAGCCATTGCTATCAATCTTCTGTCTGTAGGAAGGTGAGGGGTTTTCCTCTAGAAAGTCATCAGTGTTTTGCTGGATTTCCAAGCAGAGATAAAAACAAAAACCCAATTCATTTTTAATTTTGAAGACTCAACTCAATTGTTATTTCTTCTGTGGAACCTTTCTGGAAACAATTTCTTCTCCCCTGGTAGATGTAGACTCTACATCTTCCGTTTCCCATGGTGGGTTATGCTTACCTTTATTAGAATGTGTGGCGTTTTGTATCGCAATTATTGATTTGTATGTCATTTTATCCCGCTAGATACTATCTTTTTATTTTATTTTATTTATTTATTTTTTTGAGACAGAGTCTTTCTCCGTCACCCAGGCTGGAGTGCAGTGGTATGATCTTGGCTCACTGCAACCTCCGCCTCCCAGGTTCAAGCAATTCTTGTGCCTCAGTCTCCTGAGTAGCTGGGATTACAGGCACCTGCCACCATGTCCAGCTAATTTTTGTGTTTTTAGTAGAGACGGGATTTCACCATGTTGGCCAGGCTGGTCTCTAACTCCTGACCTCAGGTCTAGGAATGCCCGCCTCAGCCTCCCAAAGTGCTGGTATTACAGGCGTGAGCCACTACACCCAGCCCCCACTAGATACTATCTATCTAATCCTATAAAATTCTATCTGTCTAACTCCATGAGGGTAAGACCCAAACTTTTCAGCTTTGTATCCTAAGAGTGACATAGTAGACTCTCAAAGTTTAAATGAATGTAATTAAGTTGATGCTGTTACCCTACTTTACCCAAGGCCTAGTTTTCTGCCATTGTCCCTCCTCCCTCAAGTCCTAGCTTCTCCAAGTGTTCTTTATCTGGAGAGCTGTTGGGAAGAGAGTGTTTTTCAATGTTTCCTTTCTTTCCGTCTCTCTGACTTCCATATCTCATCTCTGACCTAGAATTCCTCTGTGGGGTGGCGTTCTCATCACCATTGCAGATACTTTTGTATTTCTCTTCTTGGACAAATATGGTAAGGAGAGCGGGAATGGGAGGGTCAAAGGAGCTGCTCTCTGTCATGTGGCAGATGGGGAAGTCTACCTTCTCTGAGCTCACTGCTGCCTTTTTTCCTTTAGGCTTGCGGAAGCTAGAAGCATTTTTTGGCTTTCTCATCACTATTATGGCCCTCACATTTGGATATGAGGCAAGTGGTACAGGATATTCATTAGCTTCTTAAAATAAGTTTTTGTGGTTTTTTTTTTTAGCCTTTTATTATAAAAGACAGTAATAATGCTAGTATGATTCACTTATAGTGGGTGTATCAACAAAAAGCCAATTTTTCCCTGGGCCAATTTTAAAGGAATATGATCTATAGCAAAGATTAGCATGCAGAAAGGCCTGCAGGGGCTCCCAGGTTTAAAATGACTAGATATTTTAGGGCTTTCCAGACTAGATTCTTTGGTCCCAAGTTGACCATCTGACAACAGAACAGCCATGGATAGTGTTAATTAAGGAGGGGGTTGCAGGGTTATTCTTGGGTGTTAACTTACAGGAGTTCTGCTTTTGTTCATCCTGGTTTATATTAATTGCAGCTTGAACTTTCCCAATATTAAAACAGTTAATGAATTATATGAAATATACTGGATATTTCCTGGTTTGTGCCCCAACCCAGAAACTCCTTAGAGTCACTAATATTATTTGCAGTACTAGCACCTTTCTTTGTACAATTCTTATAAACTGATTTCTGCTTACTGGTCTGGCTGAACTTTAAAAAATATATGTAATCTATGGGTTGATTATGCCTCTTGGCCTAAGGCTTCCAAGAGAAATACTGAACCGGGGAAGAGTATATATGAGAGTGTTTAAGGATGAGTCTCTCATTACACACGTACTAGTGGCAAACAGCAAATGATTTTTAAATGAACATGGGTGAACAGAAGTATGCTCAGTATGGATAATAAAAATTGATTCTATATTCTTTTTTAATTTTTAGATTTTTATTTATTTATTTATTTTTGAGCCAGAGCGTTGCTCTGTCATGTAGGCTAGAGTGCAGTGGGTGTGATCTTGGCTCACTTGCAGCCTCCGCCTCCCAGGTTCAAGTGGTTCTTGTGCCTCAGCCTCCCAAGTAGCTGGGATTATTGGCGTGTACCACCATGCCTGGCTAACTTTTTGTATTTTTAGTAGAGATGGGGTTTCTCTATGTTGGCCAGGCTGGTCTTGAACTGCTGACCTCAAGTAATCTGCCCATCTTGGCCTCCCAAAGTGCTAGGATTTCAGCTGTGAGCCACTGTGCCTGGCCCTGGTTGTATATTTTTGAGCCTTGTGGAATTACTAATAACCACAAGTCCCTTAGCAGCTTTTTCTTTTTTCTTTTCTTTTTTTTTTTTTGAGATGGAGTCTCCCTCTTTCGCCCAGGCTGGAGTGCAGTGGTGCGATCTCTGCTCACTGCAACTTCCACCCCCAGGTTCAAGCGATTCTCCTGCCTCAGCCTCCCACGTAGCTGGGATTACGGGTGCCCGCCACCGTGCCTGGTTAATTTTTGTATTTTTCGTAGAGACGGGGTTTCACTATGTTTGCCAGGCTGGTCTTGAACTCCTGACCTCAGGTGATCCACCCGCCTTGACCTGCTAAAGTGCTAGGATTACAGGCGTGAGCCACCATGCCTGGCCTTTTTTTTTTTTTTTTTTTTTTTTTTGAGACAGAGTCTCACACTATTGCCTATGCTGGAGTTCAGTGGCACGATCTCAGCTCACCTCCTGGGCTCAAGTGATCCTTCCACCTCAGCCTCCCTAGTAGCTAGTACTATAGGTATGCACCACCACACCGAGGTAATTTTTGTAGAGATAAGGTTTTGTTGTGTTGTCAGGCTGCTCTTGAACTCCTGGGCTCAAGCAATGCGCCTGCCTTGGTCTCCTAAAGTGCTGGGATTATAGGCGTGAGCCACCGCACCCAGCCCTTTCTTTAGAAATTAATTATGTATCATACACATCTGTTTCATATATCTAAGATGTGTTGTAAACTATCCGGATACTCAGTCTTGAATTCTCTGGCCCCTAATAGTAAGCCCCTTATGTTGCTTGGTCCTATGATGATTCTGTATTCCTCATTATCTTAGGTAGTTGCAGAAGAAAAGATTTTGGCCAGGTGTGGTGGCCTGTAATCCCAGCACTTTGGGTGGCTGAGGTGGGAAGATTGCTTGTTCTTGGGAGATTGAGGTTTCAGTGAGCTGTGATCATGCCACTGCATTCCAGCCTGGGTGACAGAGCAAGATCCTATCTCAAAAAATATAAAAATAAGGAAGAAGGCATTGTAAGGGATAAAGGATGCTAACTGTTCCCTGGTACTATGTTACTCCCGTTTCACGTTCCTGTAAAGGCTAATCATTGTTATGTTGGTATGTAGTATGTTACAGTGAAACCCAGCCAGAGCCAGGTACTCAAGGGCATGTTCGTACCATCCTGTTCAGGCTGTCGCACTCCACAGATTGAACAGGCTGTGGGCATCGTGGGAGCTGTCATCATGCCACACAACATGTACCTGCATTCTGCCTTAGTCAAGGTGAGCAAGGCCCTTATCTCCTTCACCTCCTAGACAGTTCATGGGATCTTTTCCTTCAATTGCAAGGGACACAAAGTTAGTTTACAATTATTAGGACCATGAAGGAGCAAGGTATTTTCCAAGCCTGGACATTTATAAACTCCATATACTTAGATGCTGTTTTTATCACCAAATTGACCAGAGATTACTAACTGCATAAAGCAGGTGGGGCTAAAGTTCTTTTTTTTTTTTTTTTTAAATTGAGATGGAGTCTCACTCTATTGCCCAGGCTGGAGTGCAGTGGCGTGATCTCTACTCACTGCAAACCTCTCCCTCCCGGGTTCAAGTGATTCTCGTGCCTCAGCCTCTTGAGTACCTGGGATTATAGGCGTGCACCACCATGCCTGGCTAATTTTTCTATTTTTAGTAGAGATGTGGTTTCACCATGTTGGCCAGGCTGGTCTCGAACTCCTGAGCTCAAGCAATCCACCCGCCTTGGCCTCCCAAAGTGCTGGGATTACAGGCGTGAGCTACTGCACCCAGCTGGGACTAAAGTTCTTCATAAAAGGTTGGAAGTGCATCAAGTCTCTTGTGTTTAAATTTCAAAAGCTCGAGTGGCCTTATGGAGGTCAGGAGTAAAGGAGCCCAAACAGGCTTTTACTGTCAGTATTATGTAATAGTTTGCTGGGAGATTTTAGAAACCTTTATAAATAGGTATATGCACACCTTAGGACTGAAATCAGGTCGTTTTTATAGGTCAGTGGTCCTTCCAGCCACTGAGAGTAACTGAGAGCTCAGTAGTCATTTAGTCTCTGTTCCCTATTTGGGGAATGTACAGTTCAACGAAAGGGCATGAAGTTCTTTTTTCTCCCCCCATATGAAGTTCTTAATTGCTCAGTGAACTAGGATGTAGGTGAGTGTTGGATCTCTCACTTTTCGTCTGGTCAACTTTTGTCCCCTAAATCTCTCAGCTGACTCCAAACTCCTGAAATGTCACAAGGAAACTTGTTCTAACTGGTCAAAAAGTGACTGCTGTTGTTATCTTTCTAGTCTAGACAGGTAAACCGGAACAATAAGCAGGAAGTTCGAGAAGCCAATAAGTACTTTTTCATTGAATCCTGCATTGCACTCTTTGTTTCCTTCATCATCAATGTCTTTGTTGTCTCAGTCTTTGCTGAAGCATTTTTTGGGAAAACCAACGAGCAGGTGGTGAGTAAGCCAGGGTTATGGGTGGTAGTGAATGTGAGGGTAAAGTGAAGACTGCAATGGGATGGGGAAGGAAAATACCTCATCCTAGTGTTAATGTTCAGGAGAAATAATCTCTAGCTTCTCGTCTGCCCCCCAAAATCACTGTGCACCAGTCAGAGTCTACAGTATGGGGCTGACCAAGCCTGGACCCTCTTTCTCAGCTTTTGTTTGGGAGTAGTCAACAAACAGAAAACAGAAACTGTGATGATGACAGACTTTGTCTTGTCATTTTGAATTCTGTATCAATCTTGATTTCTGATTACCTATGTAGTGTTTTTTTTGAGACGGAGTCTTGCACTGTCATCCAAGCTGGAGTGCAGTGGCACAGTCTTGGCTCACTGCCTCCACCTCCTGGGTTCAAGCGATTCTCCTGCCTCAGCCTCCTGAGTAGCTGGGATTACAGGTGCCTGCCACCACACCCAGCTAATTTTTTGTAATTTTAGTAGAGATGGGGTTTCACCATGTTGGCCAGGCTGGTCTCAAACTCCTGACCTCAAGTGATCCACCTGCCTCGGCCTCTCAAAGTACAGGGATTACAGGCGTGAGCTCCTGTGCCTGGCCTGCCTGTGTAGTTTTGATCACCATTTGTTTCCCGTCTATGGAACCTCTGACTCCTCTGTCTGCTTTGACTGAGGATTCTATTCTGGGTGTTCTCTCATGTCTGAAGCCTTCTTCAGAGCCTCTCCTCTTGTCATCATTTAAAGTACCCCAGCGTTTGTACATTATTACCATGCACACTGTAACTCAGTAAAGATTTTTGATGACCTGTGGGTGTAGAAGGATTATAGAGGAAGATCCTAGATAACATTGCTGCTAGTCTCTGCCCACATCACAGCATATGTCCAGTGTTTTCCCTCCAGCCTACCTCTTATAGATGATTGTGTATGATATGTAGGAGAGCTCTTATTTGGTCCTTGCTTCTGAAACAAAAGTTGCTGTTGAATTGCTTTGGGTTCTAGGTTGAAGTCTGTACAAATACCAGCAGTCCTCATGCTGGCCTCTTTCCTAAAGATAACTCGACACTGGCTGTGGACATCTACAAAGGGGTAAGCATGTTTGGATTTGTGATCTTTGTTCCTGAATCAGTATTTTTAGCATAGTATGTGGTCTTTTTTGTGACTTCACTTCAGATATGAGCATATCTCCTCTGGAGTGTCATTTATTTCAGAGTTCCAGACACCAGACAAGCATTTTGGATTAAATGGGAAGGAATAGAGGATCAGTTGAAAAGATATATAATACAGGCCGGGTGCGGTGGTTCACGCCTGTAATCCCAGCACTTTGGGAGGCTGAGGCGGGTGGATCACTTGAGCTCAGGAGTTCAAGACCAGCCTGACCAACATGGTGAAACCCTGTCTCTACTAAAAACAAAAATACAAAAATTAGCTGGATGTGGTGGTGGGCACCTGTAATCTCAGCTACTCAGGAGGCTGAGACACGAGAATCGCTTGAACCTGGAAGGCAGAGGTTGCAGTGAGCCGAGATTGGGCCACTGCACTCCAGCCTGGGCGACAGAATAAGACTCTGTCTTTAAAAAAAAAAGGAAAAAAAAGATGCAGTATACACCCCAGCTTTTTTTTTTTTTTTTTTTTTTTTTGGAGACAAGGTCTTGCTCTGTTGCCCAGGCTGGGGTACAGTGGCTCGATCATGGCTCACTGCAGCCTCCACCTACCTGGTCCAAGTGATTTTCCCATCTCAGTCTTTTGGGTAATGGGACTGCAGGCAAGCACCACCATGCTTGGCTATTTTTTTTTTCTTTTTGAGATGGAGTTTTGTTCTTGTTGCCCAGGCTGGAGTGCACTGGCGTGATCTTGGCTCACTGCAATCTCTGCCTTCCGGGTTCAAGTGCTTCTCCTGCCTCAGCCTCCCAAGTAGATAGGATTACAGGTGTGTACCACCACACCTGGCTAATTTTGTATTTTTAGTAGAGATGGGGGTCTCTCCATGTTGGTCAGGCTGGTCTCGAACTCCTGACCTCAGGTGATCCACCCCCCCCTCGGCCTCCCAAAGTGCTGGGATTACAGGTGTGAGCCACCATGCCTGGCCTTGTATTTTTTTTGTAGAGTCAGGGTATTTGCCATGTTGCCTAGGCTTGTCTCAAACTCCTGGGCTCAAGGGATTCTCCAACCCTGGCCTCCCAAAGTGCTGGGATTACAAGCGTGAGCCACCCTACCCAGCCCCAAGAAAGTGTTCTTAGTAAAGTGTTTTTACTGGAGTCTCTCAGTTCTTTTATGCTGGTTACATTGTGATCCTCCAACAGTAGAATATATAGTGTGTAGCATTTCACCAATTTATTTGATATTTCCCTGTACTTCTATTGCCATTTTCCAGAATAGTGTGTAAAGGAATATAATTTGGGGAAAGTGGTGTAGACCTCTTTTTTTTTTTTTTTTTTTTTAATATTTAAGATGGAGGTTTAGGAGCTTGGAGAAGAGAAAGGACTAGGCAGAGAAACGAAGGAGCATCCAGTAAAGTTTAGACTGAAAGCTTCTGGAATGAGGTCCAGACTTGAGCCTAGCTTCTGGCACAGTGCGCAGCACAGCACTTGGTGTTGGTGGTGCATAGCAAAGAAGGGAGAAATGCCACAGGGAACTGCTGTTTTGGATATTGTCTGAGCAGATTATTGCCACAATCATATCCTTCCTCTTGGCCTCTCACAGGGTGTTGTGCTGGGATGTTACTTTGGGCCTGCTGCACTCTACATTTGGGCAGTGGGGATCCTGGCTGCAGGACAGAGCTCCACCATGACAGGAACCTATTCTGGCCAGTTTGTCATGGAGGTACGTGCTGGTATAGGATAGAGGGAGATAACACAACCCTTTTGTTACTTCTTCTTCTTCTTCTTTTTTTTTTTTTTTTGAGATGGAGTCTCACTCGTCGCCCAAGTTGGAGTGTAATGGCATGATCTCGGCTCACTGCAACCTCCACCTCCCGGGTTCAAGTGATTCTCCTGACTCAGCCTCCCGAGTAGCTAGGATTACAGGCTCTGGCCACCATACTCGGCTAATTTTTTGTATTTTTAGTAGAGATGGCGTTTCACCATGTTGGCCAGGCAGGTCTTGAACTCCTGACCTCAAGTGATCTACCCGCCTTGGCCTCTCAAAGTGCTGGGATTACAGGCGTGAGCCACTGCGCCTGGCCCCTTTTGTCACTTCTTAATCCCATTCTTCTGAGGTCTCTCCTGAACCTCCCCAAAACTTTTTTTTGTTTCCTGTTGCAGACAGTCATCTGCTCCTATGTTTTCTTCCAGGGATTCCTGAACCTAAAGTGGTCACGCTTTGCCCGAGTGGTTCTGACTCGCTCTATTGCCATCATCCCCACTCTGC
Organism: Homo sapiens; assembly: GCF_000001405.40. Taxonomy (NCBI): domain Eukaryota; kingdom Metazoa; phylum Chordata; class Mammalia; order Primates; family Hominidae; genus Homo; species Homo sapiens. The sequence goes on along the minus strand of NC_000012.12, from coordinate 50,992,263 downwards.
TTGTTGCTGTCTTCCAAGATGTAGAGCATCTAACAGGGATGAATGACTTTCTGAATGTTCTACAGAGCTTACAGGTGAGGAGGAAGCTGAGGAAACACATCCTAGTTATTCAGGTAGCATTATGTACTGCCCTTGGGTACCAAGCCTAGCTGAGTGCTGGGGGGATATTGAGAGGAAGACAGAGGCATGGTTGTGGTCTGCAGTAAATGTATATGAAATCCTTGGCATCTAAAAGGATTTTAGAAATGGTTGGTTTTTTAAACCTGTTGAATGGGAACTATGAACTTTACTTACATATGGGACACAAAATTGTAGTTCATTAATGCAAGCAAACATTAAATGAACATATAGGACACTGTGCTAGGTCCTGTGGAGGTTAAGAAGACAAGTCACATACAAAGGTTTGTATGCTAGGTTAATGACAGCTCTGCAGAATTCAGCATAATGCCCAAGCATGTTGGGATGATAGGAATAATTATTTCTCATGGAGTAGTTGAGGCAGCATTTATGTTTCCCTTTCATTAATTGTGCTGTTCTCTAGGGTGATACAAGGACCCATAGTAATCCCATCTGATCTTCTTTCTTTTCCAGCTTCCCTTTGCTCTCATACCCATCCTCACATTTACGAGCTTGCGGCCAGTAATGAGTGACTTTGCCAATGGACTGTGAGTGTACTCCTCTTCGTTCCCAAAGGGGATGCTGATATGGGGAAAGGGTATCTTCATGCAGTAGGCCAGTCAGACGTGAGACACAGAGGGAAGCGATATGCTTTGAGAGGTGATTGCTAGCTGCTTCCTCTTTGGCTTAGAGAATGGAAACTGTGAATATAGTAAAGGAAGAGAAAGCACGTCTTTCATATGAAGGGGAGAGAAAGTTCAGCTTTTACAGCATAACTCTTCAGCTTCAGCCACTGAAGTTTGAGGCACCTTAATTCTTTGTTAAATGATCTTAACAAAAAAGGCATAAGTTAGTACCTTTTATATATATCTTTAAAGGATATGAGGTATCTGAAGTGACTTGTTGCATTTTTGGGAACGTTAATAAAATGGCTCATTGCGTTTCTAGGCCTTGTTGCATCTCTAGGGACTTAAATATTAGGGATTATTTGTTGGTGTCTTTTCCCCCCTCTTTCTCCCTGTCTACCAGTATCTAACTTTGGGTGATTTAACTTAGACTTATGAAGAATCATTTTTTTTCAAATTAAGAACAATTTTTCCATTCATTTTGAACTGCCTCTAATTCCCATCCTGTTTCCTTTTCTGTCTGTGGCCAAGTTGGATTATTCCATCAGTGACTGTGCTGATTTCTTTTACAGAGGCTGGCGGATTGCAGGAGGAATCTTGGTCCTTATCATCTGTTCCATCAATATGTACTTTGTAGTGGTTTATGTCCGGGACCTAGGGCATGTGGCATTATATGTGGTGGCTGCTGTGGTCAGCGTGGCTTATCTGGGCTTTGTGTTCTACTTGGTAAGTCTAGCCTGGAAGAGCAGGGGCATAGGTATCAGGGATGGTTGAGGTGGGGTTCACTGACATTCAGAAATGAACAGACCCAGGCTGGGCACAGTGGCTCATGCCTATAATCCCAGTACTTTGGGAGGCTGAGGCGGGAGGATTGCTTGAATCCAGGAGTTAGAGACCAATCTGGGCAACATAGTAAGACTCCATCTCTACAAAAAAAGAGAAATGAACAGACCCAAAAGAGCACATAACAATCTACCTCCAGGTGATCGAGACAATGTATATGGAATTGTCAAATCAGCTGTTTACAAAATAATATTTCTAACCATAAAATTCACTTTGGTTACTAAGATTTGTCATTTTTCAATTTCTGTCACTTCTGTAGTTTCCATTCTTAGTAATTCCTAACAAGAGAGTATAGTATGTTTGAGGAACTAAAAGAAGGGTAGCAGTACAGAGAGTGGAGAACGGTACAAAACAGAGGTGGAGAATAGGGCATGCAGTGTGATTTAGAGATTCGGGGTGGGACACATGTGGCACACAGCCCCACTCAGCTCCATCACTTACTAGCTGTCCAAGGAAATAATTAAATAGTGATAGTCTCCCCTTGACTCTCTCATTCTAGAGTCATTTTTTAAAAATCATGGTTATAAAACTATAGCTACATGAAAAAGGTATGTAAAATTTATATTTCAATTATAAAAAATTTTTTAAGAAGTCTAGAATTATATAAAAATGGCAATATAGTTGTTGTAGGAAGCTAGGATTATAGATATATTCTTCTCTATTTTCCAAATCTTCTTTAGCATTGCTTATATTAATGAAAAACAGCCAAAATAACAACAGATCCATTTCCCTGTTCTATACAGGTTTCTTTGAAAAGACACAGGGGTTAGGGATAAGGAATAGTAGAATTTATACCATTTTTGCTGCAGAGAATGGCTACAGATGGAGGCTGGAAACCTGCTGTTAATCTCTAGAACACTTCCCCACACCAGTGTGCCACACATTAGATACTTTATTAAGAAAATCACTTCAGTAAATGTTGAAAAATTATTTCCTAGATCTCTTCTTTTTTTCTTCCCAATAAACTTTGTGCACACAAAGACTGTACTGACCCTATGATCTAGGAACTTAACTTCAAGGAAAACCAAGTAACTGAATGTGTCCTTGACAGGAATTGTTTTTAAAAATTCACTATAGAAGTTAGGGGGATCCTTTCAGAATGCAAATTGGATATGAAGATGCCAGTTTGTCCTCAGTCAGCCTAAGGCTAATGAGCTTGTTGAAGACCCATTATTATTATTATTTTTGAGACAGAGTTTTTCTCTATCGCCCAAGCTAGGGTATAGTGGCATGATCTTAGCTCACTGCAACCTCTGCCTCCTGGGTTCAAGTGATTCGCCTGCCTTAGCCTCCTGAGTAGTTGGGACTACAGCCATGTGCTAACCATGCCTGGCTAATTTTTGTATTTTTAGTAGAGATGGGGTTTTGCCATGTTGGCCAGGCTGGTCTCAAACTCTTGACCTCAGGTGATCCACCTGCCTCAGCCTCCTGAAGTGTTGGGATTACAGGCATGAGCCACCGTGTCTGGCTTGAAGACCCATTTTGAGAGGAGAGGGCTGATTCTAGAGTGGGTTACTGTTGTTTAACTTCAAAACAGGAACTTCATAGAGCAGCTTAGGAGACTACACCAATTGTATTAGTCTGTTAGTCATTCTTATCATGGGGAGGACTGAGGAAAAGTGGACTTCCGAGAACTTACAGTTGGGTAAAAGAAACAAACAACAGGCTGGACGAGGTGGCTCACGCTTGTAATTTCAGTGCTTTGGGAGGCCGAGCCAGGAGGATTGCTTGAGGTTAGGAGTTTCAGACCAGCTTGAGAAATATAGCAAGACACCTTGTCTCTACAAAAAAAAATAAATTAGCTGGGCATGGTGGTGTGCGTCTGTAATCCTGGCAACTCAGGAGGCTGAGGAGAGAGGATTGCTTGAGCCCAGGAATTCGAGGCTTCAGTGAGCTATGATTGCACCACTATACTCCAGCCTGAGCAATAGAGGGAGACCTTGTCTCTAAAATGTAAAATAATAATAAAGATTTTAAAAAAAAGGAAAACCACAGACACAAAGCAGTAAGAACAGAGAAATTCAATATTTAAAATAGTATGGACAAACTTTGTTGAGGAAGGCAGCTGATTTTTTGAAGGGGGAGTGGGGTTGAGAGAATGACTTGTGCAACCCTTGGTGGTAGAAGATGGGCACAGCTGGATGTTCAAGGAAGGGAGCAGGTTTGCATTTGAGAAGTGCTGTGTGAGCAGTCATGGCTCTTCAAAGAGCCTGGTGAGTGATGACCATATTTTGTCTTTCAGGGTTGGCAATGTTTGATTGCACTGGGCATGTCCTTCCTGGACTGTGGGCATACGGTAAGCATCTCTAAAGGCCTGCTGACAGAAGAAGCCACCCGTGGCTACGTTAAATAACACTGGATTAGTCTGTCTTCTGCAGGTAGCCATCAGAGCCAGTGTGTTTCTATGGTTTACTGTGTGAACATAGCCAAAAGTATGTGCCGTTGCACAGACTGTGTTTATGACTCAACCGTTGGTTGGAAAAGACTTTGTTTCATGTGTATTTGAAAGATGGAATTATTTTTTCCTTCCTGACCTAACCTTAGAACTGGATTAGGGTGGGATCTTTGAAAAGCTGACATTTGCTGCTATCATTCCAACACTAAATTCTTAAGTAGTTGCCCAAGGGCCAGCTCAGTTTATCCTTCGGAGAGACAAGGATATGCATGATTCTTAACCAGGCTATATGTTAAAAAAAAATTGGAAAATGCAATACATTTTTTATTATACAAACTACAGAATGAGTATGCAAGTTTTATTTATCAAAATGTAATGGATTTTTAAAGGCTGAGAAATTTTCCTTATACCTACCTTTTCAGTTATTTTAATTATACCAAATTATCAACTAGAATAGCTTCATCCATATGAAATATAAAATGAAGAGACACCTAGCTCTATCAGGCTTAGGATTCTTTGAACTTATTTCCACTTTAATTTCTCAGTGGAAGTTAAGAGGGGTGAGAAAACAAAGAAGGGGAAAAACTGACAACTAACAAAACCAGCACCACATCGCTAGGTGGTGCTTACTAATTACCTTCTCAGGATTTTCCTCAGATTGAAAAGCTTATGAGGATTTCTTGGGAGTCTTAATAACCTGCCTGTTAGTACAGAGCTTTCCTGATGATATTTACTCTTGAGCACATGTGGTTGTAAAACCTTAACTTTCTTTCTCCAGGAGGGTGGTGATAGAAACAGATGGTAGTATTTATGAACTGATGTTCTCGTGAAATGTTGAGGGTGGGGAGAAAAGACTTTAAGGGAGGAGAGCCATCTATTTTGTTCCTAAAGCCACCTCTCAGCAGAATCGTCATGTTTTTCTGATGCACCGCTCTGCTTCATGCCCAAGATGACTTGCGAGGCAATCTCAGGAGCTGTGGACTTAACCGTTGCAAAGCACACTGTCTTTCTCAGCGTTCTCTGCAAGTCAGTAGGTGTTAGTATGGTTGCAAAGTTCACTGTCTCAGCAAAGTTGAACTGGGCTACCTCTCTACAGCTGTTTCCTCAGAGGGAAAAATCTTGAGACCAGATGGTGGAGCTCTGGAGTCAGAGGAAATGGGTGTCTTCAGCACAAAGCTGCTGCTTTTACTTCAGCCACTTCTGACATTTTTACATACCGAGCCTGAGATTGTGTGATTATCTCAAATCAAATCACTTTGATGGAGATAAATAATCAAAACTGTTTTATAGTCATTGATTTGGTGAGAACAGTAATGGAAAATGGTGTTGAAGGACTTCTCATTTTTGGAGCTTTCCTTCCAGAGTCCTGGCTGATTGGTGTTCGCTGTTCATCTGAGCCCCCAAAAGCATTATTACTGATACTTGCACACAGTCAAAAGCGCAGACTGGATGGATGGTCTTTTATAAGGCATTTAAGGGTACACTACTGTGTTTCACTGACCATACATTTTTCTTAGCCCCTCAAGTAATATAGCACAGAGTTATGAATGACAATTCCCCTAACCATTCCTCTTCATATCTGCCTCTTCCCCTTACCATCGTAATTCTCCAAACTGGTCATAAAGGCACTCTGTGAAGATATTGGGGACTGACATCTTAAGCTCTCACCTGGCTGCAGTAGGAAAGGCCAAACTGACGACAAAAAAAAAATTCTTTATAAAGATGATATGGTAACATGTATCTTTGCCCTGGGTCTGGGTGGGTCCAGTCAGTCTCAGATTTACAAGCATTTAGGAGCCTAGGTAAAAGCTGCTAGTATTCTTTTAAAAGTTATATTTATGACTTGCAATGATAGAAAACTCCTTCCAATTAAATGGCATTTTATAATATTATGTGTGTACTTCACAGTGTTAAAAATACCCTCATACGTTATTGCATTTGATCTTCACAGAAAGTGCATTTTAACCAGTACTCTGGGTGCAATAAATAATATGTAGAAATTTAAGTCCTCCAATTCCAGCATATCCAGTGAGTTTTGACAGTGTGTTTATGTGGAATGTTTAAGGATATACAATTGTACTTTATATAAATTGGTTCTTGTTCTTCTTAAATGTGACATGAAATAATTGTGCTGCTACATTATACTGGAAATTAACAGGGGAAAAGGGAAGAGCTCTTGGCTCCCTTGAGGTTCTGCTAGTGGTGTTAGGAGTGGTTACAACTGAGCTTTTAGTAACCATTTAACCGTATGTAAACTTGGTTTCTAATTAAAAAAAAATTTCTTTTTCCAATTTGGTTTCCTGGGTATTTTTTTAACCTTGAAATAATTTATTAATAGGGTTACAACAACTTTGATACAAAAAATACTGAAACAGCAACTACCACCTGGAATGGCACACTAAGTCCACACTGTTAGGATTTTCTCCTTAGAAAGGATAGAGAAATAAATGGATTTAGTCCTCAGAAAGCTTGGATTAATTGCAGATACCAGGATATTAATTTCCATTTACCCACTTAGTCAAATAGTTTTACCATAGCTAAAGGTCACATCATTACCATGTTGAAACTTGGGAAAAAAATTTTATTCTGCTTTTCTCTAAGCTGACTATTTTCTACCTGTAGCTTATTTCACTGTTTCACTTTTACATTCTATATGTGCTGCCAATGAAAAATTAGTATTTGAAGAGAAACCAAACTCATTTAGCTTAAAGACCAAGGAGCATTTTGGCAGACCTGATATAAATGGAAATATTGACACCATTTATTAAAAACAAAGGCAGAGCTCAGGCACAGTGAACTTTACTAGGCACATGACAGGAAAACTTGAGTCAGCACTTGATTTGTCCCAGGAGTGTCACCAGAACTTCATTTTCCCTTTCTCTGTTGCAAGGCTTCCCTGTGAGTAACACAGTGGAATTCATCTAGGAAGAATTTTGTTCTCCATGTTGTCCTTCCTCATTTAGTGCTCTCTCTTTACTTTGGATTTAATTTCAGAACTAAAATAGGATTCAAAACAATGTGAGGATCCTGTTTTGAAACATTTCCTTTAGCTCTGCCCTCTGGAATACCTTCTGCTCCTTCATTGGTAGGACCAATGAATCTAAATCTGTCAGCTTCTCTAAGTCCCTTAGCTTATGAATTTAAAAATGGCTAACTCAGTACTGTGTTCTAAGGCCTGGCCTGAACAGTTGTATTATCTCATTTAATCCTTGTAACAACAAGAGGATCAGCCTCTATGTAGATGAGTCAACTGGAAGGCCAAAAGTAACTTGCCCACATTTACATTACTAATGAAATGTGCAGTTGGCATTTGAACTCGCATAGCTTAACTCCAGAACCCATGTTTTCATTCCCAAACTATCCTGTGTAATATATAGTATACCCTTCATGTTGGGTTGTCACCAAGCTTTGTTGTTTAGCAGCACAAGGAACATAACACACTGAAGCATTTGTTTCATACTCTGATTAGTGCTAGAATATGCATTAGGCAGAAGTTGCCAACTGGTAGATTTTGGTCCCTGTGCAGAATTTTTAAAAGTAAGTTTGAATGCTTTTGGCAAGTGTAGAGAATGGACAGGGCCCTCTATGGTCCTATCCCAGCAATAGCCAAGAGTTACTAGTTAATAAGTTCACTCATTTGCATTAGCTCTCTGCCCCCGGAAGTATTTTAGCCTATTTCCAGGCCATTTAGTCTCATTTCTCAATGTCTCAGAACAATATAACAAACATCTCCAATGAAAGTGGTCTATCAACTAAGTCATCTAAGTGACACTCTGTGGGCATCACAGGACCAATACTGCAACCCTTGCTTACTACGTATTGAAGAAGTCTACCACCATTGCTCACTTGGGAAAGGCTTCAATGAATTGTCAATATATTTAATTGCTGTTATTTACTTAAGCCTAAATTAAGCAAGCTGATGTCTGAAGAGCTGTTTCCATGTCCTAAAGCCAGTGTAATACAGTGTTTTCCTAGCCCACTAGTTGGAAATAGTTTTATCCTGGGCATCATTTGGTCTAATCTGTCTTCACACAGTCATCACTGCAAGCCTGTGAGGTTATACACTGCAGTTTGTAATGTGTTAAATATATGTGTCGAAGACTCACATGAGATAGTATATTGGTGTACTTGGCATTTTCTTTTTTTTTTTTTCTGAGATGGAGTCGAGCTTTGTCACCCAGGCTGGAGTGCAGTGCTATGATCTCGGCTCACTGCCACCTCTGCCTCCCAGGTTCAAGCAATTCTCCTGCCTCAGCCTCCCGAGTAGCTGGGATTACAGGTGCCCACCACCATGCCTGGATAATTTTTTTTTTTTAAGATGGAGTCTCACTCTGTTGCCCAGGCTGGAGTGCAGTGGTGCGATCTCAGCTCACTGCAACCTTCCCTTCCCAGGTTCAAGCAATTCTCCTGCCTCTGCCTCCCAAGTAACTGGGACTACAGGCACACACCACTAAGGCCAGCTAATTTTTGTATTTTTAGAGATGGGGATTCACCATGTTGGCCAGGCTGGTCTCAAACCCCTGACCTCATGATCCACCCACCTCAGCCTCCCTAAGTGCTGGGATTACAAACGTGAGCCACTGCACCTGGCTAATTTTTGTATTTTCAGTAAAGCCAGGGTTTTACCATGTTGGTCAGGCTGCTCTCGAACTCCTGACCTCAAGTGATCTGCCTGCCTCGGCCTCTCAAAGTGCTGGGATTACAGGTGTGAGCCACTGTGCCTGGCTGTACTTGGCATTTTCAAATGTAGCATTTATTCACATTTTACAAATGAGTAGAATAAGGCTCCAAAAGTATATGTGACATGCTGAAGGCCATAGAAAGTGGCAGAGTTAAGGGCTTGAACCCAACTCCAGTGCCTTTATATTACACTAAAATAGGGATAGTTGCTACCAATAAATTTATAGTCTGCATTCTGCATTAACTTAGAGGCTGTTGGTGCCAAAGGATAACAATAAAAGCTCTGCGTAATAATAATAGGGCTAAAATGAGACTCAAACTTGTCTCAAGGTGTATTCGAGAAGAGAAAAAGTAAAAAGAAATAACTTCATAGCCAGCCTAGGAAACATGGCAAAACCCTGTCTACAAAAAAATTAGCTGAGTGTGGTGGCACACGCCTATAGTCCTAGCTACTTGGGAGGCTGAGATGGGAGGATGGCTGAAGCCCAGGAGGTAGAGGTGGCAGTGAGCCAAGATTGTGTCATTGGCACTCCAGCGTGAGTGACATAGTGAGGCCTTGTCTCTACAAAAAAAATAACAACTTCACAGGTCCCAACACAAACCATCTAGACTCAGTTCTTTAGGAGTGGAGTCTGGAATTGTGGGTTTTTTTTTTTTTTTTTTTGACGGAGTCTCGCTGTGTTGCCCAGGCCGGAGTGCAGTGGCATGATCTCAGCTCACTGCAGCCTCTGCCTCCTGGATTCAAGTGTTTCTCCTGCCTCAGCCTCGTGAGTAGCTGGGATTACAGGCATGCGCCACCATGCCCCGCTAATTTTTGTATTTTTAGTCGAGGGGTTTCGCCATGTTGGTCAGGCTGGTCTTGAACTTCTGACCTGAGGTGATCCATGCGCCTCGGCCTCCCACAGTGCTGGGATTACAGGCATGAGACACCGTGCCCAGTCGGAATTGTTTTTTGTTTGTTTGCTGTTTTGTTTTTTGAGACGGAGTCTGACTCTGTCGCCAGGCTGGAGTGCAGTGGTGCAATCTCGGCTCACTGCAATCTCTGCCTCCTGGGTTCAAGTGATTCTCCTGCCTCAGCCTCCCGATTAGCTGGGATTACAGGTGTGTGCCACCACACCCAGCTAATTTTTTTTGTATTTTTAGTAGAGACGGAGTTTCATCATGTTGGCCAGGATGGTCTCGATCTCCTGACCTCATGATCCGCCCACCTTGGCCTCCCAAAGTGCTGGGTTTACAGGCGTGAGCCACCGCACCCAGCTGGGAATTGTGTTTTAAAAGCAGCTTCGGTGATTCTGATGCAGGCTGACAAACATTTGGGACCCACAGGTCATCTTTCTCCCTCTTGGTACATGCCATTTCATGTTTTTGTTTTTTAAATGAAAGGCTTTTCTCTGCTCCAGTGCCAAAGGATAATAGGGCTCAGGATTGAAACCATTGGGAATTTGATTTCTAATTCACACAGTAGTAAAATACAAAAGCATTCTGCTTGTTTGTTCTTATCCTGATTTGAAGCACCCATCCTTAGGCAGAGTGTGTCACAAGAATAGTCAGAGTGCTAATTTTGCTAAGGACATTTGGTACCATCTCAGTCCTTAACTATTTCAGCTCCTACCTGTTATTTTGCATATCAGAAGCCATTCATGTATGTATCTGTAAGCCATTTCTTTTCTGAAATAAAAATCAATATAGCAGTACAGAAAAAAAGGCCTAAATTGATGTGCTAATTATAGGTACTTAAAAGCTGATTTCAATAAATACGTGAAAATCAGTCTAACCCTCTTCCATCTTTTTTTCCTTAGTGCCATCTGGGATTGACAGCTCAGCCTGAACTCTATCTTCTGAACACCATGGACGCTGACTCACTTGTGTCTAGATGACTGACAGCCTGAGAGACTCTATAAGAACATGTTTTTCTAAGCCCTTTTTGTGCCAGGTGTCCCGTTAACGTCTCTGTTAGTTCAGAGGTGAGTTTTGTTCAGACGTTTTGAACAAAAGGCAAAGATTTCCTCATGGGAAGGGTGTTCAAAACTGACAGCTATAAATGTAGGTCAGAGACCCACCCACCTCATAACAGTCATACACTCCCAGAGTTAAACGATTGGCCTCTGATGGCCACACACCCCTATGGGCTTGTGTCTTGGACTCTGGGATTTAAAAGATATATATGTATATATATTTATGTAAACCTGAGCATCTCAGTTTGGGTAGAGTTTTAAGGTTATATGAAACTGATAGAACTTTTGTATTTTTTTTTTAAATATTGTTTTGATATATCAGATATTTGTTTTGTCTGGATCACAAGTGAGAAAGAAAAGAGAACAATGCTCTTTTTCACAATGAACTGGTCAAATTGACTATCTTGTAAAGTGATACTTTACTATGTCAGTGAAATTTCAGTTTGATTTTAGTCAACCAGATTATATCCTTTGTATCTACTGATATTAACACATCATATTAACACATCATTTCTTAAAAAAACATTTCTTCTGTTTGGCAATCATAATTAACTCTGGTTATCAGCCTATTTTGTAATTATTGTCTTTGTCGTCACTTTTCTTGAATTGTTTTCTAGTCATTAAACAGATATGAAGGCATTGCCAAAGAGCTTTAATATCCAGTAACAAGATCCAGAAACCACACTTTAACCAGTGATCAGTTTTCCGTGCTGCATTGTAACTCAGCTCATTCTGGCATTCAAGTTTTAGGCAAAAAAAGAGGAAACTTCTAACATTTAGCTTGTAAGTCCTGACATAAGATAGTGAAGATATTTATCTTCTTTCTAATATTTGTATAGTCCGCCAATGTATTTTCTTCCCACTATTCCCATTAACATACCAAACACTGTTTCTAGGTCCAAAGTCTATTTCTAGGAGTGGCCAATATTTGTATTGTTGAATCTCCTAGGGAATGCTAAATGTTTCACTTTAAAATACCTATTTATACCAAGTAGCATGAGATTAGTACTAGAGTGAGATTTGGAATATTAGTCCACATATCACAAACTGCTTGCCTACATGTATAGATTTTTTTTTTCACCCACCTTCCTAACCAGGAATTTGTTTCCTTAAATTTGTTGTTGTTGTTGTTGTTGTTTGTTGTTATTTTTTTGAGAAGAGTCTTGCCCTGTCGCCAAGGTGGGAATGCATTGACGTGATCTCAGTTCACTGTAACCTCTACCTCCCCGGTTTAATCGATTCTCCTCCTTCAGCCTCCTGAATAGCTGGGATTACAGGCACCACATTTTTAGTGGAGATGGGGTTTCACCATGTTGGCCAGGCTGGTCTCAAACTCTTGACCTCAAGTGATCTACCTGCCTCAGCCTCCCAAAGTGCTGGGATTACAGGTGTGAGCCACTGCACCCAGCGTTTTTTGTTGTTAAGACAGGGTCTTGCTCTGTTGCCCAGGCTGGAGTGCAGTGGTGTGATCTCAGCTCACTGCAACTTCTGCCACCTGGGCTTAAGCCATCCTCCCACTTCAGCATCCCAAATAGCTGGGACTGCAGGCACACACCACCACACCCAGCTAATTTTTGTATTTTTTGTAGAGACGGGATTTCACCATGTTGCCCAGGCTGGTGTTGAACTCATGAGCTCAAGTAATCTGCTGGCCTTGGCCTCCCAAAGTGCTGAGATTATAGGCGTGAGCCACTGCATCCAGCTCACTCCTCATTTCTTTCTAGCCCCAAAGGTGTTGAGTCAGCAAATCCTGCAGCCTTTGTGTGACTTTGAGCATCACTTTCCCCTTTCAGCATTAAATATATGACCTCTCTGCCTTATTTTAGAACTTACTACATTTCAATAAAACTTTTTAAAAAATCCAGACATTGCCTATGTTCGTTTATAATCGGCCCTTAAAGAGGCAGGGATTTTTCTAAAATGACACTTTAAAATTTCCTCATTTCTACTTCAGGGCCTCTTGAAACTTCAGATAATGAGAGCAGCCAACCCTGCAACTCAGGCTATAGAGTCCTTCTGATCTTAAAACTGAGACTGAATTCACATCAGTTTTACGCTTTTACTTGAAAAAGAGACTCTTAAGTGTTTTTGGTTTCTTTATACAGGACAACAACTCTAGATGAAACCAGTGTGTTGGATTTTCCCCGCCTCCCTGGGTGGTTTTATTTCTCAGTTGTTTCATTACCAGAGAGTGTTGGGGAAACGAAGGTAAAAAATAAAAACATCCTGTTGTGAAACTCATAGAAAGGTGAGGTGGTTGGTTAAGTACTTATGGAATTTCTATAGCTCTTTTCCAGTCCTGAACTATATGTTACTAGGAACAGAGAATACAGGTTTACAAGTGTACCGTTCAGGTCACAGAACTCCTGTAATCAGAAAATGTCATAATAAAGCAAACTGAATCATGTCAAAGCCAGTAGAGGAGGTTGATAACTAAGAGTGAGTCTTGGGTAAGCTTTTTTCTAAGTTAAGAATATTTAATCACTCTCCAATTTGTGGTATATAAATCTGGATTACTATAAGTGTACTTGTGCATATATTAATATATTCAATCTTAAGAATAACCTGAGTGCATTCACTTAATTCCTGGGGTTCAACACTATAGAGTCAATCTGTAAAAGGATGCTCTGACAATGTATACACAGAATGTCAGAAAAAGTGCAATTACCTAATTGTTACTGAGCAGTCACTGCTACATAACTGTGTGCCAGCCTAATATAAAAGGCAGGTGAGTGTATCCAGGTATATGAAGTAGTTTCATTAGTAACAGAGGCAGTGGTTTTAGTAGCTAATATAAACAGCCTTCTCAATTTCAGACATTACAACATGAGGCCACTAAAATTTTGCCCAGGAAGTCTTTTGCAAATTCAAGTATTGTTATGTTATCTGTTTATAGGGTCTTCATGCAATGACCCTCAAACTTTACCCAAGCTGAAGTGGGTAAATTCACATCCTGCATACTTCCTAACTTTTCTTCAAATGTGATTTTACATTTTTTTTTTTATTATTATACTTTAAGTTCTAGGGTACATGTGCACAGCGTGCAGGTTTGTTACATATGTATACATGTGCCATGTTGGTGTGCTGCACCCATTAACTCGTCATTTACATTAGGTATATCTCCTAATGCTATCCCTCCCCCCTCCCCCCACCCCAAAACAGGCCCCAGTGTGTGATGTTCCCCTTCCTGTGTCCAAGTGTTCTCATTGTTCAATTCCCACCTATGAGTGAGAACATGCGACGTTTGGTTTTTTGTCCTTGCGATGGTTTGCTGAGAATGATGGTTTCCGGCTTCATCCATGTCCCTAGAAAGGACATGAACTCATCATTGTTTATGGCTGCATAGTATTCCATGGTGTGTATGTGCCACATTTTCTTAATCCAGTCTATCATTGTTGGACATTTGGGTTGGTTCCAGGTCTTTGCTATTGTGAATAGTGCCGCAATAAACATACGTGTGCATGTGTCTTTATAGCAGCATGATTTATAATCCTTTGAGTATATACCCAGTAATGGGATGGCTGGGTCAAATGGTATTTCTGGTTCTAGATCCCTGAGGAATCGCCACACTGTCTTCCACAATGGTTGAACCAGTTTACAGTCCCACCAACAGTGTAAAAGTTCCTATTTCTCTGCATCCTCTCTAGTACCTGTTGTTTCCTGACTTTTTAATGATCGCCATTCTAACTGGTGTGAGATGGTATCTCATTGTGGTTTTGATTTGCATTTCTCTGATGGCCAGTGATGATGAGCATTTTTTCATGTGTCTGTTGGCTGCATAAATGTCTTCTTTTGAGAAGTGTCTGTTCATATCCTTCACCCACTTGTTGATGGGGTTGTTTTTTTTCTTGTGAAATTGTTTGAGTTCTTTGTAGATTCTGGATATTAGCCCTTTGTCAGATGAGTAGATTGCAGAAATTTTCTCCCATTCTGTAGGTTGCCTGTTCACTCTGATGGTAGTTTCTTTTGCTGTGCAGAAGCTCTTTAGTTTAATTAGATCCCATTTGTCAATTTTGGCTTTTGTTGCCATTGCTTTTGGTGGTTTAGACATGAAGTCCTTGCCCATGCCTATGTCCTGAATGGTAATGCCTAGGTTTTCTTCTAGGGTTTTTATGGTTTTAGGTCTAACGTTTAAGTCTTTAATCCATCTTGAATTAATTTTTGTATAAGGTGTAAGGAAGGGATCCAGTTTCAGCTTTCTACATATGGCTAACCAGTTTTCCCAGCACCATTTGTTAAATAGGGAATCCTTTCCCCATTTCTCGTTTTTGTCAGGTTTGTCAAAGGTCAGATGGTTGTAGATGTGTGGTATTATTTCTGAGGGCTCTGTTCTGTTCCATTGGTCTATATCTCTGTTTTGGCACCAGTACCATGCTGTTTTGGTTACTGTAGCCTGGTAGTATAGTTTGAAGTCAGGTAGCGTGATGCTTCCAGCTTTGTTCTTTTGGCTTAGGATTGACTTGGCAATGCAGGCTCTTTTTTGGTTCCATATGAACTTTAAAGTAGTTTTTCCCAATTCTGTGAAGAAAGTCATTGGTAGCTTGATGGGGATGGCATTGAATCTATAAATTACCTTGGGCAGTATGGCCGTTTTCACGATATTGATTCTTCCTACCCATGAGCATGGAATGTTCTTCCATTTGTTTGTATCCTCTTTTATTTCATTGAGCAGTGGTTTGTAGTTCTCCTTGGAGAGGTCCTTCACCTCCCTTGTAAGTTGGATTCCTAGGTATTTTATTCTCTTTGAAGCAATTGTGAATGGGATTTCACTCATGATTTGGCTCTCTGTTTGTCTGTTATTGGTGTATAAGAATGCTTGTGATTTTTGCACATTGATTTTTGTATCCTGAGACTTTGCTGAAGTTGCTTATCACCTTGAGATTCTGGGCTGAGACGATGGGGTTTTCTAGATATACAATCATGTTATCTGCAAACAGGGACAATTTGACTTCTTCTTTTCCTAACTGAATACCCTTTATTTCTTTCTCCTGCCTAATTGCCCTGGCCAGAACTTCCAACACTGTGTTGAATAGGAGTGGTGAGAGAGGGAGGGCATCCCTGTCTTGTGCCAGTTTTCAAAGGGAATGCTTCCAGTTTTTGCCCATTCAGTATGATATTGGCTGTGGGTTTGTCATAAATAGCTCTTATTGTTTTGAGATACATCCCATCAATACCTAATTTATTGAGAGTTTTTAGCATGAAGGGCTATTGAATTTTGTCAAAGGCCTTTTCTGCATCTATTGAAATGATCATTTAGTTTTTGTCATTGGTTCTGTTTATATGCTGGATTACATTTATTGATTTGTGTATGTTGAACCAGCCTTGCATCCCAGGGATGAAGCCCACTTGATCAAGGTGGATAAGCTTTTTGATGTGCTGCTGGATTCAGTTTGCCAGTATTTTATTGAGGATTTTTGCATCAATGTTCATCAGGGATATTGGTCTAAAATTCTCTTTTTTTGTTGTGTCTCTGCTAGGCTTTGGTATCAGGATGATGTTGGCCTCATAAAATGAGTTAGGGAGGATTCCCTCTTTTTCTATTGATTGGAATAGTTTCAGAAGGAATGGTACCAGCTCCTCCTTGTACCTCTGGTAGAATTCGGCTGTGAATCCGTCTGGTCCTGGACTTTTTTTGGTTGGTAAGCTATTAATTATTGCCTCAATTTCAGAGCCTGTTATTGGTCTATTCAGAGATTCAACTTCTTCCTGGTTTAGTCTTGGGAGAGTGTATATGTCAAGGAATTTATCCATTTCTTCTAGATTTTCTAGTTTATTTGCGTAGGGGTGTTCATAGTATTCTCTGATGGTAGTTTGTATTTCTGTGGGATCTGTGGTGATATCCCCTTTATCAATTTTTATTGTGTATATTTGATTCTTCTCTCTTTTCTTCTTTCTTACTCTTGCTAGCGGTCTATCAATTTTGTTGATCTTTTCAAAAAACCAGCTCCTGGATTCATTGATTTTTTTGAAGGGTTTTTTCTGTCTCTATCTTCTTCAGTTCTGCTCTGATCTTAGTTATTTCTTGCCTTCTGCTAGCTTTTGAATGTGTTTGCTCTTGCTTCTCTAGTTCTTTTAATTGTGATGTTAGGGTGTCAATTTTAGATCTTTCCTGCTTTCTCTTGTGGGCATTTAGTGCTATAAATTTCCCTCTACACACTGCTTTAAATGTGTCCCAGAGATTCTGGTATATTGTGCCTTTATTCTCATTGGTTTCAAAGAACATCTTTATTTCTGCCTTCATTTCATTATGTACCCAGTAGTCATTCAGGAGCAGGTTGTTCAGTTTCCATGTAGTTGAGCGGTTTTGAGTGAGTTTCTTAATCCTGAGTTCTAGTTTGATTGCACTGTGGTCTGAGAGACAGTTTGTTATAATTTCTGTTCTTTTACATTTGCTGAGGAGTGCTTTACTTCCAACTATGTGGCCAATTTTGGAGTAAGTGCAGTGTGGTGCTGAGAAGAATGTATATTCTGTTGATTTGGGGTGGAGAGTTCTGTAGATGTCTATTAGGTCCACTTGGTGCAGAGCTGAGTTCAATTTCTGGATATCCTTGTTAACCTTCTGTCTCATTGATCTGTCTAATGTTGACAGTCGGGTGTTAAAGTCTCCCATTATTATTGTGTGGGAGTCTAAGTCTCTTTGTAGGTCTCTAAGGACCTGCTTTATGAATCTGGGTGCTCCTATATTGGGTGCATGTATATTTAAGATAGTTAGCTCTTCTTGTTGAATTGATCCCTTTACCATTATGTAATGGCCTTCTTTGTCTCTTTTGATCTTTGTTGGTTTAAAGTCTGTTTTATCAGAGACTAGGATTGCAACCCCTGCCTCTTTTTGTTTTCCATTTGCTTGGTAGATCTTCCTCCATCCCTTTATTTTGAGCCTATGTGTGTCTCTGCACATGAGATGGGTTTCCTGAATATAGCACACTGACGGGTCTTGACTCTTCATCCAGTTTGCCAGTCTGTGTCTTTTAATTGGAGCATTCAGCCCATTTACATTTAAGGTTAATATTGTTATGTGTGAATTTGATCCTGTCATTATGATGTTAGCTGGTTATTTTGCTCGTTAGTTGATGCAGTTTCTTCCTAGCATCGATGGTCTTTACAATTTGGCATGTTTTTGCAGTGGCTGGTACCAGTTGTTCCTTTCTATGTTTAATGCTTCCTTCAGGAGTTCTTGTAGGGCAGGCCTGGTGGTGACAGAATCTCTCAGCATTTGCTTGTCTGTAAAGTATTTTATTTCTCCTTCACTTATGAAGCTTAGTTTGGCTGGATATGAAATTCTGGGTTGAACATTCTTTTCTTTAAGAATGCTGAATATTGGCCCCCACTCTCTTCTGGCTTGTAGAGTTTCTGCCAAGAGATCAGCTGTTAGTCTGATGGGCTTCCCTTTGTGGGTAACCCGACCTTTCTCTCTGGCTGCCCTTAACATTTTTGCCTTCATTTCAACTTTGGTGAATCTGACAATTATGTGTCTTGGAGTTGCTCTTCTCGAGGAGTATCTTTGTGGCATTCTCTGTATTTCCTGAATTTGAATGTTGGCCTGCCTTGCTAGGTTGGGGAAGTTCTCCTGGATAATATCCTGCAGAGTGTTTTCCAACTTGGTTCCATTCTCCCTGTCACTTTCAGGTACACCAATCAGACGTAGATTTGGTCTTTTCACATAGTCCCATATTTCTTGGAGGCTTTGTTCATTTCTTTTTATTCTTTTTTCTCTAAACTTCTCTTCTCACTTCATTTCATTCATTTGATCTTCCATCACTGATACCCTTTCTTCTAGTTGATCGAATCAGCTACTGAAGCTTGTGCATTCGTCACGTAGTTCTTGTGCCATGGTTTTCAGCTCCATCAGGTCCTTTAAGGACTTATCTGCATTGGTGATTCTAGTTAGCCATTCGTCTAATCTTTTTTCAAGGTTTTTAACTTCTTTGTGTTGGGTTTGAACTTCCTCCTTTAGCTCGGAGAAATTCGATCATCTGTAGCCTTCTTCTCTCAACTTGTCAAAGTCATTCTCCATCCAGCTTTGTTCCATTGCTGGTGAGGAGCTGCATTCCTTTGGAGGAGGAGAGATGCTCTGATTTTTTGAATTTTCAGTTTTTCTGCTCTGTTTTTTCCCCTCTTTGTGGTTTTATCTACCTTTGGTTTTGATGATGGTGATGTACAGATGGGGTTTTGGTGTGGATGTCCTCTCTGTTTGTTAGTTTTCCTTCTAACAGTCAGGACCCTCAGCTGCAGGTCTGTTAGAGTTTTCTGGAGGTCCACTCCAGACCCTTTTTGCCTGGGTATCAGCAGTGGAGGCTGCAGAACAGCAAATATTGGTGAACAGCAAATGTTGCTGCCTGATCGTTCCTCTGGAAGTTTCATCTCAGAGGGATACCCGGCCGTGTGAGGTGTCAATCTGCCCCTACTGGGGGGTGCCTCCCAGTTAGGCTACTTGGGGGTCAGGGAACCACTTGAGGAGGCAGTCTGTCCGTTCTCAGATCTCAAGCTCCGTGCTGGGAGAACCACTGCTGTCTTCCAAGCTGTCAGACAGGGACATTTAAGTCTGCAGAGGTTTCTGCTGCCTTTTGTTTGGCTATGCCCTGCCCCCAGAGGTGGAGTCTACAGAGGCAGGCAGGCCTCCTTGAGCTGCGGTGAGCTCCACCCAGTTCGAGCTTTGCAGCCGCTTTGTTTACCTACTCAAGCCTCCGCAATGGTGGGCGCCCCTCCCCCAGCCTCGCTGCCACGTTGCAGTTTGATCTCAGACTGCTGTGCTAGCAATCAGTGAGGCTCCGTGGGTGTAGGACCCTGTGAGCCATGCGCGGGATATAATCTCCTGGTGTGCTGTTTGCTAAGACTGTCGGAAAAGTGCAGTATTAGGGTGGGAGTGACCCGATTTTCCAGGTGCTGTTTGTCCCCACTTCCCTTGGCTAGGAAAGGGAATTCTCTGACTCCTTGTGGTTCCCGGGTGAGGCGATGCCTCGCCCTGCTTCGGCTCATGCTCGGTGCTCTGCACCCACTGTCCTGCACCCACTGTCTGACAATCCCCAGTGAGATGAACCCGGTACCTCAGTTGGAAATGGAGAAATCACCCATCTTCTGTGTCGCTCATGCTGGGAGCTGTAGACTGGAGCTGTTCCTATTCGGCCATCTTGGAACCACCCCAGAACATGGCAATGGCTACAAGTAAGACCGAGTGATTCGATTGTGACCACTTTCCTTCTAAGTGCTCCTGTTCTGGTTCTGGGAAATGATTTTACATTTTAATTTAAACATAGTTTGTAGGTTCTCATGCATAGATACTCTTAACAAATGAATACTTAGCATTGCTTTTTTCAAGCAACAAATATATTACTTTAGCTTTCTCAGAGTAAGATTACAAAATTGTGGAACTTACTGGGTTTTGTAGGAAAAGCTAGTTTCTAATTAAACTCTTAATCTATTTTTAGTGCTGAGTACATATTGAGAAGGTAGAATATTTCCAGTGGCCTGGTTAGAAATACTTTTCATTGCACAACCAACATGAAAGGATGACTTATTTCCATGCCAGCTGTCCTCAGTTTTCCTGACCTTAATGGAACATATTAGATCCAGCTGCTGGAATATTTACTCTAATGGAATAAAGCAGTTGGATTCTTTCCTTGCCTATTTTCCAAAGAGGACAGTGTTGACCAAAATATGTACTTGTTGGTAGCACTAGAAGATCTTCATGATAGATACAGTTGACAACTTTTAAAATAATTGTCTGTCCCAATGGGGAAAAATGTATATAATACACAGAACACTAGGTTAATATCCAGAATGCAGACATATTTTCATATATTCTTACATCTTTCTTATCCCCAAATACTGGACTTCACCTTCTTGTCAGTGTAAACCTCCATTACAGGAAACACTGAGGAAAAGGAAGTACCCACCAGAAATCATCTTACATTGCATATATTCTTGATTTTATTTCAGTGACTATTTTTTTCTCTCCTAGGCTTGGAGTCTTTGGGATTAAGCTTAAGTCAAGGCAGTTATGTCTTCAGCAAAGCCTAGTTAATTTTTTAGACCCTGAGGGCAGTTAGAGCGGAGTCCAAGGCCACAGGTAAACTTAACCTTTAACATCTGCTTTGGTTTCTTGTGTTTTCTACAGTGTCGTACCACATTAGCATTAGCACTTCTGGACTAAATCCTTTTTGCCATCTCAGGAAAAAGAAATGTGTTTGCAGTTTACCTTTGTATTCCTAGAACTACTTTAAAGTCTAAAAATGAATAAACAAATAATTAAATGTTAAACATGTGTTTGCGGTAAAATAGTCAAGTTTCTGTATAAGAATGAGATATAAAGTGGTGAACCAACTTTATATAACAACATGACCATTCTCCTCTGATGTCATTATTACCCATTCTAAAAAGGAGTTTATGAAACCGTAATTACTTTGCCCTATTTGGGGAGAATTAAGACATGGATAGGGTGTCACATTTAACATGGATATAAAAAGTCTGTGGCTCGGCGCCGTGGCTCACGCCTGTAATCCCAGCACTTTGGGAAGCCAATGTGGGTGAATCACCTGAGGTCAGGAGTTCGAGACCAGCCTGGCCAACATGATGAAACCCCATCTCTACTAAAAATACAAAAAATTAGCCAGGGGTGGTGGTGGGTGCTTGTAATCCCAGCTACTTGGGAGGCTGAGTCAGGAGAATCACTTGAACCTGAGAGGCAGAGGTTGCGGTGAGCGGAGATTATACCACTGCTCTCCAGCCTGGGCAACAGAGTAAGACTCCATCTCAAAAAATAAAATAAAATAAAATAAAGAAAAGAGAAGTCTTCTGTAACCATTATATAATTATTAATTTTTCAGATTGGTTTGGCAGATTATCATTAGTTTGACAGATTAGTGGCAGATTATTTTCTGCCACTAACTACAAAATTTGAAAAAATTAAGTCAGAAAATCATGCCCTAGGTTCTGAAAGACATTAACACGGGATATTTCTGAGTTGACTGTTTATGATTGTTGATCTGGAAATCAACTTCTTAAAACACTGAGACTTGAAATACAAAGGCTATGAGCATTCTGTGACACTTGTGTAGTAAAATTTGCTACATATTGAAAATTTATTCTTCATAATAAATAGTTTTCAGAAGCTTCTTGTCTTTCTTGCTTCCAGCATGTAAGCTTCATTTTTTGGACTCACTGAAGAATCGTGGTCTAATGTAATCCTTATACATAGAATAGAGAACACCTAGAAAAAGAAGGATGTATATCAATTGAGTATCCATGGGAAACAAACACTGAATTTCTTCCACTTGTTGTATTTTTATGAAACTAGCCCACAATTTAAACAGAAACAAACAAAGGCCCTCCTTCTTACTAGTTTTTGGTTTGGATCATACAAGTGACTCTAGAAAAAAACAAAAAACAAAACTCTAGGAGCCCTTTCAAATCAATATCAACTTAAATTTATGATGTTTTAGTGCCACCAAAATATTGGTGAAATGTTAGGAAAGTGGGCAAATTTGACCAGATGTGAAGATAAAAATAGTAGTCATCTCAATTAGCAAACATTTATTCAGTCTCTACTTGTACTCAGTATCCCGAGGAAAACAAATGGTGAGTGGATCTAATTCCTGCTTCTAGGGATTTATGATCTAGTGGGTGAATTGCCTGTGAGTTTAGGCGGATGATATGTATGGCTTCCACAGAGTCCTGGGGCATGCAGAAAGGGGGAAGTAGCCAGAAGGAATAGGGTAAGGAAGAGAGGAGCTGCTTTAATGAGTTCCAAGGATGTCAGCAAATGTTCTCACCCAAAAGCAAGTTAGGGAGTCACAGATTTAAACTACAACTCACATACCACCACCACCAGCCCATACCTGTCTCAGTTATCAAGGCATCAGATCTTGAAATTAGATCCCTCTTCTGAGTGTGAAACCCATATATTCATTATTGTAAGTATGACGTTTTGTTTTTGTTTTTTTTTTTTTGAGATGGAGTCTTGCTCTTGTCACCCAGGCTGGAGTGGTACAATGGCGTGATCTCAGCTCACTGCAACCTCCGCTTCCCAGGTTCAAGCGATTCTCCTGCCTCAGCCTCCCAAGTAGCTGGGATTACAGGCACCACCACCATGCCCAGCTAATTTTTGTATTTTTAGTACAGACAGCGTTTCGCCATGTTGGCCAGGCCGGTCTTGAACTCCTGACCTCAGGTGGTCTGCCTGCCTTGGCCTCCTAAAGTGCTGGGATTACAGGCATGAGCCACTGTGCCTGGCCTTACGTATGAGATTTCTACATGGCACAGGTAGGTGGTCTCCAAACTTTCCAGATTTATCTAAGTAAATATGTTGAGCATGCCTCTCAAAATCTGGATTTATTTATTTACTTATTTTATTTTTTTGAGATGGGGTCTCTCTGTCTTGCCCAGGCTGGAGTGCAGTGGGGTGATCTTGGCTCACTGCAGCCTCCGCCTCCCAGATTCAAGCAATTCTCCTGTCTCAGCCCCCCTAGTAGCTGGGACTATAGGTGTGCGCCACCACACCCAGCTAATTTTGTATTTTTAGTAGAGATGGGGTTTCACCATGTAGGCCAGGCTGGTCTCGAACTCCTGACCTCAGGTGATCCACCCGCCTCTGCCTCCCAAAGTGCTAGGATTATAGGCGTGAGCCACCGTGCCCAGCTAAACTGTGCATTTATTTATAAACAATATAAATGCGGTGCGTGGTGGGGGCTCATGCCTGTAATCCCACCACGTTGGAAGGCCAAGGGAGGAGGATCACTTGAGGCCAGGAGTTAGAGACCAGCCTAGTCAAAATAGCGAGACCCATTTCTACAAAAAAATAAAAAAATTAGGGTCAGGCGTGGTGGCTCATGCCTGTAATCCCAGCACTTTGGGAGGCCAAGGCGGGTGGATCACTTGAGGTCAGGAGTTTGAGACCAGCCTGACCAACATGGCGAAACCCCATCTCTACTAAAAATACAAAAATTAGCCAGGTGTGGTGACGGGTGCCTGTAATCCCAGCTACTCAGGAGGCAAAGTGAGGAGAATCACTTGAACCTGGGAGGTGGAGGTTGCAGTGAGCTGAGATTGCACTCCAGCCTGGGCAACAGAGTGAGACTCCATCTCAAAACAAACAAAAATTAGCTGGGCATGGTGGCACACGCCTGTAGTCCCAGCTGCTAGGGAAGCTGAGGTGGGAGGATCACTTGAGCCTAGGAGTTTGAGGTTGCTGTGAACCGTGATCACGCCACTGCACGCCAGCCGGATGACAGAGCAAGACCCTGTCTCCCCCCACACACACACAAAAAAAGAATCAGTGTAACTGGAGTGGAGATTACGGTAAGTTGGGAGGCAGTAAGTCTGACAAGTTCTCATCTGTCTTCTTGGGTTCTAGTTCATCCTTGCAGATTCCAGTTTATCTTTCCTTCCCAACTGCTGCCTTACTGACTTCAGTCCCCAGTATTAGAAACATAAGCAACAGCTTCGCATAAACTGTTTAGCCAACTCCAAAAATGTTTTAAGGTCATATCTCTGTAATAAATCCCTTCTCCTCCTCCTCCTCATTCTCCTCCTCCTCCTCCTCCTCCTCCTTCTTCTTCTTATTATTTGAGACAATGCCTCGCTCTGTGGCCAAGGCTGGAGTGCAGTGGCGTGAGCAAGGCTCATGCAGCCTCGACCTCCTGGGCTCAAGCCATCCTCTCATCTCAGCCTCCCGAGTAGCTGGGACCACAGGTGCATGCAGCTTGCCTGGCTAACTTTTTAATTTTTTGTAGAGATAGGGTATTCGCCATGTTGCCCAGAATGGTCTCAAACTCCTGGGCTCAAGTGATTCTCCTGCCTTGGACTCCCAATACACCCAGCCTAAATCACTTTTTATATATCACTACTGGTAGTTTTGCTTGTCTGAATCTTGACTGATACAGTTTGGAATTAGAAGTACTTCCAGAGGAACAGAACCAGCATGATAGGTTCTCTGAAATGGTTCTGGGTTATCCGGAATTGGTTCTCTGATCCGTTTAGATTTAAAGGCATTAATGGCCATGTTTTCAGTTATAAGGAGGATGCTAACAGTCCATGGCATTTAGTAGCAAAATAGTTTCTTAAATTATCACCCATTAGGCCAGGCATGGTGGCTTATACCTGTCATCCCAGCACTTTGGGAAGCTGAGGTGGGAGTTCGCTTGAGGTCAGGAGTTCGAGACCAGCTTGGGCAATGAAGTGAGACCCTCATTTCTACAAAAAATAAAGGCCAGGTCTGGTAGCTCATGCCCGTAATCCCAGCACTTTGAGAGGCTGAGGCAAGTGGACCATTTGAGCCCAGGAATTTGAGACTTGCCTGGGCAACATAGGGAGATCCCACCTCTACGAAAAAATTTTAAAATTAGCCAGACATGATGATGCATACCTGTAGTCCCAGCTCTGTGGGAATGAGGCAGGCAGGAGGATCTCTTAAGCCCAGAAGAGGCAGGAGGATATCTTGAGCCCAGGAGTTTGAGGCTGCAGTGAGCCATGATTGCACCACTGCACTCCAGCCTGAGTGACAGAGCAAGACCCTATTTCTCTTTCTTTTTTTTTTTTTTGAGACTGAGTCTTGCTCCATCACCCAAGCTGAAGTGCAGTGGTGTGATCTTGGCCTACTGCAACCTCTGCCTCCTGGGTTCAAGTGATTCTACCTCAGCCTCCCGAGTAGCAGGGATTACAGGCACATGCCACCATGCCTGGCTAATTTTTGGATTTTTAGCAGAGATGGGGGTTTCACCATGTTGGCCAGGCTGTTCTCGAACTCCTGACCTCAAATGATCTACCCACCTTGGCCTCCCGAATCCTGTGAGTGGCTCATCACAATACAAATTCAATCCCCAACCTCACAAAGTCACTTATGTTAAACCATTGCTTTAGAAGGAGTGGGACACTGAAAATTGGGAAGATGTGGCAGACATAAATGAAATGGGTCTTTGAACACTTAAATTTTAGTGAGACTCCTTTGCCAATAGAAGCAGTCCTTCCATCCTGTCTGAGAATGACTGAAACTTGGACCAAAAGGTAATCTCCACTAAATGAAATTGAAATGCCAGAACTTCCTTGGTAGAGTAATGGTTCTCAACCAGGGGCAGTTTTGTTCCCCAGGGAAATATGGTAATGTCTGGAGATGTTTTTGGTTGTCACAACTGAGGGTGTGGAGGTGGGAAGGAGTTCTACTGGCATCTCTTGGGTGGAGACCAGGGATGCTGTTAGGCATCTTGCAATGCATGGGACAATCCTCCACAACAAAGAAGAATCCAGCCCAAAATGTCAGTAGTGCTGAGGTTCAGAAACTGCCACAGAGGTAGGTATCCAAAGGATTAGGGAGATTGGTATGTTAGAGTAAATTTATCCTGCTTACCCACTCCCTAAACTAAGGTTGTGAGAAAGACATTTGTCAGGGTAGCCCTGACAAGAGTCCTGTGGTGACTGTTCTCTGTATGCCAGAAATGACAGTGCAAACTGCTGGGCTCCCTAAATTCAATGGGGATGATGGGATCCTGAGGCTGTGGGGGTCAAGTGGTAGCATTTGATTGACAAAGACAAGGAAAGCATGATTGTTGTGATGGGCAGCAAAGCCTAAGTGGTCATCAGAATAGTCTAAGTAAGCCACAGAGATCTTTGGCATTGGCTAACTGATTATGGTATCCCTAGAACTGAAACTTATGGGCAGAAGCAGAAAAGCTCTAGGTTTGGTGAACAAAAGTCTAACTTGAATCACCACAATAAAGAGCCAGGGCTCCTTGACCAATTCCTAGAATTGAGTCATTTTCACAGGCCCAGAAATCCCTTGAATGAAGAGGGAGCCAGATCCCCTTAAGGAAAGACCATGTTCGACAGACAAAAATAGATGTAAGTCTTCCTTCTAGCCTTTCCCAAAGGGGACCTGTGCTCATTTACCAGGGTACCTGTTCACCAAGGAAGGGAAAAGAATCACATTTATGGGGGATTTTTGAATCCTGGTTCTAAATTGACACTAATCCATACTTTGGTAGAATGAGTGTGGCCTACCAGTCAAAGTAGGGGTTTGTGGAGGTCAGGTGGTTAATGGAGTTTTGCTGTGGGTCTGTTTCATAGTCAAGCCTGGTGGGTCACTGAACCCACTCTCTGTTATTCCTCAGTTCTGGAATGTGTAATTGGAATAGACATACTCATCAACTGTCAGAATTCTTACACTGGTCCCCTGACCTGCAAAGTAAGGGCTATTATAGTAGGAAATACCAAGTGGAAGGAAAAATAGTAAACCAGTGGCTGGGCACGGTGGCTGACAACTGTAATCCCAGCACTTTGGGAGGCTGAGGTGGGAGGATTGCTTGAGCCCACCAGGTGAAGATCAGCCTGGGCAATGTAGCAAGACTTCACCTCTACAAAAAAAAAAAAAAAATTAAAAATTAGCCAGGCATGGTGGTGCACACGTGTAGTCCCAGCTACTCAAGAGGCTGAGGTGGGTGGATTGCTTGAACCCAGGAGTTTGGGGCTGTAGCGAGCCATGATCATACCACTACACTCCAACTTGGGTGACAGAGCAAGACCCTGTCTCAAAAAACAAAAACAAAAAAACCCACAAACATAAAACAAAAGCATTACCCTACTCCTAGAGGGATTGTAGAGATTAGTGCCATCATCAAGGACTTCAAAGATGCCAGAGTGGCTAGATGCAATGGGTCGTGCCTGTAATCCCAACACTTTGGGAGGCCAAGGCAGGAGGATTGCTTGAGGTCAGGAGTTTGAGCTTGGGCAACATAGTGAGACTCTGCCTCTACAAAAAGTCTTTGAAAAAAGATACCAGAGTGGTGATTCCTAAAACATCCCCATTTAGTTTGCCTATTTGGCAGAAGACAGATGGATCTTGGAGAATGATACTATTCCTATAAACTTAATCAGGTGGTCACTCTGCTATCCAGATGTGGTTTTGCTGCTGGAGCAAATCAACATAACATTTGCTTTTTGGTATGCAGCTGTTAATCTGGTTGAATGCTTTTTTCTGTATATCTTTTACTAAAGATAATCAGAAGCATTTGCTTTCACCTGGCAGGGCCCACAGTATGCTTTCACTGCCTAATATCAGGGCTGTGTGAACTCTCCAGCCGTATGTCATAATCTAGTCTGCAGGGACCTTGATCATCTCTTCATTACACAGGACATCCCTTTAGTTCATTATATTAATTTGTTCTGAACATCAAGGGGAAATTGGAATGCATTATATCTTTTAGGGCACTTCTTGGTACTCCCATGTCCTGTGATTAAAGACAATGGAAAACTAAATCCAACACAGGCAGGATGCCTAATAATCCAGGTTAGGCATGAAGGAATGAAGGTTTGGGTCACCCCACCAGTCAAATAACCATGAGTAGCCAAGGTACTTGCTGAAAGCAAAGGGGATATGAAATGTGTAGTGGATGAATATAGATATAATACTAGCAATAACCATCTGACCAGCTGCAGAAACAGACTGTGATATTTAGGAGTGTTTCTTCCTTATTTTGATATGAATGCATTTATGTATAGATTAGCCCAATTTTTTTCTATTCCCCACGTCCATTTACCTATCATCTAACATAAGAAGTGTTAATAGGATTCAACCTTATATCTCAGGATTTAAGTCATAGGATATCAAAGGGGAATGTGATTCAGCTCAAAGAGGAATCATCATCATCCAAAGACGTATGAAGGGATTCTGTATCCTCTTTTGGGAGATAACTAGCATGCTTTTGGATATACAAGGGGTGGCTGATTTTGACACTGTCTTTATTTGGAAGTTAAGAGTAATTAATAGAGGTATATATGGATGTCAAGTTGACAAGGGCTGGACAGTGGTAGGCTTATATTATGTCAGTTGAAGTAGCCTGTAACTGCATTTTCCAGAATTCCTTTCCTTTTATTACCAGGGTTAGTGCAAAAGAGACATCCTGTATGAGATTTAGAAGGTGGAAATGATGCAGCAGTCGAATTCTTCTTATGTCTGGAAGACACTGTTGCGGTACAGTTTTGCTTCTCTGCTGGCTCACTTTATTGGCAGGGTTCAGCAATCATGAGCACAGCCACCATGGCTCCTGCTGAATTTTCTCCTTCACCTTCTCTGACCCCTTTGCCAGCTCCATGTTTAGCCCCAGGATGAAAGGCATTGGCATTTTCTATATTTCACCTCCGTCAGTGAATGTGGAGGCTTGGAGATGGCTGAAAACCCACAAGGGTTCCAGTCTGTCCTGTGTATTGTTCTAGCTCATCTTTGCAGGTTCTGGATTTTCCTTGCTTCTACTTTCCTTTCTTTTCTTTTCTTTTTTTTTTTTTTTTTTTTTTTTGAGATGGAGTCTTGCCCTTTCACCCAGGCTGGAGTGCAGTGGCGTGGTTTTGGTTCACTGCAGCCTCCGCTTCCCAGGTTCGAGCAATTCTCCTACTTCAGCCTCCTGAGTAGCTGGGATTACAGGCATGCACCACTACTCCCAGCCAATTTTTGTATTTTAAGTAGAGATGGGGTTTCACCATGTTGACCAGGCTTGTCTCAAACTCCTGACCTCAAGTGATACCCCTGCCTCGGCCTCCCAAAGTGCTGGGATTACAGGTGCAAACCACCATGCCTGGCCTACTTTCCTTTCTTTTCTAATTCCTTTCCCGGCTCACTTCAGGCCCCAGCTCCAGATTTCATAAGCAAGAGCCTCATAATTATATAAGTTCAAATACCTGTAATAAATCCCTCATTAAACATTACTACTAGTAGTGTTGCTTTTCTCCTCAAACACTGATTCGCCTACCAAGCTATGTAGAGTTCCACTTACATGCCATGCTTCTGTGCCTTTGTTTTTTCCTCTGCCTAGAATCCTGAGGTCCTTCTCTGCTTAGTTAATTCCTCCTTATTCTTGGTTCAGTACATGGTTTACATCCTTAAAGAAGCCTCCTCTGGCCTCCCAGCCCTAGTTAAATACCACTCCCTTGTGTTTGTGCTTCCATAGCAAAAAAATTTTTTTTTCTTTTTTTGAGATGGAGTCTTGCTCTGATGCCCAGGCTAAAGTGCAGTGGCATGATTTCGACTCACTGCAACCTCTGCCTCCCAGGTTCAAGCGATTCTCTTGCCTCAGCCTCCCAAGTAGCTGTGACTACAGGCGCATGCCACACCTGGCTAATTTTTGTATTTTTAGTAGAGATAGGGTTTCACCATGTTGGCCAGGCTGGTCTTGAACTCCTGACCCTAAGTGATCCTCCTGCCTTGGCCTCCCAAAGTGCTGGGATTACAGGCATGAGCCACCGTGCCTGGCTTTTTTTTAGATGGAGTTTCACTCTTATTGCCCAGGCTGGAGTGCAAAGGCATGATCTCGGCTCACTGCAACCTCCACCTCCCAGATTCAAGCGATTCTCCTGCCTCAGCCTCCCCCAAGTAGCTGGGATTACAGGCATGTGCCACCACACCCAGCTATTTTGTGTGTGTGTGTGTGTGTGTGTGTAATTTTTTTAGTAGAGATGGGGTTTTGCCATGTTGGCCAGGCTGGTATCGAACTCCTTACCTCAGTTGATCTGCCCGCCTCGGCATCCCAAAGTGGTGGGATCACAGGTGCAAGCCACTGCGCCCAGCCAGCCTGTGCTATTTCTGTCACGGCATCTATAACTTTATATTGTCTTCTTTCTTTCTTGGTCTGTCTTCCTAAGGAGACTAAACTGTTTAAGGGTAGGGACTGAGTCATATTTCTAAACAGTGTCTGGTACATAGCAGGCATTCAATCAATGTTTGCTGAATGATGAAAATGAGGACTGTAACTTTGTAGTAAGGCTTCCTGTATTTGGAGCACATTACAGCTCACAGTAATAAGATTATTACCACGTAACTTTCCTTGCAAGCCCCATGCCCATCATTCTGTAATTTCCATCCTACGCAGGATGACTCCACTCTGCACGTCATGAAGGGGACTTAAGAGTATTGTGACCTGTTCTCATTAATGTAGGCCAAACAAATTTAGATTAATTTAGGTCCTAAAATGGACTTCTTGTTAGAACTACCTGATTTAGCTCTGGGTATAACCTGAATTAATGAAGACAATTTTATACCTTTTCTTTGGATTTGACTGGTAGGTCTTGCTTAATTTATGGACTAATAAAAAAAGATTTGCCTATTGCTGAAACTTGGAAGGAAAGAAGAAGGCAGATGAGATTTGTGGACTCTAAAAATGTCTTCTTCCTAAGCTAATAACTACATTTGCTGTTCAGATAGGCTGGGAAATACGATCGCTGCTCTTAGCCATGAGATGGGGATCACAGCCACAATATAGGCTGTGATCTATCCATAACTGCTGCGCTTGAGTTATAGGATAGGAACTATTCACCACTCCCTTCACTAAAGAGAAGAACAGCCCATTGCCCTAGTTTTCTACCATAGGTTTTGTCAGTTTTTGTCAGCTGCATTCATAAAAAATTAAGCGCACAACTGGGCCACAACCTCAACTAAGGGAAGATCAGTCTTTCCTACCCCTCTCTCATTACATCATTGTGACCCAACATTCATCTTCTACTATGAATGAATAAAATAAATAAATGTACTCTCAAAGACAGCTGAACATAAGATACAAATTAAGCGGGTTACCTAGAGTCACAGCTCCAACAACAAATCCTTGGGCAGCAACTCTCATGTGAATAAGATGAATTGACATTTTCTGATCTCTTCTGTACTTTAGCTTGTAAAGACCACAGGACACCACAGTCACAAAGCCTGCTATACCTGTGAATTTTAAAAGTATGGGTTATTTGGAAGGCTGAGGCAGGAGCATCGTGTGAGACCAGGAGTTTGAAAACAGCCTGGGCAACATAGCAAGACCCCATCTCTAAAAAAAAAAAAATTAGCCACACATGGTGATACACGTCTGTAGTCCCAGCTACTCAGGAGGCTGAGGCAGGAGGATCCCTTGAGCCTAGGAGTTCAGGGCTTCAGTGAGCTGTGATTGCACCACTGCACTACAGCCTGGTTGACAGAGTGAGACCCTGTCTCTAGAAAAAAAAAAATGTATGGGTTAAATACACAGCAGGCAAGAATTTTCAAGTGCTTAGAGAGTTAAATGAAAGAATGTCTACAGGATAAGAACCTGAAAGATAAGCAGGAAAGACTCCAGCAAAGAACATTTTTCAAAGAACCAAGCTGGATTTGATCTACCAGACTTTAAAATGAGCCCTTAATATTCTTGAGTCCAGTATTTGCAGTTTTGACTCTTCCCAGAAAAATTAGAACCATATAGTGTAGTAACTTGTCTAGTCATTTGTAATTTCCTGAGGAATGATTTCAAACTGTGCATGCTACAAAGTTATTATCTGTGGCAAGTCACTTAGCCAGTAAGTGAACTAACCCAGCATCTCAGTGCCCACAGCTTTTGAGTGTTTGGCTTTACTCTTCTCTTCCTGTTACCAAATAAGGAGTAAACCCAGTAGAGTGAGAAAAAATTTGTGCTTCTATATAAAGTGAAACAATAAACTTTAGTGAGAGATGAAAAGGTATGAATATATGCACAAGAAGCATAACTCTGGCAAGAACTGTGATTCTAGAAAAGTTCAGAAGCCTATACAAATATTTCTGTATTTCCTACAAATGTCAAGGGGTGAATATACTGCTGTGACAACCAAGATTCTGTGTAACTGGCTCTGAAACAAAGAACTCATCAACTAAATAGGAAAGATTCTAGAAAAAGATTTAAAACACTGAGAACTTAATCCATGACAAAACAAAAATAGCCAGATAACAGATACTGGGCCAGGTGCAGTGGCTCATGCCTGTAATCCCAGCACTTTGGGAGGTTGAGGCGGGTGGATCACTTGAGGTCAGGAGTTCAAGACCAGCCTGGCCAACACGGTGAAATCCCATCTCCACTAAAAATACAAAAAAATTAGCCGGGCGTGGTGGTACATGCCTGTAATCCCAGCTACTTGGGAGGCTGAGGCAGGGGAATCACTTGAACCCAGGAGGTGGAGGTTGCAGTGAGCTGAGATAATGCTACTGCACTCCAGCTTGGGTGACAGAGCAAGACTTTGTTTTAAAAAACAAAAAACAAACAAAACCAACAACGACAAAAATAAACCCAGATACTGGAATAATTTAATAAATGCCATAAGTATAACTTATTGGTATAGAGAAGAACTAACTTGGATTTGTATTTCACACTAGACCCTGAAAAAAAATTTTTGGATAAGTAAGAGTTAAATGCAAAACAAAACAAAAATACAACAACAAAAACTGAAGAAAATAGAATAGTGTATTTATAACATCTATAAGAGGATATGGGGCCGGGCACAGTGGCTCACACCTATAATCCCAGCACTTTGGGAGGCCAATGCAGGTGGATCACCTGAGGTCAGGAGTTCGAGACCAGCCTGACCAACATGGAGAAACCCCCATCTCTACTAAAAATACAAAATTAGCCAGGCGTGGTGGCGCATGCCTGTAATCCCAGCTACTCAGGAGGCTGAGGCAGGAGAATCGCTTGAACCCGGGAGGCAGAGGTTGCAGTGAGCTGAGATTGCACCATTGCACTCTTGCCTGGGCAACAAGAGCAAAACTCCGTCTCAGGAAAAAAATAAAAAAGAGGATATGGTAGATGTAATAGAATATGACAAGGACAAAATGCACAGTAAGAAAACATTTGCACAGTAAAAGTGTGCATCTTTTTTTTGTTTGTTTTTCTTTTGAGACAGAGTCTTGCTCTGTCACCCAGGCTGCAGTGAAGTGGTACAATCTCAGCTCACTGCAACCTCTGCCTCCCGGGTTTAAGTGATTCTCGTGCCTCAGCCTCCCTAGTAGCTGGGATTACAGGCATGCACCACCACACCTGGCCAACTTTTGTATTTTTAGTAGAGATGATGTCTCGCTATGTTGGCCAGGCTGGCTTTGAACTCCTGGCCCCAAGTGATCCACCCACCACAGCCTCCTGAAGTGCTGGGATTACAGGCGTAAGCCACTGTGCCCGGCCTATTTTTTGGGTTCTCTATTCTTTCCCATTAATCCCTGCATTTGACCTTCCATCAGTACCACACCATGTTGATTACTGTAGCAATATAGTAAGCCTTAATATCAGCCAGAGTGATTCTTTCCACTTTTATCTTGTTTTAAAAAAGATTATTTTAGGCCGGGCGCGGTGGCTCACGCCTGTAATCCCAGCACTTTGGGAGGCCGAGGCGGGCGGATCACGAGGTCAGGAGATGAAGACCATCCTGGCTAACACAGAGAAACCCCATCTCTACTAAAAATACAAAAAATTAGCCGGGTGTGGTGGCGGGTGCCTGTAGTCCCAGCTACTCGGGAGGCTGAGACAGGAGAATGGTGTGAACCCGGGAGGCAGAGCTTGCAGTGAGCCGAGATAGTGCCACTGCACTCCAGCCTGGGCAACAGAGCAAGACTCCGTCTAAAAAAAAAAAAAAAAAAGATTATTTTAGCTTTTCTAGGACTTGTGCCTTTCCATATAAGATTTAGAATAAGTTTGTCTATGTCTACCAAAAACCTTGCTGGGGTTTTGACAGGAATTACATTAAGCCTGTAGATAAACTTGGGGAGAATTGACATCTTTACCAATATACAGTGCCTTCCAATTCAGGAACACAGGATCAGGCATGGTAGCTCATGCCTGTAATGCCAGCACTTTGGCAGGCCAAGGCAGGCATATCACTTGAGGTCAGAAGTTCGGGACCAGCCTGGCCAAAATGGTAAAACCCTGCCTCTACTACACACACACACACACACACACACACACACACACACACACACACACACCTCCAATTCATGAATACAGTAGTCTCTCCATTTTTGTTTTGTTTTTTTTCTTCAGACAGGGTCTCACTCTGTTGCCCAAGGCTGGAGTGCAGTGGCATGATCTCGGCTCACTGCAACCCCCACCTCCAGGGTTCAAGCGATTCTCCTGTCTCAGCCTCTTGAGTAGCTGGGATTACAGGTGCATGCCACCACACCTGGCTAATTTTTGTATTTTTAGTAGACATGGGGTTTTGCCATGTTGGCCAGGCTGGTCTCGAACTCCTTACCTCAGGTGGTCTGCCCACCTCGGCCTCCCAAAGTGCTGGGATTATAGGCGTGAGCCACCATGCCTGGTTGGTATTATGTTTTTAGTTTCAGTTTCCAGATGCTTCTTGTTAGTATATAGAAATGCAAATTTTAATCTAAATGTAAGGATCGATTAAAAGAAGAAATGCAGGCTGGGTGGGCATGGTGGCTCATTCCTGTAATCCCAGCACTTTGGGAGGCTGAGACTGATGGATCACTTGAGGTCAGGAGTTTGAGACCAGCCTGGTCAACATGGTAAAACCCTGTCTCTACTAAAAATACAAAAATTAGCCAGGTGTGGTGGCGCATGCTTACTCAGGAAGCTGAAGCACGAGAATCGCTTGAGCCCAGGAGGTGGAGGTTGTAGTGAGCCAGGATTGTGCTATTGCGCTCCAGCCTGGGCGACAGAGGGAAACTCTGTCTTTAAAAAAAAAAAGAAAAAAAAGCAAGTAATTTTTATGTGGATAGCATGTTTGGAATAACTATGTTGGCATATGTGTGTCTATGGGTGGGTAAGGATATATTTATTCTTTCATGATCCATTTAATAAATGGAAATAAGAATCAGTAAATCATTACATTTACATGTATATTTTATACACTGATCCACAATAAATAAAAATGACTAATGTGCTACAGACATAAAAACAGCAAAAAAAAAAATAACAAAATGATGATGGTAGACATATGAGGAAACAGGTAAAACCCTGAAAGCTCTGTAAGTTTGGCCAAGTCCTTCTAGAAAGAACTCTGGAAATATATAACAAATGATATTAAACTGAACATGCTTCCTGCTCTGGAAATTCTACTTCTGGGAACATACTCCAAGGAAATAACCAAAAGAAAAATCAAGAAAATGACACAAAGATGTTCAGGGCTACACTATGTTTGAGGAAAACCTAAATAACCCAAACAGAAGAAAAACTGCCATTGCTATAAAAATAAATAAGAATAGGGAGTATTAATACACAGAAATGCACGTATGAGCTGTTAAGTGAAACAAGCAAAGCCAAATAATCTGTCAACACATACTTTAAATAGATATAATGCATGCAGAGACCTTAACAGTGATTGTAAGATGATTTGAACAGTGTAAATATATTTATAATGATGGAAGTTGCTTAAGATAACCAACAAAAAATGTTTTGTAAGTTACCTGCATAGGACCCTCCATCCTGTAGCAGGAAAATACATAGTAGATATTGTTAAAATGACAATAGCTAAACAAATTATTCAATGATATATATCCAATTTTTTTTTCTAAGATGGAGTCTCGCTCTGTTGCCCAGGCTGGAGTGCAGTGGCGCAATCTTGGCTCACTGCAACCTCCACTTCCTGAGTTCAAGTGATTCTCCCGCCTCAGCCTCCTGAGGAGCTGGGACTACAGGCGCCTGCCACCACACCCAGCTAATTTTTGTATTTTTAGTAGAGACAGGGTTTCACCACATTAGCCAGGCTGGTCTCAAACTCCTGATTTCAAGTGATCCACCCACCTTGGCCTGCCAAAGTGTTGGGATTACAGGCATGAGCCACTGTGCCCAGCCTACCAAATTTTATCATTATTTATTTTTTAGCAAAAACTTATCTCTATTCCCTTAATCAAATGAAAGTTCTGTTCTTACTTAAATTGGTTTTGTTTCTTTTGGAGATTAAAGTCAGAACCTTTACTGTTTTCCATATAGTGTCTCTAGTTTGTTTATAATTGAATTTAGCTGGAAACACTTTTATCTTTCCACTTTAATCATCCTAAATGTCTCTGGAAAAATAATTTAATATACAACAGGCACAGTGGTGCGTATGTCTCTTTGTCTCTGTTTATTAATTAATTTCTGTTCATTATAGTGATCTGTTCAAGTAGCATTGAGTTTTCGAATTTTTTTTAACTAAAAATGCTAAGGAAGATAAATCACTATTAAATTATTTGCTTCCATTTCTTATGGGTGCTATTATAAGTCTTAAAACTTCTAAACAGAATATTACTGTAAAGTAAAATTTGATTCTTTCTTGATATGTGAATAATGACACTTAGGAAGTTGCTAGAGTCAGAGTAACACTTAACGGGAACATCTGACATACCTATTTAGAAGTTTTTATGGAATTAATATTTTTGCAAACTTATGTCAGTCTGATTTAAGTAAACTATTTTAATAGTTTCCAGACAAAATGAACACAAGGAAACAGGCATGGCTGCAGTATACATCCATGGAGAAGAAAGAGAAAGCTCAGACTTCAAAACATAATATTGGTGCTTAGGTTTTGTGGGGTTTTTTAAAGTCCACATACACATAATACTTGTTGAAAATGTAAACATACTAAATATGTGTGGGGAAAGGATAAAGAGGCTAAGGGTCCAGATTATTAGGTGATCTAATTATAGTATCTCTCTTTTTTATTTTTTGAGATGGAGTCTCGCTCTGCACCCAACCTCTACCTCCCGGGTTCAAGTGATTCTGGTGCCTCAGCCTCCTGAGTAGCTGGGATTACAGGTGTGTGCCACAATGCCCAGCCAACTTTTTGTATTTTTAGTAGAGATGGGGTTTCACCCTATTGGCCAGGCTGGTCTTGAATTCCTGACCTCAAGTGATCCACCTGCCTCGGCCTCTCAAAGTGCTGGGATTACAGGAGTGAGCCACTGTGCCCGGCCTAATTATAGTATCACTTCTTTAGTCCAGAATTTATTTTGCCATCAAACTCAACACCTGGAGCACACCAAGAAGCCAGCACAGAGGGCCACTGAGCAGCCAAAATGACCACTCCAAAGTTCATGCTCACAAGTGTTCAGATAGATCCAGGCTTTTACTCAGAGCTTTCCTCTGAATTGACCCACAGTTCTTTCAAGCTTGGTTATCTAGCTTCTGGTGCTACAGAGCATTAAAAACATTAGATGCAGAAGTTTTTGGTTTTTTGTTTATTTGTTTGTTTGTTTTTGAGACAGGGTCTCACTATGTCACCCAGGCTGAAGTGCAGTGGTGTGATCTTGGCTCACCGCAACCTGCACCTCCTGAGCTCAAGCAATCCTCCCACCTCGGCCTCCCAAAGCGCTGGGATTACAGGCATGAGCCACCGTGCCCGGCCTAGAAGCAGAAGTTTTTAATGTGCCCAATAGTAAGATAGAAACAGAAAAATCTATAAACAGAAGATGTAAGAACTTAAAGTTTAGATTACTTACAAGACAAAGAGACATATGCATCTCAATAGTCCCTAATAGGCTTTAAATATAATAAACTGATGCTGCTGTTGATGGTCCTGAGTTATGACTGAAATGTTAATATTCATTCAATCTATTCCATTTGACTGGCTAGGAACTAATAATTTTAGGTAGACTTCTAATGAAATGGATAAAATAGAATAAAATTTGATGCCTCAAATAACAGCTAACATTTACTGGGGGCTTACCATGTATTAGGAACTATTCTGAAAGTTCAACACATGCTTAGAGGAGGTTAGCTTCAATTATCTGAAAAAATTCAATTATAAGAAACATTTCAATCCGCAAAGGCACTGGGTAAGGCATCATTGTGTTATTACAGTTTTCTGCATCCAGTCAAGGCTTGTACTTACCTATAGGGACAAAGGGGGAGTCTCTAGATTTCCTGATTAGTCGGGATAATTGGCCTTCATCCTCATCTGCTGACCACTGGTTATCTGAAGACATTTTTTTCTCTAGTAACAATAGGATATAAATGTGGTTGCCGTGAATCATTAAAAATAATTTGTTTTTCCTCTCCCATCATACTCTTGATTATGTGTTTTTTTGTTTTCATTTGTTTGATAAGCCTATCTGCTCAACTGAAACAATTGTCTTTCCTTCACACTTTTCACTACCGAATTTTTTCATTTTGCAGGGGAAGGGGATAAGAAAAAAATACATAGAGGAAATGATAATCAGATTTCATGAATACAGAGTAAAAACACAGATCATAATGCTGTTATTCAGTCTCCTTTCCACTGCTCAGCATTTGAGATCACTGGGAACCTCAGGACTTCTTCCACAAGCACTGTATTTGAAGAACACATTTTCTTTTTAAAGTATCATTTTAAAGAAGTATGGCAGTGCCAACATAGGCAAAAATACTTCCAGATTTACAGGTATTGGGAGAATGATCACTTCAACTCTGCAGAATGTGCAGGGCATTATAAAGTCATTCAGATATTTACCAAGCACCTACTGTGTGCCAGTTGCTATGCTAGACAATGGATTCCTTGTCTAGCCTGGCTTGTCTACATAGGATGAATGAAGAAACTTGCAAAAGCAACTATAATCACAACAGATTTAGCAGCGCCTGAGTCTGTTCCCTGTGCAGCTTATTGTGTTCACCCCAGAATTCAAATACAGCGGCTTCATCCTATGAATGAGACTTCATCAGAAAACTTAAGCGTAAGAAGCACAATACCTGTGGCACACCCCGCCACCTGCTGTCTGTCTCCTGTTGTTCCTTCAGCAAGAGGCTGTAGATCAGAACAGGTGTTTGTTGTAAGGCCAGGACACGATGTGCAATTTCCAACTAATTGATAATGGGAAAGCCCAGAAACACGCCCCAGGGGACTGGGGGAGTGGTCGGCTGGTATTGGCCAAGATTTCCAGCACCCTGCTAGAAACTCACCAGTAGCAGCCTGGGCCACAAACTAGGCTTTTGAAGCCAACATTAAGAAAAACATGAAGGCTTTGGAAGAAGATGCATTTGCTTAAGTCTGCCTTCACAAGGGAGCTCCTGACTTCCCTCTGTGACTGTTGAGTCTTAGTACCTGACTCCTGGGCCCAAAATTGAGGGGAAAGAGGGCACAGGGTCACAACACTGGGCTTGGAGGGGAAGGGGAGAAGATAGCCATCAGAGGCCAGGATTCTTGCCATCCTTCGGAAACACGCCCTAGCCAGAGGAGGTGCGCTCCCTGCAGTTGGAATCTCCGGCTGAGGCGATGAGAGCCCGCCGGGCTCACCTGGCGGTAAGGCCATCGCAGGTGCGCCTCCTGCAAAGCCTCGAGCTGCACACGCGCCCAGGGGAAAGACGTGACGTTGCTGCACCTGTGGCTAGTCCCTGCGCCTGTGTGTGAGACCTGAGTGGGGCTGTGGAGACCCGAGAGGCTGTGGCTCTTGAGGTGGGTCGGTGGTGGACGTGGCCTTTGCTTCTGTTCTGACCTTGTAGCCTTGGGGCCCCTTGAGACCTTGGAGAACACCTTGCTCACCGCCTCCCTCCGACTGCAGCCATGTGGACCTAGAGATGAGGGCAGAGGATCAGGTAGCGTTCATGGTTTTTCCCTTGTAACTTAATGTTTAAATAATTTCAGACTTATAGAAAAGTCCCCAGAATAGTACAAAGAACTGTGTGTCTGGTACCCGCATTTTCCTTTATTAACATGTTTCTTTCTTTAAAAAATATTTTTGGCGAACCACCTGACAGTAGCAGACTTATGCCTTTTCTTCCATATACTTTTGTATGCATTTGGGGCATTCTTTTATTATATAACCATAGTACAGTGTTCAAAATCAGAAACTTAACATTGATATAATTCTGTTTTTCAATCTAAAGATTTTATTCATATTCACCAGTTGTCCCAATTATGTCCTTAATAGCAAAAAAAAAAAAAAAAAAAAATTTCTGGTCTAGCATCCAATTAGGATCATATATTGCATTTAGTTGTCCTGTTTCTTTAGTCTCCTTTAGTCTGAAACACCTTCCTAATCATCTTTGTCTGTCTTGACCTTGATTTTTTTTTCTTTTTTTTTTTTTTTGAGATGGAGTTTCGCTCTTGTCACCCTGGCTGGAGTGTGATGGCGCAATCTTGGCTCACTGCAACCTCTGTCTCCTTGGTTCAAGCAATTCTCCTGCCTCAGCCTCCCGAGTAGCTAGGACTATAGAAGCGCCACACCACGCCCGGCTAATTTTTTTGTATTTTTAGTAGAGATTTTGTTTCACAATGTTGGTCGGGCTGGTCTCAAACCCCTGATCTCAGGTGATCCACCCACCTTGGCCTCCCAAAAGTGCTGAAATTACAGGTGTGAGCCACCGCGCCCAGCCGACCTTGATGTTTTGCCAGTTATTTTGTAGGATGCCTCTCAATCTAATCCTGTGTTCCCGTCCCCTCCCCCAACTCATGTTTTCTCACTAGATTGAGGTCATACATTTTGGGCAGAATATGACAAAAATGATGTTGTGCTCTTCTTAGTGTGAAATATCAGGAGACACAGAAAGTTGAATTGCCTGGTGGTAGTTAACTTTGATCCAGTGTGGTGCTGACAAATGTTTAACAACTCAACTGGCTCTGGAGGGGGAGATATTGCCCTGTTCTGTGGCATTTGCCATTGCCCCATTCTGTGTTGTAAATATTCCCACCATGCCCAATTTCTAAATAGAGTCTGTCATCACGGAACACAAAGTTGGGAAATGTCCCTTTCCTGGGTTGGTAGGAATGGGCTCTAGCACACCACTGCTTTCATCATGTGGATTAACGTGGTGTCTGCCTGGTTCTCCACTGTGGTTACTTTTTTTTCTCCCTTTTAATTAATAAGTAGTTTCTGAACAGGTACTTTAATATTATACAAATATCCTGTTATTTGTCAGACTTTTACCCATTAATTTCAGTGTCTGTTGATGATCCTTGCTTGAATCCATTAATTTTAGTTTGCTAAATGGTGGTTTTTCTAAATATATCACCTTAAAAAAAAACTTATGGCCGGGCGCGGTGGCTCATGCCTGTAATCCCAGCACTTTGGGAAGCCAAGCAAGGCAGGTGGATCACCTGAAGTCAAGAGTTCAAGACCAGCCGGGCTAACATGGTGAAACCTCATCTCTACTAAAAATACAAAAAAAATTAGCTGGGCGTGGTGGCAGGCGCCTGTAGTCCCAGCTACTCGGGAGGCTGAGGCAGGAGAATGGCATGAATCTGGGAGGCGGAGGTTGCACTGAGCTGAGATGGCACCACTGCACTCCAGCCTGGGTGACAGAATGAGACTCCATCTCAAAAAAAAAAAAAAAAAAAAAAAATTAGCTGGGCATGATGGTGCGTGCCTGTAATCCCAGCTACTTGGGGAGGCTGAGGCAGGAGAATTGCTTGAACTCAGGAGGTGGAGGTTGCAACGAGCCAAGATTGCGCCACTGCACTCAGTCTGGGTGACAGAGGGAAATTCCATCTCAAAAACAAACAACCATTTATTAGTAGGCATTCTAATGAGGAATAGCTTTTCTTTCTTCTCTATTTAATCTTTTATCAGTTTGGACTCTTGCATTCCTATTTTATTCAGTGGCTTATAATCCATCACTATGATTATTTTTATTTTATTTTATTTTAAAATAACTGGTTTTTGCTTTATTCTGTAGTTTACATGGGCCAACCTCAAACTCCATGCTTGATTTTTCTCTTCTGCCTTTGTTATTCATTCAATATCTGTATCAGCAGAGACTGTTTCTCCCAGCAGCACATGTAGTTTGATCCTCATCTAGGTTAAGTAGGCCCTTGAAGACGCTGGCCCATCAGCACTGGTACCTGGACCCTCCCATTTGACTGCACCCATGTCTGTTTACACTGGGGCTGTGCCTTGGTCCTGTCACCCGTGAGGTGTCCTTAAGGCTGGAATGCCAAATAGGCTCCAGGTGATGGGCTAACTCTGAGTAAATACAAGAGGCTGCTTGGAGCCCAGAGATGAGGGTTATGAGGCAGACTGTGTCTGGGTTCCATTACAAAGAAACCGTGATTGATTATAAATACCTGCCCTGGCAATACACATTAGAAGTGTCTGGAAGTGGGGTTTTGGGGGAATGAGCTCAGAAAGGGACAAGGTGTATGTTCCATTCCTGCCTTGGGTGGTGGTTCTGCTACCTAGGCTATGTTGTCTCACTGCTCACGCCTTAATCCCAGCACTTTGGGAGGCTAAGGCAGGCCAATCACTTGAGGCCAGGAGTTTGAGACCAGCCTGATCAACATGGTGAAACCCTGTCTCTACTAAAAATACAAAGATTAGCCAGGTGAGGTGGCACATGCCTGTAATCGCAGCTACTGAGGAGGCTGAGGCAGGAGAATAGCTTGAACCTGGGAGACGAAGGTTGCAGTGAGCTGAGGTCACTCCACTGCATTCCAGCCTGGACGACAGAGTGAGACTCCATCTCAAAAAAAAAAAAAAAAAAAAAAAAAGAAGCATTCAAAGAATAATGAGACATGTCAATAGACAACAGGAGCCAGCTTAAAGGGGTTTCCAATAGCGAAATCTGGGACAATTTGATCATTAGAATAACCAGGGCAGTCTGCCTACCAAACTGCGGCGGGTGCCGTGACAGCCTCTGAGCAGGTCCAGAAGGGACCCCTTTAGCTGAAAGGCATTGCAGAGCTCAGTGTGATCAAGCAGAAGAAGAAAAAGAAGGACAAAGGCAAGGCAAATTTCCTGAAAGCCATGGCAATGAGCAAAAAGAACAAGGGGGAGAAGCGACACAGCCTGGACAAGTGGACCCCAGCCCAGATGGCCTTAGAAAGATGCAAGAGAAGTGTCAAATGGAAAGGATCCTGAAGAAAGCATCCGAAATCTACAAGCAGAGAGTGGAGGACTTCACATTCTAGGGATCTTTTCTTCATTCTGTTTTATAGCTGCATAGTCCTCCACTGTGTGGGTATAGCATAGTTTAAATGCTCTCCTAGATGTGAGTGAGCATGTAGGCTGGAGACATTACAGCAAACAATGCTGCAAGGAATAACCTCGTGCATATGTGTTGTCTCCTCCTCCTCCTCCTCCTCCCCTCCCCCTCCCCCCCTCCCCCCCTCCCCCCTCCCCCTCCCCCTCCCCTCCCCCTCCCCTCCCCCCTCCTCCTCGCTCTGTCGCCAGGCTGGAGTGCAGTGGTGCAATCTCAGCTCACTGCAACCTCCATCTCCTGGGTTCCAGCGATTCTCCTGCCTCAGCCTCCCAAGTAGCTGGA
Organism: Homo sapiens; assembly: GCF_000001405.40. Classification (NCBI taxonomy): domain Eukaryota; kingdom Metazoa; phylum Chordata; class Mammalia; order Primates; family Hominidae; genus Homo; species Homo sapiens. Next base: position 50,948,753 of record NC_000012.12, on the reverse strand, counting down.
AGGAACTACAGGCACATGCCACCATGCCCAGATAATTTTTGTATTTTTAGTAGAGACAGGGTTTCACCACGTTGGTCAGGATGGTCTCAATCTCTTGACCTCATGATCCACCCTCCTCGGCCTCCCAAAGTGCTGGGATTACAGGCATGAGTCACTGCACCCGGCGGTGTTTTTATATTATTGAAGGTATATTTTCAGGGTAAATTCCCAGAAGTGGAATTGCTGGGTCAAAGGAAAATAAAGTTTAGTTTTTTAGATATTGCCAGATTTCCCTACAAGGTTTTAATATATTGGCATTCCCACCAGCAATCTACAGAAGTGTCTCTTTCTCCACAGCCTGCCCAACAGAATGTGTTGTCAGGCTTTAGAAGTTTTCACCAATCTGATGTGTAAGAAATGGTACCTTACAGCAGTTTTGATGAGCATTTCTTGTATTATGAGTGAAATTGAACATATTTTCATGTGTATAATGGTCATTTTGCATATTCAATAACTTATTTGTTAGGTTTCATAATTTTAAAGTTGTGAAGAGATTGGGGGAGGATTAGAAGATATGCTTAGAGTCATCAAAGGATTCTGAGTCAAGTGATCATGTAGGGAAGGTTCCAGAAATAGAAATTATAATTTTAGCATGGGGAGATGTGTCAGAGACAAATGTGAGCTATTCTATAAAATGCAGCCTAATTTTCTTTTTGAAACCTAGAGTGTAAGGGCAGTATTTTGTTCCCTTGTAGTCCTCATTCAGTTCTTCCTGCAACTATTCTGCCATTTCACACTGTTCTCATCTTGTCTTTCATATTTATTTGAGACGGAGTCTCACTCTGTTGCCCAGGCTGGAGTGCAGTGACGTGGTCTTGGCTCACTGCAACCTCCGCCTCTCAGGCTCACATGATTCTCTTGCCTCGGCCTCCCAAGTAGCTGAGATTACAGGCACCTGCCACCATGCTAAGCTCATCTTGTCTATTTTAGACCAGTTTGATGCCTCACTGAAGGTCCCATTATCTTTTATATATTTGCTGGTTTCGCTGATGTGGCAGGCAGAATAATATTGCCTCTTCACCACTCCCAGAAATGTCCACATCCTAATTTCCAGAACCTGGGAATGTGTTACATTACATGGCAAAGGGAAATTAAGGTTGTGGATGGAATTAAGGTTGCTAATAATCAACTGACCTTGAGTTGAGAGATTGTCCTGGACTATCTGGGTGGGGCCAGTGTAATTACAACGGATTTTACAAGAAGGTGGAAGGTAGGAGAATCAAGTCAGGTTGAGAGATTTGAAGATGTTATGCTGCTGACTTTAAAAATGGAGGAAGGAACCATGTGCCAAGGAGTGAAGGTGGCCTCTACAAACTGGAAAAGGAAATAGATTCTCCCCCAGAGCCTCCAGAAGAAACACAGACCTGCTGACACCTTGACTGTAGCCTAGTGAGACCCGTTTTGGACTTCTGTCTTCCAGAGTTGTCACATGAAAAGTTTGTGGTGTTTTAAGCCACTTAGGTTATGGTAATACATTAGAGCAGCAGTAGGAAACTAATACAAGTGACAGGTGCCCAACATTTTTCTGTGTAGTCAGTCTGCTCCACAGGGTAGGAAAGGGTGGACGTGTCACAGATCCAGTGAACTCCCACAAAAATAAGTCTGCAGGAATAATAAGGACTAGGGAAGGAATACTGGTGAAGTAGAAGTGGAGCAGATGTAGAGGGTTGAAAGACCCATGAGAGAATGGTGTCCAGAAGCCATAGGAATGGAAGAACATCTTAAGAAGGAACATGAGAATCAGATATTACACAGATCAGACATAAAATGAAGGCTTTATTTTTTGTTTTTATTTATTTATTTTTTATTATACTTTAAGTTCTATGGTACATGTGCACAACATGCAGGTTTTTTACATATGTATACGTGTGCCATGCTGGTGTGCTGCACCCATTAACTTGTCATTTACATTAGGTATATCTCCTAATGCTATCCCTCCCTGTGTCTTTATAGCAGCATGATTTATAATCCTTTGAGTATATACCCAGTAATGGGATGGCTGGGTCAAATGGTATTTCTAGTTCTAGATCCTTGAGGAATTGCCACACTGTCTTCCACAATGGTTGAACTAGTTTACAGTCCCACCAACAGTGTAAAAGTGTTCCTATTTCTCCACATCCTCTCCAGCACCTGTTGTTTCCTGACTTTTTAATGATCACCATTCTAACTGGTGTGAGATGGTATCTCATTGTGGTTTTGATTTGCATTTCTCTGATGACCAGTGATGATGAGCATTTTTTCATGTGTCTGTTGGCTGCATAAATGTCTTCTTTTGAGAAGTGTCTGTTCATATCCTTCGCCCACTTGTTGATGGGGTTGTTTGATTTTTTCTTGTAAATTTGTTTAAGTTCTTTGTAGATTCTGGATATTAACCCTTTGTCAGATGAGTAGATTGCAAAAATTTTCTCCCATTCTGTAGGTTGCTTGTTCACTCTGATGGTAGTTTCTTTTGCTGTGCAGAAGCTCTTTAGTTTAATTAGATCCCATTTGTCAATTTTGGCTTTTGTTGCCATTGCTTTTGGTGGTTTAGACATGAAGTCCTTGCCCATGCCTATATCCTGAATGATATTGCCTAGGTTTTCTTCTAGGGTTTTTATGGTTTATGTCTAACATGTAAGTCTTTAATCCATCTTGAATTAATTTTGGTATAAGGTGTAAGGAAGGGATCCAGTTTCAGCTTTCTACCTATGGCTAGCCAGTTTTCCCAGCACCATTTATTAAATAGGGAATCCTTTCCCCATTTCTTGTTTTTGTCAGGTTTGTCAAAGATCAGATGGTTGTAGATGTGTGGTATTATTTCTGAGGGCTCTGTTCTGTTCCATTGGTCTATATCTCTGTTTTGGTACCAGTACCATGCTGTTTTGGTTACTGTAGCCTTGTAGTATAGTTTGAAGTCAGGTAGTGTGATGCCTCCAGCTTTGTTCTTTTGGCTTAGGATTGTCTTAGCAATGTGGGCTCTTTTATGGTTCCATATGAACTTTAAAGTAGTTTTTCCCAATTCTGTGAAGAAAGTCATTGGTAGCTTGATGGGGATGGCATTGAATCTATAAATTACCTTGGGCAGTATGGCCATTTTCACGATATTGATTCTTCCTACCCATGAGCATGGAATGTTCTTCCATTTGTTTGTGTCCTCTTTTATTTCGTTGAGCAGTGGTTTGTAGTTCTCCTTGGAGAGGTCCTTCACATCCCTTGTAAGTTGGATTCCTAGGTATTTTATTCTCTTTGAAGCAATTGTGAATGGGATTTCACTCATGATTTGGCTCTCTGTCTGTTATTGGTGTATAGGAATGCTTATGATTTTTGCACATTGATTTTGTATCCTGAGACTTTGCTGAAGTTGCTTATCAGCTTAAGGAGATTTTGGACTGAGACGATGGGATTTTCTAAATATCCAATCATGTCATTTGCAAACAGGGACGATTTGACTTCCTCTTTTCCTAACTGAATACCCTTTATTTCTTTCTCCTGCCTGATTGCCCTGGCCAGAACTTCCAACACTATGTTGAATAGTAGTGGTGAGAAAGGGCATCCCTGTCTTGTGCCAGTTTTCAAAGGGAATGCTTCCAGTTTTTGCCCATTCAGTATGATATTGGCTGTGGGTTTGTCATAAATAGCTCTTATTATTTTGAGATACGTCCCATCAACACCTAGTTTGAGAGTTTTTAGCATGATGGGCTGTTGAATTTTGTCAAAGGCCTTTTCTGCATGTATTGAGATAATCATGTGGTTTTTGTCTTTGGTTCTGTTTATATGCTGGATTACATTGATTGATTTGTGTATGTTGAACCAGCCTTGCATCCCAGGGATGAATTATTTATTTATTTTGAGACAGAGTCTTGCTCTGTCACCCAGGCTGGAGTGCAGTGGGGCAATCTCGACTCATTGCAACCTCTGCCTCCCAGGTTCAAGCGATTCTCCTGCCTCAGCCTTCTGAGTAGCTGGGACTGCAGGTGTGCGCCACCATGCCCAGCTAATTTTTATATTTTCAGTAGAGATGGGATTTCACCATGTTGGCCAGGCTGGTCTCAAACTCCTGACCTCAGGTGATCCACCTGTCTCAGCTTCCCAAAGTGCTGGGATTACTGGCATGAGCCACTGCACCTGGCCAGATTTAACATTTTTAAAGATTTGACAGTGAAGGGAGGATGAGAAAGCAGTAACTTGAGGGGAAGGTAAAACTAAGTTTTCTGTGGTGTGTTATTTTGGTTTTTGGGTGTTCCCCCCACCCTTTTTGAGACATGTTGCCTAGGCTGATCTTGAACTCCCAACCTCAAGTGATTTGCCCTCCTTGTCTTCCCAAAGTGCTGGGATTCATTACAGATGTGAGTGAACCACCGTGCCTGGCCTGGTGTGTTATTTTGTTTTGATTTTACTGGAGGAAGGTGTGGATTTTAGAATATTTGAGTATAGGGGAAGGAATTCCTGAAGAGGGGAACAGTGAAGATACAAAATGAGTGTGACTTAGCAAAAGACAGACCTGGGAGAGAGGAATCAAGAGCCCAGGGGTATTGTTGCAGAGCCTGGGAGGAGACCTCATCCTTAGGTCAGGAGAAGGGATCTGTGAGGTTCTTACATTTCCAGTCTCAGTGGCTCATTTTTTTGTTCTATGAAGTGAGAAGTGAAGTCCTCTGCTGAGAGGGAGGAGTATGGACATGACTAGGGTGACTTGAGAGTGTCAAGGTTTGGCTTTTGGGGCTGCTAAAGGTAAATTACAAGATTTATAAGCATCGTTGAAAGTCTAACTAGGGTATTTTACTTTCTCCTGAGGGTAGGAACAGAGATGCCTGGTATTATTTGTACATTTAACAAAGATTAATTGAGTGCTACAGATATGATATAAGGATATAAAACAAGTGTGTTGCCATCAGGACACTTAGAGTTAAGTAGGAGAGACAAATGAGTAAACCAACATTAGAGCCCACTGGAAAGGTGAGAGGATAGAAGCATGGGCCTGTGGGAGTATACCTAGAGCACTTAATAAACTGCAGATTTTTTTTTTTTTTTGAGACAGAGTCTCGCTGTCACCCAGGCTGGAGTGCAGTGGCGCGATCTCGGCTCACTGCAGGCTCCGCCCCCAGGGTTCACACCATTCTCCTGCCTCAGCCTCCTGAGTAGCTGGGACTACAGGTGCCCGCCACCTCACCTGGCTAATTTTTTGTATTTTTAGTAGAGATGGGGTTTCACCATGTTAGCCAGGATGGTCTCGATCTCCTGACCTTGTGATCCACCTGCCTTGGTCTCCCAAAGTGCTGGGATTACAGGTGTGAGCCACCACACCCGGCCTAAACTGCAGAATTAAGAAAGGCATTTTTGGAGAAGACTATGGATGTTTTTGAGAACTAGTAAGCTTCAGATGAAGGGAGGATATGGGTACTCCAGGCAGAGGGCATAGCTGTTGTGGAACTGCACAGAGGCAAACAGCACAAATGTTATCATGTATAGAACCAGGCATGAGGGAGGCATGTGGAGGATAAAGCGTGAGGACCAACAGGGCCAGATCACAAGATACTTGCATTTTATTTGATTTTGTATTAGAAACTGCATCTTGATTGGGCGTGGTGGCTCGTGTCTGTAATCCCAGCACTTTAGGAGGCTGAGGTGGGTGATCACCTGAGGTCAGGAGATCGAGACCAGCCTGGCCAACATGGTGAAACCCCGTCTCTACTAAAAATACAAAAATTAGCTGGGCGTGGTGGCAGGCACCTGTAATCCCAGCTACTTGGGAGGCTGAGGCAGGAGAATTGCTTGAACCTGGGAGGCTGAGGTTGCAGTGAGCCGAGATCATGCCATTGCACTCCGCCCTGGGCAACAAGAGTGAAACTGCATCTCAAAAAAAAAAAAAAAGAGAAGAGAAACTGCATTTGGCTCTGTCTAGGATGGAGTGCTGTAGCACAATCAGGGCTCACTGCAGCCTCGAACTCCTGGGCTCAATTGATCCACCCACCTCAGCCTCCTGAGTAGCTGGGACCACAGGTGCATGCCACCATGCCCGGCTAATTTTTTATTTGTAGAGATGAGGTCTCGCCATGTTGCCCAGGCTGGCCTCTTAACTCCCAAACTCAGGCAATCCTCCTGCCTTGGCCTCCCAAAGTGCTGGGATTACAGGCATGAGCCACTACACCCAGCCAAGCTTTGCATTTTAAACTAAGGATTTTGAAAATTAACCTGAAAGCTATGGGAAGCCATCAAAGGATTTCAAGGAGGAAGTGATTTTTTATTTAGGTTCTGGTAGCAGCATAAAAAATAGATTGGAAGGGGTCAGACTGGAGGCCAGTTAAGCCAAGTAAAGAGTGATGTGTGCAGAAGCAATGGGGGAAGAAAGGATGAGACCACATCTGACTGGTTGTGGGCAGTAAGTGAGAGGGGGAGAGCTAGGATGATGTCCTGGTTTCCAGTTTGAGTTCCAGTAACAGAAATGGTTTTGCCATTCACTAAGTTAAAAAATATAGAGTAAGAAGCAGATTTGGGGTAAAAGGTCCCCCTCACTCAGAAATTGGCTGATTTGTATGGCAACAGAACAAGGGAACATGGGCCGGGTGCGGTGGCTCACGCCTGTAATCCCAGGACTTTGGGAGGCTGAGGTGGGCGGATTGCTTGAGCTCAGGAGTTTGAGACCAGCCTGGGCAATGTGGCGAAACCCATCTCTACCAAAAATACAAAAAAATTAGCCTGGTATGGTGGCGCACATCTGTGGTCCCAGGAGGCTAAGGTGGGAGCATCCCTTGAGCCTGGAGGGTGGTAGTTGCAGTGAGCCGAGATTGCACCACTGCACTCCAGTCTGAGTGACAGAGTGAGACTATGTCTCAAAAAAGAAAAAAAGGAACAAGGGAGCATGAATAGGAGAGTGATAATGTTAATGAATTGATTTACTCTGTAGTTCAGCCTGGTGGGAGAAGGGAATCAGTCCTGGTTGATAGCCAGAAACAGACCAGGTAGAGTGGAGGCATTGGAAGTCTCTAAGTTAAGGATCAGGTTTAGTGGGAGATGTAAAAGGCTAGGAGTCTGGGTTTAGAGAATGGGACTTTTGAGTTTAAAATTTCATATGTGGTGCTTTGGAAGTGTTTGTTTTATCTGTTTCCTCCTGAAATGGTACGTTTATTTGTAGGAGCATTTTTCTAGAGAGAGGACCTATACCTTTCATCAGATTCTCAAGGTTGTTGATGACCATACCGCCCCTCCCACCATAAAAGTTAAGAATTGGCATTAGATGGCACCATTTTTACCTAATTCTCATGTTTTTAGGCATACCTGCCATCCAAATGTTGTGCAAACGTAAGGCCAATGTTTATAGAATTTTACTCAGGAGCCCAGAATATGAAAGGAAAAAAATAAAAGCACAGTGGCAAAAACGTGGGCTGACAGGTTAACAATGTATTAATAGTTCACTTTCTCCAATGTTTCCTCCCATTTAAAAAATTGGGGCAGGCTGAGTGCAGTGGCTCATGGTTGTAATCTCAGCACTTTGGGAGATCGAGGCGGAGGAATCACTTGAGCCCAGGAGTTTGCGACCAGCCTGGGTAACATAGGGAGACCCCATCTCTACTAAAAATGAAAAAATTCAGCTGGGTATGGTGGCTCAGCACTTTGGGAAGCCCAAGAGGGAGGATTGCTTGAGGGCCAGGAGTGCAAGCCCAGCCTGGGCAATACAGTGAGACCTCATCTCGGTTTTTTGTAAAAAAATAAAAATAAAAATAAATAAATTAGCCGGGCATGGTGGCACATGCCTGTGGTCCCAGCTACTTGGGAAGTTAAGGTGGGAGGATCACTTGAGCCTGGGAGGTTGAGGCTGCAGTGAGCTGTGATCGTATCACTGCACTCCAGTCTGGGTGACAGAGTGAGACTCCATCTCCAGAAAAAAAAGAAAAGAAAAATTGGGGCAAATGGGATTGTATGCATTGGCAAGCAACTTGGTATACAGCATCATTTATATTTGTAGATATATAGATGTACATCTGTTTATTTTAATATTGCAGTCTTTTTTTTTTTTTTGAGATGGGGTCTCACTCTGTCGCCCAGGCTGGATTGCAGTGGTGCAATCACGGCTCACTGCAGCCTCGACTTACCAAGTTCAAGCAAGCCTCCCACCTCAGCCTCCTGAGTAGCGAGACTATGGACATGTGCCACTAGACCCGGCTAATTTTTGAAAACAATTTTTTGTAGAGATGAGATCTCACCGTGTTGCCCAGTTAGGTCTTAATCTTCTGGGCACCATGTGATCTTCTCACCTTGGCCTCCCATACTGCTGGGTTTTCAGGTGTGAGCCATTAAACCTGGCCAAGCCTTTGCTTTTTTAGGAAGGATTTTAGATTTATTTCTAAACTTCAGTGGACAATAAGATCAAAGAAGCTCTTCCTCTGGGATTAGATTTAGTAATCTGTTCCCATAACCTGATAGGCAAGATAGAATTAATTAGATGGTGTTTCTTTTATAGTTCTAATACTACCTGCTTAGCTTGACAGATAAGATGGGAGCCAAGATTAGAGAGATTTAGAAAACCATGTTTATATCCACAAGCAGTCTGTCTGGAACTTTTTTGTAGCAATTGAAGCAAGTGCTTCTCATGAGGGTGCTGAACTTTTTGTTAGGTACAAAAATAAGAATTTTGCAAACTATTTTTTTTACGACAGAAGCCTTTAAAATATACCAAATCTTCAGAAAACATTATAATGTATAATAATCCAGATGGGTTGGTTTGAGTGCAGTGGTGTTTACAGTGAACTGATCACAGCCAGTTATAGATTTTTGTTCCTCCTCCACTCCCACTGCTTCAATTGACTAGGCTAAAAAAAAAAAAAAAAATCCAGATGATTGGAATTTCAAGGCTACATTTATAGAAGTAAAATATCTTTTCTGATAGAAAAATAAACATTCTGTTCCTCTTACAAATGCTTAAGGAAGCAGGCCTTGACCAGAGTGAGAGACTGTGTGGAGAAGTTCCAGTGCTCAACACTGGCAGTTTTATGGTTTATGAAGCACCTTTTGTGTTTATCTCATTTCATCCTCATAAGAATCCTGGGAGATGTAGGTGGTGGTATCCTCTTTTACTAAGTTAATAATGATATTAGATGCAATGATGAGATCTGGATTCAAATATTCTGACTCCAAACCTCATGGTTTTCCACTGCACCACAAAGCAGGTAAAAGTGTCGAGGCAGCACTGACAGCCCTAAATACAGAGATGAGCGGCTTAAATTCGATTTTATCATTAGTAGGTACTTTCATAATTTTGAGTTGTGAGAATAGCCAAATTAAACTGTTACTTCAGGCCAGGTGCAGTGGCTCATGCCTCTAATCCCAGCACTTAGGGAGGCCGAGGTAGGCAGATCACTTGAGGCCAGGTTTTGGAGACCAGCCTGGCTAACATGGCAAAACCCCGTCTTTACTAAAAATACAAAAATTAGCTGGGTGTGGTGGCAGATGCCTGTAATTCCAGATACCCAGGAGACTGAGGCAGGAGAATTGCTTCAACTTGGGAGGTAGAAGTTGCAGTGAGCCAAGATCGCACCACTGCATTCTACCCTGGGTGACAGAGCAAGACTCCGTCTCAAAATAAATAAATACAAATAAACTGTTAAGAAAGATTGTCCTCATTCTGGAAATGGTGAGTAGGAAGACAGGAGGAGTGAAGGTGTGGAGGTATGGAGACCAACATGTAGCATTGTTAGGTATTAGACACTATGCTTTAGATCAGATATTGGTGCTTATCTAGGAAGCCACTTCTTTGTACCCCAGGAAAATTGCTTGCTAAGCTTCTCTTTTTGCCATGCTATGTTAGTGGGGTGAATTGGACAAAGAAGGGCAAGGAAGATTGAGTCAGTTGCAAAAGGAGTGTTTTTCTACTGTTTTATCTAGACTTAGTGTCTTCCCTACTTTCCTGTCATATCCTTTGAGTAACTAGGCAATAACTGGCAAGTTCTCACACAAATGGTTTGTCATTCCAGCCATCCCTGGTCAACTTATACAAATAGTTATCCAGGCACTAGTTCTCAAACTAAGGTGATGGTGATAGCTGTGGAAATGGAGTGGAAGGGACAAATGAGAGGTATGTAGAAGTGATGGTTGTAGCGGGCCATCTGGAGCGGCTGCTACAAGGATGCCAGCTACAGTAGGGGAGGCATGGCCAGGGCTGCACACTCTGTAGAGTCCACAGGGGCTGGGAACAGGAAGGAGCCCTGTGCCCTACTGAGTTGGTGGGGCACCAGCCCTGCACTCCTGGGCACAGCTGCAGCTGGCCAGCCACGGTTCTGGACCTGGGCATCCCTGTGCTCTTGGAAGTCTGGGAAACCCCCTTCCCCAACAGGCTTGGAAGTGCCTGCTCCCTGGCCTCTACCCACTCCCAGTACTCGCTCTGGTGTGGAACAAAGTTGTAGCCCCAAGCTCCAGCACTGTCACAACCTAGCAGGGGGTGCATGCACTCAGGGCGGTGCTGACACGCCAGCCTCCTGCCAGCCCTCTGCCACCTGGGCCCCTTCCAGACTTTGGACACCGAGGGGTGTGTAGGGGGGTGGGGGGGTGGAGGGGTGCAGAGGGAAGCTTGGAAGGGGCCTGCAGGCACCCCTTGGCACAGACAGCCTGGGCGCTGTGGAGGGCATATTGATGGCGGAGGGAGGAAGTTCAGTTTCCTAGGCTGGAAGGGGCAGGTACCCAGTGAAACCCCATCTTCAAGTCAGGGATGGCCAGAAGGTTGGGGGGCCAGGCTGCCAGTTCCAGGTACAGTCCACAACTCAGAGTGAGAATTTCATTGATGACCGTTTGGCCAATCAGATAATGCTTTTCCCAGGCCCATGCATGGCTGCCCATGGACCCATCAGCATGCACTTCCTCCATTCTGAGCACATAAAGTCCCCAGACTCAGCCAGACTCACACACTCAATGAGACAACCTGCCTGCAGATAGCAGCTACCCACTCTGGGTCTCCTCTCTGCTGAGGGCTGCATGCTTGATGGGATGTCCTGCCTGCAGAAAGGAGTTACCCACTTCAGGTCTCCTGAGAGCTGTTCTGTGGCTCAGTGAAGCTCTCTTCTGCCTTCTTCACCCTCCAGTGTCTATGTACCTCATTGTTCCAGGACACGGAACAAGAACTTGGGACCCACCGAGGGACCCGCCGAATGGTGGGACTGAAAGAGCTGCAACACAAATGGACTGAAGCACACACCACCCTTCTGCAACCCTTCCTGCTCGTCACGTTGCAGGCGATGAGAAGGAAAGAAAAGCTGCGGCCCTTCTGGGAGTCCAGATCTAAGGGCTCCCCAAGCCAGGGCTGTGACATGCTGTAACACCACTTTGAGGCTTCGGGGTCAATGGTGCCTCCAAGTTTTTGTGATGTCACCACATTCCCCTCGTCCAGATGCCACGCCCAAGCTGGAGGCAGGTCTTGGCATACCTGGCCCAGCTGCAGGCTGAGTACAGATCCCACAGAAAGTTGCAGGATCTGAGCCAGAGCACAAGCCAAGTGCAGCCCTGCTGGGTTTAGGGGGTCAGGTGTCTCCTGCGGCAAGCCCAGGGTGGAGTAAGGCCCTGGGCAGGGGTGTCACTAGCCATGGAGGTCTGCGTCTGGCAAAGCAGCACCAAAAAAATCCTTGTCAGAAGAACAGGCAGTACTTATGATGATTTAATCAGTAAATACTTTTTGAGCACGTGCTATGTAATAAGCAATGTGTCTGACATGTAGAAGAAACAAAGAAGAAATTGCTGGTGTGAAATCATACCTCTGGGTGTTAGTGATAAGAGATTTCTCAAAGAGGAAGTTTCTTGAAATAGCCAGAGAATGCTTTGTAGAAGGGGCATCACTTTATCTGATCCTTAAATAATACAGAAATAATCATAGGTAGTAGAGAAGTTAGACAGTGTTATTTATTTAGGAAAGGAGACAGTGTATTCTGGTTTTGCTGTGTTAAATTCTAAATATCAAAGGATTGGCAAAAGTATGAGGTTTAGGAATCTTCACACAGGTGATTTTTCATGACCTAAGAGTGGAAGAAAGGGTCAAGGGATTGAACATAGAATAATACAGAACAAATGAGTCTCAGGAGACCATCACAGTGAAATGGTGGAGGAGAGAAGAGACAAATATGGAGATCTTGGACTCAGAAGATGATCTTGGGAAGCTATACAGTGTAGTGGGGGAGGCCTGGGCTTCTGAGTCAGGCAAACTGCATGGGAACACTGGTGTGGACACTCACTTCATGGCCTTGGACAAGAAATATGCAAATCTGTTTTCTCATTTGTCAAATGGGGATAATTATCCCTGTCTTGTAGAGTTATAAGTACTATGTGAAATAATTGTTTAAAAAGTTAATGCCAGCTGAGTGTGATAGCTCATGCCTGTAATCACAGCACTTTGGGAGGCTGAGACTTGAGAATTGCTTGAGCCCAGGAGTTTGAGACCAGCCTGGGCAACATAGCAAGATCCTGTCTCTATAAATAAATAGTGCCTTGCATAAAGAAGATACTTAAGAAATGGAAATTATTAGATATTTGGGACATGGAATAAAAGGATTATTCCAAAGAGAAGATTGACATCAGTGTGAGGTACATTTTTTTTTTTTTTTTGAGACGGTGTTTTGCTCTTGTTGCCCAGGCTGGAGTGCAATGGTGTGATCTTGGCTCACTGCAACCTCTGCCTCCCAGGTTCAAGCAATTCTCCTGCCTCAGCCTCCCAAGTAGCTGGGATTACAGGTGGCCTCCACCACGCCCGGCTAACTTTTTGTATTTTTAGTAGAGATGAGGTTTCAACATGTTGGCCAGGCTGGTCTTGAACTCTTGACCTCAGGTAATCTGCCCACCTTGGCCTCCCAAAGTGCAGGGATTACAGGCACGAGCCACTGTGCCCGGCAGTGTCAGATACATGTTTAAAGATTGAGAAACATGCAGCCTCAAGTAAGACTATCATGCTTTTTACTTTTAAGAATGTTAAATTCTGGGGCTGGGTGTGGTGGCTAATGCCTGTAATCCCAGAACTTTGGAAGGCTGAGGAGGGAGGATCACTTAAGCCTAGGTGTTTGAGACCAGCCTGGGCAACACGGTGAGACCCTATCTCTACTAAAAATAAAAAAATTAACCAGGTGTGCTGGTGCATGCCTGTGGTCCCAGCTACTTAGGAGCCTGAGGCAGGATGATCACTTGGGCCTGGGAGATTGAAGCTGCAGTGAGCCATGATCACACCACCTCATTACAGCCTGGGCCACAGAGGGAGACCGTGTCTCAAAAAACAACAAAACAAAAAACGGTAAATTCTGAATGGTAATTTTCCTAGTTCACATATATGTTACCATGTAGTTCTCTGCAGGTTCCCAAGATGGTTTCCTTTAGAAACAAAATAATACCTTGCACATTGCTGGTTCATTATTTACTTTGCCCTTTGTTCAGGTGACCTCTGCTCCGTTTCTCTGGCACTGGGATTAACCAGTGGCTCCACAGTTCAACAGGGAATTCTTTTTATTTTTTAATGTAGCCTAATGCTTCTGGTTTTAAATATTGAGAGAGTTAAAGTGATACTGAACAGTTTGCCTTTTTGCTTTTGTTGGTACTGGTTTGCTATGATTCATCAGACTTTTAATTACTTTAACAGATAAACAAGAATTTCAGTTATGTTAAGTTCTGTGTTTTCTAAACCAAGACGAAAGGGGAAGGCTTATGGTACGATCAAGAGTACAAAAGGAACTATTAGGCAATGTCTGCTTTACTTTCTATTCAAGTTTGAACTATGTAGGAATTCAGATGAAACAATTTGAATATTAGAACACTTGGGAATAAAAAATGTTTCAGAATATAAGACATTTTAATGTACCTTTGTGTGTGTGTGTGTGTGTCAGCCATTAAAATAAGCATTTGGCTCATTGTCCCAGGGTCTTAACAAGATTTAGGAAGAAACTGATGGAAATAGTAACCATCCTAGAATCTGCCCTTGAGGCTCTGGTGCCCAGCCCTGTCTGGTTTCTTTCATTTCCTTGAATATAGTGTGTTTCCTCCTTTCACTTGGCTGTGGCACGAGCTATTCTAGTTGACTGAAATATTCTTTTTTCATTCTTTGGAATTCAGCTCAGATGTTACTTCCTCAAGAAAGCCTCAGAGCTTCTCCTCTTGGATAGGTCAGATTACATTCGCTGGGCACCCTGAGCTTCTTCCTCATCTATAGAAAACATTTATCATCATTGTATGCTCCACGCAGGCAGGGATATGTCTAGTTATTCAGGGCTCTAAGCCAGGCACTAAGAGCAGAGCACACAGTAGACACTCAATAAATATCTGTTGAATGAAGTCAACCTATATTAAGTGCCAAGTGCATTGCTTCATTTACTCCTCAGCATAACCTTTTAGGTAGATACCCCCATTTACAGATGAAAAAACAGATAACTTGCTCAAGGTCACAGACTCAACCAATGACACAACCAGGACTTGACCATGTCACTTTGATGCCAAAGCCAGTGTTTCAATTTGTCTTTTACTTTCTTTGTTGCAAGCAGTTATCCCACTGAAAATCCAGTGTTCTAAGCATTGTACTATATGATCTCCCATAGGAAGACAGACAGGGTCTGATCCAAATCCGGTGAAATCCAGCAATGGGTTTATAATGTATATTTGTTATGTGCCTTCCTAGCATCCATTGCAAATTCAACCCAATGACCACAACCAAGGAGCATTTAGCAAGGGGATTTTATTACTTGCAACAAGTAAGGAGAATGCCAGGGCTGTATCTCCCAGAGCAGTATCTCCCAGAGCTGGGGGCTTGGTCAGGTTTTGTAAGTATAGGGTAATGAGGCATGATCTGATTGGATCTTGCAATGAGGTGATGCCGGGAGGCATGATCTGACTGGATCCTGCCATGGGGTGATACCACAGCTTGATCTGATCGGTCATGGATCCTCCCATGTGTCTGCTTCTTAATTCAGTCCCCATCCTTGGACTGAGCACTTAGCTTAGGTTCCCCCTGTGGTTGCAGGCTTGGTTCATCTGGGTGTGCTCAGGGCACATGACCTGAGGGTCCATTGGCAACTGAAAAACAACTCACAACTTTGTTACATAAAGGTTAAATCAGATTGGTCTGGTATGGCCACAAAAAGTAGGCTTGCTCTTTCTAACTGGGCTTGTGCCCTGGAAGCATGAAGGTCAGAGCCATTTCTACCAACTTGCTACCTAATAGAGCAGAGGGGAGGACAGACATGACCCTAGAGATTGTCTGGCTCCTGATAACATTATCTGAGCCCTGTTCAGGCTGTGCCTGAGGCTTTCTGCCTGTATGATTTTCACTAATTTGAGTTGATAGTCCTTTTTCTGCTTAAGTCTGTTTGGATTGGGATTCTGTCACTTGGAATCAAAGGATTCCTAACCAATATAGGACCTAAAAGACATTGGACATGTTTTGCCTTTTTTTCTTTCTCCCTTTTGCACAGGCTGAAGTCATTTCCTCAGGCTCTTAAAATGATTATAAATATGTGTTCTCTGGATTCAAGGAGGAAAGCAGTAAAAGAAGGTGTTATGGCAGCAATGATTATCAAAGGAGATTTTGTGGTTTGGGGAGTCAGGGCTTCTAAGACTTGCTCAGTAACTTGTGGAATGACTGTAAAAAACTTCATTTATTTATTTCTCTACACCTCAGTTTTCTCTGAAAAGTGACAATAATATTTGCCACACCACTTAGACAAGAGGGAATTGACAAGACTGTGCCTAGGACTTTGTACTTTGGTATTATCTTTCAGTGTAATGACATTTCATCATTTCAACCTGTGGCTTTTCCTATTTCTCAATCACTAGACTGACCAATAGTGAGATGGTTGGATTAAGGAGGTTCCAATTCTGGGGAGATGACAGAGGAAGGAGATTCATGTTCCAGAGCTTAGGAAGCAGTAGGTGTGCATTCGACCTCACTGCATCAATAACTTTTCACGTTCAAGAGATAGTTAAAATAGTAAAAGCTTCCTTTCTTTCTGCTCTGTGGATTTCACAAATGGGATCGTTAGACTTGAACTTTTTTGCTTTTTTAAAGTAGCCAAACATGATCACATGATGGACTTGAACTTTTCAAAACCCATTCTGATACTTCTAGGATTGCTTTGTGTAAAATCTATTGGCTGTGTTTATAGTTACCTGGCTGTAGAAAGAAAAATTTACATGTTTAAATAGCTAAAATTTCCACAATGAAGGAATAAGCCTCCCAGAGACATTAAGAAAAAGGAAACCAAGCCAGCAAAGATATAAACCATATTTCTGTTCCTAACACAAATGTGAATTTATTGGTTGATTTGATATTTAAAATAGTACTTTTACAAAATCATCTCAGAAAATATACTACATTTATTAAAATTCCTACAAACCATTGCAGAAAATATTAAACCCTCTAACCAACCTAACACTCGCTTTCAGAGGCACTTGTGATGATTTTCACAGCTTCCATAGTTGCAAAGAACAAAGAAATCATCTTCCAACAGGGGTGGAATTAGATAAGAATAATCCAAAAAATATTTATTTCTTTACAGACTCACAGATTGCTTGATGTTTAGGGGCTCTTACCTAGGATACCTAATTATTCAAGGTTTTCCTAATTTAGTAGACTTTTTCATTGCCTACAATCTACAATATTCAGCAAAGTATTAAGGAAAATGAACCCAAGAACCTTAACCACCTCAAATAGTTTTATGGATATACTAAACTGTCAAGTACAATCTTTATCTTAAGACTTGAGAACTGGAATGCAGGAAAACAAACTTTGGTGGAATACTGGAATAAAAGACATAAAGCTGGGCAGAACTAGGTGTGGCAACCTTGTATGTTAATTCTGAAAGCCAGACCAGTGACGCTAAGAATAACAAATAGATTCAGATTTGTTTTTCAGAAACTTGAGCTATTTCGGCCAGGTGCACTGTCTCACACCTGTAATCCCAACAATTTAGGAGGTCAAGGTGGGAGAATCACTTGAGCCCAGGAGTTCAAGACCGGCCTAGGCAACACAGTGAGACCCTGTCTCCCTGTCTCTACTTCTTTTTTTTTTTTTTTTTTTTTTTGAGACGGAGTCTTGCTCTTGTCACCCAGGCTAGAGTACAATGGCATGATCTCGGTTCACTGCAACCTTCGCCTTCTGGGTTCAAGAGATTCTCCTGCCTCAGCCTTCCAAGTACCTGGGATTACAGGCACCCACCACCACGCCTGGCTAATTTTTTTTTTTTTTTGTATCTTTAGTAGGGTTTTGCCATGTTGGCCAGGCTGGTCTTTAACTCCTACCTCGTGATCCACCCGCCTCGGCCTCCCAAAGTGCTAGGATTACAGGCGTGAGCCACCACGCCCAGCCCCCTGTCTCTTTTTTTAAAACACAATTTAAAAGCAGAAAGAAAAAATCTGTGCTGTTTAGACTCAGATTCTTAATTAGCTAGTATTTCTTAATTCAATCAATAAATTATTAAGACCTTTTCACTGCTCCCTTTTTAAAGTCTTCTTTGGAGTGATTTAAGTGCTTCTTATTACCAAGCTCTCAAAGAGAAGATAAAATTAAAATCTGATGGGTAACCATTTAAATAAGACAACTGGGGTAACCCATTTCTCCAGGACCCCTCTCTGCAACAGAGAGCTATTCTCTTTCTTTGGCCTAGTAAACCTCTGCTCTTAACCTTAAAAAAAAAAAAAAAAAAGCAATTGGAAAAAATTTCAAGTCAATGAATAAAATAAGATTTGGGGATAATGGTAGATGCTAATTATGAAAGTCGACTGTTTCCTTTGAAGGGGGAGTTCAAAGCTGTTTTTTTGATGTGAATTCTTTGGGAGACAATAGAAAATGGCTAAATAGGATATAACAGAAACTTTTAAGGATGGAATTCAACTTTACCTAAAAAAGGTTTCAGGCCAGGCATGGTGGCTGACGTCTGTAATCACAGCACTTTGGGAGGCCGAGGCAGGCAGATCACCTGAGGTCAGGAATTTGAGACCAGACTGACCAACGTGGGGAAACACCATCTCTACTAAAAGTACAAAATTAGCCGGCGTGGTGACGCATGCCTGTAATACCAGCTACTCAGGAGGCTGAGGCAGGTGAATCACTTGAACCCGGGAGGTGGAGGTTGTGGTAAGCTGAGATCACAGCATTGCACTCCAGCCTGGGCAACAAGAGCGAAAACTCCGTCTCAAAACAAAACAAAAAAACCTTAAGCTGGGTGCGGTTGCTCACGCCTGTCATCCCAGCACTTTGGGAGGCTGAGGTGGGTGGATTGCCTGAGATCAGGAGTTCAAGACCAGCCTGGCCAACGTAGTGAAACCCTGTCTCAACTAAAAATACAAATTAGCTGGGCATGGTGGTGGGCACCTGTAATCCCAGCTACTAGGGAGGCTGAGGCAGAAGAATCGCTTAAACCCGCGAGGTGGAGGTTGCAGTGAGCGGAGATCACGTCATTGCACTCCAGCCTGGGCAACAAGAGCAAAACTCTTTCTTCCCGCCAAAAAAAAAAAAAAAACCAACAACAAACCAAAAAAACCGCCCCCCAAAAAAAAGGTTTCTCTTCTCCCACTTAGCATTTTAAATGTAAAACTGAAGCTTTAAATTCTTTGAGCCATTCAGCTCTTAACTGCCAGCTCACACTATTTCACAGCATATCCATAGATATGAGGGCGCACCAACTCCCAGGACAGTGGGGCCTGGATGTGCTGCAGCTTCAGCTTAGAGAAGCTGGCCCGCTCCAGGGCCTTCCAGCTCTCTCTGGTCAGGTTGCACCCATCAAACAGAAGGTGCCAGGCAGGATCCAGGACTTGTTGCCAGAAGTAATTCCAAGTCGAACACTCAGCTGCCACATGCTCCATGAAATAGAAAGCCCCTCCCTGAGAAAGAAAGAAAAAAAAAAACATTTCAAGGATTTTTTCATTTCTGCTTTTTTAATTTATTTTTTGAAAATTGTTCTCTGGCACTGCCTTGCAAACCTGTGAGAGAACCGTAGAGTTCTGAGCAGGAGGGTCACTCCACACTAAGCACACCCTTGAGACTGAATAACCATGTTTTAAATTTTTGTGCCATTTTCACAAATATGTACGTGATATGATTAATGAAAATTCTGATTCATCTAAAATCATTACTGAATTCAAGGTAACATTTTGTCATTAGGTATTTTATTCAGTCAGTGGATGCTAAATGTAAATTACTCTTTGTAGGAATTAGCAACTGCTGCTTTCATTGAGGAGTTTTATAAATGTTGATCAAGTACAGGCACAATAGATGTTATTACATGTTATGTGTGGGGACATCTTCAGAAGTTTTCTACATATCTACCTCTGAGGGGAGTAAGGAGCAAGGGACCAGACAGTCACCTCACAAAATTGTGGTAACTGCACCACTCTTCTTGGCCTCCTCTAGTTATCCTAGTCTTGGCTCCTCAGGCAGAGTTTAGAGAGAGAATTCAGTTTAGTGATGGAGTTTCCCCAAATTATATGGGTCAGTGTAAGACCTATGTTACGAATAGAAAAATTGGAATTTCCTGATTTATTTATTCATTTATTATTTCTTGAGACAGGGCCTGGCTCTGTCACCCAGGATGGAATGCAGTGGCACAGTCTCAGCTCACTGCAACCTCTGCCTCCTGGGCTCAAGCAATCCTACTGCCTCAGCCCCCCAAGTAGCTGGGACAACAGGTGCACACCACTACACCCAGCTAATTTTTTTTTTTATAGAGACAGAGTTTCGCCGCATTGCCCAGGCTGGTCTCGAACTCCTGAGCTCAAGTGATCCTCCTGTCTAGGCCTCCCAAAGTGCTGGGATTACAGGCGTGAGCTACCGTGCCCGGCCCTGATTTTAAAAAAAATCTTCATAGGATAGGGCAGCATAAAGGAGGAGAGGCAGGTTTGGGGAGGTCAGTGTTGCCCTCTGGTTTACATATGTTAAGAGGTGCCTCTGAGCAATCCAGGAGACTGTTGAGTAGACGGCTGGATATGAAGGTTTGGGGTCAGAAGAGAGACCTGGGATAGATGTTTAGATTTGGAAACATCTGTATATATGTGGTATTTGAGAACTGTGGAGGTATATGAGATTGCTGGGGAGTGTATATAAGTGAAATGAACCAATGAAAGGAGTTAGCCAGCTTGCTTTAGGCAGACAGTAGGGAAGGGTCCCGGAAGAACTTCTGACCAGTCCCACAAATGGTTACATGAGATGTTTTGTGCAGATAAGGGAACTTGCACAGGGGCTTGCCTAAACATGCCTGCAGCCCACTAAGGCCCCACATGCACGCTGGGGGAATGGGGTGGAGCCACCAGGAATTCATGCCTTTACAAACAGGGAATCCAGCTCCATCAGCTTTTCAGTTGCGAAGGGGGCAACCAGCAACCTGTTTTCAGGACCCCTCTTTTTGCTGAGAGCTTTCTGTTTCGCTTGATAAATTCTACTCCACTCACTCTTCCATGTTCACGTGCCTATTTCTTCCTGAATGTGAGACAAGAACCTGGACCTAGCTGAGCTAAGGAGCAAAAATCCTGTGTCACCAAGAAAGGAACCCCAGTGGTAGGAGATGGGTAGAGGAAGAAGAGCCAGCAAGAGTGATAGCAATGTTGAAATCAGAAAGATGAAAACCCCAATAACAAGCACTGTGGTACAGTGGTAAGAATATTTGCATTTGCATTTGGCTGGGCGCGGTGGCTCACACCTGTAATCCCACCACTTTGGGAGGCCAAGGTGGGTGGATCACTTGAGGCCAGAAGTTGGACACCAGCCCGGCCAACATGGTGAAACCCCATCCCTACTAAAAATATAAAAGTTAGCCAGGCGTGGTAGCATGTGCCTGTAAACCCAGCTACTCGGGAGGCTGAGGCAAGGAGAGTCACTGAACCTGGGAGGTGGAGGCTGCAGTTAGCCAAGATCATGCCACTGTACACCAGCCTGGGCGACAGAGCAAGACTCTGTTTCAAAAAAAAGGAATATTTGCATTTGCATTAAAGAGAGCCATGTCTACTAGCTGTGTAACTTTGGGCAAATTCCTTAATCTCTCTGAGTCTGTTTCTTTGTCCTAACATGAAGATATGTACTTTAGAGGACTGTTGACAGGGTTAAATGAAAATGTAATAAAGTTCCCTTGTTATATCCAGCAGAGAGTGGGTGCTTGGCAGGAGCTAAGGAAGACTATCACGAATGTGATAACTTTAAGAGTTCAATTGATTTTTGGCACTGGAAAACTGAGATAATAATTACCTGCCTTGCAGCGGTGTTGGGAGATTAGTAACACTGTAAGCAAAACATCTACTAATGTGCCAGTTGGTGCCCAGTCTTAGCATATAAGAACCCAGCATTTGGGTATAAGAATCAGTCCTTTTTTATTTACTACTCTGATATTGAGCCAAGACAGGATTGTATGATTTTCCCTAAACCCTATCTCCAAGTTCTTTTCTTCCTGAGGAACTTCCTCTATTAGAAAATAAAACTGATGGTTGGGCATGGTGGCTCACACCTGTAATCCCAACACTTTGAGAGGCCAAAGTGGGCAGACCACTTGAGCCCAGGAGTTTGAGACCAGCCTGGGCAACATGGCGAAACCTCATCTCTACAAAAATACAAAAACTAGCTGGGTGTGGTGGTGCATGCCTGTAGTCCCAGCTGCTGGGAGGGTGGGGAGGCTGAGACGGAAAGATTGCTTGAGTCCAGCAGGTCAAGGCTGCAGTGAGCTGTGATCATGCCACTGCACTCCAGCCTGGGTGACAGAGGGAAACCCTGTCTCAACAAAAAATGAAAACTGGGGATTACAAAACATGCCTTTCCCCCAGAAGAGTAAATTCAAATGTTAAGATATCCATATCTTCAACTTTGTTCAGAATATAAAACGATTTTAAACTAGCTAAAAATAATAAGGGTAATATGTGAAAACTACATACAGGTATAAAGAATTACAGACTTTACGGAAAGGTTTAAAATGAAAAGTAATTCTTTCCCTGAATCCAATCCCATTCCCCAAAGGCAACCACTGTTAATAGTTACTTGTCTGTCATTCCCATTAACTTATACACATATATGTATCTCCTCTCCCTGCCTCACACAATGGGCATGTGGTGGGCCTACGCTCTACCTAACATTCTGTGGCTTGATTGCTTTTTGTTTTCATTAAACATTATCCCTTGGGGATTTTTAAGTATCAGCACAGATAACTCTTCTTGTTCTTTCTGACAGCTGCACAGTGTTCCTTTATACAATATGACAACTCACTTACATAGCATCCTATTGATAGACATTTCAGTTATTTCCAGTTTGTGCAATTACAAATTCTACTTAATATTCTTGTGTATGGACAAGTTTTTGCATGTGGATAAAAGAGTATGTGTGGTTTAAATTTTGATATTATCAGATACCACCCAAAGAGGGTACCTCTTCTAATGTGTATGGTGGTGTCCAGTCCCCTAAACCCACCCCAACCCTATACTGACCTTAAAAGAAGTCCCTAACAGTATAATAGGTAAAATTAGTATCTCCTTTAATTAACTCTTTAAGTTTGAGCACTTTTGTCCTATAATTGGTTTACATTTCTGTTCCTGTTATTTGCCCATTTTCCCTTTTGTTTTTCTTATTGAAAAATATTGATCTTATTGACATGTAATGTCTTTTAACATGAGGGAAGTTAACCCTTTGTCTATCATCCCTGGCAAATATTTTTTCCAAGCTTGTTTTGTAGTTTAACTTTGTTTTGGGGAGTTTTTTTTTCTTATTCTTTTTTTTCTTTCTTTCTTTTTTTTTTTTTTTTTTTTTTTGAGATGGAGTTTCACTCTGTTGCCTAGGCTGGAGTGCTGTGGTGCAATCTTGGCTCACTTTAACCTCTGCCCCACCAGGTTCAAGCGATTCTCCTGCCTACAGGCACCTGCCACCATGCCTGGCTAATTTTTGTATTTTTAATAGAGATGGGGTTTCACCATATTGGTCAGTCTGGTCTCGAACTCCTGACCTCAAGCGATCTGCCTGCCTTGGCCTCCCAAAATGCTGGGATTACAGACGTGAACCACTGTGCCCGGCCAGGAGGTTTTTTCTTTATAGCAGTTTTAAGTTTTTATATTCAGATTTATCAATCTTTCTCTTTATAGCTTCTCTCCCACGCTAAAATTTTAAAAAATTCTACAGTATTTTCTAGTAGTTTACTTTTTATGTTAAAATGTTTCAGCCACCTGAAATTGACAGGCCTGCCCTCTATGATAATAGCTGCTACTAACTAGTCCTCCTCACACCCTTTCACTCACCGGTCTCAGCACTCTGCACACCTCGCGGAGAATCCGCTCCTGGTTCTTCACAGAGCACAGCACCAGGGTGCAGACCACCACATCCACAGAGCCATCAGCCACCTGGTGCATGTTCTCCCCGGCAGCTACCACAAAGCGCTCAAACTGCAGGTGTCGGTTCTCTGCAATGCTCTTGATCAAAAACTTCTCAAAGTTGGGGTTGGGGTCAATACAGGTCACCCTGCACCCAGGTGGGTAGAACTTGAAGTTGGCCCCCGTGCCACAGCCCACTTCCAGCAGGGAGAGTTTCCCGGAGGGGCCCGCAAACTCCTGCAGGTTACTGAAGAGCTCCCGCTTCTTGCTTGCCATCTGTTCGTTGTATATCACAGTGAACCTCACCAAGAAGTAGGGGAACCATTTTTTGCATATCCAGCTCCACAAGCCCAGAAAGTTCAGCAGGTACAAGGGAAATGTCAGGATGTAAATGGCCAGTCTCAGGATAAAGATGGTAAGCTCCATTGCTCAGAAGGGAAAAAAACAGATCAACAGTTAGAGACCCGACTCCTTTAATTGCAGGAGAGAGGCTTCTGGCCACACTCCAGAGCCAATCAGCTGCAGAGGAGAAAAAGAACTGGCTGTGCTGGAAAGTCAAATCATGGGCAAGAGGCCAATTTTGCCTAATAGATGTTTGGCAGCAGTCGATTCAGCTTAGTTTTCATAAGGCAAAATGAGAAGGTTCCCAGCTTTTCCTCAGAAGGAAAGTGGATTATAATCCTTTATTCCTAATCGATTCCTGTTTCCCCTTCTCTGGGTTTGGAGACAGCTGCTAGCTTCCTGCTAGAGTTTTATAAGCGCAGTGTACTTACACCCCACCGGGCTCTCCAGTGACCTCTAAAAGAAAACAGAATTCGTGGGTGGAGCCTGGTCAAACCACACCAGAAGAGTGCTGCCAAGGCCCCTTTATCATAACACATCCCCCTTACTTCCCCCGCCCAAACCCTGTTTTTTTTTTTTTTTTTTTTTTTTTTAAAAAAAAAAAAAGGAAGTGAAAGGACATGCATGCCCGGCCACAGTCAGCAAGAATTCTCTCTTTTACATTCTGGGCAGAGGCTCTCAGTGTTCACAACTCAACGTTTTTGTAAACCAAAAATAATGTTCTAAGGCCTCTAACCATCTGAATGGACTTTCTCCTTGGCCAGGGCGCTTTTAAAATTTAACTTGAGAGATTGTTTCAGGCCATGAGGGGAAGTGGGGGTCAGATATGCCTCATTATACCTCAAGCCGGCATTCACATCAACGCAGACCTTAAGTACATTTACAATCTATTCTCTCTGAAGCCTGCTACTTGGAGGCTTCATCTGCATAATAAAACTTCAGTCTCCACAACTCTTATTGCAACCCAGACATTTCCTTTCTATTGATCCCAGGTCTTTAGATAAACTCAACCAATTGTCAACCAGAAAAATTTAAAACGTACCTATAACCTGGAAGCTCCCTGCCTCGCGTCGGGTTGTCCTGCCTTTCTGGACTGAACCAATGTATTTCTTAAATGTATTTGATTGAAGCCTCATGTCTCCCTAAAATGTAGAAAACCAAGCTGTACCCTGACCACCTTGGGCACATGTTCTCAGGATTTCCCGAGGGCTGTGTCACAGGACATGGTCACTCATATTTGGCTCAGAATAAATCTCTTTAAATATTTTACAGAATTTGACTCTTTTTGTTGATATTTTAAAATCACTGTTTTGGGCTGTACTTCCCCTTTTAAAACAATTTTTGGCTCAAGGAAGTCAGTTTGTGGGCTGCCCTTCTTTTAAAGGACAAGCCTCAGTCTTCAAAATGTGCCTAACTACTCGATTACTCAGCTAATTTGGATAAAAATATTTCCCAGAATATTCACATTTGGGAGCCAAAGGGATTCAGAAAATAGTTTCAAGCATCCATCCGCTTTTTACAAGAAAGCCCGAATCTGGGCACAGTGGTGGGTGCCCATGGTCTCAGCTACTGAGGAGCTAAGACAGAAGCATACCTTGAGCCCAGGAATTCAAATCCTGTCTGGGCAACATAGTGAGACTCTATCTCTTTAAAAAAAAAAAAAAAAAAAAGAAAGAAGAAAAAGAAAAAGGCCTGAGCTTTAGGGTGGCTAGGGAACACAGAAAAAAATAATTTTTTAAAAATAGTAAACATTTACTTTAAAAAACTGGGTGATGGATACAGGGAGTGTTCTGTTGTTTCATGATTTGTTATAACCTGCATGTATTTTATAAATATTGTATCTATTCCATTTTTAACAGATTTTTTTAGGTGGAATTGACATATAATAAACTTTACATATTTAATGTGTACAGTTTGATAAGTTTTGACATATCTATATACCTGTGAACCCATCACTTCAGCCAAGATAAATGAACATATCCATCACCCCTAAAAGATTACTCTTGCTCCATTGTGATCCTCCCTTCTGCATTCCTAATCCTGAGGCAATCAGTGGCCTGTTTTCTGTCTGTGGCCTGTTTCCTTTCCTTTTTTTTTTTTTTAAATGAGCAGCAGCAAGATTTATTGTGAAGAGCGAAAGAACAAAGCTTCCACAGTGTGGAAGGGGACCCGAGCGGGTTGCCCTTCTGTCTGTTTTTGAAAACAGGATCCAGGGAAGAAACTGAGCAACTCCACAGGACTGGAAGATTCTAAAGCCCTCAGCAAAGGAGAATGAAAGTAATTTTGTAGAGAATTTAATTATTCTTTTTAAAATGGAGAGGCCTATGGCCACAAAGTTTGCTTGTAAGAAAAGTACCAAAGTAACCCCAGACATAATCATTAAGAAAATTAAAATACTTTTGGGAACCTACCTGGCTGGACAACTTTGCCATTTATCTCCAGCTATAGATATTTCCTTTTACAAATCAGACAACCTCATTATCCTTCTGGTGACACACTCTTTTCTTTTTTTCTTTTGCACTTATCTTTTGTTTTTGTTTAGGGAAATAGCCTGAATGTTGTTCCTGAAACTGTTTTTCAGAATTGTGAAAACAAAACAGCATTCTGAGGCTCTTAGCAAAGGACAATACCTGGGTCACAAAGCCCAGTTGAGACAGATGAAATTGAATTATCAGGCTGGGTGCCGTGGCTCACACCTGTAATCCCAGCACTTTGGGAGGCCAAGCAGGCGGATCACTTGAGGCCAGGAGTTTGAGACCAGCCTGGCTGAGGCATGAGAATTGCTTGAAGCTGGGAGGTAGAGGTTGCAGTGAGCTGAGATTGTGCCAGTGCACTCCAGTCTGGGCGACAGAGTGAGATGAGACTGTCTCAAAAAAATAAAAATAAAAAATAAAAATGAAATTGAATGGTCAACTCAAATAATGGAATACTTAATTTTCAAAAAGCCCTACAAAACAAATGTACTACTGATACATACAACAACAAAAATTAATCTTACAGATTAAAGGAAGAGAGTACATACTGTAGCATTTTATTTACATGAAATTCAAGCAGACTTACTTACATAGACATTTTGGGGTTATTGACTTAGAGGCCACAAAGGTGCCTTCTAGGGATATTGGAAATGTTCTATATTTTGATTTTGTTGGAAGTTAAACAGATATATATATACACACATATATATGTAAAAATTTATCAAGCTGTACACTTAAAGTTTTTGCACTTTAATTATATGTAAATTTATCTCAATGAAAAGTAATAAGACTTCAAGAAAAGACATAATAGGAATAAAAGGGCACATGTACAGATAATATAGAAAAATTTATATGAGAATACTAGGCACAACTTTATGCTAATATGTTTGAAGAGTTGGATAAATTAATTTTCTGCAAAATTGAAAATACCATAATTGATTCAAGAAGACATAGAATATCTGATTAAACTACTAACCATTAAAGAATCTAAACTGGTAGTATGTATGTCTTTACTCCCATGTCACGATTTCCAAAGTTATCAGAAACCTGCATGTGAAAGCACCTGTTAAAGTCTTATAGCTGATTATAAGCTGTCTCTTGAAAAAGCTTAAAACAAGACGACAATTGTCTGTGAATGACAAAATTTCTAGGGTAGTTACAGTTAAAAACACGATTGACAAATCTGGTTATTTCTGTGGTTGACAATGGTTTAACATAACCTTAATTTTGATTGATAACATGTACTCAGACATTGGAATTTTAGACATCCCATACAATTTTGGAACACATATCAGTATTATTCACTAAAATATAACCTGAAGAACATTAAACATCATTTTGGCAATTCCACGTGCCTAAATATGTTAAATAATCCTGTTTACCTCTCTTCTGGATGCTTCAGGGCCCTCTGTAGCATTGAAAAGCTAGAGGGTCAGGAAAGACAATTTTGAAACTGAAGTTTGATTTTGAAAAGCCTGTTAAATGTTAGAGGTTTAAAACACTTGATATTATGAAATACAGTTCCAGGTTACCATAAGTTATTTACTTTGCCTAAATGATGACTCAAAAATTTTAAAACAAGGCAAAAATCTTTACTCATTAAGAGGGAAGACTTAGCTTTCCAAAGTTTGTCTCCTGTCTTCTTTCCTCTTCTTGGCAGTCTATCCACCATGCAAATGAAAATCTTTCATTATTCTTCACTATTACATGACAATCGTATACAAGGGAGAGAAAGCAAGATTTTACCCTTAAGTTGGTTTCAAAACAATCCTTTATCCTTAGGCAATATTTACATTTCCATGCCTTTTTATAATATTTTACCACAAAACATTTTACTGTTCTTACACACCTTGTATGTAAATCTATTTTCAGTAGTCTCATTTACATGTTATAATGGTAACTCTTAGCAATTTTTAACTTTAAAATTTAGTAAGTTGTTTTAATTATGTACTAGGTGCAGATAAAGTCTGACTTTTTCCAGCATAGTTAGGGGAGTGGTTAATTTTGTACATCCCTAGGCCTTACAGAGTTGTAAAGCAGGCAGTTTACAACCTTGAAACATTAAGCAAACCTAGTATCTGACTTGCATGATTTAGACCACCTATTTACATTTTGACGACATTTATTTATACCAATTATCTTTAAAACTATTTTTATTTCTTAAAGTCACATGAACTAAAAGACAACTTTTTTCTTTAAAAAATATTTAAGTGCTTATTTTTTTTAAGCCAATCAGAACTCTTTTTATAGACATCATACACAACACATATATAGCTACACAGACAAACAGAAGAGGATCTAGTCATTATAAGATTTTTCATTTGCCAATCTTCTAATTGGATTATTGGCCTCCAAGTGGGGCCCTTTAAGAGCAGGGGTGGGAGAGTGAAATGGCTACATTGTCTGGGGTATATACCCTGGGGTTCGTTGTCTCATGCCAAGAAAGAATTCAGGACACAGGCCCATGTGGGTGGGTTAAAGAGTGGAAAGCTTAATAAAAGAAAGGAGAGAGGAGAGCAGCTCCTTGAGAGAGACATCTGAAAAAAGTGGGTAGGTAGTAGACCGCAGCAGATTTTATAGGCAGGCTAGAGAAGGCGGTGACTGATTTACGTAGGGGATTGGTTTGATAGGTATGACATCTACATAGCGTGCAGGGAAGCCTGGCTGCCCTATCCTAATCTAACGCAAATGGGCTTTCTAGTTGATCGGTACCATCTTGTCTACTCCTTACTAGACACATGGCTGACAAAGAGAAGGGAAGATGGAACCACCCTCTTGAACATGTCTGGTTTGTAGTTCCTGCCGACATTCACCTGTGCAAGCTCCCAGCTTGCTTGTCTATATGTCTGCAGCTTGACTTTACAGGCTGTTCTTGTTAGAAAATGATTGGGCTGATTTCACTGAAGAGAAAAGCCTTACTTGAGGACTCCCATACCCTTACTATCTGCCTATGTGAATTCTTCTTAACTCCTATATCAAAAGCATGCAGTTTCTGGGGAAGACAAAAACAGATTTTGAGAGGGATCTATCTGCCTCTAATTCCTGGGGTTCCATGAGGAAAACAGAGGTTTCTCCCAAAATGGAATCCATGGAGCCTTTTCTGTTTTTACCAAGGAGTCCTAGGCCATCAGAAGTTATCTTGGGGCCTCTCGTGCATGCATTAAGAGTGGCAAGACAAAATGGAAAAGAAGAATGTAGGTGACTGGTTAAAAACCTTTTCTACAAAAACAAGAGCCAAGAAGAGAAAAACATAAAGGCCTTTTAAATATACCTATAACTTGGATATCCACTTTTAATTAAGCTGAGTGCTCTTTAAGAAAATCCTTTTAAATCCCTTGTTACCTGACTTTAGTCACACTAAGTGGTTAAGATTTCTGGCATTTGAACTTTACCAAAAGCAACCTCACAGGTGAAACCAACAAGCCTCAATTAAGGTTACGATTTAACCATGAGTGTACAAGGTATTTTCAAAGGGGTGGTAAGCAGCTTTTGAAACCACCATTGTGAAACTGCAACTGAGACAGTAAAAGAGATCTGACCCAACCAACTCCATGTTGCCTCTGGCCTCCAAGCTGCCCTTATTCATTCCTGGGCATAGGCTGAACCAACTCTGGGAAGAACTTATAGTTTATAGTCCAAAACGAAGATGATAACAGCCCTTTCCCAAAACAAACCTCCTTTCCTGGGGACCAGACTGCCTTTGTCAGACCAAGAAACCAACCACAAGATTAGGAACTATGGTTTAGGAATCATGCAGCTGGAGGCCACAAGATTCTAGCCCTCCCTAAACTGCTCCTAAGATCAGTGCTTGAGATATTTTGCAGACCCTGCACTTGATGGATTAGCTGGATGGATTAGACTGATAAACTGGCTCATCTGATCTTGTGGCCCCTTACCAGGAACTGACTCAGCACAAGAGGACAGCCTCGACTCCCTGTGATTTCATCTCTAACCTAAACAATCAGCATTCCCGGCTCACTGGCCTTCCCCACCCACCAAGCCGCCTCAAAAACTCTGCTCCCCAAATGCTTAGGGAGACTGACCAGAGCAATAACAAAACTATGGTCTCCCACACAGCCAGCCCCACATGAATCACCCCCTCTCCATTTCAATTCCCCCATCCCAATAAATCAGCTCTTTTGAGGCAGTGGGCAAGGTGAACCTACTGGGTGGCCACACTTGTACAAAATCTAGAACCTTTAAAGGCAACTCAGAGAAAGGAAGATTTAAGAAGGGAAGCTAGAAGTTGTTCATGGAGGGGAACAGAATCAGCAAATGGCAAAAGTCATACAGACATTAACCCAAAGGTACTCATTCTCCAAGCCAGGATTGAACTCGGGCCATCGTTGTAAAATGGTGGAGATTAAAACAAAGTATTGCCACATGGTTACAGGTCACACTTCCAAGGATGTAAAACAAGATGGAGGCCTATAGCAAAGTTTGTTATTGACCAGTTTACCAGGCTGGCTTGAACAGTGGGCTTATGGAGCTCTAGACCCACATTCCATCCTAAGGTACCCCTCTTTCTGACAGAACCGTACAGAAAGACATGCAAAGCACACCAGATTGGCTACAGCTTAAGACCAACTTCATAAATCCTTTTTCATTAATCAAAGCTTTACAGAGAATATAAACAGTGATCCTTATTATTCCTTTTACTGGTTTGCACAGGGAGAGAGAAGCCAAAAGCTAAACTGGTAAAAAAACAAAACAAACAAACAAAAAACAACCCTTTTACCTTTTTGGAATGGCATGGCAGGCTTCTGGGTGCCCTCCCCACAATCAATTCTAAGCCAAGAATTTTAAGGTTTAAGGTTTGAGAAATTAACTTTTCCCAGTTTGGAGGGATATCATAAAGAGAGAAGAGCCATTTCAAACCATGAAAAAAGGAAGGAAAAATACCATAGAAAAATCTGGGGGTTTGGGGCCGGGCACTGTGGCTTACACCTGTAATCCCAGCACTTTGGGAGGCCGAGGCAGGCATATCACGAGGTCAGGAGATTGAGACCATCCTGGCTAACACGGTGAAACCCTGTCTCTACTAAAAATACAAAAAATTAGCCTGGCGTGGTGGTGGGCATCTGTAGTCCCAGCTACTCAGGAGACTGACTCAGGAGAATGGCGTGAACCCAGGAGGCGGAGCTTGCAGTGAGCTGAGATGGCACCACTGCATTCCAGCCTGGGCGACAGAGCAAGACTCTGTCTCAAAAAAAAAGTCTGGGGGTTTGGGTGGTAGAACTGGAGGAGCTGATGATGTGAATGTTGGGGGGAAGAAGGGCCAGGGCATCTGGAAGTTGCATTTAAGGGTTCCCCAGGGGGTTGTTTCTTTGACTTTGGGGAATTATCTCCTGCATG
Source organism: Homo sapiens (assembly GCF_000001405.40). Classification (NCBI taxonomy): domain Eukaryota; kingdom Metazoa; phylum Chordata; class Mammalia; order Primates; family Hominidae; genus Homo; species Homo sapiens. The sequence continues at coordinate 50,917,293 of NC_000012.12, read as the reverse complement.
CTTGTCTGATATGACTGCTAAAAGAGGAGGGTCAATTATGCAGTGCTGACAAAGATTTGGGTTGCCTCTCAAGGCAAAGAAGGCTTGCACATAGGGGACTTCAGACCATTTGTCCTCCTGCCTGCAGAAAAGGTCTAGTTGCTGGATAGTGTTGAAATGAGTAGCCAGGCGCTGTGGCTTATGCCAGTAATCCCAGCACTTTGGGAGACCAAGGTGGGCAGATCACCTGAGGTCAGGATTTCAAGACCAGCCTGCCCAACAGGGTGAAACCCCGTCTCTACAAAGATACAAAAATTCACTGGGCATGGCAGCGGGCACCAGTAATCCCAGCTATTCGGGAGGCTGAGGCAGGAGAATCACTTGAATCCAGGAGGCAGAGGTTGCCGTGAGCTGAGGTTGCACCATTGCACTCCAGCCTAGGTGACAGAGCAAGACTCTGGTTCAAAAAAAAAAGGCACTTTCCTGAAGAGACCAGGCCTCCCCAAGTTCTGCACTTGGTGAGATGGCCATGCCCAAGTACAAAAGAATATGAGGCACTATTTTTAGAGTCTGAGGGTCAGAGAAATTCCACTGATCCAGGCTGTACTCAAGGGAAGTGCAGGCTAAAGATGGGTTGTTACCCATCTGGAAAGAGAGGGGAGAATGTGTCCCTTAGTCTCCCTCCTCCTTTCAGAGCGACCCAGTGTGGAGAGAAAGATAGAAGGGGTATCCCCCTTCTCTTTCCTCCCATCTCCTCTGGGTCCCAGCGAACATCACAGGTGCCACCCATGGATGCAAGCATGACCTTCACCAATGGATCTGGAGAAGCTAGTCAGCAGGAAGAGTCATGTTTATCTGAGTGAGGCCCTAGCTCTCCACCCTGCTGGTTTCTTAGACCCACTTGGCCTATAAGGCTTCCAGAAGTACCCTAGGGGCCCGGGAGAGATTATGCAGTAGTTGAATTTGGGCAAGACCCTTTAATGGAGTGAGTGGTTTAACCCTACCCTTATATCTCCTTATTACTGCCCAGGCAAAGTAATGAATTCCTAGAGAATGGGACCAATTGACTTTTAAACATAAGATCCCTTCCTTTCTTGGATGCCAACATAGCTGGATGCAGAACAGATGCCTCAAAAGAATGTAAGAATATCTGATGGGGATAGCACTGAGGCTAAAATCTGTCTCACCAGGGTGGCTTCCTCCCACATGTTGAAAGGGGAGTTTTACTATCTACAAATAGGGCATGGGGCCTGAGCACTGAGAGAGGGATATAACAATGAAAGGAATTGGGGAACTAGAGATTTTGGGCAAAGAACTGACAAGACTCCCCATGAAAAATCCCATCCCATTTGGTGGTGTTGTAGGGTTTGAAATGTTAGGTAAAAACTCTGACTCCAAATTCTTTTTAGGCAGAGGTTAGAAAGAGAGGTCTGGGTCTTAATAGGCTACCCCCATAGTATGCCACCCAGCAGAAGAAAATTCGTTTGTCAATGCTGAGCTCTTAGAAAACCCAAATGGAGAGGAGGGTGTTTACTTAGGGTGGAATATCCTCCCATATAGTGCTATGAATGCCTATCACTGGGGGTCAAAAAGGCCCTCACTAGGTGAAAGTTTAGACTGAAATCTTGAAATCCCCCCATCTCAAGGAAATCAGAGAAGCAGCAATTTTTAAAGTTACATTCCTGGTTACTAAGGCACTCACTAACTTTACCCAAGAAGATTATCTGCCTAGGCTGTAAAAACTCCCTTAACATAGCATACAAAGAAAGGATAGGAGACATGATAGCCACGAAAAAGAAAGGAAGAAAATGCTATAGAAAAGTCTGGAAGTCCTGGTGTGGACACCATTGATGGGCTCTCAGAAGCTGAAGTTATTCTAGGGGCTCTTCAGGTAACACCAAGGAGTAGCCTCAGCCAGAAACCCTCAGTTGCCCCAGGACCTCCTTCTAGCCCCATGCGATGGCTAGGTCCTCTGTGAAAGGAAACTAGATTAGAACAGAGCCAACATTCCCACCACCTGATGGCAATGCAGGATTGACTCTCCAGCAAACCTGTCCCCTGAGTCTTGTAAGGCTGACAGCCACTCTAAAATCTTTTAACTGGCTGGCAGGGGCCCAGTGTCTTGTTTGGTCTTCAGGGGGAAAAAAAAAAAAAAAAAAAAAAAAAACTGAGAAGCAGCTTCAGAAATGAAAGTAAAGAGTTTGGAGGTGGCAGGGCATGGTGGCTCACGCCTGTAATCCTAGCACTTTGGGAGGCTGAGGCGGGCGGATCATGAGGTCAGGAGATTGAGACCATTGTGGCTAACACGGTGAAACCCTGTCTCTACTAGATATACAAAAAATTAGCCAGGCGAGGTGGGAGGTGCCTGTAGTCCCAGCTACCCAGGAGGCTGAGGCAGGAGAATGGTGTGAACCTGGGAGGCAGAGTTTGCAGTGAACTGAGATGGTGCCACTGCACTCCAGCCTGGGCAACAGAGCAAGATTCTGTCTCAAAAAAAAAAAAAAAAAGTTTGGAGATCTGCTCCTACTCACCCTTCTGATATCTCCCAGTCAAGGAACCAAAATGTTACAGTCTTGCCGGTGCATCACAATGTCCCTGAGGTAGTACCTAGAGTCCTTTGTCTCACCACCAAGAAAGTTAAGGAGTGCAGACACCAAGGGTGAGGTTGGAGCAAAAGTTTAATAAGAGAAAGAAGAAAGCTCTGTGCTGTGGAGAGGGGACCTGGAAGAGGGTTGCCATTTTTACAGTTAAATGCAAAGGCTTTTATGGGAAAGCACAATCATAGCTCACTGCAGCCTCAATCTCCCAGGCTCAAGCAATTCTACTGCCCTAGTCTCTCCTGAGTAGATAAGACTATGGGCACATATACCATCATGCCTAGCTAAATTTTTTAAAATTCACTTTTTTTCTTTGACTTTTGACAATTTATAGTGTGTGTTGGTATAATTTTTTTTTTTGGAGACAGAATCTCACTCTGTCACCCAGGCTGGAGTGCAATGGAGTGATCTCAGCTCACTGCAACCTCTGCTTCTTGGGTTCAAGTGATTCTCATGTCTCAGCCTCCCAAGTAGCTGAGACCACAGGTGCTTGCCACCATGTGCAGCTAATTTTTTGTATTTTTAGTAGAGATGAGGTTTCACCATGCTGGCCAGGCTGGTCTTAAACTCCTGACCTTATGATCTGCCCACCTTGGACTCCCAAAGTGTTGGGATTACAGGCATGAGCCACCTTACCTGGCATAGACCTCTTTTAATTGAACCTTTTTGGGAAGCTTTGGCTTCCTGTATCTAGATGTCCATTTCTCCCTAAATTTGGGAAGTTTTCAGCCATTATTTCTTTAAGTAGACTTTCTACCATTTTCTCTATCTCTTCTCCTGGTACCTCTATAATTTGTATATTGGTTCACTTGATAGCCAAATGTTTCATAGACTTTCTTCACTCTTTTGTTTTTTTATTTCTTTTTCCTCTGATTGTTTAATTTCAAATGACTTGTCTTAGGGTTCATAGGTTCTTCTGCTTGTTTGAGTCTGCTGTTGAAGATCTCTATTACATTTTTCTTCAGCTATAGGTTTTCTTTTTTTGTTTTTATTTCTTTGTTGAACGTCTTATTTTCTCCATGTATTTTCCTTATTTTGTTTAGTTGTCTATCTCTGTTTTCTTGTAGTTCACTGAACTTGTTTAAGAGGATTATTCTGAATTCTTTGTCAGCCATTTCATAGATCTCCATTTCTTTAGGGTTAGTGATTGGAGCTTTATTAGTTTACTCTGGGTGGTGTCATGTTTCCCTGATTCTTTGTGATTCTTATGTCCTTGTGTTGCTGTCTGTGTTTTTGAGGAAGTAGTCACCTCTTCTGCCTTTACAGGTTAGCTTTGGCAGGGAAAGACTTTTTCAGTAAGTCCAGCCTGGGGTTCTGGATGAGTCAGTTGGTAGCATCTGCAGGTACTTGTAAGAGACAGGACTAGCTGGATTTTCTAGGCCAACTAAGAATCCCTAGGCCTAGCTGGGAAGGTGATCACATCCACCTTTAAACAGGGGGCTTGCAACTTAACTCACACCCGACCAATCACGTAGTAAAGAGAGCTCACTAAAAAGCTAATTAGGCAAAAACAGGAGGTAAAGAAATAGCCAATTTTCTGTTGCCTGACAGCACAGCGGGAGGGACAATGATCGGGATATAAACCCAGGCATTCAAGCCGGCAATGACTACCCTCTTTGGGTTACTGTTGTGGGAAGTCAGGGACCCTGAACAGAGGGACCGGCTGAAGCCAAGGCAGAGGAACATAAATTGTGAAGATTTCATTTAAATATGGACATTTATTAGTTCCCAAATAATACTTTTATAATTTCTTATGCCTGTAATCTCTTAATCCTATTATCTTCGTAAGCTGAGGATGTAGGTCACCTCAGGACCACTGTGATAATTGTGTTAACTGTACAAATTGATTGTAGAACATGTGTGTTTGAACAATATGAAATCAGTGCACCTTGAAAAAGAACAGAGTGGCAGCAATTTTTAGGGAACAAGGGAAGACAACCATAGGGTCTGATTGCCTGTGGGGTTGGGCAAAAATAGCCATATTTTTCTTCTTGTAGAGAGCCTATAAATGGACGTGCAAGTAGGGAAGACATTGCTAAATTATTTTCCTAGCAAGGAATATTAATATTAATACCCTGGGAAACGAATGCATTCCTGGGGGGGAGGTCTATAAACGGCTGCTCTGGGAATGTCTGTCTTATGCAGTTGAGATAAGGACTGAGATACGCCCTGGTCTCCTGCAGTACCCTCAGGCTTACTAGGGTGGGGAAAAACCCTGTCCTGGTAATTTGTGGTCAGACTGGTTCTCTGCTCTTGAACCCTGTTTTCTGTTGTTTAATATGTTTATCAAGACAATACGTACACTGCTGAACATAGACCCTTATCAGTAGTTCTAACTGGGGGCGGGTTCCCCTGATAGGTCCCCTCCCTTTGTATGGGAGCTCTGTTTTCACTCTGTTAAATCTTGCAACTGCACTCTCTTCTGATCTGTGTTTCTTATGGCTCAAGCTGAGCTTTCGCTCTCCGTCCATCACTGCTGTTTTCCACCATCACAGACCCACTGCTGACTTCCATCCCTCTGGATCTGGCAGGGTGTCCACTGTGCTCCTGATCCAGCCAGGTGCCCATTGCCATTTCCGATCGGGCTAAAGGCTCACCATTGTTCCTGCACGGCTAAGTGCCCTTTAGCCTGGGTGCATCCTAATTGAGCTGAACACTAGTCACTGGGTTCCACGGTTCTCTTCCATGACCCACGGCTTCTAATAGAGCTATAACACTCACCACATGGCCCAAGATTCCATTCCTTGGAATCCGTGAGGCGAAAACCCCAGGTCAGAGAACACAAGGCTTGCCACCATCTTGGAAGTGGCCTGCTGCCATTTTGGAAGCAGCCCACCACCATCTTGGGAGCTCTGGGAGAAAGGACCCACCACTAACATTTGGTGACCACGAAGGGACCTCCAAAGCAGTGAGTAATATTGGACCACTTTCGCTTGCTATTCTGTCCTGTCTTTCCTTAGAATTGGCGGAAAATACCGGGCACCTGTCGGCCAGTTAAAAACGATTAGCATGGCTGTCAGACTTAAGACTCAGGTGTGAGGCTGTCTGGGGAAGGACTTTCTAACAACACCCAACCCTTCTGGGTTGGGAGCATTCATCTGCCTAGAACCAGCTTCTGCTTTCAATTTTCTTGGGGAAGCCGAGGGCTGACTAGAGACAGAAAGCTGTCATTCCAAACTCCCAGCATTAGCCGATTGAGATCATGGCACAGCCAGAAGTCTCTGTTCAACAGTCACCCATGCATGCCCCCGTACCTTTTCTTCTGACCCATACCTCCTGGGTCCCAACCACGACTTTCTTGAAAGTGTAGCCCCAAAATTCTCGTTACCTCTGAATCTACTTCCTCTGATCCCTGCCTCCTAGGTACCAATGGTTCAGACTTGCATTTCCTCTAGCAAGTTGTATCTCCAAAGGGATCTAAGAAAGCTCTATGCTGTGTCCTTAGGCATCTAGGCTATAAACCCAGGAAGTCTTATCCCTGGTGTCCCTCCCGATTTAGGTATACAGTTCTCGACATGGGCAGTTATGTGGGACCCTTTCCCCACCACCCTTGCCAGGGACCCAAGTTTGTAATGGCTAAGAGGAGGAGAGAGGGACGGAGGAGTGAAGAGAGAGATGGAGGGGAGAGAGAGAGAGAGAGAGACAGAGGAGAGAGAGAGAAAGAGTCAAAGAGAAAAAGAGAAAGATAGAAATAGTAAAACAAAACAAAACAACAACAACAACAGTATGCCCTATTCCTTTAAAAGCCAGGGTAAATTTAAAACCTATAATTGATAATTGAAGGTCTTCCCTATAACACTCCAATACTACCTTGTTGTCAGTGTAAACAAGGGCATAGCCTGAAAACACTGAGACCACTGACAACCCGTAGCTTTCCTATCAAAAATCCTTAACCCAGTAACCCGTGGATGCATTCAATCTGTAGCGGCAACTGCTTTGCTAACAGAAGAAAGTAGAAAAGTAACTTTTAAAGGAAACCTCATTGTGAGCACACCTCACCAGTTCAGAATTATTCTAAGTCAAAAAAGCAAAAAGGTAGCTTACTAACTAAAAAATCGTAAAGTATGGGTCTATTCTGTTAGAAAAAGGTAATTTAACACCAACGGCTGATAATTCCCTTAACCCAGCAGATTTCCTAACAGGGGATTTAAATCTTAATTACCATACAAAGGTCCGGCCAGACCTAGGAGGAACTCCCTTCAGGACAGGATGATAGAAGTTTCCTCCCAGGTGATTGAGGGAAAAACCACAATGGGTATTCAGTAATTGATAGGGAGACTCTTTTGGAAGCAGAGTTAGAAAAATTGCCTAATAATTGGTCTCCTCAAAAGTGCGAGCTGTTTGCTCCCAGACAAGCCTTAAAGTACTTACAGAATCAAAAAAGACTATCAATATCCTGACTCAAAAGCTTACCTACACCCTCTCTAAATGAATTTGCATAAGAACTGTTGTTTATGAGAATGCATCTTGATGGGGCAGCTGGGTTGTTATGAAATACTCAGGAACCCAGCCCAGCTCTAGGACTCACCCCTGAGCACAAAGGCAATGTTGGGCATGCTGCTAGAATCCAGCAGCCTGGACCCCTTTCTTTGTGGTCAAGAAAGGCGGGAAAAGGGGTGCAGGACTGCTACATTGGTGAGCATAACTAATCCAATAAGCAGAGGTCCATGGGTGGTTACACACCCTGGAAAGGAATAAGCGTTAGGACCATAGAGGACGCTCTAGGACTAACGGTCATCGGAAAATGACTAGGGGTGCCGGCGTCCCTATGTTCTTTTTTCAAATGGGAACTGTTCCCCCAAGGCAAAAACGCCCCTAAGATGTATTCTGGAGAATTGGGACCAATTTGACACTCAGACGCTAGGAAAGAAATGACTTATATTCTTCTGCAGTACTGCCTGGCCACGATATCCTCTTCAAGGTGGAGAAACCTGGCCTCCTGAGGGAAGTATAAATTATAACACTATCTTACAACTAGACCTCTTTTGTAGAAAAGAAGGCAAATGGAGTGAAGTGCCATATGTACAAACTTTCTTTTCATTAAGAGGCAACTCGCAATTATGTAAAAAGTGTGATTTATGCCCTACAGGAAGCCCTCAGAGTCTACCTCCCTACCCCAGCTTCCCCCCGACTCCCTCCCCAACTAATAAGGACCCCCCTTCAACCCAAACTGTCCAAAAGGAGATAGACAAAGGGGTAAACAATGAACCAAAGAATGCCAGTATCCCCGATTATGCCCCCTCCAAGCAGTGGGAGGAGGAGAATTCGGCCCAGCCAGAGTTCATGTACCTTTTTCTCTCTCAGACTTAAAGCAAATTAAAATAGACCTAGATAAATTCTCAGATAACCCTGATGGCTATATTGATGTTTTACAAGGGTTAGGACAATCCTTTGATCTGACATGGAGAAATATAATGTTACTGCTAAATCAGACACTAACCCCAAATGAGAGAAGTGCCACCATAACTGCAGCCCGAGAGTTTGGCGATCTCTGGTATCTCAGTCAGGTCAATGATAGGATTGCAGCAGAGAAAAGAGAAAAATTCCTCACAGGCCAGCAGGCAGTTCCCAGTGTAGGCTCTCATTGGGACACAGAATCAGAACATGGAGATTGGTGCTGCAGACATTTGCTAACTTGCATGCTAGAAGGACTAAGGAAAACTAGAAAGAAGCCTATGAATTATTCAATGATGTCCACTATAACACAGGGAAAGGAAGAAAATCCTACTGCCTTTCTGGAGAGACTAAGGGAGGCATTGAGGAAGCATACCTCCCTGTCACTTGACTCTATTGAAGGCCAACTAATTTTAAAGGATACGTTTATCACTCAGTCAGCTGCAGATATTAGAAAAAAACTTCAAAAGTCCACCTTAGGCCCAGAGCAAAACTTAGAAACCCTATTGAACTTGGCAACCTCGGTTTTTTATAATAGAGATCAGGAGGAGCAGACGGAATGGGACAAATGGGATAAAAAAAAAAGAAAAGGCCACAGCTTTAGTCATGGCTCTCAGGCAAGTGGACTTTGGAACCTCTGCAAAAGGGAAAAGCTGGGCAAATCGAATGCCTAATAGGGCTTGCTTCCAGTGTGGTCTACAAGGACACTTTAAAAAAGATTGTCCAAGTAGAAATAAGCCGCCTGGTCGTCCATGCCCCTTATGTCAAGGGAATCACTGGAAGGTCCACTGCCCCAGGGGATGAAGGTCCTCTGAGTCAGAAGCCACTAACCAGATGATCCAGCAGCAGGACTGAGGGTGCCCAGGGCAAGCGCCAGCCCATGCCATCACCCTCACAGAACCCCGGGTATGCCTAACCATTGAGGGCCAGGAGGTTAACTGTCTCCTGGACACTGGCGCGGCCTTCTCAGTCTTACTCTCCTGTCCTGGACAACTGTCCTTCACATCTGTCACCATCCAAGGGGTCTTAGGACAGCCAGTCACTAGATACTTCTCCCAGCCACTAAGATGTGACTGGGGAACTTTACTCTTTTCATGTGCTTTTCTAATTATGCCTGAGAGCCTCACTCCCTTGTTAGGGAGAGACATTCAAGCAAAAGTGGGGGCCATTATACACCTGAACATAGGAGAAGGAACACCCGTTTGTTGTCCTCTGCTTGAGGAAGGAATTAATCCTGAAGTCTGGACAACAGAAGGACAATATGGATGAGCAAAGAATGCCCATCCCGTTCAAGTTAAACTAAAGGATTCTGCCTCCTTTCCCTACCAAAGGCAGTACCCCCTCAGACCCAAGGCCAAACAAAGACTCCAGAAGATTGTTAAGGACCTAAAAGCCCAAGGCCTAGTAAAACCATGCAGTAGCCCCTGCAATACTCCAATTTTAGGAGTACAGAAACCCAATGGACAGTGAAGGTTAGTGCAAAATCTCAGGATTTTCAGTGAGGTTGTTGTTCCTCTAGACCCAGCTGTACCTAACCCTTATACTCTGCTTTCCCAAATACCAGAGGAAGCAGAGTGGTTTACAGTCCTGGACCCTAAGGATGCCTTTTTCTGCATCCCTGTACATCCTGACTCTCAATTCTTGTTTGCCTTTAGAGATCCTTCGAACCTAACGTCTCAACTCCCCTGGACTGTTTTACCCCAAGAGTTCAGGGATAGCCCCCATCTATTTGGCCAGGCATTAGCCCAAGACTTGAGCCAATTCTCATACCTGGACACCCTTGTCCTTCAGTACATGGATGATTTACTTTTAGCCACCCGTTCAGAAACCGTGTGCCATCAAGCCACCCAAGAGCTCTTAAATTTTCTTGCTACCAATGGCTACATGGTTTCCAAAACAAAGTCTCAGCTCTGCTCACAGCAGGTTAAATACTTAGGGCTAAAATTATCCAAAGGCAACAGAGCCCTCAGTGAGGAATGTATCTAGCCTATACTGGCTTATCCTCATCCCAAAACCCTAAAGCAACTAACAGGGTTCCTTGGCATAACAGGTTTCTGCCAAATATGGATGTCCAGGCATGGCAAAATAGCCAGACCAATATATACACTAATTAAGGAAACTCAGAAAGCCAATACCTATTTAGTAAGATGGACACCTGAAGCAGAAGTGGCTTTCCAGGCCCTAAAGAAGGCCCTAACCCAAGTCCCAGTGTTAAGCTTGCCAATGGGGCAAGAATTTTCTTTATATGTCACAGAAAAACAGGAATAGCTCTAGGAGTCCTTACACAGGTCCGAGGGATGAGCTTGCAACCCGTGGCATACCTGAGTAAGGAAATTGATGTAGTGGCAAAGGTTGTCCTCATTGTTTATGGGTAGTGACGGCAGCAGCAGTCTTAGTATCTGAAGCAGTTAAAATGATACAGGGAAGAGATCTTACTGTGTGGACATCTCATGATATGAACGGCATACTCACTGCTAAAGGAGACTTGTGGCTGTCAGACAACGATTTACTTAAATATCAGGCTCTGTTACTTGAAGGGCCAGTGCTGCGACTGTGCACTTGTGCAACTCTTAACTGAGCCACATGTCTTCCAGACAATGAAGAAAAGATAGAACATAACTGTCAACAAGTAATTGCTCAAACCTGTGCTGCTCGAGGGGACCTTTTAGAGGTTCCCTTGACTGATCCCAACCTCAACTTGTATAGTGGTGGAAGTTCCTTTTGTAGAAAAAGGACTTCAAAAAGCAGGGTATGCAGTGGTCAGTGATAATGGAATACTTGAAAGTAATCCCCTCACTCCAGGAACTAGTGCTCAGTGCTGGCAGAACTAATAGCCCTCACTCGGGCACTAGAATTAGGAGAAGGAAAAAGGGTAAATATATATACAGACTGTAAGTATGCTTACCTAGTCCTCCACGCCCACGCAGCAATATGGAGAGAAAGGAAATTCCTAACTTCCGAGGGAACACCTATAAAACATCAGGAAGCCATTAGGAGATTATTATTGGCTGTACAGAAACCTAAAGAGGTGGCAGTCTTACACTGCCGGGGTCATCAGAAAGGAAAGGAAAGGGAAATAGAAGGGAACTGCCAAGCAGATATTGAAGCCAAAAGAGCCGCAAGGCAGGACCCTCCATTAGAAATGCTTATAGAAGGACCCCTAGTATGGGGTAATCCCCTCCAGGAAACCAAGCCCCAGTACTCAGAAGAAGAAATAGAATGGGGAACCTCATGAGGACATAGTTTCCTCCCCTCAGGATGGCTAGCCACCAAAGAAGGAAAAATACTTTTTTGCCTACAGCTAACCAATGGATATTACTTAAAATCCTTCACCAAACCTTTCACTTAGGCATTGATAGCACCATTAAGATGGCCAAATCATTATTTACTGGAGCAGGCCTTGTCAAAACTATCAAGCAGATAGTCAGGGCCTGTGAAGTGTGCCAAAGAAATAATCCCCTGCCTTATTGCTAAGCTCCTTCAGGAGAACAAAGAACAGGCCATTACCCAGGAGAAGGCTGGCAACTAGATTTTACCCACATGCCCAAATCTCAGGGATTTCAGTATCTACTAGTTTGGGTAGATACTTTCACTGGTTGGACAGAGGCCTTCCCCTGTAAGACAGAAAAGTTCCAAGAGGTAATAAAGGCACTAGTTCATGAAATAATTCCCAGATTCGGACTTCCCTGAGGCTTACGGAGTGACAATGGCCCTGCTTTCAAGGCTGCAGTAACCCAGGTAGTATCCCAGGCATTAGGCATACGATATCACTTACACTGCGCCTGGAGGCCACAGTCCTCAGGGAAGGTCAAGAAAATGGATGAAACACTCAAATGATATCTAAAAAAGCTAACCCAGGAAACCCACCTCGCATGGCCTGCTCTGTTGCCTATAGCCTTACTAAGAATCCAAAACTCTCCCCAAAAAGCGGGACTTAGCCCATACGAAATGCTGTATGGACGGCCTTCCTAACCAATAACCTTGTGCTCGACCGAGAGATGGCCAACTTAGTTGCAGACGTCACCTGCTTAGCCAAATATCAACAAGTTCTTAAAACATTACAAGGAGCCTGTCCCCGAGAAGAGGGAAAGGAATTATTCCACCCTGGTGACATGCTATTAGCCAAGTCCCTTCCCTTTAATTCCCCATCCCTAGATACATCCTGGGATGGACCCTACCCAGTCATTTTATCTACCCCAACCTCGGTTAAAGTGGCTGGAGTGGAGTCTTGGATACCTCACACTCGAGCCAAATCCTGGATACTGCCAAAGGAACCGAAAAATCCAGGAGACAACGCTAGCTATTCCTGTGAACATCTAGAGGATCTGTGCCTGCTCTTCGAGCAACAACCATGAGGAAAGTAACTAAAATCATAAATCACCATGGCCCTCCCTTATCATATTTTTCTCTTTACTGTTCTCTTACCCCCTTTTACTTTCACTGCACCCCCTCCATGTTGCTGTACGACCAGTAGCTCCCCTTACCAACAGTTTCTATGGAGAATGTGGCTTCCCGGAAATATTGATGCTCCATCGTATAGGACTTTATCTAAGGGAACCCCCATCTTTACTGCCCACACCCATATGCCCCACAACTGCTATAACTCTGCCACTCTTTGCATGCCTGCAAATACTCATTATTGGACAGGGAAAATGATTAATCCTAGTTGTCCTGGAGGTCTTGGAGCCACTGTCTGTTGGACTTACTTCACCCATACCAGTATGTCTGATGGGGGTGGAGTTCAAGATCAAGCAAGAGAAAAACACATAAAGGAAGTAATCTCCCAACTGGCCCGGGTACATAGCACCCCTAGCCCCTACAAAGGATTATATTCTCTCAAAACTACATGAAAACCTCCGTACCCATACTCGCCTGGTAAGTCTATTTAATACAGCCCTCACTGGGCTCCATGAGGTCTCAGCCCAAAACCCTACTAACAGTTGGATGTGCCTCCCCCTGCACTTCAGGCCATACATTTCAACCCCTGTACCTGAACAGTGGAACAACTTCAGCACAGAAATAATCACCACTTCCGTTTTAGTAGGACCTCTTGCTTCCAATGTGGAAATAATCCATACCTCAAACCTCACCTGTGTAAAATTTAGCAACACTATAGACACAACCAACTCCCAATGCATCAGGTGGGTAACTCCTCCCACACGAATAGTCTGCCTACCTTCAGGAATATTTTTTGTCTGTGGTACTTCAGCCTATCATTGTTTGAATAGCTTTTCAGTATCTATGTGCTTCCTCTCATTCTTAGTGCCCCCTATGACCATCTACACTGAATGAGATTTATACAATCATGTTGTACCTAAGCCCCGCAACAAAAGAGTTCCCATTCTTCCTTTTGTTATTGGAGCAGGAGTGTTAGCTGGACTAGGTACTGGCATTGGCGGTATCACAACCTCTACTCAGTTCTACTACCAACTATCTCAAGAACTAAATGGTGACATGGAATGGGTTGCCAACTCCCTGGTCACCTTGCAAGATCAACTTAACTCCCTAGCAGCAGTAGGCCTTCAAAATCGAAGAGATTTAGACTTGCTAACCACCAAAAGAGGGGGAACCTGTTTATTTTTAGGGGAACAATGCTGTTATTATGTTAATCAATCTGGAATCATCACCGAGGAAGTTAAAGTAATTCAAGATCGAATACAACATAGAGCAGAGGAGCTTCAAAACACTGGACCCTGGGGCCTCTTCAGCCAATGAACACTGTGGATTCTCCCCTTCTTAGGACCTCTAGCAGCTATAATATTGTCACTCCTCTTTGGACACTGTAACTTTAACCTCCTTGTTAAGTTTGTCTCTTCCAGAATTGAAGCTGTAAAGCTACAAATGGTTCTTCAAATTGAGCCTCAGATGCAGTCCATGACTAAAATCTGCCGCGGACCCCTGGACCAGCCTGCTAGCCCATGGTCCGATGTTAATGACATCAAGGGCACCCCTCCTGAGGAAATCTCAACTGCACAACCCCTACTATGCCCCAGTTCAGCAGGAAGCAGTTAGAGTGGTCATTGGCCAACCTCCCCAACAGCACTTGGGTTTTCCTGTTGAGAGGGGGATCTGAGACACAGGATTAGCTGGATTTTCTAGGCCGACTAAGAATCCCTAAGCCTAGCTGGGAAGGTGATCACATCCACCTTTAAACATGGGGCTTGCAACTTAGCTCACACCCGACCAATCAGGTAGTAAAGACAGCTCAGTAAAAGCTAGTTTGGCAAAAACAGGAGGTAAAGAAATAGCCAATCGTCTATTGCCTGAGAGCACAGTGGGAGGGACAATGATCAGGATATAAACCCAGGCATTCGAGCCGGCAATGGCTTACCCGCTTTGGGTCCCCTCCCTTTGTATGGGAGCTCTGTTTTCACTCTATTAAATCTTGCAACTGCAATCTCTTCTGGTCCGTGTTATGGCTCTAGCTGAGCTTTCGCTCGCCATCCACCACTGCTGTTTGCCGCTGTTGCAGACCCGCCACTGACTTCCATTCCTCTGGGTCCGGCAGGGTGTCCGCTGTGCTCCTGATCCAGCCAGGCACCCATTGCTGCTCCGGATCGGGCTAAAGGCTTGCCATTGTTCCTGCACGGCGAAGTGCCTGGGTTCATCCTAATCGAGCTGAATACCAGTCAGTGGGTTCCACGGTTCTCTTCCATGACCCATGGCTTCTAATAGAGCTATAACACTCACCGCATGGCCCAAGATTCCATTCCTTGGAATCTGTGAGGCCAAGAACCCCAGGTCAGAGAACACGAGGCTTGCCACCATCTTGGAAGTGGCCCACCACCATCTTGGAAGTGGCCTGCCACCATCTTGGGAGCTCTGGGAGCAAGGAACTGCCAGTAGCACTTGGGACTTGCTACTGGGGTTGCTGGTTGGACAAGGATGTTGCCCATTCTCTGAGGTCATATGGGGCAACTATCTGGGCTCCATCATTGCCTCTAGTCTGGTGGGATCACAGGTTGCATTTTCCAGCAGGAGTGATGCTGCTAGTTGGACTCTGCAATTGGGCAAGGCTGCCAACTGGGCTCTGTAGTTCGATGGGGTCACTGGCTGGGTTCCCCACCTGGGTGGAGTTGCTGACTTTGTTCCACTATGGATCTGAATTGCTGACCAAGCTTCAGGTTGGGTGGGGTCTCAGGATGTACCTCGCAGAGGGTTTGGTTGCAAGATGGACTCTGCAATTGGACATGGTTGTTAACTGTGCTATCTGGTAGGGTAGGGTTGCTGGTCAGGCTCCCTGTTTGGGTGGGGCTGCTGACCTGGCCCTGCCGTTGGGTGGGACAGCAAGCTGAGCTCCATGATCAGGCAGGGCCATTGGCTATCCTCTATGGTGGGGCGTGACCTCAGGCTGTGGTGCACAGTGAGACAGGGTCTCTGGCTGGGCTTCTTAATCATGCAGGGCCACAAGATGTGTTCTACAGTCAGGTGGGGGCCACAGATTGAGCTCTGCAGCTGAGCTAGACCTCTGGCTAGAGACCTCAGGTTGGCAGAATTGCTGACTCTGCTCCCTAGCCAGATGGGGCTGCTAGATCAGCTGCGCAGGTGGGTGGAGCTGCTGTCTGGGCTTAATGTTCATGTAAGGTCACCAGAAGGGCGTCACTCCACTTCTTTGTTCCTACCTGACCCCAGGTAGTTTAGCCCTATTAATATCCACAGTGTTTCCCATGAGACAAGGCAGAAGTGGTCCTCCTGGGAAGTACCTCTGAACACTTTGGAAGCTGGATGTCTGCCTCGGGCTCTCTTTTGCTCCTCGGAGAAACTGTAGACCCAGGGGATACCTCTTGGTATGGTGCTGTGCTTTTCCAGCAGAGAGGTGATATGATGGAAGTAAAATGGCTTTCTTACCACATTGTAAAATGTGGCTTTTCTTAGTTTTTGTGTTACCAGAGGGGGATTAAGTCTCACCCCCAGGTTCTGGGATTTGTACAGAGATTTTTTTTTTTTTTTTTTAAGACAGGATCTTGCTCTGTCACCCAGGCTGGAGTGCAATGGTACGATTGTGGTTCATTGCAGTCTCGATCTCCCAGGTTCAGGCAATCCTCCCACTTCAGCCTCCTGAGTATTTGGGACCATAGGCACACATCACCACACCTGACTAATTAATTTTTTTTTTTTTTTGTAGAGACGAGGTCTTGCTACTTTGCCCAGGATGCTCACTGCTCACAGAGGTGTTCTTGAACATGGCTATTTAGATATTTGCTAATTACTTTTTCTGCAAGGGGGACTAGAGCTGGGGACCTCCTATTCTGCCACCTTGCTTATGTTGCTGAGCAGCTATAACTTAATTTGAATCCAGTGTTTAGTGATCAAAACCAACAAGTTTCTTTGAATGCATGAATTCAGTGATGATTATTTGTTAATGTACTGAAATCACTGTATTTCAGAAGTATTTACTACACATTTCCTATTTTTAGTTCTTAAAAGAGCTAAGGGTTTCAGAAAGAGCCTGTATTTAAAAAAAAAAAAAAAAGCTGAGGCTTATTTGAACTGTTTAATCTAATCTTTGCTTAGCTCTATGGCTCTTCTGCCCATCTTCTCTGTTTATTTGGCCAAAGTGATAAGTGTCTGTCACAACTGTTGTGTTTTCCAGAAAACCAGAAATATATTGTTATTTCATACTTATATTTGTAACTTGAATTTCACCATCTAGATATAATTTTAACATGTCGATTCCTCTAGATTGAATGGTGTTGAGCATGTTTTTGTGTGCTTTTGACCAGTTGTATATCTTTTTTGTGCAATATCTATTTAAATATTTCATCCATCTTTTCTTTTCTTTTTTAAATTTAAATTTAATTTAATTTGTTTTAGAGATAAGGTCTTACATTGTTGCCCAGGCCTGGAGTACAGTGTCACAGTCTTGGCTCTCTGAAGCTTCAACCTCCTGGACTCAAGTGATCTTCCTGCCTCAGCCTCCGGAGTAGCTGGAACTACAGGTGTGTACCACCACACCTGGCTAACTTTAAACATTTTTTTGTAGAGATGAGGTCTCACTATGTTGCTCAAGCTGGTCTCAGATTCCTAGCTTCAAGAATCTTCTTACCTCAGTCTCCCAAAGTGCTGGGATTACAGATGTGAGCCATAGTGCCTGGGCTTTTTGTGTATTTCTTAATTGGGTTGTCTCTGTATTATTAGGTGGAAAGTGTTCTTTACCTATTTTATATATATGTTATTTATGAGATACATATAAAGATGTGTATATGTGTATACATGTGTGTTTATGTATATATAGATGATATTTACTCCTAGTACATGGCTTGCCTTTTCATTTTCTTTCGATGAAGGCCAAATTATAATTTTTTTCTTTGGGTTCAGAATTTTTTTTTTTTGGTTTAAGAAATCTCTGTGTATTTCAGGGTTGCAGTTTCTCCTGTATTTTCTTTTATAAGTTGTATACTTTTAGCTTTTTTGTTTAGGTTTGTGATTCACTTATTCACTTCAAGATTTTGTTTTATTTTGTTTTGAGACAGAGTCTCGCTGGGTCGCCCAGGCCGGAGTACAGTGGCGTGATCTTGGCTCACTGCAACCTCCGCCTGCCAGGTCAAGCAATTCTGCCTCAGCCTCCCAGGTAGCTGGGATTACAGGTGCACACTACCACACCTGGCTAATTTTTGTATTTCTAATATAGACAGGGTTTCACCATGTTGACCAGGCTGGTCTTGAACTCCTGACCTCAAGTGATCCACCCACCTCGGCCTCCCAAAATGTTGGGATTACAGGCGTGAGCCACTGCGCCTGGCCTAGTGCAAGTTATTTCTTACATAGGGTGTGAGTTAAAGGGCAAGGCTAATATTTTCCCTTACAGATATCTATTTGTTCTAGCACAAATTTGTTGAAAGAACTGTCCTTTCCTTATTGAATTATCTTGGCACTTTTGTTCACAATCAATTGATCATATATCTGTGGGTTCATTTCTGGGATTTCTATTCTGTCTTATTGATCTTTAAGTCTGTCTGTATGCCAGTGCCACACTGTTTTGATTATTATAACTTTAGAGCAAATCTTGAAATCAGATACTTTAAGTTCTCCAACTTTATTCTTCTTTCTCCAAATCATTCTGGGTATTCAAGGTACTTTGCATGTTTATACAAATTCTAGAGATAGCTTCTTACTCTTTGCAAAAAACCTGCTGGGATTTTGATTGTGATTGCATTGAATCTATAGATCAGTATGGAGAGCTCTGAATAACAGCCTTTCAATCCATAAATATGGTATATCTTTGTATTTATTTACATCTTCTTTAGTTTTTCTTAGCAAGTTCTACGAGTTTCTATTGTAGCTTTCAGTTGGTAAGTTTTGTACATATTTTGTGAAATTTATTACTAATTCATATTTTTAGTGCTATGGTAAACAGAATTTAAAGTATAATTTCTATTTGTTTATGGCTAGTAAAGGTTCAGTGTTCTTTATTTGAAATGCTTGGGACCAGAAGTGTTTTGGATTTTAGATTTTTTTTTTTTTAAGATTTTGGAATATTTGATATACATACCAGTCAAGCATCCCCAATCTGACAATCCAAAATCTGAAATATTCTAATGAGCATTCCCTTTGAGTGTGACCTTTGATCATCGTGTTGACCCTTAAAAAGTTTCAGGTATTAGGGCATTTTGGATTTAGATTTTCAGATGAGAGATGCTCAACCTTTATATATTGATGTTTGTATATTGATGCTGTATCCCTTGACTTTGTTACATTCATTTATAATATTAATTTTAGTAGCTTTTTTGTAGATTCCTTAGAATTTTTTATGCAAATGATCATGCTATCTGTTAAAGACTGTTTTACTTCTTCGTTTCCAGTATGTATGCCTGGTATTTAATTTTCTTGCCTTATTGCTCTGCATAAGATCTCTAGTCACCATTGAATAGAAGTAGTGAGAGCAAATCTACTTGCCTTGTTCCTGATCTTAGAAGGATAATCTGCTTTTTTACTATTAAGCACGAGGTTAACTTTAGGGTTTATTTATATTTTTATTTTGAGACAGAGTCTTGCTCTGATGCCCAGGCTGGAGTGCAGTGGTGCAATCTTGGCTCACTACAACCTTTGCCTCCCGAGTTCAAGGAGTTCTCCTGCCTCTGCATCCCAGGCAGCTGGGACTACAGGTACCCGCCACCACACCCAGCTAATTTTTGTACTTTTAGTAGAGATGGGGTTTTACCATGTTGGCCAGGCTGGTCTCAAACTCCTGACTTCAGGTGATCCACTGCCTCGGCCTCGGCCTCCCAGAGTGCTGGGATTACAGGCATGAGCCACTGTGCCCAGCCTACAGTTATTTTATAGATATCCTTTATCAGTATGAGTAATTTCCCTTCTATTCCTATTTTCTCATAGTTTTTATAATGAATGGGTATTTGAATTTTATGTAAAATTTTTCTGCATTTATTGGAATGATCACATTTTCTCCATCTATTCTCTTATTGTAATGATTGATTTTTTAAATTGAGGCAAAATTTACATACCATAAAATTAATCCTATTTACAAAGCATACAATTCAGTGGTAGTTGTGTATTCACAAAGTTGATTTCTGAGTATTAAATCAATCTTACATATCAATGAATAAACCTACTTGCAAATGATGTTTTATCATTTTATTTTTACACTTGATTGTTAATATTTTGTTAAGGATTTTTACATCTGTGTTCATGAGAGATGTTGGCCTGTAGTTTTCTTTTTTTTCTAACATCTTTGGTTTGGTATCTGAATAATGCTGGCCTCATAAAATATGCCAGGAAGTGTTCTCTTCTTTTTTTTCTTAAGGAATTTGTGTAGGATTGTTACTATTTCTTCCTTTAAGAAATTCACCAGTGTAGCACTCTTAGCTTAAAGTTTTTGGTATGAGATTTTTAAATTATATTTAATTTTTTTTAGACAGGGTCTCACTCTGTCACGCAGGTGGGAGTGCAGTGGCATGATCATGGCTCACTGCAGCCTTGACTTCCGGGGCTCAAGCAATTCCCCTACCTCAGCCTCCTGAGTAGCTGGACTACAGGTGCTAATCACCATGCCCAGCTAATGTTTTTGCATTTTTTTAAAGATGGGGTCTTGCTATGTTGCCCAGGCTGGTCTCCAACTCCTGGGCTCAAGTGATCCTCCTGCCTCATCCTCCCAAAATACTGGGATTATAGGCGTGAACCACCATGCCCGGCCTGAGAATGCTTTTAATTACAAGTTTAGCTACTTTAGTAAATATAGGAATATTAAGATTTTCTATTTCTTTTCGTGTCTGTTTTGGTAATTGGTGTTTCAGGAATTTGCCACCCATTGATTCTACATTGTTGCATTTATTGACATAGAGTTGTTCATAACAGCCTCTTATTTTCCTTTTAATGTCTGTAGGATATGTAGAAGTGTCCCCTCTTAAATACTGATATTGATAGCTTGCATCTTTTTTCTGTCAGTTTATCTGGTTTATCAATTTTATTCATTTTTTTTTTCTGTCACCCAGGCTGGAGTTCAGTGGCACAATCATGGCTTACTGCAGCCTTGACCTCCTGGGGTCAGGTGATCCTCCCACCTCAGCCTCCCAAAGGGCTAGGATTACAGGCGTGAGCTACTGCGCTCAGCCAATTTTATAGATCTAGAACTAGACTTGGTGTCATTGATTTTCCTTGAGTGTTTGTCCTTCTGTTTTATTATTTTTTTCCTTCTATTTTCATTGAGTTTAATTTGGTCTTCTTTTACCTTCTTGAAGTGAAAGCTATGATCATTAATATGATCCTTTTCCTCTGTTTCAATGTAAGAATTTGAAGCTACAAATTTCTTACAGCACTGTTTTTGGTGGATAGTTTGATGTGCTGTATTTTCATTTTCATTCAATTTAAAATATTTTCCGAATTTCCTTGTGATTTTTTTCTTTGACTTATGGGGTACTTAGAAGTTGTTTAAATATTTGGGGTTTCATAAGTATCTGCTGATAGATATTTTAATTTAATTTTAATTCTGTTTCCATCACAGAACATACTGTGTAAGGTTTCAGTCATTTGAAATTGAGACTTGTTTTATGGTGCAGAATAGTCTTTCTTGGGAAATGATCCATGTACTCTTGAAAGTAATTCTTTTTCTTAAACTTTTTTTCTTTCTTTCTTTTTTTTTTTTTTTTTAATGGAAATGGTCTCTCACTATGTTGCCCAGGCTGGTCTCAAACTCCTGGGCTCAAACTTGAAAGTAATTCTATTCAGAAGTTGTTAGGGCCAGGCATGGTGGCTCATGCCTGCAATCGCAGCACTTTGGGAATCCAAGGCTGGAGGATTGCTTGAGGGCGGGAGTTCAAGACCAGTCTGGATAACATAGTGAGACCCTGGCTCTTAATATATAGAGTAAGATTTTTAAAAAGAGGTTGTTAAATGTGAATTAGTTATTAAGCCAGAAGTATATTGTTATTTTATGTTTATCTTATATTTGTAACCTGAATTTCACCTGGATGTAATTTTTACATATTGATTCCTCTAAAGTGAATGGTGTTGAGCATCTTTTTGTGTGCTTTTTGGCCAGTTGTATATGTGTTGTTTGTGTGTGCAGTATGAATTAAATGTGAATTAGGTTAAAGTAATCGATAGTGTCATTCAGATCTTCTGTATCCCTATTATCAGTTATTGAGAGAGGTGATACATCTATAATTATTTATAGAGTGTGAGTTTGTTTCTCCTTTGAGTTATTTCCATTTTCGCTTTGTGTATTTCAAGGCTCTGTTAGTAGGCATGAGTATATTTTTATGGTCATAGCTGCCTGATATATTCATTTTTTTATTATTATGTAGTGTCCCTCTTTGTCTTTAGTGATCTTCTGTGTCCTGAAGTCTATTTTGTCTGTTAGGCACTTAGCCACTCTTTATACTTTCTTATGCTCTTTCCAACTTTTAAAATTCAACCTATTTGTGTCTTTATGTTTAAAATGTGTCTTGTAGACAGCATGTGTGATTGGTTTGTGTTTTTTGTTCATTTGTTTTTGAGACAGAGTCTCACTCTGTTGCCCAGGCTGGAGTGCAGTGGCGCGATCTCAGCCCACTGCATCCTCCACCTCTTGGATTCTTGTGCCTCAGCCTCCCGGGTAGCTGGGATTACAGGTGTGTACCACCACACCCAGCTAATTTTTGTATTTTTAGTAGAGACAGGGTTTCACCATGTTGGCCAGTTGGGTCTCAAACGCCTAACTTTAAATAATCCACCTGCCTCGGCCTCCCAAGATGCTGGAATTACAGGCGTGAGTCACTATGCCTAGTCTGGGTCTTGTTTTTTATATCATCTGATAATTACTGGATTAAAAAAACTTTTAAAATAATGTAGTAAAATGCACGTAACATAAAATTTACCATCTTAACCATTTTTAAGTATACAGTTCGTGACATTAAGTACATTCACGTCATCATACTAACCATTCATTCGCAGGACTCTTTCATCTTACAAAACTGAAACTCTGTATCTATTAAACAATAATTCCCCATTCCTACCTACCCCAGTACCTGACAACTACCATGCTTTCTATCTCTATGAACTGGACTTTGCCAGGTCCTCATATAAGTAGAGTCATACTATATTTGTTCATTTGTGACTGGCTTATTTAATTTAATATAATGTCCTCAAGGTTCATCCAGTTTGTAGCATGCGACAGGATTTTCTTACTTTTTAAGGCTGGATAATATTCCATTGTCCATATATCCCATATTTTGTTTGTCCCTTCATCCATTGTTGGACACTTGGGTTGTTTCCATCTTTTGGCTTTTGTGAATAATGCTGTTGTGAACGTTGGTGTGCAAATGTCTCTGAGATCCTGTGTTCAATTATTTTGGCTGTATGTCAAAAGAAGTGGAATTGCTGGATCATATGGTAATTCTATTTTTAATTTTTCTAGGAACTGCCATGCAGTTTTCCACAGCAGCTGCACCATTTTACATTCCAGCCAACAGTGCATAAGAGTTCCAATTTCTCCACATCATCATCAGCGTTTGTTATTTTGTTTCTTTGATATTATTAGCCATCCTAATGGACGTGAGGTTATATTCTCATGGTGGTTTTGATTTTCATTTTCCCAGTGGTTAATGGTATTGAACACCTGTTTTTGTGCTTACTAGCCATTTGTACATCTTATTTGGAGAAATATCTATTCCAGTTTTTGTTTATTTTAAACTCAGGTTTTTTATTGTTGTAGAACTTTTTAAAATATATATTTTGTATATTCACTCTTTATCAAATGTATTACTTGCAAATATTTTCTCCCATTTCGTAGGTTTTCACTTTGTTGAATTATCCTTTGATGAACAGAAGTGTTTAATTTTGATGTAGTTTGATTAATCTGTATTTACTTTTGTTGCTATGATGTGGGTGTTAATTACCATCTTTTTGGAAATGTTTGATCCAATATATTTAATTTGATTATTCACATGCTTAGATTTAAGTCTTCCATTTTGCTATTTGCTCTCTATTTGACTCATCTGCTTTTTATTTCCCCTTTTTTCATGCTTATTTTTGGTATTATTTTTAGCATTTCATTTTAATATCTCAATTGGTGTTTTAACTACATCCTTTTTATTTTATTTTTTATTTTTTCACCCAGGCTGCAGTAAGGTGGCACGATCTCGGCTCACTGCAACCTCCGCCTCCTGGGTTCAAGCGATTCTCCTGCCTCAGCCTCTCAAGCAGCTGGGACTACAGGCACGTGCCACCACGCCCGGCTAATTTTTTTTTTTAGTAGAGATGGCGTTTGGGTTTCACCTTGTTAGCCAGGATGATCTCGATCTCCTGATGTCTTGATCTGCCTGCCTCGGCCTCCAAAAGTGCTGGGATTACAGGCGTGAGCCACCACGCCCGGCCAACTACATCCTTTTTAATTTTTGTGAGTACATAGTAGGTATATATGTTTATGGAGTACATGAGATACTTTGATACAGACTTGCAATGTGTAATAATGACATCATGGAAAATAGGGTATCTATCCTCTCAGGCATTTATCCTTTGTGTTATAAACAATCCAGTTATATTCTTTAAGTTATTTTTAAATATACAATTAAATTATTTTGACTATAATCACCCTGTTGTGCTATCAAATACTAGGTCTTCAGCTACATCTTTTTTATTTTTACTGATTGCTAGAGGTTACAACATGCATCCGAATTTATTACAATCTAATAATCATTAATATGAAATTATTTTAGATAAAAGAACCTTGAAATAATATCATTCCATTTATTCTTATCATTATTATATGTTTTACATCTACAGATGTTATAACTCAACAATATAGTGTCATAATTTTTACTTTAAATAGTCATAGGTATTTTAAGTAATTTAAGAGAAGAAAAGAAATATAGTCCTTTATATTTACCCACTAAGATTTCTCATGTCATATTCCTTCCTGTAAATGCAAGGTGCCACCCTGTGTCCTTTCCCTTCAGTCTGAAAAACTTCCTTTGGCATTTTTGACGATGCAGGTCTGCTGGCAATTTATTCTCTCAGTTTTCATTTATCTGAAAATGTCCTTGTTCACCTTTATTTTTTGGAGATTAATTTTTTTGGATATGGAATTTTGTGTTAATAATTGTTTTTTCTCTGTTAGCACTTTGAATATGTCACTTAGATTTTTTTTTTTTTTTTTTTTTTTTTTTTTTTTTTTGGAGATGGGGTCTCGCTCTGTCACTCAGACTGGAGTGCAGTGGTGCGATCTGGGCTCACTGCAACCTCCGCTTCCTGGGTTCAAGCGATTCTCCTGCCTCAGCCTCCTGAGTAGCTGGGATTACAGGTGCACTCCACCATGCCTGGCTAATTTTTTTTATTTTTAGTAGAGACGGGGTTTCACCATGTTGGTCAGGCTGGTCTTGAACTCCTGACCTTGTGATCCACCCACCTTGGCCTCCCAAAGTGCTGGGATTACAGGCGTGAGCCACTGCGCCTGGTCGTCACTCAGATTTTTTCTGGTTGCCATTGTGTCTGATGAGAAGTCAATCAATAATATCATTATATCGTAATATGTAATTTGTTTCCCCACCTTCTAGTGACTGTTTTCAATATTTTTAAAGCAGTTTGACTATCTAGTCTTTGATAACTTCCATGTTATCAAAGATTTATCTGAGATTTATCCCATATATTTCCTGCCCTAGACCTGAAATCATTCATATCTCTAAGGAGCCTTGGATCGTTTTATAGGGGAATGACATTGAGAGACTAGAATCTGGGTGCTAGGGTACATGTTATTATTGGTTGTTTGTTGCATCTAGGCCTTTCCAGTGGATAGATTAAGGAAATACTATTACTGATTTTAAAATAAATATAATACTCTCAAATTAGGAATGTGGAACAGGAAGGTGGCTAGAACATGTGTTCAGTCTGTGGTTTTGACTTAATTCCTAAAATTTTACTTAAAAAGTACTATGATTTGAATGTTTGTGGCCACCTAAAATTCATGTTGGGAAGCTAATCATCAATGTGATGCTATTAGGAGGTGAGGCCTTTGGGAGGTGATTTCATTATGAGAATGGAGCCCTCGTGAATGGGGTTAGTGTTCCTTTATAAAGTGGCTCCAGAGAGTGGCCTGGCCCCTTTTGCCATGTGAGGACACAGTTTGAAGATGCCTTCTGTGAAGGTGAAAGTGGGACCTCAGAAGACACCGAAATAGCTGGCGCCTTGCCCAGCTTCCAGAACTGTGAGAAATAAATTTCTGTTGTTTATAAGCCAGCATTTTATTATATTTTGTTATAGCAGCCCAAATAGTTTCTGTAATAGTTGTGCTTTTTCTTTATAGTGAACATATACTGTACTTTTATAATCAGAATGAAACAATATAAAATAATGGAATATCTATGCAATAGATTAATAAACCAAAGAAATGAGTGCACAATTTATAAAATAGAACAAATCTGTGTTAAATTTCTTTGGTGTGATGATGGTGTTGTGATTATGTCACTGTTCTTAGGAGATACATGCTGAAGTATTAGGGATGAAGTAACATGATGCCAGCAATTTACTTTCAAATTTTTCAACCAGAAAACAAAAGAGAGAGAGTTTGTGTGTGTATAATATGTCTGTGTAAGTCTGTGTGTGTTTGTGTTTGGAGAGAGAGAGTATGAGTGTAAACGGCAAAATGTTAATATTTGGGGGAAAAAGGTAAAGTATATACAGGTAATCATAGTACTATTTTTCAACTTTCAGTAGGTTTGAAATTTTTCAAAATAGTTGGGGTAAAATAATGTTTAATAAAGGTTTGTAAAAATACCCATTATAGTAACTGAAAAAGGTAGGATTTCATGGCAGCTGTCTTTACATAATAGGGTTATGGATGATTTTCTTTTCATTCTTCTGAGACAGGGTCTGGCTCTGTCACCCAGGCTGGAGTGCAGTGGCATGATCTCAGCTCACTGCATCCTCTACCTCCTGGGCTCAAGCATCCTCCCACCTCCGCCTCCGCAGTAACTGGGACTACAGGCATACCACCACACCTGGCTAATTTAATTCTTTTTGTAGAGATGGGGTTTTGCCATGTTTCCCAGGCTGGTCTCGAACTCCTGGGCTCAAGCAATCTGTCCCCACCTCAGCCTCCCAAGGATTACAGGTGTAAGCCATCACGCTCAGCTGATGATTTTCTTTCTACTTGTCGGTGCTTTCTCAATTTTATTTATGTATTTATTTATTTTTGAGACAGGTTCTCACTCTGTTGCCCAGGCTGGAGTGTAGTGGTGTGATCACGGCTCACTGCAGCCTTGAACTCCTGGGCTCAGGTGATTCTCCTACCTCAGCCTCCCAGGTAGATAGGACTACAGGCGCATGCCAACATGCCTGACTAATTTTTGCATTTTTTGTAGAGACGAGGTTTCACCCAGGAGTCTCAAACTCCTGGGCTCAAGCTATCTGTCTGCCTTGGCCTCCCAAAGTGCTGGGATTATAGGCATGAGCCACCATGCTTGGCCCTTTCTCAGTTTAAATAATAAGGATATAATATTTGGGGAATTATGAAAATTATTTTTAAAATAGCATATTTTAAAATTTGAATTTATAAGCAGAAAAGGATCCTTTGTTTCAGTAATTTTGGGGGATGATATATGAGACATCCAATAGGATAGTGATCTTTGTAATGAGAAAGAGTGTGTGAATGATAGATGGGATATTAATATAATAATAGAAACCTGTTACTGGCATCTTTCAAATGTTAAGAATTTCATATACTCAACTTTTGTAGTCATCACAACAATGTTGTAAATAGGTATTAATAATTATCTAAACTTTTATAGATACTAAATAACAGAGTGAAAATGGAAACAAAGGCCAAGCAACTTGGTGCATGTATGTTATTCCAGTACCTTGGGAGGCTGAGGTGGGTGGATGGCTGGAGGCCAGAAGTTTAAGACCATCCTGGTCAATATAGTGAGACTCCATCTCTATGAAAAATTTAAAAATTAGTTGAGCATGGTGGTCTGGGCCCTATAGTCCTAGCTACTTGGGAGGCTGAGGCCAGAGGATTTCTTGAGCCCAGGAGTGAGCTATGATCATGCCACAGCACCCTAGGCAGCCTGAGTGACAGAGCCTCTTAAAAAAAAAAAAAAAAAAAAAAAGGACACAATGTTAAAACAAAAGTTGAAACAAAGTCTGTCTTAGATTTCCAAAGTTTATACTCTGGTAGTTTCTTGTGATAGAGAGAAATTTTATAATTGGATTCCAGCTGGCTGACATAGTAAACTAAGCTGGGCAAAAAGATAAATAGCAGATAATAGCTCTCCCCGATCAGAAATGTAATCTAATCTGTCATGAGATTAGAATTAAAAGGAGGAAAAAAAAAAAAAAGAATAGAATTGTAAACCTAGGCTGGGAGTGGTGGCTCACCCCTGTAATCCCAGCACTTTGGGAGGCTGAGGTGGGCAGATCACTTGAGCCCAGGAGTTCAAGATCAGCCTAGGCAGCATGGTAAAACCCTGTCTCTACAAAAAATGCAAAAACAGTTGGATGTGGTGGGGTACACCTGTAGTCTCAGCTATGCAGGAGGCTGGGGTGGGAGGGTTGCTTGAGCCCAGGAGATTGAAGCTGCAGGGAGCAATGATTGTGCCATTGCACTCTAGCCTGGGCAACAGAGAGACTCCACCTCCAAAATAAATACATAGATAAGAAACGTAAACCTAAAGAGTAATTAGAAGATGCCTTTAAAGTGAAAAGCAAAGGTTTCTCCTCTAATTCTGGCAGTACATTTTAGAAGAATTTCTTTTTATTAACATTCAGAGCTTTCAAGTGAATCTGAGTGATATTCAGGTAGTATAAATAGGAAAAGACTAGTGCATCATGCTAATTGCTATATAAGCATTACCATCTGTGAGACCTTGTCGATGGATAAACTAGGAGCTCTTTCAAGAAAGAACAACCAACATTCCATCAGTGTTGCTTCGTCTATAAAAAGCATAGTCATATATTCCTTGAGTGGGATAGATAACCCCAATATTAAACCAATAAACAATATCCCAATATTAGCAATATTAACCCAATATTAAATGTTAATATTAAACAACATTAACCCAATATTAAACCAATAAACAATAATCCCAGTGTCAAACCAGTAATGAAAGAAATTAATACATGGGATATTCATGCTTAATTTCATTTAAATCCTGAAATTAGGTTGACACAAAACAACAACAAAGAACACTTGGTTTTAGATGTTGAATGTAAAAAGAAGGATAAGAAAATAACTATTTCTCCTTTGCTAAATGGATTCTCCTAAGTTCAAGGGAAATGAGAGTTGACTAATAGTAGATATAATTCAATCAACATTTTCTTTTGTTTCATTTTTTGTGTGTGTATGATACAGAGTCCAGCTCTGTCGCCCAAGCTGCAGTGGTGCAATCTTGGCTCACTGCAACCTCCACCTCTCGGGTTCAAGCAATTCTCGTGCCTCAGCCTCCCAAGTAGCTGGGATTACAGGCATGCACCACCATGCCTCGCTAATTTTTGTATTTATAGTAGAGACAGGGTTTCACCATGTTGGCCAAGCTGATCTTGAACTCCTGACCTAAGTGATTCTGCCCACCTCGGCCTCCCAAAGTGCTGGGATTACAGGTGAGAGCCACCATGCCTGGCCCTCATTTTCTTTTGTTTCTTTTAATTCATTTTATACATTAGTTATCATAAAGTTTATCCCAGGTTGGCGTCCCTCTTTTACCCGGCATGCTTTCCAGTTGCTGCTCACAGTTAATTCAGAGGCCCCATGGGATACAAAATTTTAGCATGGGCTTCAAGAAAATAAAGTTTAGAAAGTAGGTTATACTCCTGAAAAAAAGTCATAAATTTCTAAATAAAAAGTAAATTATTTGGGGGTGTGTATACCATAGCTCTCTTGGCAGAGGAAATGAAGTACTGATATTAAATAAATGGTTTTAATTAGAATTTAAATAACAGATAAATACTTGTTTCTCTAAATATACTTTGAGAATTGGAAACAAGATTATAATTTAAAAAAATCATACAAACATTTTTTAGAATAAAATCTAAGAAAGAATTTTTATTAATTTAACCAAATGACAGCTTTCATTTTAATTATAAACTATTATTTGGCATTTATACACATAAAATATATGTTTAACTGAATATTTTGTACAAACTCTATGAGTATTCCAGATACAGAATTATGATTATAAAATAATCAAGATATTTCAAGGAGACATGTGATTCAGTGCCAAAATTACAATTGTATATCTGTCACAATACTTATAGCCCATAAAATGTTCACATGAAATCTCTAATGTAGGCAATTAATTGCTAGAAGAATAAATGATGTTCATTATATAGAACATAGAAAGGGACACAATGCAAAATAAAGATATGAAAGCCTTCAGAATTTCTTTATGTTGTTGCTAGTAAGATGACAAAACATAAAGCTATGAGGATCTGGCCACGTAAAATATTTATAGTAAGTATGCCTTGAGTGCTTGCATGGAAGAAATGCTCTGTCAGCCACTTTTGGTAGAAGGATGGCCCAATATAGACACCAGGAAAACCTCTTCGACCACAGCCATGTCCGTAACTGGTAATTCCCATTACAAAAAATCTTTTATATTCTGGTAAGTAGCACATTAATGGTCCCCCACTGTCACCCTGTCAAAAAAGTCCCAAAATAGTGTTTGTTACTTCTAGTATTCTTCAAGCAACAGTAACACTGGAATAAATTATTTACATCAAACATACATTTATATAAATACACATTTTCAATATACCCCCAATTTATAAAGATCACTAGATTTTGAGCTTAAACTTCCAACTCAAACAGGAGGAATTCAATTTTACCCAGGTATTTGGAGGAACCATATAGCTGGTAGATAAATTTCTCATCTGCCTGGTTTTGAGCCAGAATACTATAAATCAAATTGTTTGGATTTTTAAATATAATTACTTAGGAGAAATATAATTTAGGAAGTGTGCAAAATATTGTCAAAACTGTCTATTATTAGAATATTCTCTTGCTGAATACTGCGTGTGGAAAGGATAACTTTAAGATGTATGAAGGATTCTTTTAGGCACGTGTGTGGTTTGCTTGCCAGGGAGAGGAGTAAACTGGCATCTTGCAATAGAAGACAAGTTTCTAAGTGTTGACAATAGCTAGTGCAGGAAAATGAGCATAAATGGCAAAGCCTCTCAGTAGTATTATAAATGACAGGTCACTTTCATAGTCTATACAAAATTAGGAATGCACCCAAATGCTGTTACTAAGGCCTGTTAATGCACTGAAAACAACAAGGACACTGAGATAACTGTTTCCGATTCTCTATATAAGGCAGGCATTGAATAATTATTTTTTGATGATGAGGATGTTTGGCCTAGGAATGCAATTCACTTAGATTGGATTCTTTACTATTTCATTCAGCAAGATTTTTAAGGAAAAGGACACAGAAAAGATAAACTTTAGATTGCAGAAATGAGAATGAGTAGGAAAAGGTGAGAGCATGGGTTACTCAGGAGTGAAGGACTAGTAGCTTTGGAAATAGTGAAGAAAAGAGGAATAAAGGAAGAGTAAAAAAGCATGAGACAAAACAAAAAATGGATCAATTGTACTTCATTAAAAAAATTAACATTTGTGCTGCAAATGATAACCTCAGAAAAGTGAAAAAACAGTCTACAGAATGGGAGAAAAATTTTGTACATTATGTATCTGGTAAGGGACTTGTATCCAGAATATATGAAAAATGCTTATAACTCAGTGATAAAAAGACAACTCAATTTAAAAATGAGGAAGGGATCCAAATAGACATTCTGTAAAGAAGATATATAAATGGCTAATAAATACATGCAAAAATGCTCAACATCATTAGTCATTAAGGAAATGCAAATTAAAACCACTATGAGATACCACTGCGCACCCACAAGGATGGTTATAATAAAAAAGACAGTAACAGGCTGGGCGCAGTGGCTCACCCCTGTAATCCCAGCACTTTGGGAGGCCAAGGTGGGCAGATCACTTGAGGTCAGGAGTTCAAGACCAGCCTGGTCAACAAGGTGAAGCCCTGTCTCTACTGAAAATACAAAAAAAAAAAAAAAGAATGGCCGGGCATAGTGATGTGTGCCTGTAATTCCAGCTACCTAGGAGGCTGAGGGATGAGAATCGCTTGAACCTGGGAGGCAGAGGTTGCAGTGAACAGAGATTGTGTCACTGCACTCCAGCATGGGTGACAAAGCGAGACTATCTCAAATAAAAAAAAAATTGAGCTGTACACTTTTAACTAGGTGAATTATATCTCAAAGGTAATGATTAAAAAAAAGAATTCAAGGTAAATTCTGCCTACTGATGACAGCAGAAACCATGGAATCAGGAACCAAGAAGATTTGGATTGTTGAAATAGTTAAAAAGGAGAAAAAATGATTTATTATTTTTAGGCCTGATAATTAAGACCACCAGAAAGTTATCAAAGGCCTTGTTTGACAAGTTCCCTTCTGGCTTCAGAAAATATTTTAAAGGAAAATTACTTGGTCTTACCCTGCAAGTATCAAAAGCTCCATCTTCATCACCTGCACAAAATGAAGTGTTAGGAATTATTCCCCCATAACTCCTCTCAGAATTACACATCTCTCGAGAAATATAATGCACTTCTGCATCTTGTAAAATATTTGTAGCGTTACCTGTTAACAAAAAATACCAGTAAGTTATCTTGGAGCAGACATTTTTACAGTGATTTAAATGTTAGTGTTTTATGTTTTCTTTCCAAAGTGACTGATGCAATAATTATGTAAAATTATATTCATATATATGTGTATGAATATGTATGTATGCCTAGGAAGATTGTAGAAGAATGTTTACCTAAATGTTTGTTTGTTCGTTTTTGAGATAGAGTCTTGATCTATTGCCCAGGCTGGAGTGCAGTGACGTGATCTCGGCTCACTGCAACCTCTGCCTCCTGGGTTCAAGCAACTCTTGTGCCTCAGCTTCCTGAGTAACTGGGATTACAGGTGTGCAACACCACACCTGGCTAATTTTTTTTTTTTTTTTAATTTTTGAGATGGCGTCTCACTCTGTCACCCAGGCTGCAGTGCAGTGGCGTGATCTCGGCTCACTACAACCTCTGCCTCCCAGGTTCAAGCAATCCTCCTGCCTCAGCCTCCTGAGTAGCTGGGATTACAGGCACTCACCACCATGCCCAGCTAATTTTTGTGTTTTTAGTAGAGATGGGGTTTCACCATGTTGGCCAGGCTGTTCTCGAACTCCTGACTTCAAGTGATCCACTCATCTCGGCCTCCCAAAGTGCTAGGATTACAGGTGTGAGCCACCATGCCTGGCCAGATGTGCCTTTTTATATTCCCACTAGCAAAGTACGAGGGTTTCAAATTCTTCACATCCTCATCAATGCTTGTTATTGTCTAACTTTTTAATTATAGTCATCCTTGTGTGTCATCCCAGCACTTTGGGAGGCTGTTTTAAAATTACTGCTAGTGTATAGAAATGGAGTAGATTTTGTATATGGTCTTATGCTGGCTGTATTACTAAACTCTGTTAATTCCAATGGATTTTAGAGCCTATTTTAGTTACATCATCTGTGACTAATGAATATTTTGTTATTTCCTTTGTAAGTTGTGTGTGTACCTTCTTCTAGTATTAACACACTTGGTAGTACTTCTACAGTATTGAATACAAGTGGAGAAGTTGTTCTTGATTTTAAAGGAATGTTTTACTGTAATGATGTTTGCTGTAGGTTAGAGGTCATTAACCTTAATTAGGTTAAGGAAATTCCCTTCTATGTCTAGACTGTTAAGAGTTTCTAACAATGCTTCTACTGCATTTATTCAGAAAATATTTTTTATCCTTTAACCAATCTGTGATGAATTCCATCAAGAGACTTCTAATTTTATTTATTTATATTATTATTTTTGAGACAGGGTCTTGCCCTCTTGCCTGGGTCCCAGAGTGCAGTGGCACAATTAGCTCACTGCAGCCTCAAACTCCTGGGCTCAAGCAATCCTCCCACCTCAACCTCCCGAGTGCCTGGGACTATGGGCATGTGCCATCATGCCCAGCTAATTGTTATTTTTGGTAGGGATGGGGTCTTGCTGTGTTGCCCAGGCTGCTCTCAAACTCCTGGCTTCAAGTGATCTTCCCACCTTGGCCTCCTAAAGTGCTTGGATTGCAAGCATGAGCCACTGCACCCAGCTGAGACTTCTCATTTTATTTTATTTCATTATTATTTATTTACTTTTTGAGACAGAATCTTGCTGTGTCACCCAGGCTGGAGTGCAGTGACGTACTCACTGCAACCTCTGCTTCTTGGGTTCAAGTAATCCTCCCTCCTTAGTTTCCAAGTAGCTGGGATTACAGGTGTGTACCACCACACCCAGCTAATTTTTAAATTTTTTGTAGAGTTGAGGTCTTGCTATATTGCCCAGGCCATTCTTGAATGGGCCCAAGCAATTCTCCTGCCTTGGCCTCTCAAAGTGTTCGAATTACAGGTGTGAACCACCACAGCTGGCTGACTTCTAATTTTAAACCCTTGGATTCCTGAGATAAACCTAATTTGGTTATGATTAATTCTATTTTTTTTGAGTCAGCGTCCTGCTCTGTTGCCTAGGCTGGTGCCTAGTGTAGTGGCACAGTCATAGGTTGCCACAGCCTCAACCTCCTGGGCTCATGTGATCCTTCTGCCTCAGCCTCTTGAGTAGCTAGGACTACAGGTGTGCACCACTATGCCCAGATAATTTTTTGGTTTTTTTTGTAGCAACAGTGTCTCAGTATGTTGCTCAGGCTGATCTTGAACTCCTGGCCTCAAGCAAGCCTCCTAATTTGGCCTCCCAGAGTGCTGAGATGACAGATGTGAGCCACTGTACCTGACCATCAATTCTATCTATAATATACTTTGTAGATTTAGTGTGTTATTACTAATAATTTGTTTGAAATGCCTGCATTTATAACGTTGGGCTTTCTCTTACTGCGTTTACTTGATTTTGGAATCAATAATATGATTATTTCATACACTGAGCTGGAGTATATTCCTTCCTTTTGTATTCTTTGGAAGCGTATGTATAGGATTTAGATGATCTGTCTCTGGTATTATGGTAGAACTCACTTGTTCTGAGTTCTGGTTTTTTATTTTTGAAAAAGAAATCTACTGATTCAATTCCTTTACACTCTATAGGACTATAGAGGATTTCCATTTCTTCTTTGGTCAGTTTTGGTTAGTTACCATTTTCATATTTAGTCAATTTATTAATTTCAGTTTGGGTTATTTACAAAGGAATTTATTCGTTTTGTCTAAGTACTAAAATTTACAGCATAACATTTTAAAAAGTACTGTGCTATATGTTAG
The DNA here is from genome assembly GCF_000001405.40 of Homo sapiens. Lineage (NCBI taxonomy): Eukaryota > Metazoa > Chordata > Mammalia > Primates > Hominidae > Homo > Homo sapiens. Next base: position 50,882,573 of record NC_000012.12, on the reverse strand, counting down.
TTCATAATATTAATTTGTATTTGTGCCTTCTTTCCTTTTGTCACCAGTCTTACCAGTGGTTTGTTGTTTTTTCAGAAAACTGGATTTTGGCTTGTTGGTTTTCTCTTTTCTATCTTTATTTTCTGTTCATTAACTGCAGTGCTTACCTTTATGTCTTTTTTTCTGCTTTCTATGGGTTTAGAATGTTCTTTCTTTTTTTAGCCTCCCTCCATAGTAGCTGAGACTACAGACATGTACCACCATGTCTGGCTGTAATATTCTTTTTTTTTTTTTTTTTTTTTTTTTTTAGAGAGATGGGGTCTTGCTCTGTTGCCTAGGCTGGTCTTGAACTCCTGGGCCCAAGCAATTCTCCCACATTGGCCTCCCAAAGTGTTGGGATTACAGGTGTGAACAACTGTGCTTGGCCAGTGCAATGTTTATTTAAACTTTAAAAAAGCTAGACTTTGAATTCATAGTGTTCAGACTTTATTCTTCAATATTAGGTCAAATGTTTGCTCTTCCGTATGATTCAAACTAACTAACTAAATAAACATATATATATATATATATATATATATATATATATATATATATATTTTTTTTTTTTTTTTTTTTTTTTTTTTTTTTTTTTTTGAAGTGGTCTCGCCCTGGGCTGGAGTGCAGTGGCGTTATCTTGGCTCACTGCAACCTCTGCCTCAGGGGTTCAAGTGATTCTCCTGCCCCAGCCTCCCAAGTAGCTGGGATTACAGGCTCACGCCACCACGCCCAGCTAATTTTTTGTATTTTTGGTGGAGACAGGTTTTTTACCATGTTGGCCAGGCTGGTCTCGGACTCTTGACCTCGTGATCTGCCCGTCTCAGCCTCCCAAAGTGCTGGGATTACAGGCGTGAGCCACAGCACCTAGACTCAAACTAAAAATATATATTTCTAAAACTTTAAATTTTATGTTTTACCTCTATCTGCAGCTCTCAAGTTTTGTTATGTACCATATACATTATTGTTCAATTCTAAGTATTTAAAATTATTATGATTTCCTCTTTGACATATGAGTCATTTAGTAGTGTGTTTTGAATTCTCCAAATGTGTGATGTTAAAAAGCTTACCCTTTTGTCATTTTTTTACAGCTTTATTAGGGTTTAATTTACATAACATGAATATCACACATTGTACCAATGCAGTTGAGTGATTTCTGCTAAATTTACACCAGCACCACAATCCAGTTTTAGAGTATTTCCTTCACCTCACAGAGTCCTCCTATGCTCACTTGTAATCAATTCCCAGCTCCAGCCCCACACTTAAGAAATGACTGATGGGCTGGGCTCAGTGGCTCACGCCTATAATTCCAGCACTTTGGGAGGCTGAGGCGGGCAGATTACCTGAGGTCAGGAGTTCAAGACCAGCCTGACCATCATGGAGAAACCCCGTCTCTACTAAAAATATAAAAAATTAGCCAGGCATGGAGGTACATGCCTGTAATCCCAGCTACTCGGGAGGCTGAGGCAGAAGGATTGCTTGAACCCGGGAGGCAGAGGTTGTGGTGAGCTGAGATTGTGCCATGGTACACAGCCTGGGCAACAAGAGCAAAACTCTGTCTCAAAAAAAAAAAAAAAAAAAAAAAAAAAAAAAAAGAAATTACTGATTCCTGTCTCTATAGGTTTGCCTTTTCTTGAAATTTTATATAAATGGAATCACACATTTGTAGTCTTTTGTATATAGCTTCCTTCATTTAGCTATATACCAAGGTTTTCAAGGTTCATCTATATTGCAGGATAGCTTTCTTCCTTTTTGTTGTGGGATAGTGTTCTGTTGAATGGATATATCATGTTTTGTATATCCATTCACTAGTTGGTGGACTTTGAATTGTTTCCTGTTTGGTGTATTATTAATAATGCTATGATGAGCGTTCATAAGTTTTTGTGTGGACATGTTTTCATTTGTCTTTGGTAGATATCCAGGAATGGAATTGCTAGGTCATATGGTAACTATGCTTAACAGGGTAAGTGCATATTTAACTTTCCCAGAAACCGTCAAACTGTTTTCCTAAGTGGCTTTACCATTTTACATTCTCCTCAGCAATGTATAAGGGCTCCAGTTTCTCCACATCCTTACTAACACTTGATTTGTTAGTCTTTTGGATTATCATTCTAGCAGTTGCATAGTGGCATCTCATTGAGGTTTCAAGGATATTAACATAAATATATATTTGAAATGAGGTCTTGCTGTGTCACCCATGCTGGAGTGTAGTACAGCGATCATAGCTCACTGCAGCCTTGAGCTCCTAGGCTCAAGTGACCCTCCTGTGTGTTAGCCTCTCAAGTAGCTGGGACTACAGGCATGTACCACTGTGCCTAGCTAATTTTTGTAGCAATGAGATCTTGCTTTGTTGCTCAGGCTGGTCTCAAACTCCTGGTTGCAAGTGATCCTTTCACCTTGGCCTCCCAAAGCACTGAGATTACAGGTGTGAGCCACTGTACCCAGCCAGTGTTAACAGCTTTTCATGTACTATTAGCCATTTGTATACCTACCTTGGTGAAATGTGTTTTCAAATCTTTTTTGTTTCTGCAAACACTATGGTGACTTATCTTTTCAAATCTTTATCCAATTTTTTATTTTTTAATGTTTTTGTGACAGGCTCTTGCTTTGTTGCTCAGGCTGGAGTGCAGTGACACAATCACAGTTTACTACAGTCTCAACCTCGTGGGCCTCAAGTGATCCTCCCACTTCAGCCTCCTGAGTAGCTGGGACTACAGGCATATACCACCATGCCCTGCTAATTTTTTGGTATTTTTTGTGGAGACGGGGTTTTGCCATGTTGCCCAGGCTGGTCTCAAACTCCTGAGCTCAAGTGATCCACCTGCCTCAGACTCCCAAAGTTTAGGGATTACAGGCATTAGCCTCTTTGCCTGGCCTTAAAACAAATTTTTCCTTAAAAATTCTCGTTAATGATAACAATTTACACATGACTACTTTCAGCCTTCTTTTCTAGTCAGACCCTTCTTAATAAACCATATATTTTGCTTTACATCATTTTGGTTCAGGGAGGCCAATAAAATTACTAATATCATATTGAAATGGAAATGCATGCAACAAAAACGTAATAAGGAAAGGGTTTTCAGAATGATAATAATATGTCAAATTAGCATTTACATTCCTGGCAAAAAGCCAGTTGGTTATGATGTATTATCTTTTTTTATACACTGCTGGAGATATTTGCAGCTCTTTTTCCATTGATTTTCTTAATGGTGGCTTTTGAAGAGGATACATGTTTAAATTTTGATGAAGTCCAATTTATCATTTTTATTTTTATTAATGGTTGTGCTTTTGGTGTCCTAAGAAATCATCGCCTAATCCAATGACTCAAGGACTTTCTCTTTGCTTTTTTCTAGAAGTCTTGCAACTGTAGCTCTTATACTTAGGTCTATGATCCATTTTGAGTTAATTATTTCTCTAAGTCTCTTTGTGCTGCTAAAATATGTCATAGACTGCTTATAAACAGTTGCTTAATAAACAACAGGAATTTATTTCTCACAATTCTGGATGCTGAAATTGAAGATCAAGGCACTGGCAGATTCGGTGTCTGATTAGGGCCATTTTCTGGTTCATAAGTTGTGACTTCCAGCTGTATCCTTACGTGGTGGAAGGGCAAGGCAGCTTTTTGGGGCCTCTCATATAAGGGCACTAATCTCGCTGATGAGAGCTCTGCCCTCTCAAAAGGCCCTACTTCCTAATATCATACCTTGGGAGTGAGGATTTCAACATATGAATTTTGGATGGACACAAACATTCAGATTGTACCACTATTGAATATAGTACGGAGAAAAGCTCCAAGGGTTTTTTTTCGCGGCGTAAGGATATCCAGTTGTCCCAGCATCATTTGTTGAAAAGACTGTTTTCCATTATATTGCCTTGGCACTGTTGTGAAAATCAACTGGCCATAAATATAAGGTTTTTTTTCCCCCTCCATGTTGTGTTCCATTAATCTACAGTCTATCTTTCAAAAATTAAATTAATTTTTTTAGAGATGGTCTCATTGTGTTACCCAAGACTGAAGTGCAGTGACATGATCATGGCTCACTGAAGCCTCAAACTCTTGAGCTCAAGTGACCTTCTTGCCTCAACCTTCCAAGTAGCTGGGACTATAGCTGCGTACCACCACACCTGTTTTTTTTTATTTTTGCAGAGATAGGGGCTCACCGTATTGCGCAGGCTGGTCTTTAAATTCCTGGGCTCAAGCCATTCTCTTGCCTTGGTCTCCCAAAATGCTGGGATTACAGGCATGAGCCACCACTCCCAGCCTCTACAGGTCTGTCTTTATCCCAATGTGTTGATTGCTGTGGTTTTATAATACGTTTTGAAATCAGACAGTCTAACTCCTTCAGTTTTTTTTTTTTTTTCCCCAAAATAATTTTGGCTATTCTAGATCCCTTGCCTTTCCATATACATTTTAGGATCGGCTTGTTAGTTTGCACGAAAAATCCTACTGGCATTTTGATAGGCCAATCTGTGAATAATTGCCGTATTAACAACATTGAGTCTTCTAACCCATGAATGCAGTATGAGTCTCCATTTAGTTTAAGTCTTCTTTAATTTCTCTAAGTGATGTTTTTGTAGTTTTCAGTGTACAAGTCTTACACATCTTTTGTTAAATCTGTTCCTAATTATTCATTATTTTAAATGCTATTATGGGCCGGGCATGGTGGCTAATGTCTGTAATCCCAGCACTTTGGGATGCCAAGGCAGGCGGATCACTTGAGGCCAGGAGTTTGAGACCAGCCTGGCCAACATAGTGAAACCCCGTCTCTACTAAAAATACAAAACTTAGCCACGCGTGGCGGCGCATGCCTGTAATCCCAGCTACTCAGGAAGCTCAGGAGGCTGAGGCATGAGAATCGCTTGAACCTGGGAGGCAGAGATTGCAGTGAGCTGAGATTGCACCATTGCACTCCACCCTGGGTGAAAGAGTGAGACTGTCTCAAAAAATAAAAATAAATAAATAAACGCTATTATGAATGGAATTGTGTTCTTAAATTTTGTTTTCAGATAGTTTATTGCAAGTATAGACATATTGATTTTTGTCTTCCTATAACCTCAACGAACTTGTTTTACTAGATTGTTTTGTAGATTCCTTAAGCATTTCTACATTTACATAATCATGTCATCTGTGAATAAAGTTTCCCTTTTTGATTTCCAATTTGTGTGCCTTTAATGTCTTTTTCTTGCCCATTGCACAGGCTAAAATCCTTGCTTTGTTCCTGATTTTATAGGGAAAGCATTCATTATTTTACCATTAGGTAGGATGGTTAGCTTATTCTTTATAGATGCTCTTTATCAGTTTAAGCTTCCTTCTACTGCTATTTTTTTAAAAAAAGAATTTCAACTTTTATTTCAGATTCAGGGGATACGTGTTACCTAGATATATGCATGATGCTGAGGTTTTGGGTACAACTGATCCTGTCACCCAGGGTATAATTGAACCCATATACTGAGCATAGTACCCCCAAATTAGCTTTTTAGCCCTTGGCCCCTCCCTCCCATCCTCTTTTAGTAGTCCCTGGTGTCTTTTGTGACCACCTTTATGTCCATGAGTACCCACTATTTACCTCCCACTTATAAGTGAGAACATGCAGTATTTGGTTTTCTGTTCCTGTGTTAATTCACTTAGGATAATGGCCTCCAACTCCATTCATGCTGCTGCAAAGGACATGATTCTGTTTTTTTATGGCTGTATAGTATTCCATGGTGCATATGTACCACACTTTCTTTATCCAGTCTTTTTTTTTTTTTTTTTTTTGAGACAGAGTCTTGATCTGTCACCCAGGCTGGAGTGCAGTGGCACGATCTCTGCTCCTTGGAAGCTCCGCCTCCCAGGTTCACGCCATTCTCCTGCCTCAGCCTCCTGAGTAGCTGGGACTACAGGCGCCCGCCACCACACCCAGCTAATTTTTTGTATATTTAGTAGAGACGGGGTTTCGCCGTGTTAGCCAGGATGGTCTCGATCTCCTGACCTCATGATCTGCCCGCCTCAGCCTCCCACAGTGCTGGGATTACAGGCGTGAGCCACCGCACCCGGCCTATCCAGTCTATTGTTGATGGGCACCTTGGTTGATTCCATGTCTTTGCTATTACAAACAGTGCTGCGATGAACATAGGAGTGCATGCGTCTTTTTGGTAGAATGATTTATATTCCTTTGGATAGATACAGAGTAATAGGATTGCTGGGTGCAGCGGTGATTCTGGTTTAAGTTCTTTGAGAAATCTCCAAACTGCTTTCCACAGAAGCTGAACTAATTTCTATTCCCACCAGCAGTGTGTAAGCATTCCTTTCTCTCACAGCCTTGGCAGCATGTTTTTTGGTTTTTTTAGCAATAGCCATTCTGATTAGTGTGAGATAGTATCTCATTATGGTTTTGATTTGCATTTCTCTGATGATTAGTGATGTTTAACATTTTTTCATGTGTTGTTGGCTGCTTGTATGTCTTTTGAGAAGTATCTGTTCATGTCTTTTGCCCGTGTTTTAATGGGGTTAATTGGTTTTGGCCTGTTCAATTGTTTAAGTTCTTTATAGATCCTGGATAGTAGACCTTTGTAGGATATGTAGCTTGCAAGTATTTTCTCTCATTCTGTAGGTTGTCTGTTTCCTCTGTTGATAGTTTCTTTTGCTGTGCAGAGGTTTTTCAGTTTAATTAGTTCCCACTTGTCAATTTTTGTTTTTGTTGCAGTTGCTTTTGAGGACTTAGTCATAAACTCTTTCCCAAGGCCAATGTCCAGAATGGCGTTTCTTGGGTTTTCTTCTAGGATTCTTGTAGCTTGAGCTCTTACATTTAAATCTTTAACCCATCTTGAGTTAATTTTTGCATATGGTGATAGGATAGAGGTCTGGTTTCATTCTTCTGCATATGGCTAGCCAGCTATCCCAGCACCATTTATTGAATAGGGAGTTCTTTGCCCATTGTCTTTGTCAAAGATCAGATGGTGTGTGGCTTTATTTCTGGGATGTCTATTCTGTTCTATTGGTCTATGTGTCTGTTTTTGTAACAATACCATGCTGTTTTGGTAACAATACCATGTTGTTTTGGTTACTGTAGTCTTTTTTTTTTTTTTTTTTGAGATGGAGTCTTGCTCTGTCGCCCAGGCTTGAGTACAGTGGCATGATCTCAGCTCACTGCAACCTCCCCTTCCACGTTCAAGCGATTCTCCTGCCTCAGCCTCCCAAGTAGCTGGGATTACAGGTGTGTGCCACCACACCTGGCTAATTTTTGTATTTTTAGTAGAGACGAGGTTAGAACCATATTGGCCAGGCTAGTCTCAAACTCCTGACCACAAGTGATCCGCCCACCTTGGCCTCCCAAAGTGCTGAGATTATAGGCAAGAGTCACCATGTCCAATGTTACTGTAATCTTATAGTATAGTTTGAAGTTGGGTAATGTGATGCTTCCAGCTTTGTTCTTTTTGCTTAAGATTGCTTTGGCTACTTGGGCTCTTTTTGGGTTCCATATACATTTTAGAAAAGTTTTTTCTAGACCTGTGAAAAAACAACATTGGTAGCTTGATAGCAATATCATTGAATCTATAGACTGATTTGGGCAGTATGGACATTATAATGATATTGATTTTTCCTGTCTATGAACATGAAATGTTTTCGCATTTGTTTGTGTCATCTATGATTTCTTTCAGCAGCATTTTGTAGTTCTCCTTGTAGAGATCTTTCGCCTCCTTGGTGAGATGTATTCCTAGGGATTTTTTTGTATGTTTGTTTTTTGTTTTTTTGGTGTGTGTGGCTATTTTAAATGACATCGCATTCTTGATTTGGCTCTCAACTTGAATGTTATTGATGTATAGAAATGCTACTGATTTTTGTACATTTATTTTGTATCCTGGAACTTTACCAAAGTCATTTATCAGTTCCAGGAGCCTTTGGTGGAGTCTTTAGGGTTTTCTAGGCATAGAATCATACCATTAGTGAAGACAGATAGTTTGGCTGCTTTTCCTATTTGGTTACCTTTTATTTCTTTCTCTTGCCTAATTGCTATGGCTAGGACTTCTTATTGCTATTTCTTTTGAGAATTTTTAAACTTAGAATGGTGTTGGATTTTATCAAATACATTTTCCACATTATTTGCAGTGATCTTGTCATTTTTATCTTTTATTAATATAGGCTTTATTTTATTTTATTGATTTTCAGATGTAAAACCAAACTTGCATTTTTTGAAGAAATTCCACTAGGTAGTGTATATAATCCTTTTTTATATGTTGCTGTATTCAGTTTGCTAACATTTTGTTGATGATTTTTGAGTCTTTATTCATGAAAGCTGTTTCTCTGTAGTTTTCTTGTAATGTTTTTGGTTTGGTGTCAGGATAATAATACTAGGCTTATATAATTATCTGGGAAATACTCCCTTCTCTATTTTCTGAGTGTGTAATATTAGAACTATCTCTTCCTAAAATATTTGATGTAATTCACCTGTGAAGTGAACTGGGCTTGGGTTTTTTTTAAATGGGAAGACTTTAAATTACTAATTATATTTATGTACTTGTTACAAGTTTATTCAGATATTCATTTCTTCTTGAGCCAGTTATAATTTTTTTCCTTTTAGGAATTTATTGCTATTACTAAAATTTGACCATTTATGTGTAACAAATATAATGTTAATCAGTATTTAAATACTTCTCCTGAATAATACAGGGACCTGAAACCAGTTTGACTCTGATCACCCCTCCTGAAATACCTGCCTTTCCTCCACAACTTAGACATTATTTTTATGATTTTAAGGTTTCTGTCTTGCTACTACTGACATTTTGGGCCTAACAATTCTTTGTGTGGGAGATGGGAGAACTATACTATGCATTGAAGGATGTTGAGCAGATGCCAGTAGCAAACTTATCCGCTTGCCCAGTTTTAACATCCAAAAATTTTCTCCAGATATGTTACCAAATGTTCCCTGGGGGCAAAATTATGCCCAAGTGAGAACAACTGTTGTGTACGGAGAATGTTTATTTACATTTACCTATATATTATCCATGTCTTTTTTTGTTCCTTCTTACGTCTTATACTTCCCTTTTAGCATCATTTACATTCTTTCTGATATTTCTTTTACTTCCTTGGTGAAAGACTGTTGGTAGTAAATTCACTTTTTGTTCACAGATATTATTGAATGATAGTTTTGCTGGATACACAATTGTAGGCTCATAGTTACTTTCTCTCAGCATTTTGAAGATATTTCATTGTCTTTTGGCTTTCTTTTTTATTTTATTTATTTTTCCATAGGTTATTGGAGTACAGGTGGTGTTTGGTTACAAGAGTAAATTCTTTACTGGTGATTTGTGAGATTTTGGTGCAACCATCACCTGAGAAGTATACACTGCACCCTATTTGTAGACTTTTATCCCTCGCCCCCCTCCCACCCTTTCCCCTGAGTCCCCCAAGTCCATTGCATCATTCATATGCCTTTGCATCCTCATAGTTTAGCTCCCACATATCAGCGAGAATATATGATGTTTGGTTTTCCATTCCTGAGTTACTTCACTTAGAATAATAGTCTCCAATCTCATCCAGGTCGCTGCGAATGCCGTTAATTCATTCTTTTTTATGGCTGAGTAGTATTCCATCATATATATACGTCATATATATGTACATATATATACGTCATATATATGTACATATATACATCATATATGTACATATATAGTCATATATATGTACATATATACGTCATATATATGTACATATATAGTCATATATATGTACATATATAGACGTCATATATATGTACATATATACGTCATATATATGTACATATATACGTCATATATATGTACATATATACGTCATATATATGTACATATATAGACGTATATATATGTACATATATACGTCATATATATGTACACATATACGTCATATATATGTGCATATACGTCATATATATGTACATATACGTCATATATGTACATATACGTCATATATATGTACATATATACGTCATATATATGTACATATACGTCATATATATGTACATATATATGGCATATATATATATTTTTTTCACAGTTCCTTTTTTTTTTTTTTTTTTTTTTTGAGACGGAGTCTCGCTCTGTCGCCCAGGCCAGACTGCGGACTGCAGTGGCGCAATCTCGGCTCACTGCAAGCTCCGCTTCCCGGGTTCACGCCATTCTCCTGCCTCAGCCTCCCGAGTAGCTGGGACTACAGGCGCCCGCCACCGCGCCCGGCTAATTTTTTGTATTTTTAGTAGAGACGGGGTTTCACCTTGTTAGCCAGGATGGTCTCGATCTCCTGACCTCATGATCCACCCGCCTCGGCCTCCCAAAGTGCTGGGATTACAGGCGTGAGCCACCGCGCCCGGCCTTCACAGTTTCTTTAACCACTAGTTGATTGATGGGCATTTGGGTTGGTTCCACGATTCTGCAATTGCGAATTGTGCTGCTATAAACACGCGTGTGCAAGTTTCTTTTTTGAATAATGACTTCTTTTCTTCTGGGTAGATACCCAGTAGTGGGATTGCTGGATCAAATGGCAGTTCTACTTTCAGTTCTTTAAGGAATCTCCACACTGTTTTCCATAGTGGCTGTACTAGTTTACATTCCCACCAGCAGTGTAGAAGCATTCCCTGATCACTACATCCATGCCAACATCTACTGTTTTTTTTTTTAATTTTTTGATTATGACCACTCTTGAAGGAGTAAGGTGGTATTGCATTGTGGTTTTGATTTGCATTTCCCTGATCATTAGTGATGTTGAGCATTTTTTCATATGTTTGTTGGCCATTTACATATTTTCTTTTGAGAATTGCCTATTCATGTCTTTAACCTATTTTTTGATGGGATTTTTTTTGCTTGCTGATTTGTCTAAGTTTGTTGCAGATTCTGGATATTAGTCCTTTGTCAAATGTATAGATTGTGAAGATTTTCTCTCACTCTGTGGGTTGTCTGTTTACTCTGCTGACTGTTCCTTTTGCCATGCAAAATCTCTTTAATTAAGTCCCAGCTATTTATCTTTGTTTGTATTGCGTTTGCTTTTGGCTTCTTGGTCATGAAATCCTTGCCTAAGCCAATATCTAGAAGGGTTTTTCCAGTTATCTTCTAGAATTTTTATACTTTCAGGTCTTAGATTTAAGTCCCTAATCCATCTTGAGTTGATTTTTGTACAAAGTGAGCGACAAGAATCCAGTTTCATTCTCCTACATGTGGCTTGCCAATTATCCCAGCCCCATTTGTTGAAAGGGGTGTCCTTTCCCCATTTTACGTTTTTGTTTGCTTTGTTGAAGATCAGTTGGCTGCAAGTATTTGGGTTTATTTCTGGGTTCTCTATTCTGTTCCATTGGTCTATGTGCCTATTTTTATACCAGTACCATGCTGTTTGGGTGACAATGGGCTTATAGTATAGTTTGAAATCAGGTTGTTTGATGCCTCTAGATTTGTTCTTTTTGCTTAATCTTGCTTTGGCTTTGTGGGCTCTTTTTTGGTTCCATATGAATTTTAGAATTCTTTTTTATAATTCTTTGAAGAATGATGGTGGTATTTTGATGGGGATTGCATCGAATTTATAGATTGCTTTTGACAGTATGGTCATTTTCACAATATTGACTCTACCCATCCATGAGCATGGGATGTGTTTCCATTTGTTTGTGTCATCTATGATTTCTTTCAGCAGTGTTTTGTAGTTTTCCCTGTAGAGGTCTTTTGCCTCCTTTGTTAGGTATATTCCTAAGTATTTTTTTTTTTTTTTGCAACTATCATGAAAAGGGTTGAGTTCTTGATTTGATTCTCTGCTGTTAGTATATAGGAGAGCTACTGATTTGTGTACATTAATCTTGTATCTGGAAACTTTGCTGAATTCTTTTATCAGTTCTAGGAGCTTTCTGGAGGAGTCTTTAGGGTTTTCAAGGAAAATAATCATATTGTCAGCAAACAGTGACACTTTGACTTCCTCTTTACTGATTTGGATGCCCTTTATTTTTTTCTCTTGTCTGATTCCTCTGGCTAGGACTTCCAGTACTATGTTGAAGAGGAGAGGTGACAGTGGGCATCCTTGTCTTGTTCCAGTTCTCAGAGGGAATGCTTTCAACTTTTCCCCATTCAGTATTATGTTGGCTGTGGGTTTGTCATAGATGGCTTTTATTACATTGAGGTATATCCCTTGTATGTTGATTTTGCTGAGAGTTTTAATCATAAAACGATGCTGGATTTTGCCGAATGCCTCTTCTGCATCTATTGAGATGATCATGTGATTTTTTTTTTTAATTCTGTGTATGTAGTGTTTCACATTTATTGACTTGTGTATGTTAAACCATCCCTGGATCCCTGATATGAAACCCACTTGATCATGGTGGATTATCATGGTTTTTGTTTTGTTTTGTTTTGTTTTTTGTTGTTGTTGTTGTTTTGAGATGGAATCTCCCTCTGTTGCCCAGGCTGGAGTGCAGTGGCACAATCTTGGCTCACTGCAACATCTGCCTCCCGGGTTCAAGCAATTCTCCTGCCTTAGCCCCCTGAGTAGCTGGGAGTCTCCCTCTGTCGCCCAGGCTGGAGTGCAGTGGCACGATCTCAGCTCACTGCAACCTCCGCCTCCTGGGTTCAAGCAGTTCTCCTGCCTCAGCCTCCTAAGCAGCTGGGATTACAGGCGCCTGCAACCATGCCCAGCTAATTTTTCTAATTTTAGTAGGGACAGGGTTTCACCAAGTTGGCCAGGCTGGTCTCAAACTCCTGACCTCAGGTGATCTGCCCACCTTGGCCTTCCAAAGTGCTGGGATTACAGGTGTGAGCCACTGTGCCCAGCTGGTGGATTATCTTTTTGATATGTTGTTGGATTTTGTTAACTAGTATTTTGTTATGGGTTTTAGCACCTATGTTCATCAGGAATAGTGGTCTGTAGTTTTCTTTTTTGGTTATGTCCTTTCCTGGTTTTGGTATTAGGGTGATGATGGCTTCATAGAAAGAATTAGGGAGGAATCTGTCTTTCTCTATCTTGTGGAATATTGTCAAAAGGATTGGTAGCAATTTTTCTTTGAATGTCTGGTAGAATTCTGCCATGAATCCATCTGATCCTGGATTTTTATGGTTGGTAATTTTTAAATTACCATTTCAATCTCGCTACTTTTTATTGGTCTGTTCAGGGTATCTATTTCTTCCTGATTTAAGCTAGGAGGGTTGTATTTTTCCAGGAATTTATCCACTCCTTCTAGATTTTCTAGTTTATGTGCATAAAGGTGTTCATAGTAGCACTGAATGATCTTTTGTATTTCTGTAGTGTCAGTTGTAATATCTCCTGTTACGTTTCTTATTGAGGTTATTTGGATTTTCTTTCTTCGTTTCTTGGTTAATCCTGCTAATGGCCTATCAATTTTATTTATCTTTTCAAAGAACCAGCTTTTTGTTTCACTTATCTTTTGTATTTTTTTTTTGTTTCAATTTCATTTAGTTCTGCTCTGATCTTCGTTGTTTCCTTTCTTCTGCTGGGTTTGGGTTTGTTTTTTTTTCTTGTTTCTCTAGTTCCTTGAAGTATAACCTTAGAATGTCAGTTTGTGTCCTTTCAATCTTTTTGATGTAGGCATTTAGGGTTATGAACTTTCCTCTTAGCACCACCTTTGCTGTATTTCAGAGGTTTTGATAGGTTGCCTCATTATTGTCATTCAGTTTGAAGAACTTTTTAATTTCCATCTTGATGTTGTTTTTGACCCAATGATTATTCAGGAGCAAGTTATTTAATTTCCATATATTTGCATGGTTTTGAAAGTTCCTTTTGGAGTTGATTTCCAATTTTATTCCACTGTGGTCCAAGAGAGTTCTTGATATAATTTTAATTTTCTTAAATTTATTGAGGTCATTATGTGGCCTATCAGATGGTCTATCTTGGAGAAAGTTCCATGCAGTGTTGAATAGAAAGTGTATTCTGCAGTTGTTAGATGCAATGTTCTGTATATATCTGTTAAGTCTATTTGTTCCAAGGTATAGTTTAAATCCATTGTTTCTTTGTTGACTTTCTGTCTTGATGACCTATCTAGTGCTGTCAGTAGAGTATTGAGGTCCACCACTATTATTGTGTTGCTGTTTATCTCATTCCTTAGGTCTATTAGTAATTGTTTTATAAATGTGGGAACTCCAGTGTTAGGTGCATATATGTTTAGGATTGTGTTATTTTCCTGTTGGACAAGGCCTTTTACCATTATATAATGTCCCTCTTTGTCTTTTTTAACTGCTATTGCATTAAAGTTTGTTTTGTCTGACATGAAAATAGCTATCCCTGCTCTCTTTTGGTGTCCATTTGCATGAAATGCCTTTTTCCACTCCTTTACTTTAAGTTTATGCAAGTCCTTATGTGTTAGGTGAGTCTCTTGAAGGCAGCAGATAGTTGGTTGGTGAGTTCTCATCCAGTCTGCAGTTCTGTATCTTTTAAGTGGAGCATTTAGGTCATTTATATTCAATGTTAGTATTGAGATGTGAGGTACCATTGCATTCATCGTGCTATTTGTTGCCTTGTACCTTGGTTTTCGATTTTTTGTTTATGCTTTTTAAACTGTATTTTTGTTTTATAGGTCCTGTGAGATTTATGCTTTAAAGAGGTTCCATCTTGATGTGTTTCCAGGATTTGTTTCAAGATTTAGAGCTCCTTCTAGCAGTTCTTGTAGTGGTGGCTTGTTAGTGGCAAATTGTCTTAGCATTTGTTTGTCTGAAAAAGACTCTATCTCTCCTTTACACGTGATGGTTAGTTTCACGGGATACAAAATTCTTGGCGATAATTGTTTTGTTTGAGGAGGCTGAAGATAGGGCCCCAATCCCCTCTAGCTTGTAGGGTTCCTGCTGAAAAATTTGCTGTTAATCTGATAGGTTTTCCTTTATAGGTTACCTAGTGCTTTTGTCTCACGGCTCTTAAGATTCTTTCCTTCACCTTAACTTTAGATAACCTGATGACAGTGTGCCTAGATGATGATCTTTTTGCAAAGAATTTCTCAAGTGTTCTTTGTGCTTCTTGTATTTGGATGTCTAGGTCTCTAGCAAGGCTGGGGAAGTTTTCCTCGATTATTCCCCCAAATATATTTTCCAAACTTTAGGTTTCTCTTCTTCCTCAGGAACACCAATTATTCTTAGGTTTGGTTGTTTAACATAATCCCAGACTTCTTGGAGGCTTTGTTCATATTTTCTTATTCTTTTTTCTTTGTCTTTGTTGGATTGGGTTAATTCAAAGACTTTGAGCTCTGAATTTCTTTCTTCTATTTGCTCAATTCTATTGCAGAGACTTTCCAGAGCATTTTGCATTTCTGTAAGTGTGTCCAATGTTTCCTGAAGTTTTGTTTTTTCTTGATGCTATCTATTTCCTTGAATATTTCTCCCTCCACTTCTTGTACCAGTTTTTGGATTTCCTTGCATTGGGCTTCGCCTTTCTCTGGAGCCTCCATGATTAGCTTAATAACTAACCTCCTGAATTCTTTTTCAGTTAAATCAGGGATTTCTTCTTGGTTTGGCCCCAATGCTGGTGAGCTAGTGTGATTTTTTGGGGAGTGTTAAAGAGCCTTGTTTTGTCGTATTACCAGAGTTGGTTTCCTGGTTCCATCTCATTTGGGTAGGCTCTGTCAGAAGGAAAGTCTAGGGCTGAAGGCTGTTGTTTACATTCTTTTATCCATTGAGTGTTCCTTTGATGTAGTACTCTCCCCACCTTTCTTATGGATGTGGCTTCCTGAGAACCGAGCTGCAGCGATTGTTATCTTTCTTCTGGGTCTAGCCACCCAGCAAGTCTACCAGGCTCTGGGCTGGTACTGGGGGCTGTCTGCACAGAGTCCCGTGATGTGAACTATCTATGGGTCTCTCGGCCGTGAATACCAGCACCTGTTCCAGTGGAGATGGCAGGGGGTTGAAATGGACTCTGTGAAGGTTCTTAGCTTTGGTGGTTTAATGTCCTATTTTTGTGCTTGTTGGCCTCCTGCTGGGAGGTGGTGCTTTCCAGAGAGCATCAGCTGTGGTATTATGGAGAGAAACCAGTGGTGGACAGGGCCCTAGAACTCTCAAGGGTATATGCCCTTTGTCTTCAGCAACCAGGGTGGGTAGGGAAGGACCATCAGGTGGGGGTGGGGCTAGGCATGTCTGAGCTCAGACTCTCCTTGGGTGGGTCTTGCTGAGGCTGCTGTGAGGGATGGGGGTGAGGTGCCCAGGTCAATGGAGTTGTATACCAAGTGATTATGGCTGCCTCTGCTGAGTCATGCAGGTTGTCAGGGAAGTGGGGAAAAGCTGGCAATCACAGGCCTCATCCAGCTCCCACACAATCCAAAGGGCCAGTCTCACTCCCACCATGCCCCTCAACAGCACCAAGTCTCTTTCCAGACAGTGGGCAAGCAGGGCTGAGAACTTGCCCCAGGCTACCCACCTCCCAGAGTATTTGGGGTGTCTCCCAAGTCCTGCAGGAGCAGTCTGCTTCCTTCAGAGGGTCTGTGGGTTGTCTTGGGATTCTCGATTTATTTCTGCAGTCATTCTGGAGCTAAAATTCATGATGCCAGCCTCCACACGCTGCTCTGTCCATCCACATTAGAGCTGCAATCTAGTTCTGGCTCCCATCTGCCATGATAATCTGAATAATCAGCTCTGCAGTCTGTACAGAAGCTCCATGTTGGAGCTGCAATCTAGTTCTGCCTCCCATCTGCCATGATAATCTGAGTAATCAGTTCTGCAGTCTGTACTCAAGCTATGTTTCTTGAGGGTAGGCCTCAAGAAACCTACAATCATGGCAGAAGGCAAAGGGGAGGCAAGCACATCTTCACACGGCAACAGGAGAGGGTGTCTTTTGGCTTTCATTATTCCTACTGAGAAGTCTGAAAACTAATCTGTAATTCTATTATAAAGATTTTTCTTTTATCTCTGGCTACATTTCAGATCTTCTGTTTTTTTTTTTTCTTTGTTGTTCAACTTCAGTATAATGTATGAAAGGGGATTACGTTTTGTTTTGGCTAATATTGTGCCTATTAATATTTTATCTGGATTCATGTCTTTCATCAATTTTTAAGAAATTTCAACCCAAATCCATTGAATATTGCCTCTCCTCTATCCTCTTTATTCCTTCCTCTCTGGCACTCACATTAGATGTATATTAGATTTTCTCATTCTATCCTTCTTATACCTTATTTCATGTTTTCTCTTTTTTCCCTTCGGTGCTACAGTCTAGGAAGTTCCTTCAGATATATCTTCTGGTTCACAAATCCTCTCTTCAGCTGTGTCTAATATGATATCTAGTTTATCCAATGAGTTTTGTTTTTGTTTTTTGAGACAGAGTCTTGCTCTCGTTGCCCAGGCTGGAGTGCAAAGATATGATCTTGGCTCACTGCAACCTCTGCCTCCTGGTTCAAGTGATTCTCCTGCCTCAGCCTCCCAAGTAGCTGGGATTACAGGCACCCACCACCATGCCTGGCTAATTTTTTGTATTTTTAGTGGATTGGGGGTTTCACCATGTTGGCTAGGCTGGTCTCAAACTCCTGGTCTCAGGTGATCCACCTGCCTTGGCTTCCCAAAGTGCTAGGATTACAGGCATGGGCCACCGCACCCAGCCTATCCAATGAGTTTTAAATACTAGCAATTACGTTTTTCATTTTTAAAGATTCTAGTGCCTAGTCCTTCTAAATAGTCTATTGCTGATTTTTGGCCGGGCCCTGTGGCTCATACCTGTAATCCCAGCACTTTAGGAGGCCGAGGTGGGTGGATCACGAGGTCAGGAGATCGAGACCATCCTGGCTAACACGGTGAAACCCTGTCTCTACTAAAAACACACAAAAAATTAGCTGGGTGTGGTGGTGGGCGCCTGTAGTCCCAGCTACTCAGGAGGCTGAGGCAGGAGAATGGCGTGAACCCTGGAGGTGGAGCTTGCAGTGAGCCAAGATCTCGCCACTGCACTCCAGCTGGGTGACAGAGCAAGACTCCGTCTCAAAAAAACAAAACAAAACAAAACAATAGTCTATTGCTCATTTTTAATTCTACCTTTTAGTTCTTTAAACAATTTACATATTTTTTTATTCTATACCTAAAAATATTAATATCTGAAGTCCTTGGGAGGCTTAATATGTTTGTTGTTTCTGTTGGCTTTCACTATTAATGGTTTGTTTCCTTATGTGTTTGGTGATCTTTGAACTGATATTTGGTTGATTTTAATCTGTGGGATCTTAAGTGCTTCTAAACTTTAGCCCATTGAATTAATTTCAGTTATTATATTTAATTATATTAGATATGTATGTTAAATATATTAATTATTTGTGATCTTTTTATTGTAATCCATTCGATTTCACTGCAACTTTATCTGGTTATATTCTTTGAAGCCTTAGATGAAGTTGGGTTTCTATATAAATAATTTGCATTTGATGTTGTCAGGATCAAATCTTGGGATGTTACTAAGCTAGAACCTGTTTTAAACTAAATTCTCAGCTTGAAGCTTTGTAGTCTACTCAGTGTTACTTTGGATAGCAAATCCGTGTGAGTGGTATTTATAGTTACATATTTTGGGGAGAGGGAATTTCTAGCTTTTCCCCCTTCCATTAGGCAGTTTTCCCAGTAAACATGGGGATGGCGATAGGAGGTGAGGATTTGTTGGTTATATGTGGTTCATTTAAAAAGCTTTTTATTTTAAAATAATTATGGAGTTATTGGTAGTTGCAAAGATAGCACTAAAAAGTCAAGTGTACATTTTATGCAGTTTCCTACAATGGTTACATCTCTGTCACTGAAATACAGTATCAAAATCTGGAGACTGACATTAATACAATGTGTGTGTAGATTCATGAAACCACCACAAAAAAACAGGGCATAGAGTTATTCCATCAGGACAAAAATCTCCTTCATGCTACCTAACCTTCTTAACCCTAGCAACTACTAATCTATTCTCTGTCTGCATAATTTTGTCATTTCATTGTTATATACTTGGAATCATATATGACATTTTAAAATTGGCTTCTTTTCACTCAACATAATGCCCTTGTCCATCTAACTTGTTGCATCTATCAATCGTTCATACCTTTTAACTGCTTAGTTATATTCTATGGTAAGGCTATACTAGTTTATTTAAGCATTCTCCTATTGAAGGACATTTTGGTTGTTTTTAGTTTTTGGCTTTTAAAATAAAGCTTTCATGAACATCTGTAAATAGTTTTTTTGTGTGTGGACATTTGTATTTCTCTGGGATAAATATCTAGGGGTACAATTGCTGGGTCATATGGTAAGTGTATGTTCACATGTATGTTTTTAAGAAACCATATGTCTGTTTTTTGGTGTACACACGTTTAGCATTGCTATGTCTTCTTGGTGGACTGAGGGCCTTTTATTATTATGTAATGTCTCTCACCATCCTTGTAATCTTCTCTGCTGTAAGTCTACTTTATCTGATATTTATATAGCCATTCCTACTTTCTCTTTTTTCCATTCCAGCTTCCTTTTTTTGTCTGGATACAGGGTCTTTCTCTGTTACCCAGGCTGGAGTGCAGTGGTGCTATCATAGCTCACCATAACCTCGAACTCCTGGGCTCAAGTGATCCTCCCACATAGCTGGGACTATAGACATGCACTACCATACCTGGCTAATTTTTTTAGCGACGAGGTCTCCCTATGTTGCTCAGGCTGGTCTCGAACTCCTGGCCTCAAGCAGTCCTCCCACCTCAGCCCCTCAAAGTGCTAGGATTACACGTGTAATCCAGCTTTCTTTTGATTAATGTAGCCATGTGTATTTTTCCCTCCTTTTTTTTTTAACCTACCTAGATCACATTTGAAGTATACTATATATATAAGAACAAGGCGGGTGCAGGGGCTCACGCCTGTAGTCCTAGCACTTTGGGAGGCCAAGGTGGGCAGATGACTTGAGGCCAGGAGTTTTGAGACCAGCCTGGCCAACATGGCGAAATTCCATCTCTACTAAAAATACAAAAATTAACTGGGCGTGGTGGTACACCTCTGTAATCCCAGCTACTGGAGACGCTGAGGCACAAGAATTGTTTGAATCCAGGAGGCGGAAGATGCAGTGAGCTGAGATCGCATCACCACCTTCCAGCCTGGGTGACAGAGCAAGACTCTGTCTTTAAAAAAAAAAAAATTATATGCTGGGTCATGAGTGTGACTCATTTTTAAAGTATAGCCATGGGACAGACTCCAGCTTTATGGGAGTGTCTTCCCTACTTCCCAACTTGGACAAGTTTTATTCTTTAACCATTTCCTTCCAAGGCCTATGAAACCACTGAAGTCAATATTAAAAGTTAACATTTTGGCGAATACCCTCAAGATCAAAGTCAACTTCCGTGTTCCAGTTCCCTGTCTAAGTTTCTATCGTCACACCGAGTCCTTAACCTATGTATTCTCCCTCTTTAATAGTTTTCAGTGGGGAGCTTGGTATGTACATGTAAACTACCATGTTGCTGGAGAACTAATTTAATTCTCAAAACAACTCTCTGATGGGTATCATTGCTCTCACTTTAAAGATCATGAAACTGTATGACATTGTGAAAGATGATATATTAGGCCGGGTGCACCTGGCTCACGCCTGTAATCCCAGCACTTTGGGAGGCCGAGGCAGGTGGATCACGAGGTCAGGAGATCAAGACCATCCTGGCCAACATGGTGAAACCCCGTCTCTACTAAAATACAAAAAATTAGCCGAGTGTGGTGGCACGTGCCCGTAGTCCCAGCTACTGGGGAGGCTGAGGCAGAGGAATCACTTGAACCCAAGAGGCAAAGGTTGCAATGAGCCGAGATTGCGCCACTGCACTCCAGCCTGGAGACAGAGCAAGACTCCCTCTCAAAAAAAAAAAAAAGATATATTAATAATACAGTGGAAATACATGAGATTTGCAACAGGCAGAACTGGGCTTGAATTCTGACTTCATCGTTTAGTTATTTTATTAGTTTAAGCAACTTATTTAACCTCTTTAAGCTTTATTTTACTCATTCATTTTATAGTATTTTCTGTAGTGTTGCTGGGGGTATTAAATGAGATAATGCATTGCAATGCTTAGCATTTTATTAAGTACTGGGCCCTAAACAAACGGTAGTTGCTTCTATTATTGTTCTAATTATTATTAAAGAGTCAATAACATGCCCATGGTCATTCAGCTAGCACAGAGCAGCAGGCTGGGATTCAGAATTAAGTCCGTGAATCTAAAGCCCATGTTCCTTTCCCTACACCATGTTGCTTTCCTTATCTTCTTTAAAAAGTATTCACAGATGGAAAAAAAAAAAAGAAAAATAATAATTCACAGGTCTTTCGTACATTTATCTACATCCTAGCTAAATAATCCACAAATATTTAAATGGCTAGGGCCTGTGGGGAATAGGAAGAAAAAAGAAGTCTTAGTACTTAACCTCATATATTCCTAACAGGACAATGATTCCCTCAAGAGCAGTTTAATATAGTTATTAAATATTCAGGCTTTAGAATAAAAGACTTGGGACTTGGATTTGAGTTCCAACTTCTTAACCTCTAAGATTCTCAATTACTGGTCTGTTAAATGGGGTAAAAATAACATTAACTCCCTTTTAGGAATATTGGGGGCATAAGATAAAGCAGTATATTTAAAACAGGACCCAGGACAGGCATGGTGCTCATGCCTATAAACCCAGCTACTCAGGAGACCGAAGCGGCTAGATTGCTTGAGGCCAGGAGTTTGAGACCAGCCTGAGCAACACAGCAAGACCATCTCTTAAAAACAAACAAACAAAAGCTGGGCACAATGGCTCATACCTGTAATCTCAGCACTTTGGGAGGCTGAAGCAGGAGGATTTCTTAAGACTAGGAGTTCAAGACCAGTCTAGGAAACATGGCAAGACCCTGTCTCTACAAAAAAATGAAAAAATTAGCTGGGCATGGTGGCACATGCCTGTAGTCCTAGCTACTTGGGAGGCTGAGGCAGGAGGATTACTTGAGACCAGGAGGTAAAGGTTACAGTGAGCCATGATCGTGTCCCTGCACTCCAGCTTGAGTGACACAGCAAGACCATGTCTCTTAAAAAACCAAAACATACATCTATACATACATAATACGTTTTAAAAAGCTGGGCGTGGTGGCACATGCCTGTAGTCCCAGCTATTGGAGAGGCTGAAGCAGGAGAATTGCTTGAGCCCAGGAGTTTGAGGCTGCAGTGAGCTATAATTATACCACTGCACTCCAGCCTGAGAGACAGAGTGAGACCCCCATCTCTAAAAAAAAAGTGTTTTAAATAACAACAAGAACAGAAACAGGGCCTGAAACATGGTAAATGCTCCCAAATGGTGGTAGCTCTTATTACCAAAGAGACTGTGTCGTCTATGTTTTTATTCCTCCCATTAGTTGGGTCAGTTAACATTTACTGCCCCTAAGTACACTAAAAAAATATATCGCAATCATCTTGCCTGATACTAAACAAGGCATTAAATTAAAAGGAAACTAAATATGATTCTTCATAGCCAGAAGCTTATTACTTAAAATAGAGAACTCTGCTGCAGAGCTGGCTTCACCATCTGTGAGTTCAAACTACAGAAACACTTGGAACTATCATTCTATCTTAACGTTCAAGTATCTTGGCATGTACAATCAGAGAAAGTCTCTATTTCTGCTTTGGAAAAGAATTTTCTCTCCTATCCCACAAGGAAAAATAGACCCCTCAAAAAGTTGTTTTCAGTGTTTTATAAGAACCTATAATACTTTTCAATCTCATGGCATAAAGTGATAAAAAAATACACAGAGTGAAACACAGTCAGGCATCACTTAATGATGGAGAACATTCTGAGAAATACATCGTTAGGCAATTTTGTTGTGCAACCATGATAAGAGTGCACTTACATAAACCTAGATGGTATAGTCTGCTGCACACCTAGGGTAGATGGTATAGCCTGTTACTTCTAGGCTACACACCTGTTCCGCTGTACTAAGTATTGTAGACAGCTGTGATACAGTAGAAAGCATTTGTATATCTAAACACAGAAAAGGTACAGTAGGCCAGGCTTAGTGGCTCATGCCTGTAATCTCAACACTTTGGGAGGCTGAGGCGGGTGGATCACAGGAGGCCAGGAGTTCGAGACCAGCCTGGTCAACATGGTGAAACCCTGTCTTTACTACAAATACAAAAATTAGCTGAATGCCAGGTGCGGTGGCTCATGCCTGTAATCCCAGCACTTTGGGAGGCCGATGTGGGCAGATCACCTGAGGTTGGGAGTTCAAGACCAGCCTGACCAACATGGAGAAACCCCGTCTCTACTAAAAATACAAAAATTAGCAGGGCATGGTGGCGCATGTCTGTAATCCCAGCTACTTGGGAGGCTGAGGCAGGAGAATCACTTGAACTTGGGAGGTGGAGGCTGCAGTGAGCCGAGATCGTGCCACTGCACTCCATCCTGGGCAACAGAGCAAGACTCTGTCTGGAAAAAAAAAAAAAGGTACCATAAAAATACGGAAAAATAATCTTATAGACCACCATCGTGTGTGTGGTCTGTCATTAACTTAAATGTCATTATGTGGCACATGAATGTATATAAAAGGTTTGACCTTCCTCTGCCCATAATCAGGAAAATGTGTATCAGTAAAATTCAGACCATAATTACCTTCTTCTTTTGTTCTTCCCCAGCCACTTATAAAACACTTTGTGTTTCCGTCCAGGATTTGGAAAACATCAAAAGGTAGGCAAATAGGCTGAATATAGTCATTATACCTCACTGCTTTTTTTAAGTGAAAAAGTGCAATATCATTTACATAAGATTCCAAAATGAAGTTTGGATGAATAATGATTGCTTTAATTTTTATCTTCTTGGTATGAGGATAGCGTCCATGTATATTATTAGTTCCAATCACAGCTGTCCACATTAAAGGATCGCTGAAAGAAAGTAAACATTCTTATTATAAATATCTTTAATTAACTAAGTACATATTCTTAATCTCCCACTAGTTTTCTTCTCATGTTAGATTAATAAAAAACTTTAATTCCAGTTTCATGTGACATAAAATATCAAATAACACAAATATCATGATCTAGGGAAGGAGAAAAAGACCAATGGGACAGAAAATCCAGAAACTGATTCAAGTACATGAGAATTTAATATGTTATTAAGGCAGCATTTTGTACCAATGGACAAAAGAATGAATTATTCAATATGTGGTATTGGGGCAACTAGCTGTTTGAAAAGAGAAATAAAACTAGATCCCTGAAATAACACTAAACACCAAAATAAACTCCAAATGGATTAAATATTTAAATGTACAAATCTATTTAGTAAAGAGTTCCCATCTTTTAGAGATACACAAAGAGATATGTCTGAGTTTTGCTTCAAAATAATTGGAGGGAGAATGGTGAGGGTATAGGTGAAACAAGATCAGGTATCAGTTGATAACGGGAAGCTAGGTGATGGGTACATGGGAGATCGATAAAATATTCCCTCTACTTTTATAATTTTTTTGAAACTTACTGGAATGAAACATTTGGATATTAACTTAGCATGTGAATTAAAAAACTAAACCAGGGCTGGGTGCAGTGGCTCACGCCTGTAATCCCAGCACTTTGGGAGGCCAAGGCAGGCAGATCACGAGGTCAGGAGATCGAGACCATCCTGGCTAACATGGTGAAACCCTGTCTCTACTAAAAATACAAAAAACAACAACAAAAAAATTAGCCGGGCGTGATGGCGGACACCTGTAGTTCCAGCTACTCGGGAGGCTGAGGCAGGAGAATGGCATGAACCCGGGAGGCGGGGCTTGCAGTGAGCCGAGATCGTGCCACTGCACTCCAGCCTGGGCGACAGAGCGAGCCTCTGTCTCAAAACAACAACAACAACAACAACAACAACGACAACAACGACAACAACAACAACAACAAAAAACTAAACCAGAAAAAAATCTAGATGAATATATAACATTGACGCAAGAAAGGATTTGATAAAGCATGACACTAAAGGTAAAAACAAGAAGCAACTCATCGATCTTGGCCATCTTAAAGCAAGCAAGCAAGCAAGCAAAAAACTAAACCCAAAACAATTGAAACAATCAACAATTAAAACCACGAGAGGTTAACAGTAGTTAACTTCTGGAATCAAATTAGGAAGGAAGAACTTTCACTTTATACACTGTTGCTTACAGATAACTTTTCATCCTTCAAATTGGCAATGTTTATGTGAGTGCATGCATATGTGTGTGTGTGTTCGATGATAACAGTGCAGACGAGTTAGAGGAACAAGGGTACTCTTATTCATGGCAGAAAGTGTAAATAGATGGGCAATTTGGCAACGTGTATCAATAGCCTAAAAAAGCTGCATTTGCATTTGACTCTGCAATTCTGCTTCCTAGAATTTATCCCAAGGAAATAAAAGATGAACACAAAAATTTAGCTATAAAAATATTTACCACAGAAATTTTGGCATATCTACAAAGTGGAATACAGGAGCAAAATACATATGTTGACAAGGAAAAATGCTTATGTTATATAATTTAATGTAAAAGGCTATTTCACAGTTTAGCTATATAAGCCTGTTATATAAAATAATTTGCATATATGGCTAGAAAAATCTAGAAAACTATGTAAAAAAAATTAACAGCTATTATTTCTAGGAAGTGTAATAAATGATTCTTATTTTTTTCTCATTTCTGTTTTCTCATTTTCTTACATTAAATATGTTCTAGGCCGGGCATGGTGGCTCATGCCTGTAATCCCAACACTTTGGGAGGCCGAGACAGGCAGATTGCTTGAGCCCAGGAGTTTGAGCCCACCCTGGGCAACATGGCGAAACCCTGTCTCTGTAAAAAAAAAATACAAAAATTAGCCGGATGTCGTGGCACATGCCTGTAGTCCCACCTACTTGAGAGGCTAAGGTGGGAGGATTGCTTGAGCCCAGGAGGTTAAGGCTGCAGTGAGCCATGACTATGCCACTGCACTCAAGCCTGAGCAACAGAGTGAGACCCTGTCTCAAAAACAAACAAGTAACAACAACAACAAAAAAACCACAAAAATGTTCTACTTATTTTTTTTTTAATATAAAACAGCAGATACACTTATCATTTGACAAGGTAGTCTCACTCTTGGGTATTTACAGAAGTGAAATGAAAACCTAGATTCACACAAATGTTTATAGTGGTTTTACTCATAATTGACCAAATTGGAAACAAATATCCTTCAAATAGTAGATGGATTAACAAACAGTGGTACATTCATATGTATTTGGCCATTCTTGCTTTGTTATAAAGAAATACTTGAGGCTGGGTAATTTATAAAGAAAAGAGATTTAATTGGCTCACAGTTCTGCAGGCTGCACAGGAACCATCGTGCTGGCATTGCTTGTGGTGAGGGCTTCAGGGAACTTACAATCATGAGGTAAGGGGAAAGGGGAACAGGAGCATTGCATGATGAGAAGGAGCAAGATAGCAAGTGGGGAGGTGCCAAACACTTTTATTTATATCTTTTCCCTAACTTTTATTTTAGGTTCGGGGGTACACGTGCTGGTTTGTTACATGGGTAAACTGTGTGTGGCAGGGTTTTGGTGTACAGATTATTTCACCACCCATGTAATGAGCATAGTACCCAATAGTTAGTTTTTCAATCCACTTCTCCACCCTCAAGTAGGCCCCAGTGTCTGTTATTCCCTTCTTCATGTCCATGTGTACTCAATGTTGGGCTCCCACTTATGAGAGATAACAACATGTAATATTCGGTTTTCTGTTCCTGTATTAATTTACTTAGGGTAATGGCCTCTAGCTCCAGCCAAGTTGCTACAAAGGAGATGATTTCATTCTTTTTCATGACTGCGTAGTATTCCATGGTGTATATGTACCACATTTTCTTTATCCAGTCCATCATTGATGAGCATCTAGGTTGATTCCATGTCTTTGCTATTGTGAATAGTGCTGCAATAAACATATGCATGCATGTGTCTTTATGGTAGAATTATTTATATTTCTTTAGGTGTATATCCAGTAATGGGATTGCTGGGTCAAACAATAGCTCTGTTTTAAGTTATCTGAGAAATCTCCGTACTGGTTTCCACGGGGACTGAACTAATTTCCATTCCCAACAGCAGTGTATAAGCATTTGCTTTCTCCATAGCCTTGCTAGAATCTGTTATTTTTTTACTTTTTAAGAATAGCCATTCTGACTGGTGTGGGATAGTATCTCATTGTGGTTTTGATTTGCATTTCTCTGATGATTAGTGATGTTGAGCATTTTTTCATATGTTTCTTGGCCATATGTATGTCTTTTGAGAAGTGTCTGTTCATGTCCTTCGCTCATTTTAAAATGGGGTTGTCTGGTTTTTGCTTGCTAATTTAAGTTCCTTATAGATCCTAGATATTAGACCTTTACTGAATGCATAGTTCATAAATATTCTGTAGGTTATCTGTTTACTCTGTTGATAGTTTCTTTTACTGTGCAGAAGCTCTTTAGTTTTATTAGGTTCCACTTGTCAATTTTTGTTTTTGTTGCAATTGCTTTTGGAGTCTTTGTCATGATGTCCTTGCCAGCAGCTTTGTTTCTGGGTTCTCTAACCTGTTCCATTGGTCTGTGTGTCTGTTTTTGTACCAGTACTGTGCTGTTTTAGTTACTGTAGCCTTCCAGTACAGTTTGAAGTCAGGTAGTATGATGCCTCCAGCTTTGTTCTTTATGCTTAGGATTCCTTTGGCTATTTGGGCTCTCTTTTGGTTCCACGTGAATTTTAGAATAGTTTTTAAAATTCTGTGTAAAATGTTGTCGGTAATTTGACTGGAATAGTGTTGAATCTGTAAGTTGCTTTGGACAGTATGGCCATTTTAACAATAATGATTCTTCCTATCCATGAGCATGGAATGTTTCTCCATTTGTTTTTATCATCTATGATTTCTTTCAGAAGTGTTTTATAATTCTTTTTGTAGAGAGCTTTCACATCCCTGGTTAGATGTATCCTTAGATATTTTATTCTTTTTTTGGCTATTGAGAATGGGATTGCATTCTTGATTTGACTGTCAGCTTAGACTTCATTGGTGTATAGAAATGCTGCTGATTTTTGTACATTGACTTTTTTTTTATCCTGAAGTTTTGCTGAAGTTGTTTATCAAATCTGGGAGCCTTTGGCCAGAGACTATAGGGTTTTCTAGGTATAGAATCGTAGTGTCTACAAACAGAGATAGTTTGACTTCCTCTCTTCCTATTTGGATGCCTTTTATTTCTCTCTCTTGCCTGGTTGCTCTGGTTAGGACTTCCAGTACTATGTTGAATAAGAGTGGTGATAGTGGGCATCCTTGTCTTGTTCCAGTTCTCAAGGGCATTTCCAGCTTTTGCCTGTTCAGTATGATATTGGCTGAGGGTTTGTCATAGATGGCTCTTATTATTTTGAGGTATGTTCCTTTAATGCCCAGTTTGTTGAGGGTTTTTAACATGAAGAGATGTTGAATTTTATCAAAAGCCTTTTCTGTATCTATTGAGATGATGTGGTTTTTGTTTTTAGTTTGTTTAGTTCTGTTTTAGTCCAGCATATGTTGAACCAATTTTGCATCCCAGGAATAAAGCCTACTTGATCATGGTGGATTAGTTTTTGATGTGCTGCTGGATTCAGTTTGCCAGTATTTTGTTGAGTATTTCTGCATCTGTGTTTATGAGGAATATTGGCCTGAAATTTTCTTTTAGATTGTGTCTCTGGCAGGTTTCAGTTATCAAAATGATGCTGGCTTTGTAGAATGAATTAGGGAGGAGTCCCTAATTCCAATTTTTTTGAATAGTTTTAGTAGGACTGGTACCACCTCTTTTATACACCTGGTAGAATTTGACTGTGAATCCTTCTGGTCCAGGACTTTTTCCAGTTAGTACTTTTTTTATTACTGATTTAGTGTTGGAACTTGTTATTGGTCTGTTCAGGGTTTCAATTTCTTCCTGGTTCTATTTTTTGAGGTTGTATGTTCCAGGAATTTATCCACTAGGTTTTCTAGTTTGTGTACATTCAGATGTTCATAATAGTCTCTGAAGGTATTTTATATTTCTGTGGGGTTGGTGGTACTGTCCCCTTTGTCATTTCTGATTTTGTTTATTTGGATCTTCTCTCTCCTTCTTCTTTTTTTTTTTTTTTTTTGTTAGTCTAGCTAGTGGTCTATCAATCTTATTTATTCTTTCAAAAAACTTTTGGTTTTGTTGATCTTTTGTATGTTTTTTTGTGTCACAATTTCATTCAATTCAGCTGTGATTTTGGTTAATTCTTTTCTTCTGCTAGCTTTGGGGTTGGTTTGTTCATTTTTCTCATTCCTCTAGGTATGATGTTAGGTTGTTAGTTTGAGATCTTTCTAATTTTGGTGTGGGCATTTAGCACCATAAACTTTCCTCTTAACATTGCTTTAGCTGTTTGCCAGAGATTCTGGTATGTTGTATCCTTGTTTTTGTTAGTTTCAAAGAATTTCTTGATTTCTACCTTAATTTCAGCATTTACCCGAAAATCATTCAAGAGAAGATTGTTTAATTTCCATGTTATTATATGGTTTTGAGAGATGGTGGCATTGATTTCTATTTTTATCACGTTGTGATCCAAGAGTGTGGATGGTATGATTTTGGGTTTTAAAAATTTGTTAAGAATTGTCTTATGGCTGAGTGTGTGGTCTATTTTAGAGTATGTGTTATGTGTGGATTACAAAAATGTATATTCTGTTGTTTTTGGGTGGAGTGTCTGTAGATAGCTATTAGGTCCATTTTGTCAAGCGTCAAGTTTAGATCTCAAATATCTTTGTAAGTGTTCTACCTCAGTGATCTGTCTAATACTGTCAGTGGGGTGTTAAAGTCTCCCACTATTATTGTGTGGTTATCTAAGTCTCTTCATAGGTCTCCAATAACTTGTTTTATGAATCTAGGTCCTCCAGTGTTAGGATAGGTAAGTCTTCTTGTTGAATTGAACCCTTTATCATTATGTAATGCTCTTTTTTGTCCCTTTTGGTCATTTTGGTTTAAAGTCTATTTTGTCAGACTGGGTGTGGTGGCTCATGCCTGTAATTCCGGTACTTTGGAAGGCCAAGATGGTTCACGAAGTCAGGAGTTCAAGACGAACCTGATCAAGATGGTGAAACCCCGTCTCTACTAAAAATACAAAAATTAGCTGGGTGTGGTGGCAGGCGCCTATAATCCCAGCTACTGGGGAGGCTGATGTAGGAGAATTGCTTGAACCTGGGCGGCAGAGGTTGCAGTGAGTCAAGATTGTGCCACTGCACTCCAGCCTGGGCGACAGAGAAAGACTCCATCTCAAAAAAATAAATAAAGTCTATTTTGTCTAAAATAAGAATAGCAACCCCTGCTCTTTTTTGTTTTCCATTTACTTGATAGATTTTGCTCCATCCCTCTACTTTGAGCATATGGATGTCATTGCATGTGAGATGTGCCTCTCTTAAAGACAATGTACAGGTGGGTCTTGTTTTTTATCCAACTTGCCACTCTGTGCCTTATAAATGGGGTGTTTAACCTTTTTACATTAAAAGTTGATATATGCAGATTTGATATTGTCATTGTGTTGTTAGCTTGTTTATGTAAACTTGATTGTGTAGTTGCTTTATAGTGTCAATGGTCTATGTATTTAAGTGTGTTTTTGTGGTGGCTGGTAATGGTCTTTCATTTCCATTTTTAGTACTCACTTAAGGATCTCTTGTAAGGCAGGTCTGGTGGTAATTAATTCCCTTAGCATTTGCTTGTCTGAAAAGGATATTATTTCTCCTTCACTTACAAAGCTTAGTTTGGCTGGATATGAAATTCTTGGTTGGAATTAATTTTCTTTAAGGATGCTAAATATAGACTGCCCCGATCTTTTCTGGCTTGTAGAGTTTCTGCTGAAAGGTCTGCTGTTAGCCTGATGGGGATTCCTGTTGTAAGCAACCTGCCCTTTCTCTCTAGTTGCCTTTAATATTTTTTCTTTTACATTAACCTTGGAGAATCTGATGACTATATGTCTTGGGGATGGTATTCTTGTATAATATTTCACAGGGCTTCTCTGAATTTCCTGAATTTGAATGTCAACCTCTCCAGCAAGGTTGCAGAAATTTTTATGGACAGTATCCTCAAATAGGTTTTCCAAGTTTCTTGCTCTCTGTCCCTCTTTTAGGGATGTCAATGAGTTGTAGGTTTGGTCTCTTTACATAATCCCCTATTTCTTGGAAGTTTTGTTTATTCTTTTTTCTTTATTTCTGTCTGAGTTGATTTGAAGAACTAGTCTTCCAGCTCTGAGATTCTTTTCTCAGCTTGGCCTTTTCTGCTGTTAATACTTCTAATTGTATTATTAAATTCTTGTGAGTTCTTTTTTTAACTCTATAGATCAGTTTGGTTCTTTCTTAAAATGGCTGTTTCATCTTTCAGCTCTTGTATTATTTTACTGGATTTCTTAGATTCCTTGGATTGGGTTTCAGATTTCTCTGGAATCTTGTTTATCTTCATTGCCATCCAGATTCTGAATTCTGTGTCTCTCATTCCAGCCATTTCAGTCTGGTTAAGAACCATCACTTGGGAGCTATTGTAGTCATTTGGAGATAAGAAGAAACTCTGGCTTTTTGGGTTGCCAGGGTTCTTGTGCTGGTTCTTTCTCATCTGTGTGGACTGTTATTCCTTTAATCTTTGAAGTTGCTGTCCTTTGGATGGGGCTTTTTGCTTTTATATTCTTTGATGCCCTTGAGGGTTTGACTGTGTTATAAGTTGGGTTTAGTCAACTGGCATCATTTCTAAGTGATTTTAGGGGGACAAGACTCAGCTCAGCATGCCTGGGCTATAAGGTCTAATCCTGGGGGACTGGGACAGGCTCATGGCTTTGTACTCTGGCCTCTCATGGTCGGGCATCTGCTGCACTGGAAGACCTGAGGTGTTCCTGGTCCACCGGCAACAAGGCTGCAATGAGGGATGCTGGCAAAAGCACTTTGTCCGGGCAGTGGCAGCAGGGTTCATGCTTGTGTGCATGTGCCAGCAGTAGCAGGGCAGCAGTGCAGCTGGGTCCATGTGTGTGTGCACTGGTGGTGGAAGTGCAGTGGAGTCTGCACATGTGCCAGCAGTGGTGGGGCACAGGCATGGCAGGGTCCACATGTGTGCACTGGTGGCAGTAGTGCTACACACTTTTTTTAGACAGGGTTTTGCTTTGTCACCCAGGCTGAAGTACAGTGGAGTGAACATGGCTCACTGCAGCGTCAACCCCCTAGGCTCAAGCAATCCTCTCACTTCAGCATCCTTAGTAGCTGGGACCACAGGCATAAGCCACCATACCGGGCTAATTTTTAAAATTTTTTGTAGAGACAGGGTCTCGCCATTTTGCCTAGGCTGGTCTTGAACTCCTGGCCTTAAGAGATCCTTCTGCCTCAGCCTCCCAAAGTGCTGGTATTACAGGTGTGAGCCAATGCACTTAGCTGGTGCTATCCATTATGAAACAAACAGATCTCATGAGAACTCACTTATCACCAAGGGAATGGTTGTAAGCCATTCATGAGGGATCTGCCCCCACAATCCAGTCACCTCCTACCAGGCCCCACCTCCAATACTGGGGATTACATTCCAACATGAGATTTGGAGGGGACACTCAAACTATATCATCGTACAATGCAATACTGTTCAGCAATAAAAACAAATAGTAGTGACACACATAATAACATGGATGAATCTCAAATGCATTATGCTAAGTGAAACCAAACTCATAAGGCTCCATACCATATGATTCCATTTATATGGCACTCTGGAAAAAGAAAAACTATAAAGACAGAAAATAGATCAGTGGTTGCCTGGCAATGAAGGAGGGAGGGGGTTTACCTGAAAGGGGTATGGGGGAATTTTTGGAGGTGAAGAAATTTGTTCTGTGCCTTCTATTGGTAATCACATGACTGTATGCGTTTGTCCAATTCACAGAACTGTACTTTAAGAATAATGAATTTTACTACATGTTAAGTTATATCTTAATAAAATTATTTTTGTCTTTTTTTTTTTTTAAAAAGGAATGATCTACTGACACACAAAACAGCATGGATGAATTTCAAATGCATTCTGCTAGGTAAACAAGCCAAGCTCAAATGGCTATACATTGCATGACTCTCTTTATATCACATCCTGGAAATGGAAAAACTGTAAGGGATAGACAACAGATCAATGGCTGCCAAGGGCTGGATGCAGGGGCAGGGGTTGGCTACAAAGGGTCATGAGAGGATTTAAGGTTATGGAACTGTTCTAAATCTTGATTGTAGTAATTACATGACTATCTACACTGTCAAAAGTTGTAGAACAGAACATTTTTTAAAAGGTGAATTTTACTGCATGTAAATTATGCCTTAACTTTAAAAAGAAAATAAGTGCATAAGTGAGAAAACTGAGAAAAGAAAAATAGATCCAACAGGTCATTTCTACTAATGTGAGTTAGGACTGGCTGTACGAAAAAGCCTCTAGGTTTTAGTAGATATCAGTGGGCTGCTGGACTACAACATATTCTTTCTCAGTTCCAGTTACATAGAGATAATTAAAACAGTATCCTCTTTCCCTTTTCTAAAAATATCCATTGGTGGCTGTATGCAGTGTCTCATGCCTGTAATCCCAGCCCTTTGGAAGGCCGAGGTAGGAAAATAGCTTGAGCTTAGGAGTTAGAGACCAGCCTGGGCAATATAGCAAAACCCCATCTCTACAAAAAACACAAAAATTAGACATGGTAGCACATGCCTGTAGTCCCAGCTACTGGGGAGGCTGAAGTGGGAGGACCAATTTATCCTGGGAGATTGATGCTGCAGTGAGCCAAGACTGTGCTACTGCACTCCAGCCTAGGTGATAGAGCAAGACCCTGTCTCAAACAAACAAAAAGAAATATCCATTGGTGCTTATATACTCATATCCATATCCTATGCAAGGATGAGTGCCCTGCCCACTCTGTTGTCAAGGTGCTCTCATTTAATACATGACCCCAGATCCCCTGACCACAGCTCTCTGGGAAAGGGGTGGGCCTCTAATAAAGGTTTATTCATAAATTGAGCAATGGTGGTATCACCTGATTGAAAAGCTGGGTTGGGATAATCAGATAATTCACCATGAAAATTGATGAGAAGGCCAGTTGGCAATAGGAGCTGAAACTGAAAGATTATGAGGTAGAATGATAACACATCATATGTAAGTTCATGTTATAAGGAAGCCATTCAGTGAAAGGGAGAAAAAGGGCAGACAAAAAACAAAACAACAACGACAAAAACAATCCCTTCAGAGACACCTAGCTATAGACAGCTCCGCCCCAAATATCATTCCTCATGTGATGAATCTGGCTGCATATCAGAATCCAGTGCTTTGAAAAGGAGTAAAGACCATGACTGGTTCTTAGAGACTAAACCGATTTCTGGGTGGGAAGTGGGGAAGGCAAATCCAACACAGTGGCCAGCAGGAAGTCGATGAGGGAGCTTGAAGATATCTACCAATGTGAAATTAAATACTTTATAATAACAAGCATCCAACTTGATAAATCTCATTTATTGACTTGGCAAGGCTTTTTTTTTTTTTCCTGACAACCTTTTATTTGATAAAGGGGCCTTCAAAATAGAAATCAACTTTCCAACAGAGTTTCCAAACCTGCAAAAAATACTTAAAACATAAAGTTATCACCATAAACTTGATGAAAAAGGACAAGCCTGTCTTCCAGTAACTAGTGTAAAAAACTAGACACTAATAACTAAACTTGGCCAAGTAGTCCCGTACCTCATATTACTGGTGAAAGAACTCAGACCTAAGCATCTCCCTCACGCTGATCTAGTTGAAGAATATATATGTGTATATATATATATATATTTTTTCTCTTTTTTTGAGATGAAGTCTCGCTCTTTCGCCCAGGCTGGAGTTCAGTGGCATGATCTAGCTCACTGCAACCTCCGCCTCCCAGGTTCAAGTGATTGTCCTGCCGAGTAGCTGGGATCACAGGCACCCACCACCACGCCTGGCTAATATTTTGTATTTCTAGTAGAGACAGGGTTTCACCATGTTGGCCAGGCTGGTCTCAAACTTCTGACCTCAGGTGATCCTCCTGCCTCAGCCTCCCAAAGTGCTGGGATTACAGGTGTGAGCCACCACACCCAGCAGGTTCTGTCATCTTATAATACTGTCCTCCAATCCATGAACACAGGATGTATTTTCATTTATTCATTTATGTCTTCTTGTAGCACTCCAGCCTAGGCAACAAGAGCGAAACTCCCTCTCATAAAAAATAAAAATAAATAAAAATAAAAAAAACAAAAGGATGACAGAACCACCCAAAGCAATCTTTTCCCCAATATGGGAAAAAGTGGACTTCCCCATATTGCTCTGTAGACTGTAAACTTTTTAAAGAGTTTTTAGGGGCCGGGCACAGTGGCTCACGCCTGTAATCCCAGCACTTTGGGAGGCCGAGACGGGCGGATCACGAGGTCAGGAGATGGAGACCATCCTGGCTAACACGGTGAAACCCCGTCTCTACTAAAAATACAAAAATTAGCCAGGCATGGTGGGGGGCGCCTGTAGTCCCAGCTACGCGGGAGGCTGAGGCAGGAGAATGGCCTGAACCCGGGAGGCGGAGCTTGCAGTGAGCCGAGATCGCGCCACTGCACTCCAGCCTG
Source organism: Homo sapiens (assembly GCF_000001405.40). Classification (NCBI taxonomy): domain Eukaryota; kingdom Metazoa; phylum Chordata; class Mammalia; order Primates; family Hominidae; genus Homo; species Homo sapiens. The sequence goes on along the minus strand of NC_000012.12, from coordinate 50,847,100 downwards.
GGCAACAGAGCGAGACTCCGTCTCAAAAAAAAAAAAAAAAAAAGTTTTTAGACTGAATGCAATCCCTATCAAAATCCCAATGACATTTTTTTTTTTGCAGAAACAGAAAAACCCATCCTAAAATTCATATGGAATATTAAGAGACTCCAAATAGCTAAAATAATCTTGAAAAATAAGAACAAAGTTGGAGGGCTCACATTTCCTGATTTCAAAACTTACTGCAGGCCGGATGCAGTTGCTCACACCTGCAGTTACCACTTTGGGAGGCCAAACTGGGAAGATCACTTGAGCCCAGGAGTTTCAGACCAGCCTGGGCAACATAGTGAAACTCTGTCTCTACAAAAAAATACAAAAATTAGTCAGACATGGTGGTGCACACCTGTAGTCCCAGCTATTCAGGAGGCTGAGGTGGGAGGATCACCTGAGCCTGGGAGGTGGAGGTTGCAGTGAGCTGAGATCATGCCACTGCATGCCAACCTGGGTGACAAAGCAAGGCTCTGTCTAAAAAACAAAACAAAAAACAAAAACACCACCAAGAAAAAATACTTACTATAGATCCATACTAATCCAAAGAGTGTGTGATACTAGCATAAGGACAGATATATACATCAGTGGAGAAGAATTGAGAGCCCAGAAATACACCCTCTCTATATGATCAATTGATTTTCAATGAAGATGCCAATACCATCTAATGGGGAAAGGACAAACTTTTCAATAGATGGTGCTGGGGAAACTTGATAGCTGCACGTAAAACAATGAAATTGTACCCTTACCTGATACCTTATGCAAAAATGGACTCAAAATGAATCAAAGACCTAAATCTAAGAGCTAAAGCTATAAAACTCTTAGAAGAAAACATAGGGGAAAAGCTTCGTGATACTGGATTTGATATAATGATTTCTTACATATTACACCAGAAACACAGGCAACAAAAGAAAAAAAATAGATAAATTTGACTTCATCAAAATTAAAAGCTTTTGTGTATCAAAGGACAATATCGAGAGTGAAAAGATGACCCACAGAATGGGAGAAAATATTTGCAAATAATGTGTCTGACAACAGATTAATATCCAGAATACATAAAGAACTCCTACAACTCAACAACAAAAAAGCAAAGAGCCCAGTTCAAAAATGGACAAAGGACTTGAATAGACATTCCTCCAAAGAAGATATACAAATGGCCAATAAGCACATAGAAAGATGCCTAACATCACTAGTAATTTGGGAAATGGAAATAAAAGCCACAATGAGCTACCATTTCATATTAATTAGGATAGTTATTATCAAAGTAGTAGTGTAAATATAAGTATGATAAGTCATAAGCTAGGAATATAGAGACTGATATTCTGGATGTACTTTTAATCAGTAGGGAGGGTGGAGGGACAGAAGAAGCAAATGTAAGATACTGCACAGAGAGCCTTCACAGGCCTTGGAGACTACTTGGATAGCTGAAGTGGGAGAAATTAGATAACTCTCTGGGTAATGGAGCTGTTGATGATGCTATCAACTGAGAAAATAGAGAAGAAATAGTATCAGAGGAAAGTAAATTCCATTTTGGACTTATTTAAAATGTGACTCCAATAAAGCTGGAAATATGACTCATCAGGAGAGACCTAGGAGTTGACAGCACATGGTGATTGCTGAAACAGAGGTAGATTAGACATCTCTAGGAAAGAGTACAGAATGACAGAGGGCAGAGGGCAAACTCTAGAAAACACTGCAATGTAAAGGATGACAAAGACTCATCAAAGAAGCAGGAGAAAAAAGTAGAGAATGGTGTCTTAGAAATCAAGAAAAGAGATAATTTCAAGAAGAGAATGTGGTCAACATTGCCAAAGGCTGTAGAGGTCAAAAAGGATGGGAACTGAGATGAAGTCATTGGATTTGGCATGGAAGTGGATCTTTAACAGCATTTGGCCACAAAAATCAGACTGCAGTTGGATTTTATGGGTCAATGGAGATGAAGCAAAGAGAGTCTCTTTTTCAAAGAGTCTAATAGTGAAGGCCAAATCTGGCATGTCTCTTGTTTTCATACAGTCCATAAAGCATGTTTTTTACATTAACAATTTTTTTAAATATAGAGACAGGGTCTCGCTATATTTCCCAGGCTGGTCTCAAACTCCTGGCCTCAAGTGATCCTCCCGTCTTGGCTTCCCAAAGCATTGGGATAACAAATATGAGCCAACATGCCCTACTCTACATTTTTAAATGGCTGAATCAACCACAATATTTCATGACACGTTAAACATATGAAATTCAGATTTCAGTGTTCATAAAGTTTTATTGGATTATAGCCACACTCATTCAATTACTTATTTTCAGTGCTGGTTTTCATGCAATTGTGAGAGAGACCATATGACCTTCAAAGTGTAAAATATTTACTACCTTTATAGGAAGTTTACCAGCCTCTAATTTAAAAGATCCATGATCGAGCATGGTGGCTTACACCTGTAATCCCAGAACTTTGGGAGGCTGAGGCGGGCAGATCACGTGAGGTTAAGAGTTCAAGACCAGCCTGGCCAACATGGTGAAACCCCCTTTTCTACTAAAAATACAAAAATTAGCTGGACATGATGGCAGGCATCTGTAATTCCAGCTACTCCGGGGGCTGAGGCAGAAGAATCGCATGAACCCAGGAGGCGGAGGTTGCAGTGAGCCAAGATTGCACCACTGCACTCCAGCCTGGGTAACAGAGTGACACTCCATTTCAAAAAAAAAAAAGTAAAAAATAAAGGATTCCTGGGTAGGGGGCTAGGGGAGGGATAGCATTAAGAGAAATACCTAATGTAGTTAGATGATGGGTTGATGGGTGCAGCAAACCACCATGGACATGTATACCTATGTAACAAACCTGCACGTTCTGCACATGTACCCCAGAACTTAAAGTATAATAATAATAATAATAAATAAAGGATTCCTTTCAACAAATACACTGTACTATATATAAGGCATTATGGCTATTTGCAAACATAGCTTAGCTGAAAATGGCTGAAGTTAAATGGTCCTCTATCACTTCAAAATATCCCCTAAGAGCATAAAAATAGTTGTGTTCTGAATACGTACCTAGCGTCTTTAGTGCAGTGGGCAGCTGTGAGGACCCACCTCTCTCTCACTAGGGTTCCCCCACATACATGAACAAGAACACGGCCATATTTAATCTGCAGGCTCACCACCCACGGCCATGCGCCAGCTTGTGCTTCGGTGCCCCCTATAATCCGAGACCCTTGCAACACATCCTTAAGCGGTGCTGTTCCACAATCTAAAAATAAAAATGATATATTATTTGGACTGAGCATCTATAGTATGTGTTACTTCCTAAGCTGAACATATTAATGCAATCCTTTAAATTCCTATGTTAAAAACACAAAGCAAGCTAACATACCGGAGACACGCCCATATTTTGAAAGAAACTTGGAGAGTTAAGACAAATATGCCATAATCGATTACTTACAAATAGACATGAAGTCAACACAATTCATTAATTTTAAAACTCTATTCCCCAAAAATATAAAAATAAAAATTTTTGGCCACGTATCACATTCTTCCCTGTGTGAAATAGCAGTTAAAGAGCCTGGGAACGGTGAGTCGAGAGCCGCAAATTCTAATGCTCACCATTTCACTTGTTGGGCTAATTTTTCTCAACTATAGTATGAAATGGTCACCTAATAGCCCTCCCTTTCAACTCTTTATCCCCTGACTTATTAATCTATAAAATGGGGATGATAAAACCCAGAATGTTTTGAGGAGAAAATACAGATTCACAATACAAATGTGTCATTTCACTATTACAACTACTGTTATTACAGCCGGTCTAGAAACTGCTTAGGTATGTAAAATTTTGGTTAAAGGCCATTGGGACAACAGAAAAGGAGAAACCCGAATTCAAAGACTATAGCGGTGGGGAAAAGGTAAGAGAGGCTCCCCAGAGACAGGCACGAACAGGTACTGCCCTCTGCATGCGCCCCTCCCTCCCTCCGCCGCCGGAGCCTCTTGCGGACGGCCTCAGCCTGCTGGGAACTAGCCGCCGGTTCCGGCGAGGGGCCGAGCCTGTGCCTTCCAGAGGGCGAGTAGTGGTCTGAGTATAAGTGAGAGCTCCCCACAAACAACAGCGCCACGCTCAGGAGCCCCAGCCGCATTTTGGAGGCTGGTGAGCAAGATGGCGGCAGGTACTTCCCACCCGCCCTGGGCACGCGGGGCGCACGGCCTGGCGGGGAGGCGCGAGTGAGGCCCGGAGGTGTGGGAGGCGGCCGAGGAATAGGTAGGTCAGTTTAGAAAGAACCCCTCACCCTCAAGGTCTGATCGGCTTCCTCATCCACCACTATCCCCCAGGTGATGTCTGATCACCCTGGCCTGTCCAGCAAGAATCCTGTTAGGTCGGTTAGCCGGAATGCCATTACTCCTGATGCTACCTCTTAGTAATTTTCCATCCACTGACACGTCTCTCCTGCTCCGTGGCTGTAAATTCTCCCTTGGCTCTGCTCTGTTTGGATTTTAGCCCAGTCCCTCTACCCATTACAAAATCCCATTGCCATGGTCCCTATCCCTATCTGGATGGTCCTGAATAAAGTCTGCCTTGCTGTGCTTTAATGAGTATCACTGAATAATTTTTCTTTAACATAACCCAGAGTTTTTAAGAGTGATACCTAATGTTCAGTTTTAAATTGTTCTGTCATTCCTATCTTGACCTATACTGAACTTTGCCTTTGTTAACCCAACACCTTCAGTAATAAGAAGACCGTGTGGGCTGTGGGAAGTTGGTGAGGTGGTGGAGAGTTAACGTAGAGGTCAATAAAAGGACAGTTGCCTTGCTCATACCATCCTTCCGAGGCTGGTGCAGTTGGCAGCATTAGATAAAAGGAGTATATGAGTTTGGGGCTTACACATGGTAACATGTGGGGAAGGGAGCAGAGTCTCAGAGCTGTGCCGAAATTGGGGTGGAGGAGGTGATATTGGAGAAACAAATTGCAGCATGAGCTGATCTCTGAGGGCTGACAAGAAACAAAGTCCTTATTCCCCAGATATTTTAGTGGAAGGTGATATTAGGAGGAGAAAAACACAGTTGGGGTGTGTGTATTTCTGTGTGTGTGAGATGTGGTCAGATTGTGTATGCCTTTGTAAACAAGGCAAGATGACTTTTTTTTTCTTTTTTTAAACCCATAGCCAACGTGATAAGGATGACGGGTCTTGCTATGACAGATAGTAGAGGTTTAACATACTCATAAAGCAAGTATATGCAGCCAAGTCATCAAATAGCAGTGACACAGGCAGTGGGCTGGGCACGGTGGCACATGCCTGTAGTTCTATTATACAGCACTGCTTTAAACAATATATTTTTTAGTTTTACTACTCAGGAGGCTGAGGCAGGAGGATTGCTTGAGCCCAGGAGTTCTGGACTGTAGTATGCTATGTCAACTGGTCAACTAAGTTTGGCATCAATATGGTGACCTTCGGGTAGTGGGGAACCACCAGGTTGCCTAAGGAGGGGTAACTGGCCCAGACTGGAAATGGAGTTGATCAAAATTCCTGTGTTGATTGGTAGTGAGATCATGCCTGTGAATAGCCACAGTACTCCAGCCTGGGCAACAAAGCAAGACCCCATCTCTCCAAATAAAATGAAAAAGGCAGTGGATCAATAACTGCAGAGGTCTTCTTCCTGGATTTCCTCTGCCTTTTCTCCTCTCCTGCATTGTCATTTCCTGTCTTTGGTGGGATCACTCCTATCTGCAGACAAATATCCTCTGGTATGGTAGGTAGCCTACAAAATGCCCGCCAATGAACCCTGTCTCCTGGTATTCACAGCCTTAGTCAGTTCCCTCTCCTTTAGTGTTGGCTGGATTTCGTGACTCACTTCTAGTAAATAGAAAGTAGAGGTGATGGGCTACCACTTTCAAGATTAGGTTATAAAAAGATTGTGACTTCTGTCCTGAGCACTCTCTGCAGTCCTGTTGCTCTAAGGTAAAGCTGCTGCCATGTTGTAAGCTGCCCTGTGGCCCTGTAGAGAGGCTGCCAGCAAGAGCCATTGAGGAACTGAAGTCCTCAGTTGAACAGCCACGAAAAGCTGAATCATGCAACACCGCATGATCTGCTTAGAGGCAGATCTTCCCCGATCACACCTTCAGATGAGACCACAGTGCTGGCTGACACCCTAACTGCAACCTCATGAGAGACCTTAAGTCAGAGACACCCAGCCAAACTACACTTAAAAGTTCTGACCCACAGAAAATACGAGATAAATTTTTGTTGTTCTAAGCTACTGCATTTTGGGATAATTTGTTACGCAGCAACAGATAATACATCTGGTTTCTCCCACCTTAGAAAAATCTTCAATTGACTTTATATCCCCTACTTTCCTCTATAGCAAAATTTCACCCAAGAAGTTGTTTACAATTACAGTTTCTACTTTCCACTTCCTCAACTTTTTTTCTTTTAGTAGAGACAAGGTCTACATTGCCCAGGCTGGTTTCAAACTCCTGGCCTGAAGAAATCCATCCACCTCAGCCTCCCAAAGTGTTGGGATTACAGGTGTGAGCCACCGCACCCAGCCTACTTCTTCACCTTTTATTCCCATCTTTGTTTTTTAAAAATTTTGTTGGTTTTTGTTAATTTTTAAGAATAGAAGCAGGACTTTATTTCTCCTCTCAGAAAAAGAGACCTTGTCCACAGAAGCTCTCTTAGCTTAACCAACTTCATCCCATTACATTTTTTGTTTCTTTGTTTTGAGTCTCACTCTGTCACTGAGGCTGCAGTAGTGCAGTGGCATGATCTCAGCTCACTGTAATGTCTGCCTCCCAGGCTCAAGTGATTCTCCTGCCTCAGCCTCCCAAGTAGCTGGGACTACAGGCATGTGCCACCTTACCTGGCTAACTTTTTTTTTTTTTGTATTTTTTGGTAGAGACAGGGTTTCACTGTGTTTCCCAGGCTGGTCTCGAACTCCTGAGTCAAGCGATCAGCCCACCTCAGCCTCCCAAAATGCGGGGATTACAGGCATGAGTCACTGCGCCTTGACCCCATTAAAATTTTTTAGAGAAAATTAAGTGAGCCTCAAAACAAAACATCCTACCTCTCCTTTCCAAGTGAAAGCTTAAGATCCATGGTTATGGAGGACAAGAGCATTAGTACCAGGGCTTGGGGCCTGGGCTTTGGGGAGGCTTTATCCTCCCACCTGGGGCATGTCTCAGTGCTAGCAATTATGAAAATAAAACTATTTGATTACACAGAATTTAATAACAGTACAAACATCCATGTATACACCACCCCATTCACTACATTTGTTTTACTGAATATTTAATACATATAAAAGGATATTTATAAAATATATGCTCAGTTTAAAGAATAACAGTAGAAGAATACCCATTTAAGAAAAAGAAGATTATTTTTGCTTTTGAAATCCCCTGTGTATCTCTCCCTCATTCTGTCTTTATTTTTCTCTCAGAAGTAACCAATATTCTGGATTTTGTATTTATTTCATTTATTCTCGTTATAAACCTTGCCGTACAGTATGGTAGCCCCTCACCACATGTGACAATTTAAGTTCAAATTTAAATTAAATAAAAATTCAGTTCCTCAGTCACATTAGCCATATTTTAAGTGCTCAGTAGCCACATGACACTTGTTACCATACTGGGCAGCATAGTTGTAGAATATTTCCACCGTTGTGAAGAGTTCTATTATACAGCACTGCTTTAAACAATATATTTTTTAGTTTTGCATGTTTTTGAACTTTATTACTCAGGGTTCTCCAGAGAAACAGAACCAACAGGAGAGTGAGGAAAAAAAAAGAGAAAGAGAGATTTTAGGGATTGGCTCACATAATTACGGAGGCTGAGAAATCCCACAGTCTGCCATCTGCAAGCTGGAGAAACAGGAAAAGCTGGCAGTGTGATTCAGTCTGAGTCTGAAGGCCTGAGACCCAGGAGTGTTGATGTCTGAGGACAAGAGAAGATGTCCCAGCTCAAGAGAAATAATTTGTTCTTCTTTCACCTTTTTGTTCTGCTGGGGACATCAACAGATTAGATGATGCCCACCTACAGTGGCGAGAACAATCTTCTTTGCTCATTCTCCTGATTCCAATGCACATCTCTTACGGAAACACCCTCACAGATACTCCCAGAAGTTGTGATTACCAGCCATCTGGATATCCCTTAGCCCCATTAGGTTGACACATAAGATTAATCATTACATGAGCTTTATATAAATGGAATCATATGATAAATTTTCTTTTGCAGCTAGTTTTTGTTTTTTTACTCAGCATTAGGTTCTTTACATTCATTTCTGTGGTTATCTAACTGCAATTCATTTACTCTCTCCCACACATCATATGCATATGCCACAATGTATTTATCTACTTTGGAATCTATTATTGATGGATATTTGCATTATTTCCAGGTTTTTTCTATTACAACTAATACTACTATGCATATGAGATGAGTCTCTCTGGACTACATACTAGTGGTAGGATTACTGAGTCATAAAGAATACCATCATCTTCTCCAAATAATGCCAAATTGTTTTCCAGAATGTTTCACCAATATTCTCTTCAAGCCAGGCATGGTGGCTCACACCTGTAATCCCAGCACTTTGGGAGGCTGAGGTGGGAGGATTGCATGAAGCCAGGAGTTCAAGACCAGCCTGGGCAACATAGCAAGACCTCATCTCTACAAAAAATTTAAAAAATTAGCTGGGCATGGTGACACATGCCTGTAATCACAGCCGCTTGGGAAACTGAGGTGGGAGGATCACTTGAGCCTAGGAGGAGCTCAAGGCTGCAGTGAACCATGATCATGCCACTGTACTCCAGCCTAGGTGATAGAGTGAGACCCTGTCCCTAAAAATAATAATTATTATATATATACAGATATATACACACACCCATATATACGTATACACACATATATATACACATATACATACTCATCAACTAGCAACATATAAATGTTCCCATTGCTCATGTCTTCACCGATGCTTTTTCTTTGTGTGTGTGTGTGACGGAGTCTCACTCTGTCACCCAGGCTGGAGTGCAGTGGTGCAATCTCGGCTCACTGCAGCCTTCATCTCCCAGGTTCAAGTGATTCTCCTGCCTCAGCCTCCCGAGTAGGTGGGATCACAGCCGCCCACCACCACACCTGGCTAATTTTTGTGTTTTTAATAGAGATGGGGTTTCACCATGTTGGCCAGGCTGGTCTTGAACTCCTGACCTCAAATGATCCACCCGCCTCGGCCTCCCAAAGTGCTGGGATTACAGATATGAGCCACCACGCCTGGCCTTTAGGCATTGTTTTTCTTTTCTTTCGCTTTTTCTATAGGTTCTGCCAGGTTGTAACAAATGCTTTTTAATTTTTTACCTATCTTGTGGGCAGGAGTTGGGAATTGTGGTTTTAGTTTGCGTTTTTCTGATTTTGAATGAGTTTGAGTATTTGAATATCTTTTCATATTTTAGGGAACATTCATTGACTATTTCATGTTGAGTACCAATTTATGTCATTTATTTGCTCATCTTTGTCTTTGCATGTTGATTTCATTGACTGCCTTCTCCATGCCAGACCCTGTTGTAAGAGCTTAGGCTATAACAGAACACAAAACAAAAGTCCTTGCCATCATGAGATTCACATATTGAATCATAAGAGATTTTTATAGGTCCGGATAATAATCCTGTTCCTGTTCCATGGTGAGCAGGTCTATGCAAACCTACCCCCAAAGGCTTGAGGGAGCCAATAGGACAAGGAAAGAGGCTGACAAATCCAGTTTCTCAGAAATATTTAATAGGGACTTAGAAGTAATGTCTCTGGTAGCTGAGAGAGGGCACCCAACCTCCAGAAAGTATAGATAGCAAGCTTTTAGGGTTAAGATGTGCAGCTGGTCACATCTGACTTTCTTATGGAACTTGTGACAACTGGGTAGGTTAGATATACATCTTTATGAGGAGTTATCTCTACTAAGGGTATTGTTTAAAGACATTGCTGCAGAATACCTTGGCATGCAGGAGTCAAATATCAGTCATTATGGTGGTTTTGCTTCAAGATGACATCACTCTTGCCATTCAACAGCTGTTTTCCTACAAATCCTTTGTCAATTTTTGTTATAAATATTTCCTGGCCAGGCCCAGTGGCTGACACCTGTAATCCCAGCAATTTGAGAGGCTGAGGTGGGAGGATCACTTGAGGTCAGGAGTTCAAGATCAGCCTGGGCAACAAAACGAGACCCCATCTCTACAAAAAGAAAGAACGAAAAGAAAATTAGCCAGACATGGTGACATACACCTGTGGTCCCAGCACCATGGGAGGCTGAGGCAGGAGGATCACTTGAGCCCAGGAGATTGAGGCTGCAGTGAGCCATATTCACACCACTGCACTCCAGCCTGGGTGACAGAGCGAGGCATTGTCTTAAAAAAAAAAAAAAATCTACTCTGTAGCTTACCTTTCACATCCTTTATGGTAGCTTCTCATGAAGCTACCATAAAGAATGTGGTATCTTCTTAAGAAATTCTTTTAAATTTTAAATTTATTTTTATTTCAACAGTTTGGGAGGAACAGGTGGTGTTTGGTTGCATGGAAAAGTTCTTTAGTGGTGATTTCTGAGATTTTGGTGCAGCCATCACCTGAGCAGGGTACACTGTACCCAACGTGTAGTCTTTTTATTCCTCACCCCTCTCCCACCCTTCCCCCTGAGTCCCAAACTCCATTTTATCATTCTTATGCCTTCTGTCCTCATAGCTTAGCTTCTGCTTGTAAGTGAGAACATCATGATGTTTGGTCTTCCATTCCTGAGTTACTTCACTTAGAATAATAGTCTCCAGTTTCATCCAGGTTGCAGCAAATGCCATTATTTTGTTCATTTTTATGGCTGAGTAGGATTCCATGGTGTGTGTGTGTGTGTGTATGTATGTATGTATGTATGTATATATATATATATGTACCACATTTTCTTTATTCACTTGGTTGATGGATAGTTAGGCTGGTTCCATATTTTTGCAATTGCAAATTGTGCTGCTATAAACATGCATGTGCAAGTGTTTTGTTGTTGTTGTTGTTGTTGTTGTTGTTGTTGTTGTTTTCTTATAATGACATATTTTCCCCTGGGTAGATACCTCTGGGATTGCTAGACCAAATAGTGGTTCTATTCTTAGTTCTTTAAAGAATCTCCATACTGTTTTCCATACTGGTCATATTAGTTTACATTCCCACCACCAGTGTAAAGGTGTTCCCTTTTCACCACACCCATGCCGACATCTATTATTTTTTATTGTTTTATTAAGACCATTCTTGCAGCAGTAAGGTGGTATTTATTGTGGTTTTAATTTGCATTTCCCTGATAATTTGTGATGTTTAGCATTTTTTCATATGTTTGTTGGCCATTTGTATATTCTTTTGAGAATTGTCTATTCATATCCTTTGCCCAATTTTTGATGGAATTATTTGCTTTTTTTCTTGCTGATTTATTTGATTTTATTGTAGATTCTGGATATTAGTCCTTTGTCAGATGCGTAGTTTGCAGATATTTTCTCCCACTCTGTAGGTTGTCTATTTACTCTGATGATTATTTCTTTTGCTGTGCAGAAGCTTTTTAGTTTAATCAGGTCCCATCTATTTATCTTTGTTTTTGTTGTATTTGCTTTTGGTTTCCTGGTCATGAACTCTTTGCCTAAGCCAATGTCTACAAGAGTTTTTCCAATGTTATCTTCCAGAAGTTTTACAGTTTCAGGTCTTAGGTTTAAGTCATTGATCCATCTTAGGTTGATTTTTGAATAAGGTGAGACATGAGGATCTAGCTCTGTATTAGTCTGTTTTCATAAATGGACTATAAAGTGCTTTATCAGTCCATTTTCATAAATGGACTAAAACAGTGTTATAAAGCACTGCTGGAGACTAGGTAATTTATAAAAGAAAGAGATTTAATTGACTCACAGTTCAGCATGGCTGGGGAAGCCTCAGGAAACTTACAATTATGGTGGAAGGGGAAGGGGAAGCAAAGCACCTTCTTCACAAGGCAGCAGGAAGGAGAAGTGTTGAGTGAAAAGGGAGGAATCTCTTATAAAACCATCAGATCTCATGAAAAGTCACTCACTATCATGAGAACAGCATGGGGGAACCACCCCTTTGATCCAGTTACCTCCACCTGGTCTCTCCCTTGACACATGCGGATTATGGGGATTATAATTCAAGATGAGATTTGGGTGGGACACAAAGCCTAACTGTATCTATCATTCCACCACTGGCCCCTCCCAAATCTCATGTCCCTTTCACATTTCAAAACCAATCATGCCTTCCCAACGGTCCCCCAAAGTCTTATTTCAGCATTAACCCAAAAGTCCAAGTCCAAAGTCTTATCTGAGACAAGGCAAGTCCCTTCTGCCTATGAGTCTGTAAAATCAGAAGCAAGTTAGTTACTTCCTAGATACAATGGGGGTATGGGCATTGGGTAAATGCCACCCATTGCAAATAGGAGAAATCGGCCAAAACAAAGGGGCTGCAGGCTACAAGCCAGTCTGAAATCCAGTAGGACAGTCAAATCATGGAGTCAAATCAGCTCCAAAATGATGTCCTTTGACTCCGTGTCTCACATCCAGGTCACGCTGATGCAAGAGTTGGGTTCCCACATCCTTGGGCAAGTCTGCCCCTGTGGCTTTGCAGCATACAGTCACCTCCCCCACCCTGCCCCTCAGCTGCTTTCACAGGGTGGCATTGAGTGTCTGCAGCTTTTCCAGGTGCATGGTGCAAGCTGTCAGTGGATCTACCATTCTGGGGTCTAGAGGATGGTGGCCCTCTTCTCACAGCTCCACTAGGCAGTGCACCTGTGGGGAGTCTGTCTGGGGGCTCTAACCCCACATTTCCCTTCTGCACTGCTCTAGCATAATTTCTCCATGAGGGCTTCACCCCTGCAGCAAACGTCTGCCTGGGCATCTAGGCATTTCCACACATCTTCTGAAATCCAGGCAGAGGTTCCCAAACCTCAATTATTAACTTCTTTGCACTTACAGGCCCAAAACCACATGGAAGCCACCAAGGCTTGAGGCTTGCACCCTCTGAAGCCACAGCCTGAGCTGTACATTGGCCCCTTTTAGTCACAGTTGGGAAACAGGGCACCAAGTCCCAAGACAGCACAAAGTAGCAAGGCCCTGGGCCTGGCCCACAAAACCATTTTTTCCTCCTAGGCCTCTGGACCTGTGATGGGAGGGGCTGCTGTAAAGACATCTGACATGCCCTGGAGACATTTTCCCCATTGTTTTGACTATTAACATTTGGCTCCTTGTTACTTATGCAAATTTCTGCAGCTGGCTTGAATTTCTTCTCAGAAAATGGATTTTTCTTTTCTATCGCATTGTCAGGCTGCAAATTTTCCAAACTTGTATGCTCTGCTTTCCTTTTAAACATAAGTTCCAGTTTCAAAACGTCTCTTCGTGAATGCATAAAACTGAGTGCTTTTAAGAGCACCCAAGTGACATCTTGAACACTTTGCTGCTTAGAAATTTCTTCTGCCAGATACCCTAAATCATCTCAATCAAGTTCAAAGTTCCACAGTTCTCTAGGGCAGGGGCAAAATACTACTAGCCTCTTTGCTAAAGCATAGCAAGAGTCACCTTTATTCCAGTTCACAACAAGTTCCTCATCTCCATCAGAGACCACCTTGCCTAGACTTCTTTGTCCATATCATTATCAGCATTTTGGTCAGAGCCATTCAACAAGTCCCTAGGAAGTTCTAAACTTTCCCACATCCTTCTATCTTTGTCTGAGCCCTCCAAACTCTTTTAGTCTCTGCCTGTTACCCAGTTCTAAAGTTGCTTCCACATTTTTGGGTATCTTTATAGAAGTGCCTCACTATCTCAATACCAATTTACTGTATTCATCCGTTTTCATACTGCTATAAAGATCTGCCTGAGGTTGGGTAATTTATAAGGGAAAGAGGTTTAATTGACTCAGTTCAGCATGGCTGGGGAGGCCTCAGGAAACTTATAATCATGGCAGAAGGCAAAGGGGAAGCAAGGCACCTTCTTTAGAAGACAGCAGAAAGGAGAAGTATCAAGCAAAGGGGGATACGTCTTATAAAACCATTTTATAAGGGGGATACCCTTATAAAACCATCAGATCTTGTGAAAACTCACTATCTCGAGAACAGCATGGGGCCAACCACCCTCATGATTCAGTTACCTCCACCTGGTCTCTCCCATGACATGTGGGGATTATGGGGATTGTGGAGACTACAATTCAAGATGAGATTTGGGTGGGGACACAAAGCCTAACCATATCAAGCTCAATTCTTCTACATGTGGTTTGTCAATTATCCCAGCACTATTTGTTGAATAGGGTGTCCTTTCCCGACTTTATGTTTTTGTTTGCTTTGTCCAAGGTCAGTTAGCTGTAAATATCTGGCTCTATTTCTGGGTTTTCTATTCTGTTCCATTGGTCTATTTGCCTATTTTTATACCAGAATCATGCTGTTTTGGTAACTATAGCCTTGTAGCATAGTTTGAAGTCAGGTAATGTGATGCCTCCAGATTTGTTCTTTTTGCTTAGTCTTGCCTTGGCTATGCAGGGTCTTCTCTGGTTCCATATGAATTTGAGGTTTGTTTTTTCTAGTTCTGTTAAGAACAATGTTAGAATTTTGATGGGAATTGCAGTGAATTTGTGGATTGCTTTTGGCAGTATCACCATTTTCACAATATTGATTCTACCCATCCATGAACATGGGATGTGTTTCCATTTGTTTGTGTTGTCTATGATTTCTTTCAGCAGTGCTTTGTAGTTTTCCTTGTAGAGACCTTTCATCTCCTTGATTAGGTATATTACTAAATATTTTATTTTTTTTGCAGCTGTTGTAAAAGGGGTTGAGTTCTTGATTTGATTCTCAACTTGGCCGTTGGTGTATAGTAGTGCTACTGATTTGTGTACATCGATTTTGTATCCTGAAACTTTGCTGAACTCATTTATCAGATCTAGGAGCTTTTTGGATGAGTCTTTAGGGTTTTCTAGGTATACAATAATATCATCAACAAACAGCAACACTTTGACTTCTTGTTTACCAATTTGGATGCCCTTTATTTGTGTCTCTTGTCTGATTGCTCTGGCTAGGAGGAAATTCTTAATTTTAACATAATTGAATCTAACAGTATTTTCCTTTGTTTTTTACTTTTTGTGACTTAAGAAATCCTTCTCTAAGTTGAGGTCATAAAGCTATTCCTTACAATATCTTATAAAGGTTTTATAGTTTTTGTCTTTCATATTTCTTTCTTCCATCTACCTGGAATTGATTTTTGTGTATGGTGTAAGGTAGAAATCCAATTTTCTTATTTTCCTATATGAATAACTAATTGTTCCAATGCCATTTAGCTTTTAAACTTTTCTGTATGGAAAATGTCAAATATATACAAAAATAGAATAATAAACCACATGTACCCATCACCTAGCTTTGACAATTAACATTTCATGCCCAATCTTACTACATTTTATCTCCATCTACTTTCCCCAACTTCCAAAATTATTTGGAAGTAAATTCTAAGAATCAGGCTGGGAGAGGTGGCTCACGCCTGTAATCCTAGCATTTTGGAAAGCCAGGGTGGGTGGATTACTTGAGTCCAGGAGTTTGAGACCAGCCTGGCCAACATGGTGAAACCCTATCTCTACTAAAAATACAAAAATTAGCCAAGTGTGGTGGCCATGCTTGTAGTCCCAGCCACTCAGGAGGCTGAGGCAGGAGAATCGCTTGAACCTGGGAGGCAGAGGTTGCAGTGAGCTGAGACTGTGCCACTGTGCTCCAGATAGAGTGAGACTCCATCTCAAAAAAAAAAAAAAAGTTTAGTTCAATCTGTCCTGTCTAGTTCTAAAATATATTGTGTTTGATTCCTTAGTGAAGAAATACTTCATTTGTGCTCTGATTCACTGAAGTAACAACATCAACACTTTAATAGCATCCATTGGTGTAGCTGATGCCAAGCCTCAGATGCTGTTGCCCAGGCTCTTTACCATCACCTCCTGACTGTTTTTGTCTCCTGGTTTCATTTTCATGCTGGCCCTCTCCACATAATGGGTCAACGTCAGATACAAGTCCACATCCTTACCATCCATGACTCAAAAGGGAGAGAGAGAACGTCCTTTTCCAGGGTCCACAAATCAAATCCTATAAAAGGACTCTGGTCTTCCCAGGATCTTCTGCCCTTGCATTGGACCAGTCCCTGTGGAAGAAGGGATGGGAGCCTGTGATTTTAGCCAGGCCTGGGCCATATGCACTGTCATTGATAACTCCTGTCAGAATCACATTGGATGAGTAGTGGGCCTGATCCCCAAAGGAAAGGGGTTTAGAGCAAATAGAAACAACAGATGTTCACTATAGAAAGCAGGAGTGAAAAACATGAAGTGGTTGAAGATTAGCCTTACCATAATTTTATTCTGATCACTTAATACAGTAGAGTCAAACAGGAATCCAAGTTTCCAACTTTATTTTTGGCATTGAAGAATCACAAAGAACCCTAGCTTCTTTATAACTCCACGGTTCACTGGAGTTAAAGCAATGAAGGTGTCGTACAGCTCACTTGAGTTTTTAAAGGTTCTACTAAAAAGTGAGAATTCTACACCAGCATGGGTCATTGTTGCAGAATATCACCGAGGTATGTTTTGTGTGCTCCTGTACACTGGAAAAGGGACAATAATGTTTTTTTCACTAACCGTTTGTATACATATATAAGTAATATAACTTTTATTAATAAAAGTAAATTTGATAAGAAAATCTAAGAATAATATAAGTATTTTAATACTTATTTTGAAAACATAAGATCTTTTAAAAATCACACTATTATACTTTAATATGAATTATAATTATTTAATAGCAACTCATTAAATGAAGCCAGCATTACATTAATACCAAAAATCAAAGACATTACAAGGACAGAAGACTGTAGAAAAATATCCTTTATGAAGAGGGATGCAAAAATCTTCAATAAAATATTGCAGATTAAGTCCAGCATTATATAAAAGGATAATATATCATGACCAAGTAGTGGTTATTCTGAGAATACAAGACTGGTGGTTCAATATTAGAAAATAAGGCCAGGCAGGTAGCTCATACCTATAATCCCAGCACTTCAGGAGGCCAAGGCAGGCAGATCACTTGAGCCCAGAAGTTCGAGACCAGCCTGAGGAACATGCTGAAACCCTATCTCTACAAAATACGAAAACATTAGCTGGGTGTGGTGACACGTGCCTGTAGTCTCAGCTACTTGGGAGGCTGAGGTAGGAGGAACGCTTGAGGCTGGGGAGGTTGAGGCTGCAGTGAGCTGTGATGGCACCACTGCACTCCAGCCTGAGTGACAGCGTGAGACCCTGTCTCAAAGATCTAAATAAATGGAGAGAGGCACAGAGCAAGATGGCAGAATAGAAGCCTAAACTGTTCATCTCCCATCCACTGGAGCACCAAATTTAACAACTAACTGCACACAGAAAAGCACTGTCACAAGAAATAAAAATTGGGTGAGCAGTCACAGTACCTGGTTTTAACTTCGCATTGCCAAAAGAGGCATTAGGAGGGCAGGAGAGACAATCTTGAGTCTAACACCCCTCCAGAGTCCCCTGGCAGTGGCCTTGCAGCGCACAGAGAGCATCTGTGTGCTTTGGGGAGTGACAGTGACTTTACACTGAACTCAGTGCTGACCTGTGAGAGTGGAACCAGTGCCCATGCATAGAGGGGGCATTTGGACCAGCCCTAGCCGGGGCTAGGAAAAATTGCCCATCCCAGCAGTTGGAATTTGAGTTTCACAGCAAGCCTCACCACCGCGGGCTGTAGTGCTCTGGAGTCCCAGGTATACTTGAAAGGCAGTCTAGGACACAAGGACTGCAATTCCTAGGCAACCCCTAGTGCTAGGCTGGGCTTAGAGACAGTGAACTAGGGTGGCACATGACCTCAGGTGACACCAGCTGGCACAGCTAAGGGAGGGCTAGCACCATCCCTCCCCCAGCCCCAGGCAGTACATCTCATAGCAACGAAAGTGAGTCCTTCCTTTGTTTAAGGAGAGGAGAGCGGAGAGTAAAGAGGACTTTGTCTTGCATCTTGGATACCAGCTCAGTCACAGAAGGGTAGGGCACTGGGCAGAGTCATGAGGCCTCCATTTAGGCCTGAGCTCCCAGACAACATTTCTAGACACACCCTGAGCCAAAAGGGAACCTGCTGCCTTGAAGAGAAGGATCCAATCTTGGCAGGATTTATCACCTGCTGACTAAAGAAACATGCTGGCTTCAAGGGAGACCCAGCACATTCCCAGCTGTGGTGGCTATGGTGAAAGACTCCTTGTGTTTGAGAAAAGTAGAGGGGAAAGCAAAGGGGACTTTTTCTTGCACCCGAGGTACCAGCTCGGCCACAGTAGGCTAGAGCAACAAGCAAGCTCTTGGGGTTCCCTGAATCCGGGGCTAGGCTCTTGGATAGCATTTCTGGACCTGTCCTGGGCCAGAGGGGGACCCACTGCCCTGAAGGGTGAGTCCCAGACCTGGCAGCATTGACCACAAGCTGATAGAAGAGCCCTTGGGCTTTAAGCAAACATCGGCAGTGGCCTGGCAGAACCACCCATGGGCCAGTGGTGGTGGTGGCCACAGGGAGAGGCTCCGTTGCCTGTGGAAAATGGAGGGAAGAGTGGGAAGGACTTTGTATTGTGGTTTGAGTACCAGCTTAGCCACAGTAGAATAGGACATCAGGTAAATTGCTAAAGTTTTTGACTCCAATCCCTGGCTCCCAGACAGCATCTCTGGACATGCCTGGGCTTAGGGAAACTTGCCACCTTGAAGGGAAGGGCCTTGGGCAAAGCCCAATGCTGTGCTGGCATCAGGTCTGACCCAGTGCAGTTCCAGTGGTGGTGGTCACAGAGGTGCTTGCATCACCACAGCCCCAGTTCCAGATGCCTCAGCACAGAGAGACAGACTCTGTGTGTTTGGGAGAAAGTAAGGGAGGAGAACAAGAGTCTGCCTGGTAATCCAGAGAATTCTTCTGGATCTTATCGAAGACTACCAAGGCGGTACCTCTGTAAGCCTACAAAAACCACGGCGTTATTGTGCTTGGGGTCCAAGTCCCTTCAAATATCTAGAAAGCCTTACCAAGAAGGAAGGGCACAAACAAGCCCAGACTGTGAAGACTACAATAAATACCTAACTCTTCAATGCCCAGATAGCAAAGAACATCTACAAGCATCAACACCATCCAGGAACACATGACCTCACCAAATAAACTAAATAAATGGAGAGAGAGAGATTGTGTTCATGGGAAACACTCAATATTGTTAAGATACCAGTTCTTCCCAAATTGTACATAGGTTTAAAGCAATTCTAATCAAAATCCCAGCAGGCTTTTTTTTTGTGAATATAGACAAGCTGATTCTAAAATTTATATAAAAAGACAAAGGAACTAGAATAGCCAAGATAATTTTTTTAAAAACAACAAAATTTAAAGAACTTACATAACTGGACTTCAAGACTTTTTATGAAGCTCCAGTAATCAAGATAGTATGATTTTGTTGAAAGGATAAACACATATAAATCGGCGGGATATGGTCTCTGTGAAACCAATCCTTTGAAAATTATTTGTTGAGACTTACTTTATTGTCCAATATGTGGTATGTTTTCATAAACACTCGTGTTTGAAAAGAACTATCTGAAGTTGTGTAGTGTATTCTGCCTCGAATTTCACTGATTATAGGTGCACACAGATCACATTTAAACATCTCTGGAATCAGCATGCATCTTACCACAATGACAATGGCATAGTTTACTTGGCAGTGGTTTTTCTTTCTTAGTGGTATTTAAAATAATAGTGTGCCTTACAATCAGTGGTGCCTTACAATTGATGAAATTCAGTATATCTATTAGGTCAAGTTTACTCATTGTTCAACTCCCCATCTTAGCTGATATTTTCCTGCCTTTTATATCAATTATAAGAGAGCTATGTTAAAAATCTACTAAGATTGTAGTTTTAAAAAAATTTCTCATATTTATTTTGCTTAACATCCAGGTCCTGTATTAGGTGTGCTGAAGTTTAGATGTGTTTTATCTTCTAGGTTAATTGAATCTTTTATTTTTATTTTTAAATTTTTTTTTTTGAGGCAGTTTCACTCTTGTCCAGGCTGGAATGCAATGGCATTATCTTGGCTCACTGCAACCTCTGCCTCCTGGGTTCAAGCAATTCTCCTGTCTCAGCCTCCTGAGTAGCTGGGATTATAGGCATATGCCACCATGCCTGCCTAATTTTTGTATTTTTTATTTATTTATTGTTTTAGTAGAGATGGGGTTTCATTATATTGGTCAGGCTGATCTCGAACTCCTGACCTCAGGTGATCCGCCCACCTCGGCCTCCCAAAGTGCTATGATTACAGGTGTGAGCCATGACGCCAGACCTGAGTCTTTTATTTTTTTTAGTGGCTGATTTTGTCCCAAGTAATTATTTTTGCTTTAAAGTCTATCTTGTTCAATATAGTTATGCCAGCTTGCTTTTGGCTAATATTTGGTATAACTTTTTCCATGTTTTTACTTAAAGTACCAAGTCTTCAGCCCTGCTGTTTCCTTATATTTTAGATTTACCTCTTATAAGTACCATATAGTTAGATATTATTTCCTAATTCAACCTGACAATCTTTGTCATTTAACTAAAATGCCCAGTTTGTTTACATTTATTATGATTATTGATACATATGGATTGATTTCTACCATCTTATTTTGGGCTGTTTGTCCCACCTGTTTCTTTCTTTTTCTCTCCTTTCTTGTCTTTTGGATTGATGAGTGTTTTTACTGGGTATAGAATTCTAGGTGTTTGTGCACAATGATAAAGTGAAAAGTTGAGGGCCCTTTTGTTCTCTTTTGTCATCTCCAGAAGCAGAGTTTGAGCTTGTGAAAAACCATGGTTCATATGTATTTGGCATCCTTCACCTACCACAATACTTAGTACATAGTTAATTCATAGGAATTCCATTTATTTTGATTATCTTTGACTACAGCTGGCAAGATGTGGCCTTTTCCTTTTAAAAAATTTATTGCTAAGAACTCTAAGGCAGTTTTTGTTTAAATGTTTTGTAAACTTAGCCTATGTTATTTGCAGCTTTTCTGAATTAAAAAAAAAAATTGGCAAGCCTTTTCCCCAGATGCGGCATTAAATTCTAAGAGCTGTCAGTTGGGCAAAACTTTGATCATTTTGTTCCAAAATTAATTATTAAATCACCATACCTACGTTCCTCACTAAATTTCCTCTGGTCTACTTGATCGTTCATTTATGGAATGATACAGTATTAAGGTACCATTTATAAACTTCTAAAAAAAATACTGCAATCCAGCATGCATTATTTATGGATCTGTGTAAATATTAAAACAGGGACTGGGCTGGGCATGGTGGCTCATGCCTCTAATCTCAGCACTTTGGGAGGCCAAGGTAGGTGGACTGCTTGAGCTCACTAGTTCAAGGTCAACCTGGGCAACATGGCAAGACCATGTTTCAAAAAAAAAAAAAAAAAAAACAGGAAAGAAAAAAAGTAATTTTGGAGTTAGAGCTGTGTAAATCAGTGTGTAAAACTTCTGTGATTTTAAAATGGAGGGTTGCCATCTAGTGGACACATTTAAATAAAACCTTTAAAGTCTTTCATAATAGGTTATGACGCAATGGAATAAAGTTTTTCAGACTCTTCCACACCACACGTAAGAAAGAAGGTATATTCTGATAGTTAAAACAACTTTGGAGTTTATCAGACCTAGGTATGAACCCTGGTTTTCTTATTTACTGTGTAACCTTGGGCAAAGTTTCAAACCTGTCTGTACCTTAGTGAGTTTGAACTCAGACCTTCATTGATTTAACAAAGTTCCCAACTTACAATGGTTCAACTTACAATTTTTTGACTTTATGATGGTGTGAAAACGATACTCATTCATTAGGAAACACGCTTCAAATTTTGATCTTTTCCTGGGCTGGTGATATTCAGTATAATACTCTGGCAATGCTGGGCAGTGGCAGAGAGCCGCAGCTCCCAGTCAGCCATGTGATCAAGAGGGTTAACAACTGTTACTCTGCAGTCTACTGTGTTGCCAGATGATTTACCTATAGGGTAATCTAAGCATTCTGAGCACGTCTAAGGTAGGCCAGGCTAAGCTATGATGTTTGCTAGGTTAGGTGTATTAAATGAATTTTTAATTTACAATACTTTCAACTTACCATGGGTTTATCAGGATATAACTCCATCATTAACAGTAGAGGAGGTCAGGCGTGCACACCTGTAATCCCAGCACTTTGGGAGACCAAGGCGGGTGGGTCACCTGAGGTCACGAGTTCGAGAACAGCCTGACCAAGGTGAAACCCCATCTCTACTAAAAATACAAAAATTAGCCAGGCGTGGTGGCACGTGCCTGTAATCCCAGCTACTCCGGAGGCTGAGGCAGGAGAATCATTTGAACCCGGGAGGCGGAGGTTGCAGTGAGCTGAGATCACGCCATTGCACTCCAGCCTGGGCAACAAGAGCAAAGCTCCGTCTCAAATAAACAACAGCAACAACAACAACAAAAACCACAAACAATAAAACAGTAAAGGAGCATCTGCATTATGAAGCCCTCCAGTGAACTAGATTAGACTGTGGGGATGGTTTCCTAGACTGTGGGGAGATAGCAGAGCACAAAATTAGACAGTCTCCTCCTAGAGTTTAATAAGGGTTGTGTTAGGGGTACTGGGGAGGGACTACTATTAATATTTTAGAGTGGGCAGTTAGAAATTGGGTTTAAATCTTAGATCCCTTAATAATGCTTATATAACCTTAGGCAAATACCAGTCTCAAGGATGACATTAAGACCTAAGTTCAACACGAGCTGTAACACGGCTTCGTTCATCACTTTTTTCCTAGTAATGCTTGGAATAGAAAAGGCCTTCGATAAGTATCTGCTGAATGTATGAATGGCACTACTTTAGCATTACCTGAACACATTTCCTGGCGCCTAAGCACTCAATAAATTTTAGTATTAAGGAAATTACATGACTATGTATATTATGTACATAGGGAACCTTGGACTTAAAACAATTTTAGATTGATACATAATTTACCAGTTAAAAATTGTTATATACACTTACTGAAGGCAGCAAACTGCTGCATGTAACCCTATCAATATTGAGGGAAGGCCAGGCACAGTGGCTGACGCCTGTATTCCCAGCCAAGATCGCCTGAGGTCAGGAGGTCGAGACTAGCCTGGCCAACATGGCAGAACCGTCTCTAATAAAAATACAAAAATTAGACAGGCATGGTTGCGCACGTCTGTAATCCCAGATACTCGAGAGGCTGAGGCAGGAGAATCGCTTGAACTCGGGAGGCAGAGATTACAGTGAGCCAAGATCGTGCCACTGCACTTCAGCCTGGGCGACAGAGTGAGACTCCACCTCAAAAAAAGAAAATATATATATATTTATATATATATTATATAATTTAATTATATATTTTTATTATATATATAATTAAAATATATATTATATATAATATAATATATATTATATATAATATAATATAGATTATATATATAAAATCTATATTATATATAATATAGATTATATAATATAGATTATATAATCTATATTATATATAATAGATTATATATATAAAAATATACATATATTTATATATTTCCTCTATATAGAGAGAGGAAAAGGATCTCAACCACGCAATGGCAGAGAGATACGGTCTCTAATGCCTACCTATGTCTGCTACAAAAAAATTTACACCAATAAAGGGAGATGGTTATCAGAATCTCTCTCTCAAAAGTGGGAGGAGGGGATGGCAGGCACAGTGGCTCATGCCTATAATCCCAGCACTTTGGGAGGCCGAGGTGGGTGGATCACTTGAGGCCAGGAGTTCGAGACTAGCCTGGCCAACATGAGAAACCTCACCTCTACTAAAAACTACAAAAATTAGCCGGGTGTGGTGGCACAGGCCTATAAACCCCAGCTACTCGGGAGGCTGAGGCACGAGAATCACTTAAGCCTGGGAGATGGAGGTTGCAGTGAGCCAAGATTGCACCACTGCACTCCAGTCTGGGCAACAGAGCAGAGCAAGACTGTGTCTCCAGAAGAAAAAAAAAAAAGTGGGAGGAGGGGGTGTTAAATGGCCTAAACCTCCTCCAAATGACTGTCCCTCAAAAATTCCTGCCAAACTCTCCTAGAACAGCCTTCTGAATTCTACTACCTTGAGGTATGCGTTCCTTCACTTTTATAGTAAAACAAACAGTACTTATTAAAAACAGGCCAGGCGAGGTGGCTCACACCTGTAATCACAGCACTTTGGGAGGCCAAGGTGGGCGGATCACTTGAGGTCAGGAGTTCGAGATCAGCCTGGCCAACATGATGAAGCCCCGCCTCTACTAAAAATACAAAAATTAGCTTGGCGTGGTGACGCACGCCTGTAATCCCAGCTACTTGGGAGGCTGAGGCAGAATTGCTTGAACCCAGGAGGCGGAGGTTGCAGTGAGCCAAGAGTGGGACACTGCACTCCAGCCTGGGTGATAGAGCGAGACTCTGTCTCAAAAAAACAACAAACAAACGACAAAAAAACTCTACTTTGTACAACAGAGTAAATAATGTAATGATTATTATGATTAGGTTTTGATGTACTTCGTAAAGCTATGAAATAATTTTTGTTTTACTATAACCTGTGATTTTTCCTTTAAAGTAGCTGTCAAGCCCTTAGTCTAATTCACTTTTTATCAGCTTTATAGCATCTTTTGTGGGAATTTGAACTGCCATCATGACAACTCATTATATAATTCCAAGCCATAATACACATTTTTTGAGACATGGTCTTGCTCTGTCATCTAGGCTGGTGTGCAGTTGTGCAATCACAGCTCACAGTAGCCTTGACCTCCTGGGCTTAAGCTATCCTCCTACCTCAGCCTCCCGAGTAGCTGAGACTACAGGTTCCTGCCACCTTGCCCAGCTAATTTTTGCACATTTTGTAGAGGCAGGGTTTCACCATGTTGCCCATGCTGGTCCCAAACTCCTGGTGCCACACAATCCCAATGCCTCAGCCTCCCAAAGTGCTGGGACTACAGGTGTGAGCCACCCGCCTGGCCTAATACACATTTTTATATCACTACTGTGACCTCATATTTTAATTGGAGAATGCAGGTTTAACCTAGTAGTTGCAATATAATAATTGCTGAATGAATAAATACAGTAAGAATTCCAAAATGCTAACAAATGCCCATTCTTCCTGCTCTGTTCAATATTAAAGGAATATCTTATATGCCCTATATGTGTTTGTGGACAATAATCTATTTCTATCAATATAATATATAAATGAGTAAATTGATAAGTAAAATAGCAAGTTGAACTAAGGAAATAATTTGATTAGTCTTTTGCATTTTGGAAGTCTAATTTCATGTTTGGACTATAATCACTTAAAAATTTGATAAGCCCCACATTGGATTCCAATTAGAAAAACACCCAGGAAAATAATTTGTTATGCATTTATGGAACCATTAATGGTTTGCCCTGACCTGTTTCATACAGCTAGAGTAAGTAACTGGGTCTAGTTAGCAAGGCCCTACACCAGAAGTCTGAAGGCAGCAGAGTTTACAAATATTTGCAGATGTCCAGCTGTTAAGGCACTAAGAGCTAGGCTACCTCTGTTGTAAACAAGCACGGTGTCTACCCAATAATATATTATCATCTGTTGAAAAAGTCTTTTGACATAACCCAGTGACCTCATACCTCCTCATATTCTTAGGCCTAACGGGCCACCAGTTTGAGATTCTGGCTTTACACAAGGTAGTAAGTGATATAAGTAATCCCCCTGGCGATCAAACTTTTTTTTCTTTTCATAAAGTGCTGCCAAGTCAACAGAGTCCCATTTTAAAAGACCCTTCTAATGAGAAATTTCATCAGGAGGGTCAAACACAAATGTATCAGTTAAGTGAAGATTTCTACGTAGCATTAGGATAATTAACAGCATGGCCAGGAGCAAGCTTATCATTCATATACCAAGCATTATATTTTACATTCAGTAGACTATCAAATGTCCTTTAATTTCACAGACAACAATATGATGCATACTGTGTAAGAGCACACAATAGTTTTGCAGTACAATTTTAAACTGTATACAAATTGGAATATAGATGTTAAACGCTGGTGTACTGACAGTATTTTTGAATTTTAGATAAACTGCATACAAAATTTACAATGCAAATATTAGCCAATCTGAAAACGTCCCATAATATAAAAATGATACTTTGAGATGCAAATTTTACTAAACTATATAAACATTTAAAATAATCATTAAAAACTCAACATTAGAATTTATAAAGATCAGCTATAAAAATATATTGGCAGTCACTTTTCTTATAAAGGTACCACTCACTACATTACAAAATAGTCTCTAACATAAAATTGCCTTAATAACTATACTATTATAGAATCTGATAAACCTTACATTATTAAATTGATTATAAAATCTTCTTGGAAAAACTTTGGTATGTATCTTCAGAAGGTTTTTTAAAAATAATATTTTAAGGGCCTGTAAACATTCCATTCTATTAAAGCACAGCAGAATAAGTAATGGATATTCAACTGCATACAGAATATAGACTCAAAAAAACAATTTATTATGTATTTGTAGAAAATCATTACCAGAGTAAGCAAAAAAACCAACTATTTAAAAGTATCAAACTTTTAAACAGTTCTTTTTCCATTCTGATAAAAAATGTTATAAAATCACCATACTCCATTCATGTACCTTAGATGCCTTTTAGGATAAGACCTCAAAAATAATTAACCTAGTCTCAAAAATCCATTCAAGTCCAATAACAAACTTTTAAAAACCCACTTAAAAAGACTTGACACTAGAACAAGTATACATAATCAGAACATATACTTTATATATTTAGTAATGTACTAGGTTTTCTCTTACCTTTGTAATTTAGAATTTATTGGCAGAAATTACACACACACACACACATATATATAACTAAAAAAAGGTAAATTTCAGCAAACAAATGCAAACCTGTAGGGTAAATGGATTTTTAAAAAAAATTCAGTTTATCAAATTTCATCTTCTCTGCCATTTTAGATTGGCAACTATTGGTTATTTAGAAAATTTAGACTGCTGAAAGTTCATTTCTTGCTCCTTGAATATGTTTAATTTCTACAAAGCTTCCAGTTGTGCCCGTAGCTTCCTTGAGGTCATTTTCCACTTTCTCCTCTGTCACTAGATATCGTGCGTAAGATATTTATCCTTGATTTGGAAAAGCCTAAATAAAAAGCTTCAGTTTTGACCTTTTAATTTATAAAACTCCACTAGGAAATCCATTTAATTTTTATGCATGTCCACAAAAATATTTTCTTTCTTAGGAATCAAACACTTTTATTGGAATAAAGATCCTTCAAAGTTTTTAACTCTTCTATTAGAGTTTTATTTTGATTTTCCAGGACTGCAACTCGGTTTTCCAGGCATTTCACATATTCTTTCTTCTTTCTGCGACATTCTCGAGCAGCTTCTCTAAATATGAGCATTAAAAAAACAATGTTAGAAAAAACTTCACATTCTTTAAATGGTAAATGTTCTTCAGTAATTTTCCGTGGTCACCTTTTTTTCTCTTTAAAGTATCATCTACACACAGAGAATACATAGATCTTAAGTGTAGAATTCAGTCAGTTTTGGCAATTGTGTATACCTGTATAACCCACACCTCTGTCAAGACAACAGAACATTCCCACTGTCCCAGAAAGTTCCCTCATGCCCCTTCCTGGTCAGCCCCCTTCCAAGCAACTATCGTTTTGATTTTTATCACCAGAGATTAGTTTTTTTCCTATTCTAGAACCTCATGTAAGAGTGTCATACACTATGTACTCTGGTGTCCCTTCACTCAGCCCATCTGAGGTTCATCCATGTTGCTGCATGGGGGTTTGTTCCTTCACACTGCTGGACATAGTTCACTGTATGAATATAACCACCATTTGTGTATCCAGTCTCTTGCGATGTTTCTAGGGTTAGCTGCATAGGCATGTTTTTGTGCCAGTCTTTTTGTAGAAAGGTTTCATTTCTCTTGAATAAATACCAAAGAGTGAAATTATGGGTCCTCTGGTTAACTTCTGACACATGACTTCTTTTATTTAAGTTCAAATTACAAACAATGCTTGAGCAAATACTCAGTTCTGTGCATGTCCTCTTAAAACATTTCTGTGAAGTCATATGTAAGTTTATATACATATAGAAATCGGAAGTATTGGCCAGGCATGGTGGCTCATGCCTGTAATCCCAGCACTTTAAGAGGCCAAGGCGGGCAGATCACCTGAGGTCAGGAGTTCGAGACCAGCCTGGCCAACATGGCAAAACCTCATCTCTACTAAAAATACAAAAATTAGCTGTGGTGGCACATGCCTGTAATCCCAGCTACTTGGGAGTCTGACCCAGGAGGATCACTTGAAGCTGGGAGGTGGAGGTTGCAGTGAGCCAAGATCGCGCCACTGCACTCCACCCTGGGCAACAGAGCAAGACTCTGTCTCAGAAAAAGAAAGAAAGAAAGAAACAGTACTATTTTAAGATTTTTATGCTATATATGTAGATACTATTTGCAACTTGCTTTTTAGTACACATCTTTAAAAGGACTGTACAAAATCTTTCCCCTCACAAAAAGACTTTATTTTTACCTTTAAGCTCTGTTTGTTTGTTTGTTTTAAGTGGTTTCCAGTAAACATTCTTTTTCTTTTTTCTTCTTTTGTTTTGAGACAGGGTCTCACTCTGTCAACCAGGCTGAGTGCAGTGGCACAATCACAGCTCATTGCAACCTTGACCTCCTGGACTCAAGATATCCCCACTTCAGCCTCTCAAGTAGCTGGGACTACAGGTGTACACCACCACACCAGCTAATTTTATTTTTGTAGAGATGAGGTCTCAGTATGTTGCCTAGGCTGGTCTCACTCCTGGTCACGGTGTCGGGATTATGGGCATGAGCCACCCACTCAGCCTCCATTCTTTACGTGTATTTCTACACATGTATTTCTTGAAGGATCACAAGCTATATTCACTTAAAGTCAAGAGATAGTGCCAATTTATATTCATTGAAGTACAGAGAAATAAGGGGGGAAAAAAGGAAGGAAAAAAATCCCAGAGTCAAACCAGAAAGAAAAAAGGGAAAAAATGCCAGAATGTCCTCCAGAGTATTTGTACCATTTACATTCCCAGGGGCAGTACATGAGAGTGCCTGTTATGAACATTTTAAAATGGTTGTCAGTCTAGCGGCTGACAAAAAGCGAACCTCACTGCTTTAACATTTCCCTCATTATGCACAAAGTTTGGAATAATTTCATGTTTACAAGGCCATCTTTCACAGACCGGTTTCCTTCTGTTAGGTCTCTTATTTACAGAAATAAATCTTTATATAACCTATACATCTCGTAATTCTTTCTCTTTATATAAAAGTTGCAAATATTTTTCCCAGTTAACAGACTTATTTTTAAGTTTCTTTATGGTATCTTTTGTCACATACAAGTAGAAATGTTGGGGCAAGTAGATACCATAAAACTCCGTACTTCCCTCAGTAATGTATGTGAGGTACCCTTTTCCTTATATGCCCAATGACAGACAGTATTACCACTTTATAATTTTTGCTACGTGACATCTCATTTCTTATTTTTATAGTTGTAGTATATACGTATATGACCCTAAAACTGCTATCATTTATTTTCTAAAATTATAAAATATCATACTTTGTGTATTCTGTTGCAACTTGTTTTTTCATTCAATTTTTCTAAGATTTATTCATGTTGAAATGATTATTCATTCAGTCATTACAAATAAACATTCCATTCTATAAATACAGTCACAATTTATGTACCTATTCTTTTTTCCCCCCATTTTTATGTTTAGGCTCAATATGTACCTATTCTGTTATCAATGAATCTTGAGGTTGTTTCCTGATTTTTTGCTGCTATGAAAATTCTTATACATACTTCCTCCAAGTTCCTCTCAGTCACACAGACTAAAACAGCTGGGTCACAGAGTATACCCACGTCAACTGTACAAGATAAGGCCTAATTTCCAAAATGGCTGCATCAATTTACACTCCTATAGTAGTATCTATGAATTCCTGACCATTGTTCCAAATCCTTGCCAACTCTTGGTTAGACTTTAAAATTTTTGCCAATTGGGTGGGTATAAAGGGTATCTAAATGTGTAGCATTAATGTGTATTTCTTTGATTACTAATAAGGCTGAGTAGTCTTTTATATGATTATTAACTACTTGTGTGTTTTTTTTTGTTTGTTTTATTTTTGAGACAAGAGTCTTGCTCTGTTGCCCAGGCTGAAGTACAATGGCGTGATCATGGCTCACTGCAACCTCTGCCTCCAGGTTCAAGTGATTCTCCTGCCTCTACCACATCTAGCTAATGTTTTAAATTTTTTTTAGAGATGGGGTCTCCCTATATTGCCCAGGCTGGTCTCAAACTCCTGGGCTCAAGTGATCCTCCTGCCTTGGCCTCCGAAAATGCTGGGATTACACGTGTGAGCCACCACGCCTGGCCTGTATGGTTTTTTCCATTAAAATGTTTCTGTGCATATTTATGGAGCACATGAGAAAATCTGTTACATGTATATAATGTGTAGCGATCAAGTCAGGGGATTCAGGGTGTCCATCACCTGAGTATTAATAGGTTTTTGTTAAGGGTGGTCATCCTACTCTGCTATGAAACACTGAATTTATTCCTTTTATCTTACTGTGTATGGGTTTGTACCCTTTAACTCTCTTCATCCTCCTCCTTGCCCCTCACCGTTCCCAGTCTCTGTTACCTATTTTTCCATTCTCTCTTTTTTCTTGAGATAGGGTCTTGCTCTGTTGCCCAGGCTGAAGTGCAGTGGTGCGATCATGCTGCCTCAACCCCCTGGGCTCAAGCAATCCTCCCACCTCAGCCTCCCGAGTAGCTGGGATTTTAGGCACACGCCACCATGCCTGGCTAATTTTTTATCTTTTGTAGCAATGGGTATGTTGCCCAGGCTTGCATTGAACTCCTAGGCTCAAGTGATCCTCCCGCCTCGGCCTCCCAAAGTGCTGGGATTACAGGCATAAGCCACCACGCCCAGCCCTATTTTTCCACTCTCTACTTCCATGTGTTCAAATATTTTAGCTCCCACATATAAGTGAGAATGTGATATTTTTTCTTTTTGTGCCTGGCTTATTTCACTTAAGATACTGACCTTCAATTCCATCCATGTTGCTGCAAATGACATGATTTAATTCTTTCTTATCCATTTATCCACTGATGGACACATAGTTGATTCTATTAGCTATTGTGCGTGAATAGTGCTGCAAGTAAACTTATGAGTACAGGTATCCCTCTGATATATTGATTTCTTTTCCTTTGGGTAGATTTCTATTTTTCGTTTTTTGAGAAGTCTCCATACTGGTTTTCATAGTGGTTGTACTAGCTAATTTTAAATTTTTGGGGGCTGGGTGCAGTGGTTCATGCCTGTAATCCCAGCACTTTGGGAGGCTGAGGCAGGTGGATGGATCACTTGAGCCCAGGTCTGAGACCAGCCTAAGCAACATGGCAAAACCCCACCTCTACAAGAAAAAAAAAAAAAATTAGCTGGGTGTGGTGGTATACATCTGTAGTCTCAGCTACTTGGGAGGCCGAGCTGGGAGGATCACTTGAGCCCTGGAGGCAGAGGTTGCAGTAAGCCAAGATTGTGCCACTGCACTCCAGTGTGGGTGACACAGTGAGACCTTGTCTTAAAAAAAAAAATCACAAAAACCAAATATAACTTTTCTACTTTTTGAACTTTTTTGTTAAAAATTAAGACACCAACACCAACATTAGCCTAGGCTAACTAGCCTAGGGTCAGGATCATCAATATCATTGTCTTCCACCTCCATACCTTATCCCACTGGAAGGTCTTTAGGGGCAATAACACACAGGGAGCTGTTATCTCCTATGATAACAATGCCTTCTTCTGGAATACCTCCTGTAGGGGCTGCCTTGAGGCTGTTTTACAGTTAAAAAAATTTTTTTTTTTGAGACAGAGTCTCACTCTGTTGCCCAGGCTGGAGTGCAGTGGCGCAATCTCAGCTTACTGCAAGCTTCGGCTCCCAGATTCATGCCATTCTCCTGCCTCAGCCTCCCGGGTAGCTGGGACTACAGGCGCCCGCCACCACGCCCAGCTAATTTTTTTGTATTTTCAGTAGAGATGGAGTTTCACCACGTTAGCCAGGATGGTCTCGATCTCCTGACCTCGTGATCTGCCCGCCTCAGCTGGGATTACAGGCGTGAGCCACCATGCCTGGCCTACAGTTAACTTTAAAAAAAAAAAAAAAAAAGTAGAAGGTATACACTTTAAAATAATGATTAAAAGTATAGTAAATTCATAAACCAGTAACATATTAACTTATTATAGTATCAAGTATTATGTTCTATACATAATTGCATGTGCTACACTTTTATATGATTGGCAGCACAATAGGTTTGTTTATACCAGCATTGCCACAAACGTGAGTAATGTGTTGCACTATGACATTAGCACAGGACTTTTTAGCTCCATTATAATTTTATGGGACCACCGTCATTCATTTATGTGGTCCATTGTTTACTTAAACATTGTCATGCAGCCCATGACTGTATACAGTTCCAGTTAACATCTGGTTATGTTGTGAGATTTGTAAAAACATTACCCATTCTGGTACTACGATTTTACTACCTACCTGTTTTTCATTAACCTTATTTCTCTTTTCAATTGGGGGTCATCTGTCTTAGTTGTCTGAGAGGTGAGAGTCACAGGAGATGTCATCACCACAGTTTGTGGCAGAGAAGTAGCTGAAGGTGTAGTTCGGATCTGATATGTTTGCATATCTCCTGATGCAGCTAGATGGTAAACAAGAGTGAATGAGTTAGTTAGTAAGTGTCTCTGACAGTGTTAGGAGACTTTCTGTAGACAGAAAGCATACTTACTTTGTACGACCACCTGATTGCTGGGCACAAGTATCTGCTGTCCATCAGAGGTCTGTGCATACTGAAGAATAGTTGTACCTTGCTGAGTACTGCCTGAATTTGTCATGGTTAATGTCTGAAGTCCCTGTACTCCATCTGTGCCTGGACTTGCCAACTGTAAGGCTCCATTTGGGGCAATGGCAACTTTAATCAAAAAGAGAAAATAGCTATTGTAAGGTTATATAATACACTAATTCAAAGGAGTGGCAAAAAGCCCACAAACACTATTTACTAAAACAGGTATGAATGCACTTCTACTTGGTAACTGCAGACTACTTTACTTTAGGTGAACTACATGTAAAAGGAATAAAACAGCATTTCTTTTTTTTTTTTCTTTTTTGAGATGGAGTCTCGCTCTACCGCCCAGGCTGGAGTGCAGTGGCACGATCTCGGCTGGCTGCAACCTCTGCCTCCTGGGTTCAAGCCATTCTTGTGCCTCAGCCTCCCAAGGAGCTGGGATTACAGGTGTGCGCCACCATGCCCAGCTGATTTTTATATTTTTAGTAGAGACGGAGCTTCTCCATGTTGGCCAGGCTGGTCTCAAATTCCTGACCCCAGGTGATTCACCCGCCTCAGCCTCCCAAAGTGCTGGGATTACAGGCATGAGCCACTGCACTTGGCCCCATGATAGTTAATTTTTAAGAAAAAATAAAAAGGAAACATAAACATAGTTTGTAATTTTGAGTCAAAAGCATTAAAAATATTATTACTTTAAAATATTTCTGAATAGATAACATGCTTATGGAAAAAATTCAATAGAATAAAAGGTTATATAATGAGAAAATAAGTCATCTTTATATGGTTTCTTAGCTTCATTTTCTAGTGGTACCACTGTTAAATGTATTACATGTTATTAAGATATTTACTTAAGTGATAGTTAAGAAATGTAATCTATTCATTTACTTCCTAGTGAAAATCACTAATAAAGATAGCAGAAAGCCACTGTGTAGAAAATACTACTTAGCTCCCCACAAACATTTTTTCACTGAATTATACCTGTGTTCATGCTTTCTCCTCAGCCCTTAAATGCCCATAAGGCATGATCAAATAGAAAACATTTTAGCATTATTCAATTCCCATATACTCTTCAGAATCGAATGCCTCATCTCTGTACCCTCTTTTCAGATTACAGTTATGAAACATTTTTTTTTCCTTTTATGCTTTGGCTACCAGGAAGCCAAAATACATGTATATGTATATGTGTGTGATGGAAAAATATTTTTTTTCACGCATTCATAATTATCCCTCCCCAACTGCCCCAACTTTAATTTATGAGTTTCAAAATATTTTTTTAAATGTTAGATACAGGGATATGTTGGCTATTTTTTTTGAGACAGGGTCTCACTTGTCACCCAGGCTGGAGTGCAGTGGTGTGGTCCTGGTTCACCACTGCACTCTACCTCCTGGGCTCAAGCAATCCTCCTACCTCAGCCTCCCAAGTAGCTGGAACTATAGATGCACACGGACATGCTCAGCTAATTTTTAAATTTTTTATAGAGATAGGGTCTCCCTATATTGCCCAGTCTGGTCTTGAAATCAAGTGATCCTCCCACTTTGGCCTCCCAAAGTGCAGGGATTACAGGCGTGATCCAACACGCCAGGCTGAGATTTGCTGTGAAGTTATATTAGCAATTAGTTTCAATCTTCTTCCCTGCAACACATTATTATATACATATATACACATACACATTTATTTATATAAGTATCAACATAAATAAAATTAAAGGTCCCATTATCTATCTCTATTTCATTTTCCCCCTTTTACCGCCATCCTGAGATAATTATTGTTTTTGGTGCACATCCTTCCCATTATTTTCCTGTGCTTATACAGACTTATATACTTTTGCCATTATGTTCAGTGGTGAAAACTGCAATTTCTTTTACACCAACCTAATATATCAAAATACATACCTGTAGATGCAAATGTTTTGATATTAAATATGTGTGAATACATATTTTCATTTTTGCAACATATCTTCCTGTTCTTAACATGTGTATTTACCTGTTAATGTGCTGTATTTATTCTAAAACTGAGCTGTCTGATAGGGTATTAGCTCCATGTGGCTATTTAAATTAACTAAAATTAAACAAAATTAAAATTTCAGTTTCTCAGTCCCACCAGCCATATTTCAAGCACTCAACAGTCACACATGGTTTAGTGGCTACTATTCTGGGACAATGCAGATATAAACATTCCCATTATCATACGAAGTTCTATTGGCCTATGTTGCCCTAAATACTAGTTTGTACTACACTTATTTCAGTGATAACATGTGAACCTCCCCACTACCTCTGATCTCTGCTCCCAAGCTTCTTTCCTTGCAACCACTGCTCCCAGTTTCTTTCTTTCTTTCTTCTTTTTCTGAGACTGGTCTTGCTCTATTGCCCAGGCTGGAGTGCGGTGGTACGATCACGGTTCACGGTAACTTCGAACTCCCAGACTCAAGAGATCCCATTTCAGCCTCCCGAGTAGATGGGACTAGTCACATGCCATGATGCCCGGCTTTTTTTTTTTTTTTTTTTCTTCATTTTTCTGTGAAGACACAGTCTTGCTATGTTGCCAAGGCTGGTCCTGAATGTGGCTTCAAGCAATCCTCCAGCCTCAGCCTCTCAACGTACTGAGATTACGGACATGAACTACAGTGCCTGGCCCCCAGTTTCTCAAGAGGTATTCTATATATATATTATTTAATTAATTCATAACAAACAACTGAAAGCCTACTATATGCCAGGTCCTATATGTCAAGGATGTAGTTGTGAATGAAACAAAAGGTTCTTTCCCTTAAGGATCTTATATTCTAGTGGGGAAAACAGATCATGAATAAGCTAATCTATAATTACATACATACAATCTATAATTAAACTAATATGTACTGACTTAGTTATATGTAAATGCTATAAAGAAAAATATAGGAGGTTAAGGGAAACTAAAGGGAGGAGCCACATATTTGAAGAGAGTGGTCTCTTTGTGGAGGTGACACTTAAGCAGAGTAGCCACATAAGGATCTGGGGGAAGAACATGCCAGGCATGAGCAATGACAACTCCAGAGATCCTGAGGCAGAAACAAGCTCGTGTGTCTGAGGTACAGTAAGGAAGTCTGGGGTGGTCAGAATGCCACCAAGTGGCAGGAGATGAGGTCAGAGTGGTAGGCAGATCCTAAATGTAATGCCTTGTAAGATCCGGATTTTATTCTAAGTGTGATAAAATGTCACTAGAGGATTTTGGGCAGGAGCGATGTGATCTAGTTGACATCTTAAATAAATCACTTTGGCCACAGTATGGAAAACTGATTATTAGAGCAAGAATGGAAGCAAGATGACCAACTGGATGCCTACTTCAGTAATTAAGATGAGAGCCTAAACCAAGGCGGTGGTGGTTGGAGACGGCAAGAGGTGGTCAGATGGGACATATATTTTGTGGCAAGACTGAATGAAACAGATTAATGTTAGGAGTGGAGGGGGAGATAACAAATGGGCAGCACAAGTAAATTCGTTAGGGTGACAGAACTCAATCTTGATTGGCGGTGTTATACTATTCTACACATTTGTCAAAACTCATAGACTTAAACTCCCCAAAGAGTGAATTTTACTGTATATAAATCAAACAATAAATATTTTTAACGAATAGGCAGGGGCCAGGCGTGGTGGCTCACGCCTGTAATCCCAGCACTTTGGGAGGCCAAGGTGGGTGAATCACTTCAGGTCAGGAGGAGTTTGAGACCAGCCTGGCCAACATGGTGAAACCCCGTCTCTACTAAAAATGCAAAAATTAGCCAAGCGAAGTGGTACACGCCTGTAATCCCAGCTACTTGGGAGGCTGAGGCAGGAGAATCACTTGAACCCGGGAGGTGGAAGTTGCAGTGAGCCGAGATCATGGCACTGCACTCTAATCTGGGCAACAGAGCGAAACTCCACCTCAAAAAAAAAAAAAAAAGCCAGGAATGTTCTGAAAGGAATTATACTAATATAATATACAGCAATTATGTACGGAACTACATAGATATAAGAATGAACAAAATAAGGCCAGGCGCAGTGGCTCATGTCTATAATCCCAGCACTTTGGGAGGCCAAGGTGGACGGATCACCTGAGGTCAAAGTTCGAGACCAGCCTGGCCAATATGGTGAAACCTCCTCTCTACTAAAAATACAAAAATTAGCCGGGCGTGGTGGCACACGCCTGTAATCCCAGCTACTCCGGAGGCTGAGGCAGGAGAATCACTTGAATCGGGAAGGCAGAGGTTGCAGTGAGCCAAGATTGTGCCACTGCACTCCGGCCTGGGCAACAAGAGCGAGACTCTGTCTCAAAACAAAACAAAACAAAACAAAACAAAACAGTATCTAATGTTGTAGGTCTCAGTTCCCTCATACATTGATAATTGCCTATGTCACAAAGTTGTTATAAGGAGTAAATAATGCTGAAACAGTACTTCGCATTATTCCTGGCTGAAAACATCCTTTAATAATCATCACTATCAAAGTATTACAGTTTTCCTAACACCATTTCTTTCTACAGAAAAGTCAGGTTTTGTGTGTTTATAATGTGGAAACTGATTCCTATACATACTGTACTGTCCGCTGCTAGTCTGATAGATGGGAGTTGGAACAGACATAGAAGTGACAGCAGCAGAAACTCCAGAATTTTCTCCGTCTCCTTTTCTGCCCCGTGTATCTTCAGAAGATAAGTCTTTCAAAATTTTTCTGTAAAAAAAACCAGAACTCTATTAAACATTGGTAATGTGAATGACTTCACAAAAATAATTTTTTTTTTTTTTTTTTTTTTGAGACAAGATCTTGCTTTGTCACCCAGGCTGGAGTACAGTGGCGCCATCATGGCTCACTGCAACCTCTGCTTCCCTGGCTTAAGAGAGTCTTGTGCCCCAGCCTCCCAAGTAGCTGAGACCAGAAGTGTGAGCCACCACACCCAGCTAATTTTTGTATTTTCAGTAGACACGGGGTTTCACCATGTTGGCCAGGCTGGTCTTGATCTCCTGGCTTCAAGTGATCCACTCATCTCCTCTTCCCAAAGTGCTGGGATTACAGGCATGTGCCACCATGCCCGGCCACAAAAAGAAATTCCTAAAACTTTTTCAATCTCAGGTAAAAGTTATAATAATCGGGCCAGTCATGGTGGCTCACACCTGTAATCCCAGCATTTTGGGAGGCCGAGACCAGCGGATCACAAGGTCAGGAGTTTGAGACCAGGCTGGCCAATATGGTGAAACCCTGTCTCTACTAAAAATACAAAAATTAGCTGGGCATGGTGGCAGGCGCCTGTAATCCCAGCTACTTGGGAGGCTGAGGCAGGAGGATCGCTTGAATTCCGGAGGCGGAGGTTGCAGTGAGTCGAGGTCGCGCCACTGCACTCCAGCCTGGGCGACAGAGTGAGAGTCTGCCTCAAAAAAAAAAAAAATTACAATAATCTACCAGACACTTAAACTATTACACCAAAGAATGCTTTTATTTAGCATATATTATTATAATGATGTGCTCCAGGCTGATTACATATTAGTTTAAAGAGTAAAGAGGGCTGGGCATGTGGCTCCCATCTGTAATCCCAACACTTTGGGAGGCTGAGGTGGGCGAATGACTTGAGGTCAGGAGTTTGGAGACCAGCCTGGCCAACATGGTGATACCCAATCCCTGCTAAAAATACAATAATTAGCTGGACATGGTGGTGCGAGCCTGTAATCCCAGCTACTCGGGGGGCTGAGGTAGAAGAATTGCTTGAACCTGGGAGGCGGAGGTTGCAGTGAGCCAAGATGGTGCCACTGTACCCCCAGCCTGGGCGACAGAGTGAGATTCCATCTCAAAAGAAACAAAAACAAACAAAAAAAAACAATAAAACAGTTCTCCAAACGAAGTAGGTAAGAAAAACTATAAAATGCACAGCGTATCAATGATGAATAAAATTGCTTATTTTAACAAAAAGAGGTAAATATGATCCCATGGGTATCCCTCAGACTTGGTGAAATGGCACTAATGACAGGAATAAGGGATGGAAAAAGTATTCCTTGCTGAAAAGAAAGGTCTTTCAAGACAATTGGGGATGGGCACAGTGGCTGACGCCTATAATCCCAGCACTGTGGGAGGCCAAGGCAGGCGGATCACCTGAGGTCCGGAGTTCAAGACCAGCCTGGCCAACTTGGCAAAACCCCATCTCTACTAAAAATGCAAAAATTAGCTGGGCATGGTGGCTCACGCCTGTAATTCCAGCTACTTGGGAGGCTGAGGCAGGAGAATTGCTTGAACCCGGGAGGTGGAGGCTCCAATGAGTGGAATTCATGCCACTGCACTCCAGCCTGGGCGACAGAGTGAGACTCTCTCAAAAAAAAAAAAAAAACAAAAAAAAAACACACACACAATTGGGGGTAGAGGAAAGAGTAGGCAATATGCATTGTTTGCTTCTGAAAAAAGAAAAAAGAAATGCTTAAGAATTCTATGTTCACTGTAGAAAAATGAGAAAACTGAAATACTTACGTGAAAACAACAACAAAAAATAATCCACAAAGGAAAAAGAAAGCCCTTAGAATGAAAATGGCTATTTTATTTTATCTATGCCAACTTCCCAGCCCATGGAGAAATTCTCTAACATTCCTGAAAACCTCTACTTCCAGGAAAAAGGCACCCACTATTTCCAAAAAGTAAACCATTCTATT
Organism: Homo sapiens; assembly: GCF_000001405.40. Taxonomy (NCBI): domain Eukaryota; kingdom Metazoa; phylum Chordata; class Mammalia; order Primates; family Hominidae; genus Homo; species Homo sapiens. The sequence continues at coordinate 50,807,497 of NC_000012.12, read as the reverse complement.
ATTGAATAGTTAGAGCCTTTCCTTCTTTGGGTCCAAAACTGGTTCCATCCAGTGAAACTAAAGAAATTTATTTATTATTTTTTTCTTTTCTTTTGAGACAGAGCCTCACTCTGTTGCCCAGGCTGGAGTACAGTGGCATGATCATGGCTCACCCCACCGTGACTTCTCAGGCTCAAGCGATCCTCCTGCCTCAGCCTCCCAAGCAGCTGGGAATATAGGTACACGCCATCATACCTGGCTAATTTTTTATTTTTTTAGTAGAGATGGGGCCTATGTTGCCCAGGCTGTTCTTGAACTCCTGGGCTCAAGTGATTCTCCCACCTAGGCCTCCTTAAGTGTTGGGACTACAGGCATGAGTCACAGCAAGAAATTTAAGCCTAATCCCAATTCTATATCCATGCCCTACTTTGCGATATTTGATAATTGCTACATGTCTTCCTTATTCTAGGCCAAATACTTTCAGTTTTTTCACGTGTTCTTCTATAACATGTTGAAGATCCTTCTCCAGTTTGTCTCCTTTCTGTGGACTGTCGTCCCACCAAGAGCTAATACAACTGTAGACTATATTAAGAGAAGTTCCACAGGAAGCACAATGGAGGTGTCAGTCCTATAGGACTCTGTTTTAGGCATTTCTGTAGAATAGTCAGAGTGCTTCCTAAACCTGCCTATGTAACAGAATCATTCTGGAGAGGTTTGTTGAATCTAGATTCCCATCTGGTGGCCATAATCATTGAGTAAGTAGGTCTAGAGTAGAGCTCCAGATCCATTTAACAAACTGCCTGCATGGTCTTTTTTTTTTTTTCACAAGTACACCTCTGTCCAATGCCTGCATGGTCCTACAGCCAGTCTATCATGAGACTGTGGAATGCTGCACCCATTTATTTTTCCATTTTAAATTATGAAACACTTTGAGTATAAAGAAAAGTACAGGGGAAGATGCTGCATCTGGCGTTGCCGTGGCTGTGCCTTGGCCTGTGCAGCCTCCTGGTGGGGCAGGCAGAGGCCCTGAGCCCCATGGATCTGCTGGAGCAAAGCCCGCCCTGTGTGGTGCTGTGCAGGCAGAACCTGGTGTTGATGGGAACCATTGTCAGCATCCTGCTGATAACTGTCATCCTTATGGCATTTTGTGTCTACAAGCCCATCTGGTGTCAATGACAGCCAAGTAAACAAGTTCTTCAATGAGTACTTGGGAACAGGATAAGTTGTGCTGCGTATGGGCCAATGGAGAGGTTGAAATCAGAACTTTCCTAGCTGAAAATGACCTTTGGTCTGGACAGTTGGTAAATGCTAAATGATTTAGGAAAAAACATCTACTAGCAATTATTTTTTTCTTTTTTTTTTTTTTCTTTGAGACAGTTTCGCTTTTGTTGCCCAAGCTGGAGTCAGTGGTGCAATCTCGGCTCAATGCAACCTCTGCCTCCCAGGTTCGAGCAATTCTCCTGCCTCAGCCTCCTGAGTAGCTGGGATTACAGGCGTGCGCCACCACACCCGGCTAATTTTTGTATTGTTAGTGGAGACGGGGTTTCACCATGTTGGCCAGGCTGGTGTTGAACTCCCGACCTCAGGTGATCTGCCCACCTGGGCCTCCCAAAGTGCTGGGATTACAGATGTGAGCCACTGTGCCTGGCTTTATTTTTTTTCTCAACACTGTAATGCAAATAATTGGCCACCAAGTCTGCTTCTCAGTCTTTCTTTTGATATCTGACTTAAGAGCAAGACCTGAAAACTCCAAATTCAGTGTAAAGATGGGAGTGTTCATAAGGAAGGAAAACATGGTAACCCTGCAAATGTCTGTAAGAACCACACTGGAAAGAACTAATTATTCATGCTTGAAAATATTAATAAGGAGACTTACTACATAGACATTCCCTACCTAAGAACCATTTGGTCACAATGGGTTAAGAATCACAAAAGGTTTTTTTTTTTTTTTTTTTTTGAGACAGACAGGGTCTCACTCTGTCACCTAGGCTGGAGTAAAGTGGCACAATCACGGCTCACTGCAGCCTTGATCTCCCAGGCTCAAGTGATCCTCCCACCTCAGCCTCCCGAGTGGCTGGGACTACAGGCATGCACTACCACACTCAGCTAATTTTTTGTATTTTTTTGTAGTGACAAGGTATCCCTATGTTGCCCAGGCTGGTCTCAAACTCTTGGGCTCAAGCAATCTGGCCACCTCGGCCTCCCACAGTGCTGGGATTACAGGCATGAGCCACCGTGCCTAGCCTTCCTGTACCTATTATTCTACTCTAATTCCAGTATGATCACAGAGCATACTGTGCATGATTTCAGTTCTTTTAAATTTGTTAAGATTTGTTATGACCCAGAATGTGGTACTTTTTGGCAGATTTTCTTCATTCTACAGCTGCTGGGTCAAGTGTTATAAAAATGTCAATTAGGCCAAGCTCATGCCTGTAATCCCAGCACTTTGGGAGACCGAGGTAGGCAGATCACAAGAACAGGAGCTCGAAACCAGCCTGGACAATATAGTGAAACCCTGTCTCTACTAAAAATACAAAAAAAGTTAGCTGGGCGTGGTGGTGGGCGCCTGTAGTCCCCACTACTTGAGGCTGAGGCAGGAGAATTGCTTGAACCTGGAAGGCGGAGGTTGCAGTAAGCCAAGATCGCGCCACTGCACTCCAGCCTGGGTGACAGCGTGAGACTCCGTCTCGGGAAAAAAAAAAAAAAAAGATCTTGTTGGCTTCTGATATCATCTGGCATTAGGTTCTTCTATAATCTTTCTGATTTTCTGACTGTAAGTTCTAATGTATCCTGAGACAGGTTTACTGAAATCATCAACTGCAACTGTGGACCTGTTTATTTCTCTTTTCAGTTCTGTTAGTTTCTTTTTAGAGATAGGGTCTTGCTGTCACCCACACTAGAGTGTAGTGGCTCAATCATAGCTCACTGCAGCCTCCAACTCCTGGGCAGCTGGGACCAGAGGCACACATCACCACGCCTGGCTAACTTTAATTTTGTGAAGAGACAGGGTCTCACTATGTTGCCCTGGCTGGTCTTGAACTCCTGGGCTCATACAATCCTCCCTCCTTGGCCTCTGGAAGGGCTGAGATCACAGGTGTGAGCCACTGGGCTCTGCCCTACTAGTTTTTGATAAATATATTTTAAAGCTCTTTTGTTAGATGCATACACATTTGGATTATGTCTTCTTGGTGAACTCTTATCATTATGTAATGTCCTTTATCTCTGCAGATTTTCCTTATTCTGAAGTCTATCTTATATGACATTAATATAGCCATGTTAGTTTTTTTCATTAGTGTTTTCGTGGTATGTCTTTAACCATCCTTTTACTTTAGACTAGCTATATAATTTTTGAAGTGAATCATTTTTAAAATCCATTCTAATAATCTTTGTCTTTTTAAAGAAAAGTGGCTTTGAGATATAATTCACATACCAAACAATTCATTTAAGCATACAATTCAGTGTTTTTAGTATATTAACAGTTGTGCAACCACCACTATAATCTAATTTTAGAACACTTTTGTCCCCCTAAAAGAAACTTGGTACCCATTAGCAGTCAATCCATTCTTCTGTCCTCTCTCCCAAGCGCTAACCAACCACTTGCCTACTTTGTTTCTATAAATTTGTCTATTTTGGACGTTTCATATAAATGGAATCATACAATATGCAATCTTTTGCAAATGACTTCTTTTAGTTTAATATTTTCAAGGTTTATCCATGTTGTAGCATGTATTAGCACTTCATTGCTTTTTAATTGCTAAGTAAAAATATTCCATTTTATGAATACACCACATTTTGTTTATCCATTCATCACTTAATGGACATTTGGGTTGTTTCCATGTTTTGGCTATTATAAACAATGCTGCTATAAACATTCATGAACAAGTTTTCATATAAATGTATGTTTTTATTTCTCTTGGGTATATAAGTAGCATAGGAAGCAGTGGGTCATATGGTAACTTAGTATTCTGAAGAACTGCCAGACTGTTTTCCATAGCAACTGTACTATTTTTTTTTTTTTTTACATTCTTACCAGCAGTGTATGAGAGGTTTAATTTCTCCATATCATCACCAACACTTATTATTGGTCTTTTTTTTCTATTTTAGTCATCCTAGTGGGTTTGAAGCAGTATTTCACAATTTTGATTTGCAATTCCCTTAACGATAAATGTTGAACTTTTCATAGGTTTATTAGTCATTTGTTTATCTTCTTTGGAGAAATTTTTATTCAAATCCCTTGCTTTTTTTTTTTTGAGACAGAGTTTCGCTCTTGTCACCCAAGCTGGAGCACAGTGGTGCGATCTCGGCTCACTACAACCTCTGCCTCCCAGTTCAAGCGATTCTCCTGCCTCAGCCTCCCTAGTAGCTGGGATTACAAGTGCCCGCCACCATGCCTGACTAATTTTTTGTATTTTTTTTTTTTAGTAGAGACGGGGTTTCACCATGTTGGCCATGCTGGTCTTGAACTCCTAACTTCAGGTGATCCACCCACCTTGGCCTCCCAAAGTGCTGGGATTACATGCATAAGCCACCATGCCCAGCCCCCTCCTTGCTCATTTTTTAATTTGGTCTTAATATTTAGTCTTCTGATCAATCAACATGAGATGTCTTTTCACTTATTTAGATCTTTTTTTTTTTTTTTTTTTTTTTGAGATGGAGTCTCCTTCTGATACCCAGGCTGGAGTACAGTGGTGCATTCTCAGTTCACTGCAAACTCTGCCTTCTGGGTTCAAGTGAATCTTCTGCCTCAGCCTCCCGAGTAGCTGGGACTACAGGTGCGGGCCACCACACCCAGCTAATTTTTGTATTTTTAGTAGAGACAGGGTTTCACCATATTGGCCAGGCTGGTCCCGAACTCCTGACCTCGTGATCTGCCCCACCTTGACCTCCCAAAGTGCTGGAATTACAGATGTGAGCCACCGCTCCCAGCCTTACTTAGATCTTTTAAAATTTCTTTCAACAAGGTTTTATAGTTTCCAGTATATGTATTCTTTTTGAGATGGAGTTTTGCTCTTGTCACCCAGGCTGGAGTGCAATGGCACAATCTCAGCTCACTGCAACCTCTGCCTCCCAGGTTCAAGCGATTATCCCGCCTCAGCATCCTGAGGAGCTGGAACTACAGGCGCGTGCCACCAGGCCTGGCTAATTTTTGTATTTTTAGAAGAGATGGGGTTTCACCATGTTGGCCGGGCAGGTCTCAAACTCCTGACCTCAGGTGATCGCCTGCCTCGGCCTCCCAAAGTGTTGGGATTACAGGCATGAGCCACTGTGCCTGGCCTCCAGTATATGTGTTCTGTTTCTTTTGTTAAATTCATATCTAAGTATAATTTAAATTTATAAATTTAATTTTAAACCTTTTATACTTTGTTATTGTAAATAGAATTGTTTTTAAGTTTCATTTTTGGATTAGTCATTGCTAGTATATGGAAATACAGTTGATTTTTGTTATATTGATCTTATATCCTACAACCTTGCTGGAACTTGTTGATTAGTTCTATTTTAATAATTCTTTAGGATTTTGTATATATAAGATACTGTCATGTACAAAGTGTTTTACTTAGTCCTTTCCAATCAGGATGCCTTTTATTTAATTTATTGACTAATTCCCTGAGTGCAATGTTTAGAAGTGGTGAGAGGGGATATCCACATTATTTTCTTATTAGGATGTTAGTTGTGGGTTTTTCGTAGACCCTTTTTATTAGGTTGAGGAAGCAGCCTTCTATGTATTTGTTGAGCAGTTTTATCATGAAATGGTAACTGGATTTTTGTCAAATGCTTTTTCTGTGTCTTGCGATGATCATATGTTTTTTGTTTTGATTCTATTAATATGATGTATTACATTAATTGATTTTCAATTATTAAACCAATTTTGCATTTCAGGGATAAATCCTGTTTGGTCATGGCATATACTACCTTTTACATGTTGTTGGATTTGGTTTGCTAATATGTTGTCGAGGATTTTTTGTGTCTATATTCATGAAGGATATTGGTCTAGTTTTACAATTGCCTTTTAATTGGTGAGTGTAGGCCATCTTCAGTATTGGCTGATCTTCCACTTTATTATTTGCTTTCTGTTTATTCTGTTTTTAAAATTCTTCTGTGTTCCTGCACCTGCATTATTTTGGATTATTTGAAGACTTTTCAAAATTTAATTTTTAAGCAACTGTATATTTGACTAAATCTTTTTGTGTAGTTTTTTTTTAGTAGTTGCTCTAGGGGTATATAGATACCTAGCTTTTTATAGTCTACATAGAATCACTATTTTACCACTTCAGGTGGAATGTAGAAACCTTACCACCATATTAGAACTGTTTATATTTCCCTCTTTATGTTGTAGATGTCTTATATATTACCTCTGCACACATTAAAAACCCCATCAGAATTTCATAATTTGTTTTCAGCCATCAAATTGATTGATGGATTGATTGAAACAGAGTCTCGCTCTGTCGCCCAGGCTGGAGTGCAGTGGCATGATCTCGGCTCACTGCAACCTCCCAGGTTCAAGTGATTCTCCTGCCTCAGCCTCCCGAGTAGCTGGGATTACAGGCGCCTGCCACCATGCCCAGCTAAGTTTTTATCTTTGTAATAGAGACGGGGTTTTGCTATGTTGGTCAGGCTGGTCTCAAACTCCTGACCTCAGGTGATCTACCTGCCTCAGCCTCCCAAAGTGCTGGGATTACAGGCATGAGCCACCGCGCCCAGCCATCAAATATATTTTAAAGCAGCAGTTCCCAACCCTTTTGGCACCAGGGACCAGTTTCGTGGAAGACAATTTTTCCATGGATAGGGAAGTCAGGGGATGGTTTCAGGATGAAACTGTTCCATCTCAGATCATCAGATATTAGATTCTCATGAAGAGCATGCAACCTAGATCCCTCGCATGGTCACAACACGGTTCACATTCCTATGAGAATCTAATATGCCACTGATTTGACAGGAGGCAGAGCTTGGGTGCTAAGGCTCGCTCACCCGCTGCTCACCTCCTGCTGTGCAGCCTGGTTCCTAATAGGCCACAGACAGGTACCAATCCACGGCCTGGGGTTTGGGGACCCCTATTTTAAAGAATTCAATAGGAGAGGAACTGTCCATTATATTTGCCCAGATATTTCTGTTGCTGTTTCTTCATTCCTTAACTTTCTTTCGTCTTAAGAATTTTCTTAGCAGTTGTTTTACAGCAGGTCTGCTGGCAATTATTTCCCTTAGTTTCCCTTGATGAGAATATTTATTTGACCTCCAAGTCTGAAGGATGTTTTCAGTAGACATAGAATTTTGGGTGCCAAGACCCAGGAGATAATTCTTTTTTCTTTTAGCACTTTAAAAATGCTATTCCATTATCTTCTCACCTCCATAGTTTCTGATGAGCACTCTGTAGTCATTCACAATGTTCTCTTGTAAGTAATGTGCCATTATTCTCTGGCTACTCACAAGATTTCTTTAACTTTAGCTTTCAGCAGTTTGATTATGGTAAGTCTGGGCAATGATTTATTTGTGTTTATCCTGTTTAGAGTTTGCTGAGGTTTTTGAACCTGTAGGTTTACGTCTTTCACCAAATTTGGTAATTTTTCAGCCATTATTTTTTCAAGTATTTTTTCTGCGCTATACTTTTTTCCTCTCTTTCTGAGACTCTAATGACATAAATCTTAGATCTTTAATTATTGTCGCACAGGTCGCTGAGAATTAGATAATTTTCCAATCTCTTTTCTATGTTCAGATTGGATAATATCCATTGAATAATCTTCAAAGTTGATCGTTTTTTCTCTCATTTCCATTCTACTATTGAACCCATCCAATGAGGTTTTATCTCTGTTACTGTGTTTCTTAGCTCTGAAATCTCTATTTTATTCTCTTTATATGCTCTATTTTTGGCCGAGAGTTTATACCTTTCATTTCAAGAAAATTCACTTACTTGTTGGAACAGTTTAATAATAGCTTCTTTAAAGTCCTTGTCATATAATTCCAACATTTGTATCATCTAGGAGTTGGCTTCTGTCAACAGTCTTTTCCCGTGCAAGTTGAGATTTTTCCTTGTTCTTTGATACCAAGTAATTTTGGACTCTTTGAATATTATGCTATCAGACTCTGGGTCTTGTTTAATAAAAAATGTTTTATATTCTTGTTGCATGTGCATGTGTGTATTTGGGACAGGGACTCGTTCTGTCACTCAGGTTGGAGTGCATGGCACAATCATGGCTCACTGAAGCATCAACCTCCTGGGCTCAAGTGATCCTCTGCCCTCAGCCTCCTGAGTAACTGGGACTACAGGTACACACCACCATACCTAGCTAATTTTTGTATTTTTTGTAGAGACAGGATCTCCTTATGTTACACAGATTGGTCTTAAATTCCTGGACTCAAGTAGTCCTCCCACCTCAGCCTCCCAAAGTGCTGGGATTACAGGCATGAGCCACAGACCTAGACTATATTCTTGTTTTAGAAGGTATCAATCTGGTTGTGTCCAGGCCACAAGTTCTGATCAGCCTTCTGTGGGTTGTGGTTCCAATGTCAGTTCAGTTTCCAAAGTCTTTGCAATGCTATTCATATCTATTACACATGTGCACCAGGTAGTGGCCAGTCTAGAATTTGGGCAATGGTGATCTGTCCTATACATAGTTAAGTTCTAAAAGTCTACATATGCTAGGGAAGCCCATTTTTATTCATTTTTGGTAGAAATGTATGAGGTGCTGGATTTAATCAAATACTTTTTTTCCCAGCATTTATTGAGTTGACTGTATTGTTTCTGCCAATTCTCACTTACGTGGTTTATGTCCTTGCACGTTTGATGATTTTTGAGTGAATTCGTATTTGATTTATACTAATCTGTGGCAATCCAGAAAGCTTAACTTTGAGAAGTTTCTTTTCAGATGTTATAGCCTTCCTGAGAGACCCCTACTTAATAAAGAAATCTCAGGTTCAGGCTGGGCATGGTGACTCACGCCTGTAATCCCAGCACTTTGGGAGGCCAAGGTGGGCAGATCACGAGGTCAGGAGATTGAGACCATCATGGCTAACACAGTGAAACCCCGTCTCTACTAAAAAATACAAAAAATTAGCCAGGTGTGGTGGCGGGCGCCTGTAGTCCCAGCTACTCGGAAGACTGAGGCAGGAGAATGGCATGAACCCAGGAGGCGGAGCTTGCAGTGAGCCGAGATTACTCCACTGCACTCCAGCCTGGATGACAGAGCGAGACTCCATCTCAAAAAAAAAACAACAACCATGAAACTACCCAAATTAATCATTATTACTATTGTTCTAAAAAGCCAATGCTAACTGAAATGAATTGTCTTTGTTCACCATACTTTCTCACATTTATATTCCTTTCATTTTCTTCTTCCTGAAGTATACACTTAAGTAGTTTCTTTTTTCTTTTTTTTTAGAGATGGAGTCTCACTCTGTCACCCAGGCTGGAGTGCAGTGGCACGATCTCAGCTCACTGCAGCCTCCGCCCCCTGGGTTCAAGCTGGGACTACACGCATGTGCCACCATGCCTACCTAATTTTTTTATTTTTAGTAGAGATAGGGTTTCTCCATGTTGGCCAGGCTCGTTTCGAACTCCTGACCTCAAGTGATCCACCCGCCTCGGCCTCCCAAAGTGCTGGGATTACAGGCGTGAGCCACTGTACCCAGCCTCCTTAAGTAGTTTCTTAAATCAGTTTGAAAATGATTATTATTTCACCGTCATTTTTGAAAGACTGTTCAGTAGGCACAGAATTCCAGGTCAAAAGTTACTTTCTCTTTGAATTTAAATATTGGAGCCTGAGTACAGTGGCTCATGCCTGTAATAGCAACACTTTGGGAGGCTGAGGTGGGAGGATCACTTGAGCCCAAGAGTTTGACACCAGCCTGGTCAACATAGTGGGACTCTATCTCTACCAAAAATTAAAAAAAATTAGGTGGGCATCATGGCATATGCCTATAGTCCCAGGTACTCAGGAGGCTGAGGAGCTGACCCCAGGAGGTTGAGGCTGCAGTGAGCTGTGATCACACCACTGCACTCCAGCCCAGGCAACAGGGTGAGACCTCCGTCTCAAAAAAACATGTAATAATTTAAAGATAAAAATAAGGATTTTAGTTCATTGTCTTATACTGTACTTCAAAAATCTGTTGTCAGCTTACTGGTCCTTCCTTTCTAGGTAATTGGTCTTTTCACTTGGAAGCTTTTAGCTTTTAAGATCTCAGGTTTATCCTTGGTGTTCTCCAGTTTTACTTTACAACATACACCTAGATGTAGGTTTCTATTAATTTATCTTGTTTGGGACCTTGCTTTCTTATGCTGAGAAATTCATATCCTGGAAATTGCAGTCATTATCATTTTCTCTCCTGGAGAGACTAGAAGCTGGAAGTGCCCTTCCCTCTTCTCTCCTTTTATCTATGTATGTTGTGTACTGGACCTTCTCATTCTGTGTTCTATCTTAACTTTGTCTTTCTGTGTTCCATTCTAGGTAATCTACTCAGAGCTGTATCCTCAGGTTCTCTCATTTTGTCTTCAGTTACGGGTATTAACCCCTTATCAGATAAGTGGTTTGCAAATAATTTTTTCCCAGTCCGTAAGTTGCCTTTTCATTTTGTTGCTTTGTTTCCTTTGCTACACAGACACGTTTTTTAGTTTGACGTAGTCCCATTTATTTATTTTTTTGTAGCCTAAGCTTTTGGTGTGATATCCAAAAAATCATTGCCAAGGTCAATGTCGAAGAGCTTATCGCCTATGTTCTCTTCTAGGATTTTTATGGTTTCAGGTCTTAACATTTAGGTCTCTTATCCATTTGGTGTTGATTTGTGTAATGGTGTAAGATAAAGATTAAATTTACATTTTTTTTTTTTTTTGAGACAGAGTCTTGCTCTGTTGCCCAGGCTGCAGTGCAGTGGCACAATCTCGGCTCACTGCAACCTCCGCCTCCCAGGTTCAAGTGATTCTCCTGCCTCAGCCTCCCAAGTAGCTGGGATTACAGGTGTGCACTACCACACCCGGCTAATTTTTCTATTTTTATTAGAGACGGGGTTTCACCATGTTGGCCAGGCTGGTCTCAAACTCCTAACCTCAGGTGATCTGCCCGCCTCAGCCTCCCAAAGTGCTGGGATTACAGGCATAAGCCACTGCATCCGGCCAAAGGTCCAATTTCATTTTTTCTTGGAGACAGGATCTTGCTCTATCACCCAGGCTGGAGCACAGTGACACAATCACAGATCATTGTAACTTCAAACTCCTGGGCTCAAGCCATCTTCCCGCCTTAGCCTCTAAGTAGATGGGACTACAGGCGTGCGCCACTATGTCCAGCTAAGGTTTGTATTTTTTGAAGAGACAGGGTCTTGCCATGTTGCCCAGGCTGGTCTTGAACTCCTGGGCTCAAGCAATCCTACCTCGGCCTCCGAAAGGGTTGGGATTATAGGCGAGGGCCAACCAATTTCATTCTTAACACTGACGCGTGCTAACTTCTTTAGTGTACTTTGCACAGCACCTCTTGAACTCATTTGGTACTATCATAACATGCAGGGCTTCATACAAGAGAGTACTCACCTGTAAGATGGGCGCCGTGCTAGGATCCCGTGGGCTTTCTGTGAGGAGCCTATGCTGTCGGATGAGTCCTGGGACTCCTCACTTTCTGATAAAGATGATACCTAAAAAAGAACTGGCATTAACATGATGAACAATGCAGGTGGGAAAAGAAACAACTGAATTTTTACTTTTAGAAAAAAATGATCTGTCTCCTGCCACTCCAATTCATTTGTACATTAAATCTAAAGTCTAAAAGAAAGGAACAAAAGGAAAAGGAAAAATGAGAAAGTTTATTCCAGGAGCCCAACCTATTAAAGGAATATCAAATATAGCAGGCCCAGAGCTGAGAATAAAGTCTGTCCCCCAAATGAAGCAGTACTATTTTACCAGAGTTAAAAAGACCAGGCTCTGATGTCATTCTCCACCCTATTTCTACACTGATGCACATTACTTAAAAGTGTTGTTTTATTACTAATCTACCTGACATGCTAAGTTTGAAAAACCTGTTATATATTCAACTGCTGACATTGAGACGAATATTAAATATACAAGCCTGTAGGTCTGGGAAGAGGTCTGGGCTAGATACATAAATTTTGGAGGTCTAGCTTTTTAGAGTCCTTAAAGCCATGAGACTGGATGAGCTCATAGGGGTAAATAGAAGAGGACTGAGGACTAACCTCAGGAACACTAAGAGACTGGATGAAGAGGAGGAACCAGCAAATGAGACTAAGGAGTCACCAGTAAAGAAGAGAACCAAATGATTGAGCTGTCCATGGAAAACTAGTGAAGACAGCATACTGAGGAGAAAAGAATGATCAACCATGTCCAATGCTGTTTACAAGCTGAGATAAAATAAAGACTGAGAACAGACCATTCGATTTAGCAAGGTGGAGGTCACTGGCAATGGCAGGTATAAATATATGCCATTTTAAAATCTGTATGATTCAATTTTATCTCATTTCACAAGTTAATACATGCAACACTTGGCATGCATACAATGTTAATTTTTATAAACTACATCAATATAATATGCAAGTTATAGCAATATTTTACAATTGAGAAAACAAGTTGTTTTCAATTTTTTTTTAAATATTTTTAATTTTTTTATTTTTGAGACAGGGTCTCACTCTGTCACCCAGGCTGAAGTGCAGTGGTGCAATGACAGCTCACTGTAGCGTCGCCTTCCTGGGCTCAAGCAATCTTCCAGCCTGAGCCTCCTGAGTAGCTAGGATTACAGGTGCACACCACCATGCCCAGCTAATTCATTTTTTTTTATTCTGACAGGGTCTCATTATGTTACCCTGGCTGGTGTCAAACTCCTGGGCTCAAGCAGGCCTCCCAAAGTGCTGGGATTACAGGTATGGGTCACCATGTCTGGCCTCAATTTTTTAAGCGTATTAAAACTTTCCAACATTTGTCCAAAGTTAGATTGTGATATCCGACTTCATCTGAATTTTTTTTTTTTTGAGATGGAGTATCACTGTGTCGCCCAGGCTGGAGTGCAGTGGCACGATCTTGGCTCACTGCAACCTCCACCTCCTGGGTTCAAGTGATTCTCCTGCCTCAGCCTCCTGAGTAGCTGGGATTACAGCCACGTGCCACCACGCCCAGCTAATTTTTGTATTTTTAGTAGAGATGGGGTTTCACCATGTTGGTCAGGCTGGTCTCAAACTCCTGACCTCATGATCCACCTGCCTCAGCCTCCCAAAGTGCTGGGATTGCAAGTGTGAGCCACTGTGCCTGGCCGACTTCATCTTAATTTTTAAAAATAAAATAACCCAGGCCAGGCGCGGTGGCTCACGCCTGTAATCCCAGCACTTTGGGAGGCCGAGGTGGGTGGATCACGAGGTCAGGAGATTGAGAACATCCTGGCTAACACGGTGAAACCCCGTCTCTACTAAAAATACAAAAAATTAGCCGGGCCTGGTGGTAGGCGCCTGTAGTCCCAGCTACTCGGGAGGCTGAGGCAGGAGAAGGGCGTGAACCTGGGAGGTGGAGCTTGCAGTAAGCCGAGATCGCGCCACTGCACTCCAGCCTGGGCAACACAGCGAGGCTCCCGCTCAAAAAAAATAAAAATAAAAATAAATAAAAAATAACCCAAACAGGCCTTTAGAAGGGACATAAGAAATCAATTCTCCACATTAGTTACTATCTATAGAAAGCCTTCCCCTAAACTATTTAGACATGAAATTTCCAGAGAGGCTTCTTTTATATGTTATTTCCTTCAAAAATGAGTTCTAGTATATAACTACTCATTTATATTTCATATTAAATCTATATCATTATACAGAAAAGAATTAGTCATAACCCAATAATAATTAAGAAATAACCAATAATTAAGAAAAATCTGTCACTTTTCTTTTCCTCAAGCATCATAAATTTTTTTTTTTTTTTTTTGAGATGGAGTCTTGCTCTTGTCGCCCAGGCTGGAGTGCAATAGCACAATCTTGGCTCACTGCAGCTTCTGCCTCCCGGGTTCAAGCGATTCTCCTGCCTCAGCCTCCCAAGTAGCTGGGTAGCTGGGATTACAGGCACCTGCCACCATGCCTTGCTCATTTTTGTATTTTTTAGTAGAGATGGGGTTTCACCATGTTGGCCAGGCTGGTCTCGAACTCCTGACCTCGTGATCCGCCCACCTCAGCATCCCAAAGTGCTGGGATTACAGGTATGAGCCACCGCACCTGGCCATAAAATACTTCATTTCTAATCTAATTCTTTAACTACACTGTCTGTTCCTAAGCTTACTCCAAAGCCTTCCACTGAACTTAAGAAAATAAATTGTAAAACTAAGGAATTACTTGTAATTAAAATCAAAAATTTATCTTTAATAACAGCACCAGCAAATAAGACTAAAATTTCCATATAAACACTAAAAAAATCCATGCAGCCACCTCCTTTCACATGGGAGTACCACATAAAGATGCAGCTCTAGTTTTTACAACATTGCCATAATCAGGAGAAGAAAGGAGGAATATAGCTTTTCTTCTAGGAGAGCTGCTTCTAAAAACGAGAGATGACCAAAGGTATTCTGGGACTATAAAATGGGAAAAGTAGAAAGAAAAGGAATCTAGGATGGCTCTTTCTTTCGTACTTTTGTAAGGTGTTAATATGAAGGTAGATAAATACAAATAAGAACTTTCCTCTACTACAAGAGAACTCTTTTATTTGACCTCCATAAAGCATGTGGTAGGTAGGTACTAACTCCATAAAGCATATAGAAAATACCTGGGATAAAAGGGTGCTTTCCCTTTAAAAAAAAAAAGTCCCTCATTTCCTTAAATCATAAGCAATAACTTTCCCTAAAATTGTCTTCTATTTTCACTAGGTATTATATACATGAAACTAGAAATTCTAAAACTTTTCTATTTGCCTGATTTGGTCTGCAGTCTAATTTGTAAGACAACTTTATCTTGGTTTATATATTATAGGTACAGCAACTGAAATGTATCTGAAGACTCAGGGTATAAAAGTTCCAACTCTCGACCACTAAGTCTTCAAATTTCTGTATCATTTGCACATGTGGTGGGTGAATTACAGAAGACTGGGCTGTCTGGATGACCCCCTGAATCTGTACTTGCTCTCCAGGAAGACGTATAATTGTCACTGGCGCAGATCCATTTAATGACATCAATAGAACAAATACAAATTCAATTAACAAAATATATATTGTACCTATGCACATAAGATAGCTGAGTTCTTAACACTGGAAACACATTTCAGAGCTGATTATATTTAATCGCATCATTAACCAAACATTAGGTACCTTCTATTGACCAGAGGCTGAACTAGGGATTGAGAGTACAAACTAACTATAACAAATAGAGTAAGAGTTATAATAGAGGAAAATTACAAAGTACTGTTCTGTGGGAGCAAAGAAAGGGTGTTATTTCATCTGGGTTTTGAATAATTAACAATTACCTGAGGGTATGTATGGAGGGGCAGGAGTTAGGGGACTGGAAGGTATTTTAGGCAGAGGAACTGATTGTGCAAAAACATGGAGAATCTTTAGCACATGCTATTCTGAAGAGATATGGTTGAAAACTAACCAAGAAACCAAGAGACAAAAAGTGAGTGAAACACCAACTTCGGGCAGCATCTTGAAAAAATATATATATATATTTCAAGTAAATGACTGAATCATGAAATTGTAATTTATTTCTGTTGAAATCAGATGCGGTTTCATGGAAATACCATGATAAAATGCTAAACTAAGAAAAGTCCACTCATCATCCCTCCAGGCTCACCTCAGGTCCTACCTCTTCCAAAAAGCTTTCTCAAATATTTTCAGTTAACAGAGATCTCATGCCTTCCTCTGGACTACTCTGGTCCATACCATTACTCTTGGATTTAAATCACAAAATAAAATCCTGGACTACTTCTCAGGACTTGAAAGTAAGCTTCCTTCCTGCTCCCCTGTTCTCCTTCTTCACATTGGGCTCCAAGAATACTGCTTTCCCTGTTTTTCTTTTTTTTTTTTTGAGACTGAGTTTCACTCCTTCCCAGGCTGAAGTGAAGTAGCACGATCTAGACTCACTGCAACCTCCACCCCTGGGTTCAAACGATTCTCCTACCTCAGCCTCCAGAGTAGCTGGGATTACAGGCATGCGTGACCACGCCCAGCTAATTTTTGTATTTTTAGTAGAGACGGGGTTTCCCCATGTTGGCCAGGCTGGTCTCGAACTCCTGACCTCAGGTGATCCGCCCACCTCCGCCTCCCAAAGTGCTAGGATTACAGGCGTGAGCCACCGCACCCAGCCTTCCTGTTCCCTTTCTTCTTTCACTGAAAGTTCTTTTCCTCATCCCAAGACTAGATTAAACAAACCCCAGTCTCATCATCCCTCAAAATGCCTAGGGTCATGAAATTCTGTATAAAATTTATCCAGCCACTAAGAACTGTAAACTCCATTTGTAGCACAAACAATGCCATTCTAACTGACCAAATTCTTGACCAATGGCTTTTGTCATGCCAAGGTTGTGTCCCTAGAATGACACCAGAGCCCCCTTAAAACACCTGCCTGAGAAAGTTCAATTCTACCAAAAAATTTTACTGTTTGTTCCAGCCAAAACTTGACTATAGGCCCCATCCTCACTTTTCTTACAGCATTTTAGAAAACTTGCTGTTATGAATCCTTTCTCTGTCCCATGAGATGTAGACATTCTAAAACCTAGAAATCTTTCTTTGGGCCTGTAAATGTAGTAACCAAGAAAGAAAAGATTTGGTCCCTGTCTCCCAGTCTGTGGGAGAGTAGGAGCCAACTTTGACAAGTGCCAATGAGCAAGCAGGACGGCTAATCATAGTGACAATTCCTTCCCTCCCCCAAACATCTTATGTACTTTTCCTTTAGAACACCCCAATATTTAAAAAGCTTTCCATCTGTTTCAGTGGAGCTGAGCTCAGTTTATGTTGGAGTTTCTCTCCTATACTGCAGTAATCTGATAAAATCTGTCTTGCTGCCTTTAACATATGTCCAGCTCTGTTCCTCTTTGACAGTACCCCAATATGGGCATAGAGAAATTGAAGAATAAGAATAAACAAAGAGCTGGGTGCAGGGACTCACACCTATAATCCCAGCACTTTAGGAGGACAAGAGAAGCCCAGGAGTTCAAGACCAGCCTGGGCAACATAGGTAAAATGCAGTCTCTACAAAAAATACAAAAATTAGCCAGGTTTGGCAGCGCATGCCTATCGTCACAGCTATGTGGGAGGCTAAGCTGGGAGGATTGCTTGAGCCCAGGAGGTGGAGGTTGTGGTGAGCTGTGATTGCGCCACTGCACTCCAACTCTAGCCTGGGTGACAAAGTAATAACTGTCTCAAAAAAAAAAAAAAAAAAAATAGAACCCACAAGTCTTGAGAGTCCAGCTCTAGAGTTACCATTACACTTGGAAAACATTAACAAAACGTCTCCCCACCTTTCAATAACTGAAGCCACTCAGCTAATGGAGAGAGCGTATGATAGGATTAATCTACATTTCTAAAAGACTAAGGGCCATCATTCCTCAAAGGTTTCTGGCAATCCATGTGATTTAATGCAGGCTATGGGTCTGTCAGGTTGAAAAGGAAAATAGGCACCAGATTTTGATTTAGCTAGTGGTAGTCCCTATCCCTTATTACTACGGTTCGTCTAACCTCACAAAATGCTCATTACTCAGGGTCTCAAAGTCCTGATTCTCTTCCCAACCCCACTCTCAAACCTGATAATCTAAATATTGAGAGACCTTTCAAAGGAGGAAAGGGAGGACCTGGTCCCCCAATCTTTTTTTTTTGGTGGGAGGGCGCAGGCAGGGTCTCACTCTGTCAACCAGGCTGGAGTGCAGTGGCACAATCTCGGCTCCCTGCAACCTCTGCCTCCTGCGTTCAAGCGATTCTCCTGCCTCAGCCTCCCGAGTAGCTGGGATGACAGGCGCCCACTACTTCCGGCTAATTTTTGTATTTTTAGTACACATGGGGTTTCACCATGTTGGCCAGGCTGGTCTCAAACTCCAGGCCTCATGTGATCCGCCCGCCTCCCAAAGTGCTAGGATTACAGGTGTGAGCCACTGCACTCTGCCAGAACTTCATACTACTTCTCTGTCCACTGGTTCACTTACATTATAAAGATTCTAGATTCTAAATTATCAGTCCAAAATCTAAAATAGAGCAGGAACAAATAAAAATAAATAGTAAACAGGCCAGGCATGGTGGCTCACACCTGTAATCACTTTGGGAGGCCGAGGTGGGCAGATCACCTGAAGTCAGAAGTTCAAGACCAGCCTGGCCAACATGGCGAAACCCCCGTCTCTACTAAAATTACAAAAATTAGCGGGGCATGGTGGCGCACGCCTGTAGTCCCAGCTACCCAAACTGCTTGAACCCAGGAAGTGGAGGTGGAAGTTGTAGTGAGTTGAGATTGCACCACTGCACTCCAGCCTAGGCAACAGAGCAAGACTCTGTCTCCGAAAAAAAAAAACAACAAAAAAAACCTCATTTAATATACATTAACACTGAACTACGTATCAGTCGCTAGCACTGTAACGCATGCCTGAATGAAACTTATCTAACACATGTATTTCCTCCATAAGGCACATCACAGCCTTCTTGCACTTAGAACACAAGATAGCACTTTGTACTACACTTGGGAGTCAATTTTAAATAGCAAAATCACCAACAAAAAGGAGAAAAATGCAAAAAATGTAGTTATACTAACTAGACCGCAAAGAGGCCAATTGTTTATACTATGAGAGCTGATGCAAGAAGACACAGCATCACCTTGTTTGACCTCAGCCAGGAATATAGGAGTGACTCAAATTTTTTGCCACTTTGCACATGTCCATGAATGACCGCAAAAGTGCCGTGAGTGTTTTTGGAGTTAGAAATAAATTTTATCAAGTAGGCAAATTTGCAAATACAGAATCTGTGAATAATAGGAACCAGCTCTAGCTACTCAGGAGGCAAAGGCAGGAGGATCACTGGAGGGCAGGAATTTGAGGCCAAAGAAATATGATCATGCCACTGCACTCCAGCTTAAGCAACAGAATAATACTCGGTTTCCAAAAAAAAAAAAACAGGGCCAGGTGCAGTGGCTCACGCATACCAGCACTGCACTTTGGGAGGCTGAGGTGGGCAGATTATTTGAGCTTAGGAGTTTGAGACCAGCCTGGGCAACACTGCAAAACCCCATCTCTACAAAAAAATACAAAAAGTTTAGCCGGATGTGATGGCACACACCTGTGGTCCCTGCTACTTGGGGAGCTGAGGCAGGAGGATTGCTTGAGCACAGGAGGTCAAGGCTGCAGTGAGCTATGTTCACACTACTGCACACCAGTCTGGGTGACAGAGTGAGACCCTATGTCAAAAAAAAAAAAAGATTGGCTATAAAATAGTTAATTTTTATTCCTCATCTTATTTGACCTATCAGCCACATTTTACACAGCTGACCATCACTCATTCTGATTTCCAATATTTGAGTTACTCTTGATTTTCCTCCTACCTCACTGACAATCCCTCTTCAATGTCCCCAAACTCCAAATGCTAAAGAAGCCCAGATCCATTGACTCATCTCTACAATACTTACCTCTCAGTAATCCCATCTAGTCACATGACTTTGATCACACTACACCTATGTTAAAGAGATATTATTCCACAGTTCTTGGATGCTCTATTTTTCTCCCTGCCCTTTCCTTTGTTCTCTGTTTTCGTTGTGGGTAATTTCTACTGACCTATCTTCAAGTTCACTGATTCTTTTCTTAGCTGTGTCAAGTCTACTAATAAACCCAAACATATACTTCACCTGTGTCACCATTTTTTTTTTTTAGACAAGGCCTCACTCTGACACCTAGGCTGGAGTGCAGTGGTGCGATGTTGGCTCACTGCAACCTCTGCCCACTGGGCTCAAGCAATCCTCCCACTTCAGCCTCCTGAGTAGCTGGGACCACAGGGTGTGCACCACCATGCCTGGCTTTTTTTTTTTCTTTTGTATTTTTAGTAGAAATGGAGGCTTGCCATGTTGCCCAGGCTGGTCTTGAACTCTTGAGCTCAAGCAATCTGTCTGCCTCGGCCTCCTAAATTGCTGGGATTACAGGCGTGAGCCACCACACCATTTTTATTTCTAACATTTCCATTTGACTTTTTCATATAGTTTCTAACCCTCTGCTGAAATTCCCCAGCTGTCTGTGCATGTTTTCTACCTTTCCCACTGGAGCCTTTAACATATTATTCATTCTTATTTGAAATTCACTCTCTGATAGTTCCAACAGCTGGGTTATCCTGAGTCTGGTTCTGTTTATTGTTTTGGTTTTTGACAGTGAGTTGCTTCTTTGTGTGCTTTTGGTATGTGTTTTATAATTTTTGCCTGAATGACAGACATCATGGGTAAGACACTAGAGACTAAAGTAAATAGTATTTATCTTCAGAAATGGGAAAACAAGAGAGTACACCTCTTCACTAGGGTGTGTGTGTGCGTAGGGAAGGGGTTGAGTCATCTATTCAGGAACTGAGCTGGGTTTGGATTTTGTTGTTGTTTGGATTACCTTAAGTGTACTACCAGCTTCAAATTCCTCTAGTATGACTTTCTGCTTAGGGTGGGGCTGGTATGTCAGAGGGTTTTTCTCATTGTTCTTGCCACACACTCAGCCTTAGGCTTCATCTCTGCATCTGCCCCAAAGAGGCTCTTTCCATACTCTTGTCCCTCCCCCAGGGGTAGATTGCTGTTGCTTGACTTGACAGCACCAACAGGGAGGTTCTTTGTTGTCCTGGCCCAGTCTCAGTCTCAGGTAGGCCCTATGTCCCTGGGTTACAGGGGTTGGGGCTTTCTCCCAGTGGCAGAAAAACTCTAATAGTCTAAGCCCTTAACAGTTTCCTGCCGTTCCCTCAGGGTTTGTGGGTTTTCTTTTTCTTTTTACTTTTCCCAGACACAATGGAAAACTGGGTTTATTTCCTTTTTCCCAGCGGCTTAAAGCCTTTTTTTCCAAAGGAAAAAAAGGTCCAAGTGGGCCTGTACCACCTACCAAGGCATTCTCTGGTCTCCCTTGTGTCCCCAGCCCCATTTTTCTCCTAAGCAACTGCTGGAGGTCCTTGGAGAAAAACCTACAAGAGGGTATGAACTGTCTTTGTGTCTGCAGCTCCCAAGGATTCTATACGCTCACGCTTGCCTACACTTGGACTTTAGCAATTCATTAATTTTCCTGCTAGTACGCAGCCCTGCTTATTTTCTGTGCTCTGCCACAGGTGAGCCATGCCCACACCCCACCTCTATGAGTTTATTATTTTATAGAACATACAACTTATTCTTGTTTCAGGGTAAGAGTAACATTCTTTCCAGCTTTCTGCATCTTGGGGGAGTCTGGAAATCATCCCATAATTATAAATACCACCTATATAGCCACAACTCCTAAATTTAGATTTCTAGTCTGGACCTCTCTCCTGGACCCCAGACTCATATATCTAGCTGCCTACTGGATAAATCTACTTGGATGGTCTGCCCAACAGATTTTAGGGTGGCCCCCATGATCTGCAGCTCCTGGTGTTTGGGACTTTGTCTAATCCTCTCCCCTTGAGAGTGGGAGGGACTTGTGACTTGCTTCTAACCAACCTTATTAAGCAAAGATGATGGGATGTCATGTTTTATCACAAGGAAATGGGATGTCATTCCTTTGATTATATTATGTATAAGACTGTCTTGCTAGCAGACTTGCTCTCACTCTCCTGCTGGACTTGAAGCAGGCTGCTATGCTGTGAACTGCATACGGAGAGGATCACGTGGCAGGGAGTTACTGGTGGCCTTTAGGAGCTATGGGCAGCCTCCAGCCAAGAACCAACCAAAAAACTGAAGCACTCAGTCCTACAGCCACAGTGAAAAGAATTCTGCCAACAAACTAAGTGACCTTGGAAGTAGATTCTTCTCTAGTCTAGCCTCCTGCTAAGAACTCAGCCCTAGCCAATGCCTCAGTTGCAGTTTGGTGTGAGACCGCAAAGCAAAGAACCCAGTTAAGATATGCCTGACCCCACACAAACTGTGAGATAATAAATGTGTGTTGTTTTAAGCTATTAGCTTTGTGGTGATTTGTTCTGCAGCACAGAAAACCAACACAGATAATATTACAGACATAACATGCCTAAAAACCAAATTCCTGATTGCCAACATTCCCCCAAAAAGAAATGGAAAACATCATCCAGCATTGTCCATCTCAATAAATGGCAATTATATATATACGTCTGTGTGTGTGTGTGTGTGTGTGTGTGTGTGTGTGTGTGTGTGTGTGTGTGTGTGTATGTATATATATAATTTTTTTTTTGAGATGGGGTGAGTCTACACTATGTTGCCCAGGCTGGTCTGGAACTCCTGGGCTCAAGGAGTCCTCCCACCTGAGCCTCCCAAGCAGAGGGGATTATAGGCATGCACTACCACGCCCGGGTCAAGTAATTTCATTCTTAACAGTTGCTCAAACCAAAACTGTGACGTCAATCTTGGCTCGTTCCTTTATTTAAAACTCCACATCCAGCGGGGAGGGGGGAGGGATAGCATTAGGAGATATACCTAATGCTAAATGATGAGTTAATGGGTGCAGCACACCAGCATGGAACATGTATACATATGTAACTAACCTGCACATTGTGCACATGTACCCTAAAACTTAAAGTATAATAATAATAAATAATAAATAAATAAATAAATAAAAAATAAAACTCCACATCCAATCCAAAAGCAAATACTATTGGCTTTACAACCAATATATATCCAGAATCTAACTTTGTCTCATCACTACCCCAGCTACCACACTGGTCCAAGCCATTGTCATCTCCCATGTACATTACTGTAATGCCTTCTAACTAGTTTCCTGTTTCTATTCCACAAAGCAGTCTGAGTGATTCTTTTAAGATACGCCAGATAACGTTTCTACTCAAAACACTCTAAAGGTTCCCCACGTCACCCAGATCAAAACACAAAAATTTTACAGTGGTATATGGCCTACATTATCTGGCACTCTCCCCTCTTCGCACCCCAACCCTCTCTGCCTCATCCTCTATCCATCCCTCTCCCAACACACTGGCCACCTCAGTGTTCCTTGACCATATCAAGCACATATTAGTCTCACAGTTTTACAACTGTTGGTCCATATAATTGAACAAGTATTTCCTCAGACAAATGTCTCTGTCTACCTTGTATAAAAAGAGAAGTCCCCTGTCCCCACCACCAACTCCCTATCTCTCCTATCCTGCTTTATTTGTCTCCATGGCACATATTACCAACTGATAGGTTTTGTTGCCTGTCTCTCCAAAATTAGAATATAAGATACATGAAAGCTGAGAATTTTGTTCACTGCTATATCCCCAGTTTATACTGAATTATTATAAAATACTGTTTCCTTTACATAATTTTTTTCTTTTTTTTTTTGAGACAGGATCATGCTGTGACCCAGCCTGGAGTGCAATGGTGCAATCACGGCTCACTGCAGCCTTGACCTCTGGGGCTCAGGTGGTCCTCTCCCTTCTGCCTCCTGAGTAGTTGGGACTGCAGACAAACGCCACCACACCTGGCTAAATTTTTTTATTTTTTAGTAGAGACAGAGTCTCACTATGTTGCCCAGGCTGGTGTCAAACTCCTGGGCTCAAGTGATCCTCAGCATCCCAAAGTGCTGGGATTATAGGTGTGAGCCACCGTGGCCAGCCATTTTTTTTTTTTTTTTTTCAGACGGAGTTTTGCGCTGTCGCCCAGTCTGGAGTACAGTGGTATGATCTCGGCTCACTGCAACCTCCACCTCCCCAGTTCAAGCAGTTCTCTATCCCAGCCTCCCGAGTAGCTGGGATTAAAGGTGCATGCCACCATGCCCAGCTAATTTTTGTATTTTTAGTAGAGACGGGGTTTCACCATCTTGGCCAGGCTGGTCTTGAACTCCTGCCCTCGTGATCTACCCGCCTCGGCCTCCCAAAGTGCTGGGATTACAGGCATGAGCCACTGTGCCCAGCCTGCCAACCATATTATTTTTAAAAATCACTATAAAATGATTTACTATCTAGAAATGTATTTATTCCACTTCACCGTAAATATGCTTCTGAGGAAATTTGAAGAGTCACATCTAACTAAAATAACTGAAATATAGATATAAGTAAGCCAACTGAATTAGAACATTTCTGTAAAGTGCTCTATTAACAGAAAAATAATCAAAGAAAGACTCCACCTTATTTTTCTAGCACCATCTGGAGAAGACACTGCTATTCTTCACAGATATAGCCAAATAAGGCAGAAGGATATATCAAGCTTAAAGGACTAACCCCTTTGGGTCACTGGTTTTCAAACCTTTTGGTCACAAATCCTTTTGACATTCTCAAACTTATTGAGGACCCCCCAAAATTATTATTTCAGTTATATTTATTAATACTTACCATATTTAAAATTAAATTTAAAAAATTAGCAGTTCATTTCAAAATACAATAACAATCCATTACACGTTACCATACCTATTTCCATTAATACATTTTCAAAAAAAATTAGTGAGAGAAATGGCATTGTTTTACATTTCTGCAAATTTCCTTAATATCTGGCTTAATAGAAAACAGCTGAAATCAGCCGGGTGCAGTGGCTCATGCCTGTAATCCCAGCACTTTGGGAGGCCAAGGTGGGTGGATCACTTGACGTCAGGAGTTCAAGACCAGCCTGGTCAATATGGTGAAACCCCACCTCTACTAAAAATACACAAATTAGCTGGTCGTGGCAGTGGGCACCTGTATTCCCAGCTACTCGGGAGGGTGAGGCAGGAGAATCACTTGAACCCAAGAGGCAGAGGTTGCAGTGAGCCAAGATCGCACCACTGCACTCCAGTCTGGGCGACAGAGCAAGACTCCGTCTCAAAAAAAAAAAAAAAAAAAAGGCTGGCCACAGTGGCTCACACCTATAATCCCAGCACTTTGGGATGCTGAGGATCACTTGAGCCCAGGAGTTTGACACCAGCCTGGGCAACATAGTGAGACTCTGTCTCTACTAAAAAAAAAAAAAAAAAAAAGGCCGGGTGTGGTGGCTCAGGCCTGTAATCCTAGCACTTTGGAAGGCTGAGGCGGGTGGATCACGAGGTCAGGAGATCAAGACCATCCTGGCTAACACGATGAAACCCTGTCTCTAGTAAAAATACAAAAAATTAGCCGGGCGTGGTGGCGGGCGCCTGTAGTCCCAGCTACTCGGGAGGCTGAGGCAGGAGAATGGCGTGAACCTGGAAGGCGGAGGTTGCAGTGAGCCGAGATCGCGCCACTGCACTCCAGCCTGGGCGACAGAGCGAGACACTGTCTCAAAAAACAAACAAACAAATAAACAAACAAACAAAAAAAACAGAAAAAGAAAACAGCTGAAATCTCTTATCTGATTCTACATTAATTATGTTATCATACATTGTTTTGGTTGAATTATATGAAGAAAATCTGCCCTCACATAGATATGCAATTAGAAAAGATGTGTAGTGTTTTAAAAGCCTTTTCATTTCATTGTATTCTTTGATACAGCAGCAAAACTCAGCAAGTTATAGTTTCTTAAAGGTTATTTGCCATGTACAGTCTGAACTTTGTGTATTGTTAACATTAAAATCCGTTAGTCTCATCTTGCACTTTAAATGGCTCTTACACTCATGCATGATTTTTTTTTTTTTTTTTTTGGAGATAGGGTCTCACTCTGTCACCCAGGCTGGAGTGCAGTGGCATGATTATAGCTCACTGCTGCCTTGAACTCCTGGGCTCAAACAATCCTCCTGCTTCAGCCAAGTAGCTGTTACTACAGGTGTTGTAGTGCCACCACACCCAGCTAATTTTTAAAATTTTTTGGCCGGGCACGGTGGCTCACGCCTGTAATCCCAGCATTTTGGGAGGCTGAGGTGGGTGGATCACCTGAGGTCAGGAGTTTGAGACCAGTCTGGCCAACAGGTGAAACCCCGTCTCTACCAAAAATACAAAAAATTAGCTGGGTGTGGTGGTGGGCGCCTGTAATCCCAGCTACTCGGGAGGCTGAAGCAGGAGAATCGTTTGAACCCGGGAGGCGGAGGTTGTAGTGACCCGAGATCGTACCACTGCACTCCAGCCTGAGCGACAGAGCGAAACCCTGCCTTGAAAAACAAAAACAAAAACAAAGAAAACAACTCTAAATACAGTTAGGCCTCTTTATTCATGGGTTCTGCATCCATGAGTTTCACATCTGTGGATTCAACCAACCACAGATTGAAAATATTCAGGAAAAAAAATTTCTCTATACTGAACATGTACCGACTGTTTTTCTTGTCATATAGTATAACTATTCACATAGCATTTACATAGTATTAGGTATTAAAAGTAATCTAGAAATGATTTAAAGTATACAGGAAAATATGTAGGTTATATATAAATACCATGCCGTTTTCTATCAGGGGCTTTAAGCATCACAGATCTTGGTATCTGTGGACGTCCTGGAACCAGTCTCCCACAGATACTGAGAGATGACTATATACTTCGTTTAAAAGAAAATAAAACTAAATGATCTTGACAAGATATTTAAAGTCCACCTTCTTTTCTTATATTTTAACATTTTATACAGTCTTTTTTGCTTGTTTTTCTATTTTATTTTTTATTTATTTATTTTTATGATATGGAGTCTCGTTCTATTGCCCAGGCTGGAGTGCAGTGGCATAGTCTGTGCTCACTGCAACCTCCACCTCCCAGGCTCAAGCGATTCTCCTGCCTCAGCCTCCCGAGCAGCTGGGATTACAGGCAACCGCCACTGCACCTGGCTAATTTTTGATTTTTATTAGAGACAGGGTTTCGCCATGTTGGTCAGGCTAGTCTTGAACTCTTGACCTCGTGATCCGCCCGCCCTGACTTCCCAAAGTGCTAGGATTACAGGCGTGAGCCACTGCGCCTGGCCTTTGCTTGTTTTGTTTTTTTTTTTTTTTAACATTAATGCCAGGTCTGGTGGCTCACACCTGTAATCCCAGCATTTTGGGAGGCCAAGGTGGGTGGGTTACCTGCGGTCAGGAGTTCGAGACCAGCCTGGCCAACATGGTAAAACCCCATCTCTACTAAAAATACAAAAAATAGCCAGGCGTGGTGGCAGATGCCTGTAGTCCCAGCTACTTGGGAGGCTGCGGTAGGAGAATTGTTTGAACCCAGGAGGTGGAGGTTGCAGTGAGCCGAGATCATGCCACTGCACTCCAGCCTGGGCAACTAGAGCAAAAATCTGCCTCGAAAAAAAAAACCCAAAAAACAAAAACCAAAATAAAACACATTAATAATCAGTCTGAAACGAGATTAATCTGCATATAAAATATTCCTAACAAGCTCAGTATTTTGGCCAGTCCCTCCCTTACCTGTTGAGCAATATGAGAAATGTGAGCTCCCTGAACTGCTGAACCAGGTTGAGGTGCTGTCTCTGACGTGGTACTCTTGTGGGAATCTTCCATAATCAACTATAAGGGGGAAAAAAGTCCGTTAAAATTAAATATGATACAGAATGTTTACAGTATACTATAGAATCATATAAAAATTGATCATTTAGTTGCCTCAATGGAAAAGAACTGGTAGCAATGGTATAGAGATAGAAAGGGGACTGTGCATTTTCTTTAAATTTTTTGAATTTTGGCCCACAAAAACATGTTTAAGTTTAATAAAAGGCACATATAAACATAAATTATGATGACTAAGTTTGCAAACGTTATCCCATTGAAGAATGATGACAGTCCTCCTGTCTATGGACACAAACATATCTGTCTCTAGTCTAGGGAAGTTTCTAAGTGTACATATAGTTTTTTATATAGAGAATTTACTGAGTAAAAGTTGAACAAATAAATAAAACTATACCTAAGGAGGTTCTAAATAAGTTCTAGAAAACTTAGATAATCAACTTCAGGATATGTAGGCTAGGTAAGAATGAGAATAAATGAGCTATGAGAGATCAAATACGGCAAATAGGGAGAGAACCACTAACAAGCTGGTAAAAGATTTAGACAGAATTTAATGTTTTTAAAGGTTACCTGGAAAGGCCAAAAAAAAAAAAAAGAGAGAGGGCTAGCCAGAAAGCTTATGAAAAGATGCTCAATATCACTATTAAGGAAATGCACTGAAAACTACAACGAAATATCACCTCATACATACCCATTAGAATGGGTAATATCAAGACACAGAAAATACTAAGTGTTGGCAAGGATGTGGAGAAACTGGAACCCTGGTACACTACTGTGCTGGTGGGAATGTAAAGTGGTACAGCTATTATGGAAAACGCTATGGCAGTTCCTCAAACAAAAATAGAGCAATTTCACTTGGTGGTGTATATATCCAGAAGAATTGAAAGCACGGTCTCAAGGAGAAGAATATTTGTACACCTATGTTCATGGCAGCATTATTATTCACAATAGCCAAAAGGTGGAAGCAACCCAAATATTCATCAGTGGATGAATTGATAAATAAAATAGTGACTGTACATACAATGGAATATTGTTCAGCCTTAGGAAGAAACTCCTGTCACATGCTACAGCATGGATGAACCTTGAGCATATTGTGCTAAGTCAAATAACCCAGTCATAAAAATACAAAAACTTTATGATTCCACTAACTTGACGTATCTAGAGTAGCAAAACTCCACAGAAACAGGAAGTAGAATGGTGGCTATCAGGGACTAAGGGAAGGAGCAAATGGAGAGCTGCTGTTTAATGGGCATGAAAAAGTTCTGGGCTGGGCATGGTGGCTCAAGGCCGTAATCCTAGCACTTTGGAAGGCCAATATGGGCGGACTGCCTGAGCTGAAGAGCTCAAGACCAGCCCTGGGCAACATGGTTTCTACTAAAATACAAAAAAAATTAGCCAGGGGTGGTGGCAAGCACCTGTAATCCCAGCTACTTGGGAGGCTAAGGCACGAGAATTGCTTGAACCCGGGAGGTGGAGGTTGCAGTGAGTGGATTGTGCCACTGCACTCCAGCCTGAGTGACAGAGGGAGATTGTCTCAAAAAAAAAAAAAGTTCTGGACATTGGTTGTACACACTGTGAATGTACTTAACACTATAGAACTGTATGTTTAAAAATGGTTAATATGGCCAGGCGCGGTGGCTCACGCCTGTAATCTCAGCACTTTGGGAGGCCGAGGTGGGTGGATCACGAGGTCAAGAGATCGAGACCATCCTGGCCAACATGGTGAAACCATGTCTCTACTAAAAATAAAAAATTAGCTCGGCACGGGGGCAGGTGCCTGCAGTCCCAGCTACTCAGGAGGCTGAGGCAGGAGAATCATTTGAACCCGGGAGGTGGAGGTTGCAGTGAGCTGAGATCGTACCACTGCACTCCAGCCTAGTGACAGAGTGAGACTCTGTCTCAAAAAAAAAAAAAAAAAAAAGGTTAATATGGCCAGGTGTGGTGGCTCACGCCCATGATCTCAACACATTGGGAGGCTGAGGCACAAGAATAACATGAGCCCAGGAGTTTGAGACCAGACCTGGCAACATAGTGAGAGCCCGTCTCTACAAAAAATAAAAAATTAGCTGGGCGTGGTAGTATGCCCCTGTAGTCTCAGCTACTCAGGAGGCTGAGGCGAGAGGATTGCTGCAGCCCAGGAGTCAAGGCTGCAGTAAACTGAGATCACACTACCGCACTTCAGCCTTGTCTCAAAAAAAAAAAAAAAAAAGATAGTAAATTCCACGGTACGTATATTTCTCCACAATTAGAGAGAGAGAGGGCAGCTAGGTAGCTGCCAGGCTTCATTGAATTAATAACTGTGGAGTTTAAGCCTACATATTTTCTTCTTCCTTTTTTCTAAGTCAGAAAACATTTTTTTTTTTTTGAGACAGGGTCTCACACTGTTGCCCAGGCTGGAGTGTAGTGGTGCAACCTCGGCTCACTGCAGCCTTGACCTCGCAGGCTCAACCCATCCTTCCACCTCAGCCTCCTGAGTAGCTGGGACTACAGGTGCATACCACCATGCCTTGTTAATTTGGGGGGGGTCTTTTCTGTACAGATGGGGTTTTGCCATGTTGCCCAGGCTGGTCTTGAATGCGTAGGCTCAAGTAATTACTGTCTGCCTCGGCCTCCCAAAGTGCTGGGATTACAGGTATAAGTAAACATGCCCAGCCCAAATTCATTTTTAACAAATGAATTGAAGCTCTTGTTTTTAGTCAATGGAGAAAAGCATGAAATCGCTTCAGACAGAAAGTAGTTTAAATTTTTTTTCCCCTCAAATACACCACTAGTCTTTTTCTTCTTACATGGAAAATACACAATAGAAAGAAAAAAGGATGACAGATATTAATCACATTATTGTCTAATTTCTTTTAGTCTTCTATTTCCACAACTTCTTAAAGTCATAACCATACTACATGTACTACTTTGTATCCTCATATTTTGTATCCTGTTTTCATTTATCATACATATTTTCTAGGTTTTAAATAGAAACATATTTAAAGGCTACATAGGCTGGGCAGTGTGGCTCATGCCTGTAATCCCAGCATTTTGGGAGGCCGAGGTGGGCAGATCATCTGAGGTCAGGAGTTCGAGATCAGTCTGGCCATCACAGTGAAACCCCATCTCTACTAAAATTACAAAAAATCAGCTGGGTATGGTGTCGCATGCCTGTAATCCCAGCTACTCAGCAGGAGAATCGCTTGAACCCGGGAGGCAGAGGTTGCAGTAAACTGGGATTGCCCACTGCCCTCCAGCCTGGGCAACAGAGCCAGACTCCATCTCAAAAATAAATAAATAAAGGCTTTATAATACAGCATCCAGGGAATGTGCATAAATTGTATTTTTTACTAAAACAATACTGTCATGAACATCTTTGGTGCATAAACCTTTCTCTGTAATTAAGATTTTTTTCTGTAAGTTCCAAAAAAGAGAATTACTTAATGTAAGGGAATTGGAAATATTTAAAGTTTTCTGAATGAATTGTAGTTTATCAAAAGCACGTAAGAAAGCAATAGAAATTTTTTTAAAATAATTAATGATAGGTAAAAAATATACATTGTTTCATATTTCTTTAATTCTCCATTAGTTGTATGAGTTATCTGGTCATATCATTTGTCCATCCATTTACCAGAGTCTCAAGTGTTTTCCTTCTTTTTTTTTTTTTTTTTTTAAAGACAGGGTGTTGCTCTGTGACCCTGGCTGGAGTGCAGTGGTGTGATCACAGCTCACTGCAGTCTCAATCTACTGGGCTCAAGTGATCTTCACACCTCAGCCTCCCAAGCAGCTAGGACCACAGGCATGCATCACCATATCTGGCTAATTAAAAAAAAATTTTTTTTTTCTTTTTTGAGACAGAGTCTCACTCTGTCACCCAGGCTGGAGTGCAGTGGGACGATCTCGGCTCACTGCAAGCTCCACCTCCCGGGTTCACACCATTCTCCCTCCTGCCTCAGCCTCCTGAGTAGCTGGGACTACAGGCGCCCGCCACCATGCCCAGCTAATTTTTTGTATTTTTAGTAAAGACGGGGTTTCACTGTGTTAGCCAGGATGGTCTTGATCTCCTGACCTCATGATCCGCCCTCCTCGGCCTCCCAAAGTGCTGGCATTACAGGCGTGAGCCACCGTGCCCAGCCTAATTTTTAAAATTTTTTGTCGAGACGAGGTTTTGGCCTTGAACTCCTAAGCTCAAACGATCCACCTACCTTGGCCTCCTAAAGTGTTGCGATTACAGGCCATCAGCCACACTGGCCAATTCAGTGCTTTTTAATCTACACTAATACAAGGTAATCCCACAGACTAATATAAAAACAGAAAAGACAAAATCATGTACCTTCTGCAAATATCTCTACTAAAAATACCTTTTAAATACTCCACTTCAGAAGACATAAATTAGAATACAGAGCAAAGAAGAAAAAAGATGTAATCCTAAAGCACTGAAACTATAAAAGAGTTTTTATAATCTTGTTAATTACTAGAAATGATACTTTTGTTTTGCTCTGACTCACTGATTTTTTTCCCTCCATAACAATATCCTTAAGAATTCCTACTTCTCCATCCTGGACAATGTAGCAAGACCTCGTCTCTACAAAAAAAAAAAACAATTTTAATTAGCAAGGTGTGGTGGCGCATGCCTGTGGTCCCAGATACTGCAGGAGGTGGGGGTGCTGGAGATGGGGGTGCCCACTGATACTGGAGGATCACTTGAGCCCAGGAGGTTGAGGTTGCAGTGGGCCATTATCATGCCACTAACATTCCAGCCTGGGTGACAGCAAGACCCTGTTTCAGAAAAGTAAGATACATTCCTACTTCTAATAGAAACTAATATGATCAAAAAAAAAACACACATATCAACAGTAAAAGCCACTATAATCAGCAAGTAACATTTTAGACAATAATTATAACCACCTTTCCTACAAAAAAGATAACTAACAGGGTGCATACTTGTAATTCCAGCTACTTAGGAGGTTGAGGCAGGAGGATTGCTTGAGTCCCCCAGGAGTTCGAGACCAGCCTGGGGAACACAGAGACAGCCCATTATCTCAATTAAAAAAAAAAAACAAAAGATAACATATTTTCCATTATTGTATACATGAAGAATCAACATATCAAATAAAGCTCTTGGCCAGGCACGGTGGCTCAGGCCTGTAATCCCAGCACTTTGGGAGGCCGAGGCAGGCGGATCACAAGGTCAGGAGATCGACACCATTCTGTGAATGGTGAAACTCCGTCTCTACTAAAAATACAAAAAATTAGCTGGGCGTGGTGGCGGGCGCCTGTAGTCCCAGCTACTCGGGAGGCTGAGGAGGGAGAATGGCGTGAACCCGGGAGGCGGAGCTTGCAATGAGCCGAGATCAAGCCACTGGACTCCAGCCTGGGCGACAGAGTGAGACTCCGTCTCAAAAAAAAAAAAACAAAAACAAAAACAAAAAACTCTTTTTTCCAAAATAAAAATTTTATAGTTTCATCTCATAAACAACAGTACATACTGTTTTACTGATGTTATCAGAATGTAACCTTTATTTGTTCACTTTTTTAAAGCTATTATTTCTAAAATTAAGGTTAAGATTAACAATGTGTTAAAAACTTGTTCAATACAGAATAAATTTTATATGTACGAATGCATTTTCTGTAAAAATAAAGTAAGCCCCCAGTTAGCATATATAAGCTTAACAGGAGATAACCCAAAGTCAGGCAGAAACAAGGGAGTAGTGAAACACCGCTTCAAAAGCACCATCAATGGGAATAGAAGGAACTGAGAAATGGTGGGCTGAGATCTTGCTGACATAGAGAGAATGTCAGGGAAGGCAGGGCCCTTTTAAGAAAACTTGCAGCCGGGCGCGGTGGCTCACGCCTGTAATCCCAACACTTTGGGAGGCCGAGGTGGGTGAAACACCTGAGGTCAGGAGTTCAAGACCAGCCTGGCCAACATGGAGAAACCCCGTCTCTACTAAATATAAAAAAGAAATTAGCCAGGCATGGTGGCACATGCCTGTAATTCCAGCTACTCGGGAGGCTGAGGCAGGAGAATTGCTTGAACCCAGGAAGCAAAGGTTGCAGTGAGCTGAGATAGTGCCAATGCACTCCAGCCTGGGCAACAAGAGTGAAACTCCATCTCCAAAAAAAGAAAAAAGAAAAGAAAACTTGCAAAGAAAGAAACATTATATGTTAGGCAATAAACTAAGAGCTTTTTAAGCTCAACATTACTGATCATTAGAGAAATGTAAATCAAAACCGCAATGAGATACCATCTCACGTCAGTCAAATGGCGATTACCGGCCTGGCATGGTGACTCACACCTGTAATCCTAGCGCTTTGGGAGATCGAGGCGGGCAGATCACTTGAGGTCAGGAGCTTGAGACCAGCCTGGCCAATATGGCAAAACCCCATTTCTACTAAAAATACAAAAATTAGCCAGGCGTGGTGGTGGGCACCTGTAGTCCCAGCTACTTGGAAGGCTGAGGCAGGAGAATCGCCTGAACCCAGGAGGCGGAAACGATGCAGTGAACAGAAATTGCACCACTGCACTCCAACGTGGGCAAGAGAGCAAGACTCAGTCTCAAGAAAAAAAAAAATAGCTGGCATCGTGGGTGACTGTGGTCCCAGCTACTTGGGAGGCTGCCCAGGAGGCGGAGGTTGTAGTGAGCCAAGATTGTGCCACTGCACTCTAACCTGGGCAATAGAATGAGACTTTGTCTCGAAAAAAAAAAAAAAAAAAAAAAGAATGGCAATTAAAAAGTCAACAGTTGGCGAGGTTTGGAGAATAAGGAATGCTTTTACGTTGTTGGTGGGAGTGTAAATTAGTTCAACCATTGTGGAAGACAGTGCAGCAATTTCTCAAAGACCTACAGGTAGAAATACCATTTGACCCAGCAATACCATTATTGGTATATACCCAAAGGAATATAAATCATTCTATTATAAAGATACATGCCCACATATGTTCACTGCAGCACTATTCACAATAGCAAAGACATGCAATCAACCCATATGCCCATCAATGAGAGACTGGATAAAGAACATGTACATATATATCATGGAATACTATGCAGCCATAAAAAGGAAAGAGATAATGTCCTCTGCAGGGTCATGGATGGAGCTGGAAGCTGTTATCCTCAGCAAACTAACAAAGGAACAGAACATCAAACACTGCATGTTCTCACTTATAAGTAGGAGCTGAATGGTGAGAACACGGGGACACATGGTGGGAGAACAACACACACTGGGGCCTGTGGAGGAGGGTGCGGTGGGGGAAGGGAGAGCATCAGGAAGAACAGCTAATGGATGCTGCGCTTAATACCTAGGTGATGGGTTGTTCTGTGCAGCAAACCATCATGGCACATGTTTACCTATGCAGTAAACCTGCACATCCTGTGCATGTACCCTGGAACTTAAAAGTTGAAGGGAAAAAAAAAGGCTAGGCGCACTCCAGCCTGGGTAACAAAGTGAGACACCCGTCTCTTAAAATAAAAGAGAGAGAGAGAGAGAGAAAAATATATTTAGACAGTTACCTCACCCCAGCTTTAGAAATGGGACAACTTGGCCAGGCACAGTGGGTCACACCTGTAATCCCAGAACTTTGGGAGGCCGAGGTGGGTGGATCACTTGAGGTCAGGAGTTCGAGACCAACCTGACCAACATGGTGAAACTCGGTCTCTACTAAAACTACAAAATTAGCCAGGGGTGGTGGCACATGCCTATAATCCCAGCTACTTGGGAGGCTGAGGAAGGAGAATCGCTTAAATCCAGGAGGCGTAGGTTGCGGTGAGCCGAGACCATGCCATTGCACTCCAGCCTGGGCAACAACAGTGAAACTCCATCTCAAAAAAGAAAAAAAAAAAAAAAAAAGGAATGGAGCAATTCAGGCACAACAAAACTTGCAAAAATATAGCCAAGTGCGATGGCTCATTCCTGTAATCCCAGCACTTTGGGAGACACTTTGTACCCTTAAGCGATAGGATCGCTTGAGCCCAGGAGTTTGAGACCAATCTGAGCAACACAGTGAGACGCTATTGTTACAGGACAGGGTCCCAATCCAGACCCCAACAGAGGGTTCTTGGATCTCGCACAAGAAATAATGGGTCAAGTCCACAGTGTGAAGTAAAAGCAAGTTTATTAAGAAAGTAAAGGAATAAAAGAACGGCTACTCCATAGACAGAGCAGCCCCGAGGGCTGCTGGTTGTCCATTTTTATGGTTATTTGTCGATGATATGCTAAACAAGGGGTGGATTTTTCATGCCTCCCCTTTTTAAACCATACAGGGTAACTTCCTGACTTTGCCATGGCATTTGTGAACTGTCATGGCGCTGGTGGGAGCACAGCAGTGACGACGACCAGAGGTCACTCTCGTGGCCATTTTGGTTTTGGTGGGTTTTGGCCGGCTCCTTTACTGCAACTGTTTTATCATCAAGGTCTTTATGACCTGTATTTTGTGCTGACCTCCTATCTCATCCCGTGACTTAGAATGCCTTAATCATCTGGGAATGCAGGCCAGTAGGTTTTAGCCTCATTTTACCCAGCCTGTTTAAGATGGAGTTGCTCTGGTTCATACGCCTCTGACATTTCCCCCCGTCTAAGAGAACCCTTAATCCTAAGGGTTGCAGAGGGACGAAGATCCATCTTCTATAACTTCTTCAGGCTAAATAGGGCAATGATATTCCTGCCTGCCTATGAGGGTCTCTTGCATTCAGGGTAAAAAGGAGCTCAGTCAGAAAGCATCAGTATGGTAAGGTTCATTCATAACTCAAGTTTCAACAAAAGGTGGTATCTGGAAAATTAGTAAGAAAACGTTCAGTAAGCTTGTCCTGTATTCCTACACAAAAAGTATAACAGCAATATATTCCACAAGAGTAAAGCAAAATAGGCTGGGTACAGTGGCTCACACCTGTAATCCAGCACTTTGGGAGGCCGAGGCAGGTGGATTACCTGAGGTCAGGAGTTCGAGGCCAGCCTGGCCAACATGGTGAAACCCTATCTCTACTAAAAATATAAAAGTCAGCTGGGCGTTGTGATGTGTGCCTGTAATTCTAGCTACTTGGGAGGCTGAGGCAGGAGAATCACTTGAACCCAGGAGGCGGAGGCTGCAGTGAGCCAAGATGGTGTCACTGCAGTCCAGCCTGGGCGACAGAACAAGACTCTGTCTCAAAAAGAAAGAAAGAAAAAAAAAAGAGTAAAGCAAAATAAGTAAAGTTATTCCAAATAAACTAAATTAGAAGACTTTTCATGAACCAGGCAACCACTGGAACTAAGCTGATATCGGGTTGTTAGCTGATTGTAATGTGCCCAGAATCAGAATACTGATCCAGATTTTTAAATTACCCATCCCTCTTATTTCTTCTGAGCAACAATTAGAGATTACTGGTTGGTTTACAAGAATACGCAGGGTTAGCCTAAATTGCAGAAACAAACTTAAAAACAATTAATGAGACCAGAATTTAATAACAAGTGTACCATAGTTTTTGAAACATAGTATTTCTCTCTCCAGTTTCCCATTTTTACTAAAGACAAATTATGGTAAGACTGACTTGCTTTATTATACTTGGCCTGATTGTTTGTATAAAGTGCAGCAAGAATAATAATTTTTCACATAGGCTTTTTAATTGGCTTTGATGGAACTCTGTTTCATAAGGAATCTCAGATAAGACTTTTTTAAAAGCCAAGCCCTGACATGGGTTTGTACCCTTAAATACCTATAACTTGGGTAAATTTCTCTCCTTTTGAGGTCCCAAGATAACTTGGGGCTCCTGGACAGGTGAGAAAGTGACATTCTTTACTTACCATAGGTCAGAAACCCTGTACAGGCACTGTGTAGGCAAGGTATGAGGCCAGTTCCCCAAAGGGCTTTTATTGGCTCTACAAGTCAAGTTTGATTCCTTAAAGAAAAGCACACCATTTCAGTCAAAGCCTTGGTAAAATAACCACTTTCTCCAATTGTATTCTGTTACAAAAGAAAACAGATTCTTATTGCACTTATGCAAATAATTACATTGCCATAAGTTAAGAATACTCACAACTAGTTTCCAAATTCTGGAGAAATCTGATATAGAGAAACAAATATGTTCCAAATTTCGTTCACAGCAGTATACTTTACTCAATTGCTATGAACTGTAAATAGCTCAAATGAAAAGTTTCCTTGACTCTGAAAAACAAAACAAAGGATCAGCAACATTTTAATCAAAGATTACTTCAGTTTTCTATTGGTTCAGTTGATTCAATTAACTCATGTTTCATTTGATATTCATGAACATTCTAGCTCTTCATGAGTTCTGAAAGTTGTTTCCTCTATTCTAATGTTACAATTTCCAAAGTTATTAGAAACCTGCATTTAAGAACACCTGCTAGAGTTCTATAGCTGATTATAAATCATCTTCTAAACAGGATTAAAACAAGACAACAATTGTCTGTGGATGATAAAAAGTTTTAGGAGAGCCACTATTAAAGCCAGAAATGATAAGGAAATTTGGTTACTTCTGTGGCACACAATATTTTGCATAACAATTATAATTATTAATAACATACACTAAATCATATTAGAATTATAGGAGTTTCCCATAACTTTGGAACATATACCAATAATACAGTTATGTAAATATAATCCAAAGAAAGCAAAACACCATTTGACATTTGATAATGCTTCCTGTATGAATTTTTTTTTTTTTTGAGATGGAGTCTCGCTCTGTCACCCAGGCTGGATAGAGTGCAGTGGTGCAATCTCAGATCACTGCAACCTCCCCCTCCCAGGTTCAAGCGCTTCTCCTGCCTCAGCCTCGAGTAGCTGTGACTACAGGTGTGCGCCACCATGCCCGGCTAACTTTTGTATTTTTTGATAGAGATGGGGTTTCACCATGTTGGCCAGACTGGTCTCAAACTCCTAACCTCAGGTGATCCATCTGCCTCGACCTCCCTAAGTGCTGGGATTACAGGTTTGAGCCACTGTGCCCGGCCAACTTAGAATAATTATTTAACTCTTTAGCCAAAAAACCCCACATTTCCATGCCTTCTTATAATCTTTTACCAAAAGTACATTCTATTTTCCTTACTACACACCTTACATGTAAAACTGTCTCTTCAATAGTCTCAGTTACATGTTCCAATTTTAACTTTTAGCGACTTTTACTTTTGGTGAAAACCCTGGTTAGTAAGCAATTTTAATTATGTACTAGGTGTGGAGCCTAGCCTAGGACACACCAGGCAGAAGTGCAGATAAGAGCTGACTCTCCAGCACAGCTTAGGGGCGTGGCTAACTCCACATGTCCCCAGGCCTTATCTAGAATCTAATGGCTTTAAGGTAGGGTAAATTGAACAATTTTTAAAAGTCAAAGAAACAGTTTATGACCTCAAATCATTTAACAAACTTAATATCTGACCTGCATAATTAAGATTAACATTTTTATCAATTTTAAAGATGTGTTTATTTCCTAAAGATTACTAAAGTTACATGAACTAAAAGGCATTAGTTATTTTGCTTTCAAAATATTTGATTTAAATGTTTATTTTTGTTTAAGCTGATTAATCAGAGCTCTTTTATATAAATATTACACACGACACCTATATAGCTACACAGAAAGACAGATGATGATGATAACAGTGGTTGTAAGATTTTTCATTTGCCAGTTTTTAAGTTTCTTAATTGGATTACCGGCTTCAGGGTGGAGCCCTTGGAAGAACAGGGCCACGAAAGGGGTCTCTGGTGCCTCTTGTTTTTCCCAAGGAGTCCAGGCTGTTAGAGCTTGAATATCCACTTTTAATTAAACTTATTTTAACCATAGCACTCTTTAATAAAGTCCTTTTAGAAGTTTTTATGCCAAACGGCTGGTATTTCTGGCTTTTGAATTTTATCAAAGGTAACCTCCCAGGTGCTTAGAAAAAGGAAAATATAAGACAGTTCACAGAGGAGAAGAGAATAGACAAAGTCATGCAGATATTAAACCAGAAACGACTTACTTCCTAGGTGGGTAATTGAACCTGGACTGTTGCCACGGAAGTGCAAAAGCTGGCTGGGTGCGGTGGCTCATGCCTGTAATCCCATCAGTTTAGGAGGCTGAGGCAGGTGGATCACCTGAGGTCAGGAGTTCGAGACCAGCCTGCCCAATATGATGAAACCCCATCTCTACTAAAAATACAAAAATTAGCTGGGCGTAGTGGCACACACCTGTAATCCCAGCTACTTGGGAAGATGACGCAGGCAAATCACTTGAACTCGGGAGGCGGAGGTTGCAGTGAGCTGAGATCGCACCACTGCACTCCAGCCTGGGCGACAGAGCAAGACTCCATCTCAAAAAAAAAAAAAAAGAAAGTGCAAAAGCTTAGCTACTGAGCTACAGCACAGGGCAGTCTCTGTTGACCTTCCCAGAAGGAGTCTAGAGTAGTTAATTTTGAGCTTATAAGGGCTTTTAACTATTTAATATTATTTTTAGAGCTAACTATGACATGAATCCTGAAATTCCTGTTCTCTGAAGGTGGGGACCAAAAGAAAGTACCACCACATGGTTAAAAGGTCAAGCTCCCAAGGACGTAAAACAAGGTGGAGACTTCATCCAGTCTTTTATTTGTTACAGGGACCTGCAGCCAAGTATCTTACTGACCAGCTTGCTGGGTCATCTTGAAAAGCGAGCTTACAGGTGTTCTTTTTTTTCTTTTTTTGAGATGGACATGGAGTCTCGCTCTGTTGCCAGGCTGGAGTGCAGTGGCACGATCTCGGCTCACTGCAACCTCCGCCTCCCGGGTTCAAGTGATTATCCTGCCTCAGCCTCCCAAGTAGCTGGGACTACAGGCGCACGCCACCACACCCAGCTAATTTTTTGTATTTTTAGTAGAGATAGGGTTTCACCATGTTGGCCACGGCTGGTCTCAAACTCCTGACCTCAGGGGATCCACCAGCCTCAGCCTCCCAAAGTGCTGGGATTACAGGCCTGAGCCACCGTGCCAGGCTGATTTTTTTTTTTTTAACCATTCACTTAACCATTTGTACAGTGAGAGAGAAGCCAGAAATCTGACTGGTAATACATTCTTACCCTTTTGCCAGCATCCCAGGCTTCTGGGTTCCCTTTCCCTTAGTGGTCCTAGTGTTCAAGCTTGCAGCATCATTGCCCTGGGGGCCAAGCCGTATCATAAAGGAAAATTATGTTTTTTCCATTCTGGCCAGAGCAAAATACGTGTGATAAAACAAAGACATTAGCCACTCCGCTTAGCACCCAATATCAAACTAGCAAGGCTTAAATTTGCCCCCAGATGGGCCTGTCATCTTTAATTCAACCTCCGACTTGGAGTTTCAACATGTGGCCTCTAGGTAAGATGGTTGCCCTGAGTAATAGAAAAAATAAGAAACGCAAAGTAGATAAGAAAAGTATTGCCTGTGGCAGGGTGGGGAAGCTGAAGAGCTTAGGGAGGCCAGAGAAAAGACCCACTCATTGCAGCCGACAATGAAAACCTCAGGCAGCCGCTTGTACGCAGCAAAGGGACCTTTTCCAGCAGTCCCATCAGCTCTCAAGATTCCCCTTTTATGGGGGGAGGGGGGAGGGATAGCATTGGGAGATATACCTAATGCTAGATGACGAGTTAGTGGGTGAAGTGCACCAGCATGGCACATGTATACATATGTAACTAACCTGCAAAATGTGCACATGTACCCTAAAACTTAAATTAAAAAAAAAAAAGACTCCCCTTTTAGAGAGGAAAAAGCTCCCCATGTCCCACGATCCTGTTCATGCCTAACTCTGTCACCCACAGCCATCAGCAAAGAGCGCAAGGCAGATTAATCCAAAGAGAACAGCAGTTAATATCCCATAGTGCCAAACCTGTTCTTAGCTGAGAGGGAGTTACCTGAGAGGGACTCTAACTCCCTATATCTTAGAAGGGCCTCCAACCCAAGGTCAGTCAAGCTTAAGCGTCCTTGCCTTTTATTAAGAGGGGCCTCGAACCCACTGTCTTAGGAGAGACTCCTAAACATAAATACTGGGTTTCCGCAGTATAGTCGCTTCTGTGGCCACCACAAATACGTTACAGGACCCCAACACTTACCCAAAGGTAGCCGTTGGGTCAGGGTTTCTGCACTATAGTCCCTTTGTGGTCGCCAGAAATATGTTACAGGACAGGCGTCCTGATCCAGGCCCCAACTGAGGGTTCTTGGATCTCGCGCAAGAAATAATTCAGGGCAAGTCCACAGTGCGATGTAAAAGTAACATTATGAAGAAAGTAAAGGAATAAAAAGAACGGCTACTCCATAGACAGAGCAGCCCCAAGG
The DNA here is from genome assembly GCF_000001405.40 of Homo sapiens. Taxonomy (NCBI): domain Eukaryota; kingdom Metazoa; phylum Chordata; class Mammalia; order Primates; family Hominidae; genus Homo; species Homo sapiens. The sequence continues at coordinate 50,765,924 of NC_000012.12, read as the reverse complement.
GCTGCTGGTTACCCCTTTTTACTGTTATTTCTCAATGATAGGCTAAACAAGGGGTGGATTAATCACGCCTCCCCTTTTTAGACCATATAGGGTAACTTCCTGACATTGCCATGGGATTTGTAAATGGCGCTGATGGGAGTGTAGCAGTGAGGATGACCAGGGGTCACTCTTGTGGCCATTTCAGTTTTGGCCGGCTTCTTTACTGCAACCTGTTTTATCAGCAAGGTCTTCATGACCTGTATTTTGTGCTGACTTGTCTCATCCTGTGACTTAGAATGCCTTAACTGTCTGGGAATGCAGCCCAGTAGGTTTCAGCCTCATTTTACCCAGCTCCTGTTTAAGATGGAGTTGTTCTAGTTCACACGCCTCTGACACCATCTCTATTTAAAAACAAACAAACAAACAAACAAAACAAAACAAAAACTGGCAAAGATAGCACACCCTATATTTAAAGTCAGAAGGGACTGCCACCTGCTGGTGATCGGGTAGGAATGGACAGATAGCTCACAGACCAAACCTAACCCTAAAAGATAACGGCAAGTATTAAAGAGCTAATACATTCGACTTTAGGGCAACAGTATTGATTCTAATTAAGACACGGAGATAACTGCATATGATAAACTCCAAGAAAAAAGAGCATTTTAGAAGAACGCATTTCTGTTAACAAAAACCTCAGGTTAAAATGCATTCTGAGACATAAATGCCTACGAACTCATCACAGGTGAGGCCAGTTTGACAAAGATGCCTGCCAGATCCACGCCGAGCTTCTGAACCCTAAAGGTTCTCAAAGACTACCAGTTGCCCAATCTCTTCAAAACACTAGCGCCACAACCAGACATTATTTCACATTGCAATCATTTCAAAGCGATTCAGCCGCCAGCTGCACGGCGTCGATCAAAGTGAGAAATGCCAGGCTTCGTTTTTTGACATACAAGATCAAAGAGAAAGTCACCCTCGGCTGGGTCGCCCATCCCAAAGGGTACAGACGCCCTTGTGTCATTCCTAGCCAGGGGTAAAGCCGCCTACTGTCCCCACTCTGTCTCCGCTGCCAGGCGCATCTCTCCAGGACTGTCTGGGGCGTGCGCAATGCCCGTGCGTCGGTTGCCCGCTAGACTGCAAGCTCCAGGAGGGTAAGGGGCGCGCCTCTTCCCTCAGGGTCGCCAGCGCCGACGCGCTTCGAGGACCCTGTCGCGGGGTTAACCAGACCCGGGCTCCGCTCGGCGGACACCGCGCCGAGGCCATATCCGCGCCGCCCTCCGCCCGGCTCCGGGCCCAACCTCGAGACCTCCCACGGAGAGCTAGCGCCTGCGACTGCAAAGGGCGGCTTCTGAGGCGAAAGCCACCCCGCGGCGGGCGGTTTCGGGCTTTACTTTTATTTGGGGGCGAGGGAAAGGAGGAGACGCACGACTGGAAGGGCGCAGCGCAGCTCTGCACCGAGGCGCGGAGGCCGGAAGCGCGGGCGGCCCCTCCCCCTGCCGCTGCGCCCCTCCCCCACCGCCACCACCGCGCGCGACCCCCACCAGGCGCGCGACCCGCGCTGCGTCCCCGCCGGCGCCACGTTCCCGCGTCCTTCCCCGCCCGGGCCACGGGGCACGTCCCTCCCCGCCCCCCACTTACCTGTGGCTGCCGCCTCGCCGCTCTCCGGGGCGGGAACTTCCACTCCCCCCTCCCAGGTAGATCCGAATTCACTACCCACTTCCCCACCCCCTCACGCAGCGGGGGACAAGCCTCCTTCTCGGGGGTCAGGCGGGGCGGGGAGAATCAGTGTCACTTAACAGCCAACTGTCCTAAGCTACCGTTTCCTCGGCAGTCAGGGCCGCTACTGGCGGCATGATCTACACAAGCCTGGGGGCGGGGGCGGGGGCGGGGGAGGGGAGGGGGGCAAAACTGAGCACTAGTGTGCGTTTGGGGTAGGCTATGGCGCTGCCTCCGCGCGGGCCGCCGTCCTGCGTCACCGCGCTGCCCACGTGACGCGCCGCCATCTTGTACGCGGTCCTGACTTGTGGCTAGGGGTTCCTCGGAACGCGTTCCTCAGGCTGCAGCGGGAGAGGGACGGTGCCTGCGGTTCCGTTTCTCCTTAGGAGCTGTACCCCACCCGCCCTACGTCCGCTTCCGGAGGCCATGAGCAGCTGGGTGCTCGCGGGGGGCGTTTTCATCGATTAGTGGCGGCGCTGTCAACTCACCTGCCAATTGACCTTGACCGACGCCGGCCCTGTCCTCTTGGAAGGAGAAATGAAGAGTGAAGGCTTTGACTTCCTCAGCTTTTTTTTTTTTTTTTTTTTTTTAGATGGAGTCTCTTTTTTTTTTCCGAGATTGAGACGGGGGTCTGTGGCCCAGGCTGTAGTGCAGTGGTTCGATCTCGACTCACTGCAGCCTCCAACCCCGGGATTCAAGCGATTCTCCAACCTCAGCCTATGGGGCAGCTGGGACCACAGGCGCGCGCTACCACGCTCGGCTTGAAGAGATGAGGACTCTATGTTGCTCAGGCTGGTCTTGAACTCCTGGGCTCAAGTGATCCTCCGCCTCGGCCTCTCAAAGTTCTGGGATTACAGGCGTGAGCCACCGTGCCCGGCCTTACTCAGATTTTTCTTAATCCCATAAAGTAACAATGAGTTGTGTCCTTTAACCCATGTGGAAGGATTTTCTACAGAAACGGATTTACAATGAGACATAACGATGTGGCCGGGCGCGGTGGCTCATGCCTGTAATCCCAGCACTTTGGGAGGCCCAGGAGGGCGGATCACCTGAGATCGGGAGTTCGAAACCAGCCTGACCAACATGGAGAAACCCCGTCTCTACTAAAAAATACAAAAGTAGCCGGGTGTGGTGGCGAATGCCTGTAATCCAAGCTACTTGGGAGGCTGAGGCAGGAGAATCGCTTGAACCCGGGAGGCGGAGGTTGCGGTGAGCCGAGATCGCACCGTTGCACTCCAGCCTGGGCAACAAGAGCAAAACTGTCTCAAAAAAAAAGAAAAAAGAAACGTAACAGAGTGTTAATAAAATGTTATGCCGTCATTTTAATGCATTACAAAAACTTCAGAATATTTTTGGGTCTACCTCTCTGGAAGGGAGTTATGCCTTATTCTTAATTTTTAAAATTTCCTTGTAAAATGCTGTTTTATGGCTTTAATGATAGTAAACGACAAAAGATAAACTTTTTTAGTATGCTCTTGACAAAAGTTCCGAAAGTTTTCTGAAATTTTACTAGTTTGAGATCCCCAATTTAGGAAACCGATTTAGTGGAGAGAGCTTTGCCTATTTTTGGCCCTTTGGGTCGGAGAATGTGATATAAAGCCGAAGATTTACTCTGCCAGACAGTCTTAAGAGGTCACTAACGTTTAGCTATTGACATTCAGCAAAAATTGTGGATTACCTATTAAATGCTAGACCAGGGGACAACTGTTATTAAGTCAGTGTTTCAGCATTACTGAAAGAAAAGTGGCCTATAAAGGTAAGGGAGAGGAAGAGTTTCTCAGATACCAGCCTTCGATGATTAACAAAGTCCAGCCTCAATCATTCTGGAATCCAGAATATTGATGGCTGGAAGGCTGGTTGTACAAGTTTATTGTTCTTTGGTGTTTGGTTTTTTCTTCCGTGGACCACAGAATGCTTAACAAAAGTTGATCAGTAAAAAGCGGGGGAGGGGCTAGGCGTCGTGGTTCATGACTGTAATTCCAGCACTTTGGGAGGTGGGGGAGGGCAGATCACCTGAGGTCAGGAGTTCGAGACCAGCCTGGCCAACATGGTGAAACCCCGTCTCTACTAAAAATACAAAAATTAGCCAGGTGTGGTGGCACACACCTGTAATCCCAGCCTCTCAGGAGGCTGAAGCATGAGAATCGCTTGAACCTGGGAGGCAGATGTTGCAGTGAGCCAAGATCACGCCACTGCACTCCAGCCTGAGCCACAGAGGGAGACTGTCTCCAAAGAAAAAAAATAAAAACCTGGAAATTTTATTGAAAAATGAAACCTTCAAAATGTGCCTTGACTACTTCTTTAGCTCCTCTTCCTTAGTGCCTTAGGTCTAAATCAAATGTTACGCTCGACCAGTCCTGGTGGCATGCGCCTGTAATCCCATCTACTGGGGAGGCTGAGGCAGGAGGATCATTTGAGCTCGGGAGTTTGAGGATACAGTGAGCTGTGATCATGCCACTGCACTCAAGCCTACATGACAGATGAGACACTGTCTCTAATTTTTTTTTTTTTTTTGAGATGGAGTCTGCCTCTGTCGCCCAGGCTGGAGTGCACTGGTGCAATCTTGGCTCGTTGCAACCTCCACCTCCCGGATTTCAGTGATTCTCCTGCCTCAGCCTCCAAGTAGCTGAGAGATTACAGGTGTGTGCCATCACAGCTGGCTAATTTTTGTAGTTTTTTAAGTAGGGACGGGGTTTCACCATGTTAGCCAGTCTTGGTCTCGAACTGCTGACCTCAAATGATCCGCCTGCTCAGCCTCACAAAGTGCTGGGATTACGAGCATGAGCCACGGCACCTAGCCTCTAAAATAATTTTTTTTAAAATTGTTTAAAAAACAACTCAGGCCGGGCACGGTGGCTTACGCATGTAATCCCAGCACTTTGGAGGGCGCGGTGGGTGGATCACCTGAGGTCAGGAGTTCGAGACCAGCCTGGCAAATATGACGAAACTCCGTCTCTACTGAAAATACAAAAGTTAGCCAGACGTGATGGCGTGAGCCTACAGTCCCAGCTACTCGGGAGGCTGAGACAGGAGAATCGCTTGAACCCAGGAGGCGGAATTTGTGGTGAGCCGAGATCGTGCCACTGCACTCCAGGCTGGGCAACAGTGAGACTCCATCTCAAAAAAAAAAAACAAAAACAAAAAACCACGACTCAGTTGACAGAGGAAAAGAAGAAAAAAAGTTATGCTTGTTCAACACTGCCCCTCAAAAATACTTCTGCTTTTCTTGTCTCTTTCTCATTGAAGTATCATAAACTGTGCCTACCAGTCTTCTGAACTGTGATAACTAGATGAAAAAAAAAAAGAGGTCTTGGTTCTGATGCATGCAGTTTATCTGAATAGTAAGTTTCATAAATCAGATGGACAGATCTTTAATATTAGAAGCAAGGAAAGTGAAACAAAGAAACTTAGAGCCATGGCCGGGCAGGGTGGCTCACGTCCTCCGTAATCCCAGCACTTTGGGAGGCCAAGGTGGGTGGATCACTTGAGGTCAGGAATTCAAGACCAGTATGGCAAAACCCTGCCTCTACCAAAAATACAAAAAATTAGCTGAGCGTGGTGGAGCACACCTGTGGTCCCAGCTACTTGGGAGGCTGCGGCAGGAGAATCCCTTGAACCCAGGAGGTGAAGGTTGCAGTAAGTCGAGATCGTGCCACTGCACTCTAGACTGGGTGACAGAGCAAGACTCCACCTCAAAAAAAAAAAAAGAAAAAGAAAAAGAAACTTAGAGCCGAAAGTAATTTTTTTTTTTTTTTTGAGACAGAGTCTTGCTCTGTCGCCCAGGCTGGAGTGCAGTGGGGGTATCTTGGCTCACTGCAACCTCTGCCTCCTGGGTTCAAGGGATTCTCCTGCCTCAGCCTCCTGAGTAGCTGGGATTACAGGCGCCTACCACTACGTCTGGCTAATTTTTGTATTTTTAGTAGAGATGGGGTTTCACCATGTTAGGCTGGTCTCGAACTCCTGACCTAAGGTGATCCGCCCGCCTCAGCCTCCCAAAGTGCTGGGATTACAGGTGTGAGCCACCGTGTCTGGCCAAAAGTAATTGTTTTTTTTAAAATAAACTGGGCAAGCCTGTGGTAGCACCACTTTGGCTCTTCTGGCACACTTTTTTGTTGTTAGAAAAGAGAGATGTGGCCAGGCATTGGCTCACACCTGTAATCCCAGCACCTTGGGAGGCCGAGGCGGGTGGATACCTGAGGTCAGGAGTTTGAGACTAGCCTGGACAACATGGTGAAACTCCGTCTCTACTGAAAATACAAAAATTAGCCAGGCGTGGTAGTGTGCACCTGTAATCCCAGCTACTCAGGAGGCTGAGGCAGGAGAATCGCTTGAACCTGGGAGGCAGAGGTTGCAGTGAGCTGAGATTGTGCCACTGCATTCCAGCCTGGGTGATGGTGCAAGACTCTGTCTCAAAAAAAAAAGAAAAAAAATTAACCAGGTGTGGTGGCATGCACCTGTAATCCCAGCTACTCGGGAGGTTGAGGCAGGAGAATCACTTGAACTCAGGAGGCAGAGGTTGCAGTGAGCTGAGATCACTCCATGGCACTCCAGCTTGGGCAACAGAAGGAGACTCCATCCCATTAAAAAAAAATTTTAAAAAAAGAGGTTATAATGAAATGGATTTAATAACACTGCCTATCCCATAGGGTTTTGTAGACTGAATTACTTTGATACACGTAAAGTTAGAGCTGTGCCTAGTATATAGTAAGCACTAAATAAATGTTGGATTTTTTTTTAGACGGTCTTGCTGTGTCGCCCAGGCTGGAGTGCAGTGGTGCACGATCTCAGCTTACTGCAGCCTTGACCTCCTAGGCTCAAGCCATCCTCCCACCTTAGCCTCCCAGGTACCTGGGACTATAGATGTGCAGCACCACGCCCAGCTAATTTTTTTTTTCTTTTTCTTTTTTTTTTTTTTTGAGATGGAGTCTCGCTCTGTCACCCAGGCTGGAGTGCAGTGGCGCGATCTTGGCTCACTGCAACCTCTGCCTCCCAGGTTCACGCCGTTCTCCTGCCTCAGCCTCCGGAGTACCTGGGACTACAGGCGCCCGCCACCACGCCCGGCTGTTTCTTTTTTGTACTTTTAGTAGAGACGGGGTTTCACCATGTTAGCCAGGATGGTCTCGATCTCCTGACCTCGTGATCCGCCTGCCTTGGCCTCCCAAAGTGCTGAGATTACAGGCATGAGCCACCGTGCCCGGCCAATTTTAAAAGTTTTCTGTAGAGATAGGGTCCCTCTATGTTGCCCAGGCTGGTCTCGAGCTCCTGAGCTCAAGTTATCCACCTTAGCCTCCCAAAGTGTAGAGATTGCAGGCGTGAGCCACAGAGCCTGGCCAGAACCTTCTTGATGTTGGTCAGAGCAGCCTGCAGGTTTCACACACCTTTCTAAGCCCCCAGGTAGTGATGGTGACTGAAGCTATGAGGGCAGAAGAGTCAAACCCTTACCCAGAAAAAGTAAATCTGTTCACGTGAGAACAAATCACTGGCCCTTCTACTATGAAAGAAGCCCGATGTTGTCAGCTTGCTATGAAGTGGCCTAGTAGTTTTCTGAAGAAACAGTGCAACATTGGGAGCTCACTGTTGGTCTCGGTCAGTGTTTAGTTAAGGTTTCAGAGACAGTAGTTATTAAATCAGTTTTAGGAGTCCATGCGTAGCCTCCACCTCTGCCACTGTGGCTGCTCCATTCATATGCTCATTGTACCAGTTCCAAGAAGTCAATAGGTGGCTGACATCAACCAGCCAAGTCCGGCCCAGGCTGGAGTGCAGTGCTGCGATCTCAGCTCACTGCAACCTCCGACTCCTTGGTTCAAGCAATTCTCCTGCCTCAGCCTCCTGAGTAGCTGGGATTACAGGTATGTGCCACGACGCCCAGCTAATTTTCATATTTTTAGTAGAGATGGGGTTTCACCATGTTGACCAGGATGGTCTCGATCTCCTGACCTCGTGATCCGCCTGCCTTGGCCTCCCAAAGTGCGGGGATTACAGGCGTGAGCCACCATGCCCCACCATGACTTTTCTTTAATTTGGATCTCATTCAATTTCACAGCGTTTTGTGGTTTTCAGTGTATGAATTTGCACTGATTAAATTTATTTATTTATTTATTATTTATTTATTTATTTATTTATTTATTTATTTATTTATTTATATAAATGTTATCCAGGCTAGTCTCCCTTGAGATTCTTGTGACTTAGCCTCCTGAGTAGCTGGGATTACAGGCGTGCACCACCATACCCAGCTGATATATATATATATTTTTTGAGACAGAGTCTCACTCCATTGCCCAGGTTGGAGTGCAGTGGTGCGATCTCAGCTCACTGCAACCTCTGCCTCCCAGGTTCAAGCGATTCTCCTGCCTCAGTCTCCTGACTAGCTGGGATTACAGGCATGCACCACCATGCCTGGCTAATTTTTGTATTTTTAGTAGAGACGGGGTTTCACCATGTTGGCTAGGCTGGTCTCCAACTCCTGACCTCAGGTGATCCACCTGCCTCAGCCTCCCAAAGTGCTGGGATTACAGTTATGAACCACCACGCCCAGCTCTGATTTTTATATTTTTAGTAGAGATGGGGTTTCACCATGTTGGCCAGGCTGGTCTCGAACTCCTGGCCTCACGCAATACACCCACCTCGGCTTCCCAAAGTGCTGGGATTACAGGTGTGAACCACTGTGCCCAGCCTATTTTTTTTTGAATAGCACTGTTACAGAAGAATGTCAGTTTACTCCAGGGCACTTCAGTATTCCTGAGGAATAAACACAGTTTCTCTTTTCCTCCCACTGGGATGTTGTCAGGTGAAGTCACTGCTCCTGCTGTTTGACATATTTTCCATGTAGAAGATATGGACCTGGAAATCATGCTGACAGTTGGAGTAAGCCATTTCTAATCCCATGCCAGAACCGAAGGCTAATGGCCACACTCGTCTTTTAAAGAAGGTAAGTAGGCCGGGCACGGTGGCTCACGCCTGTAATCCCAGCACTTTGGGAGGCCAAGGTGGGTGGATCACCTGAGGTCAGGAGTTCGAGACCAGCCTGACCAACATGGAGAAACCCCATCTCTACTAAAAATACAAAATTAGCCAGGCATGGTGGCAGGTGCCTGTAATCCCAGTTACTTGGGAGGCTGAGGCAGGAGAATTGCTTGAACCTGGGAGGCAGAGGTTGCAGTGAGCTGAGATTGCGCCATTGCACTCCAGCCTGGGCAACAAGAGCGAAACTCAGTCAAGAAGGAGGGAGGGAGGAAGGGAGGGAGGGAGAGAAGGAAGGAGGGAGGGAAGGGAAGGAAGGCTAATTCAAAACTAGTACTTATCATCATGGCCACATCTGCCAGGCACCGATCCCACTTCCTGTCAAGCCTCCACTCCAACATCTCCCCACCCATGGCTCCCTATCTCATTTAATTTATTGAATATTACACTGAAAGTGAAAAACAGAATGGTTTTATGGGTACTCAAAGTATGGTTTCTACTGACTGCATCACTTTTGCACCATTGTAAAGTTGAAAAATTGTTAAGTTGAACCATCATAAGTCACAGACTGTATTTTATTCCTTTTGATGCTATTTCAAATGGAATTGTTTTGTGTATTTTATTTTTGGAAAGTTCATTGCTAGTGAATAGAAATAAAATTGACTTATGTTGCTCTTGTATTCTTCAACCTTGTGAAAGTCACTTATTCCTTTTAGTGTTTTCTTAAATTTTAAAAAATTTTTGTAGGTACATAGTAGGTGTATATATTTCTGGGGTACTTGAGATGTGTTGATACAGGCATCCAATATGAAATAAGCACGTCATGGAGAATGGATATCCATCCCCTCAAGCATTTATCCTGATACAAATAATCCAATTATATTATTTAAAAATATACAATTAAGTTATTACTGACTATAGTCACCCTATTTAAATTCTAATTGTGTATTCTTTAGGATTTTCTATGTACAAGTCATTTTATCTGTGAATAGAGATAGCTTTTATTCCTCTTTTCCTCTGGATGCCTTTTATTTCTTTTTCTTGCCTAATCGCTTTGGATAGACCTTTAGTACAACATTGAATAGAAGAGGTGAGAACAGACTTTCTCTTCCCTTGTTTCCAATGTTAGGGAGAGAGCATTCAGTTTTTCACTATTAAGTGGGGTGTTTGTTAGTGAGTTTTTCACAGATGGTCTTTAACAGATTTAGAATTCACCTTCATCTTTTTTTTTTTTTTTTTTTTTAGAGATGCAGTCTCACTATATTGCCCAGGCTGGTCTCAAACTTCTGGGCTCAAGCGATCCTCCTGCCTCAGCCTCCCAAAGTGCTGGGATTACAGGTGTGAGCCACTGTGTCAGGCCCACCTTCATTTTTGAAGACTAGTTTCACTGGATATAGAATTCTGAATTGACAGTCTTTAACTCCTAGTAGCCTAAACGTATTCTGTGTTCTTCTGGCTTCCATAGTGTTTAATGAGAAGTTGGCTATCATTTGTATCATTGTTATCTGCTATGTAACATGTCATTTTCTCAGGCTTCTTTGAAGACTTTTGCTTTATTTAAAAGTTTAGCAGTTTGCCCATGACTCTGCCTAAGTGATTTTCTTTGTATTTATACTGCTTGCTGCTTCTTGAACTTCTTCAGTCAGTAAATGTATGTCTTTCCAAATCTGGGAAGCTTTTGCCATTATTTCTTCACATATTTTTATGTCCCATTCTCTCTCTCCTCCATCTGGAACTGCAATTACAATATGTCAGACCACTTAATATTTTCCCACAGGTCTCTGAGGCACTATTTTTTTCTCCAATCTTTTTTCTCTTTGTTCTTCAGATTAGATAATCTATTGATCTATCTATCTTAAAGTTCAGTTATTCTTTTTCACCTGAGGTCAGGAGTTTGAGACCAGTCTGGCCAACAAACCTCATCTCTACTAAAAATACAAAACTAGCTGGGCGTGGTGGCGGGTGCCTGGAATCCCAGGTACTCGGGAGGTTCACTTATTTTTCCCTAACTATGCTAGCTATAATCTCATCTGAGACCCAGGCTAGGATAATTCGCAGACTGGGCTCAGCTGGGACTATTGACCAAAGAACCTAAACATAGCGCCTCTTCAGAGCTTGGGCCTCTTACAGTATAGCGCTGGGTTCTAAAAGGGAGCATCAGGAAAGTCAGCATTTTAAGCTCAAGCTGCTGCTCATCCACACCAAAAGTCATGCACATTATTTCTGCCACATTCTATTGATCAGACCATATTTGAGGGGAAAGGACTGTACCTCTTGAGGGAATGTCAGGGTAACATTGCAAAGAGCACATGGGATGGAAGATAATATGTGAAGATATATTGGAAAATACAGTCGTCTCCACATTAGCAAAGCAAACCCAGTGGTGTATAAGAAATAGTAGATGACGATCAAAAGGGGTCAAATCAAGGATGGTTCAATATTAGAATCATCTCTGGCTGCTACAGATACGTTAAAAAATTAGTAAAATCTATTTATATAATACATCTTAACAGCTTAAAGGAAAAAACTATGTGATCCTCTCATAGACCCAGTGGGGAGGAAAAGATAAACTTCAACACTAATGAAAAAAATCCAGCAGGCACGGAATAGACTTTCTTTTTTTTTTGAGACGGAGTCTTCCTCTGTCACCCAGGCTGGAGCGCAGTGGGGCAATCTCAGCTGACTGCAACCTCTGCCTCCCGGGTTCAAGCAATTCTCCTGCCTCAGCCTCCCGAGTAGCTGGGATTACAGGCACCCGCTACCACACCCGGCTAACTTTTGTAATTTTTGGTGGAGACGGGTTTCATCATGTTGGCCAGGCTGGTCTTGAACTCCTTGCCTCAAGCGATCCATCCGCCTCGGTTCCCAAAGTGCTGGGATTACAGGTGTGAGCCGCCGCGCCCAGCCAGAATAGACTTTTTTTTTTTTTTTTTTGACACGGAGTCTTGCTCTGTCGCCCAGGCTGGAGTGCAGTGGTGCAATCTCGGCTCACTGCAAGCTCCGCCTCCCGGGTTCACGCCATTCTCCCGCCTCAGCCTCCCGAGTAGCTGGGACTACAGAAGCCCGCCACCACGCCCAGCTAATTTTGTTTTTGTATTTTTAGTAGAGACGGGGTTTCACTGTGTTAGCCAGGATGGTCTCGGTCTCCGGACCTCGTGATCCGCCCACCTTGGCCTCCCAAAGTGCTGGGATTACAGGCGCGAGCCACCACGCCCGGCCTTTTTTTTTTTTTTTTTTTTAACGATGGGTTCTTGCTCTTGTCACCCAGGTTGGAGTGCAGGGGCGTGATCTCAGTTCACTGCAACCTCTGCCTCCCAGGTTCAAGTGATTCTCCTGCCTTAGCCTCCCAAGTAGCTGGGATCACAGGCGCCTGCCACCAAGCCCAGCTATTTTTTTTGTATTTTTAGTAGAGATGGGGTTTCACTGTGTTGGCCAGGCCGGTCTCAAACTCCTGACCTCAGGTGATCCGCCCACCTTGGCCTCCTGAAGTGTTGGGATTACAGGCGTGAGCCACTGCACCTGGCCTAGAATTCTTTAACTGACAAAGCACATCTATCAACAACATATAGTAAGAAGAATACACAATGGTGATACTTCAGAAGCACTACTAGAAAAGTCAAGACTGTGAGGAGGATGCTCACTTTATATCACTTTCTACTCAGCTGTGGTTTATGCCACTAAGTTGGGGTGGTTTGTTACACAGCAATAAATCACTGAAACACTGAGATTTTTATTTTTATGAGACAGGATCTCATTCTGCTGCCCAGGCTGGAGTACAGTTGCACAATCATGGCTCACTGCAGCCTCAAACTCCTGGGCTCAAGTGATCCTCCGCCTTAGTCTCCTAAGTAGCTGGGATCACAGACGCGTGCTATCATGCCCAGCTATTTTTAATTTTTTTTTTCTTAGAGATAGGGTCCCGTTAAGTTCCCCAGCCTTGTCTCCAACTCCTGGTATCAAGCCATCCTCCTACCTTGGCCTGAAGAGTATAGGTGTGAGCCACCATGCCTGGCCTAGACTTTATCATTTTGTGTCTTTTCTCAAGTGAGATTGATTTAGAATTTTTAAAAACTGCCTTAGTGTGACTTTGGTATCTGCCTTATACTAAGTTGGTAAGATTAGTTGGATGGCTTTTTCTTTTATATATGAAAATAGGATTTTTATTTGCTTTGTGAGTGTGGTGAAATTCAGATTTTCTATTTCTTGAGTGAATTTTCAAAGTTACATAATTTTTAGAAAATTATCCATTTAAAACGGAAATTTACTGAAAAAATAATCCCTTGAAATAGAAGCCCAAGGGCTGTATCTGTAGTTATGTTCCCTTTTGTGTTTCCTACTTTTTGTGTACATGTGCGCATGCCTTTTGTTAAATGGATTTTACTGTGATTAGAATAGTTGTAAGAAATCAGTTTCTGGTTCTGTTGAACCTTTTTCTGTTTTCTGTTTTCTTCCTTTTTTATTAATGTCTGCTTTTGTCTTTGTTATTTCCTTCTTTCAACTTTCTTAGTGGGTTTTATTCTTTTCCTAGATTCTGAAATTGAATACAACTAATTCATTTTGTTTGTTCTTTAATGCATGCACTATGAACTCCCTCTTACCTGCTTCTTTAGTAACCACCATCATTTCCAGAGTCTATGTTCTGCTTTGTCAGGTCTGTCTGACCATGGGAGTTATTTATTTATAGAAATGATCTCAGAAATGAGTGTTCATCTTTGGAGACTGAGAATGGAGATTCAGAGAAGTGAATGAGGTCATCAGGTAGACTTTTATTAATAGCAACTTCTATTAGGATCTTGCTCATACTCAGTTTTATTTGAAAAAGTGTGCTTCCTCCCTTGCTGCCAATCCTTCCACCTGCTCACTGGAGTCCGTCCGCTCCAGCTTCCTCAGTGACAGTGACCTTGCTTTGTCAGTTGTCCCTTACTGCTATATTTAGAAACTTTCCCTCTATTCTGGCTTTTTCTCCGACATGTTTATTTCTTCCATATTCAAAACAGACCCCCCTTGATTTTACATCCTTCTTCTAACTACTGTCCCCTCTTTCTCCTTCCTACGTGCAGTTGCAGATAAAGCCTCTGGAGAGGGGCCTCTGTTCAGTCTCACCTCCCAGCAGTTCTCTCCTGAACCAGTTTTCAGGCTTCTGCCCATACAGCTGCACTAAAACTCTCTCATCAACGCTACCAGGGACTCCCTTGTTGACAGGTCCAGCAGATGCCATCCAATCCCTGTTCTACTCAGCTTTGTTGTGGCCTTTGGGTTGTTGAGCACTCCCTCCTCTTTTAATTTTGTTTTTGAGATGGAATCTCACTCTTTCGCCCAGGCTGGAGTGCAATGGTGCGATCTCGGCTCACTGCAACCTCCACCTCCGGGGTCCAAGCGATTCTCGTGCCTCAGCCTCCCAAGTAGCTGGGACTACAGACGCCCACCACCAGGCCCAGCTGAATTTGTATTTTCAGTAGAGACTGGGTTTCACCATGTTGGCCAGGCTGGTCTTGAACTCCTGATCTCAGGTGATCCGCCCGCCTCGCCCTCCCAAAGTGCTGGGATTACAGGCATGAGCCATTGTGCCCGGCCCTCACGAACCTTTAAATGCTGTTGTTTGCCATGACTCTGATCTTTTTCTCACTCTACATGTTCTTCCTTGACAGTATCATCCACTTTGAAATGTTGTCTCCTAAATCTACAGTTTTAGGCCAGAGCTCTCCTGAGGCAAATACCTCAGTATTCAGCTGTCTGTTGGACCTCTTCTCCTGCATGTTCCACAGCACCTCAAAGGAACATGACCAATATGGAACACAGTGTCTTCTTTCCCAAATCTATTCCTCCTGTTTTCTCCCCTGCCTTGGTAAATGGCCCCACATCCACCTAACCCCCAAGCCAGAAATCTAGGAGTTATTTTGGATTCCCTCTTCCTTACCCTGAATATTCAGCAGTTGGAATCTTTTTTTTTTTTTTTTTTTTTTTTGAGACAGAGTCTCACTCTGTCGCTCAGGCTGGAGTGCAGTGGCACAATCTCAGCTCACTGCAATCTCTGCCTCCCAGGTTCAAGCGATTGTCCTGCCTCAGCCTCCCCAGTAGCTGGGATTACAGGTATGCGCCACCACCACATCCAGCTAATTTTTGTATTTTTAGTACAGATGGGGTTTCACCACATTGATCAGGCTGGTCTTGAACACCTGACCTCAGGTGATCCACCCACCTCAGCCTCCCAAGGTGCTGGGATTACAGGCATGAGCCACCGCGCCCGGCCAGCAGTTGGAATCTTAATGCCACCAAAGTTCTCATGCATGGCCTCTCTTCTCCATTCTTACTGCCTTGAAGTACCCTTGCTCTATGTCTTAGTCTGTTTTGTGCTGCTGTAACAAAGATATCTGAACCTGGGTAGTTTATAAAGAACAGAAATGTATTTCT
This sequence comes from Homo sapiens, assembly GCF_000001405.40. Lineage (NCBI taxonomy): Eukaryota > Metazoa > Chordata > Mammalia > Primates > Hominidae > Homo > Homo sapiens. The sequence continues at coordinate 50,750,858 of NC_000012.12, read as the reverse complement.
CACACTTCTGGAGGCCAGGAAGTTCAACATCAAGGCACTGGCAGGTTGGCTTGTATGGTGAGGGCTGCTCTCTTTCCAAGAGAGTGCTGTGTTGCTGTGTCCTCCAGAGGGGAGGAACACTGGTGGTAAAGGGCAGAAGGTAAGCGAGTCAAGTGCTGCTGCATGAAGCCTTTCATAAGAGCTCTAAGTCCATTTGTGAGGGAGGAGCCATCATGACCTAATGATCTCTTAAAACTATCACCTTGGCCATTAAGTTTCAACAGAAGAATCTGGAGGGAACACATTCAAATCGTAGCACTCTATCACTGTGGTTACTGCAAAGGTCTCCCAACTAGTCTTTCCAGTTTTATCTCCTTTTCCCTATCTATTCCTATCTATTTTTTTCTTTTTCTTTTTCTTCAGAGACAGGGTCTTGCTCTGTCACCCAGCCTGGAGTGCCGTGGCGCAGTTGTAACTCATTGTAGCCCTGAACTCCTGGGCTCAAGAGATCTTCCGCCTTAGCTTCCCAAAGTACTGGGATCACAGGCGCGAGCCACCATGCCCAGCCCCAATTTATTTTCTATATGACTGCCAGAATAATCTTCTACATTGTGAATCTGAGCATGTTATCCCCCTGCTTTAAATCCCTCACTAACTCTCCTTTGCCCCTTTGATAAAAGTCCAAAATTCTTAGCATGATATACAAGACCGTCAGTGATCTGTCCCTGGCTCAAGCCTCCATAATTATCTTTTACTTTTCTCCCCTCAAACCTTGTATCCTTATCTTAGTCCTTTTGTGTTGCTACAACAAAATACCTAAGCCTGGATAATTTATAAACAGCTTAAATTTACTGCTCATGGTTATGGAGGCTGGGAAGTCCAAGATTAAGGTGCTGACAGTTTCAGTGTCTGGTGAGGGCCTGGTCTCTACTTCCAAAATGGTACCTTAAATGCTGCTTCTTCTGGAGTGGACGAACACCATGTCCTCGCATGGGAGGAGGGACAGAAAGGCAAAAGGGCCTCACCAGTTCTCTCTAGTACTTTTACAAGGGCACTAATCCATTCACCAGGGCACAGCTCTCGTAACTTGATCACTTCCCAAAAGGCCCCACCTCTTAAAACTATCACATTGGGTCTTAACTTCTAACATGAATTTTGGGCAGACACATACATTCAAACCACAGTAATCCCAATAATGAATTCTAGTTCCCAGAATATGCGACTCTGCCTTCCTGCTCACTATCTTATCTGGCTGTCTTATCCTCTGAAACCCAGGTCAGAGGTTCCCTACTCCTCACTATCCTCCCTTACCATCAGACTATGTGCCTTGCCTGCCTGCTCTCACAATGCATGTCTGCTCTTAACCCTTGTATTGTATTGTGATTGTTATCCTATATCTCCTTGAGAGCAGTGACTTGATATTTTTTTCTCTCTGGCTTCAGCTCTTATCACAGTGCTGTGACATGAAAAAATGTTCTCAGCTGCCAGAGTAGTCTGGATCAATGAAATAATTCAAGGACCACTTTCGGTGTCTGAAAACATGCACAATTTGATGGGCTCCCACCAAGTTTCTTGAAACCAGGAATTGGAAGAGCAAATGAAATCTCATTTTAGGAAAAGCTAAAATCCAGCCTAATTACAGATTAGAAAAAATTCAAATTTAGGCCAGGCATGGTGGGTCACGCCTGTAATCCCAGCACTTTGGGAGGCTGAGAAGGGCAGATCACTTGAGGTCAGGAGTTTGAGACCAGCCTGGCCAACATGATGAAACCCTGTCTCTACTAAAAATATAAAAATTAGCTAGGCATGTTGGCGCATGCCTGTAATCTCAGCTACTGGGGATTACTTTGGGAGAATCGCTTGAACCCAGGAGGCGGAGGCTGCAGTGAGCTGAGATTGTGCCACTGCACTCCAGCCTGGGTGACAGAGTGAGACTCTGTCTCAAAAAATTAAAAAAGAAAATACAACTACCAAATGCTACATGAGTGGGAGGAAGACTAAACTATAATTATTACCTTGAAGAGTCCTGACAACAGGCTCCTTAGTTTTCAAAGTGACACCCTGATTCCCTGACCTAGTATCCTTTAATAGCACTGACTCTGGATCTCTGTGTTCACTTTCCTTAGACTACCCCAGCTATCACTGGGTCTTACCATCTAAAGTTAAATTTAAAATCTATCAATTCCCTAGCCTCCACCCAATGTGTGAAGGATTAAACAGAATCAGGCATCAATATTTATTAACACAAGACAAAGGAAACACATTCAATGAGTTAATAGAACACTGTCCAGCCAGATGTTAAATTTAAAAACGTATATCTAGTCTAACTTCAAATAAATAAAAAAACTTTATACATAATTACACAGTACTGTAGTTTGAATTTGACACGGGTAAATATCTTGACAGAAAGTAAACAAAACAGCATTTAGGACTAAAAAATTATTCTTATATCTTTAGTCTCTTCCTCTGGACAAGTAACATGGCCCAACTACATACACCTAAACCAGAAATGTCGTATGAATGATAAAGAAAAGGCCTATTGTGTATTTGGCGCATTGCAGCTTCTTGCTCCAAATACTCTTGCTTTTACATCAAAGCAGACAACAAAAACAACACTAAGGCATAGATCTTGTTGGAGTTTGAGGATGAGGTGATAACTCCTCATTGCTTTAGACTAAAAGATTCCTGGATATTCAAGGAAAGTAATTTATTTGGCCAAGATATAGAGCACCATGCCTGGGGCAGAGACCTTAATAGAAAACCTAAGGCCTCGGGCCCTTGTTGAGTCAACAAAAGCATTAAGCAAGGATTGCCCAGGGACTAAAGTAAGGAGACAGACTCATGTGACCAAGACAGGCAATGGTCCCTAAACAGCCTGAGGCAACACAACTTCATGAGGAAAGGACTTGGTACTGGGGAGACCTGGCCCTTTATGAGGCAGGAAGTAAAGACTGTGGATTCACTGACACTGATTAGCATGCTGGTCCTTCCCAGGGTCTCACTGAATTCCTAGGATCTAGGAATTTTCCTGAGGCAGCCCCTTCCTGATCTACTTCAGTTACTTCTGCTGAGAACCAGAAAGAGGTTCAGAAACCTTCAGACCAATAGATTTCTCTTAACTGAGACAGAGACTTGTTTAGTTTTTTTCCACAGACATTAAAAACCCAGACAGAATATGTTCCAGAGGATTGGAAAGGCTGTGTTTCTATTAGTAATGGCCTTTCAGGCCTGCCTTAAGAATCAGTTCTACCACAAAAGTGCTACTTAATGTGGATAGAGTAGGAGCACTGTGTCATCAAGAGAACATTTTCTTACTCGAGTCTGTGGCAGAGTAGGCTTTAAATCTGCAGGTGATCCCACAAACACCATCTAAGCAAATGACTGGGCTCTCCTCTCCCTCCACAGGATGCTTTACCAGAGTTACTGATGAAGTTCCTCAAGGACAGTTCTTAGCCTTCCTTCCTCCATGAGCAGATTCTGGCTTTGGGGGACATGCAAAAGATCAATAAAGCAGAAAGCAAAAAATAAATTAGAGGCCTGAGGAACTACAAAACTAGATAATCAGCCTCTAAGTAAATGGGAGTTGGCCACACTTTGAGATTAACAGAGTAATGTATTTGAAGGAATGAGTATAGATCTGCACTGTCTAATATGGTAGCCACTAGTCACATTTGGCTACAAAGACTTGAAATATGGTGATGGTTTGAATTGAGATGTGTTTAATACACACTGAATTTCAAAGGCCTAATATGAAAAAAAGTAAAATAACTCATTAATAATTTTTATATTGATCCTATGTTGAAATGATAGTGTTTTTGAGCTATTGGGTTAAATAAAATATATTTAAATCAATACCATGGGTTTCTTTTTACTTTTAAAAAAATGTGGTTACTAGAAACATTTAAATTACAGATGTGGCTCTCATTATAGTATTTACAGTGGACAGTGCATCTCTAGATGCCTATACCCTAATCTGTGTTAGTAAGAATTATCAAAGCAACCCACAGAATAGCATCTAACCATAACTTTTAGAACTTGGGGATTATAGAGCTAGACTTATTTATATCAGCTTCAGGATCCCCTGCTTTGTTTAGTGGATCATTAAAAATAGTTTTAAGAAAATTAAGTATCAGGCTGTGTTCTCTGCAAACCAAACCATTGCTAGACACTGGGATTTCCTGTGTGCCCCAATGTAAGTGCTTTTTTTCTATCCATCCTAGGACTTCCCTCATTACGTGTAAATTAATTCCATGAAAATGCTGAAAAAGAGATCTGGAACTGGCAAATGTCCTGAGCTCTGCCCTCTGTGGAGGAGTGGGGAGGAAAAGAGGATTACATGAAGGGAGTCACAAAGTGGCTTTTAGTCACATCACAAGACCGTGTAATGGCAGCCCTAGAGCACTGCCACCGCAAAGGAGCTGGTCTTTGCATTATAAACCTTATTTTCAGGGTAATTACAAGTCTTAAAAATTGTTTAAAAACATACTTAGTTTACATGATGTTACAGTGGGGTAAATAATATGTATTATTAAAATAGTCTAAATAAATATTTACACAATAGACCAGAGTGGGTCAAAGAGAACCATTCTGCTTTGACAAGTTAACTCTTCTCACTTTTGAGTACTTTTTCATTTTTAAAAATATTTCTGTTAAGAAAAAAATAATACGATTTAACTATATTCAAATACATGAAGTATCAGACCAAAGAAAGGAAACCGAGCCAGAGGCCAAACTCAGTCTCATCTCATTCTACTTGGCCTGGGCACCAAAGTTATTTCAAAAGAGTTTCCTGCATATGTCAGACTTCCCCGGTTTCAGCATAAGCCTGGCTGCTTTGGCAACCCAGATTGGTCAGTTTTGTGTAGTTATATGGCCTTACAGTTCCATGTGATGGTGGATCCCCACTGCCTTCCTGGCCTATCATTCTTGTTTTAAACCCCCTGCCCTCGTGAACTGGAAGAACAGAGGACACTCCTCAGTTTTCAGAAGAGAAGTTATATGGATAAACTGTAGACACAGTTTACAATGTGCCTGGAAAAGAGGAAATCCTAAATTCTTACATAGTCACTCTAAATCTGAAAGATCGTTTTAACACTGGGGCCAGAGTAAGTTATTGTGGTTCCTTAGAATAGGGTGGGCTCTGATGAATCTTAGCTTTGTGTTAACATTTTGATTTTTAAACTGAGATTTTCAGCTTTTAGAAACAGGCTGAATTCATAGAAGCCTAAGCTGATTCTGGGAATGCGAGCTTTAAAAAGAAACATAGGCAGCTTTAGTTTATAAAATACACCAGCCAACAAAGACATAGAACAATGTGCAGCAAAACCTGCCAACAATTTGCGCTTTTTAGTTACCTAATCAATTACACAACATTAAGAGAATATTGAAATTCTCTCAAAGTAGAAATGTTTCTACTGTGGTTGTTATAACTATACAAGCCAATTCTTCAAATCTCTAGTTGAATTATGTGTATTCTTATGTACATGTTGTAAAACACTGGTCAAAATGTTTTACAGTCAAGAATTATCTATATAAAGTAATTCTCATAGTCAGTGGGTTATCTGATTTGCTTATGGGTTGACTGAAAGAAAGCTGAGTAGTTCCATGTTAACAAACCCCACAGAACATCTAGCTACGGCAGAATGGCAAAATACAGTACGGAGTGGGGAACTGTGTCACTCAGACTACCCCTTTCATGTGAATTCATTAAATTCCCTTAGAAAATTCTAAAATGGCATTAGATAAAAATACAACTATGTACAACAGATGAAAAAAATGCAACATGCATGTAATTGCTTTAGTAATGTGCTGCTCACGCTATGTCAAAGCACATGTCTACCAAATGTTAACATTTTTTTCATTTGCCATCACAGAATTCCCCTTTCCTGTGTTTTATGATTGCAGAATCCCACAGGATGAGATGAAGAATATCATGTAGCCATCTCAGCTTATTTCACATCGTTTGAAGCCTGCTCTTAGCCAGAGGTCTTCTGTCTTTGTGATTCTTCAGAATGGCCCACTGCAGTCCCCACAAGGCTGGTTACATGTTATAAGCCACGTAGATGGGGTCTAACTGGTCAGCTAGGAAGCTATCACGGAGGTGCATCCTCTGCTTCTCTCCTCTGGAGTTGATCGGGATGACACCTGGGTCCACCACAACCACGACGCCAACGATGAGGTAATGCTCTTCCAGGACCACGTTGGTCACTAATGGGACCAGATCTAGGGCTTCCTGTTCAGAGCCGCACAGTTCCACAACCACCACAAGCAAGTTGGTCCATGTGAACACGGCACTGAAATTTCAATGACAATTCATTAACTTGTCACTACATTTTTCAGTTATCTTTTATAGCATCTGTCCCAGACTTAGCCCATTTCCCCGCCTTCTCCCCTCAATCCCAACCAGAACGTCAGCAGTCATGTCTACCATATATGACACCTTTCAATTTTACCTGATAAGACTGAGGGAAAAATTATATAATGAATATATATATATATGAGAGACATCTTGCCCCTGTGAACACAGCTGAGTTGTCCAGAATCTCCTGGGAGTTTGAAAGTGGAATTTAAAGTTGTCAGGCCAGGCGCGGTGGCTCACACCTATAATCCCAGCACTTTGGGAGGCCGACATGGGCGGATCACCTGAGGTCAGGAGTTCGAGACCAGCCTGGCCAACATGGCGAAATCCCGCCTCTACTAAAAATACAAAAATTAGCCAGACTTGGTGGTGAGCACCCGTAGTCCCAGCTACTCAGGAGGCTGAGGGAGGAGAATAATTTGAACCCAGGAGGCGGAGGTTGCAGTGAGCCAAGTTTGCGCCACTACACTCCAGCCTGGGCAACAGAGTGAGACTCTGTCTCAAAAAAAAAGTTGTTAACTGGTCATTTGAACCAGTGACATGGATTTGAATATTCTGGGGTAGCCCAGGGCACAGAGAAGCAGAGAGAATCCCTCTTCAGGGAGGCGAAAAAGAAAGAAGGGAATGCCCATATGGCTCTAGAAAGTAAGGCGACAGTGATTCCTGATGGCCTTACCATTCCCTTGTTTCTACCTTTCCTGAGACCCAGAGTTAGTTTTTTTGGAATGTCTGAGATAGCCAGGTATTCTTTCCATTAATTCTTTCACTTAAGCTTTTTTGAAGGGAGCCTGTTATTTGCCCCATAAGAGCTTTGACTAATAAAATATTCTTTTGTTTTTTAGACTAGTCAAGTGCAGTAGTGAGAAAGAGGGAAAGAGTAGAACGAATAGTTTGATTGATTTGTAATTGACTATTAACAATCAATTAAATTAACTCACTACCTTCAGACCACCCTAAGGCAGTATTCTTAAACCCAACAGGAAGAGTGTCTGTCTGACTCACATGAGTTATTAGTGCCCCACGCAAGTGTCTCCTATTGTATAAAAGAGCCATAAGCCACTTTCCACCGAGTGGTGTTACTGGGTTAGAAGGTAGGGCCTGACTTGGTATGCAGGGCTAAATTGCTTTAAAAACAGATTTCAGTTGGGTGCGGTGGCTCACGCCTGTAATCCCAGCACTTTGGGAGGCCGAGGTGGGCGGATCACGAGGTCAGGAATTCAAGACTAGCCTGGCCAATATGGTGAAACCCCGTCTCTACTAAAAATACAAAAATTAGCCGGGCATGGTTGAGTGTGCCTGTAGTCCCAGCTACCCGGGAGGCTGAGGCAGAAGAATCGCTTGAACCCAGGAGGCAGAGGTTGCAGTGAGCCGGGATCGCACCGCTGCACTCCAGCCTGGGGAGACTCTGTCTCACAAAAAAAACAAACAAAACCAAATTCCAGTAATTAAAAATGTACACAATATTTGGTTCCATTAAGAGTCAAATGTCTAAAATGACAAAGTAACCACAGCACCCAGCTTCCCTGGATGCTTTCCAGATGTCTAAAGATGTTCTTGTCTTGGTCAGAGTCTTGTTCAGGTCTGGGGAGAGACTCCTATGAAAACAAGAGCATCTTTTTTTTTTTTGAGACAGAGTTTCGCTCTGTTGCCCAGGCTGGAGTACAGTGGCGCAATCTTGGCCCATTGCAACCTCCGCCTCCCAGGTTCAAGCAATTTTCCTGCCTCAGCCTCCCGAGCAGCTAGGATTACGGGTGCCTGCCACTGCGTCCAGCTAATTTTTGTATTTTTAGTAGAGACAGGGTTTTGCCATGTTGGCCAGGCTGGTCTTGAACTCCTGACCTCAGGTGATCCACCCACCTCAGCCTCCCAAAGTGCTGGGATTATAGGCGTGAGCCACCACTTCCGGCCGACAAGAGCATTTTTAGACAAAGAAGTATCTGGAAAGCATGAGCAACCATCAAAAGAACTGTGGCTGTTTAGCATGGGGAAAAGTGGTGAAGAAGGACATATTCACTAAAATAGGTAGAAACAAACCGAACGGATTCTGTGTTGGTTAAGAACCCAGAATGAAAGCCAGTAGGTAAACACTACAGAGGTGGTTTTTTTTTTTTTTTTTTTTTTTTTTTTGAGACAGTCTCAGTCTGTCACCAGGGCTGGAGTGCAGTGGCACAATCTTGGCTCACTGTAGCCTCAACCTCCCAGGCTCAAGTGATCCTCCCACCTCAGCCTCCTGAGTAGCTGGGACTACAGGCATGCCACCACACCTGGCTATTTTTTTAATTTTTTTGTAGAGATGGGGTTTTACCATGTTACCCAGGATGGTCTTGGATTCCTGGGCTTAAGCGATCCGCCCGCCTTGGCCTCCCAAAGTTCTGGGATTATAGATGTGAGCCACTGTGGCCGGCCAAACCACAGTTTTAATTTTACAGATTTTAAGTCAATATGTGGTTGGACGATCCTTTATCAGGGAAAATGTAGGGGGAATTCCTGCAAAGAGCAGGAAACTGGATGAGATAATATCAACTACCCTTTTCATCTGCTTACCATTTAATAGTTTACAAAGCACATTCTCATTTGATGCTTCTGATAATTAGGAAGTAGCAGAGAGAGTGTTTTACAGATGAGGAGAGCCTTTAAGCTGGTTCTTTCCACCATATTATGCTGACTTTCAAGAGATCAATGATCTGTTAGTCCCTTCCCATTATGAGAGTCTATCACTAAAAAAGGACTCAGTTCCAGCATTCCACAGAAGGTATCAGAGTATTCCCCAGGGGCCTCATGGCCTCATCTGGCTCCTGTGGATAGGCTTTGTTGGCCACAGCAGATTGCACACCCAAGACAAGAATCAGTCTATTTCCTTACTCCTCCCATGGAGCTCTATGTTTCAAGGTAGGTATGTGGTCCCAATGACCAATTAATTAGATCAGTTGAGATTATGACTAAAGCTGAAGTGGGAAGCACAGTGTATGCTGAGGGAGTTACCATTCAGCAATGCTTCTGTGGATCCGGGACACCGAGGTCTCAATATCAATTGGGTGGTATCGTAATCCTCTCAGCTCCAGTGTTTCATCCAGCGCTCCCACCACATACAATGCATCATGACGCTCTGACAGAAAGAAAAAGAGAGAAATGTGGCTTGGACATATACTGAGTGCAACATAACACTGGAGTCCACAGCACAGGGGTCAGACTGCCTGTCACCTGGCTCTGCCCCTACCAACTGTGTAACTCTGGGCAAATTCCTTAAGGCTCTGAATCCTGCTGCTCCTCTGTGAGATGGGAATAATAATCAATGGCTGCTGTGAGGATTTGTGAGTTAATCCATGCACAGTAGTTAATATGGTATGTGGTATTTTGTAAATGATACCAGAAATTAGCTGTTAGTATTATTACATGTTAGGAACTGTGTTATGTGCTGGGGAGACAAAACTGACAAAACCCAATTCCTTCTCTGAAGATCCTTACAGCTGAGGTGGGGGAAAAGATACACAAAGAGGCATTCCGTTGTAATGTAACAAGCCCAGCGACAGGAGTGTGCATGAGGTTCGGAGGGGCAGAGGACATCACTGAGTCTAGCTCAAAGGTTCAGGGAAGGCACCTGGAAAAGCTGAGGGCAGAGCTGAGCTTTTAAGGACAAACAGGACTGAGCCAGAGGGGAGGGACAGAGGAAAGACAGGACTTGAGAGGGAGAGGAGATGAACAAGTGTCATTTTTTCTAGGTAGCTTCATGGAATACACATATAAGAAGGAGGGTTGTAGAACATGGAGGAAACTAGTCCTGGTTTCTAACAGGCTTGTAATCCAGCTAGGATACAGAAGGAAGGAAGATTATTTTGCAGTAATTTCTGGAAAAACGCAGATTTCTGAAAAATTCAGCAAAACAAAGTGATTGAAGCTGTTGGAGTGAAAAGGATCAGGAGGTGCAGCAGAGGCTCCCATCACCTGGTGAGCTCATGAAGACTGATGACAAAAACAAGAGAAACATAGCAGTGAATGACTAATGGGTGCTTCCTGTGTGCCAGGCACCGTTCTTGGCATCTAAATGCATCATGTCCTTTAATCTCACATCATTTCCATGAGGCAAGAAACACAGTCATCCCCATTTTCTAAGTAGGAAACAGAGGCTAAGTGATTGCTCAAGGTCACCCAGCAAGTGGCAGAGGTGGGCTGCAAAACCAGGGCACCAGGCAGGGATGCCACCCTCTGCTCCCCTGGGTTGCCCCTGCCTCTCCATGAAATCTGGGGAACTATGGATGCTGGTCAGTATGGAACTATGGAGAATTTAGGACTTTAAAATCCAGTGAGTTATATATCTATCACTTCTTCAAGTGCAGGATATAGTCAGTGTTGGGTATTTTTAAATGGCTATAAGTGTCAGTCTGGAAGAAAGAGTGATGGCGGGCAGCAGTGAAGCTGTGACAATCAACTGGGCAGAGGGTGATGGGAGGGAATCCTCATACCAGAGGCCTGGCCAGGAAGCAGGCTGTGTCCAACGCAAGACACTGAGGCACTGCCATGCCTCAGCAAGATGGCTCCTTGGAACTGACGCCCCTCTCAGGGAATAGGGCCATTCCTCCTGCTCCCCAAGTGGTGTGCAGGGTAGAAGAGCTATAAGATGTAATGCTTGTCCCGGATGTGAATCAGCCCTGCAGGGACTGAAAGTCTGTTTAGCCAGGGACGCTCACTTGCCATCAGGCACATCTCTCTGACTCACAGCTCGGGATGCTCCTGGGCTTGCCCCAAGCGCTCACCTCTTAGACACTCTTCATGGGGCAAGGCATGACTCCAAATGAAGAGAGAGTCACTTATGGGTTTAAGAGTCACCGAAGGGAGTAACTAAATAGACACACTCCACAATCCAACGCAGGCTGAAGGAGGTCAGCTAGTGCTACAGAAACACAAAGCAGGGTCAATGGGGAGTTGTTGCAGAAGTACCTCCAGTGGCCGCTGTGAGCTCGGTCCGGCGGACAAAACCAAGGTATCCTGTCCGAGCCCAGAGTGTCTGAGCTGCATCTCCAAAGCTGAGGCGAGTGTTGAAATGATCAGCTTGAAGAGTCTCGCTATCATAGATGGTGTAGTAGCCGCTGGCTGTATGGGGACTGTTCACCCAAATCTACAAGAAAAGTGCTTTGATCACAACTCACTGGGGACACACAACTGTATTAATTCTCTTGGATCAGGTTATTTTGATTTTTTAAATCTCATTTTTATATTAACAACAACACAACTGCATCAATAAAGGCAGCTGACATTTACCACGTGCTCATCATGTACCTAATCTCCATCCATCCTGATATATATGACATGACAACATAGTTCATACAATGTTGTTCCCATTTTACGGATGAAAAAACAAGGAGTTAACTAATTCACCTAACATGCAGAAATGAGGAGACTCGCACCCATGCCCGTGTGGCTCCGGAGGCCGTGCTCTCACCCACAAGGCTACCCTGCCTCCCTGGCTCATTTCTCACTCTCCTCCAGAGTCCCACGAACACATCAGGGATCGTTTCTGTGCTTCCGGGATAACTGTGGAAGCCCACAGGGAAACACCATGGGGTGTTTTGAGTTTATAATATAAACAGAGCGATAGCTAACAATAATGTTACTAAGAATCATTATGTGACAGACACTGTTCCATGTACACTACAGATGCAGGTGTTAATACATTTAATTGTTATAATGATTCTACTCAGGAGGTGAGGTAGGTGCTACTACTAACATTTAAAAATTTTTAAAATAGGCTGGGCGTGGTGGCTCACGCTTGTAATCCCAGCACTTTGGGAGGCCAAGGCAGGTGGATCACTTGAGGCCAGGAGTTCAAGACCAGCCTGGCCAACATGGTGAAACCCCCTACTAAAAATACAAAATTAGCCAGGCGTGGTGGTGTGCGCCTGGTAATGCCAGCTACACAGGAGGCTGAGGCAGGAGAATCACTTGAACTGGGGAGATGGAGGTTGCAGGGAGCCAAGATGGCACCACTGCATTCCAGCCTGGGTGACAGAGCAATACACTGTCTCAGAAAAAAAAAATTTTTCGAAGTAGAGATGGGGTCTTTGCTATGTTGCCCAGTTGGCCTCAAACTCCTGGCCTCAAAGTGGAGTGGCCTCAAACTCCTGCTTCAGCCTCCCAAAGTGTTGGGATTACAGGCCTGAGCCACTGCACCTGGATGGTGCTATTATTATTATTATTATTTTTGAGAGTCTTGCTCTGTCATCAGGCTGGAGTGCAGTGACGTGATCTCGGCTCACTGCAACCTCTGCTTCCCAGGTTCAAGCCTCAGCCTCCTGAGTAGCTGGGACTACGGGCACACGCCACCATGTCCAGCTAATTTTTGTATTTTTAGTAGAGACGGAGTTTCCTCATGTTGGCCAGGATGGTCTCGATCTCTTGACCTCGTGATTCACCCGCCTTGGCCTCCCAAAGTGCTGGGATTACAGATGTGAGCCACTGCGCCCGGCCACCAGTGCTATTATTATTTATGGATGAGGAAACTGAGGCCCCAAGAAATTAACCTGTCCAATACTGAGAAGCTTGTAAGTGGCAGAGCCGAGGTCATCTGGCTCCTGCACTTACAGGACTCCTCCCATTCAGCTACGTAATGAAATATCAGCATCCTTCAAAGATTTGGGGAGGCTGGGCATGGGGGCTCATGCCTGTAATCCTAGTATTTTGGGAGGCTAAGGCAGGCGGATCACCTGAACTCATGAGTTCGAGACCAGCCTGGGCAACATAGTAAAACCCTATCTCTACTAAAAATACAAAAAGTTAGCCAGACATGGTGGCACGTGCCTGTAGTCCCAGCTACTTGGGAAGGCCGAGGCACAAGAATCACTTGAACCCGGGAGGCGGAGGTTGCAGTAAGCCCAGCCTGGGCAACAGAGTGAGACTGTCTCAAATAAACAAACAAAAACAAAGATTTGGGGGAAGAAAAATTAACTATTTTATATAGTTAATTTTTATATACTTATATACAAATAATATGTATTTATATATAAATATTTTTTGTTAAAGGGCTGGGCCTAGAATTTTTTTGTTAATGCAAACATGGATACATTTTAGAATACAATATAACATCTGAATGACCTTAAAAATTTGTAAGTATGTGACTCCTTTCAGTTTCATACCTTAATAGGTGGGAATATGTAGGATTTGCTCACTTTCCTTTCTAGCTAAGGGCATGTCAGTGGACAAATCTGGTACCATTTCCAGTTTGGGTGCCTAAATCTTCCCTGGATCCCAGTTTCAATCTCCCTCTTCTGTCAATTTCAGTCTCATGCCTTACAGAAAAAAATTAACTCCATTCACAACGGGGGAAAGCTAAATCCACAGTTTTACTGATTTCTAAAATGTGAACCCTAGAGATTTTTACTGCTGACTTTTCAGAGTAAAAATGAAAATTATTACAAACCTCTCCAAGGTGAGAGTCTCCAACCGGCCCTTTGGTCTCAGGATTAACAATAACCACTTTCACTCCAGGTAAAATCTAAGAATCAAAGGGAAAATACAAAGATTGAGTTCAGTGAAATCTAATGACCTCCAGGAAACGCACGGTTAGTTACCTGCTGGAGAGGTGAGAGAGGCACACATGGCGAGCCAGCTGTAGCGGCATCACAGCAGCTACCCTGAGGGGATCATGGCAGAGACCTTGTGTCTTGCTCTCACTGAACCTTCCTCAGTTCATTGAAGACGAAAGGTCTAATAAAACTCAGCCTCAAAAATAAAATGGGAGCCAGTCTGCCATCTCTTCAAAGGGATGAGAAATTGCAGATCAGGACCTTAACAGTAGAATTTGTAGAATAACCTTTCCCTTTTCATGTTCTTTCTCATTCACTGGAATGATGGCAGTGAAACCCTTTAAAACAGAAAGGGCAGCAGGCAGGGACAGCCTAAGTCACTCCACTCCAGACTCCAGCTGGTGCTAGAGTTGGAGGAATGTGAAGAGTGACAGAGGACAGCAGCAGCTTTGCAGGACAGAAGGATATCCTTGACCCTAGGATCTTCCTCAGGAAGGAAAAGGAAGACACATACGCTGGCTGAGGGAATGGCTCAGCCATTCTAACAAAAGAAGGGCCTCTCTGGTTACCCATATTCTGCCCCCTTCAAACTCCCTTTTTATCTTGGGTTTCTAAAGTATGAGGTTACTTGAGAAGCCCTCAATAATTATCTGGGTGCAAACATCTAAAACCTCAAGGAAGAGATGAGACGGTTCCCTTAGTCCAGGGTGGGCACAGGCTAATGCTCGTGAGGTGTGCTTGGCTGCTGAGGCAAGTGAAGATGTGACAAGGCAGTGACAAAATCAGCCAAATCCCCCTCTGCTCGCAGATGCAAACGGAAAGTGAGACTGGAGTAAGCGCCCCATGGGGTGATACACCACCAAGTAGGTTTGGCAGGGATTCTTTTTTTCCCTCCACAATTTTTTCACTGCCCTTCAGAATTACTAGACAGGATTCTGAGGTATCATCATTATCTCATCAAAGGGCAGAGAAATTCCCACTTGTCTTGACAATGCATGTGGGTTTCCTATCATCCTTAGTAAATTGCTTCTCACTAAATCTCTCTTTTGACGTTTTATAGCCTCATTCTAATCTAAGAAATCTTACTCCCACAGATGTTAACTCTCAAATATCTTTAATCTCATCCCCATTTTTATTTTCCTTTCAACTTTAAATGCATGTGTGTCTTCCCTGACCTTAAACCACACTCCCATCTCGGCCTCTCCTAGCTTTCTCCTTGTGACGTTTGTAAGATAGAACCGGGCCGGGCATAGTGGCTCATGCCTGTAATCCCAGCACTTTGGGAGGCCGAGGCAGGTGATCACCTGATGTCAGGAGTTCAAGACCAGCCTGGCCAACATGGTGAAACCCCATCTTTACTAAAAACACAAAAATTAGCTGGGCGTGGGGGCAGGTGCCTGTAACCCCGGCTACTCGGAGGCTGAGGCAAGTTCTCCTTGAATCTGGGAGGCAGAGGTTGCAGTGAGCCGAGATCGCGCCACTGCACTCTAGCCTGGGTGGCAGAGTGAGACTCCATCTCAAAAAAAACAAAAAACAAAAAACAAAAAAACAAAAAAAACCATGAAAAAAAAACATAGAACCAGCTCTTCTATCCACCTTTCATACAATGAGCACTGCATTTTGCTGGTCTGTCAATAAGAATAACATGTCAGTTGGATTTTTAAAAATCGATGGAAATTAAGAGAGTTCAAATTTACTATTCTTCTTATCTATGTACCCATATGAATTTGAAAGTATTAGCCAAGCTGAAATTATCTCCAGATTTCAATTAAGGCTTGCCCTGGACACTAATATATTATATGGCTTCTGGTTTCTTTAAACTGAACCACTTCTCCACACAGCCCACCTTCCCCATGGTCAACAGAACAAATTACCTTTCCAGACTCTGAGAGAAGCAAACTCTGAGGGGCGCCACGTTCCACGAGACGAACCCTGCAGAAGAACGGTATTTACTATATATAGGGCTTTTAAGAGGAGAAGTCGCCATGTTCCTGCAGCTCGGTGCTGCCTTCCCACAACCTCTAACTTGTCTCTCTTCCTCATACTACAGAGGGGTTTCTCAAACTCAGCACTACTAACATTTTGGCCAGATAATTTTTTGTTGAAAGGGGCTATCCTGTGCATTGCGGTGTTTACCAACACCTCTGGCCTCTGCCCACTAGATGTCAGTAGCAAGCCCCCTTTTATGACAACCCAAAATGTTTCCAGACATTGTCAAATCTCCTCTAGGGTGGCAAAATCTTCCCAGGTTTCAAACTGCTGCATGAGAGAGATGTTCCACCTATGCAGGCTAGGTCAGTGCAGTGGGGCACTCCAGATAACACATCCAGGGTAGTGGGGCTTGGGAAGAGAAGTCTTAGAGCCCTGGGCCAGCGCTCACTGCCGGACACAGCTAAAATTCCCTTCTGGGCTAAGGAGGCAGGCTTTTACCCATGGGGCTCAGATAAAGTGTTGTTTCAAAAACCCTACTCTGACTCATTTATCTTATCTGTCCTATTATTTTTAAACTCTTAGAGGAAAGAGACTATCCATTTTAGTTTAATTTATATCAAATGTCACAAAATACTTTTATATGGGCAATAACTATTATACTTTAATATTAAAGAACAGTGTAGCAACTGAGAGAATTAAAGCTTTCTTATAAATGTAAATCTTATGTATTAATGATAAAAACAAATTCCTTCCCTCTTCCCATTCCCCTCCTGGAATATATGAACAAAAGGAATGAGGGAAAATGCTGGCTTTGAGGTTCCGAATTTGTTATGCTTAGGAACTAGTAGGAAAGGAGCATTAATAAATCTGTTGTACCTGTCATGTCTTAGTGATTTCAGATCCACATACACAGTAGTCGGATCAGGCCCTGAGGTTCCCTAAAGAAAGACAAATCAATGCGTTGTTTAGAATTTCGATAAACTGTATTTCACATTTTCAAACCAAGAAATAATTTAGCCATATACATGAAAAATCCACACTCTTTTCACCTCTCCTCCCCTTGAGAGTAGGCCCCCTGCTCTCACTCTTATCACGGGGACTGTGGCAGCACTGAAACATTTCCATGCTGAGGAGGGCTTTCATCCCTGGATTCAAAGCAGAGGTGACACAGGTCGGCAACCCAGGGACTTGCAAAACCAGTATTGGCCACAGTGACAGCAAGAGGGCTATGATGGGGCTCAAGTTTAAACCATCAAGACCCTTCTGAAAGAAGAAGGTCACAGAAGACCTGAAATAATCCACCCATGTGTGCTATCTTCTTTCACTCACTTTGTCCATGCCTATATTTGCCTTATTATTTTTTTAAGAGACAGGGTCTCAATCTGTTGCCCAGGTTGCTGGAGTGCAGCGGTACAATCACAGCTCACTGCAGCCTCAACCTCCTGGGCTCAAGCAATCCCCTTGCCTCAGACTTCCAGGTAGCTGGGACTAGAGGCATGTACCACTAAGCCCATCTATATTTTTTGCAGGTGAGTGGTGGGGGTAGGGGAGAGATGAGGTCTCAACTATGTTGCCCAGGCTGGTCTCAAACTTCAGGGCTCAAGCAATCCTCCTGCCTTGGCCTCACAAAGTGTTGGGATTATAGCCATGAACCACCACACCTGGCGCTATATTTGCCTTATTACACATTAATACATAAAATTAGTCTCAGTTCTAGTCCCTTTTCTGTTATTTACCCATCAAGAATAACATGACAAAGTTGCCATCTGGGTAGAGAAGAGAATACAAGGTTATTGTTTGGAAAAAAAAAAAAAAAAAGAAAGAAAAAAAATGGTATAGAATATAGAGACAGAAAAACAGAAGGTCAGACCGGGCGCGGTGGCTCATGTCTGTAATCCCAGCACTTTGGGAGGCTGAGGCGGCTGGATCACTTGAGGTCAGGAGTTTGAGACCAGCCTGGTCAACAGGGCGAAACCCTGTCTCTACTAAAAATACAAAAAATAGCCGGGCGTGGTGGTACACGCCTGTAATCCCAGCTACTCTGGAGGCTGACGTGAGAGAACCGCTTGAACCCAGGAGGTGGAGGTTGCAGTAAGCTGAGACTGCACCACTACACTCCAGCTGGGGTGACAGAGCAAGGCTCCGTCTCAAATAAAAAAAAAAAGAAAAAGGAAAAACAGGTCAGATACAAGTAAAATCCAAATAGGACTCAAATCTTTGTGACTCGTCATCATGACCACACGACGATGACTCAAGTAAACACCAACACTGCGCTCACTGTCAGCACTGCTCCAAGAACTCCGAGTTGGCAGCTCAGTGATTGTGCAAGCTGCCTGGGGAAGCACAGTACTGCTACCTTCACCTTACAGATGAGCAAAATGAGACACAAAGAAATCGAGATTTAAAAGCCCGAAGTTCCAAAGCAAGTAAGTGCGGCTGGGGCCCAAGCCCAGGCAGCCTGGCTCCAAAGCCCATGCTCTGGGATACTCCATATTCCTCTCCCATTTGTCAACAGACAAGATTTCATGAGGGTCACCTGTAAACATATTGCTACATTGACTCTTGATCCAAAAGTGGTGCTGACAGCCCGCGGGGACAGCCCGATGTCTTTGAAGAGCTTAGAGAAGGACTGCTGGAGTGCAACGCGGGGCCTCTCCTCCGCCACCACCACACAGGTCCGGACGCAGGAGAGGTTGATCCCTCTGGTCTGCAAGACACCATTATATGGGAGCCAAGTCAGTAGGATCATAAAAGAACTGAACAGGTAAGGCCACTGTTCTAGCTCCTTGGTCAGGAAAAGCCAAGCAATTGTGTATTCTCACCTCAGGCACACAGAGAAAAAAGCAGCTTTCAGAAAAGAAGAAACGGACAAGGCATCCCATTAAAATCACTATCTGCTGGTAAATTTGCTCATTCTCTAGTTCTTTCCTCTTTCTTCTAAAAATCTAAGGCTCTTCAGCAATGTTTTTATCCCTCCTCATTTCTGTACCTTAGATGTCCCCCTATTTGATGAGACTGAGAGAAAAATTAATCTAGAACTCTGGCGATCTAATCTCATCTCTTTTTGCATTCCAAAGATATTTTTCTATCAAAGAAAATTCAGTATCTTCTGACTTTCTCATCTGCAAGTCAGACAGATCATCATTTGACACACACATGAATCAATGAGTTACCCTTATCTTTGGAGATATTCTGAATTCCTAATATTTTGAGGTTTCAAATTCTATTAGGAAAAAAAAGTATTGGAAGCCACAGTTCCCTTTTATGTTTACATAAAGTCTTTCCAGTTAGCCTCCCAACCAGTTTCCGCTTCTTGTCCACAAAGTAAGAATCATATTAAACTGTGGAAGAGTGCACTAAATTAGGAAGGTGGAAGAGATAAACTTGCCAAAGTTTAAAATACACCCTTTTTTAACTGAGTGACTTGAAAAAGGCAAGCAAACATGTCTGTTAGCCCCTGCTCTGGCCCTGTTACGTCCTGGCGCATTTCTTCAGAACCTTTTGGGACTGGCCACCTGCTGGAGCTGCTTCTTACCTTTAGCACTTCCACTTGGTTCCCAAGACCTTTGGTGCAGAGCTCCATCACTGAATAGGAGCAGAAAGTGTCCCTTATTTTGTACTGGTTGACTGTGGAGAGCCAGAGGAAAAGGTTGTTCTCTAACTCCATAGGAGGAATTAAGACAGACTGGTGGCCTGAATAGACACTGCAGTGAAAGAGACAAGAGCTGGAATCATCAATTCATCCTGGATACCTGATGCTTCAGAACCCCACCAATTCCACAGATATTTACTGAGTGTAAAGGACAGTGTAGGGACATATGAGATATAAAGCTCTAAGAATCAGTCTTGTTCCTATGCAACTCGCAAAAGGAGCAACTATGAAATAAAGCAGACTGTGGTAGGTCACTTAAGTCTACATAACATTCTTACAGCTGCCCTCAAGCTAATTAATATGGTCAAGATGATACTAAACATTCTGGAAAGGTAATTCCTAATAACTAATCTTTAAAACCCTGATGGAGTAGCATTTTTTCCTCTTTCTATTCAGAAACCTTATGTGTGGACTGGATTTTATTCCTATGGTTTCTTTTAAAGATGTTTATAGCCATTTTATTGATGCTCTGAATATGAGATGTGAATCAAGAACACTGACATCACAGAATAAAGAGCAGTTCATTCAAGCTCGATAAGCCAGGGTAGGGGAGTGGTAGTGCTTCACTGAGCTGGTGACACTTGAGCTGCAGCTTGAAGAATGAGTATGAATTTGGCAGTGGCCAGAAGAAGTGGGGACGGTAGTGAGGGTGTTCTAAGCAGAGGAACAACATTTACAAAGGCCGATAATTACAGCATGTTTGAAGCGATCAGAAATATTAATAGTATTCAAGTGGCCAGGCACGGTGGCTCACGCCTGTAATCCCAGTACTTTGGGAGGCCATGATGGGAGGATCGCTGGAGCCCAGAAGGTGAAGACCAGCCTGGGTAATAGAGCAAAACTCATGCCTCTACAAAAAAAATTTTTTTAACAATTAGCCAGGCGTGGTGGCACACACCTGTAGTCCCAGCTACTTGGGAGGCTGAGGTGGGAGGATCACTTGAGCCCGAGAGGCTGCAGTGAGCTGTGATTTGTGCCACTGCACTCCAGCCTGGGTGACAGATTGAGACCCTGTCTCCTTTAAAAAAAAAAAAAAAAGAGAGAGAGAGAAAGAAAGAAACAAAAAAAGAAAGAGAGAGAAAGAAAAAGAAGAAAAAGAAAGAGTATTCAACTGAAATCGTAGCATACAGGGTGAATGGAGAAGTAAGGCCAGAAGGGCTAAGGCCAAACTGTGAAAGGGCTTAACCATCCTATGAAGGAGTTTAGACTTCACCCAGCAGGCAGTCATTGCCACTTTAAGTTGGGGCAACACTGACAATATGGACATACGGAGTAGGGATTGGTGATACGAGCCACTGAAACTTGAGAGACAGTTAGGAGAGGCTGCAATAGTTCAGGTGAGAGGTGATAACAGGCTTGAACCCAATAGTGTATCCCAGGATAAAAAGGAAGGAATGGGACTGGGTGTGGTGGCTCACACCTATAATCCTAGCACTTTGGGAGGTCGAGGCAGGCGGACTGCCTGAGTCCAGGAGTTCAAGACCAGCCTGGGCAACATGACGAAACGCTGTCTCTACAAAACAATTAGCCAGGTGTGGTGGTGTGCACCTGTAGTCCCAGCTACTCAGGAGGCTGAGATGGGAGGATCGCTTGAGCTTGGGAGGTGGAGGTTGCAGTGAGCCGAGACTGCACCACTGCACTCCAGCCTGGGCAACAGAGCAAGACACTGATTAAAAAAAAAAAAGAAAAAGAAAAAAAAGAAAAAAGGACAGAAAGGAAATATGGATCCTCATATCCATATTCAGTCCATCACAGGAAGAACTATCAACACAATGTTTTTTTTTGTTTTTAAGCAAGAAAAAACAGGAAGGAACAGAGTTCCTATCATGTCTCATCTATAGCCACAAAGCTTAAACTCTTGGCTCATACAAAATGGCAGTGATTTTATGCCTAAACCTGTTTATAGATCAGAGTCACTAGAAGCTCAGGAATCCTGTATTTAAAAATACTGGTGGTGTGGTCTCCACCTCTGGAGATGAAGGTTAATAAGTCTTGGGGAGTCCCATTAATTTTTGTTAAAAGACCCCCAGGTGATTCTTATGTACATACAGGTGTAGCACAACCGAGCCAAAGGACATACATTTGATTAGACACAAGACATAAAGATACAGAATCTGAAGATAAGACCCATGTTTCTAGTGTGGGCCCCTACATGGATGATCCTATCCTAACAAAGAGAGAACAGGAGGAGAACGTTGAGCTTGAGCTGCAGGCATCTGTGAAGCATTCATGATGTACACCAAGGAGGTGAAAATGCAGGTCTGAGATGAGGTTCCCTGGGGGAATGGTGAGAGGAGCTGGGATCTGTATTCTGCAAGGAGCAACCTGGCCAGGGCAAATGTGCTACTTTCCATCCACATGCTGTCATCCCATCCCATTGTGCTCCTTCCTGCCAAGCCGAGGGGGTACGTGCTGGCTGTCAAAGCATGACATATTTCATCCGAGAATCATCCTTCTACTTGGCTTTGCTTCTAAAGCAAGGATTACATGGTGGAGCAGAGAGCAAGTAACAGGATCACTGCCATTTTGTATGAGGAATAAAATTAACAGAAAATAACAAAGGGAATACAGACAAAACTGTTTTTAAACAAACTTCAGAGACACAGTAGATCCATAAATTCTGGAAACACTAGCATTTTACTGAAACTTTACCAAATTAAGGGAGCAAAGGGAAGGATGAGATGGCCATGGCCACAAAGTATACCCCCACACATTCTGTCTCCTTGGCTTTTCCATCCCTACCTGCAGAGACACCAGAGCGCGAAGCCAAGTCCACAGTAAGGGTCAAGGCAGATGGCGATCTGCCGAGAAGAGTACAACTCACACTGGAGCTTGATGGCTCGACACAGAGCGTTCACTGCAGAGTGGGACATCTGGAAAGTATGGAAAATGGAACAGGCTGGGACTGTTATCCCACAGGCAGAGTAACAGCTCTGACGACAGCTTTGAGGAGTTTCAATTCCCTAAACTCCTCAAAACAATGCATAATTTTTAGTGCTTCAAAGCCTAATCTAAGACTCCATTAAGGGAACATATTTCTGTTCATTAGTTAATAATGAATTTTTTTTTTTTTTAGATGGAGTTTCACTCCTGTTGCCCAGGCTGCGGTGCAATGGCACGATCTCAGCTCACCGCAACCTCAGCCTCCTGAGTAGCTGGGATTACAGGCACGCACCACCACGCCCAGCTGATTTTCTATTTTTAGTAGAGACGGGGTTTTCCATGTTGTTCAGGCTGGTCTCGAACTCCTGACCTCAGGTGATCTGCCCGCCTTGGCCTCCCAAGGAGCTGGGATAACAGGCGTGAGCCACCGTGCCCAGCGAATACTGCATTTTATGATATCTAAATATCAGATTTCATACATATTTTAACTAAAACTCTTTTTCTTTCAGCTTCTATGCTAGGTTCAGACGCTTAATAATACAAATTCCTTGTGATAACTCATTCCAGAGGAGCCAATGCCTTTATTTAAATAGAGCAGCGACTTAGATCTTCACTCTGCCTACCGGTCTCTGGTACAACCACTTGGCCTCTGCATCTATAGTTTCTGGGGCAGTGGTCATCTCTATTTTTTGGCAGATGTGGCATTTTTCCAGCATGCACCTTACCTTCACTCCTGTAAGCATGCCAGTTGTGGAGACACTAAAATCAAGATATGCCAACATCTCAGGAGTGGGCGGTTTATACAGCTGAGGTAACCTTTTCCTGGGTAAATCATCTGCCATGAAAAGAAAAAACCTGATGTCAATCCAACATGCTGGAACATGAAAATCATTGCTCTTCTGTGGCTTTGCTATGGCCAAATTTAGCTTCGCAGATTTGCTAAAGCTTAGGCCTCTCATATTTAACCAAGTAGCTCACATATGTCATTCTTAGAGGTGGGCTGGGGTTGAGGACAACACTAGACAACACAGGCAAGCAAATCTACATCAGGTAAATGTATCTGCTAGCAGCTTAGTAAGGGGAAACAGAACACAGTAGGAAGCAGACTGCTGTTCAAATGCCAGCTCTACCCTCAGCTACGTGACCTTGGAGTTATTTCACCTCTTTGTGTCTGTTTTCTTTTTCTCTAAAATGAATCTCTAAAATAATACCTACCCTCATAGAACTGTTGGGAAGTTAATTCACATAAAGCACTTTTAAAGCAACTGACTGAAGAAATGCTCAAAAAGCATTAGCTGTTATGCTGGTTTCAAGTTAAAGTTCATTATTTACACTTTAGTATGTGTTATATTAATCATGTATGGATTTAAAAGTTGGAAAGTATTTCTCTAAGTTAAATTAGCAGATTTTTTCTTTTTTTGAGACAGAGTCTTGCTCTATTGCCAAGGTTGGAGTGCAGTGGCTCGATCTCGGGTCACTGCAACCTCCATCTGCTGAGTTCAAATGATCCTCCCACCTCAGCCTCCTGAGCAGCTGGGACTACAGGTCCATGCCACCATGCCTAGCTAATTAAATAAAAATTTTTTTTGTAGAGGTGAGGTCTCACTGTATTGCCCAGGCTAGTCTCCAACTCCTGAGCCCAAGTGATCCTCCTGCCTCAGCCTCTCAGAGTGCTGGCATTACAACCATGAGCCACTGCACCTGGCTAACCTGGCAGAATTTTAAGAATAGTAATCTATCTGGGTGCAGTGACTCAGGCCTGTAGTCCCAGCTACTTGGGAGGCTGAGGCAGGAGGGTTGTGTGAACCCAGGAGTTTGAGACCAACCTGGGTAACATATCAAGATCATGTCTCTTTAAAAAAAAAAAAAGAAAGAAAGAAAAATGGTGGCCAGGTGCGGTGGCTCACACTTGTAATCCTAGCACTCTGGAAGGCCGAGGCAGGTAGACCACTTGAGGACTGGGGTTCGAGACCAGCCTGGCCAACATGGCAAAACCCTGTCTCTACTAAAAATACAAAAATTAGCCAGGCATGGTGGTTCATGCCTGTAATCCCAGCTACTCGGGAGGCTGAGGCAGGAGAATCCCTTGAACCCAGGAGGTGGAGGTTGCAGTGAGCCGAGATCGCGCCACTGCACTCCAGCCTGGATGACAGAGTGAGGGCCCCGTCTCCAAAAGAGAATGGTAGCCAAGAACTGGGAATTCGCTGCTTTCACTCATTTATGATACCTCCTCTGCTTCCCCCCATGTGCTTTATAAGTATGCCAAAACCAGGGATGTCAAAGATTTCCTCTGGCTCCAGCCATACCTCTTCAATGGCTCCTTTGGCTTTCTGGATCAAGAAGGATGTCTGACTCTGAGTTTTAAATCACCATAACATGGGGCACCCATTTCTGGTCAAATGAAAGACTAACACCTTTGACCTCCCTTTGTGCAGGGAAGGGTCACTCCTATGACCACTCAAGTGCCTAAAGAAACCTTCCTGTTGTGATTGAGCCCATTAACCATAGACCTACCAGCATCATTAACACCAACACAATCCATTTGTGATAAATATTGTATATAACTGTGCTTCTATCCTTCAGTAACAAATATTTAAAAAACCCAGTTCAGCATCTGGTACACAATAACCACAAATACATGTCATTCCTGCATTTGAATCCAGAGTTAAAAAAAAAAAAAAAGGGTAGGGAGGACATTAATGGTTAAGAGGCTGGGAATGGAGCCAAACTGGCTGGATTTGAATTTCAGTTCTGCTGCTTATTTAACTTCCCTCAGTTTTCTAATCTGCAAAATGAGGATAAAAATAGCAACTTACAGGGTTATTGTAAGGATAAAATTATATAACACATTAAATGACTGACATATCATAAGGGCTCAATGAAGATTAGATGTTATCATTATGATTACATGCTAGAAGCTTTGTGTTACATCATTTAATCTTTACAACTCCCACTTTATAGACAGGTTAGTACGGATACTCAGAGAGTAGCAGATACAGCAGGACTTAAACCCTACCTGCCTGACTCCAACACCCACACTCTTCCTATACCACAGCTTTTTCAGCTATTCCCTTATCTTATCCCCTTCTTTAATACGAATACTATCTAAAAATTCTGCACTTTATGGCTTTCGAAGTATAGCATTTTCATATTATACTGCATTTCATCTTCTCAATAAATATTCAAGTCAGGCAGGGGTAGGCAGTAGCTTAGGAAAGGGTAATTTCAGTCAAGATTACACAAGCAGTAGGTAATGAAGCTTGAGCCAGAACCCAAATCACCTGACTCCTAGTCCAGTATTGTTTCAACAATATCACATCTCGAACGAAAGGATCAGATTGTCTCAATATTTTACTTGGCCCTACATGTACATAGTCACATGTAGCATAAAAACCTAACCACCTTTTTATGATGCCAAGAGTAACAGCAAAACAATTTTGTTTGGAGAGCTCTTAGCAGACTGTGATCTGGCTCTTTGCATCTGCTGTCAGTGTCTAGTCCTGCACAAGCTTACTGATCCTAGGTTTTGCCTCTGTCTTAGCAGGCAGAAGACATAAAGGCAGGGTAAACACGTCTGGCATGAGAATGGAGGAGATCTCAGGTATTGTGAGCTCTCAGTCCCTCCACCCTCAGAAGAAGTCTCCCTTTCACCTGTGTCAATGATGGTTGGCCAGGTTTTCACATCCACAGCTGCTGCTGCCTCTCGGGACCTCAGTAGCCTCATTAGGGTCTGACTGGTGAGAATACAGGCTGCTTTGCTGACCTAGAAAACAAATGGACAGCAATAAGCATCAGGAGGCTCAGCCCCAACATGGCACCACAGGCCCTGGCTGCTGCTAAAAGCCACTCATGTACCACACTGGACAGGACAGTTTCAAAGAACACATGTGAGACAGACGAGGTCAGTGTTACTCCCTTGCATGTTTCCTTCTGGAAATGTGTGACATTTAATTCTCTCAGAATGATGGACCTGTTCACAATACACTGTATCATTTATAACAGTGATTCTCAAAGTATTTCAGTTATAATCTCAGTATAGATCCCACAATCCCAAGATTTCATGAAGACCACAATTAAATAAAGATGTGGGTTTTGTAGTGCTCAGGAAATGAGAAGAATCGGATAACCATGTTTGAAGGAGACTGCCCCAGTCTCTAGTGAATGATGAGACTTACTACACCTAGCCCATACACTGAACCTAAGGAACCCTGATGCTGATATAAGCTCTCACAGAAACTAGGTTCTCTTGCCCAGCTATACACAGAAATGCAAAGTGACCTATGACCTACTTTGCCCACGAACTGCATCAACAGCAACTCCCCTCCCTGCTTTTCTGGCCCACTTTGTAGAATATAACAAGGGCATTTTGCTGAATTACACTTTGTAATAAAATCATCTATGGTGATCATGGCTTTTATACTGTGGGCTCCATTTTTGCTGACAGAGCAGCAGTTCTCAGAGAAGCAAATGCTACATGAACTGGAATTTTGTAATCTGTCAGCACTGGCCAAGGCTTCCCCTTGCTGTAAACACTAGGATCTCATGCAATACACACTTATCTTATTTTCTTTAACTCTCATATCCTATAAAAACTTCTATCATCTCCAGAGCAAGTTCTGGACACCTTTTAATGCTATACCAAGTAAATTCACAAAAGTAACTAAAATAGAAGTGACTTGACACTGGGGATAATTCAGTTTGGCATTTAAAATCGCCTAGATAATTTTGCAGGAAAAATATCAGACAGCACGTTTTAGACAGAAGGGAGGGGGAAACACTTTTTTTTTTTCTTTTGGCGACAGGGTCTGCTCAGGCTGGAGTGCAGTGGCATAATCTCAGCTCACTTCTAACCTCCACCTCCCAGACTCAAGGGATCCTCCCACCTCAGCCTCCTGAGTCGCTGGAACTACAGGCAAGTGCCACAATGCCTGGCTACCTTTTGTGTTTTTGTTGTAGAAATACTAATGGCTGCTTCACCTCTTTAATGTTCATGATAACTGCACACAATTCTGTATCTCACCAATAACCACTTTCCCCCAGTTCCTTCACTGAATAATGATGACTGCTTTGGCTGGATTAACAAAAAGGAGGTAGTCTCCAGAAGACAAATTTGAATTCCTGACTTAACAAAATTGGAAAATTAGTAAGGATCCTTAGTTGTCTGAATCTGGATTTTAGGAGATGAGGACAAGGCAAGATACAGCTGGTACTTACATCAACAATCATTCGGACAGTGGGCAGCGTGGCCGTGAGGTTCTGAGCATGTGGAGGTCTGACGGTCACAGGTATACAGCCCGCATACAGGCAGCCATAGAAGGCGGCGATTAACTCAATGCCTGCAAGACAAAGGACCCTGTCAGGAGAGTCACTGAACTGCCTAAGAGCACTGAGAAACTAAAAGGCAAATTTTCCAAAACAATTAAATCATGTGCCAGACAGGTTCTGTAGACCATAATTTAACAAAGACCCTAGCAGAAGATATTGAAAGTGAAAGAAGGAAGCATATAAAACTTTAGAAAATATAGAGAAAACAATTAACAAAAAAGGAAGGAAATCAGCAGTAAACTCCTGAAATATTTCTGAAGAAGGTATATTGATATTATTGCTTGATATTACTCAGGAGGAATAACTGCAGAAACCAGGAATGGTTAACTAGGAAAATAAAAGAATGGAGAAAGGAGAGGTGAGGAAGCCCTGAGCTTCTTAAAAATATTTAGAAGGCTGCTCTAAAAAGAGCCATCAGACTTCTTAGATGTTGTTGAAGGGGTATGAGTTTTAGGGAGCAAAGTGTGACTCAGTCTGAGGAAGACTCTGGGCAGAGGCCTCGTCAGGAAGAGCTCAGGTCCTTCCCCGTGGCCTCTCACCGACTGACAGGTGCAAGGCCATCTCCTGGGCATGTAATGGTGGGGACTGCTTTATCACATGATCTTCTACGAAATCTCAGTATCTAGGTAAATAAGGCAGCACATGAGAATCACATAATGAGCCAGGCATGGTGGCACACACCTGTAATCCCAGCACTTTGGAAGGTTGGGGCAGGTGGATCACCTGAGGTCAGGAGTTTGAGACGAGCCTGGCCAACATGGTGAAACCCCATCTCTACTAAAAATACAAAAATTAGCTGGGCGTGGTGGCGTGTGCCTGTGATCCCAGCTACCCAGGAGGCTGAGGCAGGAGAATCACTGGAACCAGGGAGGCGGAGGTTGCAGTGGGTGGCAGAGCAAGGCTCCGTCTCAAAAATAAAATAAAATAAAATAAAATAAAATAAAATAAAATAAAATAAACAAACAAACAAACAAAAAAAAATCACAGAACAATATGAAGTGTGGGGGGATAACAGGCCAAAGAAAGCTGGATGTATGAGTGGATTAGGTGACAGAAATAATGAAGGGAAAACTCCAATATTTCACCCAGAATTTTGAATCTTTACACCAAATTGTCACCAAATAATTCTGAACCCCTCTTACTATGAAGATGAGGTTGTTGAATTAAATCAGAACATGAAAGTAGCAACAACAGAAGAAGACTAAATCGTAATATGAAAACTCACACCCCTTCAAAACTCACACCCCTTCAACAACATCTAAGAAGTCTGATGGCTTTTTATACATCAGCTTTCTAAATATTTTTAAAAAGCTCAGGGCTTCCTCACCTCTCCTTTCTCCATTCTTTTATTTTCCTAGTTAACCGTTCCTGGTTTCTGCAGTTATTCCTCCTGAGTAACATCAATCATAATACGAAAAATGTTCACAGAATTCACGCACAACATTTCTTTGGGGACTGGGTGAAATTGCCCCATTCCTGAACATTCATAGAAACAAAGCATCTGTTTTGAAGGTTTCCAAAAGCCAAGTAGCTGAAGACTTCATTCATTCATTATTTACTGAGTGCCTTTTATGTGCCAGGCACTAATAGAAATCTAAAGGTACAAAAACAGACATGGTCCCAGGAGAGCCACTGTACTGCACAACTTGGGGGGTGAGGATTGGTTCCCACTTTGGCCTGTGTGCATGGTCTTCTAAGTGTTGGGAAGTACACTGCTTGCAAGTCATAGAGAGTAGCTCTGAGTGCCTATCCTTTTATAATTTGTAGTCAGTCTAGTATTGGAGCTTAAACTCTAGTCTGCCAATCCAATGCTTACCAGGTGGATAGAGCAACACCACATTATCTCCTGCATTTAGATGTCCCTTATCACCAAGAACAGATGCAATCCTCTCTGCTCGCTTATGAAGCTGAAGGCAGCTGGCTGTGCATACAGTGGTTCCCTTTAAACAACAGAAAGGATAAGCGGGTCAAAGCTCAGAAAGGAAATAAACAGTAATAAGCACAGCCAATTCAACATCATACCTGAAAGGCTTGTGCTTTTGTAGATTATCCTTAGCAAGTTATCAATTCTAGTGAAAATTCCCTTAGCATCAAAGACGTGTGGGGCTGGACAGGGTGGCTCAAACCTGTAACGCTAGCACTTTGGGAGGATGAGGTGGGAGCACTGCTTGAGCCCAGGAGTTCAAGACAAGCCTGGGCAACACAGCAAGATCTCCTCTCCACTAAAAATACAAAAAAGAAATCAGTCAGGTGTGGTGGTGGCACATGCCTGTAGTCCCAGCTACTCAAGGGGCAGAAGTGGAAGGATCACTTGAGCCAATGCCTGGGCGACAGAGCGAGATTCTGTCTCAAAAAAGAAAAAATAATAATAAAATAAAATCAAACAAAAAGACATGTATGGGACGCTTTTTCTTTCTTTTTTTGTTCTGACATGGTCTTGCTGTTGCCCAAGCTGCAGTGCAGTGATGTAATCACAGCTCACTGCAGCTTGCAGCCTCAAACTCCTGGGTTCAAGCCATCCTCCTTCCTCATCCTTTCAAGAAGCTGGGATTATAGGCATGAGCCACCGTGCCTGGCTGACATTTTTAAATGAAATATGAGAACCCTAATGAATCTGTGGGCTTGAAAAGAAGCTCACTTCATGCAGAGGTGGAACAAGAAAGTCCCCAAATTTTCTGTCATAAAAGTAATGGTTCTTAAGATTTTTAACGACTTTTCAATAAGATGCACAACATATTCCTCTCATTAAGTTCTATTATTGCATAAATTCTCAAAAAAAAAAAAAATCAGATTCCAGGGGGATGGAGGAGATGGGTATACTTTGGATAAGTCCCCTAAGAGATCCAATAGGCACTTCCAGTCTTCCCCTGCTGGGGAGAAATACTACTATCCACATGGTCACAGACTTTGAGCCTGTGACTCAGACATCAACACAAAAATTCAGCTGACTCCCACAGAATGCATAACTTTAAAATACAATATATAGGCCGGGCACAGTGCCTCAAGCCTATAATCCTAGCACTTTGGGAGGCCAAGGCAGGTGGATCCTGAGGTCAGGAGTTCGAGACCAGCCTGACCAACATGTGAAAGCCCGTCTCTAATAAAAATATAAAAATCAGCTGGGCCTGGTGGTGGGCACCTGTAATCCCAGCTACTCGGGACGCTGAGGCAGGAGAATCGCTTGAACCCAGGAGGCAGAGGTTGCACTGAGCTGAGATGGCACCACTGCACTCCAGCCCAGGTGACAGAGCAAGACTCCATCTCAAAAAAATACATATATATATTTTTTTCTTTATATATATTTATATATTATAATGTAATATATATTATTATATTTAATATAATATATATATTTTTTCTTTTTTTATTTTTGAGACAGGGTCTTGCTCTGTCACCCAGGCTGGAGTGCAATGGCGCATTTTCGGCTCACTGCAACCTCCGCCTCCCGGATTCAAGCGATTCTCCTGCCTCGGCCTCCCGAGTAGCTGGGATTACAGGTGCCCGCCACCACGCCCAGCTGATTTTTATATTTTTAGTAGAGACAGCGTTTCACATGTTGGTCAGGCTAGTCTTGAACTCCTGACCTCAAGTGATCCACCCGCCTTGGCCTCCCAAAGTGTTGGGATTACAGGTGTGAGCCACTGTGCCCAGTCCTAAAATACAGTATTATAACGAACCATCCATCAGAAACCAGTAGTTAAATGTGCTCTTTGAGTAATTTTCAATTTGCTTTTTATCTGTTAGCAATAAATCATTTAACTATGTACCAGAAATAACTTAGGGTTTTTAAAATGCTGGTCTAAGGTCATTTTCTTCCTGGCAGAAATCAAATAATTAAAAGTCCCACTGGGTAAAAAAACTGTATGACATAACACATTGTGAACATCTGTGTATCTATGTAATTGCATTGTTGGCTCCATTTCTCCTATCAGAACTGAATAAAGAAGACGTGATTGTACCATAAGAAAAGAAAGTATTACATAGCACTCCAGGAGGTCTCAGTCCAATCTTAAAGTGATTGCACAGTTTACCCTCATATGCCAAAGCAAGGAGAAAGCCATTAACTCCTTCTTCAGAGATGGCAACAGAAATTTTCTGATGAAAGAAAGAGATCAAGAGTGCCTAAGATGGTCCTATAGTAGTCAGCTGATTAGATATACCATTGAATTTTTAATACCTTGGCATTTAACAGCATGAAGAGTACATGGTCAGGAGTCGCCTGGGCTCGCCACTGTAGGATCTCTGCCAGAAACTGGTGCTGAAGTCATAAACCAGAAAAAGGACTCAGGGTCAGCAACTTATAACAAGTCATATAATGCATCCCCCAGCTGCTACCTGCAGTAAGTTCTGTCCTTGACTTGACTGTAAGAAGGTAACACTTCAGGAACACTTACCTTCCTCACCAAATCATTCTCTTCTATTTGTCCCAGATCCCTTCCAGCAGCTTGTGCTATACGTTTTCCAGCAACCAGATTCCCAACCATCACGGAAGCAGGGCCTACACCTGTAAATAAATGCAAAACCCAACTCACTGGAGATGGCGATTCCAACTAAGTATCCAGAGCATTTCCAGACTGACCAAAACTGGTTCAAATATTCATCCAACAATACTGCCTGAACACTCTTCTAGGCACTGGGAACCCAGGAGCAAATAGGGCAAAGAGCCTGCATTCTGAAGAAGGGTAACCAAGAAATACATACACAAATAAATAAACATAAATAGTGCAAAGTACTGGAAAAAAACCAAACAAACAAGAAAACAGGAGGGACAGGGATTGGGGTGGAGGGAAGGAGGCAGCTATTCTAGTTTGGGGTATACAGGAATTTTTCACTCTGAGGAGGTGATAGCTGGTTGCACAGGTTCCTACTAATATTTTAATCTTCTCCAATCATAATAGAACCCTAAAAGAGGGCTTAACAATAAAGAATATCTGGCCTGGAAAGAAATTTGTCATCTACAAGGCCTGAGGGAGTTTATCTAGAATATTAAATTTGTTCAATTAAAAGTGAATAATGGCCGGGAATGGTGGCTCACGCCTGTAATCCCAGCACTTTGGGAGGGCGAGGCGGGAGGATCACAAGGTCAAGAGATGGAGACCATCCTGGCCAACATGGTGAAATCCCTTCTCTACTAAAAATACAAAAATGAGCTGGGCGTGGTGGTACACACCTGTAGTCCCAGCTACTCGGGAGGCTGAGGCAGGAGAATTGCTTGAACCCAGGAGGTGGAGGTTGCAGTGAGCCGAAATCGTGCCACTGCACTCCAGTATGGCGACAGAGCGAGACTACATCTCAAAAAAAAAAAAAAAAAAAAAAGTGAATAATGGCCAGGAACGGTGGCTCATGCCTGTAATCACAGCACTTTAGGAGGCCGAGGCGGACAGATCACTTGAGCCGAGGAGTTTGTGACCAGCCTGGGCAACATGGCAAAACCCTGTCTCTACAAATACAAAAATATTAGCCTGGTATGGTGGTAGACATCTTTAGTCCAGGCTACTTGGGAGGCTGAGGTGGGAGGATCATTTGTGCCAGAGTTCAAAGCTGCAGGCCAGGCGTGGTGGCTCACGCCTATAATCCCAGTACTTTGGGAGGCCGAGGCGGGCGGATCACAAGGTCAGGAGACCGAGACCATCCCGGCTAACGCGGTGAAACCCTGTCTCTACTAAAAATACAAAAAAAATTAGCCGGGTATGGTGGCGGGTGCCTGTAGTCCTAGCTGCTTGGGAGGCTGAGGCAGGAGAATGGCGTCAACCCAGGAGGCGAAGCTTGCAGTGAGCCAAGATCGCGCCACTGCACTCCAGCCTGGGCGACAGTGCGAGACTCCATCTCAAAAAAAAAAAAAAAAAAAAAAAAGCTGCAGTGAGCTGAGATCATGCCACCGCACTCCAGCCTGGGCAACAGTGTTAAGACCCTGTCTCAAAAAACAAAAACAAACGAACAAAAAACTCAGGGAAAAAAATGTCAGCAAGGCCAGGCGTGGTGGCTTGCTCCTGTAATCCTACCAGTTTGGGAGGCAGAGGGGGGCAGATCATTTGAGGACAGGAGTTTGACACCAGCCTGGCCAACATGGCAAAACCCCATCTCTACTAAAAATACAAAAATTAGCTGGGCGTAGTAGCTCACACCTGTAATCCCAGGTACTCAAGTGGTTGGATCCTGGGTGGCAGAGGTTGCAGTGAGCCAGATCACGCTACTGTACTCCAGCCTGGGCAACAGAGCAAACTCTGTCTCAAAAAAAAAAAAAAAAAAAAAAAGCAACAATTCGTAAATCTAGGATAGGCTACATGGGTGTTCCTCACTATACTATTCGTCTAACTTTTCCATAGGTTCGACACTTCAAAATAAACGGGGGAGCCCACTCCCTCTCTAGAAAAAAGTGCTAGGTTGCTCTCTTCATGGTCATCCGCCTCACGGAACTAAGAAGATGGCAAAAAGATGATAAAACAAAGCTTATTGCCAGCTAGGTTTTAAATAGGCTGATGCTATACTGGATTAATATTAAAAATCTTTTATTCTATCAAAATCTGTTGATCCTGAATATACTGAAACAGATGAGACAAAATCACTTAAATCATATAATCAATTTTCAAAGGGTAAATATTTGGGGAAGCTGGGTAAAGGGTGTAAGGAAAATCTTTGTACCATGTGGCAACTTTTTGTTTTGTTTTGTTTTGTTTTGTTTTTTGAGACAGAGTCTCGCTCAGTCGCCCAGGCTGGAGTGCAGTGGCACAATCTTGGCTCACTGCAAGCTCCGTCTCCCAGGTTCACGCCATTCTCCTGCCTCCCGGGTTCACGCCATTCTCCTGCCTCAGCCTCCCGACATGTGGCAACTTTTTTGTGTGAAATTATTTCAAAATGTAAAGTTTAAAAAATTTAAAAATAAAACAGAAAACTCAAAAAAGATAAAGTATTCCAATTGGTGAACAGTTTTAGTCTACAAAGTGTCTACTACAATTTTAAGTAAATATGCAATATTCCTCCCTAAGAAACTTCATGACAAATTATAGATATATCATGTTGGAGACAGCCTTTTAATACAGGCAGGGACTCAGAGTGTATTTATGTAAACTGTGCATTCTGGGATTTACATTATAAAATTAATAAAGGCATATTTTAAAAAGTGAATTTTGCAGTAGTTTAAAACAATAAAACTAATTCAGCAGCAGTTCCTGGATGTTCTTCTGTGTGCATTTCGTGAGTCTATGGGTCTGTGGGTCACAGAGAATGAAAGATACTGAAAGCAGTAACTCCAGGAAGCTAATTGCAGACACTGCTGTACCTGTAAATATGCCTTCTGATTTTCCAATAAAATTCTGTAAACGTCTTATGGCAAAAACTGCTAGTTATCAATTCCAGTATCCTATTCTTCTTCCTTAATAACAGAACCCCCAGTTTTTAGCTGGACACATGCCTGGAATAAAGACTATATTCTTTAGTGTGGGAGGATAATAAGTAAGAGGAAGTAATATGTGCAATTTCTAGAAAATATGTTAAAGGGAAGAGTATCCTTTCTTTACCTTTTCCTCCTACCTGCTGGCTGGGATGTAGAGGTTGGGGAGCCTAATGAGCCCTGGGGCAGTTGCTAATGATGGCTGTGGCCGATTATTTTATTTTCCCACAATCCTTCCTTTCTTTCTTGTCTTAGTTATGGCTGGATGGGATAAGTATACTTCATGGTCTCACTTGTTTAGGACAATGAAATGTTAGGACATGTGACACAAACAGAAGCTTTAAATATGCTCATGTGGCTTGGCTTGCTTTGTTGCTTCTGCCATCTGCCTTGAAAAAAATACGGCCCAGGTAGCTGCTGGTCCCATGATGAGGAGACACATGGAACAGCTCTGAACCCAACCTAAGCCTGGAGCCAAGTCAAGTCCAGTGGATCCCAGCCAAGCCAAGCAGATCCACATTCCATGAGTAAAAAGTAAATGCTTGCTACTTCAAGGCACTGAGTTTTAGGGTTATTTGTTCTGTAGCGTATCTATGACAAGAGGTGACAGACAAAACACCAGAGCAAAAAGATGGGAAGCTAGAAGAACATGATTGAGGAGTGACTATCCTAGCCTTTGGACTACCTAGCTCTGAACTTTTTTTACCTGACAAAAATATGCTTGTTTCTTGCCTGAGCTGCAATTTATGTTTTTCTGCAACCTGCAGCCAAGACTAGTCCTAACAAACACATTCTTTCTTTCTACAATAGCTCCAAAAGCATCTCAAGGATATGTTTGCCTCCGGGCTGCCTTAACACACCTTTTCCATCTTCCCTTTCTTTTTTGTTGAGACAGGGTCTGGTTCTGTCGCCCAGATTAGAGTGCAATGGCGCAATCTCGGTTTACTGCAACCTCCCAGGCTCAAGCCATCCTCTGTCAGCCTCTGAAGTAGCTGAGACTACAGGTGTGCACCACCGGGCCTGGCTAATTTTTTCCATTTTTTTTTGTAGAGACAGGATTTTACCATGTCGCCCAGGCTGTTTTCGAGCTCCTGGGCTCACACGACCCTCCCACCTTGGCCTCCCAAAGTCTTTGTAAACTAATTGTAGAGAAAGAATCACACTGAGAGAACCCAGCTTCTTGAAGTTGGAATTTTAGTGCCAGGTCTTGGAAGCCAGCATATTACCTGGTTGTTTTTGCCGGGGCTTTGGCAAGTTTGTCACACATGTATGGGGGCACATGAGGATGTTGCAAGGATGCAGTGATCCCTCCAGAAAGAGTTGTTTCGTCTGAGATATATGGATTCCTCCTAGTGGAGTTTTTGGCAATGTATTGGCTGGCACCAGAGCAAGACAATAAACCCCCACTTGATGAATGCTATCGATCGCCTAGAAAAATACAAACAAAAATACTCAGTGAGATCACTTCTATTACATTTGACATATTCCTGGTATAATCCATTATTTTACGCTACAATTTTTCTTACTCTACCCATTCTAGATCTAGAATCTGGCAGATCACTAAGATTCCATATATCTAGAGATTTAAAGATAATCATTAAGATAATACACATCTTTCAGCTGTGGCAGAGATTAAAAGAAGAGAGGTAAGATACAATCTAAATGGACAAAGGTGGATATTGACTTGCAACTCAGTATGTTCTCTTTTTAAGTTTTTATTCTTTTTAGAGACAGGGTCTCATTCTGTCAGCTGGGGTGGAATGCAATGGCACAAGCCATGACAGCCCCAAATTCCTAAGCTCAAGTGATCCTCCTGCCTCAACCTCCCAAGAAGCTGGGACTACAGGGATGCACCACTGCGTCTGGCTAATTTAAAATAATTTTTTTTCTTTTCTTTTTTTTAATTTTAAGGTTTTTGGAGAGATGGGGTCTCACTGTGCTGCCTAGGCTGGTCTTGAACTCATGGCCTCAAGTGATGCTCCCACCTTGGCCTCCCAAAGTGCTGAGATTACTGTCATACCATGCCCAGCCAATATGTTCTCTCTTAAGTGATAATGTCAAAAACCTAGAAATTTGTTTTGGTTCTTTTAATCTTTTAGCTATCAGCCAACAAAGCCTAATTAAACAGAAGTAAGGTATTTTTATTATGAACACAACAGCAGCTCTCTAAAGGAGCCCCCACTTAAGTGATTCACCATGTTACCATGCATCTCCTCTGAAAAACATCTGGGGTGAGGCCCATAGCACACCGAGCATTGGAGGCCACAAGCTACCCTGAGCGTACCTGTGCTCGCAGCCATGTAACTGCATGTTTGCTTAAAGTCAGCTGTGTTCCTACACTGTTTGACAGCTGTTCTTGTTGTTTTCACATAATGTAATTAAATATTATGTTAACTGACAAAATACAAATGCAAAAACACAGAAGGAGTTATGCTTTGGAAAGACACACTAAAAGTTAGCTCCTAAAAAACTTCTGTTCATAGGTCAGGCAAGTTAATCCTAAAAGTGAAGATACCCATTCAAGTCATTTTTCAAATACCCACATTCTGGTGCTAACTTACAGAAAATAAAACCAGGCCGGGTATGGTGACTCAAGTCTGTAATCTCAGCACTTTGGGAGGCCAAGGTGAGAAGACAGTTTGAGTTCAGGAATTTGAGAATAGCCTGGGCAACATGGCAAAACCCCATCTCTATATTTTAATTTTTAAAAAAATTTAAAAAGAAAAACCAGAAACTGAAGACAATGTATTTTGATATAGTTTATAGAAGTAAGCCGACCTGGACTTCAGGTTGGTATATTCGTAATCACACTTCTCTACATCAAAGGAATACATACTTAGATATTTTCTATTAAAATTTAATACTTGAAGAATTTCTCATTTTTATGGAACCAATCAACTTTATTTTATTTT
Source organism: Homo sapiens (assembly GCF_000001405.40). NCBI lineage: Eukaryota > Metazoa > Chordata > Mammalia > Primates > Hominidae > Homo > Homo sapiens. Next base: position 50,712,910 of record NC_000012.12, on the reverse strand, counting down.
TTTGAGACAGAGTCTTGCATTGTCACCCAAGCTGGAGTCCGATGGCGTGATCTCAGCTCACTGCAACCTCCGCCTCCTGGGTTCAAGCAATTCTCCTGCCTCAGTCTCCGGAGTAGCTGAGATTACAGGTGCCCGCCACCAAGCCCGGCTAATTTTTTGTATTTTTATTAGAGACGGGGTTTCACTATGTTGGCTAGGCTGGTCTCGAACTCCTGACCTCGTGATCCACCTGCCTCGGCCTCCCAAAGTGCTGGGATTACAGGTGTGAGCCACCGTGCCCAGCCCTTTTTCGTTTGTTTGTTTTTTTAAGATGGAGTCTCGCTTTTTCTCCCAGGCTGAAGTGCAGTGGCGCAATCTCGGGTCACCACAACCTCCACCTCCCGGGTTCAAGCAATTTTCCTGCCTCAGCCTCCCAAGTAGCTGGGATTACAGGTGTGTGCCACCACATCTGGCTAATTTTTGTATTTTTAGTAGAGACAGGGTTTTACCACGTTGGCCAGGCTGGTCTTGAACTCCTGATCTCAAGTGATCTGCCTGCCTCGGCCTCCCAAAGTGCTGGGATTACAGACATGAGCCATCATGCCTGGCTAAAACTGACCAACTGTTAATACTAGTTAGGAGGTTTCTACCGTATTACCCATAGGTCTTATTGAACAAGAGATACAATCTTAGAAGTAGAATGAACCCACAGTTATAAAGGTCAAACATAAAAAAAGGACAAGGCTGTATGTATGTATGTATGAATGACAGGGTCTTGCTCTGACACCCAGGCTGGAGTGCAATGGTATGACCACAGCTCACTATAACCTCAAATTGCTGGGCTCAAGTGATCCTCCCACCCCAGCCTCTCAAGTAAGTGGGACCACAGGCAGTGGCGTCTAGCTAATTTATTTATTCATTTGTTTATTCTTTGTAGAGCAAAGGGTCTTGCTCTGTTGTCCCAGGCTGGTCTTGAACTCAAGTGACCCTCAGCTTCAGCTTCCCAAATTGTTGGGACTAGAAGCATGAGCCACCATGCGTGGCCAAGGCCTTTTATTAAAACAATTTAAGGAGCCAGGTGCAGTGACTCACGCCTGTAATCCCAGCACTTTGGGAGGCCAAGGTGGGTGGATCTCCTGAGGTCAGGAGTTTGAGACCAGCCTGGCCAGCGTGGTGAAACCCCGTCTAGTAAAAATACAAAAATTAGCTGGGTGTGGTGGCGAGTGCCCGTAATCCCAGCTACTTGGAAGGCTGAGGCAGGAGAATTGCTTGAAACCGGGAGGTGGAGGTTGCAGTGAGCCGAGATCGTGCCACTGTACTCCAGCCTGGGAGACAAGAGTGAAACTCTATCTCAAAAACAAAACAAACAAACAAACAAACAAAAATTTAAAAGGGCAAAAGAATAAACTTGAAAATCACAATCCTCAGACTATCCTACCAACCAATACAGATGACTGGGAAATGGAAAGTCTGGCAGAGTTCCTAAGTTTCTGTGTTTTTTTTAGAATACACAGAAAGTTAGCAAATGTGCTACATGTAGCCTGAATTCCTCATTAAAAACGCATCTGATAAGTCATCTACTAACTGCCTTTCCTTAGAAAGTGCTGAGTTAGGTATTTAGTTTATGTTATACACGGACCTGGAATTCAACAACCTCTGGCCTTTAATCTATTAGAATACATGGCGTCATTTACTGTTCTGCTATGGACTCGAATGCTCCGAGCTGGTAAGTTACAAAGACTGCGAAAAGAATGGCCTGTTATCTCATGCCCAAATTGGAACCCAAGTGACTTTCACAAGAGTTTGGATTAGTAAATTGGCACTGTATTTAATTCCTATAGTTGCTTTCCAGGGAAAAGTAGCAAATATCTTGGGAGATGTCAGGTATACTCACTTTTCTATAATAGAAGAAAATACGTAATTCACCAAAGCTTCTACCATTACATGCCCCAAAGTTCATTCTGAACAAAATAAGGTTTCTGACTGAAAATATGATTGGTATGAAAAATATTCTCTTTGCACGTCTGCCCCTTAGCCATCTTTCAGAGATCTGCCCCGTTCTACCTTCTTCATAGTCTTTCCTGACTAGTCTATCTTCAATATATTTTCTTTTCTGATTTTCTACTACAAATAGCCTACACAGTATCAGCTGATAATTCAGAATTACAGACCCTGAGGATAGAAAGAAATATTAAAAGTCATCTAGCAGCCAGGTGACGTGGCTCACATCTATAATCCCAGCACTCTGGGAGGCCGAGGTGGGTGGATCACCTGAGGTCAGGAGTTCGAGACCAGCCTGGCCAACATGGCGAAAATCTGTCTCTACTAAAAATACAAAAAATTAGCTGGGCATGGTGGCAGGTGCCTGTAATTCCAGCTACTTGGGAGTCTGAGACAGGAGAATCGCTTGAACCCAGGAGGCGGAGGTTGCAGTGAGTCAAGATCGTGCCATTGCACTCTACCCTGGGCAACAGGAGAGAAACTCCATCTCAAAAAAAAAAACAAAACAAAACAGTCATCTAGCAATACCACCATCTCATGCTTGCATTGTTTCTACAACACTGCTATTAACTAGCAGTTAATAAATTCAAATTCCCCAAGTAGAGAAGTTACAGATCTTGGGAAGACTTCCACTGATACCTAAGTACAGCAAGGACAGGCCACACTTTCTTTGGACCATCCACTTAGCCAACAAATATTTACTGAGCCTACTATGACGTTCGCTAGCATAGCTACCGGGCTCTGGGGATCGAGCCCTGAACAAAAGAGACAAAAAAGTCTTGGCCTTGCCTTATATTACAGTGGATGTAGAAAACAATAAATATACAAGATGTTAAGTGCTAAGTAGAAAAATAAAGAAGAATGAAGGGACAGAGAATGAAAGGGAATATTAATTGAGAGGAAGTGGTCCTCTCTAATTGGAGACTATTCTTACAATCTTTTATTTTTTGAGAGATGGGTTTTTGCTATGTTGCGCAGGTTGGAGTGCAGTAGCTATTCACAGGTGCGACCATAGTGCACTACAGCACTGGCTCAAGCGATCCTCCTACCTCAGCTTTCTGAGTAGCTGGGGCTACTGGTGCCTGTCACAGCACCTGGCTCATTATTACTATCATTATTATTATTATTTTGAGCCAGGGTCTTCCTCTGTCACCCAGGCTGAACTGTAGTGGCATGATCATAGCTCACTGCAGTGCTGACCTACTGGGTCAAGTGATCCTCCCACCTCAGCCTTCCAAGTAGCTGGGATCACAGGTGCACACAACTATGCCTGGATAATTTTTTTTTTTTTTTGAGACAGAGTCTTGCTCTGTCCCCCAGGCTGGAGTGCAGTGGCGCGATCTCGGCTCACTGCAAGCTCCGCCTCCTGGGTTCAAGCCATTCTCCTGCCTCAGCCTCCCGAGTAGCTGGGACTACAGATGCCTGCCACCACGCCCAGTTAATTTTTTTTTTTTGTATTTTTAGTAGAGACGGGGTTTCACCGTGTTAGCCAGGATGGTCTCGATCTCCTGACCTCGTGATCCGCCCATCTCGGCCTCCCAAAGTGCTGGGATTACAGGCGTGAGCCACTGCGCCTGGCCTATGCCTGGATAATTTAGAAAAAAACTTTTGGTAAAGATGGATAATAACAATCACCATCATTATTTACTGAGTGCAGGTACTATATACTTCAATTAATTACCTCATTTAATCCTTCCAACAGCTCTATAAAACAGATAATTTTATCCTACTTTGCAGGTTAGGAAATAAACTCAGTGAGGTTAAATGACTTGCCCAAGGGCACATATCTGGTAAGAAGTGGAGCTGGGATTCCAAGTCTATGATTCTAAGTGAAGACTAGGCTCTTGTCATCACTCTAGCCTGCTCCCCACCACAGACATATTGCTTAGACTGTGCCCAAAGCATTCTCCTTCCCTCATGGTTTATCTCACCTAGCATCTCTAGCCCCATAGGAAAGCTCCTTCAGAGTAAAGCTAATAGCTGTATTTTCTTGGATCCCTCACACCATCGGCACCACTTATGACACACAGTAAAACTGTGACTGACTGTTGACAAGTGGATTGATTACTGCCAGAGATGTGTTCCACATATGACAGTTAAAACTTTCACAAGTAGTAAACACTCAGGCATGAAAGAATTTGCTGAGGCAAGTCAATTCCATTATTTTTGGCAACCTGAGCAGAAAAATACCATGTGGTCCACAAGGAGAAATGGTATTAATTATCTGATTTTGCTAGTAGTACCCAGAGTATGTGAGCAATGATTGGCAAGAAGTAAGGTGGCATTACTGGCTGATCGAAGAAAATGAAATGCTTAGGCAGTGGTTGCTGCCACCGCTGACCTGACACAGACCCCAAAGTGTGCTCACCTGCAGCACGCGGCTCATCCACTGGAAACTATCTTCCTCAGAAGCATCAGGTCTTTGTTCCGCAACCACCACAATGCGCTCATCATAAAATACAGACACAGAAAACACAGCAATTCTAAGAGAGACAGATCAAACACATCAGGACTCCCTTCACAACCAGTCCTATTTGTTTTGTTTAACTGGAATTACAGAGAGGAGACAACCCCACCATGCTACCCAAAACGAGTAGCTTAGAAAAGAAAATGTCATAATCATTACTCTCAAAATGAGCATTCATTCATTTAAATAATATGTATTAAGCACAACTGTCATGAATGTTGGGGACATAGTGGTAAATAAGACAAAGTTCTTGTCTTTGTGGCACTTATATGTTAGAGACAGAACAAACAAATAAATACAGAATAATGCCATGTTGCAATATACAGGGGGTGGAGTGGTGTGTAGGGTGGCGTATTACTGAGGGCAGGGTGGCTCGGGGGGCGCCTCCCTGAGGAGCGGACATTGGAGCAGAGACCTGAATGAGGTGAGGACGCGAGCCACGCGAAGATCTGGAGGAAGAGGTTTCCGGGCAGAAGGAACGGAAAGCGAAAAGGTTCTGAGGTAGGGACGAGCTTGGCAGGTTTGAGGAACAGCAAGAAGGCCAGTGTGCCTGGAGCAAAGTGGTGAAGCAGAGACCGGGAGGGAGAGAGGTCAGACCCAGGCCAGGGCAGATCCCAGTGGACCTGAGAGGCCATGGGAGGGAGGATGAAGTTGGTTCTGAGGGAGGTCTCCGCTCAAATGTCCCCTTACTAGCGAGGCACTCCCAGGACACCTCATAGAAACTGGCAGGCCACCCCCACCCCCATGTGTTTTTCTCCATAGCACTTGTCACTGTCTCACATGTTATCTATTGCCCTGTTTATGTGGTTCCTGTCTGTCTCCCACAACAAGCATGTGAGCTTCACAAGGGCAGAGACTTGGCCTGTTTTGTTCACTGCCACAGCCGAAGCCTCCAGGACAGCGGCACAGTGTTGGCACCCAATGAATATTTGTTGAATGAATGCATGAAAGAATGGGAAGGCACCGGAGAGCAGAGTCTGCCGGCATGTCTGCCTGACACCCTCCTTCCTTCCTTCCACATACATTCACCCAACACCTACCAGGTGTCCGGCACTACTGATTGCTGGGATATGACTGTGACCAAAGGCAGATCTAGTGCCCCATGGACTTTACATCTCATAGGAAGCCACACCACTACAAAAAAAACTATACATTTCAGAAACTGTTTCACTAATTTTTTGTACTTCTTAAACTAAAGGGACACTAAGTTTGCCTTAAAGAGACACATCTACGATTGCAAATTGCTGAACAGGACATCAACTACTCAAATATGTAGCAAATATCTTTTCTTACATTAATAAGCAAAGAAAAAAGATATCTAATTGACTTTGTCCATGGAATTTGAAATTATGCACTATGTCAATCCCCACATTAAAACGGTATAATTTAATTAGAAACAAGAGAAACAATTCTTAGATGTAAATGCCTACAGAGTAGCATCTATATCAGTTAGTCTGAATGGCACTACTTTTGCATTGAAGAAATGCAGGAAGTTAATGTTTTAGAATTCTCCTCAGTCCTCAGGATTCAACAAATCTGAAGTTAAATCTGAAGTAAAGGATATAGTTGCATCTTAATCCTCTTAGTTACAGCTGAAGCACCAGATGTTGTAAAATATATATTAAAAGCCAGGCTAAGAAGAAGAAGAAGAAAAAAAAAAGCCAGGCTTATGCAATGCTTAACAAAAACAATCTGATCACTTGGAAAGAGAACCTACAAAATACCACTGAAATCACCATGTGAAGATGTATTTAGATTCCATTAAAAGGTGCTAACATTTGAATTTTGTACTACTCACCTTCCTCTATAAACAGTCTTTATTGATTCTACAGCCAATCCAGTAGCAACAATGTCATCAGCATTATGTCTTCGACCACTAACCATCAGTAAGCCATCCATTTTCCCAACCACGAACACCAAACTACCCTGAAAGGTAATGATGATTTACCTTGATTTCCATGATTTAAATAGTAAAACAGACATCTTTTAACTTCCTGCCTTTAAATAAATCTCATTTAAAAAGTATTAAAAACACAACTGCCATATTTTACGGATTCTAGAGAAAGCATTTCACATCTTGACATCTCTGAAATCAGCTGGGAAAAGAGTGGCATCTTACAGCCAATGAAGTCTCACAGGATACCTAAGAAGGGAATTTACTCATATTTATTTTAGGGAGGAACTTCATTAAGAAAGCAACTAGGATTCCACCCAAGCATAGCTGATTTTCCCAGCCATGATTTATGTGTTAGTTTGCTTATGTTTCTATTCAGAGGATACAGAGGAAGAAAAATGTATTCATTTACTGTTGGAATTAGGAGGAGATTAAAACAGTATAAATAGGAGAATGACCGTCTCAGGTTGGTAAGGGTAATGCTGTTTCCATCCGGCAGTATTAGAAATAGGCTAATAAAGAAAGGTCTAAGGAATGCTGTAGGTGCCTTTCTTTTCCAATAAGAAAACAAAGCAGCAGGGAACTACTATGAAATCCCCAAAAGCATCACTGTATAAATAATCTTCCCAGACTCATTTGCAGCAAATTAACTTTTCTCATTCATTACAGAATTTCTAAATTTCTTAGTCCATTTACATACATTCACCTACCTAGCAGTTATTTCCACGTGAATGTCACTCACTGATTTACTAAGCACAATGTAGTGCCCTACACAGTGACTGGGCCATGTAAGACATAACCCATATCCTCAACAAGCTACTGGTTCAACCCATATGTCAGGAAAAAAGCAGCCATTTCCAACAAAGGCTGAAAAGCCACAGTGTTGGTAAGAGAATGAGACAGTCACTGTCATTCCTTCAATGTCCATTTCTCCATTTCGTTCACAGTAGGATAATTTTTAGCTGGGCATGGCTGACCAAAATAAAGATTGCATTCCAGTCTCCCTTGAAGCTAGGTGTGGCTGCAGGACTAGTTCAGACCAATAAGTGAAAGTGTTGCACAGCAGCTTCAAGGAATCTTCCTTTAAAGAGGAGGACTGCACCTTTCCCTGTTTCTTGGAATACAGATGAAAGGCTTGGAGCTCCATTTTGGACATCAATCATGGAACTGTAAGCTAAAAGGAGGTGGGTCTTTGAGAATTTCCTGGTGCTAAGTGAAAAAGTCAAGACAAAGGTGTAGAGAGTTGATTCTCCTAGATCTATGTCCTCACCCACCCTGCCCCTCCATTAAATGGCAAGGAAGAAATAAAATAAAATTAGATCTCTTATATGACTGAAGATGTTAAGTGGAAAAGAAGACAGGGTAGGAGGTAATTAGAGATGAATGGAGTAATATGGGCTTAGCTAGGAATAATGACTATTACTTACAAAATAAAATCCTACTTCCCATGATGTCATGCAAAGCCCCTCCATGACCTAGATCTCTGCCATCCTCTGGCTCATCAAGTTCACTGTGAGCTCTTTGAGAACAGGCTTTTAATGTCCTGATTGTCTCTAATCTTGTACCTATAAATACTGTGTTCTGAATAACAAACTTTTTTGTTTTTTTTTTGTTTGTTTTTTGAAATGAAGTCTCGCTCTGTTGCCCAGGCTGGAGCATAGTGGCGTGATCTCCACCTCCTGGGTTTAAGCGATTCTCCTGCCTCAGCCTCCCAAGTAGCTGGAATTACAGGTACATGCTACCACACCCAGCTAATTTTTGTATTTTTAGTAGACACAGAATTTGCCATGTTGGCCAGGCTGGTCTCGAACTCCTGACCTCAGGTGATCCGCCCACCTCGGCCTCCCAAAGTGCTGGGATTACAGGCATGAGCCACCACACCCGGCCCAAACTGTTTTCACTCAAAGGATCACTATTACACATCACATAGTGCCAATCATTTACATGAAAATGCTCTGTATACTATGTATTATAGTTTGTCTTTGCTACTGAAGATAACTTTTTCCAGCACTCTTCTAACTTATTGCAACATGTTAATCAAATCAGAGCGAGATAGTGAGAATAAGTGAAAAGAGTTCTTAAAATAAAAAAAGTCTCATCATGTCTTCTGATCTCAGCGGGGAAAAAAAGAAAATAAAAAATGTCTTAGTTTGAAGGAGTCAAATGAACTTGGGTAGTGGAAATGATAAACACTAACTCATTTTATGACATCCTTACAAGAACTGCTTTAAATATAAGTGAAGTGGTTCTGTAACACTCTTGGACTAATCAGAATTTGTTCTGTTCTGTGAATTAAAGTCCAAATATTTGGATCAAATGTAACAAAATCAACATGAAAGCATCACTTACCGGCCCTACAAACCCCAGCAATCCTGATCGGATGAATGGCACATCCCCAACAGGAGAGCCTGCAGAATTCACTGGAATTACCTAAGAGACAAAATGAAGTAAGTGAAAAACTTTGCTTTTTCTTAGAAAGTATATGTGATTTTTAAAAAGTTTTATTAAAATACATGCTCAGTGAAAAAATAATGTAATAGTGAATCCAGTAATTCCATCCCTTTAGAGATAAGAAATAATTACAATTTATTGTTTACCTCTCTAGACTTTTAAGAAGATACATATATAAATATATATATAAAACATATAAAAAATATGTATATATAAATAAATGTGCTGAGTTTTTTTTTTTTTCAAACAGATATTATACTTTTTGCAACTTGCTTTTCCACGAAATATATCTCAGATACCCTTCCAAGTTAGTAAGAGTTGACTTAGCCCACTCAGCCACTCCATGGGGGACAGGACAGCATAGTCGTTGGTGTCAATTCAATTTCTGGCTCTGCCACTTACTAGTAACATAGACTTTAGGCAAGTGCCTGGATTTTTCTGAGCCCTGTTTTGCAGCCACTTAATGGAGTACTCTGTGCCTCTCACAGGCTTGGAGTAAAGATTAAGGAATGCAAAAAGATTTGCAGAAACAAGTACGGTATCTGACCCAGAATCAGTATTCAGGAAATTGTAGCTATTAGAATGTAACCAGTCTTTTATTACAGCTGGATAGGCCATTATAATTTTTCACTATTATAAAGGTGCTTTAATGAATATTGCTGTATTCATTTATGCATCTGTACAAAAGGCACGAGTCTTTTCAATTTTAATTGGCTGGCCTATAAAACTGTCGTATCCATTTACACTCATTAATATCATACTAGAATGTCTGGTTCTTCCCATGTCCTGGCTAGTACTATGTGCTATCCATTTTTCCAAACTTTGCCAATCTGGTACCGAAAAATATATCCTATTGTTAATTTATTAAAAAAAAAATCTTTTTTTTTTTTTAAAATGAGATATAGTCTCACTTTGTTGCCCAGGCTGGAGTGCAATGGTGCAATCATAATTCACTGCAGCCTCAAAATCCTAGGCTCAAACAATCCTCCCACCTCAGCCTCCCAAGGATCTGGGAGTACAGGTGCGGGTTACCACGCCTAGCTAATTTTTAATTCGTTTGTAGAGATGGGTCTCGCTACATTGTCCAGAGGTATTGAACTCCTAACCTCAAACAATTCTCCTGCCTTGGCTTCCCAAAGTGTTGGGATTACAGGAGTGAGCCACCATACTCAGACTTAAAAAAATTTTTTTAAATTCAAGACAGTAGACATTAATCCCATTATTGCTTTAATTGCATTTTATAAGTAATATGTCTGAATTTCTTTTCCTTCGTTTGCCGAGCATTTGTATTTCTTTTGTGAGTAGCCTATTCATGTCTCTTACCTATTTTTTCTACCTGATAGCTGCTCCCCACCCCTCCTTTTTTTTTTTTTTTTTTTTTTTTAAGAGATGAGGTCTCACTATGTTGCCCAGGCTGGAATGCAGTGGCTAGTCACAGGCGTAATAATGGTTCAGTACAGCCTTGAACTCCTCGGCCCATGTGATCCCCCGTGTCACACTCCAGAATAGCTGGGACTACAGGTGTGAACCACAGCACCCGGATAATTTTTTTTTTAAGACAGAGTTTTTTGCTCTGTTGCTCAGGCTGGAGTGCAATGGCACAATCTCGACTCACTGCAACCTCCGCCTCCCGGGTTCCAGAGATTCTCCTGCCTCAGCCTCCTGAGTAGCTGGGATTACAGGCACCTGCCACCACACCCGGCTAAGTTTTGTATTTTCAGTACACAAGGTTTCACCATGTTGGCCAGGCTGGTCTTGAACTCTTTTTTTTTTGAGACAGAGTCTCGCTCTGTCGCCCAGGCTGGAGTGCAGTGGCACAATCTTGGCTCACTGCAAGTTTCACCTCCCGGGTTCAAGCCGTTCTCCTGTGTCAGCCTCCCGAGTAGCTGGGACTACAGGCGCCCGCCACCATGCCTGGCTAATTTTTTGTATTTTTAGTAGAGACGGGGCTTCACCATTCACAGGATGGTCTCGATCTCCTGACCTCGTGATCCGCCCGCCTCGGCCTCCCAAAGTGCTGGGATTACAGGTGTGAGCCATCGTGCCCAGCTGGTCTTGAACTCTTGACCTCAGGTGATCCACCCACCTCAGCCTCTCAAAGTGCGAGGATCACAGGCATGAGCAACTGCTCCCAGCCTCATCTGTATAATTCTTAAAATTTATTTTTTATATAAAATAATAATTATAACAACACTAAATGCTTATCAGTACCAGGAACAGGTTTACTTGCTTTACAGTTAATCCTCAAATTAATCCTATAGAAACAGCATTAGTATTTCCATTTTACAGATGAAGTGAGTTTCACTTGCCTCAAATAGCTAGCACATGGGAGTGATGGAAAATCAACTGTTGTCATACATGTCACAAAAGTTTTTCTCCCTGGTAGCATTATCTATAAAATATTTTTATTTTCTGACTAGTCAATACTAGATCTTGGCCTGGTGTGGTGGCTCATGCCTGTAATCCCAGCACTTTGGGACGCCGAGGAGGGTGGATCACCTGAGGTCAGGAGTTCAAGACCAGCCTGGCCAACACGGTGAAACCCCATCTCTACTAAAAATACAAAAAAACTAGCCAGGCGTGGTGGCAGGCACCTGTAATCCCAGCTACTTGGGAGGCTAAGGCAGGAGAATTGTTTGAACCCGGGAGGCAGAGGTTGCAGTGAGCCGAGATTGCACCACTGCACTCCGCCTGGGCGACAGAGCAAGACCCCACCTAAAAAACAACAACAACAACAAAAAAACAAACCACAAAACAAATTTAAAACCTAGATCTTTTCTCCAGTGAAATGTTAACTACATTGGTAAACTCTCTCAGGATTTAAATTTAAGAAGCCAGTAAGAAAAATACTGGGAACTTTAATTTGGAAAACCCAGATACTAGCTTTGTCCTTTTCTGGTACAATTTTTATTCTACTTCACTATCACTAAATTTATAATGCAGATTTTAAATTTTCTTCAACACTATGGACCTAGCAGTTTGGTATTAAGTCTGAGAATTCTGGCTAGTGAACTGCCTCATTGGAAAGGTAATGAAATAAAATATCAGTATCTTCAAACACTGCTTGAGGCTCTTGTTTTTAGTAAGGAAAAGTCAATGAAGAAAAATTACAGGCGCAACGGCTCATGCCTGTAATCTTTGCACTTTGGGAGGCCAAGATGAGAGGATCACCTGAGGCCAGGAGTTGAAGGCTGCAGTGAGCTATGATTGAGCCACCGTATTCCAGCCTGGGTGACAGAAATAAATAGGGTGAGATTTAAATTAGTTAAATGTATATACACTCAAGGGAGGTAAATCAATCACCTAGGAAAGTAAACCAAGAGACTGGCAGTAAACACATGCTTGAAGAGCTTATGAATGCCCACTCCTGGCATGGTGAATTGCACACAGCTTTTGAAGGCTGGGCAAGAGCACAGTAGTAATAGTTATGAGAAAGACATTTAGTAAGTGATATAAGCCATTTTAGGTTGGGTAAACACAAAGATAAGGTTCAGCCCAGGAGCTCTTAGCCCTTTTCAGGTACCACATCATGGAGAGCATAGATATGGTATCACAGAGATGATACTTTCTCTGAAGTTACATCTGTTAGTATGTAATCACATGCACTGATTTCAAGTGGGACAGTAGATGCCTGTAACCTTCCATCCTGGGAATCACTAGTCTAGATTATAGAAAAAGAAGCTCAAAGAACTGAAAAATAGGAGTGCTTATATAAGCTCTGTCTTGTGTGAAGAGGGATGTGGCTGCCACCTGAATTTCTCTCGTCCCTAAAATGTATCCTGAGACAGGTTAATTCCAATTATTAAATGTAGACAATTAACCGCCCCTGTTCTGACTTCCAGGTTCACTAGGCAAAGTTTCCATTACAACCTGGCTTCGCATGCAGAAGTGCCTGCAGGAAAACCGTGTGCGAGTCTAGCTAGAATGTGCTGGCCCCACAAGAACGTGAGCTCCACAAGGAGTTTTGTTTTGTTTTCTGATGCACCCCAAGCATCTGGAACATTGCCAGACACATTAAAGGTGCTCAAAAAATATTTGTCTGACTGAAAGACTGAATAATATGAGCAACCTGACTCCTGTGAAAGGACAGTCTTCATTTTTAATTAGTAACTGAGCATAATTGGAGTTTACTCTCGAAATTAAATTTGAATTTACAAAGCTCAAACCATGGCAAATTCACCACAGTGAATTTTTGTGAGGCCTCTTACCCTTTTTTTTTTTGGTTTTGTTGTGTGTGTGTGTGTGTGTGTGTGTTTGAGACAGGGTCTTGCTCTGTCCCCTAGGCTGGAATGCAGTGGCATGATCATAGCTCACTGCAGCCTTGAACTCCTGGGCTCAAGGGATCCTCCTGCCTCAGCCTTTCGAGTAGCTGGGACCACAGCCATGCACCACCATGTCTGGCTAATTTTTTCAATTTTTTGGTAGAGATGGGATCTTGCTACATTGCCTTGCTACATTGCTACATTGCCTGGTCTCAAACTCCTGGCCTCAGTAAGAGCAATCCTTCCGCCTCAACCTCCAAAGGTGTTGGGATTACAGGCATGAGCTACCATGCCCAGCTCATCTTACCCTTTTAAAAAATCTAACAGATACACAACAGCACTTCCTATATGCCAGATGCTCTTTCTAAGCACTTTATAAAACATTAACTCAATTAGTGCTCACAACAATCCTATGACATAGGTACAATTATTACTTACATTTTAAAGATAAGGAAATTGGGGCACAGGGAGGTTAACCAACTCACCCAAGGTCAGCTAGTGACCTAAGTTCAGAATTTGAACTTAGGCAAGTCTAGCTCCAGAGTACACACTCTCAACCACATGTTATGCTATGTCCCATCAACCAGGGGATCTGCCCTCGTAACATCCTGAAATCCCCAAACATTTTCCCTGTGAAATGTTAATATCATGTACCTCAAATGTATTTTTTGTCACACCAGCAAGCCCAAAGTACATCATGCCTCCAGTTCTGGAGCTAACACAGATTTCTCCAATTTCATCTGTTTTGCAGAGCTGGGGAGGTCCATCTGGTTTCACAATGCACATCATCCCTAACGTACAGAAAATACAGGTTAAAGGACAAAGATTCTAGAAAACTTTTGTAAAATAACAGCTTCATCCTGTGAACCCAAGAAAGTCCTGCCTTTACTGAGTGGCATTAAGTAAAAATACCAGACAGGAATGCTAAACATAAACCTGAAACTACATAGGTATATTTGAAATGTAAAGCTTGTAGAGACAGTGACATATTAACGATGAATGCAAAGCCCAAATAAACAGGTTAGATGAATGAGGTGTTACCCTTAGGCAGGTCAAACTCAAACACTCTTGGAAGCAGTATGCTCTAATTTTCTGCCAGTCCCAATGGCTTGGCAATTACAGTGAAAACCAGGTAACTTTAACATCTCTCAGTATTTGGCCTTCCAGGTAAAGAAATGGACTTGAAGCATTCACAACTGGTAAGTCATACAATACTGCTGGAAGGTCAGCATAATTATAATGACTTAACTATTAGAGAGGCTCTGAGAAATTAAATGCGTTAAGTACTGAATTAAGGGTTCCTCGTTTGGGATTCTGTATTTTATCAGGCTCTATTATCTCTGATGACAAATCTTTATGAAAAACCAAATGATGCTCCTTGCGACTCACCACCAGGCATTACATGCCCTACATCCTGGACCGTCAGTGCTGAATTTTTATCTTCAGTATTGACCCGTATTACCCCATAGCTCAATCCATTCATTGAGAGAATGGCTCTTCCTGGCAAAGGGGCTCCTGGAACTCCAGGCCTGAAAAGAAGAACCCATCAAGTTTGGTGAATGAAATAACATCAAGGGAAAAATACAAATACATAGGAAGACAAATTTCCTCTGGCTACAATACCAAAAAAATTCTCCATTTTCTCTCCCAAAAATATGCCAAATTAGAGCTGGGTGTGGTGTCTCACACCTGTGATCCCAGCAACTGCTGTGGCAGGAGGATTGCTTGAGGCCAGGAGTTCAAAACCAGCCTGGGCAACACAGTGGGACCCCCATCTCTACAAAAAATACAAAAATTAGCTGGGTATGATGGCACATGCTTGTAGTCCCAGCTACTTGGGAGGCTAAGGTGGGAGAACCATCTGAGCCTGGGAGGTTGAGGCTACAATGATCGTGTCACTGTGCTCCAGCCTGGATAACAGAGCAAGACCCCATCTCTCAAAAATTAAATTTAAAAAAAATGTAGTGTAGTAAACACATAAACCAGCAAAATGGTCATTTATCATCATCATCAAGTATTGCGTACTGGGCCAGGCTTGGTGGCTCATGCTTACAATCCCAGCACTTGGGAGGACAAGGAAGGTGGACTGCTCAAAGCCAGTAATTCGAGACCAGCCTGGGCAACATAACAAGAACCTATCTCTACAAAAAAATTTAAAAATTAGCCAGGCGTGGTGGTACATGCCTGTAGTCCTAGCTACTCAGGAAGTTGAGGCAGGAGGACTGTTTGAGCCCAGGAGGTTGAGGCTGCAGTGAGCCATAATCATGCCACTGGGTGACAAAGAGAGATCCTATCTAAAAAAAAAAAAAAAAAAAAAAAAAAAGTATATCTATATACACACACACACATTCACTGATACTTACATACATAATGGTCTTGAATATACTATAGATATACTATCCATACTTAAGCTACAATCAAGAACAGTCTATTTTTAATCTAAGGTGCTATGGATTCCGAAGAGCAAAATGGCACAGAAAAAGAGCTAATTCACAAATACGAAATGATATCAATTAAATTTTTCAGTTTACTGCATACACTTTGAGCAAGAGTGGGAAAAATGAGATGCTTGAAACTGCTTAGAAAATTAGTTAACATCCGTTGGTCATCACCTGGTAAATACTGCACATTTCATCCAAGTTGTAACATACATCAAGAGCATCTGACATCCTGAACAGTACCTGCGGATTGCTACAGTCATGGCTTCAGCAGACGTGGCGCACGGACAGATGGCCTCAGGCTTCAGTCCATGACTTTGGAACAGACTCAGGAAGGCATCACAGGATGACACGGACCCTAAGGAGTTGGAACAGATCAACCTGAAGCTGAAATTATGCTTTTCATTACTGTAGGAAAATGGTAAAGAATAGAAAGCTGACATACTTATTTCTCATGAGAACTCATATTGTATATTGTTAATTCCACGCAAATATTTTACTGTCCCTGTGAGATGGTTTGATATATTTCAAGGACAAATTAATGCTCATCCAGCCCATAAAAGGTCACTGACACTATTTAAAATTACACCTTGGAATAAGGCTGCTCCTATTAAACTGACAAATCAGTATCAGAGATAACACTGCAGGCAATATGCAGCCAGTTTATAATTTAGCAACTCTTCCTGAGGAACTGTCATAGCCAGTGCAATTTAATATTGGCTTAGCTCCACCTTCTATATGATATTAAGGTCAAGCCCATGTCTGTGTTTTAAACTATGATGATCAATGTGACTACTAACAAAGTCCATTTATGACAAACAGTGTAGTGCTCTACCTGATTCTACTGTGTGAAGGATCAGGATTTGGGGGCTTGTAGAGAAAAGCAGGTAACACAGGAATACCCAGTTACATGATAGAAAGAGGTTATACATGAATGAGCAAAAAAGAATGACTTAAAAGCTTATAGATCCATCAAAAGATGAATGAGTAAATACAATGTGGTATAACTATACAATGGACGATTTCCTGGTAGTAACAAGGAATGCAGAAGTACTGACAGATACTACAACATGGATGAACGTTAAAAACATGCTAAGAAAAAGAAGCCCATCACAAAGACCACATACTGCATGACTGCATTTATAAGAAATGTTCAGAATAGGCAAATCTAGGGAGACAGGCAATAGATTAGCAGTCATCTAGGGCTGGGGCAGGAGGAAAAATGGCGAGTGACTGATAATGGGCATGTGGTTTCTTTTTGGGTGATGAAAATGT
Source organism: Homo sapiens (assembly GCF_000001405.40). Classification (NCBI taxonomy): domain Eukaryota; kingdom Metazoa; phylum Chordata; class Mammalia; order Primates; family Hominidae; genus Homo; species Homo sapiens. The sequence continues at coordinate 50,696,143 of NC_000012.12, read as the reverse complement.
TCTAAACTTAGATTGTAATGATGGTTACACAACTCGTGAATATACCAAAACCACTGAATTACACATCTTAAATGAGTGAGTTTTTCAGTATGTGAATTATATCTTAGTACAGGGCGAAAAACCCTAATCTATCAAAACACAGGATATTCCCAGATCCACAATGAAGAAATACTCACAGGGGTTAGCTCCATCAGTCACAATTAACATTCGGAGGGAACTCAAGCTCACGTCTCTTTGGTCCCGATGTGCCATCATAGCCCAGTGCAAGTCCCGACATTTTACTAAAGCTACCTTGGCTATAAATTCAAAAAGGATGAAGTTAACATACACAATAAATTTGGGACATATGTAATACACCACAATAAAAACATTTTTACTTATTTGGGGAATCATGATATTTGCTTGGAGAAGATAAAAACGGTTTCAAAGAGATTGTGCCAATAGCTCAGAGGCAGAAATTATCACATTTAGACAACTGACTGGACCTACAATTGTTTGTTCACTGAGACCCTCTAGGCAGGTCACAGTGTCCCAGCCAAGGAAACTGTGAATACCAAGACAGTCAAATCTAATTCAAGGCTCGCATTTGGAAAAAATTCATCTCAATGCTTAAGAGAGGACATCAGTGAGATGAACAGGCAAGGTACCTAATTCTGTAGTAACTAAACTCTACAATTTGTTAAGGGACAGGGGCATACAAGGGCAATTTGAAAATCTCTGAAATCCCTGAAATCTTAATTCAAACAGTCACATAATTAAAGCTCAGATGTTGCAGGTGACTACCTTTGTGAGCATGTACTCTTTGGACCCAAGAGAGAGGACAGGTTTTCATAACAGAGTAGGGTACGCTGATTGTGTGCATCTTATTCATTACATTCTGAAAAACAAAGAAAGAAGAAAAGTAATCAATACAAAATACATACTTAGTATTTTAAAATTGAGCTGGTATTTTGTTAGCAATTTTAATTATACAAGTAATACTCAAATACACACTCTTTGAAAACAATCTTAAATATTAAATATAAGATTGAAGTTCCTTTAATACCTACCCTCAAACCTGGTTCCCTCCTCTCCTCGCCAGAGATAATCAGTTACAAATTTGACAGATATCCTTCCAATCTTTTTTCAATGCATTTTCATAGATATTTGTTCCCATAGAAATATATAAGTATTTTTAACATAAAAGACATCATATTATACATATATCTGTAACTTGTTTTTTTCATTTAAATTGTTCTAAAGCTAAATCTATGCATATCAGTATAAGAGATCTACATAATTCTTTTTGAACTGCGGCACAGTATTCCATTGTTTGGCTATATCACAATTATTTAGGCATTTCCCTATTAATGACAATTTTTTGCTACTACAAAAAATGTTTCAAGGAGCACATTCCTACTTCCTTCCCTGGACTTGTGCAAGTATTTCCCTATATGGACATGTAGTACTGCTGTCATATGGCATATGCTTTAAAAAAAAAAAAAAAAAAGAGACAGGGGTTTCACTATGTTGCCCAGGCTGGCCTCCAATTCCTGAACTCAAGTGATTCTCTTGCCTCAGCCTCCAGGGTAGCTGGGACTGGTGTATGTATGTATGTATGTATGTATGTATGTATGTATGTATGTATGTATGTATGTATTTATTTATCTGAGACAGAGTCCTGCTCTGTTGCCCAGGCTAGAGTACAGTGGTGCGATCTCGGCTCACTGCAACCTCTGCCTCCTGGGTTCAAACAATTCTCCTGCACAGCCTCCTGAGTAGCAGGGATTACAGGTGTGCGCCACAATGTCCAGCTAATTTTTGTATTGTTAGTAGAGTTGGGATTTCACCATGTTGGCCAAGCTTGTCTTGAACTCCTGGCCTCAAGTAATTCGCCTGCCTTGGCCTCTCAAAGTGCTGGGATTACAGGCCTGAGTCACAGTGCCCGGCTGTGGTATATGCTTTTAAAATGCTAACAGACACTGCCAAACTGCCCTCCAACCCACTTAATGCTTTTATCATGTTCGTACTTGCCACATGCCACAAAGGGGCTAGCTGGGCATCACAAAGCAAGAAATCGAAATGTCCCTGTTTCTTACAGGAGGTCCTGCCTACATCTGTTAATTTTTTTTTGTTAGATAAAGCTGAAGGTGTTGAGGGGTCATGCAATTTAGGGTCTCTCCTGCCACTCTAATCAAGCATACACAAGACACCCTGTCCCCAAACAGACCCAGCCTCATAGAATAACCAAGCCTTCGTATTGAGATTAGCCATTTTGCTCACTCTCTAACTTGCCCAAAGAAACCAAGATACTACTGCAAGATACTGTTTTCTCTCTCCAAGTTTCTAGCTCTGGTGAGAAACTTTTGGTTTCAGGAAAAGGCTGGTGTTTATAACTCAATTCTTCACACATGTCCCTATCTTGCACTTGGTATCACAGAGAAGAGATTCTTCTTACCTCCTCAAAAGGATTTTTAACTTCTGATAAAGAAGAAAATGGAAAAGGTTTCAGAAAAGAGCTAGAAAGTAAATTTACTGAAGATTTCGAGGGTTCTGGGTGAAAAGGGATCCACCTCCTCTTCCCTCATGATTCATTTCCCATGCTTTCCCAGCTCCTGCATTATCAAGAAAGTGAGACTAGAGGCTCTCTGAAGTCCTTTACAATTCAGGTAACCCTGTATTTTTTTTCTCTCTCCACCTATATGGCATGTTACATATAGTAGTTTTGCCACTTGAAATGTCCCCTCTCTCTACCTCTATATCCCCTTACAAAAATCTCTGTATGTCTAAAGCTTACCTATTTTTCAAAGTCCAACTCAGCTGTCACTTCTTCCACAAAAACTGCCTTGAAGCCCAGACCTAGAAGGAAGTCACCTTTTTCTAACACCCATAGTATGCTACCTGTTCCTCTCTGATGGGGAGAATCCCCATCTACCTTGTTACTCTTCTTCAGTTGCAGCATGCAGCTTATGCATGGCAGTCATTCAAAACATTCTGTCCAGTGGAAAGGTTATATAGCCTCTGGAAAATATTACTGACCTTTTGGGGATTTAAATTTCAAACAAGCACTGAGAGATGCTCCAGTTATACAACATGCTGGCCTTATCTCAAGCACAATTTACACTAAGGGCCTTAAATCTGAGTAGCTTACCGCAAACATGCCGTGCCACAGCCCAGCATCCTTCTTAAAGTCTAAGACATTTACTATTGTTTCCCCTAAAATAGAAAAAATAGGAAGACAAAGAAATCATCTTTAGTATTAAGTAGCAAAATTATGTCACTTGCCTCTTATAAACAACTGATTTGATGTTTGTTTGCTTTTTCTTTTAGATGGAGTCTCACCTCTGTCACCCAGGCTGGAGTGCAGTGATGCAATCTCGGCTCACTGCAACCTCTGTCTCCCAGGTTCGATCAATTCTCCTGCCTCAGCCTCCCAAATAGCTGGGATTACAGGCATACACCACCATGCACGGCTAATTTTGTATTTTTAGTAGAGAGGGAGTTTCACCAGGTTGGCCAGGCTGGTCTTGAACTCCTGACCTCAAGTGATCCTCCTGCCTCGGCCTCCCAATGTGCTGGGATTACAGACATAAGCCACAGCGCCCAGCCTGATTTGATGTTTTTAGAGAAATGACTAAAAGTTCTCACGGGTTTTTGAGGGTCTCCTCAAAACGGGTAGAGGACTGCTCATAGGGTAATGTGGTTACAACAGAGCCAAGGAGTTAGAAACTTCTTGTGACTTAGGCATTTCTTCCAAGAGGTATTTTTTTCCTAAATATGCGGAGAATACATGCTTATTTTAGAAACTTGGGAAGTTTGACAAATATAAATTTCCTAAAAGATACTTCCTAAAAAAAAAAAGTTGGTGTGTATATGTATATATCTCTAAACATTCTATCTATACACACACATATACTTCTAGGCATATTTACATCTAGATAGATATCTAATGTGACAAACTGGTATACAAAGCTTGGTATCTAACTTGTTCCTGCTTAATGATACATTGAAACAATTTCTTCATATCTTTAATATTCAAAAATAAAAATTTTAATGTCCCAGCCATTATATGAATGTATTATATATATATATATTTTTTTGAGACAGAGTCTTGCTCTGTCACCCAGGCTAGAGTGCAGTGGCATGATCTCGGCTCACTGCAACCTCTGCCTCCAGGGTGCAAGTGATTCTCCCGCCTCAGCCTCCCAAGTAGCTGGGAGTACAAGCACAAGCCACCACACCTGGTCATTTTTTGTTATTTTTAGTAGAGATGGGGTTTCACCGTGTTGGCCAGGCTGGTCTCGAACCCTTGACCTCAGGTGATCCATCTGCCTCGGCCTCCCAAAGTGTTGGGATTACAGGCGTGAGCCACAGCGCCTGGTCTGAATGTATTATAACTTAATCAATCCTTATTTAAGGGCATTTTGATTGCTTCCATTATGTGTGCGTATATATATATAATTTCATGATAGAACATTGTTGTCTGGTTAAAAATTTTATCATGACCATTTATTAACTTGTTTCATTTTATAAAGGGAAAACACTAAAAAAATTAATATTGCAAAGAACATTCTGAGGCAAATAGTGGTTTATGCAATTATGTATCAACCTATCTAAAGTTCAAAAATATCGAATACATTTTTGTGTTTTAATTTATGCTTTTTGGTAGCTGAATTTCTTTGACTCCAAATGTATAGCTGGTAGCCCACTATACAGGCAGGGGAAGATGGAGATACCTGCCATTCCACAGCTAACAAAAACAGGATTTTAATTAGGGTTTTCTACTGCTGTACTCTAGAAATTATGCTTTACATTTTGGTTTGCCCAGAATTTTGGTTCCTTTAAACTACAGCATATTTTTGAGAAGAAGAAAACAAAAGCAAGCCAAGAATGTGTCTTGGGACATTTCACTCTGAATTCGGTCATTAAATGAGGTCCAATCACTGAGCATTGTGCTCACAGTCACACATCTCTGAAGGTAACAATGAGGGCAGTCATGGGATGAGGTCTGACCTTCAGAATAATTGCAGGCCTGCGACAGAGCTTGGCAGTGAGACAACATTGCAAGCCGGGATACTGTAACTCCCATTACACTCCCTTCTTTGCTTGTTTTATACTAGAAAACAAAAACAGAAACATAAGAAACACAATAAAATGGGTTATTTCAGATGACAAAACTAGAATCCAAAAACAAAACCCAGAAAAACCATCATAATGGGCTGAATTTAACATGTTTAATATGAATATTTAAGGCAATGTACTAGGGTCTCAAACTCAAATCACACAAAGATAGGATTGGAGGATGACAAAGCTCAACAAAAATATATGTGAAAAAGACTTCAAAGTTTAATAGTCATCAGTGTGAAGTGGCTGCTCAAAAGCTAAAATAAACAAGTGATTGGAGCTATATGAATAGAAACACAATATCAAATAAATACAAGTCAAGCACAGCACTGCAGAGTGAAAGGTATGTAAGACGCGGTCTCTGTGCGTTAGAAGCACCCAATTTTGTAAGGAAGAACTAGAAACGAATGGCCTATTTGCTCCTCCAAATCATTCAACTATAATTTTGCTTTTACCCTTAATGTTCCATTCAAGTTGCTTTTTACCAGGACTATCAACTTTCCTTTCTTTCTTTCTTTTAAGAGATGGAGTCTCACCATGTTGCCCAGGCTGGATTGGAACTCCTGGGCTCAAGCAATCCTCCCAGCTCAGCCTCCTGAGTAGCTGGAACTACAGGCATATGCCACTGTGCCCAGTTCAACTTTAAAAAAATTTTGGCTGGGTGCGGTGGCTCACGCCTGTAATCCCAGAACTTTGGGAGGCCAAGGTGGGCGGATCACAAGGTCAGGAGATCGAGACCACCCTGGCTAATGTGGTGAAACGACGTCTCTACTAAAAATACAAAAAATTAGCCGGGCGTAGTGGCGGGCGCCTGTAGTCCCAGTTACTCAGGAGGCTGAGGCAGGAGAATGGCGTGAACCTGGGAGGCAGAGCTTGCAGTGAGCCGAGATCACACCACTGCACTCCAGCCTGGGCAACAGAGCGAGACTCCGTCTCAAAAAAAAAAAAAAAAATTAAGTGTTCCCAAGGTCAATAATGAGAAGGGGAGAAAGAGTAGAATAGGAGTTTGATCTGTACCTGACTGTGAACAGTCAACTGAGATAATTAACTACCTTAGGACCAGCCCCAATTTTTTGATTGTTATATCAAAAGGACATTTTGCATACCTTATCGAACCTTTCTGCAAAATTTGACTACTCTCTTTCTTGATGTTTTCTCCTTCCTTTGCTTTTTTGATACTCCTCTCTTCTAGTCTCTGTCTCTGTGTGTCTGTCTCTCTCCCACTGCTCCTCCATATTCTCCACCCTTATCTCTTTTCACTTTATTCCATTAGGTTACTGCATTCCTAGTAACTCCTTGTTCTCTATCTTCAACCCAGCCTCTCCTCCAGAGAGATCCAGACTGACAGAGTCAACTAATCCCCTGGAATGTCCAGTAATCCTGTGAAACTCATATATCCATCACTGACTTCTTTACCCCCGTCCCTGCCCCTGGAAACTCTTCCTGTTGTATTTTCTATCTTAGTGAAGGATGCTGCCATCAATCCCAGTTGCTCAAGCAAGAAACCTGAGTCTGTCTTGCCTTCTCCCTCTCCAGCATCAGTAACTAAGCCCTGCCTGCTCTATTTCCTTACTGTCTGAAGCTCCATCTACTTTGCTCTCTGCTCTCTACCATAAGCTTGGGCTCACCTGAATAACTGTAAAGCCGGTCTCCTTTTTTTTTCTTTTTGAGACAGAGTCTCGCTCAGGCTGGAATGCAGTGGCACGATCATGGCTCACTGCAGCTTTGAGCTCCCAGGCTCAGCCTCCCAAGTAGCTGGGACTACAGGCATGTGCCACCACACCCGGTTAATTTTTGTTATTTTTTGTAGAGACAGAATTTCGCCATGTTGCCCAGGCTCGTCTCGAACTCCTGAGCTCAAATGATCCGCCTGCCTAAGCCTCCCAAGGTGTTAGGATAATAGGGGTGAGCCACTGCGCCCAGCCCTTATTTCCTTTCTTAACCCAACCAGTCCAGATATATCTTCTTATAATAAATTCATTCTTGTCACTCTCCTGCTGACAACCCTTTAATAACTCCCTATTACCCAGAGATGCTTTAAACTCACTAGTAGAGTCCTGTGGGTAATAGGAGGATCCCAAGCAAGAACTGCAAGTTAATTCAAAATAACAGGCACCTAGAAAGACAGAGGGTAGAAGTTCTAATAAGGCCAGAGAGCTAAGCAAGAGCCACACAATGGAGGACCCTCCACCTTTCGGAGAGCCAATAAAGACAACTGAAGGAATGGCCAATGAGGCAGAGGAACTGAGAGAGGAGTCCAAGAAGCCAGGACTGGAGTTTTAAGGAGGACCGAGTGATGAACCATGTCATCACTGAGACATGACATAGATTGAGAGCTGATCACTAAATTTGGTATTTTTAATTGCTTATTTGTATTTTTTTCTTTTTTGAGACAGAATTGTGCTCTGTCATCCAGGATAGGGTGCAGTGGCATGAACACAGCTCACTGTTGCCTCAACCTCCTGGGCTCAAGTGATCCTCCCACCTTAGACTCCTTGAGTAGCTGGGACTATAGGTGCATACCACCAGGCCCAGCTAATTTTTTATTTTTTGTAGAGACAGGGTCTCACTATGTTACTCAGGTTAGTCTTGAATTCCTGAGTTCAAGCAATCCAGCTCCCTCAGCCTCCCAAAATACTGGGATTAAAGGCATGAGCCATCTTACCTGGCCTATCTGTCTGTCTTTTAAAGATACTTAGATCTGTTTCACCTTTAAAAACAATCATCCTGGCATCCAATAATACCCCCATCACCTCTCAGAGCTACTGGTCACTCTCTTCCTTTTCTTTGCAGTCCTCCTATTTGGCCTTCCAAAGTGCTGGGATTACAGACAGATGTGAACCATTGCATCCAGCCTCTCTAGTGCAGTGGCGTGATCTCAGCTCACTGCAACCTCTGCATCCTGGGTTCAAGTGATCCTCCCGCCTCAACCTCCCAAGCAGCTGGGACTACAGACGTGCATCATCATGCCCAGCTAATTTTTTTTATTTTTAGTAGAAACGGGGTTTCACTATGTTGGCCAGTCTGGTCTCGAACTCCTGACCTCAGGAGCATCCACCTCAGCCTCCAAAAGTGCCAGGATTACAGGCGTGAACCAATGTGTCCCACCCCAGCCTCTCTTTTCTATTTTTTTTTTTTTTTAATTTTACTTTTAAGTTCTGGGACACGTGCAGAACTTGCATGTAGGTTACATAGGTATATGTGTGCCATGGTGATTTGCTGTACCTATCAACTCGTCATCTAGGTTTTAAGCCCCGCATGCATTAGGTATTTGTCCTAATGATCTCCCTCCCCTTGCCCCCCAGCCCTCAACAGGCCCCGGTGTGATATTCCCCTCCCTGTGTCCATGTGTTCCTATTGTTCAACTCCCATTTATAAGTGAGAACATGCAGTGTTTGGTTTTCTGTTCCTGTGTTAGTTTGCTGAGAATGATGGCTTCCAGCTTCATCTATGTCCTGCAAAGGACATGAACTCATTCTCCCAGCCTCTCTTTTCTATATCCAAAATTTTTTGAAGTTCTCTCTACTTATCACCACAGTGTTCAAGGCTAGATGATTTTCCCCCAGATCTTGAAAAAAATTTTTATTGATTTGCCTGTTCATTAACTTAACAATTGGTGAGCATATGTCTCAGGCAGGATGCAGAGTGGTGAAGGCCACAGCTTTTAGAGTTAGACCTAACTCTGAGTCTAGCTCTGCCATTTTTGAGTCATGTGGCCTTTGCTCAGCTACGGAAATTCTTTTAAGTCTTAGTCTCCTCATCTATAAAGTAAGTTTAGTAATAATCCAAACCTCACAGGGTACTTGTGAGGACTACATGAGAAAATGCACTTAAAGCATTCAGCCTGGTGCCTGCTGTGCACTTGGATTTGCTTAATCCATTAATGGGATCATGTTGCCAATTGCATTTCTATACCAACCTCAATATCAAACCTTCCAGCCATTTGTTTATTCTTGCTCTTTATCTTTCATCTACTAATCTGTTCTTTTAAGCAGAGCTATTTTCCCTCCTCATTTCTCCGTTCTCTTACCCCCAACCTCTCTAAATAAGCAGCAGAGAAATTTCTCTGCCAGTACATCATTTCCTAAACGCTTGTACTTCCCTAAAGTCTTTTGTAACTTTCTTACATGAAGAATCCTTTTTTTTTTGCCGTCATTCTCTTGAATGTATACTTATGATCAAAATAATTAGGATAGAAGATCCACTACAAGGCATTTTACAAGCCAAAAGATGGAAATCTCACAAAGCAGGAGGATCTTCTAACATTAACGTTGCAAAAATTCAGTTTTATATTTTGAAAGGTGGCAAGCAAAGCCCAAGGAAAAGCCTGAAAGCATATTTTACATCTTAGGACTTACCTCAATGTATGCCGGTTCTGTCCCAGCAGGTGAGATGTGTGGCTGCCAGTCTTTCGGTGGCTTTGAAAGGTACTTGGAATCTGTTACAACCCATTTGAGCCGGGGCCAACCTAAATCAAACCCAAAGTGAAAATTGAATTGCCTAAGCCATCAGGGAATGAATTCACACTGAACTGGTCATTTTAAATATCAAGAGACCAAATTAAGATCATTTTATAATCAATAAAATACTTAGTTTTTATTAGTTTTTAGTGGCAAATCACCAGACAATTATACCTTCTTTCAAAAGTACAATCGTTCCACATGCTAATTCCAGGCCTTGACATTACCTCAACAACTGGGAGGTCCGTTTGGCAGTGGAAGTCCACTGAGGTTAGTGGTCTATCCTCTGTCTCTACATGTAGCATTTAGCTTTAATGTACAGAGTGGTAGCTTTTTCCAACCATCGGCATAAAGGTTAAGGGTGTGGGCTGTGGAATCAGACAGATTTGGGTTCAAATTGCTGCTCTGCCATTTATTAGCTGTGACTTTGGGCAAGTTACTTAACCTCTCTGTTTCTCAGTTTCCTCACTTGTAAAATGGGGATAATAATGGTACCTACTTCATAAGACTATGAGAATTAAATAGAACATATATGTAAAGTACCTAGCTATTACTAAATTAAAAAGCTAATTAAAGCACTCAGTTTTAACTTTTAACTGATAATTCAGGTACAATGTTACTAACCTTTAAACTGTACAATTTCTCCATTCTGGGTTTTTGGCAGTCCTTTTAGACAAACTTCACTGGTAAGAGCTAAGGCAATACCACAGCTTCCTAGCAAGAAGCCAATCTGCTGACCTCCAGCATCCTGTGGAGAAATGATAATGAACATAGGTAGGGGAGCGAATGTGAGCACACTCATGCCCATATCTGACACTTAGTAATGCTCTGGCATTTTGTTTGATAACATTCATGGAGCCCCACCAATATCTGGCAATTGTCAAAATCCAATCACAATGTGTTCTTCCAAATAATTTCCACAATACAAACATTTCCTGAGCACAAATCAAGTATTTTATTAACCAGACATTACAAATGATAAATCCTACCAGACAAATGTAACCATTTTATTCAAGAGTCAGCAATGATCCTATTTTAGATTAGTTTCCAGCAAATTAAATAAATGCTAACATGGTTATCTTCCCCTAGCCTCACTCCAAAATTCGAGAGAAAAGCAAGTCAGGTATGAACAAAATAAATAATGTAAATGGATACTAAATGTCCAAGCTGACAATGAAAGTCAATGGATGGATATACCAAATCTGTATAATCCTTTTATTTTTCTGTTTTTAAAGGGGGTAGATTTAAGCCTTACACAAAAACAGCAGCAAAAACAACAAAAGATATAGTCTAAAACATTTCCATTAAAATATCATCTTACAAGCATCATTATGAAACCACACAAATTCTGCCAACTTAATAATTTAAGAACAATCATATGATTTCCTGATCAAATGAAGGATACTACATCCCAACAACTAGAGATTAGGGGATGTTATCAATTTGTTTTTTATTCCTTTCAGAAATGCTTTTTCTTTTCTTTTTTTATGAGATGGAGCCTCTCTCTGTCACCCAACCTGGAGTGCAGTGGCATGATCTCGGCTCACTACAACTTCCACCTCCTGGGTTCAGGCTATTCTTCTGTTTCAATCTCCCAAGTAGCTGGGACTACAGGAGCGCACCACCATGCCTGGCTAATTTTTGTATTTTTAGTAGAGACAGGGTTTCGTCATGTTGGCCAGGCTGGTTTTGAACTCCTGACCTCAAGTGATCCACCCGCCTCAGCCTCCCAAAGTGCTAGGATTACAGGCATAAGCCACTGCGGCCCGGCTGATTTCTTCTTTTATTTTTTTGAGACAAGATCTCACTTTGTCAGGCTGGTATACAGTGGCGCAATCTTGACTCACTGCAAACTCCACCTCCCGGGTTCAAGCGATTCTCCTGCCTCAGCCTCCTGAGTAGCTGGGATCACAGGCTTGTGCCATCACACCTGGCTAATTTCTGTATTTTTAGTAGAGATGGGGTTCCACCATGTTGGCCAGGCTGGTCTCAAACTCCTGACCTCAGGTGATCCACCCACCTCGGCCTCCCAAAGTGCTGGGATTACAGGTGTGAGCCATTGTGCCTGGCCAATTTCTTCTTATAAATCCACATCCTCCAACATATTCATCTTTGACATCAGCCCTCAGAAATAAACTGCATGACAAAATTAGCATCAAGTGGCTCATGGAGAAATCACTCAGTCAAACATGGAAATCTGTTACATATGCTTCATTTTAGTTGGGCTGATGTATTGTCAAAGTAAAATCTTATAATCCAGAGAAGTAACATGTCATCACACCATCACTTTCCACCTAATGGAAATCCTAGGTCATATGATACAGTTAGAGGAAATCCCTTTAAAAAAGGTCTCAACTACTATAAATGTGGATTATCTATAGTCTCTGAAGCAAGAGTGGGATTCTTTATAAATGATCAGTGTTGAAAGTCAAGTATGCCCCCATGATATTTTATTTTATATTCTGAAACAGAGTCTTGCTTGCCCTATTGCCCAGGCTGGAGTGCAGTGGCGCAATCACAGGTCACTGCAGCCTCAATCTCCTGGGTTCAATCAATCCTTCCACCTCAGCTTCTCAAATAGCTGGGACTACAGGTGCACACCACCACGCATGGCTAGTTTTTTTTACTATTTATAGAGATGGGGTCTCCCTATGTTGCCTAGGCTGCTCTCAACCTTCTGGGCTCACGCAACCCGCCCACCTCAATCTCCCAAAGTGCTAGGATTACAGGCGTGAGCCACCATGTCCAGTTGCCCCAGTGATATTTATTTATTTTTTATTTATTTATCTATTTATTTTTAGACGGAGTCTTGCTCTGTCGCCCAAGCTGGAGTGCAATAGCGCGATCTCAACTAACTGCAAGCTCCACCTCTAGGGTTCACGCCATTCTCCTGCCTCAGCCTCCCGAGTAGCTGGGACCACAGGCGCCCGCCACCACGCCCAACTAATTTTTTTGTATTTTTTAGTAGAGACGGGGTTTCACCATGTTAGCCAGGATGGTCTCGATCTCCTGACCTTGTGATCCCCCCGCCTCAGCTTCCCAAAGTGCTGTGATTACAGGCGTGAGCCACTGCGCCCGGCCTCGCCCCAGTGATATTTTAAATGATATGCAATACTATACAAACTCTATCTTAATACAAAATATGTTATTTGCATAAAACTTGTGAATATTTAATAAATAATTTTTCTACAAATTTCCTGTTTTTAGAAAGTGAAGCTGAGTACTTCCAAAAATGGTCGAACAGTTTTTACTGTTGTGACTACATCTATCCAAGAACCCAATGCCTGCCATGTCACATCAGGCTACATTCCTCTTAAATTTAGCAATGTTACCTTTCTGGTAAGAGGTACCTCTATAGGCACTGGAATCACTTCTGCCAGGAGGCATCCATAGAAAGCCACCATAAACATGACTGGATCATTGTTGGGGTAAACCAGGGCTACCTAAAATTCATAATGATATTCAGTTTAACAGAGGAATAAAAACATACTAATGCTTTCAATGTCACTGTCTAAGTATGTAATATTTATCATGAACACAATAAATCAAACTATTTAACAGCCATCTGCTCTAAAGGAAATTAAGTTACTGAGATAGAGACACACATCTAAAAAGATCTCCGACATGCCCACGATTATACTACACATTTTGGGAACTATAACGCATTCATCCTCGTCCTCATCACAATTTTTCACTTAATCCTTTTGGTGATTTAGCAACAAACAAACCATCTTAAGCATTAAGTTAATTACTTAGGAAACCCAAGGCAATTTACTTTAGTGTAGGGCTAAGGCAATAAAATAAATGTAATGGATCTCTCCAGATAGAACAGCATATTAAAGAATAAGCCTTACATCTCTCAGAGAGAGCCTACAACTGTAGACTGACTTGATCACCATGTTAGGGCCAATATAAGTTTTCCTACTCTTTTTTTTTTTTTTTTTTTTTTTTTGAGACAGAGTCTCGCTCTGTCGCCCAGGCTGGAATGCAGTGGTGCGATCTCAGCTCACTGCAAGCTCCGCCTCCTGGGTTCACGCCATTCTCCTGCCTCAGCCTCCCGAGTAGCTGGGACTACAGGTGCCTGCCACCACGCCTGGCTAATTTTTAATATTTTTAGTAGAGATGGGGTTTCACCGTGTTAGCCAGGATGGTCTCGATCGATCTCCTGACCTCGTGATCTGCCTGCCTTGGCCTCCCAAAGTGCTGGGATTGCAGGCGTGAGCCACCCCACCCGGCCAGTTTTCTTACTCTTTAATTCATTGTTTTAATCCTTGTTCCCTTACCCAACAATGCAAATGTTCTAGCAGGAGGGCATCTGGTAATAGGTGTAAACAATACTGGTGGAAACCGTATGGATATACAGTTAATTCATTAATAGAACATAAACCGTGAAACCTCTATAGTAAGTTCAAACCTGTGATCTCACCTGTAACACATCACAGAGATAAGTGACTTTTCCTAATTCACTCAAGGAATGCAAAAACGTAAAAGTCACTACCACTGCGGAGTTTCTTACTTGGTTTGGATACTCACAGATTAATATTTGAAACTTAATTACGTCATGAGACTTGTTTCCCCTTCTTTTGCTTTCAAATTCTGTTAACTCACTCCCAAGAGAAGTTCACTTTTGAACTTCTGAATTTTCCTAGGGTTCTGGAAAATTAATTCCACAAGACATTTAAACAACCCATTTCCTTCCTGCACAGTGTCCATCTTGCTAGGGAGACACAAAATCACCTGCTTAGGGTTCAGGAGGACTAGGAAACACTCATGTGTCACATTTATAAGTAAAAGCCATCCTTTATGTGCCCTTTGTCACAATGCAAAAGTATTTTTAACAGGTCTAGTTTAAGAGATTCCATAATCATAAGCCCAATCAAAATAAGTCTATTGTGTAGTTGGTGTTTCATTCTATGAATTCCAAATGAAAAGTAATGGTAAAAAGTAATCATATTTAGAAAGTCATTAATAGGAAAAATATCTTCAAAAATTAAAAAAATAGTATAATGTCCCCTCAAATTAAAGGAGAAATAAAACTCTGTCAATCGGTTTTTTCTTAAAAGTAACATGAATCTTCCTCTCTTTTTACATAAGACCACAGAAAAATGTTTTAAAAGATGTATGAGGCTTTTTTTTTGTTGTTGTTGTTGTTAGGGTCTCACTCTGTTGCCCACACAAATGCAGTGGCAAGATCATGGCTCACTGCTGCCTTGAACTCCTGGGCTCAAGCAATCCTCCCGCCTTAACCTCCCGAGTAGCTGGGACTACAGGTGCATGCCACCACACCCAGCTAATTAAAAAAAAAAATTGTTTGTAGAGATGGGGTCTCACTATGTTGCCCAGGCTGGTCTAAAACTCCTGGCTTCAAGTGATCCTCCCGCCTCAGTGTCCCAAAGTGCTGGGATTACAGGTGTGAACCACTGCACCCAGCCCATGTTTGAGGCATTTTGTGAAGAGGAGGAAAAAATAAAATAAAAAAATCAGAGAGTAAGTTTTGTTGCTGTTTTCTTATTGTCTAAAGATTCAAATATTTATTTCTGGAAAGACTAAGGTTTCTCTTTCTTTTTATTAGCACCTAAAGAGATTACTGATTGGCAGCTACAGGAAAGGACATGCGAATTTCCTTCAACCCAGGAATGTGAGAATTGTCATCTGGCATTGGGCTAACCTGCGTTGGAACCAAACCATTTTTATTTTTCCAAAAATAAGAGTTACATAAATTTTCCTGTTGTATATGAAAACTCCAGAATATTAGAATATTAGCATATTAGAAAACAATAAACACCACCTCCCTAAAACCAAAATCACACCAATTACCCTGTCTCCAGGTTTTAACACAGGTTCATTTTTGGTCCCCAGTTTATTAAGAAGTGTGTAGGCCAACTTTAAACTTCTGCTCCACAACTTTCCTGGAAAAAAAGGAAAAAAAAACAACAGTCATATAGAAAAAAAAACAGGTCTACCTCAATGAAAGAACATTCAGATCATCAGTGTAGTTAATGAGACAATGGCCACTTCCAAATGATGGGTTAGATGAGTGTCATTCACCCCCAACACACAGTAGGCCTCCCCACAAAAGCTTTCTATTCATTCTAGTTTACAAAAGCCAGTCATGCCTTGAAACAGAAATAAAACATCACCAGATGCTCATCCTGGTTTACATAATATTTCAAATTCTTTTCTGAAAGAATCTGCATATCCTTAGAAATAATTTGATGCAAACTGATCATACTGAAAGGGAGGAAAACAATATTTTTAATTACAAGACTGAAAATCAGAAGAATACTTCTGTTCTAAGTTTTTTTTTTTTTTTTTTTTTTTAAGACAGAGTCTCACTCTGTCGCCCAGGCTGGAGTGCAGTGGTGCAATCTCGGCTCACTGCAACCTCTGTCTGTCTCCCTGTTTGAGTAATTCTTGCCTCAGCCTCTCAAGTAGCTGGGACTACAGGTGTGTGTCACCACATCCGGCTAATTTTTGTATTTTTAATAGAGATGAGGTTTCGCCATGTTGTCTGGGCTGGTCTCAAATTCCTGGCCTCAGGTGATCCACCTGTCTCAGCCTCCCAAAGTGTTGGGATTACAGGCATGAGCCAACTGTGCCCGGCCAGTTTTTTAAAAAATTTACAAATATCTTCAGAAATGTTGTAAGCTTTTTCTGAAAAACCACTTACATAGGTGGTATCAGACACTTGAGGAAACTGCAAAGCAAAAACATGACTCAAATGATTAAACATTCCATACTGCTGTAATTTAGTAAAAACAAACATTAAAATGGAAATTATCTGTATGAACATATGGATGTATTCATAGATGTTAAATAAACATGCAAAGATTTGGCCAGCTAAATGCTTTCTTTAAGGGTTATATGAATGAAATGTATATACAGCTTCTGAGGTGAATGTTAAAACAATTTTGACAAAAACAAACAAAAAATGCTTTTCTTTTCCTACTCCCTTCCCTCAACCACTCTTAGAAATTCTTATTTTAGATTATGAGATAAGGGAAATCATGTTATTTTAAATAGCTACGTTATTTTACATACAATTTATTCAGAGGGGCATCCAAAGTTTAAACTATGTCAACCTGCGTAATTCTTTAAATAAAACCTTGTTTTTCCTCAAAGATTATTTTCCATCTAGGTCTATGGACACTGTGCTCCACTTGCAAAGGAGAAAAGGAATCTGTTTGAATAAACTAGTACAAAATCTCATAGCCCAGGGTTGACCCCATTTTTCCTTGAAGTTATTTTAAAAAGAAAAATTTTAGCTAGTATGCAAAATTAAACGGAAAAGTACTCATTCTTTGTTCATTACAGAATTTTGTGCCTATTATAATCAAGAAGCAGGATGGAATAAAGATTTAACAAGTAATCAGTTTCAACTGTTAGATAAAACCATCTGATTTTCACCATACATCAATACCAAATGTTTTTCTAAAATCCTCTTGTAATGTTAAAACATCTATGGATGTACAAAGTCTCTCTTCTTTTTGCTGTCTTTTAAATATTAGCTGGCTTGCAAATGTTGCTTTAGCAAATGAAAATATTTGGCAATAGCTTTACTTAGAGCTTAGGATCCTTTTAAATTATTGAAAAAATCTACTGAAACATAATGGCCAGCAACTGCTAAGTATCTAGATAAAAACACTACCCATGATATTCTGAAGAACTCTCAGGAGAGAAGGATCTGGAATCTTGCAGACTCACCATATGTAAGAGTGTAAACTGGTTTCCCTGTCATGTCCAGTGCAGTCAGACAGGAGCATTTTGCTTGAGTGGTACCCCAGCGCTGCAGGGCAGATTCAAGAGCAGGAGGCCAGTTACAGATGACTCCTAAAGGCTCTCCTTTCACAGGGGTCATCTGCCGTCCCTCCGGCTTGGGCTGGTTGGGGTCTGGCTGAGGTACTGTACCAGGAAAATCCCAATGAGTGAAATGAGTACAAATACCAATGAACACAACTTAGGTCTCTAATCTCAACTGCATCTTCCTTTTCACTTCATATTTACCTGGTTTAAACTCACTTTGAGAAAGGACATGGTTAGAAATGGTGGTCCACAAACTGGGCCTTAATTCAATTTTCCACTTAAATGTGAAATCATATTCGTTTTATGCAATGAACAAATCCTGACCCTGACAAAGCAAATCACTGCATATATAGAATAGCACAAAATATACATTTTTTGTAGCAATTTCACAATTTTTAGCAAATTTGTTTTTAAATCTGTACAGTCTGTGTCCAGTGTGAGACAGCCAGGTTCTACTACAGCAGATTATGTTTAATGAGAAAGCATTATACTGTGAGTCAGAAAGCCCAAGTTTACATTGACTTTTTACTAGTATTACCTTAGGCCAATTGATTTACCTGAGCTTGGCTTTCCTCATCTGTAAAACGGGGATAGTAACAGTTATACCTCAGGGTCATTACTTCACTCAAACAGACAATGGGCATAAACCACAATATCCCATGTCTCCAGACCTCTGCACTCATCTCGTATGGCCAATCCCTTTGCCTCCTGGTGAACTCTTCCTCATCCTTTTCAGGACTTGGCTGAAACAGCACATTCTCTGGGAACCATTCCCAACCACTCCCTGAGGAGACTACTGCTTCCTTAGTGCTCCCACGTTGCCCTTAGGAAAGCACTGAGCATCCTAAGGACTTCTTTTACTGTACAAGTTTTCCCCCACAAAGGCTGATGGCTTCTTGAGGAAAGGGGTGGCTCTTACTCCCCTTACTGGCTGTAGTGCCTAATACTTCACGGTTGTTCAACAATGTCAGCTGAACTGGACTGAATTTGGTTGTGTGTTTAGTGGGGAACTAATTATTAACATGCTTATTCCAGAGATTGGGGGTGAATATTTCATACCCTTTCACAGATAAAACAAAAGTCCTCTTAATTTCTAAAATGAACAAGTATTATTCAAATAATAAAAATCAAAAAAAGAATCCTACATTTCCTTCCCTACCCCCACGACAGAGTCTTGCTCTGTTGCCCAGGCTGGAGTGCAGTGGAGCGATCTCGGCTCACTGCAACCTCCGCCTCCCAGGTTCAAAAGATTCTCCTGCCTCAGCCTCCTGAGTAGCTGGGATTATAGGCGCCCGCCACCACGCCTGGCTAATTTTTGTATTTTTAGTAGAGACGGGGTTTCACTATATTGGCCAGGCTGGTCTTGAACTCCTGAATTCCCACTCGCCTCAGCCTCCCAGAGTGCTGGGATTACAGGTGTGAGCCACCGCGCCCGGCCAAATGCTACATTTTCATAGCAGGAAAGATAATTTACACGTGGAACAAATCACTCTAGATAGAGTGCACCAGGGGACATAAACACACACAGACTCAGCGCTAAGGCTAGGACAACATGAGCAGTGCGTGAGAAGTGGGGCACGTCTCCACCTGGAGGAGGAAATGTCTGAGCTGAGTCTTAAAGGATGATCAGGAATTAGCCAGGTGAACAAGAGATGAGAAAAGAGGCACGGAAGGGAGAAGGGACAGAATGAGCAACAAATCTTAGATGGGCAAATGAAATATGAAATAAATGTTTTATAGCTCAATGACAAATCTGGGGATTGTACTTAAAATGCCTTGATTCATTTTTCTACTAACGTAACATTCATGAAATAGTTTCACTCCCCAATTTGCTGCCTTAGGGTAAATAATAAATGTTTCAACTGCCCTTCTGCTTTGTACATTCCCAGACGCTAAACCACCAGATTAACTAAAAAAAATAAACATGGGTGTTTCTAAATAAGTATTGTATTTGTTTGGACAGACTATGTATATAGTAGGCATTGTTTCCTGCCATGAAAGCTGACATTATCGCCATTATCCATTAGGCTTCAATGCAGATTCTGGGGCATGCTCTTTCAGATTTCCAAAGACCTACTGGTATTTTTCTTTTCCAAAGGTGACAATTACTCAAACAAGCAACTATTGCCTATTTATATTAGTAATTAATGGAAAGTTGTTAGTTCTATTCTGCCAATGCAATTTTTTCAGGTAAGATTCCTGTTAAAAACCGTGACCTTCATGTGCCTGGTCAATACCCAATGCTAAAAACACTGGAAAGGCTATTGCTGGCGTGGACATCTTGAACATCAGTACATCATGAAAGACGTCCACCATTCAATGAGTTTAGTGATTCCTAAAAAAACAGATACTCATCTTAACCTCATATGTCAGGTTGCTTTCTGCGGTATAAATTGGGCTAAGACCAGATCTAGTCTACCAATGTACCTAATTCTATTAACAAGCTGATGTGATCAAAACCTATTACTATTAGTCTCAGGACATAAAAACAGACTACAAAGCTACCAACGCTTAGCTCTTTCAACAAAAGCTTTTCTTAGGTAGATCTATTTGTCTAGATCTATCGTCATCACTCTATAATTATCAAATGGCCATTCTCATTTTATCCATACTCACACTCATTCCCCTTCCCTATTAAATCCTAGATATATGGTTTTATCCATAATTTAAAAATTATTGAATGAATAAATCACTGTTACACTTCCTCTGTGAAGCCTTTCCTAACCCAGAAGGAACTGATTTCTTCCCTTCTCAGAAGTGCCTATATTGGCTGATAGATACTTAATACTTAAACTAAGTATTCACATGGATATATTTTAGCACCCGTCTAAATTGTAAACAACATGAAGGAAATAACTGTATTTTTATAAATCTTTGAACCTTTTCACCATCTAACACGCTGCCTTGTAGAAAGCAGAAATATGTATTGATTGGTTGATTCATAAAAGGATTACATTATATGAAAACAGAGTAGGCAAACTTTTGAGGCTGAATTTGATATCCACATCCGAGAAAATGCCAAATATAAATAACTCGTAAAATCATGTATTTGGGATAGTTCCTAATTTCAAAGAGTTTATTTCCAAAGACAGTTCTATGCTCCATGGTGATCTCTTTGCCTTTCTTCCCTCTTCTTCCTTCCCTCCTTAATTTTCATCTAAGATCTAAAATACAGATAATCATTAGGGAAAAAAGAGCAGAAAATGATGAACTCTTTGAACCAAGAACTGTGTCTTGTTCATTCTTTAACCCTACAGTACCTAACACATAGTAACTGCTTAAGATATATTTATTTAATGAATATATGTTTTTGGTATTTTTACTACTACCTTCCACAATTTCTTCAGAGTCATCCACAAAAAATTCCTTTAAGGGAGGCCTTTTGGGTCGTTTCAGAGTGTTCAGAAGCTGCTGGATTTTTGTAGATACTCTGCTACTGACAGGAACACCTATAAGGGAAAAAATGGTTAAGTTAAAATTCATTGACTGTAAGGATATTTTAGTTCCTCAGTTCCCTCAGGAGCTTTTATTTCTAAGGATGTTTGGCGTTTGTCCAGTTTCCTTCTCTTTCAAGTGGACCAAATATGTACACAACAAGTTTTATGACAATAGAGAACAAATATGGTGCTATTATTAATACATAGCTTAAGGATTTCACCTAATCTTCCTTTTCAGTTATTCTTTTTTTGAGATGGAGTCTCGCTCTGTCACCCCAGGCTGGAGTGCAGTGGCGCCATCTTGGCTCACTGCAAGCTCCGCCTAATTTTTTGTATTTTTAGTAGAGATGGGGTTTCACTGTGTTAGCCAGGATGGTCTCGATCTCCTGACCTCATGATCTGCCCACCGCGGCCTCCCAAAGTGCTGGGATTACAGGCGTGAGCCACCGTGCCCGGCCCTCTGTTATTCTTTTCTTTTTCCACATTTAGGTTTTTGTTCAAAGTATCATCTGGAAGTATCCACTAAGTTCAATTAAGTGGCAATACTGTCACTGTGCAGATGATGGAAAAAAGGTACCCAGGATTAGTTATTAGTGGGCCAACTACAATGCAGTTCTGCAGCTGCTGGGCTAGTTAGGAGCTATCATTCATAATTTGAATTTTTCTAGTTTAGTTTACACTACAATTGAGCTACCAAAAACAACTCCTTACCATCAGCTGTATCCATAAGGCTGGACCTGTTGGATCCTTTGTGCATGCCTTTAACTATCCCCGAGGGGGGCAGGTCAATGTTTGCTGGGCGAATTGAGGAAGATGATGAGGAGGAAGAGGTAGTTGTAGTGACATCAGGAGGAGCAGAGAAATTCTCTGAGAGGAGAAAACAAAGTTTAGAATTATATTAGCAGCAAAACTAAGAACCTTCAAATCTTTGGGGTTTTGTTTTTTAACAAGGAAGAAAAGTACATAAATGGGGGCACTGGCTCTTGTAAAACAACATTTAAAAATCAGAATCTATTAGCAAGACACAATGGGAGAACAGTAAGTTAAGCCAGGGTATATCAGCTTTCCAAAATTATTATTTTGTAAGACTTGAGTAGCCTTAGTAAGATCAAATCTCACATTCAATGTTTCTCAAAACATCATTTTCTACACAGAAAGGCTGGTAGAAATCCAGTGTTATAAAATAATCATAATAAAACTTGCAGTGACCTCAAAATGGAACCAAATAAGATCATAACTGGCTACTAATATTGCAGTCTCTCGAACATTTCTTGATTGTTATAGTTTATCTAGAATGTTTCCCCTTCTACCAAAGACCAAACTCGTATCTTGAAAGTGGGTCAGGCTGCACAAGTTTCCAGATGAAAAAACACTAGATAAAGTCCACTTTTAACTTTTACCTACGGATTATACAATAATCCATAGGTAATTTGGATCATACAATAATCCATAGGTAATTTGGATCTCCTTGACAGACAAGGTTCTTCCTTTGCTCCAGGTAGAGACTAAATAGTGTTATTCTACTCTACCGCACATAGGGATTCTTTTTATTTTTCAGACAGGGTCTTGTGCTGTTGCCCAGCCAGGAATGCAGTGGTGCAATCACAGCTCACTACAGCCTCAACCTCCTGGGCTCAAGTAAGCCTCCCACCTCAGCCTCCCAAGTATGGGGACCACAGGTGCACACCACTACATCAGGCTAATATTTGTATTTTTAGTAGAGATGGAGTCTTGCCATGCTGCCCAGGCTGGTCTCGAACTCCTGGGCTCAAGCAATCCTCCCACCAATGCCTCCCAAAGTGCTGGGATTACAGGCGTGTGCCACCACACCAGGTCTCAAGATTCTTAACATGGAGAAACTGAATGAGTAAACTGGAAAAGATCCCTGTTCAACAGGGACACGTAACGACAACAACAAAAAACACCACATAGTTTTTTAGTGGCTTTCTGTGATTCTTGTAAATCATACATTTTCCTCCCTCTAATTTCCTTCTTCTTACTTCTCCAGATGTTTTCTTCTAAGTTTTTTGTAAAACTTAAAAAAGGAAAAAAGCATAATACAAACAATTTCTAAAATAGATTTGGGGGTAAGGTCTCTATGCCCCTTAAGTCTGTAATTATTAGTTGAATAGTTTTTAAAATTTTAAATATACTAACATGAGTATATTCCGGTATACCTTTCTGTAGGATAATGTGGTAACAAAAAGCATTAAAACAGACATTTTTATTTGGTCCAGCAATTCAAACTTATAGGAATATACGCTAAGGAAATAATCAGACAAATGTACAAAGTTGTGTGTTCAAGCATGTTCAATCCAATAGTTTTTATAATAGCAAAAAATTGGACACTATTTAATAGGGGAATGGCCAAATAAACCAGGGCAGAGAGTCACACAATAGTGTATATTGAAACCATAAAAATAATAGTGTAACATAATGATGTAAAAGATGTTCATCACATACTGCTAAGAAAAGCAGGTTATTAACATTATGTTTAGGACAGTTCATTTTTGTAAAATCAAAACCAAAACCTTACATATGTAAGTAAAATCTAGAAGAATATACACTACAGTAATAATACTAAAGTATTACCCATGGGAGGTAGGATTATAGGTTATTTTACTTTTCTTTTACCTATATTTTTGAATTTTTCTATTAGGATCATGAATTACTCCTGTTACAACAAACATCCAAAAAGCAATAATGTGGATAAAATGGTTTCTGTGAGTAACTGAACCAGTAACTTTTCACAGAGTAGTAGAAGCAATGAAAAATATACGGTTGGATGAGACATCTTGTTAACAAAAATCCAGGTAAAAGTTAACTGGGTATTAGGATAATATATT
The DNA here is from genome assembly GCF_000001405.40 of Homo sapiens. Taxonomy (NCBI): domain Eukaryota; kingdom Metazoa; phylum Chordata; class Mammalia; order Primates; family Hominidae; genus Homo; species Homo sapiens. The sequence continues at coordinate 50,672,494 of NC_000012.12, read as the reverse complement.
TAACAAGTAATACTGGTCTCTTTTAGACAGATGTGGAAATAAAACCTCAGCAACCATGGCTCTGTTGCTCCACGACTGGAGAGGTGGTGAATACGCAAATCTTTGTAGCTGCTTCAGGAGGCTCAGGAAATGGCAGGGCAGGGCAGAGCTAAGCGTGCAAGACAAGTCATCAGCTGTTGGCACATGGGTCTCTAAGGAGGGCAATCATACCCTCAAGGTAGCTATTTCTTTAAAAATTATAGTCTTGAATTGAAATTTTTCCAAGTTTTTCTTTTTTTAGAAATCAGTTAACAGAATAAAGATATATTAGGTGATATAGACAGGTCACTGAGATGAAAATTAAGACACCAAAATGCACTGATTGTCAAGAAAAAAAAGGGAAAGATATCACAGACACATAATGTTAACACACATTACTTGGTGTAATTTGTAACAACCAATTAAGCAAAAGCAGAGATCTGAGCTGTATCTTTATCTGCAGATGTCACAACTCTTTAAAAAAACACACACACAAAACATAAAGCAGGGGCAAGCAAAAGCTACACTCTGTATAGTAGCATCTGCAGTGTATCGATAGCAGCTCAGAGTACCAATATCCTCGGCCTGCACACTCCAGTGTAGCAATATCACAGCAGCAAGGACAACAAATCCAGTCAAGACAAAAGTCCTCACTGATATTGGCTCAGTATAGATTTTGCTCAGGTTTAGTGTTTTTGGTTTAACAGAATATAGGTAACAATCCTGGGAAAAATCTAAGATGTTACATATTTTAACCTTTTAATAGATCGAATATTCTTCAGCTGGGATAACTCCACACTGAGACTGGTGTTATATCTTGCAGCTTGAGCATTGCTTATGGAAATAGCTATGGCTTCAGGTGGGCAAAACTACGCACCAATAATGCAGGTGTTATCTATTATTCCTGTGACAAATGTATTGCTGGTGTTTCCATCTTTTCCTCATTAACTGTCATGTTTTCTCTAATTCTTTTTTTTAGGCCATACTGAAAAACCTAACACAAACCATAAACTATTTCCTGGATACTGGGAGCCAAATGGAATGTAATTTGGGCTTCTTGGGTAGATCCAGCTCCTACCTATTCGAGTATTGGCAAATACATCAGCTAGAGACCCACTGGTTCCTTTGACCTCTCCGTGGGACAGCGTAGAAGATGCGGATGAAGAAGTGGACGATCCCTGAATTGAACGGTTGATCCAGGACTCAGCATTCTGTAAGCTCTGTTGCAAGGCAGCAGAGAGCGCAGCTTGGCGTCTCAGAGAGCCCTCATCCTCAGAGGCCGAAGATGTGTCTGTGTGGAATTAGAAAAAAAGAAGTTCTCGATCCTACCTAGAACAGAGACTTTTCAGTTCTTGCTCATTGATCACACATTCAGTTTCGACACCAGCAAAACATTCGCATTCTTAAGGTAGATTAATATGTAAAGTTTCTCAAGAATCTCAAGGAAAAGTCTATGGACCAAAGCCTACAAAAATAAAATAGCCTAACTCCATAGGTAATTTTTAATTGTTTTCTTTTAAACTCTTTCAAAACATTTAAACTTTATTCCCTGCTTTTCTGTTGTAAGCTTAATCAGTATCTAAATTTTTCTAGTCCATCTACTTATGTTCAAATAATACTGAAGTACTTATATGTCTTCCTGAATCTCTTCTTGTGGTATGTTGCTACATTGATTTTGACAAAGTACTTATTAGTCTCTAAGGAAATGATCTTGACAGGGAGACATAAAAACTTAATTCTTGCTAAAAACGTATGTGCCAGGCCGGGCGTGGTGGCTCATACCTGTAATCCCAACACTTTGGGAGGCTGAGGCAGGCAGATCACCTGAGGTCAGGAGTTCAAGACCAGCCTGGCCAACACGGTGAAACCCCATCTCTACTAAAAATACAAAAAATTAGACAGGCATGGTGGTGCATGCCTGTAATCCCAGCTACTTGGGAGGCTGAAGCAGGAGAATCGTTTGAACCTCGGAGGCAGAGGTTTCGGTGAGCCACGATCGCACCACTGCACTCTAGCCTGGGCAACAGAGCGAGACTCCAACTCAAAAACAAAAACAAAAAACAAAAAACATACGTGCCAAACAGTGAGCTAGGTGCTAGGGAATGAAGTGGCGTAAACAATCCTTAGCCTGGACTTATTCATGGCCTTAGTAGGAAAGGCAGCCAGTCAGGGTGCACAGGTAAGCTTTCCAAGCATGACAGGAGAAGGCACAGCATCAGTATTTCTTTCTTTAATTTTCAGCTGGAGAAGAATTGTGAGAAATCCACTTATGTCTGTATTCAGCTTGGCTCTGACTTCAGGAAAATAGGCCTAAATTAGAAAAGCGTGCTGGGTGGGGGGTGGGTAAAAAAACTCAACCAAATATAGGGAAGCAAAAGCCGGGGAAAACAGAAGTCAGGAATTTATTTCAGGGTTCTAAGCTTATGAAGCACGCAGTTAAAGAGGGCATTTGGTCTAATGTGAGATAAACCTTTCTAAATGATTTCTGGGTGTTATGATTTACAACTTGTGGATTGAATTTCATTGTTTTTAAAAATTAAACATTCTGTGGTTAGTACTGCAGAACCCTTTCCGTCTAACTCAGGTGACACTGTAGGTTCATGTTCTGCTTTGGTTCAAAGAGCCAAATACATAACCAATGGGGCTGGAAAACTGCTGGCACCTCACAATGGGAACCTGAACCACAAAAGACTCATCTAATCTAGAAGTCAAATTCTGCAGGTCCAGAGCAAGAGAGAAAGTTAAAATAATGGGCCGGATGCAGTGGCTCAGGCCTGTAATCCCAGTACTTTGGGAGGCCGAGGTAGGTGGATCACTTGACGTCAGGAGTTCAAGACCAGCCTGGCCAACATCGCGAAACCCTGTCTTTACTAAAAATACAAAAATTAGCCAGGCATGGTGGTGCACACCTGTAATTCCAGCTACTCGGGAAGCTGAGGCAGACAAGAATCACTTAAGACCGGGAGGCGGAGGTTGCAGTGAGCAGAGATAGCATCACTGCCCTCCAGCCTGGGAGGCAGAGTGAGACTCCATTTCAAAAACAAAAACAAAAAACCCAGAAAGTTATATAATGACTATACCCTTGCTTCTTGTTCTGTACTACCTCCAACTTATTATTTCATATTGAGGAAGGTCTGAAGCCTGTGACTGTTTTTGCTTTTTAAAAAGTACTAATCACAACATGTGCCAGGAACTATGTCAAGTCCTAGGGGTTGTGAAGTGTATGAGTGCTTATGACACAGTAAGTGCCCTAAAAAGGCTTACAGGAGACACAGAAGCCCACAGATAATTTCAAAAGAATAAAACAGATGCTAAGAAACGGGAGTAATCAAAGGGTTTCGCAGGATGGGAACCAACCACAGTCAGGGATTTCAAGTACTTCTTTGTACATAGAGCAAAGACTTTGAAGAGTAAGGCAAAAAAATGAAAAAAATGAGGGTGGAGAGATAAATAGTGACCAGATCCCAAAGAGATAAAGTGATGAGGTCCATAAAGAAGAATGAGATCTATCATGCAAAAGGGGGGTGATTAAAAGAAAATTTAAAGAAAAAAAGAAGTAATCACATCTGTACCCCTTTAAGGAAAGCATTTTGTGTAATTTTCAGAAAATATTCTAACATTTCAACTGTACCCCGGGACACAAATATTCCTGTCTTAGCAAACATGTTAAAAAAAACAGAGAGGAAGTTGGGATAGGGCCCCTAGGATAGGTGAATTTGACCTTAAGAATAAAGTATTTTCAAGGTAAGTTATCTCAAGATTCCACAATCTCCATTGGATTTGTGGGCTGCTTTTATTGTATCATTTTATTGTATCATTTATATGTATTTTAATTTGTTTAAGTTTAAAATCAGAATAACCCAATTTTAAAAAGACAGTAAAACCAGTATTTTCATGATTAGGTTTATGGAAAATGGGTTTCATTATGTTTCTATATTGGATCAATTATGCAATTAGGTGTATTGTTTCAATTCAGTTACCCTGTTTGTCTGCCAGTCTTCAGTGTTTAATGACTTACAACTATGGGGCAGCTTAGCGTAGTGGAAAAAAACATGGCTTTGGTGTCAGTCTTCCATTCAAACTCTAGGATCCACCTCTTACTAGCTATGTGACTTGGGGATAAAATTACCCATCTGAGAAGACTGTTTACTTATTCGTCCATTTGACAAACACACTAAGCACTACAGTAGTTGGTAGGAATAAAAAGTTGGGCAAGAAGACATAGTCCCTATTCTTATGGGACTGAGATGAGTTAGAGGAGTTCAAGGCAGGCACCCAAGGAAGTAAGACCTAACCCAAGGCCTGATGGCTAAGTAGGGATTAGTTATGAAAGGCCCAGAGGTAGGGAGAGTGCAGCGTCAGGTAGAGGGGGCTGCACGCGAGAAAGCTTGGAGGGGACAGAAAACTTTTTAAAGATATTAAAGAAACAGAGACTAGCCAGAGCACAGATGCAAGACTGATAGTCATGGAGATGAGACTGGACAAGTAGGTAGCATTGGGCCACCAAGGGCCTTGTAAGACAAGCTAAGGAAACTTGCCTTTATCCTAACCATAGCTGGGAGACCATGAACAAAGACACTGTACAGAAAGCACCCATACTGGTGCCAGCCCATAGCACCTGGCCAATCAACATTAATTCCTCTTCTAATCCCCAGGAGAATGGTTAAAAGGAATGTGTATTTCTTTTTGATTTGGAATAACCTGAAATTTTTCCTAAGAGTAATTTAAATGGCTAATTGCTTCCTATAAACATGAAGGGAAAGATAGCAGAAACTGACTAACAGTTGGTAGAAGAAAATAATACTGTGCCAAATGATGCCACCTGAGAAATGAGGTGCTTACTATGAATAACTCAACCTATGGTCACAGATAAGAAACTATCCGGGTAAAGTTAAAAGACGATTATGTAGTGAAGTCTACATAAAATGTAGCACTGCTCTGGGATTGTATCTTTTTAAAAATCAAAACAAGGTCCCTTAAATATTATTTTAAAAGCAATTTGTCACCCAGGAAATTGTTATGAATTTGTAGAAATTTGGGCAAAATTAAATAATAGAAATTTATCATTTCCCTACTGATTCTGCTCTGATTAAAAATAAACTCATGACTGTTATCACTTATAAATAAAACATCTTCCCTAAGCTCTTATATATAACGAATACGCAACAGAAAACAATTCTGAAAACATAGTTTGCCTTTCAGTTTATAATCTGCTGTGATTTTAACAAGGCACCATTGAATACTGGTCACCAGAAGCCTACAATCCATCTATAACCAATTAGTAAACATATAAACAATTAGCATGTTGGCCGGGCGCATTGTCTCACGCCTGTAATCCCAAGCACTTTGGGAGGTTGAGGCGGATGAACTGCTTGAGCTCAGGAGTTTGAGACCAGCCTGGGCAACATGACAAAAACCTGTCTCTACAAAAAATGCAAAACTTAGCTAAGTGTGGTGGTGTGTGCCTATAGTCTCAGCTACTTGAGAGGATGGCCTGAGCCCAGGAATTTGCTAATTCCTTTTATTCTTTTTTTGAGACAGGGTCTCCTGCCTCAGCGTCCCGAGTAGCTGGGACTACAGGCGCCCGCCACCATGCCCGGCTAATTTTTTGTATTATTTAGTAGAGACAAGGTTTCAGCGTGTTAGCCAGGATGGTCTTGATCTCCTGACCTCGTGATCCACCCACCTCAGCCTCCCAAAGTTCTGGGATTACAGGCGTGAGCCACCACGCCCGGCCTCAGGCAAGCTTTTTTGACAGGTTCCTTTTTTCTAATTCACCCAACTGCTAAAGATGCAAGTCCCTCCAGGGATCTTAATTCCAGCTTGCAACCTTAGATGGGCCCAAGGTTTTATCATTATAGTTAACATTAAGGTCCCTGGCTTGCTGATTCTCCTCCCTACAGCCCAGCGGAAGTAAGCACCACCTCACCATTCTGATTTTTCAGTGTTCATCATTCTCCCTTGCTCCTGTATACATTTTTTAAAAAGCTGGTTACATTTTACCCAGTATTTCTAAAAGAACATTTTCTTTCCCCTATCTTTCTAGGAGATAATTTTCAGGTTATCTAACTGATATGTCTAAAAACAGAAGTCTGGGCAAGTTATTGAGCCTCTCTAAACCTGTTTTCTCTTCTGTAAAATGGGGTAGAAAACTGTTGAGTGAACTAAAAATGAAAAAAATATATGTTAAGCACTTAGCCCTTTGACTGGTACACTGAGGGCATGCAATAAATGGTAACCATAACATTACTCTTATCAGCAAACCTTAAATTTTACAATCAGGTATTGAAACAAATTCAACCGGATACAGTGGGTTTTTATTGTACTTTGGCTTAAAGAACACTGGATATTCACTAGTCTCCCAAGTAATTGTGGACCATTGGTCCTACCCCACACCAATCATAAAATACACTATTAAAATGATCTGACTCTATTAATTAGAGCACATTTATTATGGAGGTCTGATTTGCCAACTTTGTTTACTTTGTGGTTTAGGTTAAAATTAGAATATTTAGGAAAGACTCCCCAACCTGGTAAATCAGCAGGTATTCTAAGTTCAAATTAACTGACTGATACATATTTAGGACTATAACCATTCAGAAGACAACAGTTATTTAATTTGGTTGTAAAAATGCTCATTCCAGTACCATGCATACACGTGAGTATCTATTAGGGAAAGAGGAATTTTTTTTTTTTTTTTTCAGTTGAGGTTTCACTCTGTCACCCAGGCTGGAGTACAGTGCTGTGATTATGGTTCACTGCAGCCTTGACTGAAGTGATTCTCCCACCTCAGCCTCCTGAGTGGCTACAACCACAGGCACACACTACCATACCCAGCTAATTTTTAAAATTTTTATTTTATTTAGCACTATGAAGGAATTAAAAAAAATTATTTGTAGAGATGATAACTCTTGCTATGTTGCCCAGGCTGGTCTCAAACTCCTGGGCTGAAAGGATCCTCGGGCCTCAGCCTCCCAAAGTGCTGGGATTATAGGCATGAGTCGCGGCTATAAAGTAAATAGAATTTTCTAAATAAACATGACACTTCAGTGGAATAATGAACACAATCAAGATTTTGAGTTTGACACTTAATTGCTATTTGACCTGGGGCAAATTACTTAGCGACTATGAACTTGCTTATTTCCTTATCTCTAAATCTGCCCTTCCTACTTTACAGAGTATTTATGAGAAACAAATGACACAGGGCGGTCATTAGTATGTGAAAGTTCTTTGCATACCATAATGTACTATAATTCCATGAAGCATTATTAAAGTAGGTTAAAAGGATAATATCCCAATCTGTTGCTGGGTATCATTTTCATATATAGAAATATAGAGCAGGGTGTGGTGGCTCATGCCTATAATCCCAACACTTTGGAGAATCTCTTGAGCCCAGGAGTTTGAGGCCAGCTTGAGCAACACAGTGAGACCCCATCTCCAACTCTACAAAAAATAAAAATATTAGCCGGGTGTGGCAGCATGCACCTGCAGTTCCAGCTACTAGAGAGGCTGAGGTGGGAGGACTGCTTGACCCTGGGAGTTTGAGACTGCAGTGAATTGTGATTGAGCCACTATACTCCAGCCTGGGTGACAGAGACTGTGTCAAAAAAAAAAAAAAAAAAAAAAAAAAAAAAAAAAAACAAAAACCAAAAAAGGAGGGAAATTCTCCTTGTCTTCTGGCCCTATGAATTACTCTAGCTACTCTCAAGCAGAGTCCTGTGTGAGACAGACTTCTAAATTTAAGCTAGTTGAAATAGCTTACTGTGCTTTAGGGTCATTATGTGGTCTATTTGGTCATCTGTGCACTCTCAGAACGCAGCAAAGGGTAAGTCCACAAGGGTGCGGAAAAAGCTTAGAGGGAAAAAATATATGCTGTAGTTTTTGCGTTGTGCTTTTCCGTATGAATGAGTAATAGCATTACACAAAGAACCCCTACAAAGAAAGAGCTGAGGTAATTGCCTCATGACATTAGTAAATGATTTCAGCACATAAAGGGAACTGGATGGCAGTAATTCAAGCAGTCTAAAAGACTCTGAAAAAGGCCACAAGCACTAAAAGAACCATAGATTGCTACCAATTTAGAGAATTTAAATTTTCTAATTCACAAGATAGAAATTAGTGTACATAATTCAATAAGCAAATTTTAGGGTGACTGACATCTTATCAGGTGATTTGTGAACAAAAGACAAATTATTTCCCATGCCAACTATTTACCATATTTTCCAGACTATATGATACTATAAATAAAGCCAAAATATCTGACATATTTTACTCCTTAATCCTTTTTATTAAATCCCTCAAAAAGAGCAGCTCTAAATTTTCATCAGTTCAGTAATTCAAACAGTTACGTATTGAGTGCCTCCCAAAGAAGCTGACTGGCTGGTGCACTCTAGAAGTTATCCCAGAAACCAGGTGCATACAAGACAGCAAGTGCAGAGTGACAGCCTTGACCCAAGATGTGCTTTATGATGTATGCTGTAACATCTCAGGCAGTGTACAAAGAAAGATGCAACTAAATCCTGTAAAATATTAGGCTATTAGGCTAATTTTTCCCTGCAAGAGTGGTACAACTTTTTGTTTGCTTTTTTTTTTTTTTTTTTTTTTAAAGAGATGGGGCCTCACTCTGTCTCCCAGGTTGGAGTACGGTTGATTGATCTCGGCTCACTGCAGCCTTGACCTCTGGGGATCAAGCGATCCTCCCACCTCAGCCTCTCAAGTAGCTGGAACAACAGACATGCACTACCACAGTCAGCTAACTTTTTAATTTTTTGTAGAGATGGGGTCTCGCTATATTGCACAGGCTGGTCCCCTCCTAGGCTCAAGCAATCCTCCCACCTCAGCCTCCCAAAGTGTGAAGATTACAGGTATGAGCCAACACACCTGGCCACAACTGTTTTATTTATTTATTTATTTATTTATTTGAGACGGAGTCTGGCTCTGTTGCCCAGGCTGGAATGCAGTGGCGCGGTCTCGGCTCACTGCAAGCTCTGCCTTCCAGGTTCACGCCATTCTCCTGCCTCAGCCTCCCGAGTAGCTGGGACTACAGGCGCTGCCACCACGCCCGGCTAATTTTTTGTATTTTTAGTAGAGACGGGGTTCACTGTGTTAGCCAGGATGGTCTCGATCTCCTGACCTTGTGATCCACCCGCCTCGGCCTCCCAAAGTGTTGGGACTTCAGGCGCTGCCACCACGCCCGGCTAATTTTTTGTATTTTTAGTAGAGACGGGGTTCACTGTGTTAGCCAGGATGGTCTCGATCTCCTGACCTTGTGATCCACCCGCCTCAGCCTCCCAAAGTGCTGGGATTACAGGCGTGAGCCACTGCGCCCGGCACCACAACTGTTCTTAGGTCACTTTTGTTTTGTTTTTTGAGATGGAGTCTCGCTCTGTCACCCAGGCTGGACTGAATGGCGCGATCTCGGCTCACTGCGACCTCTGCCTCCCGGGTTCAAGTAATTCCCCTGCCTCAGCCTCCTGAGTGGCTGGGACTATAGGAACGCACCACCACACCTGGCTAATTTTTGTATTTTTAGCCGGGACGGGGTTTCACCTTGTTGGTCAGGCTGATCTCGAACTCCTGACCTCCTGATCTGCCTGCCTCAGCCTCCTAAAGTGCTGGGATTACAGGCATGAGCCACCGTACCCCGCTTTAGGTCACTTTGGTAGCTGGCCAGAAGCTCATTTTTTTTTTAAAGACTTTAATGGCAATGATTAATGTAAGTTTTCTTCCTCCTCCCTTCCCTTGAACACAGCCTCGGCATCTTCTAAGCTTCAGTGTTTCTATGGCTATCAGAGTACATATGCGAGATAAAACCTATTCCACATCGCTGGGTTAGGCTGTAACAAGTTCTGGGAGATACTGATGTAGGATTAAGCTACAACTAGGCATTGGAAACAGCCAATTGGTAGCTCTTAAGATCTTGGAGAGAATGGAATCGATTCCTAATGTGGGAACAGCAAATTCTACTCCCTAAAATGAAAGGGGCTAATGGAAGCCTTATGATAAGAGTTCTTCCCAAATTTCCTCACTAGAGCAAAGTATTTGTCTTAGGCATGTGTGTAATTGTTGCATGACAGCATCAAGATATCCCATGTGGGGGCTGTGTGAGAAATCACTATGCAGGGTGCGCTCAATGTTTCCCCTTGTTGTGAGAGAATTCCTCTTCTATTTGACAACACAGATGTCCCTCACAGCACATGAAGCCTTCTCAGATACTACCCAGAGATCCCCAGAACAGGAGATAAATGGGTACAGAACCTTTTTATTACTCTGTTCTGCTGAATACAAGTCTTAGGAGAAAGGATTGTATCTTTGGAATCATGAAATTATTATGTATAAAACATATAATATGATCAAGAACATTAGGCCACAACGTCAAGGCTGCAGACAGAGGAGAACATTAGTGTCTAGAAATACAGAGGCCTATAGTTAATTTCAAAGGACTACAGTCTCATTCAGCAATGAACAGCTGCGATTTGTTTCTAGAGTTCGTGAATTCCCCTCAGGCAGTGACTTTTGTAAAAGCGGATAAAAAAGGTTTCCACTCCTTCTGAGCATTCTCAAGGTCTTTGCTGCATTCTCACATTTCACCCAAAGCCATAAGGGCAGCCTATTTACTCTGAAACTGCATGTCTTTGATACAGCTTTGGAGGGGATTATTTCCAAGAACTACATGTCATGCTGCTCCCTACCCTTTGCCATTTACTGCAACTGAACCCTCAGCCACACTGCAGTGTAATCTGCCAAAAAGGAATAGCTACTAAACTGAGAGCCCCCTTTGTCCATGAGGACCCAACTTGTGCTGTACTAATGTGGAAGGGAAACCATCCAAGATTTTCAATGAGTAGGTTTGAGGTATGCACCATTATAGACACAAACTGTCTTACTGTGATAGCCGGCTAGAGGTACCCTGTGATACATTTTGAGAAACACTTGAAGCCACAGAGCTATTTCTCTTTCAAACATGTTGACACCACAGATGTGAAGAAAAAAAGCACACACAGTAAATGAGCCCACAGCATACCCAAATGCTCTGAGAAGTTAGCCAAAACCGAGAAGAAAACTATTAATATTAATCTGGATCAGGGAATAGGATCAGTATGAACAGCTCAACAACTTGACAGCTGTGAATCAAAGTCAACCATAAGGCAACCTAGGAATCTCCCCAAAGACGTATTAAGTAGTTTAGGCCAAAAAAGTATGGGGAAATTTGTTCTCAAAGATTTCATTACCAGTAACATGAAAGTAGAAAGAGAGACACTATATTGAGGCTCTGAAATAGATTTACTATGTTTAGTCTCAAAGGCCTATATCAAGATCTTGTCTGGGATTCGATCTAAAAAAAATTTTTTTCGAGCTTCCACTAGAGAAGTTCAAAAAAAATTTTTTTTAAGGTTTTAAAAAAACTTTGGGAGAGATTCTGAACAGACAAGACAACTTAGATTGTTTCTAGTTATTCCTCAAATATGAAGTTATAACTCTTTAAATTTACCTTAGGGAGCATAAGGATTGAAGTCTGGTGAACAGGGATGGGATGAAGATACCTAGTTCTCACTGATCTCATGACCCCGTTATAAAAAGTAGATTCTTAAAAAATAAATAAATGTGTACAAAATACATTAACACACACACACATAAACACACTTATATACGTTTTGCAGGTCCATCACAACTTTGCATGATTGCTCTTCCATAATTGTTAATGACACAAAAACTTTTGTCCCAAGTCCAACAATTCTCATGCCTGCTGCAGAGACGAAGCATTTGGTTTAGGAGTACAAATGAATTAGATATATGACTACAAGTAGTATATTGGGTGACAATGAAAGTGGCTATTTAACACAGCAGGATTTTGGCCTAAGCTTTGGCCTGTATTTATGACTACATAAGTCTGGGGATTACAGCCAAAAAAAAAAAAGACTGGAAATTCAGAAGGAAAGTTTTTTTGTTTAGTTTTGAATAGTTTTACTCTTAAGACATCTTTTTGTGTGTTGTTTACGAGATGACAAGCAAAATCTGCCACCTCAGAGTGTTCTCTTACATTCCTCTAATGGCGGGGAGAAGATTCTGGTTCTTACCTCAGAAAAGAAAAAGCAGAACTTATTTCAGGAACATCAAGGTATTAACTGTCAGAGAGAAAAAGCTCTGATAAACCTACCAGGAGGTGTGCAGGCATCTGCAGGAGACTGAACAAATGTGGATCGCCTTTTGGTTGGCATGGGCAAAGCCATCTTCTGTTCTTTATGCTTTGCCAGTGCAGCCTGAACTGCTTCTGTGTGGATATCTGAAAAAGCAAACATTTGCATTTATTAGCTTCCGGCTCTTGAAAGTGTTTACCACTGTGAGCTGAACTATCACTGCCTCAATTGTTTAAAAAAAAAAAAAAAGGTAAAGGGGACGTTCAGATGATTTTTATTTATAATTTGATTAAGACCAATTAGAAATAAAAATCAAAAACAAAAATAAAAGAAGCCAGGGATAATTTTACGGAGGAGGAAAATGAAGTCCAGAATGATGTGTGACTCCTTAACACACCAGACAAAGAGTTGACAGAGATGTGGGGAGGTGGGTGGGGACAGAATACTGAGTCTAACATGCATCTGTGCCAAGCAGGAAATTCTGCCTCAAATGGAATGAGCGCTGTGCAGGTGCCTGGAGAACACTCATTATTTTTCAAGAAAAGAAGCTTAGGATTTTCTTAACTGAAAGAAAATTTCTTTCAAGTCTGAAAGAAAACTTGGTTGAGACCCCTCAGTTCTATGCCACAGGAAGAGAAGGATTTATTTTGATCTAGAAAAACATAAGGGCAGATGTTAATTGTTTGCCACTTTGGGCACAAAAAATTTCAGCTCTCTACTTGAATGTCTAATAGGAATCTCAAAATTAACACATCCAAACAAAACTCTTCATTTTCTACCCCCACTCCAAAGGTCACTCTATAGTTCCACAAAATTGAATCATACTGTACACAGTATTTTGTATCCCGCTAAAAAAAAAAAAAACTCTTACAAAATCTTACTGAGGTAGATAACAGCTGAGGTAGCTTCCTAAGTCACAAAAAAAATAGTTTCCTTTTGTCTAGGAATGGGCCTAATCCACAAACAAACTATCCTTCCATACCGCTCTGTAAAGTAAATATACCCCTTATAAGAGCTAGACCAATGAGATCCTCTTTTTTAAATTTAAACTCTGAATCAAGAAACTGCAGGTCCTAAATGGAATCACTTTAACGACAATGTGACAATGCCCTAGAAAGAAGGAAGGTTTTAAACTTCAAGGTTGAGATTCCCAGAGTTATCTCTCCTTTCTAGGGGTTTTTCAAATGTTGATTTGTTTCTATGACCTACCTCAGCTATTTAAGGTAGCCTATGTAAGTTGACCTGTTTTTTTTGAGATGGAGTGTCGCTCTGTCGCCCAGGCTGGAGTGCAGTGGCGCAATCTCAGCTCACTGCAACCTCTGCCTCCCAGGTTCAAGCCATTTTCCTGTCTCAGCCTCCCAAGTAGCTGGGACTACAGGTACACGCCACCACGCCCAGCTAATTTTTGCATTTTTAGTAGAGGTGGGGTTTCACCATCTTGGTCAGGCTGGCCTTGAACTCCTGACCTTGTCATCTGCCCGCCTCGGCCTACTAAAGTGCTGGGATTACAGGCGTGAGCCACCACGCCCGGCCAGCTTCTGTTTCTTGCAACCAAAAAACCTCCACTAATACAAGGAGAAACACCTCACTGTGTACAGACCAACAACATAACTTTTAAGGGCTGCATAGTATTTCACTGCATGAATGTGCCATGATTTACTTACACAATTCCTTATTATCAGATACTAGGTTATTTCCAAATTTTTGAAATTATTCATAGAAAGAATAATTCAGTATTTTCACCTTAGCACATGTCTAATTATTTTCTTAGAATTAATTACAAAAACTGCTGAGATCAAAGTATATGTACTTATTTCTTCAGAAATGTTTCAAACATATTTCCTAAAAATAAGGAATTTTCTCTTATATAACCCCAGGACATTATTCAAAATCCAGAAAAATTGGCCGGGTGCAATGGCTCACACCTGTAATCCCAGCACTTTGGGAGGCCTAAGTGGGTGGATAACTTGAAGTCAGGAGTTCAAGACCAGCCTGGCCAACATGGTAAAACCCTGTCTCTACTAAAAATACAGAAATTAGCCAGGCATGGTAGCACGCACCTGTAATTCCAGCTACTCAGGAGGCTGAGGCAGAAGAATCACTTGAACCCAGCAGGCGGAGGTTGCAGTGAGCCGAGATCACACCATTGTACTCCAGCCTGGGCGACAGAGCAAGACTCTGTCTCAAAAAAACAAAACAACAAACCCCAGAAATTCTTGTTTTTCTTTTTTTTCTTTCTTTTTTTTTTTTTTTGAGATGAGGTCTTGCTATGTATGCTGCCTAGGGTTGGTCTTGAACTGGGCTCCAGCGATCCACCCGCCTCAGTCTCCCGAAGTGCTGGGATTACCAGCCAAAATACAGAAATTCAACATTGATACAAACTATTATCTAACCCACAATCCATATTCCAACATAGTCTATTGTCCCAATAATGTCCTCTATAGGTTTTCCCTCCCACCTTTTTTCCTGATCTGGGATCTACTGGAGGAAATCCTACTTAGTTGTCCTGTCTCTTGATTCCCCTATAATCCAGAACTGTTTCTCAGCCTTACTTTGCCTTTTATTATCTTGATATTTTTGTACAGACTAGTTATTTTGTAAAATGTTCTTTAATTTTGGCTTGCTTGATATTTCCTTATAATTAATTTCAGGTTATGCAATTTGGCAGAAATACCATAGAAATAATTTGTTGTCTTCTTCTTTTTTTTTTTGTAAAGATGGGGTGTCACTACATTGCCCAGGCTGGTCTCCAACTACTGGTCTCAAGGAATCCTCCTGCTTCAGCCCCCAAAATGCTGCACTGGGATTACAAGCATGAGCCACCATGCCCAGCCAGAAATAATGTCTTTCTCAAAACATGATGTCAGGAGGTGTCTGCTCCACTATGGTAACATAACTCTAATTGCAAAGTTGGTTACTTTGGTCACTATGGTATCTGCTAAATAAACTCACTGTAAACTTAACCATTCTTCCGTTTGCAATTAATAAGTAATTCATGGGAGGATACTTTTGAGACTATATAAATGTTACATACTTTGTCAACCTTTCAACTCACTAGTTTTAGCATCCATTGATAATTCTTGGTGGAATCAACTTTTTTTTTTTTTTTTTTTTTTGTAAATAGAGATGGGGTCTCCCTATGTTGCCCAGGCTGTCTCAAACTCCTGGGCTCAAGGGATTCTCCTGCCTTGGCATCCAAAAGTGAATAGGATTACAGGTGTGGGCCACCACACCTGCCATTTTTTTAAAAAATATTTTTTATTTTTAATGGAACATTTCACGAGTTTGTGTGTCACCTTGCTCAGGGGCCATGTTAATCTTCCCTGTATCGTTCCAATTTTAGTATATGTGCTGCTGAAGTGAGCACGGAATCAATTATGATAATAACAATTACAATATGATAATTTTATAGCTCTACCATTTCTTCCATATTTATTAGTTGGTATTTATTATAAGAAAAAGTTTTCCTGGCCAGCATGGTGACTCATGCCTGTAATTCCAGCACTTTGGGAGGCCGAAGAGGGTGCATCACCTGAGGTCAGGAGTTCGAAACCAGCCTGACCAACGTGGCAAAACCCCATCTCCACTGAAAATACAAAAATTAGCTGAGCATGGTGGCGCATGCCTGTAGTCCCAGCTACTTGGGAGGCTGAGGCACAAGAATTGCTTGAACCTGGGAAGCGGAGGTTACAGTGAGCCAAGATTGTGCCACTGCACTCCCGCCTGGGTGAAAGAGCGAGACTCCATCTCAAAAGAAAAAAAGAAAGAAAAAAAGCTTTCCTTTCTCCCTTAGTTATTTATATCACTATGAGCCCATGGATTCTCATTTTATTCCATGACTATTCTGTTACTATCATTATTTTGATGCTCATATTTTGGCAGACTTGGCCAATAGGAGTCCCTTCATATGGGTTCTTATGTCCTTTGGACACAGTTCCTTAATTTTGAGCAGTTGTTTTATGACATAAGATATTCCATGCTCATGAGGTACTTTTCCTCCTCCAGACCTAGAATTATACCTTTCTTCAAGGAAAAGTGGCTCCTTTTAGTGAAGAATGAATGGTATTTAGAAACCAAATCTTAGAAGCAGGGGTACTCAGTGCTATTGGGGTATCTTTTCTAAGCCCTTTTGGTGGATCAAGAAATTCATATACATATAACTACATCTGTTTCTAACTATATTTAAAATGATGAGTTCATATTAATACCTCCATTTCCAATTCAATATCATTCTAATTTTCCCTCTTTCCACTTATAATTCCCTTCTCTAATAGGATGAAACAACATTTTCAATATATTTTACTCATTTCTTAATCCTACCATACACAGGAAGTACATTTTAAAAATTGTTTATTTTTTATTTTTGGGACAGGGTCTCACTCTGTCACCCAGGCTGGAGTGCAGTGGCATGATCTCAGCTCACTGCAACCTCCACATCCCAGGCTCAAGCAATCCTCTCACCTCAAACTCGTGTGAGTAGCTGGGACCACAGGTGCACACCCAGCTAATTTTTTGTATTTTTGGTAGAGATGGAGTTTCACTATGTTGCCCAGGTTGCTCTCAAATTCCTGGGCTCAAGCAATCCACCCGCCTTGGCCTCCCAAAGTGCTGGGATTATGGGCGTGAGCCACTGCACCCAGCCAAAAATTGCTATCTTACGTCAATATGAAAAATAAATCTTCTAACTAGTGTTCAGTATTTATTTGTAGTCCTTTTGGTCTTTAGACTGAGGACATATAGTTAAAGTATCATGGTCAAAAGCTGTTTGAGTTAGTTCTCATCCTTTCCTGCTTTGATGTGGTTATATAGTTCACATAGTTAGGTTCATTTTTTTGTTTATATTCTATAAGTCTTTCCCAATCTTGCTGATTAAAAGTTAACATGTTCCAAAAGTCAAAACTATACCAAAAAGTTAGCTTAAAGAAGTATTACTACCCGAACAATCACTTCTGCCCCAATCCCACCCACCTTTGCTATAGGTAGTAGATACATACATATTTACTATTGTTTACACAAATAAGCAGACATGTATATCTTTTCATTTCCCTGTCTTTCATACACAAAAGTAAGCATATTGTATTTTTTTGCACTTTGCTTTTCCACTTAACAATATACCCTGGAAATCATTCTCTTTCAGCTCTCTTCATTCTTTTTTACAGCTGTATAGTACACTACTGTACACAGTTTATTCAACTATTATCCTATGTCTGGGCATGTAGATGTTTCTAATATTTTACAGTTAAAAATAATGCAACAAATAGCCTCCTGCAAATATATTTTTACACTAATCAGGGCTTACCTTCAGAGTAAATTCTGACAAGAGAGAATTCTAAATAAAAAAGCAAATACGTGTTAAATTTTGTCACATCTTGAAAAATTCCTCCCCCAAAACAGTTTTTACCACACTGCATTACTACTAGCAATGTACAGGTATACCTACTTCCCCACCGCCTAACCTTCAGAGTGTGTTGTCTAGCTTTTTGATTGCTGCCAACTTGACAGCTAAGAATTCATATCCTAGTATAGTTTTAATTTGTGTTTCCTTGATCATTAATGAGATTAAACATTTTTACAGAGGACTTAAGGGCCATTTTATGTTGTCTGTTATTAAGTGAAGTGAATGTTCATGTCACTTGGCCATTTTTTATATCAGCCTTCTCTGTTTATTTAATTTTCCTTATATTTTCGGGCCAGGTGTGATGACTCATACCTGTAATCCAAGCATTTGGGGAGGCCAAAATGGGAGGACTGCATGAGCCCAAGGGTAAGAGACCAGCCTGGGCAACATAATAAAACACTACCTCTACAAAAAATAAAAAATTAGCCATGTGGTGGCATGTGCCTGTAGGGCCAGCTACTCAGGAGGCTGAGGCAGGAGGATCACTTGAGCACAGGAGGTCGAGGCTGCCTGAGCCATGATCACACTACTTGCACTCCAGCCTGGGCAACAGAGTTACACTCTATCTTTAAAAAAAAAAAAAAAGAAAGAAAGAAATATTTTCTTTCAGTATGGCATCTGTTTTTTTGACATTGTTTATGGCTTTTTTTAAACCATGCAAAAGATGGGTTTTTAAAAATTATTATAGAATTAAGTTCTCAAATCAACAACCAAACTACATCATAAGGAACTAAAAAAAGAACAAACGAATCCAAAATTAGCAGAAGGTGCTGGGCGTGGTGGTTCACGCTTGTAATCCCAGCACTTTGGGAGGCCAAGGCGGGTAGATCATCTGAGGCCAGGAGTTCCAGAACAGCCTGGCCAACAAGGTAAAACCCCGTCTCTACTAAAAATACAAAAAGTAGCCAGGTGTGGTAGCGTGCACCTGTAATCCCAGCTACTCAGGAGGCTGAGGCAGGAGAATTGCTTGAACCCAGGAGGTGGAGGTTGCAGTGAGCTGAGATCACGCCACTGCACTCCAGCCTGGGCAACAGAGTAAGGCTCTGTCTCAAAAACAAACAAAAAAAATAGCAAAAGGAAAGAAATAATAAAGATTACAGTAGAATTAAATGAAACAGAGAACAGAGAAATGGGTGCAAAATCAACAAATGAGTTGTTTTTTTGAAAAGATCAACAAAATTGACAAATCCTTAGCTTTCTTGAGAAAAAAAAAGAAGATTCAAATAACTAAAATAAGAAATAAAAGAGGAGACATTACAACTGGATGCCTCAGAAATAAAAGGAATTATAAGAGACTATGGGCTGGGTACAGAGGCTCATGCCTGTAATCTCAGCACTTTGGGAGGCCAAGGTGGGCAGATCACTTGAGCCTAGGAGGTCGAGACCAGCCTGGGCAACATGGCAACACCTCGTCTCTACAAAGAAACACAAAAATTAGCTGGGCATGGGTGTGTCTGCTCATGTAGTACCAGCTACCCAGGGCTGGGGGTAGGGGCGGGGTTGAGGTGGGAGAACTGAGGCTGTAGTGAGCCATAATTGCACCACTGCACTCTAGCCTGGGTGACAGAGAGTTCTTAAAAAAAAAAAAAAAAAAAGAAAAGAAAAAAAAAAAAGAAAGAAAGACTACTATGAATCATTACCTGGCAAAAATTGGATAATCTACAAAAAATTGGATAAATTCTTAGAAACATAAACCTAACAAGACCGAATCATGAAAAAACAGAAAATCTCAACAGATCTATAACTAGTAAGGAGATTGAATCAGTAACTAAAAACTCCCCAACAAAGAAAAGCCCAGGACCTGACAGCTTCACTGGAGAATTCTATCAAACATTTAAATATGAATTAATGTAAATCTTTCTCAAACTCTTTCAGAAAAACTGAAGAAGAGGATCACTTGAGCCCAGGAGGTGGAGGCTGCAGTGAGCTATGATCACACCGCTGCACTCCAGCCTAGGCAACAGAGGGAGACCCCGTTTCTTTAAAAAAAAAAAAACAGTTGTGTTTCTATACACTAACAATGAATTACCTGAAAAGAAAATTAAGAAAATAATGCCATTTATAATAACATCAAAAAGAACAAAATACTTAGGAATAGACATAACTGAGGAGGTGAAAAACTTGTACATTAAAAACTGTAAAACATCTCTGGAAGAAATTAAAGAAGACATAGGAAAGAGATCCTGTGTTCATGGACTGGAAGACTTTATATTGTTAAAATGTCGTTACTGTCCAAAGCATTTTAAAGATTCAATGGAATCCCTATCAAAATCCCAATGGCATTTTTTTTCCAGAGATAGAAAAAACAATTCTAAACTTTTTACACAGAATCTCAAAAGATTCCAAATAGCCAAAATAATATTTAAAAAGAAGCACAAAGCTGAAGTCTTCATACTTCTTTTTTTTGAAATGGAGTCTCAGTCTGTCGCCCAGGCTAGAGTGCAATGGTGTAATCTCAGTTCACTGCAACCTCTGCCTCCTGGTTCAAGTGATCCTCCTGCCTCAGCCTCCCAAGTAGCTGGGACTATGGGCACGTGCCACCACGTCCAGCTAATTTGTGTGTGTGTGTGCGTGTGTGTGTGTGTGTGTGTGTGTATTATATATATTATATATATATAATATATATATTTTTGCAGAGTCTCGCTCTGTTGCCCAGGCTGGAGTGCAGTGGCACAGTCTCAGCTCACTGCAACCTCCGCCTCCTGGGTTCAAGTGATTCTCTTGCCTCAGCCTCCTGAGGAGCTGGGATTAGAGGTGCCTGCTACAACGCCTGGCTAATTTTTTTTATTTTTAGTAGAGATGGGGTTTCACCATGTTGGTCAGGCTAGTCTCAAATTCCTGACTTCGTGATCGTCCGCCTCAGCCTTCCAAACAGCCGGGATTACAGGTGTGAACCACTGCACCCAGCTAATTTTTGTATTTTTAGTAGAGACACGGTTTCACCATGTTGGTCAGGCTGGTCTTGAACTCCTGACCTCAAGTGATCCACCTGCCTTGGCCTCCCAATGTGCTGGGATTACAGGCGTGAGCCACCGCACCTGGCCTTTATTTCCTTATTTTGAAACTATTACAGGATGGGCATGGTGGCTCACAGAAGTAATCCCAACACTTTGGGAGGCTGAGCGGGGAGAATCGCTTGAGTCCAGGAGTTCCAGACCAGCCTGGGAAACACAGTGAGATTGTGTCCCTATTTTTAAAAAAAATGATTACAAAGCTCCAGTATTCAAAATAGTTTGGTACTGGCATAAAGACCGACAGGAAGACCAACGGAACAATAGAGAGCCCGGAAATATACCCTCACATAGAAGGTCAAATGATCTTCAACAAAGGTGCCAAAACTACACAATGAGGAAAGGATAGTTTCTTCAACAAATGTGTTAGGAAAACTGAATATCCACATGCAAAAGAATGAAAAATGGGTCCTTATTTAACATGATATACAAAAATTGACTCAAAATAGATTAAAGACCTAACCAGCAAGGCCGGAAACTAAACTCCTAGAAGGAAATAGAGGGAAAAAACTTCATGACATTGGATTTGACAACAATTTATTGAACGCGACAGCAAAACCACAGGCAGTAAGAGCAAAAATAGGCAAATAAGACTACATTAAACTTAAAAACTTCTGCACATCACAGAAACAATCAACAGAATAAAAAGATAACCTGCAAAATTGGAGAAAATATTTACAAGCCATATATTGGGTAGGGCGTTAATATCCAAAATAAAGACCTCCTATAACCCAGTAACAAAAAAAATTAACCCAAGTTTCTAAATGGGCAAAGAACTTGAATAGACATTTCTCCAGAGAAGATAAACAACCAACAATCATATGAAAAAATGCTCAACATCACTTTCTTCAAGGAAATGAAAATCAAAACCACAATGAGGTACTACTTCACAGCCACTAGAACGGCCATACCTTACTTACATCCATTAGATTTTTTTTCTATATCAAAAAATCAGAAAATACGTGTTGAAGAGGATTTGGAGAAATGGGAATCCTTGTGCACCACTGGTGGGATTGTAAAATGATATAGCTTCTAAGGAAAATAGTACGGAGTTTCCTCAAAGATTAAAAAAATAGATTTACCATATGACCAAGCAATTCCACTTCTGGATATATCTCCAAATAAACCGAAAACAGGATCTCAAAGAGATATTTGTACACTCATGTTCACTGCAGCATTATTCACAATAACTAAGATGTGGAAGCAACCAAATCCCCATTGTTGTGGAACAGGTAAGTAAAACATGGTATATACATACAAGGAAATATTATTCAGTCTTAAAAAAATAAGGGAATCCCATCTTATGCTACAACATGGATGAAACCTGAGGACACTGTGCAGAGTAAAATAAGCCAATCACAAAAAGACAAATACTGCATGATTCCAGTTATATGAAGTACTCAAATTCACAGAAGCAGGAAGTAGAATGGTGGTTGCTGGAGGCTGAGAGGAGGGGGAAATGAGTTGTTGTTCAACAGGTATGGAATTCCAGTCACACAAGATGAAGAAGTTCTAGAGATCTACTGTACAATAACATGCGTACAGTTACCAATACGGTAACGTATACTTAAAAACTGTCAAAAGGATAAATTTATGTGTTTTTTAACCACAACAAAAATATTTTATGTCATTTTTAAAATTACATCTGCATTCTGAGCCTTCCTATAGGCTGGATTATAGGAAAGTTTTGTGATGTTTTCATTTGGCACTTTTTTTTTTTGAGACAGAGTTTCACTCTTGTTGCCCAGGCTGAAGTGCAATGGCATGATCTTGGCTCACTGCAACCTCCGCCTCCCGGGTTCAAGCGATTCTCCTGCCTCAGCCTCCTGAGTAGCTAGGATTACAGGCACCCACCACCACCCCTGGCTCATTTTTTGTATTTTTAGTAGAGATGCGGTTTCATCATGTTGGCCAGGCTGGTCTCAAACTCCTGACTTCAGGTGATCCACCCGCCTCGGCTTTCCAAAGTGTTGGGATTACAGGCGTGAGCCACAGTGCACGGGCTCGTTTGGCACTTAATATGGTTTCTCTTTTACATAAGATCTCTGATTTTTGAAGTTTATACTTTTTTTTTTGAGACAAAGTCTCACCCTTTCACCCAGGCCGGATTGCAGTGGCACAATCTCGGCTCACAGCAGCCTCCACCTCCTAGGTTCAAGTGATTCTCATGCCTCAGCATCCTGAGTAGCTGGGACTACAGGCACTCATCACCATACCCAGCTAATTTTTTTGTATTTTTAGTAGAGATGGAGTTTCACCATGTTGGCCAGCCTGGCCTCGAACTCCTGACCTCAAGTGATTTGCCCACTTTGGCCTCCCAACTTGCTGGGATTACAGGTGTGAGCCACCACACCTGGCCTGAAGTTTATGCTTATACATGGTGTGAGATATGGAGCTAATTAATGTTTTTCCAGCTGTCCTAGTGTCATTTAAAGTACATTTTTGTCCTGGTGATTAGTAATGTAATCTTTATTGTATACTAAATTCCCAGATATACGCCTGTCTAGCTCTGAACTTGTTATTCCAATGGTCTGCCTTCTAATCTGTGTGCCATACTAAACAGTTTTAATTAGTCTCTATAGGATGTTTTAATATCTAGAACGTGCAGTCACTCCTTGTAGCTTTTCTTTCTCAGTGTTCTCTTAGCTATTCTTATATGTTTATTTTCCCAAATGAACTTCAAAAATGAGTTTTCTAACTCTATAAATAAATTTGATAGCTTTTATCGGCATTAGATTAGATTTGTAAAGTAATTTAGACAGACCTGGCGTCTTCATGGTGTTAAACTGCCCTAAGAACAAGGGATCTCTTTCCACTTATTAGGTCTACTTTTTTGTCTTTCAGGGTTTTAAAGTTTTTTTCATAAAGGTTTTAGACATTTCTTAAGTTTATTCCTAAATATATTTTACCTTTATTGCTTTTGTAAATGAAGTTTGCTCTACTATTGTATCTTTTAACTGCTTATTATTTGCATATGTTAAGGTTGTTGATTTCTGTACTCGCTTTATATCTTGCTGACTAAATTGTTTTAAGTTAATTCTGTCATTGATTCTCTCGAGTTTTCTAGATAAATTATCACATAAACTGTAAATACAGTTTTACTTCTTTTCTAATTCTTACACTTCTTACTGATTTTTCTTGTCCATCTGCACTGGCAAATACCTATGGTACAATTTAAATGTTAGTATCTTTAGGATTAAAAAAAAGCCCTTGCAAGTAAGGAGGGGGGGGGGAAGAACAACCCAACTCAAAAAAAAAAAAAAAAGGGGGCTGGGCGTGGTGGCTCACGCCTGTAATCCCAGCACTTTGGGAGGCCGAGACGGGCGGATCACGAGGCCAGGAGATCGAGACCATCCTGGCTAACACAGTGAAAACCCGTCTCTACTAAAAATACAAAAAATTAGCCGGGCGTGGTGGCAGGTGCCTGTAGTCCCAGCTACTCGGGAGGCTGAGGCAGGAGAATGGCGTGAACCCAGGAGGCGGAGCCTGCAGTGAGCCGAGATCGGGCCACTGGACTCCAGCCTGGGCAACAGAGCGAGACTCCGTCTCAAAAAAAATAAATAAATAAAATAATAAAAAAAATAGGCTTAGGCAATGGACAGGTAGTTTACAGAAGCACAAATGGCCAGTAAACATATCTCCAAATGTCCAACCTCATTAGTAACAAAAGAAATAATACTTTTACCACCAAGATAAGGATAACACTGAAACATTTGTTTTCTCATCTTTCCCAAAAAGACTAAGTGGAATATGTTATTTTTAGTTTCAAAGTAGCTGCTCCTATTCTTTTGGTTTTTGTTTGTTTGTTTGTTTTTTTGAGACGGAGTGTTGGAGCATCGATCTGTCGCCTAGGCTGGAGTGCAGTGGCGCGATGTTGGCTCACTGCAACCTCCGCCTCCTGGGTTCAAGCAATTCTCCTGCCTCAGTCTCTCGCATAGCTGGTACTACAGGCGCACGCCACCACGCCTGGCTAATTTTTGTATTTTTAGTAGAGACGGGGTTTGGTCAGGCTGGTCTCAAACTCCTGACCTCAAGCAATCCACCTGCCTCGGCCTCCCAAAATGCTAGGATTACAGGTGTGAGCCACTGTGCCCGGCCAGCTGCTCCTATTCTTGGCTTATTTTTACAAAGTGGTTAGCATATGATCCATGAGTGGCACACCTGGGCTTTAAGGACCAGGGCCAGAACTCAGACCAAGTGACCTTACTTGTTAGGATTTTTCCATAGACAGACAGATAGGGACAGAGTGACTGAAAAGCAAATGTGTAGGTGGGTTGAGTCATAAAGCAGAGAGGTATTGTTCAAGGAATTCCTTGCAAGCCAACAAGCAGTCATGCCATTTTTCCTTAATTTCTAAGGTACTGACCTCTTGCAGAGGCAGCAACGACTAACTTCTGAAATAGGATATCACAACACTAATTAGGGCACTACTCTGTGCAGGGTGGAGAGGAAAAGGAGGGGATATTTTAATTTTCCATTTCACATTCCCTTGCCTTGATAAATTATGTTTCTTCTGCCTGGAATATCCAAATAATTATCCATCCTTCAAAATGGCTCAGACATCACCACCTCCATTCTGAAGCCCATTCTTGACACTGTATGCCTTCCCGTCTCCCTCTTCTGTGTCACCTCTGAACCTTGTTTTGGGCGGGGGGGAGAAAAACTCCAGCTTAGGCAACATGGTGAAACCCTGTCTCCACAAAAAATACAAAAATCATCCAGGCATGACAGGGTTTGTCTGTAGTCCCAGCTACTCGAGCTAAGGAGGGAGGATCGTTTGAGCCCAGGAGGCGGAGGTTGGAGTGAGACGAGATTGTGTCACTCCATTTCATCCTAGACAACAGAGCGGGACCACAGCGTCCCCCACCCCCCTCCCCCCAAAAAAAGACAAACAAGAAAAACAGAAGAAAAACTCCTGTGTTTTCATCTATGCTTCTCTATCAATCTAACATTTTTCTCAAAATATAGGAAGTCTACAATAAATGCTTGCTGAACTGAATTCAACTTACCTTCTACAGCATGAGGAATATATCAGAAATAAAATGATCTTGGTGTGCCAGTGCCAGCCATCACCAGATCAGAGATTAGATTTGGACAGACAGAAAAGTTCACAATTAGGGTGGCAAAGCGAGTTAGTACTGCATTTAGCTCCCAGCATTAAATCAGAAGAATCCATACTTAGAGTAAAAGTCATTAAGAACAATAACTGGGCCGGGCATGGTGGCTCACACCTGTAATCCCAGCACATTGAGAGGCCAGGGTGGGTGGATCACTTGAGGCCAGGAGTTTGAGGCCAGCCTGGCCAACACAGGGAAACCTCATCTTTATTAAAAATACAAAAATTAGCTGGGCACGGTGGTATGTGCCTGTAATCCTAGCTACTCGGGAGACTGAGGCACGAGAATTACTTTAACCCAGGAGGCGGAGGTTGCAATGAGCCAAGATAGCACCACTGCATTCCAGCCTGGGCAACAGAGTGAGACTCTGTCTCAAAAATAATAATAATAATAGACAAAGCGCAGTGGCTCACGCCTGTAATCCCAGCACTTTGGTAGGTCAAGGCAGGCGGATCACGAGGTCAGGAGCTCCAGACCAGCCTGGCCAATATGGTGAAACCCCGTCTCTATTAAAATACAAAAATTAGTTGGGTGTGGTGGCACGTGCCTGTAATCCCAGCTACTTGGGAGGCTGAGGCAGAAGAATCACTTGAACCCAGGAGGCGGAGGTTGCAGTGAGCTGAGATCACATCACTGCACTCCAGCCTGGGCAACAGAGTGAGACTCCGTCTCAAAAAAAATAAAATAAAATAAAATAAATAAACAATAATTAAGACCTTAAAATCTTAAAACCTATCTTTAAAATTTACAATACACATAAATTTTATTTTACTATAATGAAAGATTGAAAAAATACACATTGCAAAAAGATCTAAACATATATAAAGCTAAAGTGAAAACTTTCCCTAGACCCACCATTTCCCAAAAATACTCCTGCCTCAATAGTTTGGTATATATTTTTCCAGGTCTCCATGTCTATAAACATAGTAGCATATGTTTATATTACTATAACATAATAATGCTATAAATATTACAATTATAAACATATTATTTATAAAAATCAGATTATATGCTACATACTGTCTTGCCTTTATTATTTAAAAAGTATATTTTGGGCTGGACACAATGGTTCACCACTGTAATCCCAGCACTTGGGGGAGGCCAAGGCGGGAGGATTGCTTAAAACCAGGAGTTCGACACCAGCGTGGGCAACAAAGTGAGATCCCATCTCTACAAAAAATAAAATAAGTTAACCTGGCACAGTAGCATGTGCCTGTACTTCCAACTACTTAAGAGGCTGAGGCAGGAAGATTGCTTGAACCCAGGAGTTAGAAGCTGCACTGAGCCATGATTGTGCCACTGTACTCCAGCCTGAGTGACAGAGTGAGACCCTGTCTCAAAAAAAAAAAAAAAAGGATTTTGTACATCCTTCCATATTTGCACAAATACATCTACCTCATTTTAACGTTCATAAAATTCTACTGTGTGAACATTCTATGACTTATTTAACCATTGTATTATACACAATACTACAACAAACATCTTTGTATATGTATGTATATATCTTTGTGCACACGACTGTTTATATAAAATGAATTCCTAGAAGTAGAATTTCTGGATAAAGAACATGACTATTTAAAATTTTAATGATATTGCCAAACTGTTGGGCTATTACTTTTAAGACATTACCAACTTATTTTTAGCTCTGAAATGAAATAATTTTATACTGCATTTATACTGATTATACAATTGTAGTGTCCTTGGAATTTACTTAGTTGAATCACGATTGCATATTTAATTGAATCTATGGTGTCATCTTGTATAAAACATTCTGATTTTAGGTATGTTAAAAATGAGAAAAATGTCCTCCTTATATTAGAAGGAAAAATGATTCCTAGCTGTCTTAAAAAATGATTAATCACTTCTACTGAGAAAGTAACAGACAACAGCAAATCAAATTCTTACATTTATTAATTAAAAAGAGTACATTTCCAAAAGCATTTTTATATATGATATGAAATATGTAATGGCAAACTGGACAAAGCTAGGGAATTACACACATTAAGAAAGCTTTAGAAGGCCTGTAACATTTGGATAATTAGTAATTACAGAGCATGTTTTTCCCTGTCACAGGCATTCACAGCAACAGATTACAAAACGAATCAAGCCACCCAACTATTTTCTAACATGATAAACCTTGACCCATACACCAGTGTCAAAAAGAGATGTTCAGTTATCTATTAGAAAAGACTCTTATTGATAAGAACAGGCAGCTCTCTTAACTGAATTTGACTCACTGAACACCACACAATTCATCTTGATCTTTGATAAAGAAGTCACTTCTGGAGTTCAGTCCCCAGACACAAGTGACTTTGGACATCTCTCCCAGAAGCATGTGGAAGCTGGGTATCATTTTCCAGTATTCATGTTTGAGCTGAATAAGGTAATACGAATACTCCCTTAATGTCCTGTTTTATTTTTGTTGTTTTGTTTGAGGTACCTAACTTCTCAAGAGATTAACATCAAGGGAGTCAGAATGACTTACAATAAGATCACTTTCCATCTCAGGCATTAATTTGTGTTTTCTACATTTGAGACCATACTATGTGTGTGCAGGGAGGTGAATCATGCCTGGATGTGCAGGAAAAAGAAATATACTAATAAGGTAGTATACTTGAAATTAAGCTCCCTCTTGGCTAAAGCACAAAGAATGGAATCAGGTCAGATAATCTAAACTCTGAATAAAGGTAAGTTCTTTATACTGTGTCTGAAATGTGAACACTAAGTCTATTTAGATTTGATTATGATTGGTTGAAATGTTATAGGTGTTAATAAGCCTCCATCAAATAAGAAAGTGTTTTATAATTACACTTACCAGCATTAATATAAAATCCTTCTTACATAGCCATCACTTTATTCTGAATTCTAGCAACTTTTATTAAATATACCCTAAATTCTTCAGCTATTTTTGCACATGACATGTAAATGTAACCCTTTCTATGACTGGCGTAGCAAACAGATATAAGGTCAGCTCCCATCAACCTCCACTACTTATCTGCTCCACCTCTGCAGGGGCTGCGGGTCTCTTCTCAAGCAATCCTCCTGCCTCGGCCTCCCTGAGTGCTGAGATTACAGGCATGAGCCACCCCTGCTGATTTCTTCTTATTCGGAGAAGCCAGAATTCTCAGAGACTCAATTTCTTTCACATCCTGAGCTTTCTTTCGTTATTTAGTTGAGCAATTCCTAATATACTGAAAAATTTGATTTTCACCCAAAGTCTATGCTTGCATCCTCTTTTTATGTTCCCCTCCTGATAGGATTGCAGGACCCTCATAGCTTTCAATATCTTCAGGGTTTTTAAATCACTTTTTCTCCCCTACTTCACCTCGTTCTGGCCTACTTTTTGCTACTATCCTTTAAAACACACACACACACACACACACACACACACACACACACACACACACAGAAAAACTCCCAGTGAGATTAACATACAATTGTTACAAACTCTCTAGTATACCTGCACCTAACCAACAATCTCCACAGTCAGCTGACTAGTATCTGATCCACAGCATACGCTTTCTAATACTTGGGATAATCAAAAAGCAATGGTGCAAAACAGCAGGGACTACAGATCACAGCTGGGTTTTAACAGGTGAAGCTCAAAATTTTATAGTACTAAATGAGCTCACAAAAAACTTTTTTACATTTGATTGGCTTGGATATAGAATATTGAAAATCACCTTTTTGGATCCTTAATAATCCTTTATTACATGCTATAAAAACAAAGAAAAAGGAAGGTTAAAAAAACAAAACGCACACACACACTCACACACACACACACACAGAAACTCCCAGAAGGCCAGGGATGAAAGCTGTGACGGCTAAAAACCCTTCTGGACAGGTTGGAACATGCTGCTGCTGAACCTGGGCTCCAGCCTGAAAAGGCAACACTAGGTGGCTGGAAAATGAGGCTCAGGTGATTGGCAACAAAGGGGTGCACCTGAATGCTTTGCTACTTCCAGCCCTCCCTTTCTCTGATCCATTCCTTAACTAGTAACCACGATGTGTTGTTGTTTTTTTTTGAGACAGAGTCTCGCTCAGTCGCCCAGGCTGGAGTGCAGTGGCACGATCTCGGCTCACTGCAAGCTCTGCCTCCCAGGTTCACGCCATTCTCCTGCCTCAGCCTCCCGAGGAGCTGGGACTACAGGCGCCTGCCACCACATCCAGCTAAATTTTTTTGTATTTTTAATAGAGATGGGGTTTCACTGTGTTAGCCAGGATGGTCTCGAACTCCTGACCTCAAGTGATCCACCTACCTTGGCCTCCCAAAGTGCTAGGATTACAGGTGTGAGCCACCACCCTGGCCTACTAGTAAATACTTCTATTCCCTTCTTTCTGCAAAATATCTGTTTAGCTCTTATATATGGAAGGCCCTGTGCCAGGCACTGCAGTCTACAGCTGGAGTGAGCTACTGGAACAAATACAAATCTGATGATGTTACTGCTCTGCTGAAAATCCTTCAGTGACATTCAAGATCCCACAAGATCTGGTCTCTGGTAATCTTTCTAGCCTCATCTCCCACCTCTTTCTGACCCTTGCATTCTAAGTTCTGAACACTATTTCCCTGGCTAACTCTTGTTTGTCTGCCATGACTCAGCTTGGATGTCTTTGTTCTCTGAGCAAGCCTCTCCTATCACTCAAGACCAGTTTAGGTATAAAATTACAACCTCTATTTTTTTTTTCCCGACTGAACATTTCTCATCCTTTTCTCCTTCTGTGTGTGAAAATATGTATCTAGTAAAATCAGCTCACAAAATAGCTGATGTAGCTCTTCAACTGTGTCCTTTTCTCATTTTCTCTAAAGCAGTTTTTGAGAGGATGTGATATAGACTGTGTTTTTCAGTTCAAGAAAATGTTAAGGCAACCTTGGTCAGTACAAAGAAGACAAAAATCTGAAGAAAATAAATAATATCCCCATTAGTCTTTTTGCTTAATTCTGCCACTTCTTAAAACAAGAAATGTGCTGCAGAGACTACTCTTGGTGCAGCGGACAGGAAGTGGGCATGGGAAGGGCCTGCTGCACCACACGTGCTCTAGGGATCTACCAGTCGTTCCTCTGCTTATCAAAGCCACACACCTGGTACTGGCCGCCAGGTGGTCCCAAGCACAGTACAAGCAGGAGCATGCTCCCGCTGCCATGCAGGCACACCTTGCTCCTTCCCTTCCTGTGGGTACTTCTTGGGTTAGAAGAAATAACTAATTTGAAATTTCATTGTGAGTTTTCTTTCAGCTCCATCAATTAAGAGAGACTAGTTATGCAACAACTCTGGCAAACACAGAAGGGCCTGCCTCTTCCAATAGAATCCACTGAGGTCTCCTAGTACCACCCACAAGACCCAACCCTTCACTTTCTTATTTACTTATTTATTCACATGGCCTTTGTGCTTGTATGCTTGTCTGGTTCTCTTCTTAAACTGTTACATTCCTTAAGGGCAGAAACAGTCTTTATTTTTTTTGAGATGCAGTCTCACTGTTGCCCAGGCTGGAGTGCAGTGGTGGGATCTCAGCTCACTGCAACCTCCACCTCCCAGGTTCAAGTGATTCTCCTGTCTCAGCCTCCTGAGTAGCTGGGATTACAGGTGCCCACCACCATGCCCAGCTAATTTTTGTATTTTTAGTACAGACGAGGTTTCACCATGTTGGCCTGGCTGGTCTCAAACTCCTGACCTCAAGTGATCTGCCCGCCTCAGCCTCCCAAAGTGCTGGGGTTACAGGCGTGAGCCACATCGCCCAGCCGGAAACAGTCTTATGTGCTGTTCCATTTCCAGCAAATTATTGAGTACCTACTATACCTGATACATAGTAGGGTACAAAATAAATGATTGGTGAATGAGTTAATATAAAACTGTTGGTGCCTCATAGGGAAAAAAAAGACAAGTATTAGAAGCTCTCAGGATACACAGTTCATACTACTGTTAGGAAAACGATTCAGCTGGCCATTCTGCAGCTTCTCCTCACCTGATCGATATCGTTCATCCCTGGCTCCCCCAGATCGAGTTCGGTGGTACTTAGAGGGAGCAGAAGTTTGAGCTGCAGATGGAGCAGGTGTCTGGTTTCTAAGTTCTTTCTGTACTGCTGAATCAGTTTCTAAAAAAGGAAGTTTAAAAGATGGTTATCCAGTAACAGTAATAGCTAACATTTTCTAAAGCACTTTAAGCATTCTCACAATACTCTGAGCTAGGTACTATTACCCCATCTACAGTAAAGGGTTAGAGTTTCAATATAAATACATAAATATGATGCAAAGACATCCAAACTAAAAAATATCATCTTAGAGCCTTAAATGTCAAC
The DNA here is from genome assembly GCF_000001405.40 of Homo sapiens. Lineage (NCBI taxonomy): Eukaryota > Metazoa > Chordata > Mammalia > Primates > Hominidae > Homo > Homo sapiens. The sequence goes on along the minus strand of NC_000012.12, from coordinate 50,640,519 downwards.
AGGTTGATAGGAGAGGAATAGCAAGAAGACAAATGTAAATTAAAAGGCCATTCCAGAGACTCCAAGGAGAGGCAGTACTGATGGGGAGTTGACTGCATATGATCCCCAATCCTAAACAGTGAGACAACGAATAGCTTGGGGAGCCTTAGCTACCATACCGTCAGTCACTCCAGATAAACATAATACAAGCAAAAACAGGGTGATTATGCAGCACAGCTTCAAGTCAAGTCTATTAGCCCCTCTTCCAACTGGACTCATCACTGACCCTACCCTGTCCCCATACTCTCCCCTCCCAAAATGTACTGTCTTATCAAGAATATGGGGATGGGGTAAATAAACAGAAAAACACTAAGTTCTGATGTTTTCCTGCCTTTTTATCTCAAATGATTAATTCCAAATCTGTTTCTTAAAAAAAATTACAATAAAAAAACTTAACGAGATGTACGTTAACAAAATTTTGAGTGTAAAATACAGTAGTATTAATATCTTATTAGTATTAATAAGGCACGATGTTATAAAGCAGAACTTACTAATCTTGCATAACTGAAACTTTATACCTGCAGAACAGCAATGCCTCATTTCCTGCTCCCTATATGCCCTGGCAACCACCATTCTACTCTCTGCTTTTATGAGCTTGACTCTCTTAGATGTCCCATATAAGTGGAATCATGCAGTATTTGTTCTTCTGTGACTGCTTTATTTTCCTCAGCATAATGTCCTCCAGGTTCATCCATGTTGTCACATATTGCAGGATTTCCTTAAGGCTTAAGTTTCTGAAATAGCACCCGGTTATGCCCAGCAAGGCAGCTTACACATAGCAAATTAAATGCCTAATATATTAAGATGTCACCTACACAGCAAATGTACTGCTCCAGATCCCAGCTGAGAATCAGCCTATAAAGCAAAAAAATTAAGGAAAAAAAAAAAAGACTCAAAGCAGCGGTCTGGGGAGTACAAGCAACAGTGCCACACAGCCCAGTAAAGACTGATAGCATCAGAGTATTACAGGAACTGAGATTCATAATGACAATGTTATATCATTTAAAAAGAAAAAAAAAAGCAGGTAGCATGCTGGAAAGGCCATGTGTTGAGGCTCTAGTCAATAGTTCCGGCTGAGCCCAGCCATCCACCTGCCCTGTCAAGGCATCAAACATGTGAATGAGCCATCTTGGACTGTCCAGAGCAGCCCATCTACTAGGTGAGGGGGAAGACAACCACTGAATGACCTCAGTTGGCAACCATATAGAGCAAAATAATCACCAAAATTAGCCCTGCCCAAATTCACGCCTGTAGTCTCAGCTACTTGGGGAGGCTGAGGCAGGAGAATCACTTGAACCTGGAGGCAGAGGTTGCAGTGAGCCAAGATCGTGCCACTGCACTCCAGCCTGAGTGACAGAGCAAGACTCTGTCTCAAAAAAAAAAAAAAAAATTGTGGAGACTTATTCCCACCTTGGCTCACTTGCAAGGGCAGTGATTTATCACGAATGGGGGCAGAAAACAACATACAGGTTGAACACCCCAAATACCCAAATCCGAAACTTTTTGAGCTCCTGTCTAATGCTCACAGGAATGTTCCTTGAAACATTTCTAATTGCCAATTTTCAGATTTCAGATGGTCAACTGGTATATAATGTAAATATTCCAAAAAAAAAAAATCTGAAACACTTCTAGTCCCAAGCATTTCAGATAAGGGCTACTCAACCCATACCTCAGGCCTCATCAAAAAGAGGTGGGAAGGAGTATGGGGGCATGGGAGGACAGCAGGACATTATTTAACAGCATATGTAATGTCAGCTGGGCAGGCAAGATGCTGCCTCAAGGTGAATCATTCCCTGACCATGGTTTCACACTCCAACTAGATCTCAGAAATTACCTGGGGTGCTAAAATACAGATTCCTGTGTTTTGAATAAGATATACACAGTTTCACTGCCATGGTAAAGAAAAGCTAAAAGCAAAGATGAAACTTAACTACATGTATCAACATAATGAGATACTATATGCCATTACAAATGAAAAATATGTAGACTATGCAGATACTTCAGTCCAAATAAAGTAATGCCAAGTGATAAAAGAACACAAAATATTATGTACACAATATAATTATAACTGTATGTAAAAACTATTTATATACAATTATAAGGGTCAGGTGGGACATAAAAATCCCAAAGGTATTTGGATTGAGGTACTCTATTTCTTTACAATTTCATTGTTCTGCTTATAGGATGAATTACGCATAAAACCAAATTCTAAAAGACAATACAAATACGTGCTGGAATGGAAGCTGCCAGACTCACAAATTAAGTCTTCTTTATGACTTCTAAATTCTAGCACAAAATAAAACAGAGATCCGAAGAAAAAGACAACTTGCTGATTATTACAAAGCAAGAGCTTCAGTTCGGGGGTTTCTGATCTTTCAGTCTGTTATGCAGAATATCCACTAGAGGTCACCATTATGTTTAAATAGTGATGATGTTAAAAGGTTTAGTAACAATAAAAAGTACACATTTTAGGTTCAAAAACATAAAGCCTTCCTTCTCAATGATCAATATGTATGTAAGTTATTGTTCCTTGGCAGAAAAATACATCAGAGTCTAATATGTTTCTATTGTTTGAATATGGTAAGGATGATAATCTGAAAAAAATGGTATTTAGTAGCAAAAAACTACACATTTCCACTCAGGAAGATGGAAGGAAGCCACCAGCCTCCACATGTTATCTTTTAATTCTGCTTATGATTTAACAGATATTCTCACCTGCAAGAGTAACAGAGTGAAACAGGATGGGCTCTGAGAACCAAGGAACCTAATAGTTCAACTTCTGGGAGGTGAACAGAGCAGACATGCCTACTGTTCTTGGTGCTAGTGTCCAGAGAAGAAACACATTAAACAAGTGGTCACCATATGTATACCTTTGACCTTGTGATACATGCTAAGGAGGAAAAGAACAAGGGTCTCCCAGCCCACATAATAAGGATTTAACTTGTATTAGAGTTTCAGGGAAGATGAATGTCTGCTGAAAGGAGACAGTGATGCAAAACTTAACTAGGCAGAGAGAAGGAAAAGCCACTTTATTCAAAAGCATGGTGTTTGTAGAAGCCCAGTGAGGGAGAAAAGCCTTGGCAAGTCTAAGACCAGTGAGGCTAAAGATACAGCAAAAGGGTAGAGTGTTACAAAATGAGACTGGACTAGAAAAGTGGCATCAGGTCACTTGTCCTAAGCCGAGTGGGCAGCCTTTGAAGGGATTTACAGGAAATGACAGAATATCAATGATAATAATATTTCCATGGCTCTTGCCTATTACCATCTCATTATGTCTTCACAACAGCACCATGTGATAGATACTATTAATGAAGCAGGATGCCCGTTACAGATTTTTCCACAGTGAGAGGGAACCAATAATCACCTTGAATCATTATAGGGCCCTCACTCCCACCCCATCCAAGAAGGCTCAATCAATCTAGCCTCTTGATTGAGAGGCTAGAGCAGCTGTGAGTAATTGAGGACAGTCTTCCTTTGAAGGGTCGGTGATTAACCTCACCGCCTAGAGAAGGCAAGAGAGGAACGAGAGTGCTAGTGTCTGGAGTCTGGAAAAGGGGCCACCTGCCTGTTTTCCAGGGGTAGACTCTGTAAGGAGAGCGGGTTGGGAGCTCCAGGTCTGTAAAGTGGTAGGTGTCTGAACAGATCCTGACCCAGAGCTTCCTTGGCCACTTGACATCAGGAAAATGACAGTGCATGAGGCTAAAAGAGCCAACACCAGGAGCTCTGCTCCGGGAGTCCAAGTAGAGTACCTGGCTCCTCCTCCATGATGCATCAGAGTAGCCGATGCAGGGAACAGGCTCAGCATTACTGGCTGGTCACACAGTGAGGACCAGTTATTCAGCAGCACCCTGTGAGATGATGGAAAGCAAACAGCAGACTGTGGGGATCTTTCCCCTTTGGGTGTGAAAGCTGGATCTACTACCTCTCCTTTTGCACTGCCTATATAATCCCTGAGGGTTCTCAGACAATTTAGGAGGAAAAAGAAGCCCCAAGAGGAAAATACTGGACTTCCTTCTGATGAGATATACGGGGGCAGATATAATTGCAATGTGTGCTCCAATTCATAGTGATTCCAATACCATCCAAACCAAACAAATGAAAGCAGAATGGGGATTGGAAAAAAGATTCTATGTTCTTTCCATTATGCTATGAGCCTCATTTGGGAAGGAACTTTTAAATCAAAATGAGACACATAAAACAAAATAGATTCCACTCCTCAAACCCTATGCATACATACATACACAGAGGCACATTGCCTACCGAGTATTTACAATTGGAAATGTTCTGTGGCATTCCAAAATGCTGTTCCTGATTTCAAAAACTGGTTTTAAGTTCACGTCCCTTTGAATTTCCACGCTACTTTGTTTAGAGCTCTCTTACAGTACTTATTCTACTCTCTTTTATGATCCTCATTTGTGTAACTGTCATCTCTCCTGCTATAGTGTAAATAACTTGAGGTCAGAGGCTGGTCTTAAGCATCTTGTATCTCCTATAGTAACTGGTCCTTGGTCTTTCATATTGCAAGCATTTAGTATTTTAATTAAAATAAATAATTAAGATCTTGTCTGTCTCCTCACCTCCACCAATAATAGTAGTTGCTCGGAAAAAATAAACACAAAAATGTTGAGATAGCCATTTAAAGTTTACCTAAAAATCCTGCTTATTTGTGTATCTCCAATTCATATAAGTTGTATGCAAAAATGTGTGCCTCTCATTATCTTCATATACTTACACAAGGACATTAAGGAAAATAGGGTTACAGACTACTCCAGGAGGCATTATTAGAGGCTTGAGAGAGAGAATAAAACACAAGGGTTTTCCTTTGTTTCATTTTAACTTGGTCACACTCGCACCCTTGAACAACTTCAAAGGCAGGACTGAACCTAGAAGAACTGCGATGAAAGGAGCACGAAGCAGCTGCCAAGTGCAGTGTACTTATAGGAACTGGAACACCGGGGACTGCCACTCAGCACAGCAAGCAGCAATCACAAAAGGAAGCCACGTTTGGGAAAAACCTTTGGGTGACCAGAACTTCTTATCAAGGCAAGCTAAAGAACATCAACAAATATTAATAACTATCTTCATAAACTTATTATTTATCCCTAAAAAATAAGTAGGCAGGAATCTGGGGGAAAAACAATGCAGAAACATATAGGTCAAGAAAGAAAATGTGAAAGGTAAGATCTTATTCTGAAGCAGGAGATAAACACAATTCACTTCAAAAATGAAGTGAAAGACGAAGTAAGTCACAGGATGAAGAAAATCAAACACACAAACGTCACAAATAATCTCAAATACAGTAAGACAAAACAGAATGAGCAGTATCCTGCCTCTCCTTTTCTTTCTGCTCATTTCTGTTGTTATAAATCTTGTAGTACTATTTAAAATAGATGTACCAACTTCATTTAAAAATTAAAGAAATGCTAGAATATCATTTGAGAATTGATATACTCTGCACAGCCTCTTGAGGTTTTAGTAGGTCTATATTAAAAGATCTATTGAGGGTGGAAACAAGTTGCCAGGATCAATCTACAAGAGACCACTCTATAATGTGTAGAGTGCCCTGCTTCTTGTATTACCTAACACTTTTATCTTCATAGATGTTTACTCAAGAAAATGCCAGAAATTCTAAATGCTCTTTCTTTTTAGTTGTGCAAACATTTATAGAACATCTACTATATATCAGGCACTAATGCTAGAAACTGGGGACATGAAGAATAAAAAAAAATAAAAAATAATGTTCCTCCAGTAGGTGAATAAGACACACAAACAGGCCACAATCTATGGGATGGCCAAAGACAGCTCTTTTAAAATGCAACTCAGATAATGGAAGTGGGGACTATTTATAGGGCTGGTCAAGGAGGGCCTCTCCAGGACTTCCCTAATTGAACAAACCCCTAAGTAGAGTGACGGAGCAAGCCAGGTAGGTTCTGGGCAGTGTCTTGTCCCATGCTGTCTCCTTGGTGTCGAAACAGTATTTGGAACACAGTAGGCACTCAGTAAATACATACTGTCCTTAGATTTGTCAGTAACCCCTGTAAGTTTAGAATGAACTCTTTTTCTATTAAAGCTAGCTGGAATTATCAGTTACTTGTATCCAAAGTATCTTAAAGATTAGACCACAGGACCAGCACAGGGAAATTGCCTTTCTACACAAAATCTTCCATTTTCCTGCAACTACAAGAGTGGCCAAGAGTGACTAATTTACAGAGAAGTTAGAATGCGTGTGGTCTGAAACTTCAATTCTTTCGGCCACGCCAAAAGAAAGAGTCAATTTCCTGGCCACTTCTCCCTGGAAGTCTGCTAATTGAGACATGTGGGAAGCTTTATACTTGGCCACAGTAGCCTCCAACTACTGAAAGATGTTCTGTGGGCCATTCCTTTCAAAGAGCAGACAGCTCAGAATGAGCAAGAGATGGGAGGTGTGAATCTGCCGTATCTTCATTTCTCTCATGCCTCTCAAAGTCGGAGCGTTTTGAGGACCTGAATTTTTCATCTTTAATCTTATAAATTTTAATTTGTTAAAAGACAGCATGGCCCTTAAATACCAGATAAGGTATGGCTCTTGTTTAACTAAAGAAACAACTGTCAGTTCCAATGCTGGGAGGTTTAAGTGATTTTTTAGGGTAATTTTGAAGCAGATTTTTGCCATACAGTGACTTTAGAACCTAATCCCTATGATGCTACTGAATTAAGTTAGTTTTTCTTATTTTTGGAGACAGGGTCTCGCTCTGTCAACCAAGCTGGCATGCAGTGGCACAATCACGGCTCACTGCAGCCTCAACCTCCCAGGCTCAAGCAATCCTCCCACCTCAGCCTCCTGAGTAGCTGGGACCACAGGTGCGCGCCACCACACCTGGCAAATTTTTTGATTTTTTTGTAGAGATGAGGTCTCACTATGTTGCCCAGGCTGGTCTCAAGTGATCATCCTGCCTCAGCCAACCAAAGTGCTGGGATTACAGGCATGAGCCACTGAGCCCAGCCAGCCATGCTTAATATTAACCAAACTTGTCCATACTAAATTTCTACTACTTCCTTTTTCGGTCTATTTTTTGCATGTTATTCTTCCTTACACAATGACATGTTACTCAGGTCTAATGTTCTAAAAAGATGAAACGCATCATGAATTTGCATGTCATCATTGCACAGGGGCCATACTAATCTCTATATTGTTCTAGTTTTAGTATATGTACTGCCAAAGCAAGCACCCTATTACTTACTATTCAAATATTTTCTTCAAAATTGCATTATCTTCCATATTTCCTGTTACACTGTTAATTTTTTCTGAAGTCCTGTTTTAAAGATTTATGTAACATTTGAGAAAAGAAGTATACAATATACACAAATACGCAACCCAAGATAACTACAGATCAATTCCACACACAAAAAAAATCATTCACAAGGCAGGGAGAGGTGGCTCACACCTGTAATCCCAGAACTTTAGGAGGCTGAGGCAGAAGGATCGCTTGAGCCCAGGCGTTTGAGACCAGCCTGAGCAACATAGCGAGATCCTGTCTCTAATTATTTTTTTTTTTAAGAAAAAAAATCACTCACTAAATTTTTAGGTAAGGAGCATGTGCACACAATAATCCCAGTAATAAAATGTTGTAGTATTAACTTTTTATTTAAAAAGATACCAGTGATTAGACCAGGTGCAGTGGCTCACGCGTAATCTCAGCACTTCGGGAGGAGAAGGGAGGCGGATTACTTGAGGTCAGGAGTTTGAGACCAGCCTGGCCAACATGGTGAAACCTTGTCTCTACTGAAAATACAAAAATTAGCCAGGTGTGGTAGCACATGCCTGTAATCCTGGCTACTCAGGAGGCTGAGGCAGGAGAATCACTTGATCCCGGGAGGTGGAGGTTGCAGTGAGCCGAGATCACGCCACTGCACTCCAGCCTGGGTGACAGAGCGAGACTCTGTCTCAAAAATAATAAAAATAATAATAAAAAATAAATAAAAAGACAGTAGTGAGAATGTTACCTTTTTTTTTTTTTTTTTTGAGACAGAGTCTTGCTGTGTCACCCAGGCTGGAGTGCAGTGGCACAATCTCGGCTCACTGCAACCTCCATCTCCCAGATTCAAACTATTCTCCTGCTTCAGCCTCCCAAGTAGCTGGGATTACAGGCATGCGACACCATGCCTGGCTAATTTTGTATTTTTAGTAGAGATGGGGTTTCTCCATGTTGGTCAGGCTGGTCTTGAACTCCCAACCTCAGGCCCACCTCGGCCTCCCAAAGTGCCGGGAGTACAGGCGTGAGCCACTGAACCCAGTCCAACTCTACTAAACTTTAATAAAGTTTAATAAAGTTTAAATTTGCATTCCAATGCCATTTAAAAAGTCAAACTAGGCAGGGTGTGGTAGCCCACACCTGTAATCCTAGCACTTTTGGAAGGCGGAGGCGGGAGGATCACTTGAGCTCAGGAGTTTGAGAACAGCTTGGGCAACATAGTGAGACCTTCTCTCTATTTAGGAAAAAAAAAAAAAAAGTCAAATTAAATGGCTTCCTTCAAAATTTACAAAGATATATGGGGTAAATATGCCAAAGGGTAATCTCTTCTTTTGACATGGAATGTATATAACATAAATTACCCAACCCTACAACCCACCCCTTTTTGGGAAGGACATTGTTAATGAACAAAATGGTCAAATAAAGTGAAAAACACAAAATGAAAGAATTTACCACTGACAGACCCTCGCTAAAGTATTTGGCTACTAAAAAATGTGCTTTAAGAAGAAGAAAATTTAGCCAGGCATAGTGGCTCATGTTTGCAATCCAAGGACTTTGGGAGGCTGAGGCGGGCAGATCAGTTGAGGCCAAGAGTTCGAGACCAACCTGGGCAATATGGTGAAACTCTGTCTCTACTAAAAATACGAAAATTAGCTGGGTGTGGTGGCACAAACCTGTAATCCCAGCTACTGGGGAAGCTGAGGCACAAGAATCGCTTGAATCAGGGCCGGGCACGGTGGCTCATGCCTGTAATCCCACCTCTTTGGGAGGCCGAGGCAGGTGGATCATGAGGTCAAGAGATCGAGACCATCCTGGCCAACATGGTGAAACCCTGTCCCTACTAAAAATACAAAAATTAGCCGAGTGTGGTGGCAGGTGCCTGTAATCTCAGCTACTCGGGAGGCTGAGGCAGGAGAATTGCTTGAACCCAGGAGGTAGAGGTTGCAGTGAGCCAAGTCTGGGCCACTGCACTCCAGCCTGGCGACAGAGGGAGACTCCGTCTCAAAAAAAAAAAATCGCTTGAACCCAGGAGGTCCATGGAGGTTGCGGTGAGCAAAGATCACAGCACCGCACTCCAGCCTGGGCGACAGAGTGAGACCCTGTCTCAAAAAAAGAAAAGAAGGAGGAGGAGGAAACTGACCGGAGAAAGAGTGAGGCAGAAGAAGGAATAGTAAAGAAATGGATAGTAACTATTGTTAACTACATAAAACAGTAACTGATAGTTGAAGGCATACTAAAATAAAGGTGATACTAAAATGTAAGATAAGAAGTGGTGGATGGCCAGGCACGGTGGCTCACACCTGTAATCCCAGCACTTTGGGAGGCCGAGGTGGGTGGATCACCTGAGGTCAGGAGTTCGAGACCAGCCTGATGAACATGGAGAAATCCTGTCTCTACTAAAACTACAAAATTAGCCGGGCATGGTGGCACATGCCTGTAATCCCAGCTACGCAGGAGGCTGAGGCAGGATAATCGCTTGAACTGGGGAGGCGGAGGTTGCAGTGAGCCGAGATCACGCCATTGCACTCCAGCCTGGGCAACAAGAGTGAAACTCTGTCTCAAAAAAAAAAAAAAAAAAAAAAAAAGAAAAGAAAGAATTCGTGGTGATCAACATCAAAGCATTCTAAAGTCCTTGTGTCCTTTAAGAGAATTAAGATGTCTAATAACTATGTTTAGATTTGTTTTTTAAAGCCTTAGGATAAAAAAACACCATAGGGACAAACACAGTTACTCATGAAAGAAGAAACAATTTACAAGGAAGATTATAATTCTTAATTTGAATGTACCTAATAACATAGCTTTAAAACATATAAAGCAAAACTTGACAGAATTACATGGAAAACTGACAAATCCACAGATCTGTCAGAGAGAGAGAGAGAAGAGAAGAAAGACAAGAGGGAAGGGGAGACAAGCAACATAAAGCAGAAGGTTTACAAACAAAGAGAATATTATAAATAACTTTGAAAACTAAACAAAACAATTTCCTAGAAAAATTGAGTTTGGCCGGGTGCAGTGGCTCACACCTGTAATCCCAGCACTTTGGGAGGCCGAGGCAGGTGGATCACAAGGTCAAGTGATGGAGACTATCCTGGCCAACATGGTGAAACCCTGTCTCTACTAAAAATACAAAAATTAGCTGGGCGTGGTGGCACATGCCTGTAGTCTCAGCTACTTGGGAGGCTGAGGCAGGAGAATCGCTTGAACCTGGGAGGTGGAGGTTGCAGTGAGCCGAGATCGCGCCACTGCACTCCAGCCTGGCGACAGAGCAAGGACTGTCTCATTAAAAAAAAAAAAAAAAAAATTAAATTTACCAAAACTGGCTCAAGAAGAAACAGAAAACTGATAGGGGTTGGTAACAAAAGAAGGGAAGGAAGACAGGGACGTTGAGGATGACTTTTAAGCCTGTAACTTGCTGGGCTTATGAATGTGGGTTGTATTCACTCAAAAGAGAAAACTAGAAGCACAGGAGCAGGTTGGATGTTGTAGTTGGTTTTCTGGAGAATGCATGCAGGGAGGGGTTAGTAATGGTGGTAGAGGCAGGGTGCAGAAGTCATAAATTTAAATTTTGGATATGTTGAAATGGTGATGCCTTTAAGGTATATAAGTGGAGATGTTAAGTATGCAGTTGGATCTATGGATCGGGGGCTCGGAAGAGATCGGGTTGAAGATACATATTTAGGAGTTACCTAAATTCAAATGATAATTAAAGTCACAGGTGTGGCTGAAATAATCTAGAGAGATACAGCATTGGTTCTCAAAGTGTGGTCCCTGGACCACCAAGCTCAACATTACCTGGGAAATTAACAAAAATGCTTATTCTCAGGCCTCACCCTGGACCAGATGAATCAGAAACTCTGAACCTGAAAATGGGGCCCTGCAGTCTGTGTATTAACAAGCCCTCCAGTGATTCTGAGGGCTTGCTACAATTTGAGAACCACTGATATGGAGTGAGAAGGCAAGAAGTCTTGGTCCTTAACTTGAGAAATCTAACATTTAACAGACAAAAATGAGCCTGTAAGAAAGACCAGGAGCAGCAGGAAGTGAAGGGTAAGAAAATAAGAAGAGTAGGTAGGACATGGTGGCTGACGCCTGTAATCCCAGCACTTTGGGAGGCCGAGACGGGTGGATTGCTTAAGCTCAGTAGTTCAATACCAGCTTGGACAACATGGCAAAACCCTGTCTCTACAAAAAAAAATACAAAAATTAGCTGGGTGTGGGAGCTCATGCCTGTAGTCCCAGCTACTTGGGAGGGTGAGGCGGGAGGATCACTTGCGCCTGGGAGGCAGAGGTTGCAATTAACCCAGATCACACCACTGCACTCCAGCCTGGGCGACAGAGCCAGACCCTGCTCAAAACAAAAACAAGAATGAAAGAAAAGAAGATAAGAAGAGAGATTCAAAATAAGAGTTTTGAGAGACAGGGTGCTGAATACTACTGAGATTAGATGGCAATAGCTCCAGAAGGAACTAAAACGGGCTGAGAAGTGAGCATTTGAGAAAATAGTGTTTAAGTATAGACAGTTCTGAGCAGTTTGATTAGAAACAGGAAACAAAGAGGGTGAAAATGGAAGTGGCTGACAAGTAAATGGAGGATTCTTTTTTAAATAGACAGTAATAAGCATGATGAACTGCTGAGGGACGAATATGGCTGAGAGAGTGACTGTACGAGACAGAGAGAATGACTGTACGATAGAGATGAGGACCTGACAGCAACGGCATACCAAGGGGGCAATGCAGCTGTCTGCCTCAGCAGGAGAGGTCTTTATTACAGCATTTAGAATTGCTGCACACAGTGATACTTTTTAGTAAAAAGCAGACCAATTTTTTGTCGTTTTCATCATTGCTTTTTATATTTTTATTTATTTATTTATTTATTTTTGAGACGGAGTCTTGCTCTGTGGCCTAGGCTGGAGTACAGTGGCATGATCTTGCTTCACTGCAACCTTTGCCTCCTGGGTTCAAGCAATTTTCCTGTCTCAGCATCCCGAGTAGCTGGCATTACAGGTGTGCAGCACCACGCCCGGCTAATTCTTGTATTTTTAGTAGAGATGGGGTTTCGCCATGTTGGCCAGGCTGGTCTTGAACTCCTGACTTCATGTGATCCACCCGCCTCGGCCTCCCAAAGTACTGGAATTACAGCGTGAGCCTCCACGCTCGGCCCATCATTGCTTTTTAAGTTCTCTACAGATACTGTGTGCCTTACTGACTGCAACCAGGTAGACTGCTCTCACTGCCCTATCCTTGGTGCCATTGGATAGTATAAGATTTGGGGAAAAGGAGGAGGGGTTGGGATCTAAAGCATAGGTAGAAGGACTGTCCTTGGCCAGGAGGAACAGATAATCTTTTTAACCAGAAGGAAGGAAGTAATCATGGAAGGGGACAGATGTTGGAAGTGTGGCATCAGGAAGTTGAAGGAGTTGTCATCGTATGCCTTCTATTTCCCCTGTGAGGTCACCTGCAAGGCCATCCCTACTGGGGGAGGGATATGCCACATTCTCTTGGCCTACTGCAATTAAACAACTGATTCATCAAATGCATGCTCACTAAGCAAATGATTTGGTTCCCATTATAGGCTTGCCCATGGGGCAAGAATGTGCTGACCATACAGATTTCTCATAGTAGGCCAGGCGTGGTGGCTCACACCTATAACCCCCACACTCTGGGAGGCTGAGATGGCAGTACTACTTGAGCTCAGGAGTTCAAGACCAGCCTGGGCAATAAAGTGAGACCCCAACTCTACAAAAAATAATTAACTGGGTGTGGTGGCGCACACCTGTAGTTCCAGCTACTCAGGAGGCTGAGGCAGGAGGATCATTTAAACCTGGGAGATTGAGGCTGTAGTGAACCATGATCGCACCACTGCGCTCCCGCCTGGGTGACAGAGCAAGAATCTGTCTAAAAAAAAAAAATTTCTCATAGTAAATTAATAAATTGATTTTTGAACATGATTTGGTTTCTGCGTAGCCTGACTACGGATAACAAACTGTGGTCCTTTTTACAGTTATACCTCTTGCTGAGCTATTGCTTTTACACCAAGTGACTCAAGTAAATCTCTGGGCCTTCAGAGGCATGGGCCAGATCCACAATAAGCAGCAAATCAAGGTAACCTCCTCAACCCCTAGGTCATGCCTTGCTCAGCAAAAGCTGGCTTTTCACTAGCTGTCGCTGGCCCAATTTCCACCTCTTTTCTCTCAATTCATTTCTACATACACCTATTCATTGAGATATCTTAAATTAGCTGTCAGTGTATTGACCTACTAGTTTCTCTATGAAGGTATTTCCAAGAACAATACAGGAAATAAAACAAGCACATCAAAGAAATATATTGGTATATCACCATTATTTATTTATTTATTCCACTGTTCATTCAACAAATATTTACAGGCCATAAACCCTGTGCAAAGCTTACTATGAGAACTGTGGGAGATACAAAGTCCTCATGGTATTTATAATTCAGTAAAAAAAAAAAAAAAAAGCCATTAGTTCCACAAAGAACAGGCTTGCAGAAACACACTTTGGTTGAAGGGGGTAGAAAATCAGAAATAAAGACAAAACACCCTATAGTAAAAGTGATATAAGCAGAAATAGGCTGTCAAAGGAAATCCTGCAATCTGAGTAACTTTAAAAATATGATGATTATTTAGAGACAGCCTTGCTTAGAGGCAAAGGTTATGGCAACCCCTTTGGCATTAAGCATGAAATTAATTCAGGACTTTCTGATATATAAACAATGTGCTAGTCTCTCTATAGAAGCAGTAAGTCTGGCTTTGAATTAATCTACAAGTTCATTTAGGGTTTTACCCCCCAATCCTCAAGTATTGCCATTCGATAGGGGATCTGTCCTTCCTTCCTCCCTCTTGCTCTTCTTCATCACGGTTTGTGCACCATCATAAATACGATGTGGTTTTTCCATGGCTTGGAATTTTCTGCCATGGAATCATCTCAGTTATGCATAGTCTTTCACACACTACCACCCAAGTTCTGTGTAAATTATCTGATGACCTTAGGTATTTTTAAAAGTGCCTAGCACACAGCAGATGCTCATTAAGATTCATTTCCTCCTTTCTTTCCTTCCGTTTTTTTCTCTCCCCTGGTGAGGAAGGGAGGGAAAAACAGGAACAAACAAAAGATAGAGGTCTTGTAAGACAGCATCTTTTGGTGTAAAAATACTGAAAAAGTTGAAACCATTTTTTATTGCCTACCTTGTGTCTGCGGGCTGTAAGGAGATAGGAGTTTGGACCTTTTCTTTTCATAGCCCTTCTGGGTGATGTCCCCTAAAATAGCAAGAAACAGAAATAGGTTATGCATTATTCTTACTCTGTGGTTTTCCACTGTAAAAATAAAATTAATTACAGAGTTATAGAACTACCCCATATAGAGGCAGGGGGTTGGGGGGGGGAATGTATGGTTCTTTGCCAAGGATTTTGCTATGTATGATTTCCCACAGGCTTGGAGCTGACTTCCTGTAGAATACTGTAGAGCTTGTCCCAAAACCAATCTTGCATAGCAATATGTTGTATACCATGACAGAGATCCCCAAGTTCCTAGGCATCCCCAGCTTCCTTGGTATTTAAGATATCCCAAAATGGAATGCAGCAAGGCTGACAACGATTTCTCTCTGGAGTTTCAATTTACCAAATGAGTACAACTGGTTTCTGAGGTATTCACTTATACTGCTATACGAACCACATAAAAGTAAGAGAAGACAAAGTTCAGGCTCTGGATGGGATAATTAAAAGGACTTTCTGTACCCTAACACCTGTGCTGGAACCTGGGACTGGAATTCCCACATCCCCTCCCCTTGGTTCAATGCTTTGTCTTATTTACTCATGTGGCTCTCCTTTCCACAAAGTTAAATTTAAAAGTATGTATGATGCACAAATTAGTGCATATACAACAAATGCAATAAGGATAAACTGATAAATACAGGAGAAAATCTGTAGTTGAAGTGGCAAGAAATGGACTAGGTACTAAGGAAACGGAAATAGATAAATGAGTAGAGAGTAGGGTTAAAAGGAACAGGAAATGCAGAGAAACAAGAGGACGTTAAGGGAGAATGAGTGATTTAAAGCTGAGGGATGAAAGATATGTGGTGAGGTGACATGACAGAGCACTGTTTTCTGAAAAAGAACCTTTTAAAATAAGAGATAACTTTATTTACTGTGAAGCCTTACATAGAACCTAATATATAAAACAGGAAAAAAAGTCAAATTGTAGTATTAAAAGTACTTTAAACATTCAAAATTTTAATATCCACTTATTAGGGGAAAAAAGCATGTCTGACGGATACAAATTTGCAATCAAGGGTGATAAATGTCAGGTGCTGTTGGCCTCAGCCTCCAATGCTGCAGTGGATGATGGAGAGGAAGCAGGGATCACTAAAAAGGGCTAGAGCAGAGGACTTAACACTGCACTGCAGCAAGTTCACCCTTGCTGGGAGAATGAGTTGTCAGGAACCAAGACTAAAAGCCAGAAGGAGTAGATGTTGGTCCAGTGCTACTACAGAGATCTGGGTAAGAGTAAGTAGTAGCTTGAATTAAAGACAGTGGTAGAAGGGATGAATGAAGTGAATGAATTAAGAGGAAGACCATAGGATTTGCTGACTGCTTGAAAATAGGGGCCAGGTGCAGTGGCTCATGCCTGTAATCCCAGCACTTCAGTAGGTCGAGGTGGGTGGATCACAAGGTTGGGAGTTCAAGACCAACCTGGCCAACACGGTGAAACCCTGTCTCTACTAAAAATACAAAAAATTAGCTGGGTGTGGTGGCACATGTCTGTAATCCCAGCTACTCAGGAGACTGAGGCAGGAGAATTGCTTGAACCCGGGAGGTGATGGTTGCAGTGAGCCGAGATCGCGCCACTGCACTCCAGCCTAGGCAATGGAGCAAGACTCTGTCTCAGGAAAAAAGAAAGAAAGAAAGTAGGGTGAAGCTGGTTTCTTGCTTGAGGTGTGTGTTTGGTGAGGTCGAAGAAAAGAGTTAAGCTTAGGACAGGCCTGTGGGACACACAAGAAGAGACAGCTAATCAACAGTTGGTTTTATCTAGAACTCAGGAAAGAGAGATTTGGAATCATTGGGATATAGTTGAAAAATAAAATGATACAATCCTCTTAGAGTAATTTGCAAGTTTCTATCAAAATTGATTCAGCAGCTGTACTAAGAATTTATTCAATGATAACATTCACACACGTGCACAAAAATCATTAAGAGTATCCTGTGCTCTACTGTTTACAGTAAAAAAACAAACTGGCAGCAATCTAGATGCTTATATTATAGACCATCTATATCAGTGGCTTTCAACTAGGAGAGTTTTGTCCCCCAGGAGACATGTGACAATGTTGGGAAACATTTTTGTCACCATGGAAGAAGAGGTGCTACTGGCATCTAGGGGATAGAGGTCAGGGATGCTGCTAACAACCTGCAATGTCCCACAACAAAGATTTATCCAGCCCAAAATGCCAGCAGTGCTGAGGATGAAAAACTCTAATCTATATAATAATGGGCAAGTAATCCAAATATATTGCCACAGGAGATGTAATACATTACGTGTAAAAGGCAAGCTGCAGAACAGTAGGTATAACATCATCTGATTCCGTAAAAAATTAAAAAAATTTTTAAAAACAGTAATAGGTATGTTTGCATATACACAGAAAATAATCTGGAAGGCTATATACTAAATTGTTTATCCTTGGGTGAGTGAGAGTGTGTGTGTGTGTGTGTGCGTGTGTGTGTGTGTGTGTCTGGAAGGCTATATACTAAATTGTTTATACTTGGGTGAGTGAGAGAGAGAGAGAGAGAGAGAGAGAGAGAGAGTGTGTGTGTGTGTGTGTGTGTGTGTGTGTGTGTGTGTGTGTGTGTAGATACATATATTTTGGAGGCAGGGTCTCCCTCTATCACCCAGGCTGGAGGGAGTGCAGTGGTGTGATCATAGCTCACGGCAACCTCAAACTCCTGGGCTCAAGGGATCTTCCCACCTCAGCCTCCCAAGTGGCTGGCACGCCACCATGCCTGGCTAGTTTTTAAATTTTTTCTCAAGACAGAATCTCGCTTTGTTGCCCGGGCTGGTCTTGAACTCCTGGGCTCAAGCAATCCTCTCGTCTCGGTCTCCCAAAGTGCTAGAATTACAGGTGTGAGCCACACCTGGCCTGTTTTATATACTTTAGTAGAGTTTGATTTTTAAAAACTAAGCCTGATTTATATTAATTCAAAAGTACACATCTTTCTAAGAACGAACGGTCCATAGGTGTATATTTGCTAACAAGGTGGTTTACACAGTATATTCAATTTTAAGAATGATATTTTTGATAGGTCATTAGATGGGGTAAAAAAAAAAAAAAATAGCTGGGCAAGGTGGCTCACGCCTGTAATCCCAGCACTTTGGGAGGCCGAGGCACGCAGATCACCTAAGGTCAGGAGTTCGAGACCAGCCTGGCCAGCATGGTGAAACCCTGTCTCTGCTAAAAATACAAAAATTAGCTGAGAGTGGTGGCGCGTGCCTGTAGTCTCAGCTACTCAGGAGACTGAGGCAGGAGAATCGCTTGAACACAGGAGGCAGAGGTTACTGCGGTGAGCTGAGATCACACCGCTGTACTCCAGCCTGGGCAACAAGAGTGAAACTCCATCTCAAAAAAAAAAGGAATAATGTGTTTGCACACATGTAAAATTTTTTTCTGTGTATGCACTGGAAAAGTGTGCATGTTTACCCACCAAAATATTAACAGTGGTTAGTTATGGCTTGCAAGATTATGAAGTGGTTTTATAGTTTCTTTTCCTTCTTGCTCTTATTTTCTAATTTTTCTGCAATGAACATTATTTCAAGAAACAATAAATATTTTAAAACTTCAATCATGACTACTTACTACACTATACAAATTTAATCACAATGGTCCTTCATCTGTTTCCCTAGTAAAATACAGAAACTGAATTTTTGTTAAAAAATAATTAATTAAACCTTTTCAAAGCAGCCAACTCAAGACTTCAGGGAATTTCAAACAGTAAATACAGCTAACAGGGGTACAGAAGCCTACCAAGTAAACCGTCATTAGAAACAGGAAACCATGTCTTTTATTGTAAAAGAAATACCAAAGCATTCTTCTGTTCCATTCGCCACTCACAAGATCTCCTACCTCCACCCCCTACCCTGGCACAAAGGCCACTTCTGATGGCTCAGAACACATCTGGCAGAGTGACAAAGTGAAAGGCCTTTAAAAAGCTTTCTTCAGTGCTTAAGTCTCAGTCAGGCAATGTCAGTAAATGATCGTGGGACAATCTGTTAGATTTGGCATCCTGGATATTAATCAACTACTAACCACCTCAGGTTTTGAAAGAGGTCAATCAAGACAGTCTAGTTCAGCCATGCCAATTAGCTCCATCAGATCCACAAACGAGCAAAGAAATTAAGGAGACCTGGAAGAAGCTGAGCTGCAGTGAGAATGCGAGGACTACAATGCTAGGCCTACAGTATCTTTAAAATGCTCCCCCTCCCCGTTTTCTGACTACAAGACCCTGTGCTCAAAAGTCACCCCTCTGTGATGCCTTCCACTACTTCCTCCTAGTGCGCCTACAAATCTGCATACATATCTGTGATAGCACTTAGCACCCACTGGTATTTTAATTATGTGTTTACACCCCATGTCTCCCTACTAGACTGTGCACTTGAGGGCAGGGATTGTGTCTTGTTTATCACTGTAGCCCACCCACAGCCTGGCACAATAGACGCTTGTTGAACAAGTGACTGAATGAATTAATAAAATGGAGGCAGTGAGAGAATAATAAATCAAACAGACATGTGTACTTGGTGGAAAACTAGAAATGGGAGAAAAAGAGTTCTTTAGCAAGAGCTGAAAGGCTCAGGGAATGGAATTTAGTGGACCAGAAGTTTACCGAAACTTGACAGCTAGATCTTAAAGGTGAACAAAAAAGCAATGCTTGGACTGCCTGAAGAGAGGAATAATATATAAATCACAAGGCACTAAAAGCTAAGAACTCCAAGCCAGATATAGATACATCCCTTAGCTAGAGGGCAAGACCAGACAGAAAGAAATCAGTGAGAATCTGTTATTTCACATTTCTGTGGTTGCCACCACTTATAGTCTGTGCTCTTAAATCATCCTCACCACCTGTACTTACACAGATTTTGCTGCACTAAAGCAATGTTTTTCAACCTTGTCCAATTTTTAAGATTCTCCCAAGGAACTTGCAAAAATACGAATTCCCAGACCCCTCCCATGGAGACTCTGATGCACTAAGTCTGGATTAAGATCCAGAAATCTCTACTTCTAACAAGCATCTTCCAATGAGTCCTAAAGCCAGGCAAGTTTGGAAATTGCTGCAGTGAGGAATCCTGTCTGGTGTATGCTGGATGGTTCTGCAGACTGAATGTGAGGAGGGAACTGATTGGGAGGAGGGGGAAGAATGCTGGCTGGGCTATCCAGCCACAAGGGAGAGCACAGAACCTCTGGAGCTCAGACACTGAGTCACACCACAGGCTTTCTTACTCAGAACAGACTTTTTGCCATCTGGCATATAGAACAAAAAGGAGAATCATAATGATACCTATATAAAATTTGCATTAAAATGGCATATAAGGTAAACCTGTTGTTCAAGTTTTTTTGAGAAATAAATACAGGGAGGATTAGCCTTCCCCTCCCACTAGAGTAACGTCTTTTGTCCAGGTGCCTGCAGCGCTTGGCAGGAGTGGAGGCAGGCATAGAGCCTTGTATGAAGACACTGACCTAAACCAACAAGAGAATGGTCGTGGCGAGTCTGCGACCCACACGCTGTGAGACTGTCCAGCTGCATCAGAATTACCACAGTCTTCAGCAGCCAGCAGCAGACATACAGAAAGACACATGTGTGAGGCTGAGTATAAAGGACTTATGTTTCCAACTTCTTTCCTCACCACCTGGGATCAATGAAAACAGCTTGGCACAAGTGGCCCACAAATCATCTTCAAGTTGATTGAGAGAGGGCTGTGAGGAGGCGTGCGTGAGCCTGCCAGCCACCCAAGCCTCCTAAAAGCCACAAGGTGGTAGGGAGAACAGTCGCATAAGTAGTGAGCAGTTAGTGTGTATTTACACCAGTCAGGTGGGTGACACTGCTGTGGTGAAGAGCTCAAGGGTCTGAGCTAGACAGAACCACATCTGAGGCAAAAGGACTCTAGACAAGTTTTATTTCTTGATAAATCTGTTTCTTTCTTTTTCTAAGACAGGGTCTCACTCTGTCACCCAGGCCGGAGTGCAGTGGCATGATCATGGCTCACTTGTGGGCTCAAGTGACCCTCCTGCCTCAGCCTCCTGAGTATCTGGGACCAGATGGGTGTGCTATCACACCCAGCTAATTTTTAAAAAGTTTTTTTTATAGAGACAAGGGTCTCACTATTGCCCAGGCTGGTCTCAAACTCCTGGGCTCAAGCAATCCTCCTGCCTTGGCCTCCCAAAGTGTTGGGATTACAGGTGTGAACCAATGCGCTCAGCAGAGCCTCAGTTTCTACATCTGTGAAATGGGGAACAGTCTCTCCCTTGCAAAGTTTTCATTGTGATTTAAAATATAGGGTCTGGGCTATGGAAAATAACATCAACAAACATTACTAAAAGCCTACCCTACTGGCCAAGTGGGGACAATTATGTCGCAGAGAAGAGGCACAGGCAAACAAACATGACTAACACTCTATAATTAAGCGCCATGGGAGACACGTACACAAATGCAGCACCTTCTGGAACCCAGAAGGAAGCATCACGATCTTGGCCTGAGTAGGGAAAGGAATGCTTCACGGAGCAGACGACATTTGGTTTGGGTCTGGCTTTTCATTCTCTTATCAGAAAGGTGATATAAATTCCTAACGATACAGTCACTTAGTGGTTTGCTAGTTGTACTCTGCTGCTGACTGGCTCTGTATGGGCATGGCCATGTTTGGTAGTTGTTCAGGATTCCTATCTCCCAAGAAATGTGGCAATGCTAAGTAACTTTCATTTATGACCTTGTGCAGTACCTTGAGCAATTAGGGGCTAAATAAACACAACATCTGAAAAATTCTGGAGGGTCATCAAGTCATATGTATAACTTTTTCTATCGGGAGCAGTCTTAATGGACAGAGAGCAAGGGTTACAGCTGCAGCCATAAACTTTCTGCCCCAGTGGAAATAAAAGAGCATATGCCATGCAACCCTGCTTTAAAGTCACAGCTATGCAGTCAGGGGTGGTGATAGAGGGTGGGGGGACTTTGGGAAGGAAAGAAAAGCATTTTTGAGCACTGAATGGATGATATGCAGGTCATTAAACAAAGACAAATAAAATAGTATCTTTGCCTTCAAGGAGTTCCCAGTCTAAACAAATATTACAATAAAAGTACAAGTGCTACACTCAAGATTATTTGCAAAGTCCCATGGGAGCAAGGAGAGAATGGTAATGAAAATTATAATACTCGATAAGAACATATAAGTAAAATAACACTTATCAAGGGCCTCCTATGTATCAGTCTCTGTTCCAAGAGCCTCACAACAGCCCTATCAGGTGATATTATCATCATTTTTCTCAATTTATAGGTGAGGACAGTGAGGCACAGAAGTTTAAGCAATTTGCCTACAGTCACACCTAGTAAGTGCTGTGATCAGGATTTGAATCCAGGCAGAAATGGCTCCAGAGCCCCTGCTCTTAAACACCACCATATATTCATTTTTACAGAGACGCTCCAAATTCTACTTCAGAAAGATTGAGAAAACATCACAAAAGTTGCTCTTGGGTTAGGTCTTGAAGGATGATCGTCAGGAGAGAGAGACACTGAGGGTGAATGCACAGTTTATCAAACCCAGAGTTTGGAAAAGAGTGGCATGCTTGGAACAACAGACACAGAAGCTGTAATTTCAATCACCGATGAACAGAGATGGCCCTGCTGCTACTCCTGCAGCCTAACCTGAGGTAGGACTTGGCCGTTTGTGCCTCACCACGAAATCCTCAGACACTTGACGTTGAGGGTTGATAGTCACCTCATGGACCCATCAATTTACTTCACTCTTCAAAAAATGGCACTATATAACACCACCACCAATCTAACATTCTTTTAAATTTTTTATTCTTTAACTTTTCAAAACATTCTGACATCAATTCATTTGATTTGGCTGAAAACCTTCTTCAATAAACGGAAAAAGCATTACCTTCATGAGAACAAGAAACTGAGATGTGAAAAGTTAAATGTCTTGCCTAAGCTAGACTAGAATCTCTGGCCTTTTTCTTGCTGTTCTTTGTCCATTGTTATTTGTAGGTGGCCCCTAAATCAGATGCAATTTAAAAAAATTAAACCTGTTGTCCATAAACAAACAACATAAGCAATTACTATGAATCACTTCAAAATACAGATGACTTTCGAAAATGTATTAACAATTCTGCTCCTCAACAGGACCCTGGCTGAACTGTCTCTTTTAATCTCCTTCATCTTTTATTTTTTTGAGATGGAGTCTCTCTCTGTTGCCCAGGTTGGAGTATAGTGGTGCAATCTTGGCTCACTGCAACCTCCACCTCTGGGGTTCAAGTGCTTCTCCTGCCTCAGCCTTCCAAGTAGCTGGAACTATGGGCAAATGCCACCACTGCCGGGTAATTTTTGTATTTTTAGTAAAGACAGGGTTTCACCATGTTGGCCAGGCTGGTCTCCAACTCCTGACCTCAAGTGATCCACCTGCCTTGGCCTCCCAAAGTGCTGGGAATATAGGCATGAGCCACTGCCCCTGACCCCTTTCATCTTTTAAACCAGACAGCCAACTGTGGAAACTGTGTCCAACTGGTGTTTTAAAAATAGCAAAAAAGGCCGGGTGCGGTGGCTCACGCCTGTAATCCCAGCACTTTGGGAGGCCTAGGCAGGTGGATCATGAGGTCAGGAAATTGAGACCATCCTGGCTAACACGGTGAAACCCCATCTCTACTAAAAATACAAAAAATTAGCCAGGTGTAGTAGCGGGCGCCTGTAGTCCCAGCTACTCGGGAGACTGAGGCAGGAGAATGGCATGAACCCGGGAGGTGGAACTTGCAGTGAGCCGAGATCGCGCCACTGCACTCCAGCCTAGGTGACAGAGCGAGACTCCGTCTCAAAAAAAAAAAAAAGCAAAAAGATCATTATACATCATTACTAAATATTCATTTACATAGAATATGGCCAACATCTTCAAATCTATACCTGAACCTAATCATCCTATTCTATCCTTTAAATGTAAATTTTAGACCAGGAAGGTGGTTCATGTTGGCTATGGCTGGAGATGGGGAGTAAGACTAGGGTTATCACTACTCATACATGAGGGATACAAGTAGACAAATAAAGAGAAAGAGATAAAAATATAGCTGAGAATGTGAATGAGAGCAATCTTAAAGCAAAGCTGAAAAAGGCAGAGGATGTGAATACTATCCAGGAGAAGCTGGCTAGAAGACAAAAATTTCATTATTATATTTTATCATGTTCTCTTCATAATGATAATTCCATCCAATGCAATATATATAGCAGCTGCCCATCTTCAAATATCCTCCTTCCAGAGGTGATCTAGAAAGGCTCACAAACATACAAAATGAAGCTCACAGTCATACAAAACAAGGACCTTAACAATTAAACCAGCTCCTGGCCTCTGTCTTCCCCTATTTCTCTTGCTGTTTCTTACTGAAAGTGTCCAACAGGACTCCAAAGAATTTACAACCTTGAATTATTTTAAAAACTCTCTGTAGTTTCTTTCTACACAGAGGTAGAATTGATCCTATGATGAAAAGAGTAAAAAGACATAACATTTTCATAGTTTAGCCAGAAATAAAGCTCTGTTAAACTACTACAATCTGTTGAAAGAAGATGAGAATTTTTATTGTATCTAATTTTTTTGGAATAAAATAAGTGGTTCTAAAAGTCTTCAACCGGCAGTCTATAAAAGCTATAGTTTTAACTCAACTTTGCTAATCTTACAAACGGTTTTTCAAGGAAATTAACTCTAGGACATTCAAATTTCCATTCTCAGTAGAGATCCTCTCACCTCATTTAGGACAATGACTAGACAATTTCCATGTCAAGAACTAGAGAATAAGCACAGACTGCTTTCTCCTCAAACACAAACCATAGAATTGCTTTGGCTGCACAGCCCTGTTTTCTAGGTCAAACATATGTGACTTCTTACAAATGGTATTTCACCTAAGGCACCAAGCAAGTTCAAACAAAAAGCAACAAAGTAAAACACTGAGAAAATGATCTGTAAGTCTCATCATCAGGCGCTGGTTAAATTAATCCATCTAATGCAAAAGGTATGTTTATTTGTCCACTTAGAAAAACCATGCCTGCAAAGAAGAAGTTTGCTCTACAAATGACCTGAGGTGTCAAAGGGACAGGAGGAATCCAGGGGATGGTTCAGTCAATAGAAAGAGCACGGGTTCTAGCATGAAACAGATCTGGGTTCGAACGCTGAGTTTGCTGTTTTACTTGCTTCTTGACAAGTTACTTAACAACTCTGTGCCTTAGTTTCCTAATAGGTAAAACTGGAATAACTCCTACCTTGAGTGTTTATGATGAGTCTTCAATGAGAGAATAAATGCAAAAGTCCCTGGCACACAGCACATACTCAACTTGTTTTAGTTGACAACTCCCCAGCCCCAACCCCACCCTTAAGTCCTAAGAATAACTATCTTTAAAAGGATTATCTAGAAAATTCTGGGTTGGTAAATTCTCTTTTAAAAAAATAAGATACAACGCATCAAGTATCACTAAAGTTGCTCCACAGTGCTAGACTCAGATCATGGTACTAGACTCAGCACTAAGAGCCAACAAAGTTAGTGCCTTTGGATGCTAAGGGCCTAAAAGAAGGAAAACTGATGTCTCAAAGAGGAGTATACAAATATCTAAACCAGAAATGAGCAGAGATCAGTTAAAATGCATATATGTAAATGTATGTAAATAAACCATGCTATTATGCACAAAACAGTGCTACGTGCATCTAATTATGAATGTTGCCAAACTTCTAGAAAAAAAAAGAAATGGCGGGGGAGGGGGTGCGGAAAAGTAATTTTCATTATTGCTTCTTCTTTCCCCCTTTATCTTGGTAATTTTTCTCTGAAGATTAGAAAACTGTTTCTAGTGTTAACAGCTAGTTATCTTCCAACTATTCTGCTTTTATTCTTGCATCAATTGGAGCAATTTTTAAAAACCAGGCAATAAGTAATAGTATCTATACCAATCACTGAATCTGAATTAAATGGTGCATGTGCCAGGCATTCTTTATCAATAGTCTAGATAAAATTAACAGTGATCAAAATCTAAGTATCTCCTTTGGCAGGCGCAAAAAAAGTGAAAGCTTTTAAAGAGATGAAGAATTTTGTTGGTAGCCAATTCATACTGCTCTGGAAACCAAAGATGGACAGGGAAAAACACAAGTAAGGAGAATACTGCCACTGCCACAGCATGGGGATCGCAAAAGCAGGTCGCTTAGGCCAAAGTGGAAAAGGGTTTTTCCAATGAGGCAGTAAACATCACCATTCTGTGTTTGGCATAGGTTTATAAACTTGTGTTCAAGTCCCAGTGTCCAGAGACTTAGGTTTTCCTCCCCATTTTGTTACAAACTATTTATCTGATACTGGGCAAGCCACTATACGTCTCTGGGCCTCAGTCTCTTCATCTGTAGGAATAAGGATCTCATGGGCTCTAAGACTGCTTTAGCTCAACGTTGGATGAATGCCATTTGTCTGGCACTGTTACATATGGCAAGTCAAAAACAAGGGAGGATATCCAGCAGGCAACAGGAGAGAGAAACTCTAGAATGGATATATAGATTTTAGAACCATCAAGCGTAGGAGGTGGTAGCTGAAGCCTTGGGTGTGAATGATATCACCCAGAAGGAATGCAGCATGAAAGAAGGCAACCAGAAAAGGAATCCTGGGGTAAACTAACATTTAAAGAACAGGCAGAGGAAATGGAGACGATGATGACACACAGTGGGGAGACCAGGAGAGAATGAGGAAAATGGAGGCAGAGAGGAGAAGATGAGTGCACACTGTCACAAATATAAAATAAGGATCAAAAAATAACTACTGGATTTGGCAGGTAGATCATCAGTAGCCCAGTTAAGAACAGTTTTAAAGGAACAGTGAAGGAAGAAAACAGATTATTTAGGACACTGAAGAATGAGTAAGAGGTGAAATGACAGCAATAGATTTCCTTCTTTCAATGTTTTGTTAAAAAGGGAAAGAGATATGGGGTAGTATTACAGAAGGCTAGAGTCAAAGCAGGTGAGTTTTATTTTTTTCTTTTTCTTAAAGATGGACAAATATGTAAGTTACAAAGACAGCTATTAGAAAGATACCGATTCTACCAACAAACACTAAGAACTTCCTACATACAAGCCACCACTTTAGTGGGACATGGGCCCAACATTTATAGGCATAGTGATGAAGTTTATAGTTTCTTCCAGCATAGACATCTGAAAAGAATTCTATAATTAATGATTTAATTACAAGTTCGATAAGGGTTAGTGTTGTCAGTGGTTAGGGCCAGGGCTTCTCAACATGGGCTGGGAATGTGGTATCTGCGCTGATCTGTGAGTGCTTTATGGGTGTGGAAATGTTAATACTCAGTCCCTTAGGGCAGTTTAGCTGAGCTTCAGGGAACTGAAAGCCTTGGGCCAGTCACCTCAAACAGGCACTCTTTTTACCCCACTGTATTGAACAAATATTATCATTTTCTGTGTTTGTCAGGATGTATCAAAGGTTTAAAGCACTGCAGGACTTTAGAGATACCTTTTCTCTACGAAAAAGGGTAAGGATCGGTAGGGAGGTATAGGTAGGTGCTGGAGCACTGGGAGTGAGGACAGAAGATGACAGGACTCTGGCTTAATGACCTCTAAATTTCTTTCTGCACAGGAATCAGAGTAAAGGTTTTCTTGTCTATTTTCCCTTCTACATTCATTCACTGCCTATTTCGTTCTAGGTACCATTCATCTAAGCAATCACATACATTAATCCATATAGTCCTCAAAACAATTCCATGGAAGAGTATTATGAGTCTCAGTTTCCAGATGGGAAAGTGAGACACAGGGAAATTAACTGGCCTGCACAAGGACACAACACTGTGAGAGACAGCTTCAAAGCAGATGGTCTGGCTCCAGCATCCAAACTCTTACCTACCTCTCAGTGCTGCCTCTCTAAGGTCTTTGTGACAGGAATGAAGAGTTGGAAGAGAGGGTTTGCGTAAAGATATTCAGAGTTGCCACTACAGTAACGGGAGGCACATGCTGTGCTAGGCAGTGCTGAGAGTCAAGGGAGACGGGAGAACAGAATGTTTTTAGTTATGTTCCACAGTTTAGTGACTGTCTCCAGTAGTGCCTGGGAGAAAGATGATGGTTTGAATAACATAGAGCTGGGGTGTAACAGGAAAAGAGGATGGAAGGAAGCAATGATCCAGGCTAGCAAGTATTTATTAATCAGTAATCAACCAATCAGCAATAAATACTGTTGAATAAATAATTGTGCAGTATTATCAGCCTAATTTCTATAACTTTTCAAAGTTATTATGGGAAAGGCTGGGTGTGGTGGCTCACGCCTGTAATCCCAAGACTTTGGCGGGCCGAGGCGGGCAGATCACTTGAGGCCAAGAGTTCAAGACAACCCTGGTCAACATGGTAAAACCCCATCTCTAATAAAAATACAAAAATTAGCCCAGCATGGTGGCGCACACCTGTAATCTCAGGTATTCAGGAGGCTGAGGCAGGAGAATCACTTGAGCCTGGGAGACAGAGGTTGCAGTGAGCCAAGATGGCACCACTGCACCCCAGCCTGGGGGGACAGAGCAAGACTGTCTCAAAAAAAAAAAAAAAAAGTTATTATGAAAAATATACTCAGAATTCATCTTGGGAGGGCAGAAGATGTCACCCTCAAGAAGAAATAACACGATTCCAAAAGGAAAGAATGCTGAAAGAAATCACAGAAGGGCCCTCAGGAGGGTGTAAAGGTTCCTCCTAGGCTAATTCTCCTTGCCTATTTCCCTATCTGCTTTTCTTTTCGAGACAGGGTCTCACTCTGTGGCCCAGGCTGGAGTGCAGTCGTGCAATCACAGCTCACTGCAGCCTTGACCCATTCCCATCTCAGCCTTCTGAGGAGCTGGGACTACAGGGGCATGCTACAATGCCCTGCTAATTTTTTGTAGAGATGGGGTACCACCCACCTCAGCCTCCCAAAGTGCTGAGATTACACATGTGAGCCACCTCCCCTGGCCAAGATATCTGCTTTTTTTTTTTTTTCTTTTTTAGAGGCGGGATCTTGGGTTCAAGCAATCTTCCTGCCTTGGCTTCTTAAAGTCCTGGGATTATAGGCAAGAGCCACCACGCCTGGCCTGTATCTGCTTTTCTTTTCTTACTTTGCACCTAGACATAAAGACAAAAGCAACGACAAGTGATCAAGAATATAGAAGACTGTAAAGAAAATGCTAAAACTGAAGTTTTCTTGGGCATTTCTTGCTAAAAGCCCGAGAGAGGGGCAGAGACTAAATAAATTATTGCTGGTCCAGGGAATGGCTTTGGGGGACATGGTGGTGGTGGAAGTTCAGGGGTGAAAGAGCGACTGAAGGGATCTAGTACTGGGGGTAGGTAAAAAGAGAATAAAACCACTGGAGGCAGTGGTGGGGAGGGAAAGGGAGCTCCCAAATCCACTGGGTCTGCTCTGGATCACACAGTCAACAAAGACAGTCAGCTGCTGCTTCTGGTTCCTCTTTTCCTGGCAAAATTTTAAATAACTAGCTGGTGGTTACTATTTTTAAAGATTAAATAAAAACAACCCACGCCCCTCAATGCAGCCTCAGCAAAAGAATAAATGTTAAACGTTAATAACACTCTTAGGAATAGAGGCTCAAGGAAGGGTGGAGAAGCAACCAAAAAGAATAAAAATGATCTCGCAGCTATAAATTTGTAACAGAAAGCTGTCCAGGGCATTTCGGTAGTACAAGAGCTGATATCCTTTAGCAGGCAAGAAAGCACTTAAAATAGAGTGAAACAAAGAACTATGACAAACTGCCTAAGGATTCTTATAAATGACTTGCAATTTTATAAACACCTATCCGCCAATGTTTAGGAGATAAAACTTTTGACTTGGCTGATAATACAATCCTTTCTCTCTTTAATTTGTGTGTCTATTATCCCCCTAAAGATATTTACATCGGCCAAGCGCGGTGGCTCACGCCTGTAATCCCAGCACTTTAGGAGGCCAAGGTAGATGGGTCACAAGGTCAGGAGTTCAAGACCAGCCTGGCCAAGATGGTGGAACCCATCTCTACTAAAAATACAAAAAAATTAGCTGGAGGTGGTGGCAGGCTCCTGTAATCCCAGCTACTCAGGAGGCTGAGACAGAGAACTGCTTGAACGGAGGCAGAGGTTGCAGTGAGCCAAGATCACGCCACTGCACTCCAGCCTAGGCAACAGAGCGAGCCTCCATCTCAAAAAAAAAAAAAAAGGTTGGGCACAGTGGCTCATGCCTGTAATCCCAGCACTTTGGGAGGCTGAGGCGGGCAGATCACGAGGTCAGGTGATCAAGACCATCCTGGCTAACATGGTGAAACCCCATCTCTACTAAAAATACAAAAAAATTAGCCGGGCATGGCGGCGGGCGCCTGTATTCCCAGCTACTGGGGAGGCTGAGGTAGGAGAATGGCGTGAACCCGGGAGGTGGAGCTTGCAGTGAGCCGAGATGGCGCCACTGCACTCTAGCCTGGATGTACAGAGCAAGACTCTGTCTCCAAAAAAAAAAAGATATTTACATCTCCAATATCACTAAAGAAAATTTTACTTTCCTGAAGTTTCACTTGGAGGAGGGGGGTGAAACAACACATTCCTTATCCTAAAATAGCAAAGACAACAATGCAAGGAATAATACTTCAGAGTTCCAGCAGATATTTCCTGTATTTCACTCATTGTACTAATCACAATCAAAACTAGCAATTAAAAGGAAAAAAACACTACTCCTAGTAACAAAAAAACTCTACCCACCATTCTTTGCCTGCCATCACTCCCCAAACAAATATCACCACACATCTGAATATTATGAAAAAATAACATACTTCCAAGGCTATCAACATATGGAAATGTGATATTAGGCAGTCTAACCATTCCTTAGGGTGACAGTGATAGTAGTAATTTTAAAAATCATTATTCTAGAATAAAAGCTAGAAATAATCAAATGTTGGGTTTGGTCATTTATATTTAGGTGTTATAGCTGTATCTGCAGAATTCTTAAAAACTTTATTAAAATTCCTGCATTAAAAATACTTTGGCATTGTGAATTTGGAATATGATTTACTTACTTCCTTTATTAGTTATAACAAATGTTCTTGTAATGCAGTTTTCTCAGGATGAAGTTTTTGTTCAATTATGAACATGGTGTTTTAACAGAACATGAAACAGGACACATCATTATAAAAGCCAAGCGTAAAAGAAAAAAAGACAACCACAAGCAGTTTGTGTGCCAAGGGATTTGAAGAGAGATAAGTGGTCCATCCTATCTCTTCTTTTATCTTCCACAATAGGATGGTTAGCTGGGCAATCAACTACTCAGAAGACGATGACATTTCCCAGTCCCCTCATAGGTAGGTACGGTCAAATTACTAAGGTCTGGCCAATGTGATATCAACAGAAAGAATGTGTGCAACTTCCAGATCTTGCTCTTAAATGGAATGGGTGTATCTTCCCTTCTCTTTCTCCCTTCCCAATGGGTGAAATGGGATGTGGTAATCAGCTATATTGGACAAAGGGTGAAGAGCCAGACCAGTAGATGATGAAGGAACAGGGTAGAAGGGCCTGTTGCCCAATACCCTCATGAAGCAGAGTTGCTGTACTAGTTGAGACCATGGCATGACCTAGAAATAAACTTCTATCTTGTTTTAAGTACCTGTTATTTGGGGTCTTCACTACATGTACTTAAACCCATTGTCCAACAAATACAAAGCAAATGAGACAATTTTCAGTCAAGTGGCAACAAATAATTGCTGCTACTTGGTGTCTCCACCAGAACCATAAACCATGGTACTAAAACTTTTAAAAGCTAATTTAACTCTTATGTAGAAGATACAAATCCCTTATAAACTTTTCATTGTTAATCCTCTTGATAATTTTTTTTTTATTATTTTTTTTGAGACGGAGTGTTGCTCTGTCAGACAGGCTAGAGTGCAATGGCACAATCTCGGCTCACTGCAACCTCTGCCTCCATGATTCTCCTGCTTCAGCTTCCTGAGGAGCTGGAATTACAGGCACCCATCAGCACACCTGGCTAATTTTTGTATTTTTAGTAGAGATGGGGTTTCACCATATTGGCCAGGCTGGTCTCGAACTCCTGACCTCAGGTGATCCACCCGTCTCAGCCTCCCAAAGTGCTGGGATTACAGGCGTGAGCCACCATGCCCGGCTAATAAATATTTTTTGCACTGCTTCTGCTTACATAAATGAAATTTTGTTCTAGGCTGGATTCTTACAAAAGTAAATATGGTTTACTTCTTTGAAATCAGAGTATTGCAAAGAAACTTTTAAACTAATGTAAAATTATCTAGGAACACGCATTAAGAGTGTTGAACTAGTTGATCGATAGACTGTGCTAGTGTTACTATTTGTTTTCTTTTCTTTTCTTTCTTTTTTTTTTTTTTTGAGACTGAGTCTTGCTATGTCACCCAGGGTGAAGTGTAGTGGCACGAACTCAGCTCACTGCAACCTCTGCCTCCCAGGTTCAAGCAATTCTCCTGCCTCAGCCTCCAGAGTAGCTGGGACTACAGCCACGCACCACCACGTGGACCCAGCTATGTTTTGTATTTTCAGTAGAAACAGAGTTTCTCCATGTTGGCCAGGCTGCTCTCGAACTCCTGGCCTCATGTGATCCAACTACCTCAGCCTCCCAAAATGCTGGGATTACAGGTGTGACCCACCGCACCTAGTGTTACTATTTCTGATAGATGCTGTTTCCACGTAAGTTTTCAGCATAATCAAAATGGCTTTTCTAAATTGCATTTTTGTTTCTTTTTATTCTTGCAGTTAAAACAGCAACCATTTGATATGCTAAGACTTCCCCATCAAGATATTATCTAAATAAACTATCAGTTAAAAATAATTGGTGGACACAAATTCCAAATACTAATTTGCTAATTGTTGAAAGACTACAGCTTATTTGAAAATAAGCAAATTGTGGCCCGGTGCAGTGGCTCACACCTGTAATCCCAACATTTTGGGAGCCCAAGATGGGCGAATCACCAGAGGTCAGGAGTTTGACACCAGCCTGGCCAACATGGTAAAAACCTGTCTCTACAAAAAATACAAAATTAGCCGGGCGTAGTGGCGCACACCTGCAGTCCCAGCTACTCAGAAGGCTAAGGCAGGAGAATCACTTGAATCCAGGAGGCAGAGGTTGCAGTGAGCCGAGATCGTGCCACTGCACTCCAGCCTGGGTGACAGACTGAGACTCCATCTCAAAACAAAACAAACAAACAAATAAAAAACCCAGAAAACAAGCAAACTGTGTGAGGAATGATGTGTTTCCTCTGTTTTCAGACTAAGAGCTTGCTGTACTACAGCTATTAGTAATTTTAGGAAATTCTCCAAGCTTCAACCACTCTGCTTTTGCTGATTATATTCTATTACACTTCAGAGCAAGACTGTGTTTGAACAAAAACCCTGACCTTAGCCGAAAGATCTTAAAACCACTGAATATATAGCTGATAGAGCACTGGCCTTCTTTTCAGTAGTAGAAAGGGGATGCTGTCAAGAAAAGGAAAGGAAGAAAAATCACAGGAAAGACTTGATTTGATAAAAAATAAGTAATGAGATTATCTTCAAAATTTGTCTTAATGTTTAAAAATGTCTAGATCTTCCATTCCATATCTGTGTAATGCTGTGGAAGTCAGAAACATCTAGGTTCCAAACCTGGCTTATCATTTACTAGCTATGTCTCTTTGGATATGTTAGTTAAGTTTCCTGGGTCCTTGTTTTTTTCTATCTGTAAAATGGGGAAATCTGCACTTTTCTCATGGGACTGTTAACAGGATTAAGGAAGATAATCTACGCAAAGCTCCCAACAGAGTACTTGGTCCAAAGCAGACACTCAATAAATAAATGTTAGTTCCCCTCTCCACCCACTCCACCAACAACCATCAAAACCTCAAAAAAAAAAAAAAGAAGCCAAGCATGATGGCCCATGCCTGTAGTCCCAGCACTTTGGGAGGCAGAGGCAGGCAGATTGCTTGAGTCCAGGAGTTCTAGACTACCACTGCGGGCAACATAGTGAGACCTCATCTCTACAAAAAATACAAAAATTAGCAGGGTGTGATGACACACACTTGTCCTAGCTATTCAGGAGGCTGAGGTGACAGAATCATTTCAGCCCAGAAGGTCAAAGCTACAGTGAGCCAAGATAGTGCCACTGAACTTTAGCCCAGGTGACAGAATGAGACCTTGTCTCAAGAGGAAAAAAAAAAAAACAGAAAAAGAAGCCAGGCATTGTGGTATGAGCCTGTAGTCCCAGCTACTCAAGAGGCTGAAGTGGGACGATTGCTTGAACGCAAGAGTTGGAGACCAGCCTGGGCGAGACCATCAAAAAGATTAAATTAAATTAAAATCTCAGAAAAAAATTACAAATCAAAGGGTCCTGATATGAGTTGTATGCCTTTTTGGAATGAGTGAATTTTATGAAGATCAGCTAAAAACCACCTCCTTTGAAGGTGAGAAAAATTTGCACACCCATGTTCATAGCATCATTATTGTAAATGAAAAGTAAAAACAACTCAAATGTCCATCAACTGATGAATGGATAAATAAAACATGGTATATCCTCGCAATATTATCCAGCAATAAAACAAATGAAGAGCTAAGAGTGGTGGCTCATGCTGGTAATCCTAGCACTTTGGGAAGTCAAGGTAGGAGGACTAATTGAGGTCCAGGAGTTCCAGACCAGCTTGGGCAACATAGTGAGACCTCATCTCTACAAAAACTAAAAACACTAGCCAGCCATGGTGGCACACACCTGTAGCCATAGCTATTCAAAAGGCTGAGGTGGGAAGATCACTTGTGCCCAGAACTTGTGGCTGTAAGGGAGCTATGATGATATCACTGTACTTCAGCCTAAGTGACAGAGCAAGATCCATCTCAAAAGAAAGAAAAGAAAGGCCAGGTGCGGTGGCTCATGCCTGTAATCCTAGCACTTTGGGAGGCCAAGATGGGTGAACTGCTTGAGGCCAGGAGTTCAAAGCCAGCCTGGCCAAAATGGCGAAACAATGTCTCTACTAAAAATACAAAAAAGTAGCCGGGCATGGTGGCACACACCTGTAATCCCAGCTACTCTGGAGGCTGAGTTAGGAAAATCGCTTGAACCTGGGGGGCGAAGGTTGCAGTGAGCCGAGATCATGCTACTGCACTCCAGCCTGGGCAACAAGAGTGAAACTCCATCTAAAAAAAACGAAAGAAAAGAAAAGGCAGAGCAGGAAATAAATAAATTAAGAGAAAAATGAATGAAGTACTGATACATGCTGCAACATGACTGAACCTTGAAAACATGGTAAGTGAAAGAAGCCATTCATAAAACACCATACTTTCTATGACTCCATTTATATCAAATATCCAAAATAGGCAAATGCATAGACAAAGAAATAGATTCAGGTTTGCCAGGGGATGAGTAGGGGGAAAGGGAATTGACTGCTAATGAATATGGGATTTCTTTTTATTTTGGAGACAGGGTCTCACTCTGTTGACCGGGCTGCAGTGCAGTGGTGTGATCTCAGCTCACTGCATTCTCCATCTTCTGGGCTCAAGTGATCCTCCCAGCTCAGCCTCCCCAGTAGCGGGACTACGGACACACACCACCCTGCATGGCTAATTTTTGTATTTCGCCATGTTGCCCAGGCTGGTCTCAAACTTCTGGCCTACAATGATCCGCCCACCTTAGCCTCGCAAAATACTGGGACTACAGGCATGAGCCACCTTACCTGGCTGAGGTTTCTTTTGGAGTTCTAAAAACGTTCTAAAATCAGATCACAGTGATGGTTGCATAACACTATGAACCTACTAAAAAACATTCCATTATATATTAAATTGGTATATTGTATGATACGTGAATTATACCTCAATAAAGTTGGGGGTTTTTTAAACCTTACTGCATCTAAAGTTTAATAAATCAAATCGGGGTGTTCAAAAGACACTGTCATCTAGAAAACAGGCTACATTAATGGGTATGTGTATATAAACTTCAAGTCATTTATAAGAATCTTTAAGCAATTCATCATGTTTCTGTCTTTTTACTCATTACATAAAATGAGTATCTTATCTCCTGTGCATCTGAAGTGATACCGGCTACGTACTATCCTTGGGAGAACTGAAGAGGTTCACTCAGTTTTCTGTAGAGGTTATCTGTGGAACTCTCATTGATATATATTCTTTTTAAATAGAACATTTATAGAAATTGACTACATACCAGATCATAAAGCAAGTTATAAAAAATTCAAAGAACTGGTATCAGGCATATCGCTTCATCTGTCAACAATGCAATCAAGCTGGGTGTACTGGCTCATGCCTATAATCCCAGCACTCTGGGAGGCTGAAGTAGAAGGATGGCTAGAGCCCAGCCTGGGCAACAAAGCTAGAACCTGACTCTACAAAAAACTTAAAAATTAGCCAGGCATGGCAGCATGTGCCTGCAGTCCCAGCCACTCAGGAGGCTGAGACAGGAGGACCGCTTGAGCCTGGGAGGTCAAGGCTGTAGTGAGCCATGAACATGCATGCCACTGTACTGAAGCCTGGATGTCAAAGACTTTGTCTCAAAAAAAAAAATGCAATCAAGTTATAAATCAATAAAAGATAACTTCTGTAAAGGTCAGCCACAAAAAAGTCTACTACTGTGCTATTTACTTATAATGTACACAGTGCATGTAATGCATATATATACACAGTCACTTGACAACGTTAGCTCACAAGAAAATGAAATGAGGTTGGATATATGCTTGCATGCTGCCAACAAATTTCCTTATTAAATTTAATACATTAGGTTCTCAAAAACTGTATATAATCAATCATATTTAAGAACATTAAAGAGTTTGCTATTTAAAGGATTCAGAGTAAAACCTTTTGTACTATAATTATTGCCTAACTTGTCTGCTCTCGGTTCTTTCAAAAGCTTATTCTGTATATAGCACAGTGTTGAATGCACTATCACTATCTAGGAGCGTACAATCCATCAGAAGCTTGCATGATGCAAAACAATGCAAGAAAGGAATTTGGTACTCTGGTCAATGCCAAGGTCAGCATTTCCCCAAAGTGTTCTTCTAATTCAGCAAGCCAAGGCCTGGAACCAGGCCATGGCTTTCTCATCATTGTGAATTTATCCTTGAGCAGTTTCTGAAAAAGAACTTCAGCAGAAAAATGAGCTTTAATCACCTAAGGTGAATAAGTAGCTTAAAAACCTGAAAGACAACCAATAATCTTCCTAATAAATAAAATGGTGGGCCAAGTCATACCTCTCCCTTCTCTTCTCTGCACTAAATATCACAAAATGACTTGAGTCTTTTTTTTTTCCAAAGGCAAGGTCTCATTCTGTTGCCCAGGCTGGAGTGCAGTGGTATGATCATGGCTTGCTGCAACCTCGACCTCCTGGGCTCAAATGATCCTCCCACCTCACCCTCCCGAGTAGCTGGAGCATGCAACCATGCCCAGCTAGTTTTTTGGAGACGTAGGATTTCACCATGTCGCCCAGGCTGGTCTCAAACTCCTGGGCTCAAGCAATCCACCCGCCTTGGCCTCCCAAAGTGCTAGGATTATAGGCATGAGCCACCGTACTGGCCAAGATGTTTTTTAAAAGACTCAATTCTCAAATACCTTACTTGCGTAGCCTAGGCAGTAAGATTAAGACTAAACCAAGCGTCCATTTCTTACACTGTGATATTTTTTCTTCCCAGTTCCTCCCACCCTGCCTAGTCTTCTTTTCACACCTGGACACAGTACAGGCAACACTATATTCTTTGCTTATGTGTAAAAAGGGCATGACCTTGCCTACTTTTAACTGTCACCACTCATTTGCTTGAGAAAAAATAGTTATGTGTGAATATTAAATTAAATATTATTATTTTTTTTTTTTTGAGACAGAGTCTCGCTCTGTCGCCCAGGCTGGAGTGCAGTGGCCGAACCTCGGCTCACTGCAAGCTCCACCTCCCGGGTTCACGCCATTCTCCTGCCTCAGCCTCCCGAGTAGCTGGGACTACAGGCGCCTGCCACCACGCCCGGCTAATTTTTTGTATTTTTAGTAGAGACAGGGTTTCACCGTGTATGCCAGGATGGTCTCAATCTCCTGACCTTGTGATCTGCCCACCTCGGCCTCCCAAAGTGCTGGGATTACAGGCGTGAGCCACCGCGCCCCGCCAATTTTTTTTTTTTTTTTTTTTTTTGAGACAGAGTCTCACTCTGTTGCCAGGCTGGAGTGCAGTGGTATGATCTCGGCTCACTGCAACCTCCACCTCTCAGGTTCAAGTGATTCTCCCGCCTCAGCCTCCCGAGTAGCTAAGACTACAGGTGTGCACCACCATGCCCAGCTAAGTTTTGTATTTTTAGTAGAGACGTGGTTTCACCATGTTGGCCAGGATGGTCTCAATCTCTTGACCTCGTGATCCGCCAGCCTCGGCCTCCCAAAATGCTGGGATTAGGCGTGAGCCACCGCACCCAGCCCCCTAAATATTAAATTTTAATTTAGGCTGGACTTAGTGGCTCACATCTGTAATCTCAGCACTTTGGGAGGCCAATGTGGGTGGATCACTTGAGCTCAGGAGTTGGAGACCAGCTGGGCAACATGTCTCTACAAAAAATACAAAAATTAGCCAGCCACAGTGGTGTGTGCCTGTATTCCCAGCTACTAGGGAGGCTGAGGTGGGAGGATGGCTTGAGTCCCAGGGGCAGAGACTGCAGTGAGCCAAGATCACACCACTGCACTCCAGCCTGGGCAACAGAACCAGACACTGTCTCAAAAAAAAATTAATTTAGATATTGATTATATTGCCAAGAGATATGTATGTATTAACTTATACATAAGTATCTTTGGTACAACTATACCATTTGTGAGTGTGCAAGGCCCTGCTACATCTCGTTCTATTAGTAGATTCGTAAGAGGGAAGAGGTGGGAATTACTTCAGTACATTAATATACAAGCTTGAGGTTTGAATTACATGAACCTGACCAAAGCTGACAAGCGGGACTTCCAAAACCCCAAGAGTTCCTTTGTAATTCAACCCTGAGTGGCTAATAACATGAGAAAGAATTTTTGCTCTCTGATCACAAAATGAGAATGTTGAATTATACAACTGGAGCAATAACTATGCACACCAGGACTGGATGGAGCACAGAACACAGGGGTGAAGATGGTGCCTAGCACCAAACTCCCATGCAAACAGACTGGGGTCATTGGAAGCTGGGCATGAGATAGGGTAAGATTTAACAGCTAAAATAAAAACAACAGGTTAAATACAAAGCCAGATATAGTAAGAATGTACAGAAACATTATGAAGGCCAACAAAAACAGCCTAAAGAAGGAAGAGGAGTGTTCACGAACTGGCTAAAGTATAAAAACCAAATACAAAAAAAAAATGTAAAATATTTTACATAAAATATAAAAAGCTGCCGGGCGCGGTGGCTCACGCCTGTAATCCCAGTACTTTGGGAGGCCGAGGTGGGCGGATCACGAGGTCAGGAGATCGAGACCATCCTGGCTAACACAGTGAAACCCCATCTCTACTAAAAATACAAAAGAAAAAAATTAGCTGGGCGTCTCTAGTCTCAGCTACTCAGGAGGCTGAGGCAGGAGAATGGCGTGAACCTGGGAGGCGGAGCTTGCAGTGAGTCGAGATCGCGCCACTGCACTCCAGTCTGGGTGACAGAGCAAGACTCTGTCTAAAAAAAAAACAAACAAACAAACAAAAAAATATATAGATATATATAGCAAACACCCTTTAAATGAAAAGACTTTCCCTGGTCATCATGTTCCACGCACTTTGTACTATACACATAAACACACATTACTACTAATCCCTCATTTGGCCAATGCTGAGGGCCTGCTACGAAAGTCAGGCACTGGTCTAGGCACTTGGGATGTGCCAAAGCAGACAAGGGTCCCCTTGTGGAGCTTAGATTGAAGGAACAAGACAAATTATACCATAACAGATAAACAGATTATATGGAATGATAGAAGGTAGAAAGCACTAAGGAAAAGTTAGAAAAAGAGAGCAGGGATGAGGGCTTCCAATGGGTGAGGCAGGCAATCCAGCAGACCCAGTTGAGAATGTGAGATGTGAACTACACCTGGTGGTGGTGGTGGTAGTGGTGGTGGTGGTGGTGGTGGTGGTGGTGGTGGTGGTGGTGGTGATGGTGGTCATGGTGGTGATGGTGGTAAGACCAGGAGGAGTCAGCCCTACAGATATCTTGGGAAGAGGTTTCCAGGGGGAGCCCTCCAGGAAGAGGAAATAGCTATGCAAATCAATGAATTGAGAAACATAAACATGTTCTAGGCTTTATCACTAAAGCAAATATCAGACTTCTCCCACTCACTCATTCATCTTTAAAAGGTAATTTTTGGAAGGGGAAAAAAATAAGTACCAACACCCAGATTTTACAGAAACCATTCTAAAAACAAGCCACTGATTTAAAAACTTATCTACCTCTTTCAGTAGATAAGTGAATGTTTTCCTGAGCTGTCCAACAGGGGGAAAGATGATCTTGCAGGCAGTAATCCCAGGCCAGGTGCACCCTACCCAGCCTCCAGTGAACAGATTTTCACTCCCAACACCTGAAGTACCTCTAGTTTATGAATAACAGGTAGATTTGTCTTTCTCATTTGCAAAGTATTATTGATACCCACATTTATGCACGCTACAACAAGGACATTTCTGTGGAGAACAGGAATCAATTTATTCTAGTATCAACACAGTTAAATAATTTAAAAAGTGAATTCACAGAAAATATTTTGTCCTCATCCAACACTAGCTGGTAGGGGCCAGGGATGGTTTTGGATATCACTTGAGATGTCAAAAGATGTCTAAATCAACTGTCCTGATTTTATCTATAAAGACTGAGGGGGCAGAGATATAATTCAAACATACATGATTCTTGAATTTACTTGTCTCCTACTCTGAATGAGTAAAAGTTAATTACTTACCATCATGAAAATAGTTCTTTCTGATTCTATAAAGTTGCACCATCTCTGACATTTGAGGTAGCTTACTAATTAAAAACAAAGGTTCTCAATATTTCAATTTTTTTTCCCTGCTCAGTTGAGCTGCAGGAAATGGAAGCAGTTGAATGTGAATATAAATACGGATGTCCTTAGAGAACTGTTGTCATAAATTACATGATCAGGAAAAGAGCAAAACAATACAAAAGATCATAATCTCAAAAATCTCCTATTGCCATCGCAGAAAACAGGTAATTTTTATAGAAATGGTGTTGATAATAGCTGTTACACTAATAAATAACAGTGACTCCAAGTTCCCTGGACAAAGGCTATGATTACACCCTGTCAAGCTTTCTATGTTATATTATACGAATAGCTGGTTAAAATGAAGAAATAATGAAATCAGACCATCCCTTCAGGGGAAACAATTGCAGTGTTCAAGAGTTGTTTTTTTGTTTTGTTTTTTGTTTTTTTGAGACTGAGTCTTGCGCTGTTGCCCAGGCTGGAGTGCAATGGCGCAATCTCGGCTCACTCAACTTCCGCCTCCCAGGTTCAAATGATTCTCCTGCCTCAGCCTTTCAAGTAGCTGGGATAACAGGCATGCACTACCACACCCACCTAATTTTTTGTATTTTCAGTAGAGACAGGGTTTCACCATGTTGGTCAAGCTGGTCTCATACTCCTGACCTCAGGAGATCCACCCACCTTGGCCTCCCAAAGTGCTGGGATTACAGGCGTGAGCCACCGTGCTCAGCCTGTTCAAGAGTTTTTAAATTTTAATTTTTTTTTTTTTTTTTTGAGACAGGGTCTCACTCTGTGGCCCAGGTTGAAGTGAAGTGGTGCCATCTCGGTTCACTGCAACCTTCACCTCCAGAGCTTAGGCAATCCTCCCACCTCAGCCTCCTGAGTAGCTGGGACTACAGGTGCAGGCCACCATGCCCTGCTAATTTCTGTATTTTTTTGGTAGAGATGGAGTTTTGCCATGTCGCCCAGGCTGGTCTTGAACTCCTGGACTCAAGCAATCTGCCCACCTCAGACTCCCAGAGTGCTGGGATTACAGGCCTGAGCCACTGTGCCCAGCCAAGAGTTTTTTTTTTTTTTAATGTTTATATGTGTTGACCCAATACTTCTTCTAGGAATCTACCCAAAAGAAAGACAAAAATGTGTCCACTCAATGGGAAAGGATAGGAGAGGGGGGAGAGGGGAGGGGGAGAGGGGAGGGGGAGAGGGGAGGGGGAGAGGGGAGGGGGAGAGGGGAGGGGGAGAGGGGAGGGGGAGAGGGGAGGGGAGAGGGGAGGGGGAGGGGGAGGGGGAGGGGAGAGGGGAGGGGAGGGGAGGGGGAGGGGGGAGGGGGGAGGGGAGGGAAGGGGATCTGAAGACATCTTGGAAGATGCTGGTAAAGGATTATCATCAAAGCTGCAACTGAAAGAAAGAATAAAAAAGGGAAAGGAGATGTTTTATATTCTCATTAGAGAAAGGAGAGCAGGCTGCTTTGTAAAAGCATCCATTTATAGATGACCAGAGAGATGACGCAGTGGCAGTCACGAGGAATTTGGTGTTGCAAAAGGATACATTTTAGAGCAATGTGAGAAGTAGTGGAAAAGCCAGGTAAAATAATATGTTCCAGAAGTCTCTAAGAGGAAGAGGATGGAATCAGGGGGTTGAGGGAGGGAAAAGGAGGGTAGTGTGAGGGAGGAACAGAAGGCAGGCCAACAAAAGGACTTGTGTTAAGATTCTCCCTAAGGGTGTAAGTCTAGAATTAAAACTACTTAACTTTTTTTAAATATATATATTCAAGAAGGCCACATCTTGTGATGAAGGTTGAATCCAATGTTTCCAAGACAGTATCATCCTTATTACCTTAATTATGTGGCTAACCCAGTTTTTATAAATGATCAGGATTCCTGGTCTCTCCTTCCTCTAAAGGAAAGAGAAAAAGTCCTTTGCTCAGTAATGCAAAAGTGGGGTAGGTGCAAATGACTTGACGGCATTAAAGAAACTAAATCAAACTCATATTTAGAAATTACTTGAGTTATTTCTGAAACTTACATCAGTCAGTCATATGGCTGCTCTGGACCCAACCTGAAGGAATTAAGTGTGACCCCGTTCAGTTCAGCAAGCGTGCTCACTTTATCTCACTAAGTTTGCATAAAGAAAAGGAAATCTGAAAGACTGAAAACAGCTCAGCCAATGAGTAAAACTATCAAAAGAACTTGACTGTTCAGTTTTCATCCTTCTCCTTAATTGTGAGAATTCACTTTAATGCATACTTTATGTGCACAAAGACTGAAAATGTAATTACAAAAAAAGCAGCTCTAAAATACTATTAAAGCACTCTGTTGTTTCGGCTAAACAGGAGTCGGCAGTCATCACACACTTGCCAGTCTGTATCACTTGTGACTCAGTCAAGGACTGAACAGGAAATGTGCATGAGCCACCCTCACTGACTCCCATGTGCTGTGTTCTCCTCCTCTCAAACTCCCCCAGATCCATCAGACAACACGCATCCCATCCTCTGATTCAAAGAAGTGATGCTCGTTTGTATTAACGCTCCTCCATGCATAGAAGGGCTCAGCACCACCTAATGGTGCTATATTAAGGTAACACTCTTATTTTTAACCTTTTCCCTGTTTAGAATAATCAAAAAAGTGAGATAGCTGCTGTCTGCGTACTCCAGTTATTTGCCCAATGGATAAACTAAGAAAATTATTTAGATGAAGTACTATGATACTGACAAAGATCCAAAGATTTCAATATAAGATGCCAGATTTTCAAATGCCTTTTCTTAAAATATTTTTTAAATGATTTAAGTAGTTATGTTGTCAAATAATTAATAGTTTCCCCATTCCAACATGTGCTATTGAGCCCTTAAAAAGAATGAAGTAAATCTACATATGTTGACATGGAAAGTTCTCTAAGATAATTATGTGAAAAACAAGGTGCAGAAGAGTTTGTGTAGTGGAGTGCCTTGGTATAAATGGTGTCTCTGGGTATATATTCTTGTTTTGCCTAAAAGGCCATAGAATTCACAAAAGACTGGGGAAATTGGTAAGTTTCCCTACCTACATAACAAAAAAACTAAATTATTTCTTTTAAAATTTAAATTTCTAAAAGAAGTTAGTGGAAATATTTACTCATATAAATATCTGACTACATTTAAAGTAAATACTAATGATTCTTTCATAAAAAGTAATAACCACCAAGTTTTAAGGAAATATAACTAACCAAGACAAGTGACAGCTATTTTTAAAAACA
This sequence comes from Homo sapiens, assembly GCF_000001405.40. NCBI lineage: Eukaryota > Metazoa > Chordata > Mammalia > Primates > Hominidae > Homo > Homo sapiens. The sequence continues at coordinate 50,596,834 of NC_000012.12, read as the reverse complement.
CGTAAATAAGATTTATCTAAATATCTTGGGTTATCCAACTCCTTAGTTACCGAATTCTCAGTCTATTTTTTTCATCTGTTTATTTATTTATTTAGAGACTGGGTTATGAGACTGGCTAAGTTTTGAATTTTTGGTAGAGGTGGGGTTTCGCCATGTTGCCCAGGCTGGTCTCAAACTCCTGGGCTCAAGTAATCCACTGTCTCAGCCTCCCAAAGTGCTGGGATTACAAGTGTCAGTGACGGCACCTGGCCATGAATTCTGTCTATTTTAATTCCACTTGAAAACTGTCTCTTTTAGGATCATCCAAACCAGGTCAACCTTCTGAGAGGTTCCCAGTCCTGGAGACAGGTCAAAAGTGAAGCTCAGACTGGTCTGGCACTTATACAGCCATTAGGAAGAGATGAGCAGAAAAGCTCTAAGATTCCACAGCCCAGACTGGCTATGGATATTAACGACCTGCCTCCAACCATCCATACCTGTTCTTTTGTTAATCTGTTTTTACCACCATGCAAGAGAGACAACCAAACTCATACAGTCAAAACTGAGTCATAAGACCCTCTCCCAATTTTTTATTTTTTGTTTCTACTTATAATTCTTACTTTTATACTTCTAAAACAATTCTATCCCTGTTAAAGACTCCTTTCGATATACTAAGTTTACTTACAAGTAAATTTGGAAACATGGAACTTCAACTACAAAGCACTCATAAATGACCTTGAATTCTTCTTACATGAACCAAAGTCTTACAGCCATGGACTTCTCAGACTAGAATACTACATGAAGATGGGAGCACCTATTGGCAAAGTATGATCAAATTATTCTGCTTTACTGAACATTATAAATTCCTTACATACAGCAGAAAGATATGTTCCAGGAACTACTGGAGATCACAAAGGTACAAAGAAATCCTACTCCTTGAGGGTGATAAGGCAAGACTGAGAGTGGAGGAGGAGACGGTGGGAGCACTTCAATATATTCCCAGGAGGTCACGTGCCAGAGGCTATTTATTTACTTTCTCATACATTTTTACTTGAGTCCATGGGAGATTTTACTTCTATGAATAAATGGCTTATTTTATAATGTAAATCAATACACAGACTTGTTGCTGAATACGTTCAACTGTCACAAAGTAAGAAAACTGTTCTAGAGGAACATGTATGTAGTATTCTCCTCAATGGCCACATTAAATATAATCTTGACGTACTTGATACTTTCTGTTAATAAAAAACTGGCTGGGCTCAGTGGCTCATGCCTGTAATCCTAGCACTTTGGGAAGCCAAGGCAGACAGATTGCTTGAGCCTAGGAGTTCAAGACTGGCCTGGGCAACATGGTGAAACACCACCTCTACAAAAACTACAAAAAAGCCCAGGTGTGGTGGTGCATGCCTGTAGTCCCAGCTACCCAGGGAGGCTGAAGTGGGAGGCAAGTTGAGGCTGCAGTTGAGCTAAGCTGTGATCGGGAGCCATTGCTCTCTAGCCCTGGTGACAGAGTGAGACCCTGTCTCAAAACAAATAAATAAATAAATAAATTTTTAAAAAATGAAAAACCTTACCAGTTTACTCTCCTAGCTAAACAGATTCACCACCACACAAAGGGTCAGAGAATGTACGACTGTGTGCACGACTAGCTTGCAAACACGCATCACCAGAGTCAGCATGGTTTTGCTCTCATTATTAGAGCCAATGGCTGTGAATGTGTTTATTCCTTTTAAAATGCAAGCTTGAGCTTAATTTATATGGCCAATTTAACTTAACAGTAGTATGAAAATCATTTTTAAAACATATCATGTTATTCAAAGTAGATATTTCTTTCAATAAAAAGAAAATGTCAAAGCACATAGTACTACATTACAGTTAAATGCAAAAAGGTGAATCTTGGAATCTGCAGGACAAGCCCATTAAGAGTTGTCATTCAAACCTGACAGTTATTTCACATTGTTAAAATAAGCCAGATAACGCTACCTAAAAACTAGTAATGTGAAATAAAAACAGCAAAACATATAAACTGATATAATACCAAGACAGACTAGCAACGCACATTTTATTATATATAAAACCATAAATATCTTTTAATATGTAATATTAGAGGTGGGTTAAACTTTTTAAATATATTTTGATATTTTCGATGACTTTTTCCTATTTGACAATTAATGTTGAACTCTCAATTAATAATCTGATCATGTAAGCTGCTTCACACTTATATAAATGCAGTATACTGTTATGTAAGTCCTAAACTATATCATATGAGGTAATACACGTACCAAGCTTAACACTAATACGTATTGACTTTACAAAATTAAAGAAAATTCTGCTGAATTCTAAACTGAACCGAAACATCAGCCAAATACAAAAGAGTTTCTTTTCTTGTAAAGGCCTCATCAATAAAATTAAACCTAAAATAATTCTCATAAAATCCCTTGAGGTAAACACTATTCTTATAGGTATGGGAATTCATATCAAAGAGAAAATAGCTAAAGATGTCATGGTTCATATTCAAACTCAGGACATCTGTTTCTGTGCTCTTAATTATTGAGGCAGTGGAGAAGGGTTGGTTGGGCTTTGATACCTCACATTTAAAAAGAAACAAAGGAGGCTGGGTACAGTGGCTCATGTTTGTAATGCCAGCACTTTGGGAGGCTGAGGCGGGTGGATTACCTGAGCTCAGGAATTCGAGACCAGCCCAGCCAACAGGGTGAAATCCCACCTCTACTAAAAATACAAAAAAAATTAGCAGAGCATGGTGGCAAACACCTGTAATCCCAGCTACTCAGGAGGCTGAGGCAGGAGCATCACTTGAACCTGGGAGGCGGAGGTTGCAGTGAACCCAGATGGCGCCATTGCATTCCAGCCTGGGCGACAAGAGTGAAACTCCATCAAAGAAAGAAAAGAAAAGATAAGAAAAGAGAAGAGAGGAAAAGGAGAGGGGAGGGGAGGAGAGGGGAGGGGAGGAGAGGGGAGGAGAGGGGAGGGGAGGAGAGGGGAGGGGAGGGGAGGGGAGGGGACGGGAGGGGAGGGGAGAGGGGAGGGGAGGGGAGGGGAAGGGAGAGGGGGGGGGAGGGGAGGGGAGGGGAGGGGAGGGGAGGGGAGGGGAGAGGAGAGGAGAGGAGAGGAGAGGAGAGGAGAGGAGGGGAGAGGAGAGGAGAAAAGAGTGTATTCCTAGTAGGAACTACTGATTTCCCAATAATGCCCACATCTCATCTCTACTTGTGGCCTTAGGTGATTCAGTAATCTCTGATGGGCTCTTTCTCATCTGCAAAATGGGTGGAATAATTTTTAGGTTGGGACATATCCTTAATGGACTGCTTTGTGTTTCCTTTTTTTTTTTTGTTTTGAGACAGAGTCTCGTTTTGTTGGCAGGATGGAGTGTAGCAGCGCGATCTCAGCTCACTGCAACCTCCGCCTCCCGGGTTCAAGTGACTCTCCTGCCTCAGCTTCCCAAGAAGCTGGGACTACAGGTGCATGTCACCACGCCTAGCTAATTTTTGTATTTTTAGTAGAGACGGGGTTTCACCATGTTGGCCAGGATGGTCTCGATCTCTTGACCTCGTGATCCGCCCACCTTGGCCTCCCAAAGTGCTGGGATTACAGGCGTGAGCCACTGCACCCAGCCAACAAGTTCTACATTTTTAAAAGACTGAACTCCACTCTGGTCTTAAACCAGGACATTAAGTCTAGGGCTATACACAAGTTCTACTTATTGTATGGGTTTTAATTCCAGCCAAGTATATAAAACAATGAGAAAGGCTGTAGAAGCATAAACTTAAGTTTAGCTCAAACTGAAATTTGGTTGCCTTGTGTGCAAATTCAGGAAGTACGGAGAATAGGTCTAATGGCAAGGACTAACACTGACAACTTGTCATATTTAAATTCTCCAGTGAACAGGTCAGCCATCAGTGCCTAGAGAATATGACAATGCCCAACTGCTTTGGAGTTCAAAGAAAGGAAGAAAACCAACATTTAGAAGCACCTATTACTGACAGGCTAGAGGCTTTCAGGTGCACGATCTTATAAAAAAGCATCATACTATTAGTTATGAACCACTAAAGAAAATAAATAATCTGGCCGGGTGCAGTGGCTCACAGCTTAATCCCAGCACTTTAGGAGGCCGAGGCGGGCAGATCACAAGGTCAGGAGTTCGAGACCAGCCTGACCAACATGGTGAAACCCCATCTCTACTAAAAATACAAAAATTAGCCAGGCGTAGTGGCGTGTGCCTGTAATCCCAGCTACTCAGGAGGCTGAGGCAGGAGAATTGCTGGAACTCAGGAGGCGGAGGTTGCAGTGAGCTGAGATCGTGCCACTGCACTCCAGCCTGGGTGACAGAGTGAGACTCAGTCTCAAAAAAAAGAAGAAAGAAAATAAATAATCTAAAAGTTAAGGCCCGGCGCAGTGGCTGATAACTATAATGCCAGCACTTTAGGAGGCCAAAGCAGGAGGACTGCTTGACCCTAGGCAACAACATGAAACCTTGTCACAACAAAAAAAATTAAAAATTAGCCAGACATGGTGGCACTTGTCTGTAGTTCCAGCTACTCAGGAGGCTGAGGCAAGAGGATTGCCTGAGCCCAAGAGTTCGAGGCTGCAGTGAGCTACGATGGTGTCACTATACTCCAGCCTGGACAACAGGCTGTCTCTAAAAAAATAAAAATAAAGATCGGCTGGGCGCAGTGGCTCACGCCTGTCATCCCAGCACTTTGGGAGGCCAAGGCAGATGCATCACTTGAGGTCAGGAGTTCGAGACCAGCCTGGTCAACACGGTGAGACCCCCGTCTCTACTAAAAACACAAAAATTAGCTGGGCATGGTGACACATGCCTGTAATCCCAGCTACTTGGGAGGCTGAGGCAGGAGAATCACTTGAACCCGGGAGGCAGAGGTTACAGTGAGCCAAGATCGCACCACTGCACTCTAGCCTGGACAACAGTGCAAGACTCCATCTCAAAAAAAAAAAAAACACACAAAAATAAAGAAATAAAAGTTAATAAACAATATCGTTTTAGTCCCCTGATACGTAAAATAGCAGCCAGAATGCAAAAACTCTCATTTATACAATGTAGTATAAGAATTTTATCATATGGCTGGGCACGGTGGCTCAAGCCTGTTATTCCAGCACTTTGGGAGGCCCAGGTGGGATGACCGCTTTAGTCCAGGAGTTGGAGACCAGTCTGGGCAACATGGCAAAACCATGTTTCTATTAAAAAAAAAAAGAAAGAAAGAAAGAAAGAAAAAGAAAAATTAGCCAGTGTGGTGTCAAGTGCTTGTAGGATACACTCAGGAGGCTGAGGTGGGAGGATCACCTGAGCCCAGGAGGCAAAGGATACAGTGAGCTGAGATCATGCCACTGTACTCCAGCCAGGGAGACAGAGACAATGTCTCAAATAAATTAAAAAAAATTATCATGCATAATTTGGATCTCACCCCCAAGAATTTTAAAAAAGGAATACAATGGGGAAAAGATTAGGATTTAAAAAAAAAAATCAGATGGGTAAACAAAAAGAAAAATCAATATCATAAAAGGCTAGAATAACTTCAGGTTCAAGAATTGGGCATTAAATTTAGCTTCTAGTTTCTTGGCCTTCAAAGTCCATGGAGAAGTAAAACAGATTATTGAATTCCTGCTCTTTGAAAAAACTGTCTTAGCCTATTTTGTGCTGCTATAACAGAAATCTGAGACTGCACAATTCATAAAGAACAGAAATTTATTATTCACAGTTATGGAGGCTGAGAAGTCCAACAGCAAAGCATCTGGTGTCTGGTAAGGGCCCTCTTGCTGAGTTTTCAAAGGGCAGAAGGCAGAAGGGCAAGCTAGCTGAACCTGTGTGAAGTCTCTTTTATAAGGGCCTTAATCCCACTCCCAAGAGAGAAGCCCTCATGGTCCATTCACCTCTTAAAAGTCCATCTCTTAAAAGTATCACATTGGCAACACCTGAATTTTGGAGGCAACACATTCAAACCATAGCACACAGAAATCTAACTTGAAAGTGGAGTTTCCTAGATGGGTTCTGGTCTATAAATACACTAAAATTTCATAACATCAAATTTTGATCAATCTACACATTTTATATTAAAGTCTAAATTCTTGTTTGTTTTTAAACATGCTTTCACTGGAAATGATCATAATAATGATCCTCTAGTAGCAGATGCTGTGACAATTAAAACAACATTCATGCCAGGCATGGTGGCTCTCAGCTGTAATTCCCAGCACTTTGAGAGGCCGAGGTGGGTAGATCACAAGGTCAAGAGTTCGAGACCAGCCTGGCCAACATGGTGAAACCCCATCTCTACTAAGAATACAAAAATTAGCTGGGCATGGTGGTGCGTGCCTGTAATCCCAGCTACTCAGGAGGCTGAGGCAAGAGAATTGCTTGAACCCCGGAGGCGGAGGTTGCAGTGAGCTGAGATCACGCCACTGCACTCCAGCCTGGGCAACAGAGCAAGGCTCCGTCTCAGGAAAAAGAAAAAAAAAAAATCACTCCTTGGGCCACAACTGTCCTCAATTACTTCTCCAGTGGGGGCCACAAATGGCATCTTCAAAAACAGAGAGAAAGCAGAAACACAAGTGTAATCCCAGAATTTTGGGAGGCCAAGGCAGAAGGCTCGCCTGAGCCCAGGAGTTCGAGATCAGCCTGGGCAACATAGTGGGATCCCACCTCTACATAAAATTAAAAAAAAAAAATTATCCAGAAACGGTAACATGATCCTGTAGCTTCTACTCAGGAAGCTGAAGCAGGAGGATTATCTGAGCCCAGGAGTTTGAGGTCTCAGTGAGCCATGATGGCGTCACTGCACTCCAGCCTGAGAAAGTAAGATACTATCTCAGAGAGAGACAGAGAAAGAGAGAGAGAGAGAGAAACAGGAAATGCCTATCTCCTCTGCCCCCTTACTTTCACCAGTTAAAAGGCAGAGAACAGATAAAAGAGAGAAAGCAGTAAGAGGATCTTGGAAGATAATTAATCCCCGATTAGCATATATTTCCACTGGAATATTCAAATGTCTTCTCTTAACCTCTCTTAATTTTTCTTCCTGATGGTCCTAAATTACTCAGTTGTTTAAAATTTAAGTAACACAGAGGATACACCCTCTGGCCCCCAAGAGCAATCATTATCTGGCCCTGCTTGCCTGTGTCAATGGTCCCGATCTCCCACCACTCTCCTAACTCACTGGACTCACAATTCTTGCAGTTCTTCAGATATACCAAGCTTTTTAAGATCCTTGCACCAATCATTTCCTGTGCCTAAAAAACACTTTCCCTAGATTTTCTTATAAACTGGCTCCCTCTCCTCATTCATGTCTCAGCTCAAATGTCACCTCTTCAGAAAGGCTACTCCTGAAGGATGACCACAAATTTTAAATTAATGGCTGGGCATGGTGGCTCACATCTGAAACCCCAGCACTTTGGGACGCCGAGGTCAGGAGTTTGAGACCAGCCTGGCCAACATGGTGAAACCCCCTCTCTACTAAAAATAGAACAAAATTAGCTGGGCGTGGTGGCGTGCACCTATAATCCCAGTTACTTGAGAGGCTGAGGCAGGAGAATCAAGCCACTGCACTCCAGCCTGGGCAAAAGAGTGGTACTCCATCTCAAAAAAAAAAAAAACAAAGACAAACAAATTTTATTTATTTATTTTTATTTTATTTTATTTTATTTTTTTGAGACAGAGTCTTGCCCTGTTTCCTAGGCTGGAGTGCAGTGGCGCGATCTTGGCTCACTGCAAGCTCCGCCTCCTGGGTTCACGCCATTCTCCTGCCTCAGCCTCCCGAGTAGCTGGGACTACAGGTGCCCGCCACCACACCCGGCTAATTTTTTGTATTTTTAGTAGAGACAGGGTTTCACCGTGTTAGCCAGGATGGTCTCGATCTCCTGACCTCGTGATCCGCCCGCCTCGGCCTCCCAAAGTGCTAGGATTACAGGCGTGAGCCACCGCGCCCAGCACAAACAAATTTTAATTTAATGAGACAGCAATCGTCTCATTCAATCAACTGATTTTAAAGGTGAGCAAATATAAATTCTGGAAATTAAGAGATTTTTCTCTTACATGTCACTTCATCAAACCCCACCTCTATCCTCCAAATTTATAATGTTCTACAGAAAGTTTGGCACAAATCCAGCTAGGCAGTAGGGGCTGTAAATATAGAATCCAGCAGCTGGGTTAAGACGGAATTCTAGCTAACATGGTCTTATTATGGGCATCTGTTCTCCACCCACCAGAGCAACCCAAACCAAGGGGAGAGAAAGGTATCTCATTCAGACAGCATTCCCCAAAAAACATCCTCCTGCTCTTTAGTGAAGTGACTATTAAGGAAATAACTACTACACATCAATTTTTTAAATGTACAGGGGAACCCCCAATCTCGTGTTCAGTACAGTATAAGTACTGATGAATCAGGCCGGGCACGGGGGCTCGTGCCTGTAATTCCAGCACTTTGGGAGGCTGAGGCAGGGGGATCACCTGAGATGAGGAGTTCAAGACCAGCCTGGCCAACACAGTGACACTCCATCTCTAAAAATACAAAGAATTAGCTGGGCCTGGTAGCACATGCCTGTAATCCCAGCTACTCAGGAGGCTGAGGCACAAGAATCACTTGAACCTGGGAGGCGGAGGTTGCAGTGAGCCAAGATCGCACCACTGCACTCCACCCTGGGCAACAGAGTGAGACTGTCTCCAAAAAGAAAAAGAAAAAGAAAAAGAAAAAAAAAAGAAAAGAAGTACCAACAAATCAATTTCTAACACTGTTTCACCAAAGTGTTATTTCAAGGTTGGAGTTCAGGGAAAGAAGTAACAGCATTTAAGTCTAGCTTTGCTTTCACCCATTGGTATTGTATAGATACCAAAACAAATCCTAAGCCTATATATTTTTATAAAAGCAAATTATCTCGAGATAATTTTTTTGAAATTTCCTTGCTATACCTAGTTTTCAAACACAATTAGGTCAGAATTTAAACAAATTTTGTCCTTTTATTCTCTGGGACAGACCCCAAAACAGAAATGTATACAGAACCCCTGCAATACTTGATGAGTAAGTGATAAATTCAAAAGAACCAGTGGGAAGAGTGGAAGAGAGAAGCATGAGTGGCAGACAACATGCAGGTTAATTTTCAGCTTTCAAAAACAAATTGTAAAAGGTTAAAATATTTTTAGGGTTGTTGCTTCCATATAAGATCTCAAAACATAGGAGACACTGAAGGAGGAAGAAAAAAATTGAAAATGGAGAAAGTAGGACTGAAATACTGAGAGAGTATTGACAAATTCCTGGACTATCACAATCTGGCCTTAGGCATTTCTATACACCTCTATGATTTAAAGTATCAAGTTAGTTTTATTTTGGACAGAATTTAACAAGCTGCCTAATGAAAAATGATCCCTCCCCGTCATGTAACCTTTAGTAAGCGCAGGTATCCAAAAACAAGGAATGGCAAAAAGGTAGCTTTGCATTAATTAGTCATCAAGTAAATATCTTAATAAGGTCCATATAGCAAGTGAGGGACAAAACAAGAGGGTGGTCTAAAGGCTGTGTGGAGTCAGTAACAGACTAGCCACAGAATCTAAAAGGACCAGGGAAAGGTTCACAGAAGAGAAAAGGGGACCTGGACTTTGTGGGAAGCTCTGATTTTATCACTATACACTTCAAACTGCAGTGAAGAAAGATCCTGCTTGCCTACCTAAAGTGTAGAGGTATAACAACAAAGTGACTGTATCTGGAAGTGAAAGGAACCTAAGAGCAGACCAACTTAAGTTTTAATTGCAATAGGATACTTATTTTTATAATACACTCACCCATGGTTCAAAATCTAAAGGTACAAAAGAGACACATACAGTGAAAATATCATTCCCTCTTCTGTTTAACAGTCAGGTGATGTCTTGAGAACCCACCCAAAGAAGCATATACAAGCAAAAACATGTTTTCATATGGGCAAATTTTGATCAAAACGTTTATAATAGCTTTTTATTTAAAAAAATTTTTTGCCGGGCACAGTGGCTCACGCCTGTAATCCCAACACTTTGGGAGGCCAAGGCGGGTGGATCACTTGAGGTCAGGAGTTTGAGACCAGCCTGGCCAACATGGTGAAACCTCATCTCTACTAAAAATACAAAAATTAGCTGGGCGTGGTGGCATACACCTGTAGTCCCAGCTACTCAGGAGGCTGAGGCAGGAGAATCGCTTGAACCCGGGAGGCAGAGGTTGCAGTGAGCCGAGATCACACCACTGCACTCCAGTCTGGGCAACAGACCAAGACTCCATCTCAAATAAAAAATGTTGTTTGTTTGTTTTACGTAAAATCACTGTCATTATGCATATGCATACATTACAACAACTTTTCTAAGAAACTCACTTCTTCAAGTTTTTTTTAAAGTATCAGAGTAAAAGTGCTGAACTAGGAACTGGGAGTATAGGTTTTAGCCTCAATTCTGTACAAGTTTGGGAAAGTCCCATCACTTTTTGGGCATTCTCCTTGACTGCCACTTGAGTCCAGGCCCCATGTCATCTGCCTGGACCTGCCTCTCTACATCCTCCAAATAACCCAGGCTCTTGTCTCCTCCAATCCATTCTACTCAGGACTTTAGCTGAAATCACTTTTTAAATGCAAATCTTATTTTTGTTTGAATGCTCACCTCCTTTGTAATTTTTTTTACCATTTTGGTAAAACCAGGAATAGCTATATTGTTGTCCACAGTGAGGCTGGCAGAGCCTTCAGAGACCACCTCCTAGGTCTGATCCCCTTGTATTAACAGAACACATGAAAAGACTAATGCCCTGAGACAAAGTAAATGGGCCACATCTAGGACGCATGAGTTCTCAGAATGCCATGTGTTTGTGGGAACCTCCAGGTCATTCACTCAATTGAAAGTATTCACTGAAAGTGGCACTATGCTAGGTATCAAGAACTCCAGTGAACAGACAGATAAGATCCTTGATTTTATAGAGCTTATAGTGATAGATACATTCATTTTTAGAAAAAAAGTAAATGCCCAGGATAATGACAAAAGTGTTATCCTCTTAGATGACTGCAAGTCACCTTCTGGGGAGTCTCTCTGTGTCTTCTCTTGACCTCTGCATTAATTGCATATAACAGAGTGATCCTTTTAAATGTAAATTAGATCACGTCTATACCTTGCTCAAAACTTCCCACATTCTGAATAAAAACTAAACTCCTTACCATGGCCTGGGAAGCCTTAAGTGATCTGACTCCTGTCTACTTCTCAGCCAGTTCTCTCTGCTCTTCCTCATGCCACTCTGGCCACATACCTACTGACCTAGTCTTCTAAGGCACCTAGCTTGTTCCTCCTTGAGGCCTCACCTGCTGTTCCTTTGCCAGAACACTCTTCCCCCCAACATTCACATGATGCTCTCTCTTCATTGGAGTCCTTGCCAAAATGTCTCCTCCTCTGGCCACTCTGACTAGAAGAGCAGCTACCCCTCAATTCCCTCCATCCCCTTAGCCCACGCTTCATCTGTCTACAAGGCACAGGTCACAGTCAGCACACGATTTATCTGTGGTTTGTCTCCCAACTATACATAAGCTTCCTGAGTGTGTCTACCTTGCCCAATGCTCTATTTCCAATGCCTGGAACAGTGCTGGGCACAGAATAGGCACTCAATCAATATTTGCTGGAAAAATAGATAATGTGACAAAGAACAGATTGAGGTGGATAAGTCACTACTTTGGGAAGGGTGATCAGAAAAAGGCTCTCAGAAGAAGTGTCATTTAATCTGCATCTTGAAGCATAAGGATGAGAGCCAGAAACAGAAGAGTCCATGTAGAAGGAACAGCAAGTGTCAAGGCCCTGGGGCATGAAAGATCCTGCTGTGAAAGAGGACAAGTATAGCCACAGCATAATGAGGGACAGGAAAAAAGGTAGAAACGAAGCAGGAGAAGCAGGCAGGTTCCTGAAGGAGTCGTAATTGATTCTACATGTAATGCAGCCATTAAGGACTAAGCAAAGCGTTAGATGATATGGTTAAACATTTTTGGCCAGGCGCGGTGGTTCACGCCTGTAATTCCAACACTTTAGGAGGCAGAGGTGGACAGCTCACTTGAGGTCACGAGTTCAAGACCAGCCTGGCCAACATGGTGAAACTCCATCTCTACTAAAAATACAAAAATAAGCCAGGTGTGGCGGCACACATCTGTAATCCCAGCTACTCAGGAGGCTGAGGCAGGAGAATCGCTTGAACCCGGGAAGCAGAGGTTGTAGTGAGGTGAGATCACACCACTGCACTCCAGGCTGGACCACACAGTGAGATTCTGTCTCCAAGAAATATAAAAAATAAATAAATAACAAATACATTTTTAATAGAACACTCTGCCTGCTGTGAAGAGAACAGCATACAAGAGACAAAAATGGAAGCACAGAAACCAATCAGGAAATTCTAGCAGTTTTCTAGTTGAGAAATGATGGTGATTAGTGGTGGAAATGCAGACGGAGAGAAGTGAATGCATTTGAGATATGTACTGAGGTGAAACTGATAAAACTGCTGAAGGGCTGGACAGGGGCAGGGAAAAATTTAAGATGGCTCCCATGTTTCAGGCATGAGAAACTAGGGTCCATTTGCTAAAATGAAAAAGGACTAGGGGGAAAAAGTCAGAACTTGCCTCTGTACCTGTGAGGTCTGGGTCACAGGTTACTGATATCAAGGTGGAAGTTAGAGGATGAGCCTTGGCTGTGGATATAGATTTAGAAATCATCCACATAAAGATGGCATTTAAAGCCATGGAAGTGGGTGAAATCACATGGGAGAGAGTGTAAATAAAGAGAAGTGAAGCCCAAGACTGAGCTCCAGGGCATTCCAGCATTCAGAGGTTGGGCAATGGAAGTAAAGGGAATGAGAATAGGTCTGTGAGGCAGACAGAAAATGACTGGATGCCCTCACTGGGGACCTTGGTGCTTCCAACAAGGATGGTTTCAGTGAAGCAGTGAGGATGGCAGCCAGGACTGAGTGGTCTAAAGAAACTGGAAGAGAAGAAATGGAAGAAAGAGTAGACAACTCTTCCAAGAGTTGTGCTGTCATGGGGAGAAAAAAGTGGGTCACTGACTAGAGAGACAGGTTGATTTAATAAAGGATTATTTCTCAAGATGGGGGTACACCAGAGTGTTATCTGCACAGATGCTCTTTTATTTATGATGGGGTATGTGCAGATAAACCCATCGTAAATAGAAAATATCATGAACTGTAAGTGTGTTTTCAATTTACAGTATTTTCAACTTAGGATGGGTTTATCAGTACGTTACCCCACTGTAAGTAAAGGACCGTACTGAATTTGTATCACTTCCACACCTTCGTAAAGTCAAAAAATCCTACATCGGGACATCTGTCTATGATCAATAGGGATGCTCCGGGAGACAAGCAGCACCTGCAGATGGGGGAGGAAAGCAGACCACAGAAGCAGTAAGCGCCTTGGGAAGGTAGGGGTGCTCAGCACCAATGGAGGGACTGAAGCACAGGTGGGGGTTCAGATGAAACAAGTACTCGCCACCACTATAACCAACTGGAGGGACACAATAGAAGAGGAGTCTGGCTGCCAAAAAAAAAACGTGTAGATGTGGTGGAGGGAAGATGAGGGTATCACTCTGGAAAGATTTCTATTTTATCAGAGAAGCATGAAACAAGGCCATTGGCTAAGAGAATAAAGGACATGTGTGTGGGTTTGAGGAAAAGATATGTAATAGTCCTCTCAGAACATGAGGAAACAAATTTACCAGTAGGGCTTCCAGGCAACAATGAAGCCCATTTGTGGCTTGTGGTTATGTCTACATGGAATCCTACTAACACTTTGTGTATACGGTAAACATTTCCTTCAATCAATTTTATTATCTAAATTTATACCAAGAATTAGATTTGTAACATCATCTTTGTAATTCTAATCTAGGTAAATGCCCCCCTGACAAAAAGCAGAATGTTATAGACCCCACACACCCCCAAAATTTGATTACATCATCTGATTATCAGCCATCTTTTAAAAAGAAACCAGACAACTAACTAAAGAAAAAAATGTGCATACCATCAGGGGAAACACGACCACTGACTAGCTTACGTACTTGTAAGTGAAATTATCCGTTAATGCTTGAAATATGTTTTTAAAATAACTGGAGGCTGGGGAGGGTGCAGGAGAAGAAAAGTGGATGGGGCACAGATGAAAGTAGATGGGTCATGTGTTTTCACTGCTGTTGGTGGGTGATGGGTACATGGAGATTCACCATACAGTTCTACTCTGGTATATGTTTGAAAATCTCCGTTAAAAAGGGTAAAAACAAAAATAAAAGAAATCCAGAGGGCTAAGATGGAGCCAGTATTTATTTTATACTTCCAATATAAACTAATATTACAATGTTTCATAGAATTCTACTCTGCTTCCTTAATAACTAATCAGAAAAAAAAGCTATTAGGCCAGGTGTGGTGGGTCACGCCTGTAATCCCAGCACTTTGGGAGGCCAAGGCGGGCAAATCGCCTGAAGTCAGGAGTTCGAGACCAGTCTGGACAATGTGGTGAAACCCCGTCTCTACTAAAAATACAAAATTAGCCAGGCGTGGTGGTGCGCACCTGTAATCCCAGCTACTTGGAGGCTGAGGCAGGAGAATCACTTGAACCCGGGAGGCGGAGGCTGCAGTGAGCTGAGATCGCACCATTGAACCCCAGCCTGGACAAAAAGAACGAAACTCCACTCAAAAAAAAAAAAAAAAAAAAAAAACAGAAAAAAAGAAAAAGAAGCTATTATCCTTCCAAACAAAATTCACTTCATCTAAAAAGTTACTGCCCTTCTCTTTGATCAAGCATGCTCCACCATGCCCTGTGTCCTCTCTGCAGGAGGCCTGCCCAGGTCCAGGGCTGCCTGAGACAAGGGGGCCTAACTCGAGGATTCAGTGCAGGCTCGCACAGCTCTCACACTGAGCTCTGCCTCAATCAGTATTAAAGGCTACATTCTGGCTGCAAAAAAGAAAAAAGTAAAAGATATTTATCTTTTCTTCCCTTCCTCAACAAATTTCTAACTGTATACCTCATGAAACTGCTGCAACAAATGAGCTCATCTTCATTAACTTTCCTTTCAGCCAAGAGTAAGTAAAGTATGGACAGGGCAAGCAAACCATGCCTGAGTCAGCAGGAGTTGAGTGGATATCCCTTGTGCTGCCCGGTGACTCCACTGTCTTGGGCACGATAACGTACACCACAAGTAGTGTTTAAGGTCACCTACCACTGTGGTGAATGTGGGTAGCAAGTAGACGCTATGGAGGAGAAATCAGCACTGAGTAAGGCCCCTCCTAGGGTATATGGTAAATAGTATTTTATTCTACTAGCAATCTCCTCTACCCCCTTCCACATTTCTTTTTACTCTCCCTCTTTGGAAACCTAATTTGTGGCAAACAAGGTCAACTGTACAGCATACAGCCGGAAAGAATCACACTCCTATTGGGCGCCTCCAACCTGATGGTTACCTGACTGGTTTTACTGACAGAACTGGTTGCCCAGGAGGGTGGATATTATTTCTGAGAGCCACAAAGGACATTTTCTTTATGCAGTAGCGGTCTTAAAAGCCTGCCTATTTTTTAGCTTATGAATAAATTCCTGTTTCAATGATTCCCAAATCTGGCTAATTACAGGCATTTCCAGAAGAGTTCTTTTAAAGTCTCAATTGGGCCAGAAATCTGTGTTTTTGAAAGTCATCAAGTAGTTGTGCTCATTCACATGCAGAAAGTAATGATGTGGCATGACCTATAGCACAAATGTAAGTCAGAATTCCAAAGAGTGAGCGACCTCTAAAATGTATTTAGTTATTCCGAACACAAAATAGTTTCTCCAAAATAAAACCACAATTCTAGTTAATATACAAAGTAAAACTGAATTCATAATGCAGCAAAAAACATTAAGAAAGAGCTACCAAATTACAAGGAAGGACTAAAGCCGGGTCGGTCCTTCAAGGCTGGCATTGTTGACATTTTGGGCTAGATAATTCTTTGTTGATGGAGGGTGCTGTGTGCACTGTAGGATATTTCCATCATTTGAACATAAAGTGTGTGAAAGTATTGCTGTAACAAAACAATTAGTAATTCTGCTGACCTCTACCCATTAAATGCCAGTAGCAATTTCATCCCCCAACCCAGAGCTCTGACAACCAAAAATGTCTCTAGACCTTGCCAAATGTACCCTGACGGTTGAGGGGTGCAAAATTGCCTCAGTTCAGAACAACTGAACTGAAGGAACTGGGTTAAAAATAGAAGAAAGTTGCAGTGAGCCGAGATCACGCCACTACACTCTAGTCTGGGCAACAGAGTGAGACACAGTCTCAAAAAAAAAAAAAAAGGAAAAAGAAAAGAAAGGATAAAGTAGACTGGAGTAAAAATATAGATAATAAAATTTCTGCAAAATATAAAGAAAAAGCATAAGGAGCACCATTCTTGGCTATTTTTATTTTAAAAAATAAAATTAAAGGAAATTAGCTTAAATTATAAAAGAGGGCATCTGGAGTACTCATAAGGAAAAATCTCTTAACTCCAAAGGCTTATTAAAGCCAGGAAACTGGAGCCCTTTACCTGGAGATAATTAGAATGAATCAGAATGAAATGACTGTGATATAACTCAGAAGGTTTGGGGCAACAGTGTGTAGTGCTGAGACCTCTGGAGGGCCCTTTTTAGCCTAAGAGTCTCTCCTGTCCTGGAGCCCTAAAGACTTCTTCAGAAGGAAAGTACTTGACTCACAATTAATGTCTCACTGTGGATTCAAGTCCACGTGATATGACCAATTTCTGAATGTACACACAAGCAAGCCAACAAAGTTAGCAAGGTTGGCCCTTCCCTGTTGTTTTTGCCCCACAAGGTCTAGGTTAAGCTAAGAACTGGTCTTCTCCTTTGTGCCCATGGTTATTTCCAGCATTTGTCCAGTGCCTGTGCCAAGACTGCCAGTCAGAAGTGGAGATCTGACCAGGAATTGTATCCATACCAGATCAGCACACCTACCAGGCCAATCTCATCAAAAGTAAAGGCAAAGAGAAGAAATAAGGGAAGTGAGAAGGAAATACAGTTGAGTCAGAAATGACTTTACTTTCAATCTGCAGTTCTCCAAAAATGTGGTCCACAGTTTCTGGGGGTCTCTCCAAAATTACAGGGGTCCATGAAGCTATGTATATATATATATATATATATATATATATATATATATATATATATATATATATATATATATATATATATATATATTTTTTTTTTTTTTTTTTTTTTTTTTTTTTTTTTGAGACGGAGTCTCACTCTATCACCCAGGCTGGAGTACAGTGCCATGATCTCGGCTCACTGCAACCTCCACCTCCCAGGTTCAAGTGATTTTCCTGCCTCAGCCTCCTGACTAGCTGGGGTTACAGGCACCTGCCACCACACCTGGCTAATTTTGTATTTTTTGTAGAGACGGGGTTTCACCATGTTGCCCAGGCTGGTGTCCAACTCCTGGGCTCAAGTGATCTGCCCTCCTTGGCCTCCCAAAGTGTTGGGATTACAGGTGTGAGCCATTGTGCCTGACCTAGATTCAGGTTTTCTAAAATTTTTATTTTTGCTTAAAATCACTATCAGTTCACTGTAACTTATAATTGTCAACAAATGCTGCCAGCAACAGGCTCATTTCATTCATTTTTGAGAAAATATCTGGCTGACATCCAAATCTAAATATATAACCATAGTTTATCTCTCATTTATTCTTTCAAGTAGAAATGATGTTTAAAAAGTCAGCTCACAACTCTCAAACAATTGTACAAATGTTTTTCCTTGACACAACACAGAATTGTACAAAAATGTGGACTCAGGCATTAAGATGTACTAAAATCAATATCTTTTACCGTGAGTGCATGGACTAGGTTGCCACTACCTTGATTTGTGCTGTTTCCAGCAATTTTACTCACCATTGCTTTTGTACCATTAGTATAAATAATTTAAAAGTGTACAGTTTGAGATGCATTGTTGTGGATAAAGAACAATAAATAAAATTTTCCGCACCTGGCCAAAATAAAATTTTCAAATAGCCTTTAACACAGTATAAAAGAGCAAACAGGCCGGGCGCGGTGGCTTATGCTTGTAATCCCAGCACTTTGGGAGGCCGAGGCGGGCAGATCACGAGGTCAGGAGATCGAGACCATCCTGGCTAACACGGTGAAACCCTGTCTCTACTAAAAATACAAAAAAATTAGCCGGGTGTGATGGCGGGCGCCTGTAGTCCCAGCTACTCGGGAGGCTGAGGCAGGAGAATGGCATGAACCCGGGAGGCCGAGCTTGCAGTGAGCCGAGATTGCGCCACTGCACTCCCGCCTGGGCCACAGAGCGAGACTCCGTCTCAAAAAAAAAAAAAAAAAAAAAGAGCAAATAACATCTTAATATCATTATTGAAATATTGTTTAGGGCCAGGCGTGGTTTTTTGATTCTATATAATGAAATATGTCAAAATTTAGAAGGTACGTATAACTATTTTCCAAATAACCAACACATAATCTTCAAACAAACAAACAAACAAAAAAAAGATGTACGGGTAACACATCCATTCGAAGTATAAAACAAGGCCGGCCACAGTGGCTCACGCCTATAATCCCAGCACTTTGGGAGCCCGAGGCAGGTGATACCTTGAGGTCAGGAGTTTGAGACAAGCCTGACCAACATGGTAAAACCCCATCTCTACTAAAAATACAAAAATTAGCTGGCTGTGGTGCACGTCTGTGTCCCAGCTACTTGGGAGGCTGAGGCATGAGAATCACTTGAACCTGGGAGGTGGAGGTTGCAGTGAGCCAAGATTGTGCCACTGCATTCCAGCCTGGCAGAGCCAGACCCTGTCTCAAAAGAAAAAAATAGTGCAACACACATCAATGAATCTAAATGTAACACAGTATGAAAAGTTAACTGATATAGTTTCATAATCTACATTGTAACTAACCTTTAAGAAGTTATTATTTGTGGACTTTTGATGCAGTATCACAGAAGAATAACCACAGTTATCTGATAAGACTATTAAAATGCTGTACTCCTGACTCTTCCAACTACATAGCTGCATGAGGCCAGATTTTTTTTTTTAATTTTACTTTAATTTCTGGGATACATGTGAGGACAGATTTTCTTTATCATAACAGATTAATGAAAAGACATTTATAAGAATCCAGACACTAAAGAGATTCACAGAAAGGTAAAACTGCTTTTCTACCTATTATTTTTTGTTTTAGAAAATATAGTTATTTCTCATATAAAAGTGTATTATATATAAATATAATAAATTTATTATTGTTATTTAGGATAAATATTTTAACATTTCAGTTTTACTTTTTTTTATTTTTTTTATTTTTTAGACGGAGTCTCGCTCTGTTGCCCAGGTTGGAGTGCAGTGGCACCATTTCAGCTCACTGCAAGCTCCACCTTCTGGGTTCACACCATTCTCCTGCCTCAGCTTCCCGAGTGGCTGGGACTACAGGGGCCCGCCACCACGCCTGGCTAAATTTTTTTTGTATTTTTAGTAGAGGCAGGGTTTCACTGTGTTAGCCCGGATGGTCTCGATCTCCTGACCTCGTGATCCGCCCGCCTCGGCCTCCCAAAGTGCTGAGATTACAGGCATGAGCCATGGCGCCTGGCCCTCAGCTTTACTTTCTAATATGGGGTCAACAGGGATACATATAACTTACCTAAACAAAAGCTCTTTGAGCCTCAATAATTTAAGAGTGTAAAGTTGGAAAACCATGATCACAGATAAAGAACAAGAAGTTAAAAATTTAAAGTCTTGACTGGGCATGGTGGCTCACGCCTGTAGTCAGGAGTTCGAGACCAGCCTGGCCAACATGGTGAAAGCCCCCTCTACTAAAAATACAAAAATTAGGCGTGGTAATCCCAGCTACTCAGGAGGCTGAGGCAGGAGAATCACTTGAACCTAGGAGGCGGATGTTACACTGAGCCGAGATTGTGCCACTGCACTCCAGCCTGGGCAACGAGACCGAAACTCCGTATCAAAAAAAAATAATAATAACAAGGGATGTTTGCAGGGAGAGAATTAATAGGACTCGACCTAGAAAAGATGCAGCCTAACTTTTTCTGTAAAGGGTCAGACCGGCTGGGCGCGGTAGCTCACGCCTGTAATCCCAGCACTTTGAGAGGCCGAGGCGGGCAGATCATGAGGTCAAGAGATCGAGACCATCCTGGCTAACATGGTGAAACCCTGTCTCTACTAAAAAAAATACAAAAAATTAGCCAGGCGTGGTGACGGGCGCCTGTAGTCCCAGCTACTAGGGAGGCTGAGGCAGGAGAATGGCATGAACCTGGGAGGTGGAGTTTGCAGTGAGCCGAGATCGCGCCACTGCACTCCAGCCTGGGCGACAGAGCGAGACTTGGTCTAAAAAAGAAAAAAAAGGTGGGGGGCGGTCAGACCGTAAATATGTACTTAGGCTTTGCAGACCACATGTGGTCTCTTTCACAGATATATTTGTTTGTTTTAAACAAGCATTTAAAAATGTAAAAAAAAAAAATGCTGGGTGCAGTGGCTCACATCTGTAATCCCAGCACTTTGGGAGGCCAAGGTGGGCAGATCACCTGAGGTCAGGAGTTCAAGACCAGCCTGACCAACATGGAGAAACCGTCTCTACTAAAAATACAAAATTAGCCAGGCATGGTGGCACGTGCCTGTAATCCTAGCTACTCAGGAGGCTGAGGCAGGTAAATCACTTGAACCCAGGAGGCGGAGGTTGTAGTAAGCCGAGATCACGCCACTGCACTCCAGCCTGGGCAACAAGAGCAAAACTCCGTCTCAAAAAAAAAAAAGTGAAAAAAAATATCAGGGCCAGGCACGGTGGCTCACACTTGTAATTCCAGCTCTTTGGGAGGCCAAGCCAGGCAGATCATCTAAGGTCAGGAGTTTGAGACCAGCCTGGCCAACATGGCAAAACCCTGTCTCTACTAAAAATATAGAAATTAGCTGGGTGTGGTGGTGTGTGCCTATAATCCCAGCTACCCAGGAGGCTGAGGCAGGAGAATCACTGGAACCTGGTGGGCAGAGGCTGCAGTGAGGTGAGATTGCACCACTGCACTCCAGCCTGGGCGACAAAGCAAGACTCCATCTCAAAAAAAAATATTGGCTGCCAGGTCCCTGGCTGGATTTGACCCAGTAGACACAGTTTGCTGACCCCTGACCTAGGAGATAAACAATAAAGGAGGGCCTGGTTGGGCACAGGCACCTGTAATCCCAGCACTTTGGGAGGCTGAGGCAGATCACTTGAGCCCAGGAATTCAAGACTAGCCTGGGCGAAAACAGCAAAACTCTGTCTCTATAAGAAATTAGCCAGGCCTAGTGGCATGTGCCTGTAGTCTCAGCTGCTGGGGACTGGAGTTTGGGAGCTGAGGTGGGAGGATGGCTTGAGCCTGGGAAGTCAAGGCTGCAGTGAGCCATGATCACGTCACTGCACTCCAGCCTGGGTGACAGAGCGAGACCCTGTCTCAAAAAAAAACAAAACAAAACAAAAAAAAACAAGCCTGTGGTGACCCCCAGCTTTCCCTTTCTAGCTTAAACTAATGAAAAGGCTGTGGTATCACAAAATAAAAGGCAAGGGTTTCTGAGTTGTTGTTGTGGGGGTGGCTAGAAGAGAGTTTAGTTTTAGACAGCCCAGATGGAACTGCTAAATAGAGAGCTGGATACAAATATGGAGCTCAGAACAGAGGTCAGGGTTGGAGACAGAGATCTGGTAACCACCAAGATATGAAAGAGTTAAAACTGTGTCCAAGGGGAGAATGTCGAAAGAAAAGAAAGTTAGCTATAATCATGCAAAACACCAGAGAGGGAGGTAAACAAAAGGAGTCTGTGAAGAAAACTAAAAATGAAAGAGATGTAGGCATATTTTAAAATGTTAAAGGACAACAGAAAACTAAGTTGTGGACCTTGACTTATTGCCCAGAAATAATACTAAATCACAGATGTTTCAGAAAGGCAAAGAGGACTGCCTAAGGACAAATTCCCATCGTTCCGATAAACAAACCTTGGCTGCAATTTCCAAGAGGCCAATTGTTACAAGGTCTCTTCCCTAAAACAAAGGTTTGCTCATTGGCCTAGTCAGGCTACTTCTCCTACCCTGGCACCAACCCATTCTTCATAAAAGCCATGCATGGAAGAGGGAACGAAGTACCAGATGGGAACATTCATTCCTCACTTCTGAGGGTTCCTTGCATGAATCGAGGTCCACCAGTTGTAACATCTTTAGCATGTCTTTGCCACTTAGATCATTCTATCCTGGAGAGGGAAGCAACTGACTGACTGGTAAATTTGGGATAAATAGTCTGTTCATGCTCTTCTTCCTCATACGCATAAGCTGTCTGCTGAAGCTGCGTTGAGTGGAGGGTCTGCATACTGCATATGACCTCTCCAATCCAGCACCACTGTGCCCACGGGGTAGGTCTGAATAATGATGGAATTCACTTAGCAAACCAATTTGGCTCTAACCTTAAGCTGCTTCCTTTACCATCACCTTTATCAGTAATAAAAGCAATATTATGGCCCTCATCTGCTAATAGTTTGGTTTTTTGCCATTTATCCAGAACCCGTGTGGAGAAGAGAGGTGCTATTTATTGGCCTTTCTAAATCATAAAATCAGGTTTAACTAAACAACAATCTAATTTTAGATTAATCTAATTATCTATTGTAATCTTAATAAGATAATTCAAGATTTTTTTTAAAGGTTACATTAGTTTCCTGTCTTACTTTTATATGAAAGTTTCTTATCTATTTTGATGGAGAAAGTATTGTCCTTCACATTTGTTTGTAAAATGAAACAGGCAAGACCAACCAACAATAAAGACACAATTGTGACTACAGTTAATTCTGAATGTTCCATTCACTTTCAGATTGCAAGATTTTGGAAAAGATTTCTAAGAACCCTTAATATCATCAAACATAGTCAAGGAAATTATCTTAAATATACTTATCTTGAAATGCCCTCCAAATACTTAAATATGATTCATAAATATTTATCTCTGGTCACTTTTAAAAAGCCTAAGACAAATTATTTGAATAAATGAATTTAGTGATTTCATGCAAAATACTTCCACAACAGCATACATCACACTGTGACATTTTTAGTCTGAAGAAGGGAAAATACACATTCTGCAAAGGGAAGAAATGTAAACAAAATTGGACTAACCATTTTTAAAGACTGCCTCCTGTCTGGGTTCTGTCTGTTTGAACTATGCCAATCATGGGATTCCATTAGAAAAATAAAATTGCCCTGAAACAGTACCTCAAGTGATTAGTGCTACAATGGGCTTTTCTACAAATCATTCCAGACACTGTCCAGGGCTCAGGGCACAGCTCCTCTACTGTTTCCAACATCTATTGCACATTTTAAAAGATAAGGTTATAAGACTGGGTTGTAATAAACACACTGAATGGGTCTGTATCTACACTGAGTTGTAGGTGGCTACAGACCAGGGTAGGCCAGGAAGAAACAGAATTTGGAATGGCAAGGCAGGTGGAACAAGGAGAGCAGCATGCGCTACTAAACTGTAAGCAACTTGATCGATACTCAATCTTATTTGTCTCTTTACAACCTGAAGCACCAGCACAGAGCTTTACACAGTAGGTGTTCAAGCAGTTATTTGTTTAATGGAACTGACTGTTATGGCTGATGAAGCCAGAACTCTGGCTTCTGGATACGTGGCTGTATTTGGGGATTTTATGGTATTTACCTCTTCTGGATTATGACCTGATAGTCTGTGGTAGATTTAAGGGGATGCCTAAAAAGGATACTTAACCATTTAGTTCAGCTGGAATGGAAACACAGAACACCCTCTGCGGCTTTATTTCTTAGAGCTCACGTGCAGAATGGCACATGCCTGATCAGTTTCTGAGTGCCAAGAGTGTTCTCTGTTTTAACAGCACACTCTAGCCAAGATGCTGACACTGGGCATATTCTCCAACTTTCACCTGTCTCCTAGAGCTGCTCAGATCTGATTTAATACTGTCCATGGCGAGTCACAGCTTGAGAGGGGCTGGATCATAATGCTCCATGAAAAGCATCTACTGAAGTAAATGTTAATTTATGGAAGGAGGCACTGAGACACCAAAATGTTTTCTGTTATTCTAAATTCTGTCAGCACAAAGGAGAACCTGTAACCAACATTTTAAGGAAACTAATTTTATAGACTTTTCAGCTTACAGAATTGATAAATTAGAGCTCTAATTTTCATTATCTGGGATATGGCAAAGGTGGAGAATGGAAGAGAAGAGATTCAGAAACAGTCAATGTAGTAACCTGGAAGGCCCTTCAACAAAACTGAGCCTGTGTTTTGTTCATTTTCTTATCCCTCAAAGCATCTAGCAGGAGCCTTTTGCCAAAGGCATTCAGTAAATGTTTTCTGAATCAAGTTGTTGCGAAAGCATTCTCAGCACACACCAATCCAGCATGCCATAAGTTTAGCAACCCTTAACTCTCTCCCTAGCAAATGCTTTCAGTTCCCCTTATTGTGAAATATTTTTCTTCTAGGAAATATATTTTAACTTCACAATATATAAATGAGAAATGCCAGAATCTCCTACAAGATGTAATTTTAAAAGGGAGGAGGGCATGTACTCAACAAAGTTTGAGGAAACTGTGGTCTTAGTCTGGGGATAATATTTTTATATCAACACATAATAGACATTTTAGCTTTAAAGAGAAATGGAACACACATGAGGATAAAGTAAAACCCCCAAATTTGTGATTTTTTTAAAGTTGTGCTTCATTTTTACAAAATGAATGAAGACAAATATAAATATTTTACGTTAAAAAGCAAAGAACAACCTAAGCAAAGCAATATAACTGGAGCTGTGTTGTAACAAACTCTAAAGAGAAGGCTTCGGCAATGCTGTCACACAGCTGCATCCATAAATGTCTTTTCCTAAAGGAATAGTTAAACTAAAAGTTGAACTGGAAAGACAGATGCATCTTTTAAATAAACTTCCAGGCCTGGCTGTATGTTAAAGTTACACAAATAATTAAAATGCCTAGGTCTCAGGCTGGGCGCGGTGGCTCACGCCTGTAATTCCCACATTTTGGGAGGCCGAGGCAGGAGGATCACGAGGTCAAGAGATCGAGATCGAGACCATCCTGGCTAACATGGTGAAACCCTGTCTCTACTAAAAATACAAAAAATTAGCCAGGCGTGGTGGCACACGCCTGTAGTCCCAGTTACTTGGGAGGCTGAGACAGAAGAATCACTTGAACCCAGGAGGCGGAGGGTGCAGTGAGCCAAGATCACGCCATTGCACTCCAGCCTAGGTGACAGAGTGAGACTCCGTCTCAAAAAAAAAAAAAAAAAAAAAACGCCTAGGTTTCAAAGGTCACAGATAATTCGATTCCCATCTACCTATAGCCAAAGCCTTTCAAAAGGCTGCCAATAGGCGGGGTGTGGTGGCTCACGCCTGTAATCCCAGCACTTTGGGAGGCCAAGGCAGGGTGGATCACCTGAGGTCAGAGGTTCGAGACCAGCCTGGCCTTCATGGCATAACCCCATCTCTACTAAAAATATAAATTTTAGCTAGGCATGGTGGCGCACACCCGTAGTCCCAGCTACTCGGGAGGCTGAGGCAGGAGAATCTCTTGAACCCAGGAGGTGGAGGTTGCAGTGAACCGAGATCGTGCCACAGCACTCTAGCCTGGGTGACAGAGTAAGACTCCATCTCCAAAAAAAAAAAAAAAAAAGAGGCTGCCAATAATAACATATTCTCTTTGAGACCTTCCCTACTACCCCATCCTTCCCCAACCCCTCCACTACATTGCGATGGCATTTTCTTTTCATACCTCTATTATCACTTACCTCAATATACAATCATATTTTAATTTCATTGTTATTACAAATTGGTTCTTGATTAGACTATAAGCTCCTTGTGGACAACAGCTGGGTCATAGTAATTTTGCTACATTTAATATCTGCTAAATAAACAGTCAATAAAAGTTTTGTTGAAAAAATGAAGCCAAAATTTCTGAGAGAATAAAACCAAAACTTCTGAAAACCTTGTTTCACAAACTTAAATCTAGTCACTCAAAAGAAGGCTTCAAGTAACCTGAAGTATTGTAAAAAAAATTATTTGTTTATGCATCATATATCCATATATTTAATGCCTATATCTTTATTTTATTGTTTGTTGTTGTTTTCTTTGTTGGGGGACCGAGTTTCACTCTTGTTGCCCAGCCCATCGCAGTGGCGCGATCTCGGCTCATTGTAACTTCTGCCTCCCGGATTCAAGTGATTCTCTCGCCTCAGCCTTCCAAGTAGCTGGGATTACAGGCATGTGCCACCACACCTGGCTAATTTTGCATTTTTAATAGAGACAGGGTTTTACCATGTTGGTCAGGCTGGTCTTGAACTCCTGACCGCAAGTGATCCGCCTGCCTCAGCCTCCCAAAGTGCTGAGATTACAGGTATGGGCCACTGCGCCCAGCCATTTACTGCCTGTATCTTTATACACCAAAATGTCAGCAACTGGCTCATGTAGAACAATGTTCGCACTTAGTAGGTGCTCAAATATTTACTGATCCAATTAATATCGCTAGAACACTCTGGGTATTCAAATATACATATATACACACATACATATATAGAATATACATACTATACACTACAGAATGTAAAAGACAAATCCCCAAGAGATCTAGATATCAAGATTTCAAGATATCAAGATTTTAAATCGGATATCTAAAGGAAAAATCGGAGAACTTCTTCATTTTAAATCAGGGCACGGAAAATGTTCCAGAGTTGATTTTCAGAAGTGATAAAGCAATCATGACACAGCAAAACCCAGTCAAACAAGTGAATCTCTCATAAAGGAATCAGAGCACTTCATTCACTGAAGAGACAAGTTTCTACAACCAAACTGCAAAAGATTTCTGAGTTTAACAACTTGCAACAGATGTCAACACAGAAGTTCAGCTGTTACATCTTGGAAGTTAGATGGGTTTTAGACTTATTAGTTTTACAATAAATATAAAAATGATTAAAACTAAAATATTTTAAAAGACCAGCATGTATCTGATCTCTATGTATCTCTTAAAAATTATAAAAATAATTGCAAAAGCAAAATCTGTAGAGAGGTCAATATTTACCTGATATTTATATAATAACTCTTAAGATAATCATTATAGTTTATTTAAAGGTGCAGTATAGTTTAGTAAAACACAGCAGAATCTCAAGCCACAATTGGTAAAATACTGAGAAGTCAAAAGAAAACAGTCTGGTGGCCATCAGTAAGGCTAAACCATCTCTAACTGCACCTACAAAGGAGTTAAGAGTGCCAGCCATCCCTTAGAGCCTCCCTGCCAACTCACTGGAATTAACTGTGACAAGGCAGCAGGCCAAAGGAAGGAGCCCAACGAACAATTCAGGATGGTGGAATTAACATGCACATTCCCTTCCACCTGCAAATGTTTGGTAGGCTAAAAAGATATTACCAGCCACATAACACGCCCCTGGGTTTTCAGTAACAAAAAGTAATTTAATATGTCACAGTGATATGTTTGGTCTAGAGAAAGGTGCATGCTCTCAAATCTCCCCATAAGATTGAACACATTGATGGATAACAGCTAAATGCTCTCCCCAAACTGAGAGGCAATTCCACAGAAAACACATACTGAGGACCAGATAGTTCTCTGCTTCCACAAATCCATGCCATTAACTAGTTTCTCTATTATCTGATACTTTATGTGCCCTGAAATTAACAAATTATATTCTATCAAAACAAATTCCCATGCATTAAAAAGAGCTGTGGTGAAAAAAAAAAAAAAGACAAAAGAAATTCCACTGGAAAAGCAGAGATTGTGATTAGGAAAAAAAAATTCACCATGCAAATCTGGAACTATTTCAAATTAGTTGAGAGGGGAGGGAAGCACGACTAGGGAAGAGAATTCTTACGGACAAAAAAAAAAATGATGAATAAAGCACTTGAAAACAAAGCTTATCAGTACTTTATTCTAATTTGGAAGAAGCAGGATATGTCCTCTGACATCATTTATACAAAGCTTGGTTCCTGCAACTTTTTTGGAATAATAATTTTTTATCAAAATTTTATGGTTTTAAAAAATGATGCAAAGACTTCTGGTGTCAGCCAAGGAGTAAGCTCCCCTCAGCCTCTCTCCTTCCCAGATTACAACACTCTCAACTAAATAAAATAAGCCACTAGCTGAGGAAGAAGAAGAGTAAATAAACAGCAGGCAAATAGAAGAGGTAAGTCAAAACTGAAAGCTTACAATTCCACTGAGTTTCCTGCCTATTTTCTTTTTTACTCCTTCACCTCCTGGCTTAGACCCAAGGATGGGCCTGGTCCTGGTGGCCCAATTTACAAAACAGCACAGGGAACACACACACTAAAAATGCTGACAGAAATTCCCGTATACTGCTCAGAGGGCTGAAAGAGCCAGGCAAGCCAAAAAGTACAGGCTAAATACCCTTTTCTTCTTTTTTTACCTTTGTTTTCCTCCGCTGGCCCTATCTTGAGGTCTGGACCAGTCACAGGACTATGCTGGGAAAAGAAGCCCCTAGGAGCCCAAGAATGAGGAGATATACCAAACAGGAGAAAGCTGGAAAAGGGGATCCCCAATTCTACATAATAACAAACATGCATCTCAGGCTGACCTCCAAGCTTGCATATGTACAGTAGTTCCAAAGAAGGACAGCAAAAGCTTTGAGAACTGAGCTATAAGACACTCCCAAGTCCCAGACCTGATTAGTGCTTAGGCAGGGTCAGTCAAACAGCAGAGCAAACACTGAGAACTGAACTGACACTGGAATCTACAGAAGGTGAGAACAAACTCGAGATCTGAACTTAACCAAGTTGACTCCATGCTTAAAAAAACAAACAACTCAACATTCTCCAGAGGATTGTAATAGGACCCAAAGTCTCACAATGTAATATTCAATATGAACCACACATAATCCAAAATTACTCAACATACAAAGGACCAAGAAAATATGACCAATTCTTGGGAGAAAGACAATCAACAGATACCCAAACGGAAATTAAACAGATAATAGAATTATCAAAGAATTTTAGGCCGGGCACGATGGCTCATGCCTGTAGTCCCAGCACTTTGGGAAGCCAAGGCGGGCAGATCATCTGAGGTCAGGAGTTCGAGACCAGCCTGGCCAACACTGCGAAACCCCATCTCTACTAAAACTACAAAAATTAGCCAAGCATGGTGGCGGGCGCCTGTAATCCCAGCTACTTGGGAGGCTGAAGCAGGAGAATTGCTTGAACCCGGGTGGTAAAGGTTGCAGTAAGCCAAGATGGCGCCACTGCACTCCAGCTTGCGTGACAGAGCAAGACTCCATCTCAAAATAAAAAAAAAGATTTTTAAAGCGGTTATTATAGCCATGCTCCATGAGGTAAAGGTAAACACTCTGAAAGACAGATGTTTTCAGCAGAGAAATAGAAACTATGAAAAAGCTATAAATGGATGATGTACAGTTCTGTAGTTTGTGGCAGTAGTTACATGAAGCTACACATGTGCTAAAATAGCAGAAAACTATACACACACACATGCAGGTATACATGGAAAAATCTCAATAAAATCTGTGGATTGCACCAATGTCAATTTCTTTGTATTAATAATGTACTACAGTTATGCAAGATGTTAACACTGGGAGAGGCTGGGAAAAGGGTTCATGGGATCTTTCTGTACATATCTTTGCAACTTCCTATAAATCTGTAATTATTTCAAAATAAAAGTGTTTTTTAAAGAACCAAATGGAAATTTTACAACAGAAAAGTGTGTCAAATAAAAAGATCACAATACAAGCTAAATCGAATAATTGTGATAGCAAAAAACAAACAAAAAAAAAGTCAGTGCACATACAGATCAATAGAATGATTCAATTTCTTTCTTTCTTTTTTTTTTTTTTTTTTTTTGAGACGGAGTCTCGCTCTGTCACCCAGGCTGGAGTGCAGTGGCGCGATCTCGGCTCACTGCAAGCTCCGCCTCCGGGGTTCACACCATTCTCCTGCCTCAGCCTCCCGAGTAGCTGGGACTACAGGCGCCCGCCACCACGCCTGGCTAATTTTTTGTATTTTGTTTAGTAGAGACGGGGTTTCACCGTGTTAGCCAGGATGGTCTCGATCTCCTGACCTTGTGATCTGCCCATCTCAGCCTCCCAAAGTGCTGGGATTATAGGTGTGAGCCACTGCGCCCAGCCATATGATTCAATTTCAAGAACAGAAAAAGAAATCAAAAAATCTAACAGAGCCTCAGAGACCTGTGAGACACTATCAAAAGACCTAACATTCATGTCACTGGAACCACAGAAGGAAAGAAGAAAACAAATTATTGGTATAGAAAGAGTAATTGAAAAAATAATGGCTGCAAACTTCCAAATTTATTGGAAAACATAAATTCACAGATTGAAGGAGAATCTCAAACAAAAAAAGACACATTATATGTAATGAAACCAGAATTAAAATAAATGGGCTTTCTTGTCAGAAATCACGGAAGCCAAAAGACAGTGCAAACAATATTTTTTAAATGCCAAGAGAAAAGTACTATTGGCTGGGCATGGTGGCTCAAGCCTGTAATCTCAGCAGTCTGGGAAGCCAAGGAAGGCAGACTCCTTGAGCCCAGGAGTTTAAGGCCAGCCTGGGCAACATGGCAAAATTCCAACTTTACAAAAAAACAAATTAGCTGGGCATGGTGGCATGCACCTGTAGTCTCAGCTACTCAGGAAGCTGAGGTGGAAGGATCACTTGAGTTCAGGAGGTTGAGGCTGCAATGAGCCATAATCATGCCACTGCACTCCAGCCTGAGTGACAGAGCAAGACCCTGTCTCAGAAAAAAAGAAAAGAAAAAGTACTGTCGATTCAGAATTCTAAATTCAGTGAAGATTTTTCTGTAAAACTAAAATTTTTCTAAAATAAAAATTTCACTGTTTAAAAAAAAAAGATGAAATGGATAAATTTCGAGACATATAAAATGCCCAAATAGGCACACACACAAAAACTGTGAACTACTTAGATTAAGCAGTTAACAGGACCCCAAAGGGGTAAATCAATTTTGAAAATGACTTTCATTTTTCCATTCAAATTTTAGAATGTTTGCCAAATTCCTTGAGAAAATAGATGAAATTTAATTGGGACTACATTGACTTTTTAAGATTAATTTGAGGGTGAAATGATGCCTTTTTAATTGATGTATCCTACTAGATGTGAAGACACAACACAAAGCAGAGTAATAAAAACAGCTGGCATTGACGTAACAAACATAACTACAGTTATCTATATCCAATAAAACAGACCAGAGCTCTTAGAATGCCATGGAAATATGGGAACATGATATATAAGAGTAGTGGCACAGATCACAAGGTCAAGAGATCGAGACCATCCTAGCTAACACAGTGAAACCCCGTCTCTACTAAAAATACAAAACAATTAGCCGGGCGTGGTGGCGGGCGCCTGTAGTCCCAGCTACTCAGGAGGCTGAGGCAGGAGAATGGCATGAACCCAGGAGGTGGAGCTTGGAGTAAGCCGAGATCGCACCACTGCACTCTAGCCTGGGCAACAGAGTGACCCATCTCAAAAAAAAAAATAGTGGCACCAGCTGGCATGGTGGCTCATGCCTGCAATCCCAGCACTTTGGGAGGCTGAGGCAGGCAGATCATTTGAGCCCAGGAGTTCAAGACAAGCCTGACCAACATGACGAGATCTCATCTCCACAAAAAAATAAAAGCAGGTGTGGCAGTGCATGCCTTTAGTCCCAGCTACTCAGGGGGCTGAGCTGGGAGGATCACTTGAGTCGGGAGGTCAAGGCTATAGTGAGCTGTGAGTGCACCACTGCACTCCAGCCTGGGTGAAAGAATAAGCTCTGTCTCCAAAAAAAAAATAGTGGCACCACAAACTAGTTCATGTGGTTAGGAAAATGGCCTCAATACGTGCAGAAAAATAAAACTGGATTACTATTCTATGTCATATATAATGATGGACTCAGGTGGAAGATCTCATGGGAAATGCTGACTTATGAAATACATAATTAAAAATGCAGAATATCTTCATATTTCCAGAAGACCATAAAGTAAAAGATTATGGACTTCCTATATCAAAATTAAGCCCTACTCAGCAAAAGGTACCAATGACAAAATTAACATACTATGACAGATGAAGAAAAGGCAAATACCAGGCTAATATTCTAAACTCTACAAAAACACTCTGTAAATCAAACAGGAAAAGACAGAAACTCTAATTAAAGAAGTGGGCCAGGGATATGAACAGGTAATTCACAGAGGGGGCGTTCATATGGTCTTAATGGTATATAAAGAAACGCTGCCATTCAGTAACTGGAGAATACAAATTAAAACAACATTAAGATACCACTTTACCCCATCAGATAGACAACAATTAGAAAGCTGGATAAACAGCTTTCTGTTTCCTATTTCTGAAGAAATAGGAAATGTTGCACAATCTGAAAAAGTGCCCAAATTTGGCAGTGCTTAATCAAATTAAGTACAGCAATCTACTCTTATGCATACATTGAAAGAAATTCTCCCACCATAACAGAACAAGCACAACAATGTTCATCCCATCGTCTGCAGCAGTGGGAAGTTGAAAATAATCTGGTGTCCATCACCGAAAGAACAAATCATTTAAGGAAAGGCAGATGGTGGTTAGATTAGAAACAAAGAACTAGGTATATACACAGCAACACAGTCCCTAAATAGTACCAAGAGAATACAGTACCATTTAGGTAAGTTTAACAAATCACACACACACACACACGCAAGAACCCAGCACTACATATTTACAAAACTGCATACAAATATAGGGATACTTACCAAATACATTACAACAGTTTAACTATGGGGAAATAGGAACAGAAGTGGAAAGTGGAGGTAAAAAAGAAATTAATTAATCTGAAGAGCTAAGAGAGAGGACTTGCACAGACCAATGCTGATGCTATGTTATGAAATGTGATGTCATTAGCTCAATCCTTACCACCTGAGGACTAAAAAAATAAATCCAGCAAATATCCTGCTAAAATTTCAAGAATGAAGGATCAAAGAAGTTAAGGTACACAGAATGAGCTTTTAAAAAAAAAAAAATTAGGCTGGGCAAGGTGGCTTATGCCTGTAAACCCAACACTTTGGGAGGGAAAGGTGGCAGGCTTGCTTGAGCCTAGGAGTTTGAGAGCAGCCTGGGCAATATAGTGACACCCCATACCCATAAAAAGTTTAAAAATTAGCCAGGTATGGTGGCCCACACCAGTAGTCCCAGCTACTTGGGAGGCTTAGGCAAGAGAAGAGGATCACTTAAGCCCAGGAGTTGGAGGCTAGAGCGAGCTATAATCACACTGCCTCACTCAGCCTGAGCAATAGAGCAAGATACTGCCTTTAAAAAAAAAAAAAAAAAAAAAAGGCCAGGTGCAGTGGCTCATACCTGTAATCCCAGCACTTTGGGAGGCCAAGGCAGGCAGATTGCTTGAGTCCATGAGTTCAAGACCAGCCTGGGCAATATGGCAAAATCCAGCCTCTACAAAAAATACAAAAATTAGCCAGGACTGGTGGCATGCACCTATAGATCTAGCCACTCAGGAGGCTGAGGTGGAAGAATCGTTTGAGCCCAGGCGGGGCAGACTGCAGTGAGCCAAGATCACGTCACTGCACTCCAGCCTGGGCAACAGAGAGAGACCATATCTCAGAAGAAGAAAAGAAACAAAGTGGAAGAAAATACATCTCAACAAAACTTAAGCATATGTTGGAAATAGATAACCAGCAGCTCCCAAATGACTCAAACAAATGAAAACTGATGAACAGGTCTTCTGTTGGTTCCATGAGTAAGTCAAGCTGTGGTTAATAATCTTCAAACTTTTAGCAATCGTTCTACACTAATTTTATTAGAGTATTATAGGTTTTTTGTGGCAGCTAAGCCAACTGAGATATTGGTTTTAAAAGGTAGCTAGAATATATTTAGTGGTACGTAAGAGTTAAAATTATTCTTTTGGCACTGACACAGCTAAATTATTTGCCTTATAGTATTGTATTACAATCAATCAGTCTCTCTCCCTCACACACAAACACACATCACAGCCACAAAGTCATATGTACTGTATTTAGGTGATAATTTAGTCTGACCATAAAAAAGCCTGAGAATTTTTTTTTTTTTTTCTGAGTCAGGGTCACTCTGTCACCCAGTCTGGAGTGCAGTGGCATGATCTCAGCTCACTGCAGCCTCGACAACTTCCCCAGGCTCAGATGATCCTCCCATCTCAGCCTCTCCAGTAGCTGAGACCACAGGAGCACATCACCATGCCTGGCTAACTTTTTTATTTTTTGTAGAGAGGGGTTTTGCATGTTGCCCAGGCTGGTCTCGAACTCCTGGGCTCAAGCAATCCACTGCCCTCGGTTTCCCAAAGTGCTAGGAATGCAGGCATGAGCCACCGTGCCCGACTAGAATTTTTTTTTTTTAAAGAAAATTAACTCTGTAACTTTCAAATATATAAATGGCATTGCTGAAATAAGATAGGAAAGCCCTGTTCTATGCTTTTAAGCATTTGCTCCAACCCTATATACGGAAGAGACCTAAATAACCTCCCCTCTTATTCTTATTACCATACACACTCCCTCACTATGCTATATAACCTTCTGTATTCTAGAATCAGGTATTACCATTATCTAAGACTTGCTAGGAAATCTGGAAGAACAGCTTGTTACCCTTTCTCTACCGCCCTTCTTCTCCACCTCTTTGTATTCCAAAGCCTGCTCCTGGCAGTCAAGGTCAGGGAGATAACTAAAATAATTTACTGTCACTTTAGAAATTGATTTCAAATATCTGAATGATACCTTATTTATTCTCTTTAAATTCAATCAACAGCCACTTATAAGCCTGTCAATACAGAGATAACAAACATGATCTTATTCTATCTTATTCTACTACTAGAATAAGAACCCTTCAAAGAGAAGCAGACCAATATTTATAAAAGAGATGGTAGAACAGGTCAGGCATGGTGGTTCATGCCTGTAATCCCCGCATTTTAGGAGGCCGACATGGGTGGATCACTTGAGGCCAGAAGTTCGAGACCACCCTGGCCAACATGGGTGAAACCCAGTCTCTACTAAAAATACAAAAATTAGCCAAGCATGGTTGCACACGCCTGTAATCCCAGCTACTCAGGAGGCTGAGGCACAAGAATCACTTGAACCCGGAAGGCAGAGGTTGCAGTAAGCAGAGATCATGCCACTGCATTCCAGCCTAGGCAACAAAGCGACTCTGTCTCAATCAATCAATAATACAACAAATTTATATATGCAAAAATTATAGACAGCATCTTCGGGAGTATCGTTTCCATAAATTAAGGTGTTCTGTTATCTGAGATGCAATGTGTTTATGGATGTGCTACTTTAACTGATAGTACTCTGAATAGTTTCACAGAAGCCCTAAGACAGATTTGTAGCTCTCACTTAAAAAAAAAAAATTAACTAGGTGAAAGCCATCACCTAAGATGGAGGTAGTGAATAAAGGTCTGCATTCAGAAACATTAGAAAACATCTACAAAAGATTCCTGTACCTTTTAATAACTCTGGAAATATTATGACAAATGTAGACTACATAGTATATAAATACACTCAGCTTTAAGAACCTGGAAATGTCTCCCCTTCTAAATGATGGCCTCTAGCACAGTTAATGAAGAATGATCCATAGAAATAAAACTTAAATATTCACCCTTGGCTGCATGGAGGAAGGGCAAGAAAAGGTAAGTTATCTAGCTTTCCTTAAACAATTGATATTGAGTAAACAGAGGAGAAAAGGCCTGTGATTCAAATATAATTTACTGCCAATCTAATGTGCATAGGGGTTAGAGGAATGCACTCTTATATAGGTTGCTATTTCCTAAAGTTTTATTCTATGGAATAAATTTAAGAAATATTAAGTTGTAAAAATGTGAAAACAGTTTATTTGCCAGACACTTCTCTAAGCCTTTAACATGTTACTGTTTAAGATGACTGTCAAAGATAAGAAATTAAACCACTAAATTTTATAAATGAACTATCTCACTGAGATTAGTGATCATCAGGCTGTAAATTGAGAAAGATCATTCTCTGATCATCAGAATATAATTTGAGAAAGACTTTTTTATTTATTTATTTTTTTTTGAGACAGGGTCTCACTCTGTCGCCCAGGCTGGAGCGCAGTGGCGCAACCTCAGCTTACTGCAACCTCTGCCTCCCGGCTTCAAGCAATTCTCATGCCTCAGCCTCCCAAGCAGCTGGGATTACAGGCATGCACCACCACGCTTGGCTGATTTTTGAATTTTTATTTATTTATTTTTATTTGCTTTCTCTTTTTAGACAGAGTTTCACTCTTGTTGCCCAGGCTGGAGTGAATTCAGCTCACTGTAACCTCCGCCTCCCAGGTTCAAGTGATTCTCCTGCCTCAGCCTCCCAAGTAGCTGGGATTACAGGTACATGCCACCACGCCCAGCTAAGTTTTTTGCTTTTTTTTTTTTTGGAGATGGAGTCTTGCTCCGTTGCCCAAGCTGGAATGCAGTGGCTGCGATCTCGGCTCACTGCAAGCTCCACCTCCCAGGTTCACGCCATTTTCCTGCCTCAGCCTCCCGAGTAGCTGGGACTTCAGGTGCATGCCACCACACCCGGCTAATTTTTTTGTATTTTTAGTAGAGACGGGGTTTCACTGTATTAGCCAAGATGGTCTCGATCTCCTGACCTCGTGATCCACCCGCCTCAGCCTCCCAAAGCGCTAGGATTAAAGGGCTAATTTTTTGTATTTTTAGTAGAGATGGGGTTTCACCATGTTGGCCGGGCTGATCTCGAACTCTTGGCCTCAAGTGATCCACCCACCTCGGCCTCCCGAAGTGATGAGATTACAGACATGAGCCACCATGCCTGGCTGAGAAAGATCATTCTCGATTGTAAACCCTATGAGGGTAGGAAACAAGATATATTTTTAAAAATCTTTACACGGCTTATACTTGTACACAGGCACACAAGAACAACGGTTGTATTAAATTTGGTGTGCTACATTTCACCCCTCTACAAGGGCAAAGACTAATTTTAAATATCTTTGTATTCCATCCCCACTCCCAAGGCCAAAACATCTATGATACCTTGTAAGTGTTAAAGACCTATGGTACTAGAAATTGTGTGTGTGTGTGTGTGTGTGTGTGTGTGTGTGTGGTTTCTGTCACTGAGGCTACAGTGCAGTGGTGCACTACAGCCTCAACTTCCTGGGCTGAAGTGATCCTACCACCTTGGCCTCCCAAGTAGCTGGAACTATAGGGATGCACCACCACACCTGGCTAATTTTTTGTGGAGACCAGATCTTGCTATGTTGCCCCAGCTGGTCTTAAACTCCTAGGCTCAAGCAATCCTCCCACATTAGCCTCCCAAAATGCTGGGATTACAGGCATGAGACACTATGCCCAGCCTAATAATATTTTTTTTAAGGACCAATTGTTGGTTAGTCAAACTGTTGAGATAAAATTGGTATAATACCAAAGAAAATATCTACCCTTGAATCTTTTAAACGTCATTATTTTGTTATGCCAGCCCAGCAAAAAAAAAAAAAAAAAAGACAAATAATTACACCATCTTCCTCTTTTCTGTGAAGATTAACTACTAAATTACAGGAGAAGAAAGAAAAGGAAAAATAAAATGTCACCCAAAGGCCTTAGTGATGTACTCAGTGGAGAGGAGTTAATAAGAAGTCTGTCCCTTGGGGAAGTACTGGGGTGATCACCTAATCACCCATGTTCTGAGTTTAGAACTGAATCCACCTTGGTACATGCTACTGGGTATGGAAAGAATTATATACAAATTGGAAGAGCTTGACAGTATGCTCTCCTTGCCCTCACCTGCACCTGGTGTTCCCTATTCTAGAGACTCTCTATTTTCCCCTTGCAGAAAATAAATCTCCAGTCTTCTGCTAGGGTAAGGAAAGGACATTCTCTTGGCTTCATAGAAGAAGAGGGAGGCTCTGGAGTCTTTTCTTAAACTTTCAGTGAATCCTTCTCTTTGCAACCCACTTTTGCCCCCATTTCCAGAGGGAACTGGTGCACCCACTCCTGAGCCTTCTGGGTTTTCAAAGTGTAAACGGCCTTGCTCCCCCATTGCCACTAAGTCAGTAATCGTTCATCTACCCACTTGCCAGTTTCCAAAATTGTGTTGCTGTTCTCTCTTCTGCAGTTCTGTTTTGTTCTTCTGAGTTAATGCTTTTTCTTACTGTCATTTAATGAGGTATGAGGAAAAAACAGGGGCTATTAGAGATATTCATTCTACCATCTCTGACTGATAGCTCCCTCAATTGTTTTTCATTTCCACTTTTTGCTACTTGAGATGTTAGAATACAAGTTCAGAAATACAGTGCTGCAAACAGTGTGGCCTCAAGAAAACCAAGTCACCTCTCAGTACCTCCATTTCCACATCTGTAAACAGTGTTAGAATAGAGGGTTCCTAAGGTTCCCTTATATATGATTCTCAATTATTACCCCTGGCAGGAACACAGAAACTTAAATCACCCAGACATCTTCAACCAGCACTGCTGCATCTAGACCTATTTTGTTTTTCCTATTACTTGTGCTACCCCTAAGGGTACAGGAGACTGATCAAAACAATGTCATATCTAAAAAGTTTCTGAACTAGATCATATAATAAAACTCCATAAATCTTGAAATTTGTGAATATTTTTTGTAGAAACGGGGTCTCACTATGTTGCTGGTCTCGAATTCCTGGGTTCAAGCGATCCTCCCACCTTGGCCTCCCAAAGTGCTGGAATTACAGGCTTAGGACGCTACCGCGCTCAGCTGAAACGTGATAATTTATATTGCATTGTGTTGACATTTGTTCACTTTTTACCATCTATAACACTAACATTTATGTATGTATTTTCCTTATTTTTTGTTTTTTATAGAGATGGGGTCTCTCTGTTACATAGGCTAATCTCAAACTCCTGGGCTCAAGCGATCCTCTCACCTCAGCCTCCCAAAGTGCTGAGATTATGGGTGGGAGCCACCACGCCTGGCATTTTTCCTTGTTCTGGAAGAAATGATTCAACAATCAGTAGTGCCAATCATATGGCAGAAAGGCAAGTTCAATCTGGGAGAAACAACAAGAACTGCAGAATCCATTTACTAAGCCACCACTAAGCTTATGTAACCAAAATTCCTCTAGAGCTAAGTGGTTCATGCATACAGATGTAGTCACAATAACAGTAACAAATTTTTGCTGGCTTTTGCCTGCCATGGGCTCCAGCAGATCCCTCAGGCAATATCCCCCCACCCAGCAGCCCATTAGCCACAGTTCAGCAGGTGGCAGCCACCATCATCCACTCTTTGTAGATGTCCTCTGCCTAGGAAGGCCCTGCCACTGTTGTGAGAACATTAGTGTGTAAAGTAAGAATGTACAGCCGATGCTTTATATCTAACAATCTAAGAAGACATGGAGGGGATGGTGCCCGCCCCAAAGTGGAGAGATCATCCAAGCCATAGTAGGTCCTCTGGGAATCTACTCACTCCTGCCTGTGTCCATGCACCACACACAGGAAAGCAGCAACCAGACCACAGCCTGGACCATCTATGGAAGGCAAGGTGTGTGGGGCACACAAATTAAAAATCATTTCAGAGCTTCCCACTTTCACTCACCCTCTCCCATTTGCTTCTTCAAGTCCTATAAAGTAGGAAGAGCTTATTATCTCCATTTTATAGATAAAGAATCAAGGCTCAGTGATTCAGAAAGTCTCACAATACCGACCAGGTGGCTCAAATCTGTAATCCCAGCACTTTGGGAAGCGGAGGCAGGCAGATCATTTGAGGTCAGGAATTCAAGACCAGCCTGGCCAACATGGTGAAATCCTGTCTTCATTAAAAATACAAAAAAATGCACCGGGCGCGGTGACTCATGCCTGTAATCACAGCACTATGGGAGGCCGATGTAGGTGAATCACCTGAGGTCAGGAGTTCAAGACCAGCCTGACCAACATGGAGAAACCCTGTCTCTACTAAAAATACAAAAATTTGCTGGGTGTGGTGGCGAATGCCTGTAATCCCAGCTACCTGGGAGGCTGAGGCAGGAGAATCACTTGAACCTGGGTGGTGGAGGTTGCAGTGAGCCAAGATCACACCACTGCACTCCAGCATGGACAACAAGAGCAAAACTCTGTCTCAAAAAAAATACAAAAAATTAGCCAGGTGTGGTGGCATGCGCCTGTAGTCCCAGCTGCTGGAGAGGCTGAGGCAGGAGAATCGCTTGAACCCGGGAGGCAGAGATTGCAGTGAGCCACTGCACTCCAGCCTGGGCGACAGGGCGAGACTCCATCTCAAAAAAAAAAAAAGTCTCACAATACATAGTGTCATTTAAGTCAATAAACAGCCCTTCTAACTCCCAGTAAAACGGCTGTTTTACTATTAGTAATATTTATTTTACTTAAAAAGTAAATACCTGTCTTCATAGTGGCAAAACACTACAAGGAATATGATGTATCAATAGGTGAACAGTTAGTAAAAAGATGAGGAGTCGGCCGGGCTCGATGGCTTACGCCTGTAATCCCAGCACTATGGCTCATGCCTGTAATCCCAGCACTTTGGGAGGCTGAGATGGACAGATCACGAGGTCGGGAGTTCGAGACCATCCTGGCCAATGTGGTAAAACTCCGTCTCTACTAAAAATACAAAAATTAGCCAGGTGTGGTGGCAGGCACCTGTAATCCCAGGTGGCTGGGAGGCTGAGGCAGGAGAATTGCTTGAACCCAGGAGGCAGAGCTTACAGTGAGCGTCGCGCCACTGCACTCCAGCTTGGGTGACAGAGAAAGACTCCATCTTGGGGGGAAAAAAAACAATGAAGAGTCAGAGATGTGACACGGGACAATAGATAGCAAGAAGAAGAGAAGCAGGACATGCTAAATCAACAAAGATTTAATTTCTAAAGATTGGTGTGTGGTTTTTGCTGCTGTTCAGAATAGTTTCTTGAGCTGCTACACAAACATGGCCAGGCTATCCTTTGATATGTGTGTTTCGTATATCAGTGAAGCAGAGAAGCACAGGAGAGATGGGAAACTGACAAGAAGCAAAAGGAAAGAAGGGGCCTCCCTACTCTGCTCAGGGAGGCCCCTAGAAGTAAGAGGAGGACATGAGGCGCCAAACAAGCATGGGGTGAAAGGAAACAAGAGGTGAGAGGCCCAATGAGATGGAAAAAGTAAGTATTAAAGATGACTGGGCTTGGAACAAGATGAGGGTAAAAGTCAGAAGTCAGAGGCGACAAATAGATAAAAGGCAGATAAAAAGTGAGAAGAGAGGAGATAAAGGGCAGCTCGGGCAACTTCCAGTCAGAGATAGCAGAATGAGTGCACAGCCTCTGTTCTTTCTCATACCTCACTGAATGAGTAGGGAGGAAAACATAAGCATTAACCATAAGGACAAAAAAGAACCAAAGTGATAGCAGCGACAAAATTTGAAATTTGGAAAGCAGGTAGATAAGCAATACATGTCTCAGCAGAGCCAAGAAAGCTGAATCCTAAGTGGCAAACACAGGGTAGGGATGGGAAGGTGGTGAAGAGACTTACACTATGAAAATACATAGGAAGGGGAGAACCAATTCCCTCTGGAAATGGTGGCAAAACGTTATAAACAGGAAGATAAGAAAAGACTCCTAGATCCTCTCTCCTCTTCCAGGAAGCCAAGAGAATGAATGTCTTTTCCTCACCCTACAGAAGACTGCAGTTATTTTCTAGAAGGGCAAACAGAGGGTCTCTAGAATGGGGGACACTAGGAAGAGTTGAGGGCAAGAATATTATATTCCAAAAAAGAGATAAAAAATGGGATATGTCAGCCAGGCGCGGTGGCTCACGCCTATAATCCCAGCACTTTGGGAAGTTGAGGCAGGCAGATCATGAGGTCAGGAGACAAGAGACCATCCTGGCCAACACGGTGAAACCCCCATCTCTACTAAAATACAAAAAATTAGGCAGGCGTGGTGGCGCGCGCCTTTAGTTCCAACTACTCGGGAGCCTGAGGCAGGGGAATCACTTGAACCTGGGAGGCAGAGGTTGCAGTGAGTCGAGATGGCGCCACTGCATTTCAGCCTGGTGAGACAGCAAGACTCCATCTCAAAAGAAAAAAAAAGGGGCGGGGGGGGAGCGGCGAGATGTCTTTCAGAGATGCACTCAACCAAAGTGAAGAAGTAAGCTCAAAAAGGTAAAGACACGAGACACAGAATATACAGGATGCAATACACAAAGCAAAGGAAATCCCTAAGAAACTAGAGACGGCTGATCCATTCTACCGCCATGCCACGCACCCAGTGACCAATCCATCTAAGCCAAGGCATTTCAGAAGATTCCAGGAACAACCTATTCAAGGTGAAACTGACAGAATACCTGATATGAGCGATCATATAGAGGCAGATTCATGCAACTAAGAGTATAGAGACATATCAATGACAAATACATAGAAAATAAGCAAATAAAACATCTTGCAATTACAGAGAAAACAAAATCTAAGCAGAAAAGAAAAAAATAAAAGTATACCACATGATTTAGCTATCAACAGCATTTACATAGTCATAACTTAAGTATTAAATATCAATCTAATATTTAATCAAAATTATGCTATAACTATATGGAGGGAAAAGTGGTATGGAAGCATGGGTGGGTAGCTAAGGTGGGAAGCCAGTATATGATGCAAAAGTACTGAAAATTAAGAAGAAATGTATGCATGTTGCTTAAAGATATGAGGGTAAAACCAAAAAGAATCAGTTAAGGAAGTAAAAGAGGTTATCTTTGGGGAAGAGAAAATTGGGTAGAAGAGGTAAGCAGAAGAGCTATCTGTTGTGACGACTTATAAAATTACTTGCCTCTTTCAAATACGTGTGTGTAAAACTTTAATAGAAATAAAATTCTATTAAATAAAATTTCAGTAAAAAATTAAGAAAAAAGGAAAACAGCCCAAGCGCACAGGCTGACACCTGCAATCCCAACACTTTGGGAGGTCAAAGTGGAAGGATCAAATGAGCCCAGGAGTTCAAGACCAGCCAGGGCAACATAACAAGACCTCATCTCCACAAAAAATTTAAAAAATTAGCTGGGCATGAAGGCACATGCTGTAGTCCTAGCTACTTGAGAGGCTAAGGTGAAAGGATCACCTGAGCCCAGGAGATCGAGGCTGCAGTGAGCTGTGATCATAACACTGCACTCCAGCCTGGGTGACAGAGTGAGAACCTGTCTCAGAACGAAACAAAAGAATAAAGGAAAAACACAAATGAACCAAAAGTCCTCTTTTAGGGAGACTAAACAATACTTTATATTGGCCGTCAGAATCACATTCCTGTTTAGACAAAACTGTTAGTGCCTCCAGATGCTTAATTCAGTCGTACCTTATAACACCTGGCAATATTCCTTAAACTGACCTGCAACATACAGGCTGTCTCTTGTTACATTCAGGATTGCTTAATGCCTTTATTCAATAAATGAATACAGGGTGCCTGTGCTAAGTGCCAGGCACTGCGCTAGGTACTGGGATACAACAGTCAGCAAAACAAACACAATCTGTCGTTCATGGTACTTCAACATACTGGGAGAGATATTCAAATGATCACACAAAACAACATGACAATTTTAATAACAGCTTACATGAAAGGGTGCCAAGACCACTCAATGGGGAAAAGGCAGTCTCTTCAACAAATGGTTCTGGGAAAACTGGACATCCACATGCAGAAGAATGAAGATGTACCTTTATCTGACACCATATAGAAAACTAACTCAGGCCGGGTGCAGTGGCTCACACCTGTAATCCCAGCACTTTGGGAGGCCGAGGTGGGCAGATCACCTGAGGTCAGGAGTTCAAGACCAGCCTGGCCAATATGCCAAAACCCCGTCTCTAATAAGAATGCAAAAATTAGCCGGGCATGGTGGCGCACACCTGTAGTCCCAGCTACTCGGGAGGCTGAGGCAGGAGAATGGCTTGAACCTGGGAGGCAGACGTTGCAGTGAGCCAAGATTGCACCACTGAAGACTCTGGGAAAAAATAAATAAATAAATAAAATAACTCAAAATAGATTAAAGACCTAAACATAAGAAGTTTATTTTAAAAAATTTAAAAAACGTTTAAAAAAGAACTTTAAACTCCTAGAAGAAAACATGGAAGAAAAGCTTAATAATACTGGATTTGGCAAGAATTTCTTGGATATGACGCCAAAAGGAAAGGAAACAAAAGCAAAATAAGATAAATGGGACTATATCAAACTTAAGAATTTTTGTGCATCCAAAGACACAATC
Organism: Homo sapiens; assembly: GCF_000001405.40. NCBI lineage: Eukaryota > Metazoa > Chordata > Mammalia > Primates > Hominidae > Homo > Homo sapiens. The sequence continues at coordinate 50,552,622 of NC_000012.12, read as the reverse complement.
AACAGAGAGAAAAGTTAACTTACAGAATGAGACAAAATATTTCCAAATAACGTATCTGATAAAGGGTTAATATCCAGAATATAAAAAGAACACCTTTGGGAGGCCGAGGCGGGTGGATCACGAAGTCAGGAGATCGAGACCATCCTGGCTAACACAGTGAAACCCCGTCTCTACTAAAAATACAAAAAATTAGCCGGGCGTGGTGGCGGGCGCCTATAGTCCCAGCTACTCGGGAGGCTGAGGCAGGAGAATGGCATGAACCCGGGAGGGGAGCTTGCAGTGAGCAGAGATTACGCCATTGCACTCCAGCCTGGGCGACAGAGTGAGACTCCGTCTCAAAAAAAAAAAAAAAGAACTCCTATAACTCAACAACAACAACAAAAAACCCAATTAAAAAACGGGCAAAGGATCTGAACAGACCTTTCTGCTAAGATGGCCAATGAGCATATGAAAAGATGCTCAACATCATTCATCATCAGAGAAATGCAAATCAAAACCACAATGAGACATCGCCTCACACCATTAGGATATCTATTTTAAAAAACAACAAGTAATAACAAGTGTTGGTGAGGATGTGGAGAGCCCTTGTGCATGCTGGTGGGATTGTAAAATGGTGCAGCCACTATAAAAAACAGTAGGGAACTTCCTCAAAAAATTAAAAATAGAGCTACCATATTATCCAACAATGCTACTTCTGGGTATACATCCAAAAGAACTGAAAGGGTCTTGAGGAAATATCTGCATACCCACATTTATAGTAGTACTATTCCAATCATCATGTGGCTGAAGCAACTTAAATGTCCATCTACAGATGAATAAACAAAATATGAAACATACATACAATGGAACATTATTCAGCTTTAAAAAGGAAGGACATTGGGCCAGGTATGGTGGCTCATGCATGTAATCCCAAGACTTTGGGAGGCCAAGGCGGGCAGATCACGTGAGCTCAGGAGTTCAAGACCAGCTGGGGCGACATGGCAAAACCTTATCTCCCCAAAATATTCAAAAACTAGCTGGGCGTGGTGGCATGTACCTGTAGTCCCAGCTACCTGTGAGGGTGAGGTTGGAGGATGGCTTGAGCCTGGGAGGCACAGGCTGCAGTGCACCGAGATCATGCTACTGCACGCCAGCCCGGGAAACAAAGTGAGACTCTGTCTCAAAATACACACATACACACACACACACAGATTTTTTTCTGAGATGGAGTCTCGCTCTGTTGCCCAGGGTGGAGTGCAGTGGCTTGATCTTGGCTCACTGCAACCTCTGCCTCCCAGGTTCAAGCGATCCTCCTGCCTCAGCCCGCCAGTAGCTGGGATTACCAGCACGTGCCACTATGCCTGGCTAATTTTTGTATTTTTAGTAGAGATGGGGTTTCGCCATGTTGGCCAGGCTGGTCTCAAACTCCTGACCTCAGGTGATCTACCCTCATCAGCCTCCCAAAGTGCTGGGACTACAGACATGAGCCACCACGCCCGGCCTCAAATCTGGTCTTTAAAATACTTCATGTTCTTTCTTTCTTTTTTTTCTTAAAGACAGGGTCTCACTCTGATTGCCCAGGCTGGAGTGCAGTTGTGCAATTTCAGCACACTGCAGCCCTGACCTCCCCAGGCTCAGGTGATTCTTCCACCTCAGCCTCTCAAATAGCTGGGGGTACTACAGGCAAAGACAGGGTTTTGCCATGTTGCCCAGGCTGGTCTTGAACTCCTGGACTCAAGCAATTCACCCACCTCGGCCTCCCAAAGTGCTGGGATTATAAACGTGAGCCACTGTGTCGGACCATCTTTCTGGAAATACTACTGATAAACCTTAAATCTGTAGCTGAATGGAATTCCTAGAAGAACAACATGTTACTAGCTTTAAGATTTATGTCCGCAGTATCTGCCACTGGGCTACAGTAGTATTTACTAACTGCAGAGAAGCGGGCTGCCTCTGGAGTAACAGCCTCCACAAGCACTGACTAAGAAACCACTCCCTTCCCACTGAAGCAACACTGTTTCGAATCTGGTTCTACCAGGCCTATTCGTTTCCTTCTGTTTAAGATAATTTTCAATAGAGTAAAATGAATCATGAGGGATGGAAAAGTCTGTTAGGTTATCTAGACCATTCCCCTCAGGACCCTAGAACATGGAAAACTTTTATAGAGCTATTAATAAACTAATGGTTATGAATATCTTAGAGTCTAATCGTTCTTTTAGACTGGGTGCCTCTCAAACATTCATAGTTAGATTCTGAGTACTTCAATTTCTCAATTCAGTTGTGAATGTCCTAGCCTCATGAAAAAGATGAATGAAAAAAAAAATCAATGAAGAAACTGGCCAATAAAATGCAGGAAGCTTCAATTTTCAAAATTCCAGCTGGCCCCACGAGTACACTGTTAGTAAGCCCTGAATTTAAAACCCAAGAAATCACATGGAAATTTTAAAAACTTAACGTTATCCATTACATACAAAACTAATCAGGTCCAAAAAGCAAAATTCACAGTTTCTAGGCGTTTCATTTTCCTTCACTGGACAAGGCACTAACACAGGGCAAAATGGCTGCCATCCCGCTGGTTAAAGCAGGAATACTCAAGGCTCAGATTTAACTTGCAAACCCCAGAGCTCCTAGAAAATCAAAAAGTGCCAATAACACAGAAGAGAGGGTTAAGAAAATTTCCAAATTTCATACAACTAGGTACCTTGATTGTTAAATTTGGAATAGGACTTTTCCTTAGTTATATAAGGAACTTAAATCTCTATCTAAAAAAGAAAAAAACAAAAAATTTAACAGAATGAAACATAATTTTGTGCACACAGACTTAAGCTATCTATTTATAAGTGGCCATGATAAAATGAAGTTAAACAGGCTACCAATGTCATATTAAACAAAAAATGCAGAAATCATGAACAACCACATGGCTTTTTTTTTTTTTTTTTTTTTTTTAAGATGGAGTCTTGCTCTTTCACCAGGCTGGAGTGCAGTGGCACTATCTCAGCTCACTGCAACCTCTGCCTCCCAGGTTCAAGTGATTTTCCTGCCTCAGCCTCCCAAGTAGCTGGGACTATAGGCACACGCCACCACACCTGGCTAATTTTTATTATTATTTTTTTTGAGACAAGAGTCTTGCTCTGTCACCCAGCTGGAGTGCAGTGGCGCGGTCTCAGCTCACTGCAAGCTCCACCTCCCAGGTTCACGCCATTCTCCTGCCTCAGCCTCCCGTGTAGCTGGGACTACAGGCACCCGCCACCATGCCGGGCTTATTTTTCGTATTTTTAGTAGAGACAGGGTTTCACCGTGTTAGTCAGGATGGTCTCAATCTCTAATTTTTGTATTTTTAGTAGAGACGGGGTTTCACCATATTGGCCAGGATGGTCTTGATCTCTTGACCTTGTGATCCACCCACCTCGGCCTCCCAAAGTGCTGGGATTACAGGCATGAGCCACCGCGCCCAGCCCTTTTTTTTTTTTTTTAAACCAGCCCCCACTTTCGTCCCTGACTCTTGCTCAATAGAAGAATTCCAATTTGTAGTCCAAAACCGAAGCAGCTGTACTCAAAGTTTCACTACTCCGGAATAGTTTCCTCACTTAGTTTCAAAGGTCACATAGGTGGCTAATTACATAAAATTTAAACTTTAACTCGGGGTTATGAATAAGCTGTAACCTGTGTGAAGGAAACCTGAACACACATTACTGCAACACTAGAAAACTGCACATTTTCTGAACAAATCCTGTCACTTCTTAAAGAATTTAAGAACTGTACCTTGTGATGTGCAGAAAAACACCTCTTAGTATCTTACACTTTAAAAGTGCAGGCCAAGGCCAGGAGCAGTGGCTCATGCCTGTAATCCCAGAACTTTGGGAGGCCAAGGCGGGGAATTACCTGAGGTCAGGAGTTCAAGACCAGCCTGGCCAACATGCCGAAACCCCATCTCTACTAAAAATATAAAAATTAGCCAGTCGCAATGGCAGGTACCTGTAGTCCCAGCTACTTGGGAGGCTGAGGCAGGAGAATCCCTTGAACCCGGGAGGCAGAGGTTGCAGTGAGCCGAGACCGTGCCATTGCACTCCAGCCTGGGCAACAGAGCAAGACTCAGTCTCAAAAAACAAAAAAATTAATTAAAAAATAAATAAATAAAATAAAAATGTATGCCAATACCATGCATTCTGTAGCTTAATTGAATGTCAGACTGCAGTTACTCTGTATTTTGTGTGTCTGTGTATATATACACATATACACAACATACATGAGTATGCATACAAATACAAACATTTTTAAAGGACATCGTTGTTAAAAGTTAAAGTAGCTAGCTGGATCCTTATCTCCCTTTTCCTGCTCTCCATTAATTTTTAGTTTTTTCTTAAGATCATTTTATTTGAAAAATATCAGAAAAGCATACACAAAAAAAGTATCACTCATAATTATCACTTTTTTTGGAAGTATACCTAATAAGAAGTAAAAGTTCCTTACTCTAACCCCTCTAAACCCAATTCTAGATGAAATTGCCACTAAAATCAATGCGTTTTTCCTATGTATAAAAATATATACACATTTTATTTATTTTTATTCTTTAAAAGGCAGGGTCTTGCTCTGTTTGCCCAGGCTGGAGTGCAGGAGTGCTGTCCTAGCCCACAGCAGCCTTGGACTACTAGGCTCAAACAATCCTCCCATTGCAGCCTCCCAAGTAGCTAGAACTACAGGCATGCACAACCATCCCTGGCTAATTTTTGTATTTTTTGTAAAGATGGGGTCTCACTACATTGCCCAAGTTGGTCTCGAACTCCTGTCCTCAAGCAATCCTCCTGCCTCAGCCTTCCAAAGTGCTAAGATTACAGGCATGAGCCACTATACCCAGCTCACACCCTTTTTAAAAAAAGAAATGAAATCATGCTATACATAGTGTCACAGCCTATTTTCACTTAATATATTACAGATATTTTTTAGCTCAGTACATTTATAGCTCTAGCTCTTTTAGTAGACTTATTTTTTTTAGCAGTTTTAGGTTCACAGCAAAATTGAACAGAAGGTACAGAGATTTCTCTCATACACTCTGCCCCCACACACTCTAGCTCACTTTTTTAACGGAAGAATAGTAAGAATAAATCATAATTTCACTATTTTTCTATTGACAAGTGTTTAAGTTGTTTCCATCTTTTGTTCTTACAAATAATACTTCGATTAATATCTCTCTACATATGTTTTTACCATTCATCCTATTGAGGGACAGATTCCTAGACATATAATGTTGGGTGCCAGGTTACACAAAATTAACCCTGCTTTGAGTTACTGTTAAATTAGCTTCTAAAAAAAGATGGTATCAATGAATATTTCCACTAAGTATTTTTAAATTACTCTAGTGTTGTACAGTCATCATTCAATTACTTCCCAGAAATATTTCACTGTTTTAAGCCAAACTTTAATTTGTATTACCAACTGAATCAATAATCAATCATCAAAGTTAAACATACAAGTTTATTGCCTCTATATAAAGGGCCCCTGTCCAGTAGAAAACGAAATTCATTGTTTAGAAAGTGATGTTTTCACTGAAGCCAAGGAAAGAAAGGATTTCACCAAAGTTGGTGGTTAATAGTACCACGAAGGTCAAAAAAGAAGGGAGTAAAAATAAGGAGGTAAGGTGAACCGAACCTCCGAGTAAGCAGTTTCAGAAAAGTAGTAAATACAGCCAAATAGAGTGGTATATTTTTTAATTGTTTTGTATTATAGGTAATGTGTTTCTAAATTATTTATACATAAAACCAGTTATAACTTGACAAGAGATGTCTCATTTATTTTTCTTTCTTTACTGCCTCCTACATTGGCCCTGAAAAGTGAAACATGGGGCTGTGATAAGTTCATAATACGTTTTAAAAATATTCCTATTTAAGAACAGCCCACTCCCTCCTCGTCCCTCCTCTCCCATACAAAAAAAAGGGACAGAACTAACATTTACTGGGCACCTATTATCTATCTGCAAGGCAATCAGGAAATACTTTGCATGCATTAATGTATTTAATCCTAGCAAGAATGTGACCTCCTATTTTCCAGATAAGGACATTGAGAGGCCCAGAGAACAAAATAACTTGCCCAAAAATAAGTGCTAGAAAATCTACATTGGTCTGGTTCTTCACTCTGCTTCACTTACAGAAGGTAAATATGTGGAACATATGTCACCCCTGCAACAATTACTATTCAGTGACAGGACTTCTGAATCACTGATCTCAGGCATGGCCTCAGAATTCTTCACAACTCATGTAACAAACATTTACATGTACCCCCTGAACCTAAAATAAAAGTTGAAATTTTTTTAAAAAAGAATTTTTCACAACACGGAACTCCCACCAACAGGGGAGGAATAAGCATCTAAAACTATATGCTGTACCTGAAGTAAACCATGCCGCCTCTCACTTGATACTAGTTAACGATATTTCTGAACAGCAGGACCAACTTTTGCTATACTTATGCATATTTGCACATGTGTGCATATACAATAAGCTGTCTCCATCTTATGTGAAGAAGGAAGTACATCTGGTTGGCAGGGATTAGAATAAGATAATACAATCAGTGCAGAATGGAAACAAAGTTGACAGGCACTGCCACCTGCTATATTCAGTTGTACTCATTTCCACAGAAAGAACTGTAAAATGAAGAGAAGGAATTCTGCTTTTATTTCTACCATGCTATACACAAGTCCTCAATAAATCTTATTTTAGGCCGGGCACAGTGACTCACAGCTATAATCCCACACTTTGAGAGGCCGAGGCGGGTGGATCACTTGAGGTCAGGAGTTCAAGACCAGCTGGCCAACATGGTGAAACCCCGCCTCTACTAAAAATACAAAAAACTAGCTGGGCACGGTGGCACACGCCTGTAATCTCAGCTACTTGGGAGTCAGAGGCAGGAGAATCACTAGAACCCAGGAGGCAGAGGTTGCAGTGAGCCCAGATAGCGTTATGAAAAAAAAAAAAAAAAGTCTGCCTCCAAAAAATAAAAGTTACAGGTGTGAGTAACCATGCCTGGCCCAAAATGTTATCTTCAGCAGAGGAGCTCAAGACCAGCCTGGCCAACATGGCAAGACACTATCTGTAAAAAAATTTTTTTTAATTAGCCAGGCATGGTGGCACATGCCTGTAGTCCCAGCTACTCGGGAGGCTGGGGTGAGATGATCACTTGAGCTCAAGAAGTCAAGGCTGTAGTGAGCTGTGATGGCGCCACTGCACTCTAGGCTGGGTGACAGAACGGAGGGGAGGGGGAGGGAGGGGAGAGGAGGGGAGAGGAAGGAAAGGAAGAAAGAAAGAAGGAGGGAGGGAGGGAGGGATGAAGGGAGGAAGGGAGGAAGAGAGCAAGCAAGCAAGTATTGGTAAGTACAGGAAGAAATGGAACTCTCATACGTTGCCAAAAGGTCTGTAAATCGGTATAAACACTTTGGAAAACTGGTAATACCACTGAAGCTGAACATTCGCATACCCTAAGACCAAGCAATTCCACTACTAGTAATTTTATCTAAAATATGGGCACCACAAAACATATACAAAACATTCGCAAAAGCCAAAACTGGAAACAAACCAAATGCTCACCAACAATAGAATAAATGAATGTGGTACAGTCATACAAGCTGGTCTTGAACTCCTGGGCTCAAGTGATTCTCCCATCTTGGCCTCCCAAAGTGCTAGTATTACAGTCATAAGAAACCACACCTGGTACTACTCCAGCTTTTAAGAAAGTTATTCAGCCAGGCGCGGTGGCTCACGCCTGTAATCCCAGCACTTTGGGAGGCCAAGGCGGGCAGATCATGAGGTCAGGAGTTCGAGATCAGCCTGGCTAACACAGTGGAACCCCTTCTCTACTAAAAATACAAAAAATTAGCCGGGCGTGGTGGCACGCACCTGTAGTCCCAACTACTCAGGAGGCTGAGGCAGGAGAATTGCTTGAACCTGGGAAGTGGAGGTTGCAGTGAACTGAGATCACGCCATTGCACTCCAGCCTGGGTGACAGACTCCGTCTCAAAAAAAAAAAAAAAAAGAAAAAGAAAGTTATCTGAGGCCAGGTGCAGTGGCTCACGCCTGTAATCCCAGCACTTTGGGAGACCAAGACAGGTGAATCACAAGGTCAGGAGTTTGAGACCAGCCTGGCCAACATGGTGAAACCCCGTCTGTACTAAAAATACAAAAAATTAGCTGGGCGTAGTGGCAGGCACCTGCAATCCCAGCTATTTGGGTGGCTGACGCGGGAGAATCGCTTGAACCCAGGTGGCGGAGGTTGCAGTGAGCTGAGACCGTGCTACTGCACTCCAGCCCTAGTGACGGAATATCTGAATAGAAAAGTGACTGGAAGGGAATTTACTTAAATACCATTAGTGTTTACACTTGGGTGTTAGGATTAAGGAAATATTCATTTTCTTCTTTAATTTCCTTTTTTTTTTTTGAGATGGAGTCTCACTCTGTCACCAGGCTGGAGTGGCAGTGGCATGATCTCACTGCAATCTCTGCCTCCCAGGTTCAAGCGATTCCCCTGCCTCAGCCTCCTGAGCAACTGGGACTACAGGCGCGAACCACCACGCCTGGCTAATTTTTTGTATTTTAGTAGAGACGAGGTTTCACCATGTTGGCCAGGATGGTCTCGATGTCCTGACCTCGTGGTCTGCCAGCCTCCTCCTCCCAAAGCGCTGGAATTACAAGCGTGAGCCACCATGCCCAGCCTCCTTTTTTTTTTTTTTTTTTTTAAAGGCTGAGTCTCACTCTGTCGCCCAGACTGGAGTTCATTGGCACTACCTCAGCTCACTGCAACCTCTGCCTCCCAGGCTCAAGTGATTCTCCTGCCTCAGCCTCCTGAGTAGCTGGGACTACAGGCGTGTGCCACTATGCCCAGCTAATGTTTGTATTATTAGTAGAGACAGGGTTTCATCCACATTGGCCAGGCTGGTCTCGAACTCCTGGACTCAAGTGATCCTCCCACCTCAGCCTCCCAAAGTGCTGGGATTACAAGTGTGAGACACCATGACCGGCCCAACATGTGCTATTTTTATAATGAGGGAAAAGCTATTTTTGAAACATTAATAGGCTGAGAGCGGTGGCTCATGCTTGTAATCCCAGCACTTTGGGAGGCCGAGGCTGGCGGATCACCTGAGGTCAGGAGTTCGAGAACAGCCTGGCCAACATGACGAAACCCCTTCTCTACCAAAAATACAAAAATTAGCTGGCGTGATGGCGGGTGGCTGTAACCCCAGCTACTTGAGAGGCTGAGGCAGGAGAATTGCTTGAACCTGGGGAGCGGAAGTTGCGGTGAGCCAAGATTGCGCCACTGCACTCCAGCCTAGGTGACAGCGAGACTCTGTCTCAAAAATAAATAAAAAAGGGGGAAAAAAAAAAACTTTAACAGCTTGGCATAAGACATTGAAATTGTCTCTTAACCTTAATTAATTTACCCATGACTCTATCTTGGTGGAGGATGTATATGTAGCATTGACACCTCTGGGACAGGCACGGTGGCTCACGCCTATAATCCCATCACTTTGGGAAGCTGAGGTGAGTGAATCGCTTGAGCCCAGGAGTTTGAGACCAGCCTGGGCAACTTGGTGAAGCCCCATCTCTACAAAAAAAGACCAAAAAAAAATTAGCCAGGCATGGTGGCACACATCTGTAGTCCCAGCTACTTAGGAGGCTGAGGTGGGAGGATAGCTTGAGGTTGGGAAGCAGAGGGTGCAATGAGCCAAGACTGTGCCACTGCACTCCAGCCTGGGCAACACAATGAGACCTTGTCTAAGAAATAAAAAAGAAAAAGAAAAGAAACCTCTGAACAGAATAAACAACACAAGAAACAACTAGAAATTTGTTTTAGTTATTGTGTCATATTCTTTGGCCAAAATGAGAAACAGTTTAATCATAACGAGAAACAGTGTAATCATAAGTCTGATTAAAGCTTTGCAATTGTTCCAGCACCTGTTCAATTTTGCTGATGAACACACATATGACATACTAAAATCCAGACAGGATTTAACAAGTGAGATATATCAAACACAGGCCCTGTTGTTGTCAAGGTTTCTAGGTGTGGTTGCAGCTCAAGTATAATAAGATCATTTACATCTGAGTCAGTCACCCACTCTCCTGTCTGTGTCTCTCCCTCCACATCAGACATGGGCATGAACATAATACTCTATATAGCACAGGTCTGAGTAAAACTGAGATTTCAGGAGAGTGATGACTCAGGAATATCAAATCTTTTCCTTTTATGAGAGAAAATTAAGACAGGAAAAAACTATTACAGAAATATGCATCAACAAAGATGAAAAAAATTTTTGAATACATTTATAAATTCCAAGACAAATGCAGCCTTTTCCCATTCTCTTTATGAGATTTTGAGATTTTCTTTTTTCTTTTTTTTCTTTTTTTTTTTTTTTTTGAGACGGAGTCTCACTCTGTCACCCAGGCTGGAGTGCAGTGGCCCAAATCTCGACTCACTGCAAGCTCTGCCTCCCGGGTTCACGCCATTCTCCTGCCTCAGCCTCCCAAGTAGTATTTTTAGTAGAGATGGGGTTTCACTGTGTTAGCCAGGATGGTCTCCATCCCTGACCTCGTGATCCGCCCACCTCAGCCTCCCAAAGTGCTGGGATTACAGGCGTGAGCCACCGCGCCCGGTCTCTTTTTTTTTTTGAGACAGAGTCTCTGTCACCTAGGCTGGAGTGCAGTGGCGCAATTTCGGCTCACTGCAACCTCCACCTCCCGGGTTCAAGCAATTCTCGTGCCTCAGCCTCCCCAACAGCTGGGACTACAGGCATACGCCATCACGTCTGGCTAATTTTTGTATTTTTAGTGTAGACTGGGTTTTGCCATGTTTGCCAGACTGGTCTCCAATTCCCGGCCTCAAGTGATCCACCCACCTCGGCCTCCCAAAGTGCTGGGATTACAGGCATGAGCCACTGCATCCAGCCTCTTTATGATATTTTCTAGTTTGTCTTAATAGTGTGTGTGTTACTTTCTTTCATATACTATGGGTTAGCAGAAGAAATTAGATTCCAGACAGTTCCAAATCTAGAAAGGTGTCAGACATCTGGCAATCATATATATCCCCAAGTTCACAGAATTTTGGAGGAAATCTAGTCTAAAATTCAAGGGAATATGAAGAGCTACAGTAAGCCACAATACAGGATTAAACATTTTCTATCTCTGTTTCTCTTAGTCTATCTTTCTCTGTTCTCCCAACAGAAGTTGATGGTGACTATGGATTTAAAAAAAAAAAAAAAAAAAGAATGTTCTTTGTCCTTGGATTCCAAAAGTTTTTGATAGGTCTCCTTTATCCTATGTAATGCTGACAAAGGAAATTTGAGTGACTGATATTAGATAAAAAATAAATAAATAAAAGAAGCTTAAAAAGTTACAAACTTCACAGAAACACTACAATTCAAGACTGGAAGAACTTACAAATAGGCTTATTTGATACATATGGCCTTGTCAATGATTCTACAAAATCATTAAGCTTCCAAAAATTGTAATTAACACATGCAAGTTACACTGATTCTTTCTACATTTATTAATGCAAATCTCTCATGTGACCCTTAGCTTTTTCTATATTCTCCAAAGGAAAAGAGTGTTAATGTAAGTTGATTTTTTTAAATTCTAGAATATAAAACTAAGTGCATTGAAGAAACTATGGAAAACACAAAGACGTCTATAAAAGAATTTTTTAATCATAATGTCCTATCCAGAGATTCTGCGCTACCTCATTTGAGACTGCTATATAGGCATCTTAAAATCTATGACTAAAGATGTAAATATATTTTTAATATGAATAACTATATAAAAATGTTCATAGCTGGCTGGGCGCGGTGGCTCACGCCTGTAATCCCAGCACTTTGGGAGGCCGAGGCGGGCGGATCACGAGGTCAGGAGATCGAGACCACGGTGAAACCCCGTCTCTACTAAAAAATACAAAAAATTAGCCGGGCGCCGTGGCGGGCACCTGTAGTCCCAGCTACTCGGTAGGCTGAGGCAGGAGAATGGCGTGAATCCGGGAGGCGGAGCTTGCAGTGAGCCGAGATCGCACCACTGCACTCCAGCCTGGGTGACAGAGCGAGACTCCATCTCAACAAAAAAAAAAAAAAAAGAATTTTTTTAATCATAATGTCCTATCCAGAGATTCTGTTCTACCTCATTTGAGACTGCTATATAGGCATCTGAAAATCTATGACTGAAGATGTAAATATATTTTTAATATTAATAACTATATAAAAATGTTCATAGCTGGCTGGGCACGGTGGCTCACGCCTGTAATCCCAGCACTTTGGGAGGCCAAGGCACGTGGATCACGAGGTCAGGAGTTCAAGATCAGCCTGGCCAAGATGGTGAAACCCCGTCTCTACTAAATATACAAAAAAAATCAGCCTGGTGTGGTGGTGGGCACCTGTAATCCCAGCTACTCGGGAGGCTGAGGCAGAGAATTGCTTAAACCTGGGAGGTGCAGGATGCAATGAGCCGAGATCACGCCACTGCACTCCAGCCTGGGTGATAGAGTGAAACTCCACCTCAAAAAAAAAAAAAAAATGTTCATAGCTATGATATTTGCAATAGCAAAAAAAAAAAAAAAAAAAAAAAAAAAAACACAGAAACAACTAAACTACCTGCCAGCTGGTGAATGGATTAATAAATTGAGATGGATTCATGTAATGGGATGCCATAGAAGCTGGGGGAATAAAGAACTACAGTAACTTGCATCAGCAAGAATGAATCTCATAATGCAGAAAAGACAAATCAGAAGAATTCATACAGCATGATTCCACTCATAGAAAATTCATAGAAAAGCTTGTAAAACTAAATAATATATTATTTAGGATTATACAAACTACAAAGCAAAACTAGAGAATTAACAAAATTCAGGATGACAGTTACATCTAAGGGTGAGAGAAAAGTAATAGAAGAGGCCCACGGGGCCTTCAGAGGTGTTTTAAGCTTTTAGTTCTCAAACTAGATCATGGATCTACCAGTGTTCAATCTATTATTCTTCTTTAATCTGTGGATACTTTTTTTTTTTTTTTTGAGACAGAGTATTTCACTCTTGTTGCCCAGGCTGGAGCGCAATGGCATGATCTTGGCTCACTGCAACCTCCGCCTCTCAGGCTCAAGCGATTCTCCTGCCTGTCTCCTGAGTAGCTGGGATTACAGGCGCCTGCCACTACGCTCAGCTAATTTTTGTATTTTTAGTAGAGACGGGGTTTCACCATGTTGGCCAGGCTGGTTTCAAACTCCTGACCTCAGGTGATCCACCCGCCTAGGTTTCTCAAAAGTGCTGGTATTACACCACACCCGGCCTGTGCATACACTTTATATATATTCTTTTGTATGTAATATTCCATAAGAGATAGTGCCACTGCACTCCAGCCTAGGCGACAGAGCAAGACTCTGTCAAAAAAAAAAAAAAGAAAAAAGAAAAGAGCGAGCTACCTAGAGCCAAACGGGATGAAAGAGAAAAGACACATGCCTAGACACATCCTAATGAAATTTCAGAACTCCAAAGACAAAAAGCAAACCCTAAAAGCTTCCGAAGTATTCAAGTGGGCTACATTCAAATGACAATCAAATGAGACAAAGACGTTTTTGAAAGGCAAGAACTTAAAGCTCAACACGCATGCATCCCATATTAAAAACAGTAACTATTCCAAGTTTTTAAAAAATACAAGAAAAATGACAATTTAAAGTATAAGAAACAACAGCAGTTGAGTAAGACCTAAAAGGAGCATAGAAAGCTGGAAAGAAATTGAAAGAGGATTCACTAGATCTTGATGATTGGGCCATTCTCTTTGAAGCAGTTTGGTAATAAAATACTATGTTTGCTTTTCCCAGTATTCAACAGCACCTCTAGATTCCAAAGTAAATAATATTTACTTAATAATATTGCAAAAACTGTATGTGTGGAATATGTTTAGGCTTAATTTGTACATACAGAGTGAAGACTAATTTTTGTTATACAAAAGAGAATATAAACATTATTTACTTTGATAACAGAAAAATAGTAATATTATTACAAAAAAAAACTCAGGAAGAAAAGAGTACAAGAAATGGGTAAATTTCTCATGGTTCACAGAAGGGGATCAAGAGACACTGTTGACTGCAACATATTACTGAAAGTTACACTATTAACTACAGGAACTACAAAACTGACTTTAGAAAGTAGCTACATTTTGGGAAGTGGGACTGGGCACGGAGGTGGGGTGGGGCTATTTTCCATTTCATACTTCTGTGTCCACTCCAAATTCATGCTGACTATCGGCAATGCTTTCAGTGTTTCATTAATTCCTCTCACACTCCCCGATGGCTGATGCACTTGTTCTCTTCACATTTCTCAAACCCTTAAGCTTTCACCTTTCTGAACCTTTTCCCTTTATCCCCACACCAACCTCCCTCTGAGGTGGAATTTTTCACTCATCCTCTTCTTCTTATTAGAGAAGGAGAGAACAGCAGCCCTGCCCTCCTGTTCTCAAGCAGCTCACCTCTTCCACACATCCAGAGATCTAACCTATGCCCAGCTCTCCCACACCAACACAAGCTTTTCTTTCCTCTGTCTCTTTCCCTTAGCCCTATGAAGACTCCTCGGTATCTATTAAGAAGTAATAGTAAAGTAAAATAAATAAGTACTCTTTTGAATCCATCCTTGTTCTTTATTCCTTTTTCCCAACTTCAAAATAAGAAGCCTGCGCTCACCATTTCTATGTCCTCATTCCCGTTTTCAATCTAGCCTCTGATTCTGCCACAGGACTGTAACTGACAAATCCAGTCCTTTGTATTCTCTCACTGAATTATCCTAAGCTCTCCATAGGTTTAACATTACTATTTGTCTCCACAGAAGCACCACACCACCCACCCCAGTCCACCTCCTACTTCTGTGACTGATCACCCCTGTCATTTTGGATGACTCTTCTTTCTCCTCTAGCTTCCTAAACAGAGGCATTCCTCATTAGCTTCATTTTTTACTTTCCTTTTCAAAGATCTGATTCACCTGATGAATCACATGAAGATGATGCCCAAATCCTTCAACAGCTCCAGGATATAATTCACCACTTCTAACTGCCTATTGAACAGCCACTCGAATGTCCTCCCAATGCCATTTGTTGACTGGGATGGTCTTCCCACATTGTCATAGACTCCAACATGTCCAAAATTAAACTCTTCACCCCAAACCGGCAACTCAGATGTTTGTATATATAACACACTATCACTCGCCTGGTCACTCAAACTCAAAATCTGGGCCATTTTTTACTCAATCCCTACCTATTCCCTCACATCCTACCGATTTCCTTCCCTCAATGTTTCACAACAGGTAAGGTAAAAATGAATAAGACATGGTTTCTAGCCTCTGGGAAGAATAGAGAAGTGTAAACAAACAATTATAAAGCAATCTGGCAGGTGCAGTGGCTCTAGCCTATAATCCCAGCACTTTGGGAGGCCAAGGCAGGTGGATCGCTTGAGCTCAGGAATTCAAGACCAGCCTGGGAAACAAAGTGAGACCCTGTCTCTACAAAAAAAAAAAAAAAAAAAAAAAAAAATTAGAGAATAATAAACAAGCAATCTGGTAAGTGTGACCAAAAAAATTAAAAAAAAAAAAGCACAGGATAATGAGTTTGGGGGTAGGGGAGAAAGGAGATTAGGAGAAGGATTCAACAGGCTACAAGGTGTCAGAGTCAGAACTAAAGTCCTGTCCCCTAATCCTCACTAGGCCAAAACAACAGCACACACTCTGAATAATTAAGCATATGCCTTGCATTAAGACAGTTCAACATTAAAAAAAAAAAATACAATTATTGTGGCTCACACCTGTAATCCCAGCACTTTGGGAGGCCGAGGCAGGCAGATCACTTGAGGTCAGGAGTTCGAGACCAGCCTGGTCAACTTGGAGAAACACCGTCTCTACCAAAAAATACAAAAATTAGCTGGGCATGGTGGCATGCAACTGTAGTCCCAGCTACTCGAGAGGCTGAGGTGGGAGAATCGCTTGAACCCAGAAGAGGGAGGTTGCAGTGAGCCAAGACCACGCCACTGCACTCCAGCCAGGGTGACAAAGTGAGACCCTGTCTCAAAAAAAAAAACAAAACACAATTATTATTTGTCAATAAAATTTTAAAAAGAATATTCAACATGTAACTTTTGACTGAGTATAAATTAGGGAATGATGGTTCTCACTATACATGAATTGATTTTTTCTTCTTTCTTAAAGACATAGGGTCTCATTCTGTTGCCCAGGCTGTGGCATGATCATAGCTCACTGCTATGATCACTGCAGCCTTCCCTCCTGGGCTCAAGCAATCCTCCTGAGTAGCTTGGACTACAGGCTCACGCCACCATGCAGCCTGGCGTATGTATGTATGTATGTATGTATGTATGTATGTATGCACGTATTTAGTAGAAATAAGGTCTCACTTTGTTGCCTGGGATGGTCTCAAATTCCTGGGCTCTATACCCAAAGGACTATAAATCATGCTGCTATAAAGACACATGCACACGTATGTTTATCGCGGCACTATTCACAATAGCAAAGACTTGGAACCAACCCAAATGTCCAACAATGATAGACTGGATTAAGAAAATGTGGCACATATACACCATGGAATACTATGCAGCCATAAAAAATGATGAGTTCATGTCCTTTGTAGGGACATGGATGAAATTGGAAATCATCATTCTCAGTAAACTATCGCAAGAACAAAAAACCAAACACCCCATATTCTCACTCATAGGTGGGAAATGAACAATGAGAACACATGGACACAGGAAGGGGAACATCACACTCTGGGGACTGTTGTGGGGTGGGGGGAGGGGGGAGGCATAGCTTTAGGAGATATACCTAATGCTAAGTGACGAGTTAATGGGTGCAGCACACTAGCGTGGCACATGTATAGATATGTAACTAACCTGCACATTGTGCACATGTACCCTAAAACTTAAAGTATAATAATAATAAAATAAAATTTAAAAAAAAAAATTCCTGGGCTCGGCCAGACGTGGTGGTTCACATCTGTAATCCGAGCACTTTGGGAGACCGAGGCAGGAGGATCACTTGAGGTCAGGAGTTTGAGACCAGCCTGGCCAATATGGTGAAACGCCATCTCTACTAAAACAAAATACAAAAATTAGCCGGGCATGGTGGTGGGCGCCTGTGATGCCAGCTACTTGGCAGGCTGAGGGAGGAGAATTGCTTGAACCTGGCAGGCAGAGGTTACGGTAAGCCTCGATTGTGCCACTGCACTCCAGCCTGGGTGACAGCGAGACTCTGTTTCAAAAAAAAAAAAAAAAAATTTCCTGATTCCTGGGCTCAAGCAATCGTCCTGCCTTGGCCTCCCAAAGTGCTAGGATTACAGCTATAAGCTACCAGGCCTGGCCTGGATTTTCTTTAAAAAATAACTGCCCAGTTAATTTATTTTTTCTTCTTTTTGAGATAGGCTCACACTCTGTCTCACAGGCTGGAGTGCCGTGGCATAATCACTGCTCACTGCAGCCTTGACCTCCTGGGCTCAGGTGAGTCTCCCACCTTAGCATCCCGGGTAGCTGGGACTACAGGCATGCACCATCACACCCGGCTAATTTTTTAATATTGTTTTGTAGAGACAGGGCTTCACCATCTTGCCCAAGCTGGTCTCAAACTCCCGAGCTCAAATGACCCACCCACCTCAGCCTCCCAAAGTCCTGAGATTATAGAAGTGAGCTATCACGCCAGGCCCTGTTCCAGTGAATTTAAAATAGGATCTCCTTTTCATATACTTTGATAAACAGATCTAATCATAGGTCATCTCAGGAACTAAGAGCTAGGAAGAACTAGATTCTCTCATCTAGCCACTTCATCTCCCAAAGGATAGGAGAGGTTAAATGACTTGCCCAAGGTCACAAAGCTTATAAACAGAAGTGAAACCCAAACCCACAATCTTTTCCATGTTACCTCACTGTCTCTGACATTCTCCTAATCTCAGAATGCTGTCCAGTTGATTTCTCTAAAAACCAACTGAGGCCGGGCATGGTGGCTCACGCCTGTAATCCCAGCACTTTGGGAGGCCGAGGTGGGTGGATCAGCTGAGGTCAGGAGTTCAAGACCAGCCTGACCAACATGGCGAAACCCCATCTGTACAAAAATTAGCCGGGCGTGGTGGCTCATGCCTGTAATCCCAGCTACTCAGGAGGCTGAGGCAGAAGAATCACTTGAACCTGGGAGGTGGAGGTTGCAGTGAACCGAGATTGCGCTACTACACTCCAGTCTGGGCGACACAGTGAGACTCCGTCTCAAAAAAAAAAAAAAAAAAAAATGAAATGAGAATGTGTAAAAAGAGTCCAGTCATTGGGTTTCAAAAGTCTTGAAAGTGTTTTTTTAGACACACATACATAATATAAATTCCCAGAAAATAAGGATTTGGCTAAAACTTGGTTCTCCATGAAAATGAGAAATGAGTCCTCAGCCTGTTGATGCCAACTTGACCAGATGAATCTCTTGTCCCTGAGTTCCCCAAAATGCTGATAAAGTCATATTTTATTCCCCAGAATACATGCCTAATTGGAGTTCTAACTAGTTGACTAATGACTAAAAAATTTAGAATCATGGGGAATGAGTTAGAGTAAGGAGATGGCTTAGAAAAAAATGAATTCTAAGTATTGATGAATTCTAATTATGATAATACCAAGTTCCAACTATCATACCTCAAATCTCTGATTTCACCTTCTGTCACAGGGGGGAAAAAAGTTTCTCCCATCTCCAAAAAGTAACAGGTACTTTTTATAATATAAAGTTAGGCCCGGCTCAGTGGCTCACTCCTATAATCCCAGCACTTTGGGTGGCTGAAAGGCAGGCAGATCACTTGAGCCCAGGAGTTCAAGACCAGCCTAGGCAAAGTAGTGAGAATCTCTGTCTAAAAAAATTTAAAAATTAGCCAGCATGGTGCCCACTTGGGAGGCTGAGGCGGGAGGATTGCTTGAGCCCAAGAGGTAGAGGTTGCAGTGAGCTGTGATCACACCACGGCACTCCAGCCTAGGCAACAGAGCAAGATCCTGTCTCAAAAAAAAAAAAGGAAAAAAGTTGTCTTCCTTGATAGGGCAGTTAAAAAATGGTTAGAATCCACAACTTCCTGTAGGTGAAATCCCTTCTTACCCTTGGAATCTGCTCCCTTTCTGAAGGATCCTCTGCTCACTTTACAGAGAACACATGCAAACACACACAAAATGCAAAACAGCAACAGCCAAAACTCTAGTTCGACGCTACCCTCACCCTACACAACTTGTCAGGGGTTGACCTGCAGTAATGGCTGATAAGGCTGACAGCAAAAGAAAAACAATCATCTTGGTTGGGTTATTTAATTTCAACTGAAGACTAGAAGACTACAAGACTCATCCTTACTACTCTCCTCTCCCTTCCAGAAAGGTCATGAGAAATATGTAGTCTTGAATTTGATGAGACTGAAAACAGAGAATTCCAAAGCATGAGAACTTATTACTAAACAACTGCTAATTAAAACAAAATGGACACTTTAATATTCTTTAAATTAATTCTATGTAAAACCTGATGAGGTAAACAAATATGGTCATGTCTTGTTCTTTATGACTCACTGTGACTCTGTCACATCCTCCTTCTCACTACTACCTTTGCTGTTAAGCACACAAACCATTTTAGATAACAGCTTGTAAAAGTTGGGAAAGCAGTTTCCTGTCAAATGAATCAGAAATAGATCACTGAAAAACCAGCCCGGTGAGGGCCAGAGGAGTCACTAACAAAGAGTTACTCTAATTCACTCAAGGCTTAAGTTTCTCTGCGTTTTTTCTCACACAGGAAAGAGTAAGACTTATACACTGCCCTTTCTTCCCCCACTTCCCTGAGAGCCCAAGGACAGCGCCCTGCTCCTTCTAGAGGAAAGGGGGTTACCCACACTCCCTTCTCTCAGGTCAAACCACACCCTACATTCCCAGCTGAGACTAGAGACCTCTTGTCTCACCTACTCTTACTCATCTTCTCTGGCACATCCTCACCTCACCTACCTTTCATGTCACTGACCACAGTGACTTTCCACAGAAGCACAGCTGCTTAAATGCTGGTGGGTTTTTTTGTATGTCTTCACAATGCATGTTCCAAGGATACATATATTACACTCTTATTTTTATTTGTTTTTTGTTTTTTGAGACAGAATCTGGCTCTGTCGCCCAGGCTGGAGTGCTGTGGTGCGATCTGGCTCACTGCAGCCTTCACCTCCCAGATTCAAGCGATCCTCCCACCTCAGACTCCCAAGTAGCTGGGATTACAGGCGCATGCCACCACACCTGGCTAATTTTTGTATTTTTAGTAGACACGCGGTTTCACTATGCTGGCCAGACTGGTCTGGAACTCCTGACCTTAAATGATCTGCCTGCCTCAGCCTCCCAAAGTGCTGGGATTACAGGCATGAGCCACCGCACCCGGCCAACACTCTTATTTTTAACTCAGAGAATACTCATAAGGCCACTAGGCAAGAACTCCCTCAGCTTCCTCATCCATCACCTATGAGTATCTGCCTCTGCTCCCATCCTTTCCTTCTTCCCTTCTGTTTCAGCAGAAAAGGAGTCATTCCTGGCATCCTGAATGATCACTCCAGCAGCACTTAGGGTCTCAAGCTTTGCTGACTCAGGGAGACCTCGTTCCATCACATCTTTCTACTCTAGACTTTCAATTCCTCCTCCCCAAGACCTCTTACCCCTCCACCAACAAATGAACACACTCAAGTCTCTACCTTCTTAACATAATTCATTTGTTTGGCCATCAAATATTTGTTGAGTGCCTACTACAGGCCAGGAGCAATTTTTTACTCTGGAGATAAAGCAGTGAATAAAACTAAGTTCCTGCCCTCAGGCAACTTATTTTCTAGTGAGGAGAGAGACAAAGAACAGATGAATGTGTATATATCCTAGCTACTTCCTTTCTCTCCACCTCACACGGCCAGGCTTGAAACAGCAGGGTACCCCGCCTGCCTCTACTTCCACTTCCTCTCTGCTTTGCATTCCTTATCCACTTTCAACAGGCTGCAGTGCCCCTTCCTTGCCCCAACCCTGTCCCTAAACCCTACTAAAACAGCTTAGGCAAAGGTCACCACCAATGACCTCTGCTTGTAATCTCAATTGCATTTTCTCAGTCCTAGTCTCAAACTCTATGCAACAAGAGACACTTAATACTCCTTGTTGTTTTGCTCTTCTCCCTCTGGTCACTCATACCCCTCTGACCTCTTTTCCAGGTTCTTTTTTTCAGCTTCCCCCTTAAATGGTGGTGCTTTCCAGTTCTGTGTTTAGCCTCTGCTCACTCAATATGCTCTCCTTGGCTGGGTGCAGCGGCTCACACCTATAATCCCAGCACTCTGGGAGGCCGAGGTGGGCGGATCACAAGGTCAGGAGATCGAGACCATCCTGGCTAACATGGTGAAACCCCATCTCTACTAAAAATACAAAAAAAAATTAGCCAGGCGTGGTGACAGGCATCTGTAGTCCCAGCTACTCGGGAGGCTGAGGCAGGAGAATGGCGTGAACCCAGAAGTCAGAACTTGTAGTGAGCTGAGATTGCGCCACCGCACTCCAGCCTGGGCGACAGAGCGAGACTCCATCTCAACATATATAATATGCTCTCCTTGGACAATCTCAATCATGCCCACTGCTTCCACTATCAGCGATACATGCTAAGGAATACTGAATGTATATCTTCAGGACAGGCCTTTCTACAGAACTCCAAATCCACACACCCAACTGCTGCTACAGATCTCCATTTGCATGTCCCCAAAACCTCTCAAATTCAGTAAAACTGAATTTTCTCTCCCCCTACACCCTAAACTGTTCTTCTGCCTCTATTCCCTGTTTTAGGAAATGGTGCCATCTTTCTCTCAAGATGCCTAAGGAAGAAACTTACCAGTCCGCCTTTCTCCTATCACACCTACAAATCTCTGTGCACACCTCCTCCTCCTCCATACTAGTCTCGTAAATTCTCCCTGCTTAAATACTTCTTTTCATTCCCTCTTCCCTAATCCTACTGCAGAGACAGCTCATTTCAGTAGCCTCCTGTAAGTCTTCCTGCCCTGTCTTACCTGCTCTTATTTAAGGCTATTTTGCACTTTTTCTATGTAAATAGTATCACTTGGTTGTGTGACACAGCAACCTGAAACTATTCTCCTCTAAGGCGATCTCCAACAAACACAGATGTCATCCACTCCTGCTTACAATACTTCAGTGGCTTCCCATGAATGCTCTTCCCAAAGATGCTATATGATGCTCTTTCCCCTGAAGAAAGTGATGGAGGAGGCAGGGCACAGTGGCTCACGCCTGTAATCCCAGCACTTTGGGAGGCTGAGGCGGGCAGATCATGAGGTCAGGAGATTGAGACCATCCTGGCTAACACAGTGAAACCCCGTCTCTACTAAAAATACAAAAACAAAATTAGCCAGGCGTGATGGCGGGTGCCTGTAGTCCCAGCTCCTCGGGAGGCTGAAGCGGGAGAATGGCATGAACCCAGGAGGCGGAGCTTGCAGTGAGCCGAGATCGCGCCACCGCACTCCAGCCTGGGCGACAGAGAGAGACCCTGTCTCAAAAAAAATGAAAGTGATGGAGGAATGGAAGGCCCAGAAGAGGCACAGCCTGAAGAAGCCAGCCACTAGAGAACAATGCATTATTTTTTAATGTTAAAATTTATGTTTGATCTTAATTTTCAATTCATGCTTTACTATAGCAATAATTTCCCGTGAAATTCAATTTAATGGATATTCTAAGAAGGCACGCTATGTTTACCCTGTAGCTTTTTTTCTTTTTTCTTTTTTCTTTTTTTGAGACAGAGGCTCGCTCTGTCACCCAGGCTGGAGTACAATGGCATGATCTCGGCTCACTGCAATCTCTGCCTCCCGGGGTCAAGCGAGTCTCCTGCCTTGGCCACCTGAGTAGTTGGGATTACAGGCACACGCCACCACACCCGGCTACTTTTTGGATTGTAGCTCTGAGTACCCCTGGAACATCAATACAAATCCCCATTGGGAAGCAAAGACCTACAGGATAAAATGTAAGATTCTATGGGTGTGGCCACAAGGCACAACCCACCCCTGCCATGCTGTCAGCCCTAACCACTGTCCTGGCTCACTGGACTTACATTCCATGTTCTAGCAGTGACTAAATCATCACAGTTCCTCAAACACGCTTCAATGATTGACAAATCTAAAGCAGCCTCCTCCCCTCATCTGTCAGCCCACCAAACTCCTTTGGTCCATTGGACAGTCCTTCCCAGAATACTACATGTACACTAATGCCCTGCACCTAAGCACCTTCAAGTACTTGAACATGTCTCCCTTATGACATTTATTATGCAATAAAGATACTGTTTACAGTTTTTGTTTGTTTGTTTGAGACAGGGTCTTACTCTGTCGTACAGGCAAGAGTTGCAATGGTGCCATCACAGCTCCCGGAGCCTCCATCTCCCTGAGTTCAGGTATCTTCCCACCTCAGCCTCCTGAGTAACTGGGACTATTTTGGGACTACAGGCGCATGCCACCACACCTGACTAGTTGTTTACAGTATCCTATCTTCCCCCAAAATAACTATAAGAAAGTACTGCCATGTCCTGCCCCTCCTAACCACAGTAAAACTCACTAAAAGTTGTTTTGTTTTGTTTTTGAAACTTACCCATTTCCTCCAAATCACTCCTTAACCCATTATAATCTCTGGCTTCTGATCCTCACACCACAGCATTAAAACCACTCTCACCAAGTTCATAATCACAAATCATTTTGTGGCTAAACCTAACAAATCCACCTTAATGCTTAACCATTCTTTTGTTTGCAGCAATATTTGATCATTCTCTCTTGTCTTCCTGGCCCCCAACTCTCCTGACATCCCTTCTCTAGATTTCTTGCTAAACCTCCAGCCATGTCTTTGCAGTCGCCTCTGCAAGCTTTCTTTTCCTCTGTCCATGTTAGCATTTCTTAGGATTCTATCAGAAATACTCTTCTCTGTTCACTCTAAGCCCTCTTTCCTGGGTGAACTCATCTATTCTCATGGCTTAAACTATCATCCTGCTTTAGATAAAGCTGGAAAACACATTTGGGTCCATATGCCCAGTTTAGATACTCTGTTCACTAATCACAACTTCTGCATGGATGGACGTTTGGAAATATAAAATAGCACAGCAGCATAATAGACTTATACTGCTTCCTGTGTGCCAGACACTATACTAATCACTATACTTTTCCTTTTTTTTTTTTGGAAAGCAGGTCTCATTATGTTGCCCAGGCTGGTCTTGAACTCCTGGCCTTAAGAAATCCTGCCGCCTCAGCCTCCCAAAGTATACTTTTATATAGTAACTGATTCAGTGCTCACATCAATCCTACAACGTAGATACTATTATCATCTTCATTTTATGGATGAGGACACTGAGACACTAAATCTGACTACCAAAAAAAAAAAAAAGAAGGGTCAGGCACAGTGGCTCACGTCTATAATCCCAACACTTTGGAAGGCTGAGGTGGGCAGATTGCTTGAGTCCAAGAGTTCAAGACCAGCCTGGACAACATGGTGAAAGTCCATCTCCACAAAAAATTTAAACCTAGCTGGGCATGGTGGTGCATGCTTGTAGTCTCAGCTACCTGGGAGGCTAAGGCAGATGGATCACCTGAGCCTGGGAGGTCAAGGCTGCAGTGAGCCGTGATTACACTACTGTACTCCAGCCTGGGTGACAGACTAAGACTCTGTCTCCAAAAAAAAAAAAAACAGAAGGAATTTCCATCTCTAATGAAAAGCACTTTTTTCCACAACTGAAATTGTAAGAAAAAGAAGATAAATCAAATTCAGGATTCTGAACAAATACACTTCTGACAATGGTGATTTTCTGTTAATTAACATTTTAATCATTTTAATCATGTTTTAACACTTAATAATTATTTTAATCATGTTTCTTCCAATTTGTACTGAAAAAGGATAATCTTTTCTTTAAGATGTGGTCTTGCTCTTTCGCCCAGCCTAGAGTGTAGTGGCACGATCATAGTTCACTGCAGCCTCAACTCCAAAGCAGATGAGACTACAGGTGCACATCACCATAACCACCTAGGGACAGAGTCTCACTATCTTGAACTCCTGGCCTCAAGCAATCCTCCCGCCTCGGCCTCCCAAAGTGCTGTCGGCCAAGGATAATCTTAGTTATTAAGATGTTTCACAAGTTTTATCTCTCAGCCATAAAGACAAACCTGAAGTTCACAATATAATAAGTAAATAAGATTTTTGTTATTTTCCTATGTGCAAAATTACAATTAATTTAGTGTTTGAACAGTACCTTAGATATAGGTAGTCAAAGAGACCTGAGATAACGTGGGTAGGACCTAAGAGACAAATACTCTGTGTGTACAGTTGGACATGTTATGCACAGCCCATGAACGTCCTTGGTAGTTGGCCACACTGTTTGCATAAACTAGAATAAACTGACCAAAGGTCTGACTTGGTTCAACAAAACCAATATTTGCCATATGGCTAATTATTTCACTTCCATGGTTTTCCAACATTTTGCCAAAGATGGAATGTAGCCAAGAAAAGACGTTGAAAAACCAGGCATGTGAAATATTCAGTTTTTTTCCAACCAGGACCCATTAAACCAAAACAAAACTGATTTTGGTTTTATTACAATGTCTGGTCTACAGAAAAACCCACCTAATTAACTTATGCTTTAGATCAGATCCTACGGATATTACATTTGGTTAAGACAGAGGAAAAAAGGCCGGGTGCAGTGGCTCACGCCTGTAATCCCAGCACTTTGGGGGACCGGGGTAGTCGTATTACCTGAGGCCAGGAGTTTGGGACCAACCTGGCCAACATGGTGAAACCCTGTCTCTACTAAAAATACAAAAAGTAGCCAAGCGTGGTGGCACAGGCCTGTAATCTCAGCTACTGGTGAGGCTGAGGCAGGAAATCGCTTGAACCCGGGAGGCAGAGGTTGCAGTGAGCCGAGATCGCGCCATTGCACTCCAGCCTGGGCAACAAGAGTGAAACTCTGTCTCAAAAAAAAAAAAAAAAAAAAAAAAAAAGGCAGAGGAAAAAGAGAATCAATGCATGTGCAAAGTACACAAAAAAATGAGAAGTGTCTGCCTCCTGTTCAGGGAGCACAGTGGCGTGGCTCCAGCTCTCACCCAAGCACTGTCCCAGGCTTGGAGCTGTGTATTCTGAAAGTATTTGCATAATAAATACCAAATGAATTGGATAAGCAAAGTAGTCAGGCAGACTGAAGAAACGGAAAGTTGTCACATATCACCCAACTGTAAAAGTCAAGTGTAAAAATCAGAGGGTATATAGTGAGGAAAATAAGGGAAAAACAAACAAGCAAACATTAAAAACCAAATGCCAGGAAACACATAGGCCCCTGAGGGGCAGCTCTCACCAGCTTCCACAGGGGTCCCCATCCTTCCTGGCAGAGACCCTGGGGACAGAGCCTACACTTCTTTACTCTTTAAAGCTGCCACCATCTAAAGAATTCCATTGGAATCTTCTCCCTGCAAAGTCCATTTGTTCACTGAACAAGTGTCTATTGAGTCTTCTATTCTAGGCACTAGAGAGACAGCAGGGAACAAGACAGTAAAATCTCTGCACTCAAAAAACAAACATTTTACTGAGGAAGAATCCAATCATATTAATATATGAACAAGATCATTTCAAATGTTGGTATTAATTAGAAAATTTTAAACAGGAAAAAAAGAAAGTAAAAGAGAGTGGTGAGATGAAGAATGATGGGAGGGGTTGCTAATTTAACCTTGGAGGTTCTCTAAGGAGGTTAACTTTGAACTGAGACTAAGTTGGAGCAGAACATTCTAGGAAGAAGAAAAGCAAGGAACAAGACATAGAGGTGGCCAGGCATGGTGGTTCACACCTGCAACCCCGGCACTTTGGGAGGCCAAGGTGGGAGGATGGCTTGAGCCCAGGAGTTCAAGACAAGTCTGGGCAACAGAGTGAGATCCTGTAGCTACAAAATATAAAAAAATTAGCAAGGTGTGATAGTGCAAACCTATAGTCTCAGCTACTAGGGAGGCTGAGGTGGGAGGATCTCTTGAGCCTGGGAGGTCAAGGCTGCAGTGAGCTCCATGTACACCACTGCACTCCAGCCTGGATGAGAGAGTGAGACTCTGTCTCAAAAAAAAAAAAAAAAAGGGGACCTAGAGGCAGCAACATGCATCACGGTTGAGTTCAAGGAAGAAAAGAAATGCCTATTTTGTTCAAAGTATCATCTCATGATGACCACCCTCTTTTAAATTGTGCCCAATAACCCTCTACCGGTATTCTCTGTATTTTTTTTTTTTTTTTTTGAGATGGAGTCTCGCTCTGTCGCCCAGGCTGGAGTGCAGTGGCCCGCTTTCGGCTCACTGCAAGCTCCGCCTCCCGGGTTCACGCCATTCTCCTGCCTCAGCCTTCCAAGTAGCTGGGACTACAGGCGCCCAACACCACACCCAGCTAATTTTTTTGTATTTTTAGTAGAGATGGGGTTTCACCATGTTAGCCAGGATGGTCTCAATCTCCTGACCTCGTGATCTGCCCGCCTCGGCCTCCCAAAGTGCTGGGATTACAGGTGTGAGCCACCGTGCCCAGCCTTCTCTGTCCCTCTTGATGCTTTTTCTCCATTGAAATTTTTACCAAATGGCCAGGCACAGAGGCTCACACCTGTAATCCCAACACTCTGCAGGGCACCAAGGCAAGAGGATTGCTCGAGCCCAAGAATTTGAGACTAGCCTGGGAAACATGGCAAGACCCTGTATCTACAAAAAATAAAAATTAGGCGGGCATGGTGGCACAGGCCTGGAGTCCTAGCTACTCAGCAGGCTGAGGGGGAGGATCTCTTGAGCCCAGGAAGAGGAAGCTGCAGTTGAGCCATGATCACACCACTACACTCCAACCTGTCTCAAAAAAAATAACAATAAATTTTTACCATCTAACAAGCAATACATATTACTTGTTATTCTCTGTCTACAGCTACAGATGTAAGCCCCCTAAGGGGAGGGGTGTTTGTCATGTTAATCACTGCTGTATCACCTGCACCTATGTGGCACATAGTAGGCACTCAATAAACACCAGATAAATTAAAAAAAGGAAGAGGGAAGCGGGAGGATGGAGGGAGGCAGGGAGACAGGTGGAGAGGAGAGGGAAGAATAGGGAAGGAGAGAAGGGAGGAAGGAAAAGAGAAAGAAGAGTCAGCCAATGTGGCTGAAGCACAATGGGTGAGGGGAAAAGATGAGGGGTCAGGGCGGTGTAGGTCTTGCAGGCCATGGAAACGTATCTGAATTATATTTTAAAGACAAACTGAATTCATGGAAGAGCTATAAAGCGGGGAAGTAATATGACCTAATTTGCAGTTTAAAAAGCTCTCTACCTGCTATGTGGAAAATGGGTTAGAGAGAAGAAAGCTGGGACACCACCAGGTAAGGAGCTAAAGAAGCAAGAGATGTGATGACATGGGCATGATTAACAGTGACTCGGCATGGAAAGAAGTAGATTTAGAATATATTCTCAAGGTAGTACCAAAAAGGCTCACTGATGGACTTGATACAGAGAGGTGGCCTGAAGGAGAGGAATCAAGGATGTGTTATCAATTTATGGCCTTTCAGCTCCAAATATACCCTCGCTGCTCTGTGAAAACTGAGATGGGCCCTTTAAATATTTTTCCTTTGACAGCTGCCATGATGTTAAACTTTGCCTGTCCATAGAGGGCACTGGAAAGACATTGCAGGAAGAGGCTTTTCTTTCTAGCTCCAGTGTACTCCTCCTGACAGGATAAACAGAATATCAACAAGTTCTCTATTCTGATGTCCTATGGAGTCCTAGTAAATTTATTTTAAAATATTTTATAATTTGAGGAAATTGGGAAGACAACTGAACTAAGCTAATACAACTTGTATGTTTTCACACGTAATTGTTTTCCTATATATATAAGAATTTGGGCATAGTATTCTGTCCATTCATCCTGTTTTAAAGCTAATACCATACTGCTTTGAATACAGTAACTTTAGAATCTGTTTTAATATGTGGTAAGGCCAAGTATCACCTCACTATTCCGTTTCTAAATTTTCTTGGCTATTCTATTTATTCTTCCATGTGAACACTAAGATCATTTTATCTAATTCTCCATTCCCTAAAGAATCTTCCATTGGAGTTCTAATTGGACTCCCATTAAATTTATATATATCAGTCTTCTCATTCAGGAACACAGTACAGTTGGCCCGTCCATATCTTTGGGTTCCACATCCATGGATTAAACAAACCTCTAAGTGAAAATAGGTGGAGGAAAAAAAGCCATCTGTACTGAACATGTACAGATTTTTTTTTTCCTGTCATCACTCTCTGAATTATAAAGAATAACAACTATTGACATAGTATTTTCACTGTATTAGGTACTATACAAGTATATAAGTAATCTAGAGTTGATTTAAACAAGAGGATGTGCTTACGTTACATGCAAATACCATGCCATTTTTTAGCAGACTTGAGCACCCTTGGATTTTGGTAACTGAGGGGAGTCCCGGAACCAATCCCCTACGAAGAAAGGAACAACTGTATATATTTCCATTTTTTCAGATTCTGCTTTTATATCTTTAAAGTTTTACAATTTTCTTCATACAGATCTTATGTCTTTCTTACAATATTTAAGTATTGTATAATTTTTCTCTTTTTCCCAAATATATTCCAGGAAATATTTTATAATTTTTAACACTTTTATAAATAAAATATTTTTCTCCTCACCAATGCAGTTAATTCCCATTCTTCCCCTGCCAATATCCCAGTGACATCAAATAATGCTTTTACTTACCACCTATCCACCACATTACCCTGTCCAACATCTGAGTTCTGCTGAAATCACTGGGAATGTTTCTTTCAGACGACTAGGTTTTCTCTTGCAATATGTTTCTTCTGGATTCTTACTTAGCATTTATATCACACATTCCTTGTCATTCTCAATATATACTATGTATATACAAGCAGGACCTGAAGTAACCTTATTTTACTCAATGTTATGTTATAAAGAGGCTGAAAAGAAAAACAAAAAAATCAATTCCCAGCCAGGGCCACTATCTGTGTGGCGTTTGCACGTTCTCCCCATGTCTGTGTAGGTTTTCTCCAGGTACTCTAGTTTCCCCCATACCCCAAAGATGCATCCATTAGGTGAACTGGCACATTTAATTGTCCCAGTCTAAGTGAGTGTGTGTATGTATGTGTGCGCCCTGCAATGGAAAGTCCTTTCCAGGGCTGGTTCCCGTCTTGTACCCTGAGCTGCTGGGATAGGTTCCTGCCTTCCCAGACCCTGAACTGGAATAACCAGATAAATAATTATCCTGTTGTTTTTATTAATCTTTCTTTCCATTTTTCAAAAATGTGGCCGGGTGTGGTGGCTCACACCTGTAATTCCAGCACTTTGGGAGGCCAAGGCGTGTGGATCACTTGAGGTCAGGAGCTCGAGACTAGCCTGATCAATATGGTAAAACCCCGTCTCTACCAAAAATATAAAAATTAGCTGGGTGTGGTGGCACATACCTGTAATCCCAGCTACTCAGCGGGCTGAGGCAGGGGAATCACTTGAACCCCGGACACGGAGGTTGCAGTGAGCCAAGATTGTGCCACTGCACTCCAGTCTGGGTGACAGAGCAAGACTCTATCTTAAAAAAATAATAATAAAATATACAATAATAAAATAAAAAATAAAAAATAAAATAAATTAAATAAAAAATGTTTGGGGGCTGGGCGTGGTGGCTCATGCCTGTAATCTCAACACTCTGGGAGGCCAAGGCAGGTGAATCCTTGAGCCCAGGAGTTCAAGAAGCCTGGGCAACATAGCAAAACCCTATCTCTACAAAAAATACAAAAATTAAGCCAGGCACAGTGACTCACACCTGTAATCCCAACACTTTGGGAGGCCAAGGGCGGAGGGGCGGTTGGAGTGGATCACTTGAGGTCAGGAGTTCAAGACCAGCCTGGCTAACACGGAGAAACCCCGTCTCTACTGAAAATACAAAAATTAGCTGGGCGTGATGGTGACAGGTGCCTGTAATTCTAGCTACTCAGGAGGCTGAGGCACAAGAATCACTTGAACCTGGGAGATGGAGGTTGCAGTGAGCTGAGATGGGGCCACTGCACTCTAGCCTGGCAACAGAGTGTGAGACTCCATCTCAAAAAAAAAAAAAAAAAAAAGAAAGAAACCTGAAGTCTAACTGAGAAGGTAAAAATAACATAAATGAAACAAACAGTGGCAAATTAAGAGTTAAAACTGTTGCTGAGCTGGGCACAGTGGCTCATGCCTATAATCCCAGCACTTTGGGAGGCTGAGGCGGGTGGATCACGAGGTCAAGAGTTCAAGACCAGCTTGACCAACATGGTGAAACCCCCTCTCTACTAAAAATACAAAAATTAGCAGGGTGTGGGGGTGTGCGCCTGTAATCTCAGCTACTCAGGAGGCTGAGGCAGGAGAATCGATTAAACCCGGGAGGCAGAGGTTGCAGTGACCTGACATCGCGCCACTGTACTCCAGCCTGGGCGACAGAGGGAGACTCCATCTCAAATTAAAAAAAAAAAAAAAAAAAAAAAAACTGTTGCTGAATATAACAATAGTCTAAAAATAGAAGAGATTAATATGGACTAAAGCAGTCAGCAGGTTTCATGATGAGAGGAACGTCAACCAGGCCTTGAAACAAGGGTTGGATTTTAATAGGAGAAAAAGCAGTCCTGACAGGGAAAATACTCGCTACAAATGCAGAGACAGGAATGAGCTTGCCAAGAAAGAGTGAGGAAACCCATATGATTGTAATAGAAGAGTGTCAGATACTAGTAAGAAAAAAGGTAGATAGGGAGGCTGATGGCAGAATCTAGATTCATTCACTAGCTGAACCGAAAAGCATTTTCACTAAAGAACACTGCATGCTGTCCTCATGCAGCTTACTTAGGGGAGATGAGAATATTTATGCAAATAATAATTTCCTAACTTTAAGATAATTTTAAAAATAGCTATGATATAGGGGTAACATTAGAAATCAGAGCTCAGAGAACCGACAAATGGAGAAGTTGTTTTTTTAACAGGATGTTCATTTTCTAGTACTTCTCTTGGTCTTCTTGAAGAAAAACAAGCAAAGAACTATGGAAGGAAAACTCATACCACTGCTTGTTCTACATGTTCAACTTAAAAATGAAAGTTTCTCCAAACCAGAGAGGAAGTCAAATAAATCATGAATGACTTTTTAAAATTTTAAGACAGTGTCTTTGCCTTTGTCACAGATTTACTAAACAAGAACTATCAGAAGCTTCTACCTAACAATTCCTTGCTGGGTTGATTTTTTTTAAAAGGAGATTCAGGCCGGGTACGGTGGCTCACGCCTGTAGTCCCCGCACTTTGGAAGGCCGAGGCGGGCAGATCACGAGGTCACGAGTTTGAGACCAGCCTGGCCAACACGGTGAAACCCTGTCTCCACTAAAAATACAAAAATTAGCTGAGCATGGTGGTGCACACCTGTAGTCTCAGCTACTGGGGAGGCTGAGGCAGGACAATGGCTTGAACCCAGGAGGCGGAGGCTGCAGTGAGCCGAGATCATGTCACTGCACTCCAGCCTGGGTGACAAGTAAGACATTGTCTCAAAAAAAAAAAAAAAAAAAAAGGAGATTCAATGACAAGACTGGTCAGCACTATAAAATTTATTCATATCTGAACTGAATTAAAAGCCATAAGTTCTGGCCCATGATTAACTTACAACAATATGATCTTAAATTCTTAGAAAGAAAAAGAAAAAAAAATCTTGCAGATGCTTTAATGTATGCCTAAAAGCAACAGTCCTCCAAAAATAAAGGGTATTAGAGCACTATTTCTTCACCACAAAAAAAAAAACCTCCAAGAAAAACCAATTAAAGTACATGTCATTCACAGAAGCATCTATGTTCATTTATACATTAATTTTTACATTAAACATTAAATATCCTGGGGGAAAAAAGACTAAAAACTCTTTCTGCATCACCATGTAAGTACAACCCAGAATCAATAACCCAGAAGCTCGAGGCCTGTTCACAACACAGACCTTTCAAAGATGCTAGGCTAGACCTGTGAATTTTCATTTAGGGCTGTCCCATGTAGCATCCAAAATATTATCATCCTGGGTTTCCCCTTTCAGCTTCTCATCATCTCCATCTCAATTCAAGGAAGAAAAAGTAACTTCACAACAAAAGACAAGTACATAAAATTACCTTTCACTTTATAGATGCACTTCATATTTTTCATTCTTTTAAAAAAAATAAAAGAGGCTCAGCATAGTGGCTCATGCCTGTAATCCCAACACTTTGGGAGGCCAAGGAGGGAGGATCGCTTGAGCCCAGGAGTTTAAGGCGAACCTGGGCAATACAGTGAGACCCCATCTCTAAAAAAATTTTAAGAAATAAGAAAAGAAATAAAAGTCACATCTTGCCAGTAGTTATACTGGTATGAAGGAAACCCTCCAAATATAATCTACAGAGTGTTAACCCCTTTAGTTCCTGCAAAGCATGGTAAGAAATAACAAATTACACCCCTATACCTTTTTCTCTGAGAATAAGATAGAACATTCCCATTCTTCTCCCTCCAGGGAGCCCTACCCCCCAAAAAAATAAACGCAGAAGCTGTGGCCAGATGCAGTGGTTCATGCCTGTAATCCCAGAACTTTGGGCAGCCAAGGCAGGAGGACTGCTTGAGCCCGGGAGTTCAAGACCAGCCTGGGCAGCAACAAAGTGAGACCCCTGTCTCTACAAAAAATAAAAAATTAGCCAGGCATGGTGACATGGACCTGTAATCCCAGCTACTTGGAGGATTGCTTGTGTACAGAAGTTTGAGGTTGCAGTGAGCTAAGATCATGCCACAGCACTCTAGCTTAGGGGACAGACCAAGACCTTGTCTCAAAAAAACAAACAAAAACAAACAAAAAAAGACAGAAGTTGTATCCTAAGGAAAATGAGACATACCAGTTAAGATGCAGGAGAATTCTGCTGAAACTACTTGAAACAAGATTCAGGGAGATGGAGGTCAAAATGGCTGTGTGGAAACACCACAGGGCTTAGAACCAAACAGACTTGGTTTCCAATCCCAGCACACTGTACAGAAACTGCACACCTATCTCTAGGAGTTGTTAAGATTAGAAACACATTTCAAAGACTTGCCCAAGGGCCGGGCGTTGTGGCTCACGCCTGTAATCCCAGTACTTTGGGAGGCCGGGGTGGGCGATCACTTGAGGTCAGCCTGGCCAACATGGTGAAAGTCCATCTCTACTAAAATACAAAAATTAGCCGGGCATGGTAGCGGGTGCCTGTAATCCCAGCTACTCGGGAGGCTGAAGAAGCAGAATCGCTTGAACCCAGGGGGCGGAGCTTGCAGCGAGCTGAGGTCGCACTATTGCACTCCAGCCTGGGCAATAAGAGAGAGATTCTGTCTCAAAAAAAAAAAAAAAAAAGTTGCCCAAGACCATATGTGAACCCAATTCAGCATGACTCCTAAATTCAGTGCTCCTTCCCAGTGCCATGCGTCCAGAATGCTACCTTATGGGAAATGTGTAACCACAGGTGGGAAGATACATTGTATGCAATGTTTAGGTGCTTTTTGCTACCTCAGTTCCCTCATCATCATTATGCTAATAGGAGCTATGTATTCAGCACCTACTTACTAGCCAGGCAAGGTATATGAAGTGCTAAGCACAGGACCTATTACATCATAAGCTCTCAATAACTGATGACTACTTATACAGAGATTTAACTTCTTAAAAGAGCTTAGAAAAGGAAACTGGAACGAAACAGAAGTTAACTGGAAACTCACAGGAAACTGAAACAGAAGTTAACCGGGCAAAAAAAGGGGAAGAACATACCAGAGTGGACATTTTAGAGAATGGCAATGTATACAAAAGCATACAAGTGAAAAAAAGCACAGTGCATTCATGGAAGTGCAAGTCATCTGGCATGGCTAGAGAGCAGACAACAAATATAGACAGAGCAGGAAATGAGGGTAAAAAGGCAGGCAGGTCTTGGTATACAAAGAAAGATGCTTAGAGTTTATCCTGTGACTGAGAGAAGCCAAGGAAAACTTTTAAACAGGGAAGAGAACACAATTAGGTTTGTGTTTCAGAATGATCAATCAGTGACAGGGTAGAGAAAGACCTACTGAAGGGAGAAGAGACCGAGACAGGCTGATGAGTTAGGAGACTACCTCATTAGTCTAAGCAAGAAATAAGTGCCTGAACTAACACTGGAATGATATGGAGAACAGGAAGTAGAAACAACAAGACTCAGTGATCCATTAGAATATGGATCACTGGGCAAGGTGGCTCACACCTGTAATCTCAGCACTTTGGGAGGTCAAGACGGGTGGATCACCTTAGCCCAGGAGTGAGATCAGCCTGGGAAACAATGCAAAACCCCATCTCTATTTAATTTAAAAAAAAAAATCTAATTAAAACAAATTTTTTGGTCGGGTGCGGTGGCTCACGCCTGTAATCCCAGCACTTTGGGAGGCCAAGGCAGGTGGATCACGAGGTCAGAAGATCGAGACCATCCTGGCTAACACGGTGAAACCCCATCTCTACTAAAAAAATACAAAAAAATTAGCCGGGCGTGGTGGCGGGCACCTGTAGTCCCAGCTACTCAGGAGGCTAAGGCAGGAGAATGGCGTGAACCCGGGAGGCGGATTTTGAGACAGAGTCTTGCTCTGTCGCCCAGGCTGGAGTGCAGTGGCACGATCTTGGCTCACTGTGATCCCTGCTCACTGCAACCTCCGTCTCCTGGGCTCAAGCAATTCTCCTAACTCAGCCTAGCCTCCTGAGTAGCTGGGATTACAGGCACCCGCCACCACACCCAGCTAATTTTTGCATTTTTAGTACTGATAGGGTTTCGCCATGTTGGCCAGGCTGGTCTCGAACTCCTGACCTCAGGTGATCCGCCCACCTTGGCCTCCCAAAGTGCTGGGATTATAAGCATGAGCCACCGTGTCCGGCCAAAACAAAATATTTTTAGAATATAAGGATGACTCTCAATTTTTTTGACTTTGGTAAGTTACTATGGTCTGAATGTCAGTGTCCCCCAAAAATTCCTATGTTGGAACTTAATTCCCAATGTGATAGTATTAAGAGATGGGGTCCAGGCACAGTGGCTCACAGTCATAATCTCTGCACTTTGGGAGGCCAAGGTGGGAGTATCATTCATGGCCAGGGGTTTGAGACCAGTCTGGGAAACATAACGAGACCCCATCTCTACAAAAAATAAAAAATCAGCCAGGTGTGGTGGCACACGCCTGTAATCCCAGCTACTTGGGAGGCTGAGGTGGGAGGATCGCTTAAGCCCAGGAATCCAAGGCTACTGTGAGCTATGATCTCGCCACTGCACTCCAGCCTTGGTGACGAGCAAGACTCTCTCGATATAGAGATAGAGATAGAGATAGAGATAGAGAGAGAGAGAGAGAGAGAGAGAGAGAGAGATGGTGCCTCTAGGAGGTGATTAGGTCATGAAAGAGGAGTGCTCATGAACAGGCTTAGTGCCCTTATAAAACAAGCTTGAGGGAGCCTGTTTGCCCCTCCCACCATGTGAAGATGCAACAAGAAGGTGCCATCTTTGAAGTAGACAGCAGGCTCTCATCAGACAATAAATCTTCTGACTTCTTGATCTATGACTTCCTAGCTTCCAAACTGTGAGCAATAAATTTCTATCATTTATAATTTACCAAGTCTAAGGTATTTTGTCATAGCAGCAGAAATGGATGGAGATAGTAAGTGGACATTCTGAAATACAGTTATCTGTGAAGCAGGGAGGTGGGGGCAGGGGTGGAGGAGGAAGTTGAAACAGAGTTGTTTTAGACTTACCAAGTTAGCATGGGGGAACCAATGGAATGTCTAGAGCAGAGGCAAGTCAGGGCTACAGATACAGACTAGGGAACCACGTGCACAGCCATGACAGCTGAAGCCCTGGGCACAGATAAGATTACTTATCTCTGTATGTAAAGTGAGGTGAAGAACAGACACAAATCTGAGGAATACCCTCATCAGGAGAAAGAAAGAGTAGAAGAAACCCCAGAGAGAGCACGAGGAAGGTTAGGAAGCCAGAAGGAAACTATGCCACAAAGGTTAGGAAGGGGAGAGTTTCATAAAGATACCAGTCCACAGTGTAGGGCTGGGCATGGTGGCTCACACCTGTAATTCCAGCATTTTGGAGGCCAAGGCAGGCGGATCACGAGGTCAGGAGTTTGAGACTAGCCTGACCAACATGGTGAAACCCCATCTCTACTAAAATACAAAAATTAGCTGGGCGTGGTGGCAGGCGCCTGTTAATCCCAGCTACTTGGGAGGCTGAGGCAGAATTGTTTTAACCCGGGAGAGGGGGTTGCAGTGAGCTGAGATTGTGCCATTGCACTCCAGCCTAGGAAACAGGGTGAGATTCCATAAAAAAAAAAAAAAAAGGTCCACAGTGTACAATGCTGCAGAGAGAGATGCCATATCCAGCAGGTTCTCTGCAGTCTGAAATTAGGAGTCAGTGGTAGCCTTGGAGACAGTTGTTTCAGAAGCTTAATGAGGCAGGGGAAATGGACTGAGCACTAAGCAAAGGTAAGAAATAAGAGGAAGGAAATGTAGGCCACACCTTTCAGGCTCGAGAGAGGGAGAGAGGGCCAGCACATGAAAGCAAGCATATTCTCATGCAACACTGTGGCAAAGTTTTGTGTGTGTTTTTTTTAAAGCTGGAAGGCTGGGCATGGTGGCTCACGCGTGTAATCCTAATGTTCTGGGAGGCTGAGGTGGGAAGATTATTTGAGCCCAGGAGTTCAAGATCAGCCTGGGCAACAAAGCAAGACCTTGTTGCTACAAAAAACTTAAAAATTAGCCGGGCATGGTGGAATGTACCTGTAGTCCCAGCTACTTGAGAGGCTGAGGTGGGAGGATCACTTGAGCCCAGGAAGTCAAGGCTGCAGTGAGCACCCCACTACACTGCAGCCTGGGCAACAGAGTGAGACCCTGTTTCAAAAACATAATGTATAGGCTGAAGGCAAAGAGTCAAGGGCCAAGTGTTAAGTGAGAGGTTGAAGATGAAAGAAACAAAGAGAGACTGTAAATGAACAGATCAATCAATAAAGTGAGATCCCAAGATCTCAAAAGAGAAGAGATGAGAGTAAGAACATGGAGGGACAGACCTTCGAACAGGAAGAGGACAGTTCCTCCTCTGAGAAAAGAAAGGAGATACGGGTGGAACTGATACAGATGAGTCTGCCAAGTGTTAGGGAGGGAAGCTGAGGGAGTCTGGTCTTCCTTATAAACTAGTGAGAATGAAAGGTGATAATGCAACCGGGTGCAGTGGCTCACACCTGTAATCCCAGCACTTTGGGAAGCAGAGGTGGGCGGATCACCTGAGGTTGGGAGTTCGCGACCAGCCTGACCAACATAGAGAAACCCCGTCTCTACTAAAACTACAAAATTAGCTGGGCCCAATGGTGCATGCCTGTAATCCCAGCTACTCAGAAGGCTGAGGCAGGAGAATCGCTTGAACCCGGGAGGCGGAGGTTATGGTGAGCTGAGATCATGCCATTGCACTCCAGCCTGAGCAACAAGAGCGAAACTCCGTCTCAAAAAAAAAAAAAAAAAGACAACTGAGTGACAGAGCTTTAGATTTAGCAATGGTTTTAAATAAAAGTAGTATTTTTAAAAGATGAAAGATCAATCTAGAGCTAAAAAGAGACTACAATCAGACCAATTAAGTCTGAGAGGACTCACGGAGGCTGGTGGTAAATAAACTCTAGGGAAAAGAAGATCAAGAACACTTTTTTTTTTTTTTTTGAGACGGAGTCCCACTCTATCTCCCAGGCTGGAGTGCAGTGGCATGATCTCAGCTCACTGCAACCTCCGCCTCCCAGGTTCAAGCAATTCTCCTGCCACAGCCTCCCGAGTAGTTGGGATTACAGGCGCCTGCCACCATGCCCGGCTAGTTTGTGTATTTTTAGTAGAGACGGGGTTTCACCATGTTAGCCAGGCTGGTCTCAAACTCCTGTCCTCAGGTGATCTGCCCACCTCAGCCTCCCAAAGTATTGGGATTGCAGGCGTGAGCCACCACACCCAGCCAGAAAACTTTTGAAAGAGGAACTAAAAGGAAGGATATGTTCACTGAGGACAAGTGAGGGATATGAAACGGAAGAGTAAAAACCATCGTTTCTGAAGGTTCTAAACATCCATATGTCCCTTTTCATAGCTTGTAGATGCTAAGTCTCAGAAACCAAGCTTATATGTCACAGGCATTTGCCTGAATCTGTAGGCTCAGAAATGTACATATGCGAGATGTCTGTATGAAACAGACCAGCAAGTCTTCTGCTCTAGTCAACTGCTTGCAGTGACCCAACATGTACTGGACTAAGGGTATAGGGTATAGGTGCCAACAGGAACAACTGATGATGGAGTGAAGGCTTACTTTCAAAAAATTTATCACAAATTGATTCCATTCATCACTTCATATATAACCTTATTCTACTAAGTAACACAAGATATTAAAAACTGCCAAGTCTCCACGCATCCATTCACTATCAGCAGCAATAAAGATTACATGTGCTGAGTGCTCACCGCACGCCATACTATACTCAGCTTTTCTATTATCTTACTTTAAACCTCCTTACAACTCCAAGGAGGGTGTCATTCCTTTTTGTTGTTGTTGTTGAGATGGTGTCTCGCTCTGTCGCCCAGGCTGGAGTGCAGTGGTGCGGTCCTAGCTCACTGCAACCTCCGCCTCCCGGGTTCAAGCAATTCTCCTGCCTCAGCCTCCCGAGTAGCTGGGACTACAGGTGCATGCCGCCACGCCCGGCTAATTTTTTTGTATTTTAGTAGAGACGGGGTTTCACCATGTTGCCCAGGCTGGTCTCGAACTCCTGAGCTCAGGCAATCCACCCGGCTCCGCCTCCCAAAGTGCTGGGATTACAGGCGGGAGCCACTGCACACCACCGTCATTCCTTTTTAAATGTTGATGAAACTCATACCTGGGAGGTTAGACAGTTTGTCCAAAGTCACAGAGCTAATAAATGGTACAGACAGAACTTCAACCCAGGCCCACCAGATGTCAAAATATGTGCTTCTCAAATGATTATACAACACTACCTTATGTCAAAATCAAGTCCCCAAAACTGAGACTTTATTTTTCAATTCAAATTGAAGTGACCAAAAATTTATCGTATTCCTAAAACAATATAAGAAATAAATAGTTGTGAGTTATTTAAAATAAATTTCAGATACAAAGGACCTCTCTACAAGAGCATACATTGACGCTGGGTGCAGTGGCTCAAGCCTGTAATCCCGGGACTCTGGGAGGCCGATGCGGGCAGATCACCGGAGGTCAGGAGTTTGAGAGCAGCCTGGCCAAGATAGTGAAACCCCGTCTCTACTAAAAATACAAAAATTAGCCGGGCGTGGTGGCACAAGCCTGTAATCCCAGCTACTCAGTAGGCTGAAGCAGGAGAATCACTTGAACCCAGGAGGTGGAGGTTGCAGTGAGCAGAGATCACGCCACTGTACTCCAGCCTGGGGGACAGAGCAAGACTCTATCTCAAAAAAAAAAAAAAAAAGAGCTTACATTGAGCTAAGGCGAGACTTGGTGGCTGGCTCATACCTATAATCTCAGCACTTTGGGGGAGCCAAGGTAAAAGGAGCTCAGGACTTTGAGACCAGCCTGGGCTGAACATAGTAAGACCTTGTCTCTACTTTTTTTTTTTTTTTTTTTTTTTTTGAGACGGAGTCTTGCTCTGTTGCCAGGCTGGAGTGCAGTGACGCGATCTCGGCTCACTGCAACATCTGCCTCCTGAGTTCAAGCAATTCTCCTGCCTCAGCTTCCCGAGTAGCTGGGACTACAGGTGCAAGCCACCACGCCGAGCTAATTTTTGTATTTTTAGTAGAGACAAGATTTCACCACGTTGGCCAGGATGGTCTTGATCTCTTGACCTTGTGATCCGCCCTCCTCGGCCTCCCAAAGTGCTGGGATTACAGGTGTGAGCCACTGCGCCTGGCCTCATTTCTACTTTAAAAAAAATTTTTTTAAGAGATAAAATGAAAAGCAATTTAAATACTTAGAAAATACATGATTGGCCCGGCCTGGTGGCTCATGCCTGTAATCCCAGCACTTTGGGAGACCAAGGCAGGTGGATCATTTGAGGTCAGGAGTTTAAGACTAGCCTGGCCAACATAGTGAAACCCCGTCTCTACCAAAAATATAAAAATTAGCCAGACGGTAGTGACATTTGCCTGTAGTCCCAGCTATTGGGGAGGCTGAGGCAGGAGAATCGCTTGAGCCCGGAAGGCGGGGGTTGTGGTGAGCCAAGGTCGTGCCACTGCACAGTCTGAGCAACAGAGTGAGACCCTGTCTCAAAAAAAAAAAAAAAAAAAAATAGAAATCACACTGGTCAGGGATAGGTTTACAAAAAAGGTGGTACTTGAGCCTGGCACAGTGGCTCACACCTGTAATCCCAGCACTTTGCGAGGACAAAGCAGGCGGATCACAAGGTCAAGAGTTCGAGACCAGCCTGGTCAACTGGTGAAACCCTATCTCTACTAAAGACACAAAAAATTAGCTGGGCATGGTGGAGGGCGCCTGTAATCCCAGCTACTTGGGAGGCTGAGGCTGGAGAATCCCTTGAACCCAGGAGGCAGAGGTTGCAGTGAGCCGAGATCATGCCAGTGCACTCCAGCACGGGTGACAGGGAGAGACTCCGTCTCAAAAAAAAAAAAAAAAGAAAGCCAGGCGCAGTGGCTCATGCCTGTAATCCCAGCACTTTGGGAGGCCGA
Source organism: Homo sapiens (assembly GCF_000001405.40). NCBI lineage: Eukaryota > Metazoa > Chordata > Mammalia > Primates > Hominidae > Homo > Homo sapiens. The sequence goes on along the minus strand of NC_000012.12, from coordinate 50,510,894 downwards.
GGTGGGCGGATCACCTGAGGTCGGGAGTTCAAGACCAGCCTGACCAACATAGGGAAACCCCATTTCTACTAAAAATACAAAATTAGCCAGGCGTGGTGGCACATGCCTGTAATCCCAGCTACTCAGGAGGCTGAGGCAGAAGAATCGCTTGAACCCAGGAGGTGGAGGTTGCGGTGAGCTGAGATCGTGCCATTACACTCCAGCCTGGGCAACAAGAGTGAAACTCCGTCTCAAAAAAAAAAAAAAGGTGGTACTTTAGCTGAACCCTTAAAGATTTGCGAGAAACTGTGCATATAAGCAAGAAGGAGCATTTCAAAGAGTATCCCTGAATTAGTCACATGAGAGAGAACCATGGAGAACTCTAGTAATTAGAATACAAATATAGTATGAAGGCCCTTTTTAGCCAGTCATATGAACTTTCAACCCTGAAGTGCTAAGTCTTAAACAGGCTAGGACAGAAAGTTGTAACCAAGGGCTGAGCTAAGCGTGACATATTAATGATTTATCTTATTCAAAAATCCAGCTCAATGCCATGGGGCTGTCAAACAAGATTAATTTTTCAAAATACACACCAGAACAAGGGTATCCATAAAAGCTACTCTTTTCAATAAGGTGAATCATTCTTCCAGTGAATTTGTCTGTAAATTCTCTTCTGGAACTGCCCTCAAAACCAGTTTACAATCATTCTGATTTTTTTTGACAATCACAACTAAAATCAGTTTATAATCACTCTAATTTTTTCAGTCACAACTAGTTTGGGTTCTAAAAGAATATTAACCAGCTTTTCTCTACTTGATTCCAAGTGACCTATAAATGAAACTTTACCCTCAAAGAATTGAAATCTGCCACCATGAGGATTTTCAAAGGAATGTGTCACAGGCTCTGACAGTAATTCTGAAGATGAGCTCCTGCCCACCAAAAACACACATGCAAGTTCTGGAGGTAGATTACTTAGATAATGCCCATTCTTGGTTATTTAAAAATCTACATTCCTGCTTTCCTTAATACTCCTAGCATCAGATGTTACAACTGCTTAGACAGAACTTTGATAAAGGTGTATCCTACGAATCTATGACTAAGCTACGGATTTTGGGATAAGTGGCCCCGTTTCCCATGATAGGTAAAGCAGGAGGAATTTACCAGTTTTATGGTGGCTTAAGTCTAACTGCCCCCTTCTGAGACTGTAAAATCTTTATCCAACATCTCCTTTTTCCTCTTCAACTCTCCCACCTCTTCCCCATTAAAAGTCACTGCAATTCCTAGGAAGCAGTCTTCTCTTATCCCTTTGCCTTCGTGGCAGACCCTGTGCCATGCTTTAAGGACCACAAAGCTACGTGATGAAACAGACAGGAGAAAGGGAGGATGGGACTATGTTTACTGTTTGTACTCAGAGAAGTGTTCAAACAAGAAAAGGGAGGATCCCTTCCTGTGAGTGTTATTTTATCTTAAATACCTTTCCAGTTGTCATCTTTGGACTGTTCTCAGACACTGAAAGACTTGAGCTCCTTCCTGCATGCCACAGAAGTATAGGAACATTCTTCGCGTTGCACTTATGGCTGAACTGCACAGGCTAAATTATAGCCCGCTCTACTAGCCACACAATCCAATCTCGTATTTATAATTCTCTTCTATCTCTCACAACGATAAAGCAGATAGCTTCCTCTTTTCTTAGAAGGCAGCCTCTGTACATAACTCCACCATGGTCATGCACTGTTTTGTTGGCAGTTTTCAATGATTTCCCTGGCAGACTCAGAGCTTCTTAAAAGCTACCAGGGTATCCTGCTCATTTGCACACAGTAGGCACAAAATACACATCTGCTGAACTGAATGCATAAGTGATGGATTTGAAAGAGATTTCAGAGAGAGAATCAACACTGTGGTATAGAACTGTTTAGGGCCAGGTGCAGTGGCTTACACCTGTAATCCCAGCACTTCAGGAGGCCAAGGCAGGCAGATCATCTGAGGTCGGGAGATCGAGACCCACCTGACCAACATGGAGAAAACCCGTGTCTACTACAAAATTAGCCAGGCGTGGTGGCGCATGCCTGTAATCCCAGCTACTCAGAAAGGCTGAGGCAGGAGAATCACCTGAACCCGGGAGGCAGAGGTTGCAGTGAGCTGAGATCGCACCATTTCACTCCAGCCTGGGCAACAAGAGAAACTCCATCGCAAAAAAAAAAAAGGTAGCATTTCCTTAGAGAAAAAATTAGTTAACAGCTTGTGCAATGACAGCACAAATATTTAAATCATTCCAATGTCATCGTCACATGACAGCTTAGGATAACGACACTTATTAGGTATGCAGCTTTAGACAAAACAATCTTTCTGAGTACAAGTTTTCCCTTCTGTTAAGCCACAAAAAAGAAAGGGGCGGTGGGTGGTAACAATACCTATTCTATCTAGTGAAGTTTAGTAAAGCTCAAATGACAATGTACAAAAAGATCATTACACAAATATAATGTATTATTGGACAGATTTAAGCAAATTAATTCTCCCCATTAGTGCTACTTTATGTACATACACTTGACTAGACCATATACATAAGTCCAAACAACAGAGCTGTCAAGCATATAATAAAATATGTGGATCATTAAAAATTTCAGTCACAGAAATACTTGCAGAAACCTTCTACCTATTCAACTCGTCTATAGAAAAGCTCATCCTTATGTGGAAATTCAGTTTTTAAATGATTTCCAGGCAGTTTCAGCCTGTTCTTTTTGTGACAGAAGCAGGTTTTAACCAGGAAGCTGCCTGGTGACCTGCCTGAAGCACCAGACACATCACAGGGCTCTGCAACACGCTCTGCAGCAAAGAGCCCAAAGCAGGCACAAACCTGCATTTCAGCACAGAGTTGGCTGATCTATTACCAAAGCCTGCAGCTGAAAATACAGGCAAGCACAAAGAAAATTCTTTAACAGCATACAGCTCAGATTATTGCTATGATTAGGACCAATGACAGGCTGAACCTTAAAAAAAAAAAGAGAGAAAGAAAGAAAAAATGAAAATAGAGAAATGAGTGCACCAATGTCAGCAAGGCATGATAAACACACAGTTAAAAGCATCTTTAGCGGTGGCTCACGCCTGTAATCCTAACACTTTGGGAGGCTGAGGTTGGTGGATCATTTGAGGTCAGGAGTTTAAGATCAGCCTGGCCAACACGGTGAAACCCGGTCTCTACTATAAATACAAAAAAAATTAGCCCGGCAGTAGTGGCGCTTGCCTGTAATCCCAGCTACTGGGGAGGCTGAGGCAGGAGAACTGCTTGACCCTGGGAGGCGGAGGTTGCGGTAAGCTAAAATCGGGCAACAGTGTGAGACTCCATCTCAAAAAAAACAAACGAAAGAAAAGCATCTAAAACAAAAAAAGACAAAGTACTTATGTTAGAGCAGAGTAACTGTAGAGAAAATGCAAAACGAACAAACCTTAGCTCCAAATATGCTACAGGCATCACAAATAACACCATACTACACAGATATGGGGACTTTTGGATTATTTTAACTTCACTTGAATTCCTAATGTCTATCCACTTCTCCAGCCAACCATCCCCTGTACTTTAAGCAAGAAAGATGACCAATATGCTGACACTGCAGGCCCAAGTTTTTCAATTGTATTTTTTCCAGTCATCCATTGCTAAAACAAATGAAATACAAGAAGTGTAGTATATCTATAAGAAACAAATTCAAACCAAGTCAGATGCCAACCAAAATAATCCTTCATTGGAAAGCAAACCATGCACTTGTCCTTAAAATGTTTAAGCCTTGGCATTCACAATTTGTAGAAGTTTCACACCTTTCTGAAGGAGAGAGAGGTGAGCTAATCAGTGTGGGTCCTAGAAATAGTTCCTCAGAATGTTTCTAGACATTCTAGAGATGTCTAGAAACACCCAGAGATGTAAACAACAATCAGCTGGAAGCAGATATACCCAGAATAAGGAGCTTCCAGGATTTCCCTCTCCGTGTGAAAGCAATCAACTCCTATTTTTAATCTCCCTCTGACGCAAGCATCCAGGCAAACCTCTCTCTAATCAAAGCTAGATGATTTGTTACTTTCAAATAGCAGTTTTAAAAGTCAGATTTTAATGCAAGTCAACACAGATTTAATGTCAATGCTTTAGTCTAGGAGAAGAATGAGTTATCTTGAGAGACAGAATTGATGGTAATGCAAAAAGCTCCTCGATTTTCGAAGCGGGGGGAACTTAAGGTATAACTGGGCAGACAAACCCAGAGGATTCCTATCTTCTTAAACACTTCACAGAAACAAACTAATCTAATACCAGTGATTCCCGGGACTGGCCGAAGAATAACTTGAAAATTGGATTAATTGAAAAATAACATGTTGATAGTTAAGTACAGGTAAAAACAGCACTTTCCTACACATTGGGTTATTAAAAGGGTTATTAAAAATAATTATTTCCTTCAGTGCCCAACAGGATTTATAACATTCAACTCTATTTTTGGTTTTTCATTGTAAAGGATTCTCAGAGGGGAGGGAACCATAATGCCTTAATAAGTAAACAATAAGTAATGTTTAATAAGCTCCTGGGAGTTGGTCACATTCTTCTTTTCCAATCAAGAGTTTTTGATCCACTTGAAAAATGCTAGTGAAGAGGGCCTTCCACAAGGAACTCAGTAAGAATATGCAACTCTGGAGACACAATCAAAGTACTGGTATCAAGCTTGGAGAAAATGCTGCTTTTGTCTCAGGGGCAGCCAGTGATAAAAACAGGAACTTTACACAGAACTGATCACAACTGCCCCAGAAGCCTGATCACATGCCCACAACGGAGCACTGTGTTTCTCTCATTGTTGTACAAGGAGTTCTCTAATAACAGTGGCTTGATTTATCCCATTTTTTTTTTTTAATTCTGAAAATAAATCGAACCCTCCCTGTCCCAATCCATTGTCAAAAGAAAGAATGCCAGCCAGGATTTGCAAGTAAACGGTAGCCTCCTCTCCTTCCTTCATCAAAGACTCCAAAAGGTGACCAGATGCGGAAAATTCGGCCCGAATAACAGGCACCAGGAAAAAAAAAAACTTCTTATGACAAAGGTGGTCTAAAAGCAGCACCGTGTGTCTCTCTGGGTTAATGCCATTGCTTCTTATCTTCCTAGGACCCTAAATGGCTCACCCGCTTGTGTCTCACTCCTGTCACTGGGGAGGCATCGCGCATTGTTAAAGGAAAGAGAAGAAATGATGCTGCGGATTTCCCATGTGTCTCTTTTTGAAAGGGGGAAGGGGGGGCTGGAACAAGGCGTGGAGCCCTCCACGAAAAGGGGAGAGGAAAGGAGAAAGCTGTCAGCCACCCTCCTCGCAGCCCTACCCCTCACCCCACCTGGGCCAGACGCCTGGGCAGAAGCGGGAGGGCGCAGCTTTGTCTCGGGTTTTGGGGGGCAGGAAGCGCAGAAGCAGTGTGGGCCCGGGAGGACCTTTCCACAAGCCCTTACTTAGTCCCCTCCATGGGAAAACAATGAAAGCCACAGGAAACCACTTAATGGGGTGGGAGAGGAGGGAAAACGGTCGTGGAGCGCCAGGCCAGGTTCTCTACACCCTCGTCCCCCTCGCCGCACGGCCGCCAGAGCGCGCGGCGGGGACCTGTCTCCCAAGTCGCCGCGATCCGCAGGGCCCCGGGCGCCCTCTCCCCGGCCCGGCTCCTACCCTCCGAGAGCTCCAGCTCCAGCTCCGCCAGCTGCGCCCGCACTTCAGGCGGCAGCGCCGCCACCGCGGCCGGCGACGGCTCCAGGCCTCGTTCCGCCATCCCAGCTCCGCCAGCCACACTCCGGAAGACAAGAGAGGGGGCCGAAGGAGGGACGGACAGACACGGGCCCACACCCGGCTACAGGATCCGGCTCCGGCCGCCGAGCACCACCAGCACCGCCGCCGCCGCCGCCGCCGCCATGAGCAAAGGTCACGTGAGCGCGACGGCCCCCGCCCCCCGGCCAGGAGGACGCACCGCCTCTCCAGCCCAGTCAGGCTGAAGACGCATATGCTTACGGCGCCCTCTACTGGGAAGCTACCAGAACGACGGGCCCAAGCCCACCACTCGAATTTCCCTGCGCGAAATGGGCTCATGGTATGGACTGTCGGCTTTACCACAGTAGTGTGGACACATAGCATTTACCTTTCACTCTCGAGCAAGTTTTTAGGGGTCCCAGGCCTTACTTTTTCCAATACTAGACTTAGCAATGTATGTCTATCGTGTCCTTTACTCCATTTTCCCTGATTAATACCTGCCCATTTATAAAAACCTAATCACAGGCCACCTCCTTCGCTGTGGCTCCTGGTCCTATCTGCCAGGAGCTCTGTTTCCGTTTCAGTTTTAGCTTTTAAAAAGACAGGCGCGGTGGCTCTCGCCTGTAATCCTAGCACTTTGGGAGGCTGAGGCTGGTGGATCACCTGAGGTTAAGAGTACCAGGCTAGCCGACCGGGCGCGGTGGCTCACGCCTGTAATCCCAGCACTTTGGGAGGCCGAGACGGGTGGATCACGAAGTCAGGAGATCGAGACCATCCTGGCTGACACGGTGAAACCCCGTCTCTACTAAAAGTACAAAAAATTAGCCGGGCGTGGTGGCGGGCGCCTGTAGTCCCAGCTACTCGGGAGGCTGAGGCAGGAGAATGGCGTGAACCCGGGAGGCGGAGCTTGCAGTGAGCCAAGATCACGCCACTGCACTCCAGCCTGAGCGTGAGCGCGAGACTCCGACTCAAAAAAAAAAAAAAAAGAGTACTAGGCCAGCCTGGCCAACATGGTGAAACCCCGTCTCCAATAAAAATACAAAAATTAGCCGGGCGTGGTGGCGGATGCCTGTACTCCTAGCTACTCAAGAGGCTGAGGCAGGAGAATCACTTGAACCCAGGAGGCAGAGGTTACAGTAAGCTGAGATCGCGTCATTGCACTCCAGCCCGGGCAAGAGAGCAAACACTCCGTCTAAAGAAAAGAAAAAGACAATAGAGAGCAGGTCCACTTCTTTCTTTCTATACTTCTAACTACTTACAAGGAGGGAACTTACTTTAACTCATCCTCCTCACTCTGTGGCCTAATAGGTGTTCCAAAAACATTAATTTTAATTTAATATGAAGAGGGTCCAAGGCTAGGTGCAGTGGCTCACACCTATGATCCCAGCACTTTGGGAGGCCAAGGTGGGCGGATCACCTGAGGTCAAGAGTTCGAGACCAGCCTGGCCAACATGGCGAAACCCCGTCTCTACTAAAAACACAAAAATTAGCCGGGAGTAGTGGCACATGCCTGTAATCCCAGCTACCTGGGGGAGCTGAGGTAGGAACGTCGCTTGAACCCGGGAGGCCAAGGTTACAGTGAGCTGAGAACATGGCGGCTGCGCTCCAGCCTGGGCAACGCAGTGAAACTGTTTCAAAAAAAAAAAAAAAAGTCAAGGCCGGGCGTGGTCGCTCACATCTGTAATCCCAGCACTTTGGGAGGCCGAGGCAGGCAGATCACCTGAGGTCAGGAGTTGGAGATCAGCCTGACCAGTATGGTGAAACCCCGCGTCTACTAAAAATACAAAAATTAGCTGGGCATGGTGGCATGTGCCTGTAATCCCAGCTACTCGGGAGGCTGAGACAGGAGAATCGCTTGAACCCGGGAAGTGGAGGTTGCGGTAAGCCCAGATTGCACCACTGCATTCCAGCCTGGGCAACAAGAGCGAAACTCCGTCTCAAAAAAAAAAAAAAAAAAAAAGGAAAAACTGGATGAAGCATACACAGGAATTATCTGTACTATCTTTGCAACTTTTCAGTAAATTTAAAACCATTCTAAAGTAAAACATTTATTTAAAATTATAGAAGCTTAGAACAAACTTGAGAGATCCTCCTACCTCAGCCTCTCAAAGTGCTGGGATTACAGGCATAAGCCACCTCATCCAGCCTTTACTGCATTCTTCCACCAAATTATTCTACCTTTTTGCTAGATTATTCCTTATATTCTCTTTATTTCTAATTGTTTATTCTTTACCTTAATCTTTTTGTCTAGATATTATTGTTGTACCAGCCTTTTTAATTACTACTTGCTGACTTTTTTTAGTCTTTTATTTTCAACTTTTGTCTGTGACTCTGGTTGTAACAAATTAATTAAATCCATTTAAGTTCATTTAATATAATTACTGATATATTAGGACTTATTTCTTCATTCTTGTTAAATGTTTTCTGTTTATCAATCTCTGTCTTTGCTTTCTTCCCCCCCTTTTTCTCCTATTGTTGAATTAGTAAAGTGTTAGATAGTACTTCTTTGTTCTTCTGGTTTGGAAGGTACAGATTATACTGCTATTCTTTCTGTGACTATTTTAAAAGTTTAACATTAAATTTTTCTCCGAGGCCAGGTGTGGTGGCTCATGCTTTTGGAGAAAAACTTTTAAAAATTAACAAACAAAAATATACTATGTTTATACTGTGTCACCGTTTTTTTTTTTTTTAGACAGAGTCTCGCTCTGTCACCCAGGCTAGAGTGCAGTGGCGCAATTTCAGCTTACTACAACCTCTGCCTCCCGGGTTCAAGCGGTTTTCCTGCCTCAGCCTCCCAAGTAGCTGTGATTACAGGCACCGGCCACCATGCCCGGCTAATTTTTGTATTTTTAGTATTTTTAGTAGAAATGTGGTTTCACCATGTTGGCCAGGCTGGTCTCGAACTCCTGACCTCAAGTGATCCACTGGCCTCAGCCTCCCAAACTTCTGGGATTACAGGCGTGAGCCACCGCACCAGCACCTTTACCAGTGCTGTTTATTTCTTCGTGTGAACTCAGGCTATTGTCTAATAATCTTTCATTTCAGGCTGAATGGCTCACATTGCGGGGCAAGTGACAAATTCAGTTGTTGTTTATCTAGGAATGTCTGCATTCTCCATCATTTTTCTTTTTTTCTTTTTTTTTCTTTTTTTTTTTTTTTTTTTTTTTTGAGACGGGGTCTTGCCCTGTCACTCAGGCTGGGGTGCAGTGGCACCATGTTGGCTTGCTGCAACTTCAATCTCCTGGGCTTAAGTAATCCTCCCACCTCAGCCTCCCAAGTATCTGGGATTATAAATTCATGCCTCTACACTCGGCTGATTTTTTACTTTTTTGTAGACATGAGGTCTCACTGTGTTGCCCAGGCTGGTCTCAAACTCGGGCTCAAGTGATCCTCTCCTCGGCCTCTCAAAGTGCTGAGATTACAGGCATGAGCCACCACACCTGGCCTCTCCTTCATTTTTGAGGTATAGTTTTGTGGATATGGAATTGTTGGTTGACAATTTTTTTTAGCATTTTGAATGTCTTTCCACTGCCTTCTGGGCTCCATGGTTTCTTTTTTATTATTATTATTTTTGAGATGGAGTTTCGCTCCTGTTGCCCAGGCTAGAGTGCAATGGCAAGATCTCGGCTCACTGCAACCTCTGCCTCCCAGGTTCAAGTAATTCTCCTGCCTCAGCCTCCCGAGTAGCTGGGATTACAGGCATGCCCCACCACGCCTGGCTAATATTGTATTTTTAGTAGAGATGGGTTTTCTCCATGTTGGTCAGGCTGGTCTCAAACTCCCAACCTCAGGTGATACACCAACCTCGGCCTCCCAAAGTGCTGGGATTATAGGCGTGAGCCACCATGCCCAGCTGGGCTCCATGGTTTCTGATGAGAAGTCAGTTATTAATTTTGCTGAGGATCCCTTATACATGATGAGTTGCCTTTTTTTTTTTTTTTTTTTTGCTGTATTCAATGTTCTCTCTTTGTTTTTGTCTTTTGGCAGTTTGACCATAATGTGCCTAGGTGTGGATCTCTTTGAGTTTATTCTTCTTGGAGTTAACTGACCTTGAATGTGCACATTAATATTCTTTATCAAATTTGAGAAGTTTTCAGGGATTATTTCTTCAAATAAGCATTTTTTTTCCTTTAGAGACAGAGTCTCACTGTCAGCCAGTCTTCAGTGCAGTGGCACAATCATAGCTCACTGCAGCCTCAACCTCCCGGACTCAAGCCTGACTAATGTTTTTACTTTTTGTGGGGACAGGGGTCTCCCTATGTTGCCCAAGCTGTTCTCAAACTCTTGGGCTTAAGCAATCCTCCCACCTTGGCCTCTCAAGGTGCTAGGATTACAAATATGAACCACTCTGCCCAGCCTCTAAACACTGTTTTAAATACAAAGAAATAGTTCTTGTTTCTGCATGTCATAGCTTTGTAAGTTTACCTTTTTCTATTTTATCTAATATTGATGTATACATAGGAGAAAGGGTACTTCAGAACATGAATTTTAGAGCAATCTACCAAGTCTCATGATTACAATAGTTGAAAATTTGGAAAAATTGTCTACCCAGAAAATGCAACAGAATCAACTAAAATAACATTATTCATTCATTAAAATAAATATTAATGGCTGGGCTCAGTGGCTCAAACCTGTAATCCCAGCACTTTAGGAGGCCAAGGCGGGCAGATCACAAGGTCAGGAGTTCAAGACCAGCCTGGCCAACATGGTAAAAACCCCATCTCTACTAAAAATACAAAAATTAGCTGGGCGTGGTGGCGGGTGTCTGTAATCCCAACTACTTGGGAAGCTGAGACAGAGAACTGCTTGAACCTGGGAGGCAGAGATTGCAGTGAGCCAGGATCGCACCACTACACTCCAGCCTGGGTGACAGAGCAAGAGTCTGTCTCAAAAAAAAATAAATAAACAAAAAATATAAATAAAATATATATTAAGTTAATGTGACAGGTTAGGCATTGTCTAGGTGCTAGGGATACATTGTTTAAATAAGGTCCATATTCACATAGAGTTTAAATTCTAGTTCTAACAGACTATTAATGAGGGTTGTATAAGGTAACTTAAAATTAGGTAAATATATAAAAATAAATAACTTTCCTGTCTTATAGTAATTGCCATTGAAAGGTGAAATCGGCCGGGCATGGTGGCTCATGCCTGTAATCCCAGCACTTTGGGAGGCTGAAGCGGGCAGATCACGAGGTCAGGAGATCGAGACCATCCTGGCTAACACGGTGAAACCCCATCTGTACTAAAAAATACCAAAAAAAATTAGCCAGGCATGGCGGCTGGCGCCTGTAGTCCCAGCTGCTTGAGAGGCTGAGGCAGGAGAATGGTGTGAACCTGGGAGGCAGAGCTTCCAGTGAGCTGAGATCATGCCACTGCACTCCAGCCTGGGTGACAGAGTGAGATTCCGTCTCAAAAAAAAAAAAAAAAGAAAGAAAGAAAGGCAAAATCCATTCATAGTTATAACAAAACATAACATAAATAGGAATATCCCTAGCAAGAAATGTACAGACCTATATGAAAAAAAAAAACCTCTAACAGTAACTGATCTGAAAGAAGACCTAGCTGAAAAACAAACAGAAAAAGAAACCTAAATGAATAATTACCCATTTCTAGAAGACTCAATATCATGAAGGTATCAGTACTTTAAAACTTAATCAGTAAAAATCAATGCAATATTTATCAAATCTCGGCCAGGCACAATGGCTCACACCTGTAATCCCAGCACTTTGGGAGGCCGAGGCGGGTGGATCACAAGGTCAGGAGATCAAGACCATCCTGGCTAACACAGTGAAACCCCGTCTCTACTAAAAAATACAAAAAAATTAGCCGAGTTTGGTGGTGGGCGCCTGTAGTCCCAGCTACTCAGGAAGCTGAGGCAGGAGAATGGCATGAACCCAGGAGGCAGAGCTTGCAGTGAGCCGAGATCGCACCACTGCACTCCAGCCTGGGCGACAGAGCAAGATTCTGTCTAAAAAAAAAAAAAAAATTTATCAAATCTCATATTTTTTTTTTTTTTTTGAGACAAGGCCTCAATCAGGCTGGAGTGCAGTGGCACGATCTCGGCTCACTGCAACCTCTTTCTCCCAGGTTAGGTTCAAGCAATTCTCCAGCCTCAGCCTCCCTAGTAGCTGGGACTGCAGGCACCACCACTACACCCAGCAAATTTTTTTTTTTTTTTTTGAGACTGAGTTTCGCTCTGTCGCCCAGGCTGGAGTGCAGTGGTGCAATCTCGGCTCACTGCAACCTCTGCCTCCCAGGTTCAAACGATTCTCCTGCCTCAGCCTCCCGAGTAGCTGGGACTACAGATGTGCACCACTGTTGAGAGCAAGCCTCCCCCCAAATCTGGCCAAAAACTGGCCCCAAAACTGGCCATAAACAAAATCTCTGCAGCACTGTAACATGTTCATAATGGCCCTAACGCCCATGCCGGAAGGTGGAACACCCATGGGAATGAGGGCAAGGAACACCTGGCCCATGCAGGGCAGAAAACCGCTTAAAGGCATTCTTAAGCCACAATCAATAGCATGAGCAATCTGTGCCTTAAGGACATGCTCCTGCTGCAGTTAACTAGCCCAACCTATTCCTTTAATTTGGCCCATCCCTTCATTTCCCATAAGGGATACTTTTAGTTAGTTTAATATCTATAGAAACAAAACAATGCTAATGACTGGCTTGCTGTTAATAAATATGTGGGTAAATCTCTGTTCGGGGCTCTCAGCTCTGAAGGCTGTGAGATCCCTGATTTCCCACTTCACACCTCTATATTTCTGTGTGTGTGTCTTTAATTCTTCTAGTGCCACTAGGTTAGGGTCTCCCCGACCGAGCTGGTCTCGGCAAGTGGCGCCCAACGTGGGGCCTCGCATCCAAGTCGAAGGGTCGCCAGAGCGACAGTTGGAATGGAAAACTAGCTGGAGGACACCTGAGTACTCTTAAAGCAATCCCCATGGTGACCAAGAAGGGGAGCTTGGAAGCGTCAGGGTAACAATGGGACAAGTTTGGGGTCTGGTTCATTCCACCTTGGAACTTTTTCACACTGATGAGGAGGAGGAAGGAGAGTATAGAGAAGTAACAGAAGTGGTTACAGAGCATGTTTATTTTCTAGCTAAAGCTAAAGTGGCAAAGGAGGGAGAGGTTCATCCCTACCCTTCTGCACCCCCTCATTATTATTTTGAAGAAAAAGACCCTCCGGATCCTTCTTTTCCGGAGGACATTGGGTGAAAAGTAGTTGCCCCAGTGACTGTTCGAGCAGCGCCTTGAGTGACCACTCTTAGTTCTATTCAGGCAGGAATTCAGCAAGCTAGACAAGAGGGTGATTTAGAGGCTTGGCAGTTTCCTGTTAGAACACACCCCCCAGATCAACAGGGAAATATTACAGCTACATTTGAGCCTTTTCCTTTTAAATTACTCAAAGAATTTAAACAAGCTATAAATCAGTATGGACCAGGTTCTCCTTTTGTAATGGGACTGTTAAAGAATGTTGCTGTTTCCAGTTGGATGATACCTACTGACTGGGACACTCTTACTCGAGCTTGTCTAACTCCTGCTCAGTTCTTACAATTTAAAACTTGGTGGGCAGATAAAGCTTCCATTCAGGCTGCTTGCAATGTCCAGGCCCAACCTCAACTTTCGGGGGTTGGCAGCTGGGCTGGTTTAGATGCACAAGTGGTCATGCAGGATGATGCCATAGAACAGTTTAGCAGAGTGTGCATTAGAGCTTGGGAAAAAATCACTTCACATGGAGAAAAATACCCTTCCTTTAGTGCTATAAAACGGGAACCAAGAGAACCATATGTTGATTGTATAGCTCAGTTACAGGAGTCTCTTAAAAAGATGATTGCAGATTCGGCTGCTCAGGATATAGTGTTGCAGTTATTAGCTTTCGACAATGCTAATCCTGATTGGCAGGCTGCTCTGTGACCTATTAGAGGGAAAGCACATTTAGTTGATTATATCAAGGCCTGTGATGGTATCGGAGGTAATCTGCATAAAGCTACTTTGTTGGCACAGGCAATGGCAGAACTGAGAGTGGATAAAAGAAATACTCCATTTCCTGGAGCTTATTTTAACTGTGGGAAGCATGGTCATACTGAAAAAGAATGTAGAAAAAAATCAGCAAGTCAGGCTGCCAGATAGGGGAAAAAAGAAAATTGCTGAGCCTGAAATATGTCCAAAGTATAAAAAAGGAAAACATTGGGCTCCTCACTGTCACTCTAAGTTTGATAAAGATGGGAACCCGATTTTGGGAAATGCCATCAGGGGCCCGTCCTGGGCCCTGTTCTAAACCAGGGCATTTCCAGCTCAGGCCATTCCCTCACCCCGTACAATGTCTGTCCCCCGCCACAGCCAGTAGTGCCACAGTAGGTTTATGCTGCACAAAAACTGTGAGCCTTCTGCCTGGGGAACCCCCGCCAAAGGTCCCAACAGGAGTCTGTGGACCCTTGCCAGCAGGGACAATAGGATTACTTTTAGGAAGGTCTAGTTTAAGTTTAAAAGGCGTACAAATACATACAGGAGTCATTGATTCAGATTATAATGGGGAAATTCAAATTATTATATCTACTTCTGTTGCCTGGAAAACAGAGCCAGGAGAGTGCATAGCACAGCTCCTGATTGTGCCATATGTGGGAATGGGAAAAAGTGAAATCAAACGAACAGGAGGATTTGGAAGCACAAATAAACAAGGCAAAGCAGTTTATTGGGTAAATCAAATTGATAAACATCCTACCTTTGAAATAACTATTCAGGGAAATAAATTTAAAGGTTTGGTAGATACAGGAACGGACATTTCAATCATTTCTCTACAGCACTGGCTGTCTGCGTGGCCAATTCAACCCGCTCAATTTAACATAGGTGGAATTGGTAAAGTCACTGAAGTATATCAAAGTAGTTATATTTTGCATTGTGAAGGGTCCAATGGACAACCTGGGACTATTCAACCAATTATAACTTCTGTACCTATAAATTTATGGGGAAGAGATTTATTACAACAATGGGGAGCACAAGTTCTAATTCCAGAACAATTATATAGCCCTCAAAGTCAACATATGATGCATGAAATGGGGTATGTCCCTGGTATGGGAGTAGAAAAAAATTTGCAAGTTTTGAAAGAACCACTTCAAGCAGAAAAACAAAGTTCCCACCAAAGATCAGGAAATAATTTTTGATGGCAGCCATTGTTAAGCCTCCAGAACCTATACCTTTAAAACAGTTAACAGATAAGCCAATTTGGATAGAACAATGGCTACTAAGTAAAGAGAAACTGGAGGCTTTAGATAAATTACGTTACTGAACAATTAGAAAATGGGCACATAGCTCCAACATTTTCTCCTTGGAATTCTCCAGTTTTCGTAATTAAGAAAAAATCAGGTAAATGGAGAATATTAACTGACTTAAGAGCCATCAATTCAGTTATACAACCTATGGGGGGCATTACAGCCAGGATTGCCTTCTCCTGCTATAATTCCAAAAAATTGGCCTTTAATAGTCATAGATTTAAAAGACTGTTTCCTTACTATCCCTTTAGCTGAGCAAGACTGAATGGTTTGCATTTACAATTCCTGTAGTAAACAACCTGCACCCTGCTAAGCGTTATCATTTGAAAGTGTTGCCCCAGGGCATATTGAACAGTCCCACAATTTGCCAGACTTATGTGGGGCAAGCAATTGAACCTACTCGTAAAAAATTTTCACAGTGTTACATTATTCACTATATGGATGATATACTTTGTGCTGCCCCCACTCGAGAAATATTACTCCAATGTTATGATCACTTGCAAAATTCGATTTCTCGTGCTGGCTTAATTATAGCTCCTGACAAAACTCAGACTACTACTCCTTACTCCTACTTGGGGACCTTAGTAAATGACACTACCATTGTGCAACAGAAAGTAACCATACATAGGGATCAACTGAAAACATTATATGACTTTCAAAAATTACTAGGGGACATTAATTGGATACGACGTGCTCTAGGCATTCCTACCTATGCCATGAGTAATCTGTTTTCTATCCTTAGAGCAAATCCTAGTCTCACTAGCCCTCAGCAATTAACAAAGGAGGCTGAGGCAGAGTTACAACTGAGAAGCAAGTCCATAAAGCTCAAATAAATAGATCCAGAGAAGACTCTAGATTTGCTAATTTTTTCCACTCAGCATTCACCTACTGGTGTTACTGTCCAAGAACAGGACTTAGTAGAGTGGCTTTTTCTTCCACATACTAATTCACGGACTCTAACTCCTTATTTAGATCAAATTGTTACAATGATAGGGATTGGGAGAACTCGGATTGTTAAATTACATGGATATGATCCTGGAAAAATTATTGTCCCTCTCACGAAAGCACAAATACAGCAAGCTTTTATAAATAGTCTTTCTTGGCAAACCCATTTAGCTGACTTTTTGGGTATTCTCGATAATCATTTTCCTAAAATGAAGCTGTTTCAGTTTTTGAAATTAACTAATTGGATTCTCCCTAAAATAACTAAATTTAAACAAATTGAAGGTGCTGAGAATGTTTTTACAGATGGGTCTAGTAATGGTAAAGCTTCTTATTTTGGCTCAGAAAGTAGTTTTCCAGACGTCCTATACTTCAGCTCAAAAAGCGGAGCTTGTCGCTGTAATTGAGGTATTGACTGCTTTTGATATGCCTATTAATGTGATTTCTGATTCTTCATACGTGGTTCATTCCACACAGTTAATTGAAAATGCTCAGTTATGATTTCATACAAATGAACAACTGATGACTTTATTTACCCAATTGCAAACAGCAGTTAGAAGTAGAATGCACCCTTTTTACATCACTCACATTAGGGCTCATACACATCTTCCAGGACCTTTGACCAAAGGGAATCAAATGGCTGATCACCTAGTTGCTAATGCAATATCTAATGCTAGACACTTTCACAATTCAACCCATGTTAATGCCTCTGGTCTCAAATGCAGATACAGCATTACCTGGAACGAAGCTAAAGCTATTATCCAGCAATGTCCAACTTGCCAAATGGTACATTCCTCATCTTTTACAGGAGGAGTTAATCCTTGAGGACTGGAACCTAACTCTCTTTGGCAAATGGATGTCAAACATATTCCCTCGTTTGGGAGACTAGCTTATGTACATGTACGTGTGGACACCTTTTCTCACTTTGGGCTACATGCCAATCAGGAGAGTCTTCTGCCTGTTTTAAACATCACCTTTTGCAGTGTTTTGCAGTGATGGGCATTCCAGCTTCTATTAAAACAGATAATGCCCCAGTCTATACTAGCCAAGCTCTAGCTACATTTTTCTCTATGTGGAATATTAAACACATTACTGGTATCCCATACAATTCTCAAGGACAAGCCATAGTGGAAAGAATGAATCTCTCCCTAAAACAGCAGTTGCAAAAGCAGAAATGGGGAGACAGGGAATATGGAACCCCACAGATGCAACTGAACCTAGCATTATTAACTTTAAATTTTTTGAGCCTGCCTAAAGGACAAATGTTATCAGCAGCTGAACAGCATCTACAGAAACCAGCTGCAAAGACAGAAGCAAAACCATTGGTTTGGTGGAGAGATCCGATAACAAAAAGTTGGGAAATAGGTAAAATAATAACTTGGGGTAGAGGTTATGTTTGTGTTTCTCCAGGCCAAAATTAACAGCCGATTTGGATACCATCGAGACACCTGAAACCTTATCATGAGCCAGATGCCGAGGAAGAGATTCCAGAAGGATCCCGAGGACCCCCTGGTTGCAGCCATGTCGAGACCGATGCTGAGGAGGACCCCAACTGTCACGAGCAACACCTTTTGAACACAGCCACCCACCTGGGGACAGATCAAGAAGCTGTCACAGATGGTGGAAGAAAACCTGAGGAGAGTGGGACAACCAGTAACAATGAATAATTTAATGGTAGCTATGATAGCGGTTATCACCACTGCCGTGAGTATTCCTTCAATAAGGGCTGACACAGAGAACAATTATACTTATTGGGCATATTTATCAATCTTGGCTGGCAATAATGCCTAGATTTAATCACTCTATGACACAGTTACACATGCTTTCTGATCTCAGTATTGACCATAATAAATCTGTTCTTATAATTGAGTCATACTGCCCTCAAAAACCTATTTGTAAACAAAATTGAACCTGGCCAGAAAAAATGAATGTACTTGTTTAGGAAGATTGCGTTGCAGAACAGGTAGAGGTGCTGCACAATGATTCCTATGGAATCATTATTAATTGGTCCCCTAAGGGGATGTTTAGCTTGAATTGCACCTCTCAGTCTGCGTGCCATGGCCACACTATGTTCAGCTGGTCTGAACAAAATGGTCAGATGGTAGAAATGATAAGAAGTACAGCAAGAGTTCCTATTATCTGGAATCATGGTGGTATAGTGGCATCTCAACCTCAAATGATATGGCTCGCTGTAGGAGCTAAACATAAGGATTTGTGGAAACTATTAAATGCTTTAATAAGATCAAAATTTGGGAAAGAATAAAAAAAGCATCTAGAAGGACACTCTACAAACTTGTCTTTGGATATTGCAAAATTAAAAGAACAAATATTTAAAGCATCCCAGGCATACCTGACCTTAATGCCAGGAACTGGAGTGCTTAAAGGAGCTGGAAATGGATAAAAACACTTAGAATCTCTGTAATTTCAATGATGATTGTGCTTTTAATCTGTGTTGTTTGTCTTTGTATAGTCTGCAGTTGTGGATCCTGACTCCTGTGAGAAGTAGCTCACTGTGACAAAGCTGCCTTTGCTTTTATCAATTTGCAAATCAAAGAAGGGGGACATGTTGGGAGCAAGCCCCCCAAAATCTGGCCAAAAACTGGCCTCAAAACTGGCCATAAACAAAATCTCTGCAGCACTGTAACATGTTCATAATGGCCCTAGTGCCCCACTGGAAGGTTGTGGGTTCACGGGAGGAACACCTGGCCCGCCCAGGGCAGAAAACCGCTTAAAGGCATTCTTAAGCCACAAACAATAGCATGAGCGATCTGTGCCTTAAGGACATGCTCCTGCTGCAGTTAACTAGCCCAGCCTATTCCTTTAATTTGGCCCATCCCTTCATTTCCCATAAGGGATACTTTTAGTTAATTTAATATCTATAGAAAAATGCTAATGACTGGCTTGCTGTTAATAAATATGTGGGTAAATCTCTGTTTGGGACTCTCAGCTCTGAAGGCTGTGAGACCCCTGATTTCCCACTTCACACCTCTATATTTCTGTGTGTGTGGCTTTAATTCCTCTAGCACCGCTGGGTTAGGGTCTCCCTGACCGAGCTGGTCTCGGCACACCACCACTCCTGGCTAATTTTTGTATTTTTAGTAGAGATGGGGTTTCACTATGTTGGCCAGGCTGGTCTTGAACTCCTGACCTCAGGTGATCCACCTGCCTCGGCCTCCCAAAGTGCTGGGATTATAGGCATGAGCCACCACACCCGGCCTCATTGTAATTTTTAAAAATCATAACTTGACAAGCTGATTCTAAAGTTCAAACAGAAGACTTAATGTTCAAAGAAAGTAAAAAAAAAAAAAGATAGAAAAGGGGGCTTTGCCTGACCTGATATCAAGACATACTAAAAAGCTACAAGTCTAAAAACCAAGAAATCAGAAGGGAAGGCTGGTTAATGTAAATAAAACTTAAGTCTGAATGATGAATGGTAATATAAACATGCATGTTTTTTAGTGGCAAGGCTCAATATTTTATCAAATCAGTTGTCCTAAAATTTCCATGGCTGGGCACAGTGGGAAGCTGAGGCAGGCAGATCACCTGAGTTCGGGAGTTCCAGACCAGCCTGACCAACATGGAGAAACCCTGTCTCTACTAAAAATACAAAATTAGCCAGGCATGGTGGCACATGCTTATAATTCCAGCTACTCAGGAGGCTGAGGCAGAAGAATCACTTGAACCCGGGAGGCAGAGGTTGCAGTGAGCCGAGATCATGTCATTGCACTCCAGCCTGGGGCAACAAGCATGAAACTTTGTCTCAAAAGGAAAAACAAAAAACAAAAAAAACTTCATATAAGTGCAATGCAGGTTGGGCGCAGCGGCTCACGCCTGTAATCCCAGCACTTTGGGAGGCTGAGGTAGGTGGATCACCTGAGGTCAGGACTTCGAGATCAGCCTGGCCAACATGGCGAAACCCCACCTCTACTAAAAATACAAAAATTAGCCAGGCATAATGGTGCACACCTGTGATCTCAGCTACTCGGGAGGCTGAGGCAGGAGAATAGCTTGAACCTGAGAGGCGGAGGTTGCAGTGAGCTGAGATCACACCACTGTACTCCAGCCTGGGCAACAGAGTGAGACTCCATCTCAAAAAAAAAAAAAGTTCAATGCAATATTCATAAAAATCCTAACAGAATACTTCTTAACAAAATTCAATAGGTGATTCTAAAATCCACATTGAAGAAAATAATTCACAGGAGTGGCCAGGCATGCTAAACAAGAATAGTCATAGGAGCAACTTCCTCATTCAAACATCAAAATACACACACAAAAAAGATGTAGAATTTAAGGCAGAAAGCTATTAGGATAGGCATAGAATTGATAAAAGGCATTGGATAAACAGTGAAGAAACAATAATGCAGGAATAACTGAGAGTTTCCTTTGTGATAAAGGTGGCACCTCAAATCAGAGAGAAAGGATACAGTTTTCAATAATGGTTTTGGAACAAATGACTATTCAGAAAAAAATAATGCACCAAAATAAACTCTGAATATATTTAAAAGCTAAAATTCAGGCTAGGCATGGTTAATCAAGCCTATAATCTCAGTACTTTGGGAGGCGGAGGCAGGCTGATCACTTGAGGTCAGGAGTTCAAGACCAGCCTGACCAGCATGGCAAAACCTCATCTCTACTAAAAGTACAAAAATTAGCTGGGCACAGTGGCAGGCACCTATAATCCCAGCTGTTCAGGAGGCTGAGGCAGGAGAACCACTTGAACCCAGGAGACAGAGGTTGTAGTAAGCTGAGATCACGCCACTGCACTCCAGCCTGAGTGACAGAGTAAGATACCATCTCGAAAAAAAAAAAAAAAGCTAAAATTCAAAAACCAAAATTATTATAGTATTAGAAGAAAATACCAGACCCTACATACAAGTTAAAGAAATTACAGGCAAGAATTTTTTTTTTAGTGTATTTAACAGATAGCAAAATATTCAGAATATATAGAGGCTTGCCAGTAAACAAAAACTGACAACCTCATGGAAAAATAAGTAAGAAATAATACATGGCTAACAAACATATATAAAAAGATTTAAAAACTCATCAGAGGCCTGGCACAGTGGCTCATGCCTGTAATCCCAGCACTGTGGGAGGCCGAGGCAGGTGGATCACAAGGTCAGGAGTTTGAGACCAGCCTGGCCAACATAGTGAAACCTCATCTCTACTAAAAATTACAAAAAAAAATTAGCCAGGTGTGGCGGCAGGAGCCTGTAGTCCCAGCTACTTAGGAGGCTGAGGCAGGAGAATCACTTGAACCCGGGAGGTGAAGGTTGTAGTGAGCCAAGATTATGCCAATGCACTCCAGCCTGGGCAACAGAGCAAGACTGTCTCAAAAAAATAAATAAATAAAATAAATAAAAAAACAAAACACAGGCCGGGCACGGTGGCTCACGCCTGTAATCCCAGCACTTTGGGAGGCCGAGGTGGGTGGATCACGATGTCAGGAGATTGAGACCATCCTGGCTAACATGGTGAAACCCCGTCTGTACTTAAAAAAATACAAAAAATTAGCCAGGCCTGGTGGTGGGCACCTGTAGTCCCAGCTACTCGGGAGGCTGAGGCAGGAGAATGGCATGAACCTGGGAGGTAGAGGTTGCAGTGAGCCGAGATCCTGCCATTGCACTCCAGCCTGGGCAACAGAGCGAGACTCTGTCTCAAAAAAACAAAAACAAAAACAAAAACAAACAAACAAAAAACTTCATCAGAAATCAAGGAAATATGATTTTACCAATAACAGATACAGGATCCCTAAATTTTGATATATAGATGCTAAGAGTATCATGTCTCCTAATCTCTGGAGCGCACAGCTATGATCATCATAAAAGCCTGAAACTGCTGAAGGTAATCTGTCCTGTGAAGAGATTTGCTATATGGAAACTGGGGAAGAGAATTATTTCCTTATCTGGAAGTGTCTGCAAGGACTGTGTAAACATATAACTGTTACTCGCCAGTCTTTCCTGTCACATGGAGAGATCCCACTTAAGAAACAAGCCAACACACAGCTAACAGACTGGGCATAAGAGGGATAAATTGGAGAGAAGAGGAGAGATGGAGAGACAGGGTTAGGGTAAGAAGATGGATTACAAAGACTATACTTTCAGTCCGGTGCGGTGGCTTACGTCTGTAATCCCAGCACTTTGGGAGGCTGAGGCTGGTGGATCACTTGAGCCCAGGAGTTTCAGACCAGTCTGGTCAACATGGCTAAATCCCGACTCTAAAAAAATGCAAGTTGAGGCGGGAGGATCACCTGAGCCCAAGCGAGGAGGTTAAGGCTGCAGTGAGTTGTGATAGCGCCACCGCACTGCAGCCTGGGCGACAGAGTGAGACCCTATCTCAAAAAAAAAAAAAAAAAAAGAAAGAAAGAAAAAAAGAAAAGCATAAAAAGACTATACTTTCAGGGATCATTTCCATAGTTTGTTACTAGAGAAGTTTCTCTGAGCATGTGGAGCACTGAAATATCTAAGACTTCAAAAAAAAAAAAAAAAATTGATTACACACTTGAATCCAGCTCTATCACTGAACATTTAAAGTAGGCCTCTGGCTTCCCTCCGCTTATTTTCTAACCTCTTTTCAACCCTACATAATCATGCTTCCACTCACACTCTAGTGAATCAGTTTGGTAATGGTTACCAGTAACCACCTAATTGTGAAATCCAATGGACTTTTCAGACATCTCACCTATGTGACATTTATCATGAACATCCTCCAGCAGAGTGGTACATTTATTACAAATGATGGACTTACATTTTTTTTTTTAAGACAAGGTCTCTCCGTACCCCAGGCTGGAGTGCAGTGGCGTGATCAGGGTTCAATAAAGCCTCGACCTCCCTGCCTCAAGCAATCCTCCTGCCTCAGCCTCCCAAGCAGCTGAGACTACGGGCACAAGCCACCATGCCCAGCTAATTTATTTATTTATTTATTTTTTTGAGATCGAGTTTCTCCCTGTCGCCCAGGCTGGAGTGCAGTGGCTCGATCTCAGCTCACTGCAACCTCCGCTTCACCAAGCTCAGGTGATTCTCCTGCCTCAGCCTCCTGAACAGCTGGAATTACAGGTGCCCACCACCACACCCAGCTAATTTTTGTATTTTTAGTAGAGACAGGGTTTCACCACGTTGGCCAGGCTGGTCTCAAACTCCTGACCTTGAGTGATCCACCTGTCTTGGCCTCCTAAGTACTGGGATTACAGGTGTGAGCCACTGCGCAGGGCCAATTTTTGTATTTTTAGCAGAGACAGGGTTTTGCCATATTGGCCAGGCTGGTCTCAAACTCCTGGCCTCAAGTGATTCCCTCACCTTGGCCTCCCAAAGTGCTGGGATTACAGATGTGAGCCACCGCACCAGGCCCTGGCTAATTTTTTTTGTATTTTTTGTAGATACAGGGTTTCACCATGTTGCCCAGGCTGGTCAGGCGTGATTGCAGGCATGAGCCACCTTGCCTGGCCTGATGAACCTACACTGACACATCATTATCATTCAAATAACATAGTTTACATTAGCCTTCACTTTTGGTGCTGGCCATTCTGTGGGTTTGGACCAATGTCTAATGGTCCAACATGTATCCGCCATTATAGTATCATATATAGTTTCACTGCCCTGAAAATCCTCTGTGTTCCACCCATTCATCCATCCCTTGCTCTTCACCTTTGGCAATCCCTGCTCTTTTTGCTGTCTCTGTAGTTTTATCTGTTCCAGAATGTCATAACTTGGAATCATACAGCATGTAGCCTTTTTAGATTGGCCTCATTCACTTCATAATATGCATTTAAATTTTTTCCATGTCTTCATGGTTTGATAGCTCATTTCTTGTTAGTGCTGAATAACACTAACTGGATGTACCACAGTTTATTGATCCATTCACCTACTGAATGTTGCTTCTCAGTTTTGATAATTTTGAATAAAGCTGCTATAAACATCCATGTACAGGTTTTTGTGTGAACATATTTTCAACTCCTTTGGGTAAATACTAAGGAATATGATTGTTAGATCCCATGGTGACATGTTTAGTTTTGTGGAGAACTGTCAAATGGCTGTACCATTTTGCATTCCCACCAGCAATAAATGAGAAGTCATGTTGCTCCACATTCTGCTAGCATTTGGTGGTGTCAGTGTTCTGAATTATAGCTATTTTCATTAGGTGTAGAGGTATCTTGTTTTAATTTGCATTTTCTTCATGACATATAATATGGAGCACCTTTTTCAGATCCTTATTTTCCATACGATATGTCTTTTTTGGCAAGATGTTTGTTAAAGTCTTTGGTTCACTTTTTAATTTTTTTTGAGACAGGGTCTGGCCCTGTCACCCAGGCTGTAGTGGACCACAGCCTCAAACTCCCAGGCTCAAGTGATCCTCCCACCTCACTCTCCCAAGTAGCTGGGACTACAGGTACACATTACCACACCCAGCTAATAAAAAAAAATTTGTTTTAAGTTCTTTGTATATATTAGCGAACAGTTGCTTATCAGATATATCTTTTGCAATTTCCCCCCCAGTCTGTGGCTTGTATTTTATTCTCTCAACAGTCTCTTCTGCAGAGCACATTTGCTGTTGTTGTTGTTTTGAGACAGTCTTTCTGTATCCCCCAGGCTGGAGTGCAGTGGTGGGACCTTGGCTCACTGCAATCTCCATCTTCCAGGCTCAAGTGATCCTCCCAGCCTCCAGAGTAGTTGGGACTCCAGAGTAGTTGGGATTACAAGTGCACACCGCCACATCCAGCTAACTTTTGTATTATTAATTATTATTTTTTGATAAGGAGTCTCGCTCTGTCACCAGGCTGGAGTGCAGCAGTGCGATCCTGGCTCACTGCAACCTCTGCATCATGGGTTCAAGCAGTTCTCCTGCCTCAGCCTCCCCAGTAGCTGGGATTACAGGTGCGCACCACTATGCCCAGCTAATTTTTTTGTATTTTTAGTAGAGACGGGGTTTCACCATGTTGGCCAGGATGGTCTCGATCTCCTGAGCTCGTGATCCACCCGCCTCGGACTTCCAAAGTGCTGGGATTACAGACATGAGCCACTGTGCCTGGCCAGTTTATTCAGTTTTTGACTTGTTAGGATGAAGTGCCAACCTCCAAGATTCTCACATGCCAGACTGGAAACCAATGTCCCCTTTAAGCTTTTAAAAATTATTTTTATTTGAAACTATTTCCAAACAGATAATTAAACCTGCGTATACATCTCATCATCTAGATTTAAAAACTAGTGGCTGGGTGTGGTGGCTCACGCCTGTAATCCCAGCACTTTGGGAAGCTAAGGCAGGCGGATCACCTGAGGTCAGGAGTTCAAGACCAGACTGAGCAACACGGCAAAACCCTGTCTCTACTAAAAAGACAAAAATTACCCGGGCGTGGTGGCACGTGCCTGTAATCCAACTACTCGGGAGACTGAGGCAGGAGAATCGCTTGAACCCAGGAGGCAGAGGTTGCAGTGAGCCAAGACCGTGCCATTGCACTCCAGCCTGGGTGACAAGATTGAAACTCCATCTCAACAACAACAAAACAAAAACAAACAAACAAATTACCTGCCTGAATACACCAGGACCAGTTGCAGAGCTGGCTATGGTACACCTATAATTTCCTTCAAGGTGGGCAAAAAGGCCTTTTTTTTGAGACAGAGTCTTACTCTGTCACCCAGGCTAGAGTGCCGTGGCATGATCTCGGCTCACTGCAACCTCTGTCTCCCGGGTTCAAGCAATTCTCATGCCTCAGTGTATCAAGAGTAGCTGGGATTGAGACACATGCCACCATGCCTGGCTAATTTTTTAGAGACAGGGTTTCACCGTGTTGGCCAGGCTGGTCTTGAACTCCTGATCTCAAGTGATCCACCCATCTTGGATTCCCAAAGTGTTGGGATTACAGGCATGAGCTACCTTGACTGTCAGGGCATGGGAAAAGCCTTGATAGACATGCAAATTCCACAACCTTCAAGACATATTTATGGGTTTATTACTTCTGGACACAACCGGTTTGCTTAAGCAGACATGAATTATCAGTCTTTTTTGGATCCACAGAAAAATGACAAATTGATAATGAAGAAAAAAATTTTTAGGAGGTAATAAAGTCATGACAAACAATGCTTTTATTCGTCTACAGTACGTGGGAGACCTTATTGGTGAGGACTGGAAACATTAAGTCTTGAATGATATCATATGCTTAGCACAATAGTGGTGACTTGGAGACTCTCCAGGTGGGAAAGAGAATGATGAATAGGGTTAAGGACACAACAATCAAGGTAGAAAAAAAGGGGTGGATATAATGTTTAGCCCTGTCCGTAGCAGTCACGTTCAAAATTGGCTGTAAGTTTAATTTAATTAAAACCACCCTATACTACAGATTAACTACTGGATTTAAAATGATTGGTTTTGAAGGATGGGCAGGGTAGTGCATGCCTCTAATTCCAGCACTTTGGGAGGCTGAGGCGGGTGGATTGCTTGAGCCCTAGAGTTCAAGACCAGCCTGGGCAACAAAACAAGAGCGTGTCTCCACAAAACAAACAAATGAAAAAAAAAACCCAGGGCTGGTGACAGTGTGCACTTGTGGTCCCAGCTACTCAGGAGGCTGAGGTGGGAGGATCACCTGAGCCCAGCCTGGGTGATGAGACCCTGTCTCAACCAAAAAAAAAAAATGTATTGGGTTTGGTTCAGTATTATTTTTGTCCCCCCATTTTGGAAAGGAGACTTTTTTTGAGACGGAGTCTCATTTGGTTGCCCAGGCTGGAGTGCAGTGGCGCAACCTCGGCTCACTGCAAGATGCCCTCCCGGTTTCAATCAATTCTCCGGCCTCAGCCTTACAAGTAGCTGGGATTACAGGGGTGTGCCAACACGCCCGGCTAATTGTTGTATTTTTAGTAGAGATGGGGTTTCGTTATGTTGGCCAGGCTAGTCTCAAACTCCTGACCTCAGGTGATCTGCCCTACCCAGCCTCCCAAAGTGCTGGGATTACAGGCATCAGCCACCCCACCTGGCCGAGTCCCCCCATTTTGCCATGGTTAGGACTATAAAACATCTTCCAAGAGCTATAATATAATCATTATCATCTAAAAACTGTACTCATAGGCGGGGCACAGTGGCTCATGCCTGCAATCCACTTTGGGAGGCTGAGGTGAGAGGATTGCTTGAGCCTAAGAGTTCAAGACTAGCTTGGGCAACAAAACAAGAGTGTGTCTCTACATAAAAATAAAAAAATAGGCCTGGTGGCAGTGTGCACTTGTGATCCCAGCTACTCAGGAGGCTAAGACAGGAGGATTGCCTGAGTCCAGCAGGTAGAGGCTGCAGTGAGCTGTGGTGGCGCCACTGCATTCCAGCCTGGGTGACAGAATGACACCCTGTATCAATACCACAATGCACACTTCAGATCCCAGTAGTTTGGCTCTTACCTACTTCTGCAGCCTTATCTTAGAAGATGGAACAATATTCCCCATGCTGTAGCTGTGGGGCTTATAATTCTTCCATAAAGTAATATAGATTGTTCCCTCACATCTAAGGGCACCCTCTACCTGCTCATATAATTGACTCCTACTCTTTCAGATGTATGTCCTCAGTTTCTCCAAGCATTCGTTCTTGCACCATCCTCTACTCCAATCTCATAGACTGTCAGACTACATCTGTCATATTTACTATTGTTCTAAACTTGGCAATTATTTATGACTTTTTCATGCTAAGCACCATAAGGGCAGGAATCCTATCTATTTTTGCTGCCTAGCACCGTCTGGAACATAGCATACAATAAATACTAATTAAATGAACACTCCATCATGATTAGCTCCAATGCTGTCAATAACCTCAGTTTTGAAAAGATGATAGTTATTTTAGGCATAACTTAGAATGCAAAATAGCAGAATTAGAACTTAATCAAAGACCTGCAGAACAGCTGCCTTAAAAAATGCATTTTAAAAGCTAAACTAGGGCCAGGTGCAGTGGCTCAACCTGTAATACCAGCACCTCGGAAGCCAAGGCAGTAGGATCGCTTGAGCCCAGGAGTTTGAGACCAGCCTGGGCAACACAGTGAGACAATTTCTACAAACAAACAACAACAACAAGTAAGTGAATAAATAAATAAATGTCAGCTGGTGTGGTGATGCACACCTGTAGTCCCAGCTACTTGAGAGGCTGAGGTGGGAGAATTACTTGAATCCAGGAGGTCGAGGCTGCAATGAGTCATGACTGTGTCACTGTACTCCAGCCTGTGCAACAGAGCAAGACCGTCTCAAAATAAGTAAAAAACTAAATCAAAAAAATTTAAAACTAGCCAGGCATGGTGGCATGTGCTCCAGCTACCGGGGAGGCTAGAGTGGGAGGATTGCTCGAACCCAGGAGTTTGAGGGAATAGTGAGCCATGACTGTGCCACTGCAATCCAGCCTGGGTGACAGAGTGAGACCTTCTCTTAAACAAAAAGTTAAGAAACTGGGGTGCTTATTTGGAAACAATATTAAAAAAGTGAAAACATTCCAATTCCTTAAAATTCTCAAACTAAAGACACTATGGTTTTAAGAAAATTCGTAATTCTTTACTAGTAACTGTTAAGAACTTTTCATTTAAAAACTTCCAGGTATATCAGAGTATGATGGTGAATGAACAACAACAAAAAAAGAAAATAAAAAACTTTCAGGTATATAATTAAAACTTGAAGGCATAATATTTAGATTAATATTTTCTAACAAGAAGTGTAGTTAAATATAAGGTATCTGTAATGAAACTCTTTGCAAAATCACTCATTTTAAATACAACACGAGAGCCTACCTGAGTTTACCAATTTGGTTTTGGGTCCACTATAAAGAATACTGTGCTCTTTATATAAAATTTAAGTTATGCACCCCTCATATCTTGGCCAAATAAACATACTAAAACACTGATATAAGCCCCCTAAGGCTTTGTTAGAACTTAACCCTCATAAACCTGTCATTACCAGCACCACTTTGCTCACTGACATTAGCCATCTTCGTTAAGATAAATAATTGTTCATTTGCAAATTAAAGGCTTAGCTAAAGAGCTAATTATTAAAGTGAATGCTCATAATTAAATCTGTTACCTTAAGGTGTATCTACATACATATCCAAATTACATAACTTGGCAGAATAGTAAATATTTCTGAGAATATAATTTGAAATTAGGCCACATTTATTAAGAGTTCTACCACTGGCCAGGCGTAGTGGCTCACGCCTGTAATCCCAGCACTTTGGGAGGCCGAGGTGGGCGAATCACTTGAGGGCAGGAGTTCGAGACCAGCCTGGACAACATGGTGAAACCCCATCTCTACTAAAAAGACAAAAATTAGCTGGGTGTGGTTGCATGTGCCTGTAATCCAGGTACTTGGGAGGCTGAGGCAAGAGAATCGCTTGAACCTGGGAGGCGGAGGTTGCAGCAAGCTGAGATCCCACCTATGCACTCCAGACTGGGAGAGAGTGACTCTATCTCAAAAAAAACCCACAAAAAATTTCCACCATTAAAAAAAATTCACTTAAGACAATTCAAGAATAAACTGTGGTATAATAGCCATGAAACACCACTCCATTTTTTTTTTGAGACAGTCACTGTCGCCCAGGCTGGAGTGCAGTGGCACGATCTCTGCTCACTACAACCTCCGCCTCCTGGCGATTCCCATGCCTGAGACTCCAGAGTAGCTGGGATTACAGACATGAGCCACCACGCCGGGCTAATTTTTGTATTTTTAGTAGAGATGGGATTTCACCATGTTGGTCAGGCTGGTCTCAAACTCCTGACCTCAGTTGACCTGCCTGTCTCAGCTTCCCAAAGTGCTGGGATTAGAGGCGTGAGCCACTGCGCCCGGCCACTCCATTATTTTTAAGGTGTCACAATAATTTACAGATACCTGTTAAAAAGCCAGAGATTGACTCAGCTTTTCCATTTTTGCTTTGAAATGAAGCATTTTAAAAAAATCAAAACTCGGGCAGGGAGGCTGAGGTTGCACTGAGCCGAGATCGCGCCATAGCACTCCAGCCTGGGCAACAAGAGCAACTCGGTCTCAAACAAACAAAAAACACAAAACAAACCAACAAAAAAAACCCTCATTTAAATTCCCTAGTCAATTTTCCCTCTGAAAAGCCCCAAATACTCTAGGCTGGGCTTGATATGCACATACTCAAATCAAGCCACAATCGTTCCATGAAGGTACTCTTTAAGCTACACATTACCATGATTCCTGTCCCCCAACCACTATTTTTTTTTTTTCATGGGGTCTTGCTCTTTTGCCTAGGCTTCAGTGCACTGACACAATCATAACTCACAGCAGCCTTGAACTCCTGGGCTCGGGCAATCCTCCTGCCTCACCCTCTAGGTTGTTACATTGCCCAGGCTGGGCTTGAACTCATAGTCTCTAGTGATCCTTGCACCTCGGCCCCCTGAAGTGCACCCTGGGATTACAGGGCCACTGCAGTCTTTTCTCCCCTTTATTTATTTTGAGACGGAGTTTCATTAGTCAGTCACCCAGGACAGAGTGCAATGGCGCGATCCTGGCTCACTGCCATGTCCACCTTCCAGGTTCAAGCGATTCTCCTGCCTCAGCTTCCCAAGTAGCTGGGATTACAGGTGCCCACCACCATGCCTGGCTAATTTTTGTATTTTTAGTAGAGATGGGGTTTCACCATGTTGGCCAGGGTGGGCTTGAACTCCTGGCCCCAGGTGATCCGCCCGCCTTGGCCTCCCAAAGTGTTGGGATTACAGGCGTGAGCTACCGCGCCCAGCCATTTTTCACCCTTTAATAACTGCTTCTGATACTAAAATAACTAAAAGAATACCCCAGGATCATAAAGCTGTATCTTGTCTCTCTGCCCTTGTTTTAAGTGAAACACCATTACTTCCCACTGCCCTCATCATCCAAAAAACAACTTAGACAATAATAATAATAGAATTAGCGAGGGCAACATATAATACTGAAAGGTAGACAGAAGTAGTCATTAGACATACACCACCTAGAGAAAAGGAAACCAGTCCTGCTTTTTAATAATTTTATTTTTTTTCTAATTTTGTTAATTTCCCATAGCACCTTGGCGATGTTGAAAACAAATACAAATACAAGGATGTACTCATTTTAACATTTTATGCATGAGCATGTGTCACACCAATTTTGGGGGTAACAGTTTTGACAACAGGAACAAATCTAAGCAATCGACAAAACAGAAGCCGGATAACTGGCTCTGACCCCCACCCCCAACATTTAAGAGATGCAAAGGACACCTGAATTAGGTTAAAAAAATCAAGTTGATATGGATATTTCAACAGTGTTCTGTGCTGCAAAACTGAAAATAAAACCATTTAATACACAGCCCATTAATATCTGAGTTACGCTTTTAGGAACTGTCAACTCGAAGATTCATAAAAAGTTGTCAGCTTTTAAAAATAAACTTTAAGTTATCTAATAATCAGGTGAATTTCAAAGGAGGATTTACTCACAACTTGAAAATAAATTCTCTTTCAACTTCTTAAAATATCCTCATTCAGCTAATGAAAAGGGAAACATATATGTATCTTTTCGGAAGCTCAGACTAGCATATGCCCAAAAGCCTAAAGTTAAATTAATGGCCACCAAAATTGTAAGGAAATATAAAAAATTAGGAAAAAATCCATCATATATTATAGTTAATAATTTATAAAAGCCCCTCAGAAGGAATACACTGTTCTCTTTTGAGTTTTATCTTTTCTGTAAAAACAAAATTGGTACTTTTAAAATATGGTTAATATATATATTGCCAGCCTAAATACCAGAGACTTAACCCCAGTGTTGTTCAACTGTGTCAAAGTAAAACCAGTGGACATTTAAGCCAAGAGACTAATTATTAAGGCCATAACTAAGAAAACTAGAGAAGTGTTCATTAACTTTTAAATACTATTTTACGTTCCAGCAACATTCTTTTTGTTCTTCTTTACCCTAGTGAAGATGCTAACATTCCATCATTAAGCCTTTCCAAAGCAAACCTGTTTATTTAAAAAAGAAAAAGGAATGTGAAATAATATTCAAGCTATCTTAATTTTAGGAAACAAAAATAAATCAGAATTCTGCACAGCATCTGATCATCTGCAAATTCAGCACATAAGACAACTACAACAAACCTTTATCATTGAAAGCTCTTATATTCCTCAAAACCCAGCTGAAAAAAATTTAGATGGATCACTATTTTAAATGTCAGTGTATTTGGCAAAATTAAAATTACTCAGAGACAGGCCCTAGGTATTATGAAAACCTTAATTATCAGGATAGCAAATGGAGACAGGTTTTGCAATGTCTCTATGTACCTTCTCTATGAAGTGCAAAGTGGTGAACTTGTGTGACTCTTGTTCTCTTCATGCAGTAAGAACTATGGCAGAGTATCACTATACCCAACATTCAATATCATTTATACCTACTTTTAGCCTCCAACAGATCAAGGAAATGTCAAGTCATAAAGGTGAAGAGAAAAATTTGATTTTTTAAATTCCTCCATCTAAAGAACCAAATAAATAAACTACAATGAACATCCACCCTCATTAGTTACAAAGTAACGTTGGAAAAAAGCCAAGAGCTTCACACAACTCATAGGCATTATTTAGATACAAACTTTAAATCTGCTGTAATAAAATAAATGCTAAATACATACTGTGAATATATATAAATATTACACACACATACACACACACACACTCTCTCACTCTTCCCTATACATGCCATCAAATGGGAACTATTAGATGTAATGAGGCAAATTAAATTAAAAACATTGTCTTAATGAGAAAATTTTTAAAGGTTATATCTACAAATTAAATTTCTACTTTAAATAACATTTGAAGTAAAAGCAAAAATATACTTGCTTTCTTCTAAAAGAAGGCTCTTTTCTTGTATTTCAATTACAACCTTTAAATTTTTAGAGCTGGACTAACAGTAAGTCACACAAGCATACAAGTAATACAGACCTACATTTGTGACACATTGTTTAAAAAAAGTAATGTTTCATTTTAAGTGCAGTAATTAAGTTTATAATCCTTACCAAGTGATTTTTACAAAATGTTTATTCTCTGAAATCCAACGCATTCAAAGGATGTTAACACTTAAAACGTTTATCATTTCCACCAACTGCATTATCTTAGTAAACCAAAATAAGCACTTTTATCATAGATGTAGTCAATGATTAATATGTTTTTTTAAAGGACCTAAACTTCCCCCAAATTTCAGCACAGGTAGTTTTATTGTTATGTTTCACCTAGTAGGCAATTTTTAAAAATAGTGTGTAGAAATGAATAGTTTCAAACTGAGTAAATATAGTAGTATACCATGTCATAAAACAATCAAATCAAAAGCAACTGCCAAGCTAATAATAAGTCAAAGAAATAGTAATTCTGGCTTGTACAGATATGTGCAGTGTTTTCAAAGCTCTTAACAGTTAACCACTAACATGTATCTCCAAAGCTTAACTTAGAGTTGGAAGATGAATTTCACAGTAATGTAATTTTAACCACCATTTACATTCACTTTAATATATTACTAAGATGTTTACTCTATGTCACAATGGTGCTTTCCAGTGTTCACAATTTACAGTTTCAATTTGTACATATGTAATTTACTAACATATGGGACAGTTCTTACTATTACAAACTATCCCTTAAAAGAAAAATAAAACCCACCTTACATAGAACTCTGAACATGGTATGACTTAAAACAGATTAACACAACACGGTTTTTAATATTTTAGTCATTTTCTAAATAACAGCATGTAAACTTGTCTATTTAGTATATGAGAGCTACAACTTTATTCACTGAGAAATTATGCACT
The DNA here is from genome assembly GCF_000001405.40 of Homo sapiens. NCBI lineage: Eukaryota > Metazoa > Chordata > Mammalia > Primates > Hominidae > Homo > Homo sapiens. The sequence continues at coordinate 50,477,197 of NC_000012.12, read as the reverse complement.
AATTTTCTTCAACCATCTTTCTCATCTTTACTAAAAAATCTCATGACTTGCTGGTACTGTTTCAGTGAATTCCAAACTGTATTTTGTTGGGTGTGGGGGGAGAAGAGGAGGGAAGGAAGGTAATACACTGTAAACAGAAATAAGTCCCCCCTCCCAAATTAAGCCTTTAAAAAAAATTTTTTTACTTCTACATTATTTAACACTTAAGAGTCAGTTACTATGCTTAATCTTTAACACTAACGACAAATAAATTACTGTACGGTCAGTCTGCCCTACCATCTTGGGAGCTAAAATTCTAAATGTGTGAACAGAAGAGTTAATACTTCAATGTTCAATTCTGAAATTTAGAACAATTTATATGATTTGACTAGACTGCTCAAAGCAATTACAAACACACAATTGAGTAGGTAGTTGGTTATTTTGCTTTTCTGTGGGTGGGCAGTCAAAGAACAGAGAGTAACAAATGGAGTAAGAAAAAAAATTTTGTTTCTCATTTTGGGGGTATTCGGGGGAATCACAGGGAAGTTTAAACCTCTGAAATCCATTTGACCTATGCACTGAGGTCCAAGATGAAATTTTCAATTTCTTGAATAACCCCCTTTCCTTGAGTATCAAACTGATTGGTAGTCACATCTCTAAGTACAATCAGAGTTTTACAACTTGTTAAATGAAATATTAGTAAGGTCAAAAAGACAGACTAAATTTCAAACTAGAAAAAAAAATCTACTCAAGTATTACATTCAGTTTTCAAATCATTTACTAACATGACAACAGATTTGGCTTCAATCGCTCTTGTACACACTCACACCCACAACAGGCACCCCAGCCACTGATCCGCTTTGCAATACAAGGCCATATAGTCAGAGATGGCATTCTTCAAGCCAAACTTTAAATAGATTAAAAAAAGTAATTTCTAATTTTACAGAAATGCTTCTTCAAAAAATATTTTCTCTCATTCCCTCATCTCCTATACTGAAGGATGTATGTTTCTTTTTTTTCTTCCAAGCTAAATCTGAACCCTCAAAATTGATTCCTGGCAGCAAATCTCTGCAAATTAAAACCAAAAACAAAAATAGAAAAATTATACTTTTTATATATGTGTGTGTATATATATATATATATTTATATTGATTGGAATCCTCCAGCATTTAAAAACCACATTAGAGATGAATTTTGGGATCCTATCACTCACAACTCCAAAATCCATAATGAAATGGACGTACTTTCTCTTGTTTCCTTCCTGGCTACCCCCTCCCCTCCAAAACAGTTCAATATAGCCACAGTTCAAGTTTAATGGGAAGAGAGTGAAGTTTTTGAATAGTTTTGTTGTTTTTTACTTTGGTGATCTGGGTGGCACATATTGCTCTTTGCCATTACGTCGAGTCACTCCCTGAGGTATAGCCCTATGGCTAAACTGGCGTCTCTGTTCCCTGATTTTTCCTGCTGCTCCCCTGGGGATTATATTGCCTCGGAAGCCAGAATAATCCTTACTAGCCCTTGCTTCTGGCTTCTCATGTGGTTTCTCAACGGAGTTCTCAGGAGCTCCATTGTCTTCATTTTTGGTGGGAGACACCACATTGGAGCGAAGTTCCCGTAGTGGCTGCACAAGAACTGAAGATGGCTCTTTAGGGGGCTTCTGGCACACTTCAGCATAACTTAACTTTCGGGGTTCCTTTGAAGTGATGATAAAAAAAAACATTTATGGTACACATTCTTTAAATTATAAAGTATAAAAATGATTGTGTTAACCATAAGAAAACCACAGATTATCTTCCAGAAAAGGGCAACAAGCACTCTCATATATACTGCTTAGAGTACACTGGTACAATCTTTATTTATTATACAATAATTTCACGTAAGGAATTTAACTGAAGGATGTTCATGTCAGCGTTGTTTATAATGATGGGAGCGACCTAAATGCCTAACAAAGGACAGATTAGATGAATAATGGTATAGCCATATGATGAAATAAAATGGTTCTTTCTGCTCCTGTTTCCTTGCTACAAAGAACCCCAAGAAAGATGACAAAAGAATCCCAGCAGAGCAGTTAGAATCCAATGGTATAAAAAGACTCATTAAAAGTCTTAATTACCTCAACTGAAAAAGGTGGAATAGAGGTATTGTGAGAACAGAATAAAACATGTAAAGTCTTCAGCACTAGTCCTAATAATATATAGTAAGCATTCAAATGGTAGCTATTATTTTAGTATTATTACTATCATTGAATGAGAAGATAGTCTTCTAAATCTATTTTTAAAAGTGCTGTACTAAAATGCTAGGGATTATAGGTAAATTTTGTGTTTTGTTCTGCTTTTCTGTATTTTCCCAATTATATAACTATAAAACAATTCTGGAACTTGATAAATGGGAGTGGCCTCTCAATGGCCACTTATAGACTTGTTAAGTATCACATATACAACCAAAAGAATATCAAGAGGCACAAGGCCTCTTTATGTTAGCCCCAAAATGATAAATTCATCCTAACGTGGGTAAGGAAGAAGCTTCACTTAACCATATGAACAGAAAAAAAGCAATCAAAAGAAACAGAATGGGCCAGGCGCGGTGGCTCACGCATGTAATCCCAGCACTTTGGGAGGCCGAGGCGGGTGGATCACGAGGTCAGGAGATTGAGACCATCCTGGCTAACACAGTGAAACCCCGTCTCTACTAAAAATACAAAAAATTAGCCAGGCATAGTGGTGGGCACCTGTAGTCCCAGCTACCCGGGAGGCTGAGGCAGGAGAATGGCGTGAACCCGGGAGGCGGAGCTTGCAGTGACGCGAGATCGTGCCACTGCACTCCAGCCTGGGCGACAGAGTGAAGACTCAGTCTCCAAAACAAAACAAAAAAAAGCCTAAAACTTTCCATCTCTTTGCAGTGACCCTAACACTCCTTAAGCTTCTTTCTGATAGTCAGCCCCAACTTGGGCTACTTCCAAATGACTCTGTTCTAACAAAGTGTTACGTGAAAAAAAAAAAAAAATCTAATCTATTGTATTTTTTTTAACATAAACTAAAATCTTCAAGTTACCTGTAGAGCCACAGCTGTAGCTGCATTTATGTTATTATTACATGGTGAAGCAGTACTTGCCCTCGATGGCTTTGTAGTACTTGGAGGAGAAACTGGTATAGTTGTCTGATTGAGACCATCCTTCTGAACAGAGGAATCTTCTATTAGATCCTTTTCTTGCTGAGTTGTGCTAAGGAAAAAAGAGCTTGCAATTAGACTCAGAATAGCATATAGGAACAGTTGAGCAACTAATCAGAAGAAAACGTAATTTTTTTTTTTGAGACGGAGTCTCACTCTGTCACCCAGGCTGGAGTGTAGTGGCATGCTCTTGGCTCACTGCAACCTCTGCCCGCCCCGCACCCCCCACCCCCCCCACCCCCCCACCCACCCCCACCCCCCGGTTCAAGCAATTTTCCTGCCTTAGCCTCCTGATTAGCTGGGATTACAGGCACCTGCCAACACGCCCAGCTAATTTTTGTATTTTTAGTAGAGACGGGGTTTCACCATGTTGGCCAGACTGGTCTTGAACTCCCGACCTCAGGTGATTCACCTGCCTCGGCCTCCCAAAGTGCTGGGATTACAGGTGAGAGCCACCACACCCGGCCAGAAAAAGTAATTTAATGTTGAAGATCTTCTATACTATAACTTGTACCTTAATGCAGTAAGCTCAGCAGCACATGGAGAACTGGTACTCATATTGAGTTGCTGGGCAGAAGTGCATTCTGTCTGCTCATCTGCAGGCACTGGGCAACTAATTGTCAACTCTTCATTATCCTTAAAGTAAAAAGATTTTTCAAAATTACACTTAGACCTTTTTCCAAAGAAGATATACACGTCTAATAAGCACAAGAGAAGATGGTCAACATCATTAGTCATCATAAAATGCAAAGCTAAACCACGGTGAAAAATCACTTCATACCCACAAGGATGGTTATAATTAAAAAAAAGACAAACATTAACAAATGTTGGGGATGATATGGAGACATTAAAACTCATACATAGAGGGTGGCAATGTAAAATGATGCACTGCTTTAGAAAGCAATGTAGCAGTTCCTTAAAAAGTTAAATAGGCTGGGCGCAGTGGCTCACACCTGTAATCCCAGCACTTTCGGAGGCTGAGGCGGGTGGATCACAAGGTCAGAGTTCAAGACCAGCCTGGCCAACATGGTGAAATCCCATCTCTACTAAAAATACAAAAATTAGCTGGGCACGGTGGTGCATGCCTGTAATCTCAGCTACTTGGGAGGCTGAGGCAGAATTGCTTGAACCAGGACCTGGGAGGCGGAGGTTGCAGTGAGCCAAGATTGCACCACTGCACTCCAGCCTGGGCTACAGTGCGAGACTCCGTCCCAAAAAAAAAAAAAAGTTAAACATAGGGATGGATGCAGGGGCTCATGACTGTAATTCCAGCACTTTGGGAGGCTGAGGCGGGAGGACTGCTTGAGCCCAGGAGTTCAAGACCAGCCTTGGACAACATAGCAAGATCCAGTCTCTACAAAATAAAGTAAAATATTTAGCTAGGGTGGGGGGTGTCCATCTGTTGTCCCTGCTACTTGAGAGGATCACGTGAGTCTGGGAGGTTGAAGCTGCTGCAGTGAACCATGATAGTACCACGGCACTCCCTCCTGGGAACAGAGCAAGACCGTGTCTCAAAAAAAAAAAAGTTTGTAGGCTACATTAAAAAAAAATTAATGAAATCTTGACTCACGCTCAACATGAATGAAAGCTGAGGATGTTAAGTAAAATAAACCAGTCATAGAAAGACAAATACTGTATGATTCTACTTATATGAATTACTAAGAGTAGTCAATTCAGAGACAGAAAGTAGAATAGTGGCTGCTGAAGGATAAGAGAAAGGAGGAACAGGTAATGGTTTAATAGGTATAGAGTTTTAGTCTTGAAAGATTGTAAGTTCTGGAGCTTAGGTGCACAACCATGTAAAGGTACTTAATACTACAAAACTGTACACACTTAAAATGGTTAAGATGGTAAACGCTGTTATGTGTATTTATACTGCTGGCATAGAATTTAGAAAAGAGCCCTAGAAATTAAAACCGATGGATAAAATAAAAATTTCAACAGGTTTAGAAAGTAACATTCAGAAAAACTTGGTAGAAAATATAAATAAGAACATGATCTGGAAGCTAGATCATTTCCTAAGCATGAAATAAAAACAGCAAACTATAAAGAAAACACTAATAGGACCAGATTAAAATTAAGAACTTGTTTCAACCTATAGGCACTAAAGACGGAAAAGAAACCACAGAAGTGAAAGATTATTTCTACTACGTGTAACTGACAAAGGATTAGTGCACAGAATGTGTAAAAAAAATATATGAGTCTGTTTCTTCAAAACTTGAAACACTGACCAGGCGCAGTGGCTCACACCTGTCAACCTAGCACTTTGGGAGGCCGAGGTGGGTGGATCATCTGAGGTCAGGAGTTTGAGAGACCAGCCTGGCCAACAAGACGAAACCCTGTCTCTACTGAAAATACAAAAATTAGCCGGGCATGGTGGCGCGCGCCTGTATTCACCATTCAGGAGGCTGAGGCACAAGAATCGCTTGAACCCTGGCAGTGGAGGTTGCAATAAGCCAAAACCATGCCGCTGCACTCCAGCCTGCGCGACAGAGCGACACTCCATCTCAAAAAACACTCGAAAGACTTTAAAACTTTAAAAGAACACAAGCTGATGTATAAATCCTAGAAAAGTTCTTGCTCACATGAAGATTTATAATGGCAAAATGTCCATTAACAGTACAATGAATAAATATTTTACTTCCTACAATAGAATATCACATAATAGTTCAAAATGAACAACAATCATCTGTATTAACAGTGATCAATCTCAAACCATACAGAATGAAAGAAGTAAAAGAATACATACTGTACAATTCCATTTATAACCTTTCCAAAAACAGGCACCCCGTTTTATCACCTAGCGCAAGGGTTGGTAAACTAAGACCCGCAAGGCCAAATCCAGCCTTCAACTTGTTTTGGTATGGCTTACAAGCTAAGAATGGTTTGTAAATTATAATTATTATTTTTAAATTATTATTTTTTTAGAGATGGGGGTCTTGCTATGTTGACTAGGCTGGTCTCAAACTCTTGGCCTCAAGTGATCCTCCCACCTCAGCCTCCCGAAGTGCTGGGATTACAGGCATGACCCACCATGCCTGGTTTGGTTTTTAAGTTATTAAAGGGTTGTAAAACAAAGAATATGTGACAATACATGGCCCACAAAGCCTAAAATATTTACTATTAGTATCTGGCCCTTCACAGAAGAATTCTGTCAATGCAGAATGAGGCAAGAAAATTGCTATCACAAAGTCAGAATAATGTTTATATCTGAAGGGGAAGAGTGGGGCAGAATGACTATAAATAGTGGGGAGATACACATGTCACTGCTAAGATACTAGGGATATTTATGGGCCATAATTGTGTGTTGGGGTTATAAGGAGACGTACACTTCATGATTATTCTTTAAAAATGCATACATGGCCGGGCACGGTGGCTCACCTGAGGTCAGGAGTTCGAGACCACCCTGGCTAACATGGTGAAACCCCATCTCTACTAAAAACACAAAAATTAGCTGGGCATGGTGGCAAGTGCCTGTAATCCCAGCTACCTGGGAGGCTGAGGCAGGAGAATCGCTTGAACCTGGGAGATGGAGGTTGCAGTGAGCCGAGATCGCGCCACTGCACTCCAGCCTGGGCAACAAGAGCAAAACTCCATCTCAAAAAAAAAAAGAAAGAAAGAAAGAAAGAAAGTATATATGTGTGTTTGTGTATCATCTTCTGAAATCTGAGATGCCATTATTTGTTGAACTACACCATTATTTTATGTACCAATAAGGAAAAATAAAAATAAAACCACTGGATAGAAGCAGACCTTAAGATGAGAAGAAAATAAAAATACTGCACTTAAACTAAAATAGCTTCTGATTAAAGATAGTCTTTTTTTTTTTTGAGACAGGTTGCTCTGTCACCCAGGCTGGAGTACAGTGGTGTGATCACAGCTCATCATAGCTCTGATCTCCTGGGCTGAAGCAATCCTCTTGTCTCAGCTTCCCAAGTAGCAAGGACTACAGGCATACGTCACCATGCCCAGCTATTTTTTTTTTTTACTTTATGTACAGACGGGACCTCTCTATGTTGCCCACATTGGTCTCGAACTCCTGGGCTCAAGCAATCCATTCACCTTGGACCCCCACAGTGCTGGGATTACAGGTATGAGCCAATGTGCCTGCCTATTTATTTTTTTTCTTTTTCTGTTTTTTGAGACAGAGTCTTGCTCTTGTCGCCCAGGCTGGAGTGCAATGGCACAATCTCGGCTCACTGCAACTTCCACCTCCCGGGTTCAAGCGATTCTTCTGCCTCAGCCTCCAGAGTAGCTGGGACTACAGGTGCGTGCCACCATGCCCAGCTAATTTTTCTATTTTTAGTAGAGACGGGGTTTCACCACGTTGGCCAGGTTGGTTTCAAACTCCTGACCTCATGATCCACTCTCCTCAGGCTCCCAAAGTGCGGGGATTACAGGCTTGAGCCACTGTGCCCCGCCTTTACTTTTTTTTTTTTTTTTTTTTTTGATAGAGTCTCGCTCTGTCGCCCAGGCTGGAGTGCAGTGGCGCAATCTCAGGTCACTGCAAGCTCTGCCTCCCGGGTTCATGCCATTCTCCTGCCTCAGCCTCCGGAGAAGCTGGAACTACAGGCACCCGCCACCATGCCTGGCTAATTTTTTGTATTTCTAGTAGAGACGGAGTTTCACCATGTTAGCCAGGATGGTCCCGATCTCCTGACTTCGTGATCTGCCTGCCTCGGCCTCCCAAAGTGCTGGGATTACAGGCGTAAGCCACCGCACCTGGCCTACATTTTTTAAAAAATAATTTTTAGTCTGATTTTTGAAGGTGATAAAACATGGGGGGAAAAAAGTGTATCTTAGAACTTATGAAATAACTACTACGTGTCACAATATTTTTTTAAAGAAACAAGACAGTGGAATAATACCTTCAAAGTTCCAAGGGAAAATGATTTCTGATAGAGAATCCAATACAGAAATAAACTACTGATCAATTTGAGAGCAGAAAAACATTTTCAGAATGCAAGAAATTTATACTTCATGACCATGGAAGATATGAACCACCCTAACATGGAAGAGTGAAACAAGAGTGAGAAAAAAAGGGGGATCGATAAAGAAGAGTAAGGAAAATTGCCAGGGTGACGGTAAAGAGAAGGCCCAGGAACATAGCTAGGCAGTAGGACACCGAGAGTGCACACAAAAGGAGAAACAATCATAGTATATTATGTTTGAGTCTCAGCCCTGAAAAATATCTGTAATACTGAAATGTGGCTTACAAAGGATGGTGTGTCCTAGCATAACTAGCAACATCTTTTACTTTCTTAGAGATATGAAAATAATGGATGCCTTATAATTGATGATATCATATATAATGAAGTACAATATATCAGGAGGATAGGAAAAGTGTGAGTATGTTGGCTTAAGAAAGCTAAATCTTTAGCTTCAGAAAGTGAAGTTAACAGACACTGCTGAAAATGGAAAAGCCAAGAGGTTACAATAAAAAGATGTTAATTAGGCAGGGCGCGGTGGCTCATGCCTGTAATCCCAGCACTTTGGGAGGCCGAGACGGGCGGATCACGATGTCAGGAGATCGAGACCATCCTGGCTAACACGGTGAAACCCTGCCTCTACTAAAAATACAAAAAAAAAATTAGCCGGGCGTAGTGGCAGGCGCCTGTAGTCCCAGCTACTCGGGAGGCTGAGGCAAGAGAATGGCGTGAACCCAGGAGGCAGAGCTCGCAGTGAGCAGAGATCGCACCAATGTACTCCAGCCTGGGCTACGAGCGAGACTCTGTCTCAAAAAAAAGAAAAAAAAAGTTAATTAGAAATACAGGGCCGGGCGCAGTGGCTCACGCTTGTAATTCCAGCACTTTGGGAGGCCGAGGTGGGCGGATCGCAAGGTCAGGAGTTTGAGACCAGCCTGGCCAACATGGAGAAACCCTGTCTCTACTAAAAATACAAAAATTAGCTGGGTGTGGTGGCACATGCCTATAATCCCAGCTACTCATGAGGCTGAGGGAGGAGAACTGCTTGAACCCGGGAGGTGGAGGTTGCAGTGAGCAGAGATCCACCACTGCATTCCAGTCTAGGTTACAGAGCAAGACTCCATCTCAAAAGAAAAAATAAAATAAAAAAATAAAGAAATACAGGAATAAAAGTTGGGAGAAAAACTAAGGAGCTGAAAGTAGTTGCAGGTTTTTCATTAAAAGCCTAGATATACTATAGACATGTACTGTTATAATTAAAAAAAAAACTGAATTAGAATAAAGGTAGAAAATGAGAAAAACTTGTGAGACATGAGGATTTCTGATATGGAGAGGTCTACACACCAAATAATCATAAGATGAGGCATCTCAGCCTCTAGACATCTACTTTCCATTGTTTGAAAGAATTCATTTCATCACTAGTGAATTATAGGCACATAAATGGAAATGATACCTTCCATTTAGCTTGCATTAGTCAGTTATCAGTTCTAACAGGCTGAATTGACTAACAGGAAGACATGCAAGGCTGGGCGTGGTGGCTCATGCCTATAATCCCAGCACTTTGGGAGGCCAAGGTGGGCAGATGGCTTGAGGTCAGGAGCTGGAGACCAGCCTGGCCAATGTGGCGAAACCCTGTCTCTACTAAAAAAAAATACAAAAATACAAAAGTTAGCTGGGCATGGTTGCGCATGCCTGTACTCCCAGCTACTTGGGAGGCTGAGGCAGGAGAATCACTTGAACCAAGGAGGTAGAGGTTGCAGTGAGCTAAGATCATGTCTTTAAAAAAAAAAAAAACAAAGACATGCAAAAGCCAAGAAACATTTTATTGCCTTTGTGCAGCTTCATCATGAATCTTTAAAAAAACACTCTAAGTATGCTGAAAACTCCATAAATAAAAACTATGATAGAAATGTACACTAAGTGCAAGTAAAATTTTAAATAACAACACTGCAAATAAAGCCTAAATATGGTCTCATAAGGTAAGACTCAGATGCTGGGTGTTTACCTTTTCTTTGTAGACACCTTTAACAACATCAGACATCCTATTCTCCAAAACGAGTTCACCTGGCATTCTTGATGAACTTCCAGGTAAAGGTGGAAAATTTGAGGCTAATAAGTCAAACTTTGGTGTTGGAGCCTTTGATTCAGCTGTTGAAGGATGAGGTCTCTAAAATGAACAAATAATAAAACAGGTCACATGGCTATCTCATTCCCTAATCCTGTGTCACAGAAGCTGAAAGGTGCAAGAAAAGAAAAAGAAGCAAACAAAACCTCTATAATGCACAGAACTGTATCCCTACATAAATTCTTGGTTTGACATCTCACTTGAGCTCTCATCAGTCTTTATCAATTCTACTTTTCTTTAGTCACTTCTCTCACCTGTTTCTTTTGTAAACTTTGCCATACTCCTTAAGCCTTCTAACCAGTCTTTACTATTCATTTCATAATTTGCTATGCCTTCTTAACAAAAACACCCACTTTACCTAAATTTGCTATCAACTCTTTTTTTTTTGAGACAGGGTCTTAGTTTGTCACCAAGGCTGAAATGCAGTGACACAATCATAGCTCACTACAACCTTGACTTCCTGGACTCAAGTAATCCTCCTGCCTTTTTTGCCTCCAGAGTAGCTGTGCGCGCCACCACACCTGGCTAAATTTTTATTTTTTGTTTTTTAGTAGTGACAAGGTTTCACTACGTTGCCCAGGCTGGTCTCAAACTCTTGAGCTTAAGTGATCCTCTCTCCTTGGCCTCCCAAAGTGCTGGGACTACAGGCTTAAGCAACTGTGCCCGCCCATCACCATCTTTCTCCATCTATTTATCTCAAGAGAAAACAATATCCCTCCTCTATATAACATATATGAAAAATCTCATGCTTCCCTCCTGTCTAACACCCTATATATCCTCTGACAAGCCTCTTACCTCTTACTTGTATCTCCTCCACTTTGTCATCACTCCACTAAAATTATTTTAGGTGTCACCAATGCCTTCAACAATGCAAAACCTGACAGACCCTTTTTCCTGACCTCTCATTTCCTGACATATAGCATTTGGTGTGTTAACCATCCTTTCCTTGGGAACACATTTTTCTCTTAGCTTCTGTGATACCTTTTTTGTTTTTTAGATTTGACAGACATGTGCTCTTTTTCCCCTGACCATTTCTAAAATTTTGATGGTTTCCATTTGGTTATTACTCTTTACTTCTCATATTCTCCTTGAGTGATGTCCACTATCCATGGCTTCAACTACTACCTATATGCAAGCAACTGTTAAAACAACCTGTTTTGCTTTTTGGTGGTGATGGCGGTATATCTCTGTAAATTTACAAAAATATCATTGAATTGTAGGTTTTAAATATTTTCAGCCTAGGCCTTTGCCTACAACCGAGATAACATTTGTCCATTACCCATGTCCATTCAGATTTTGCTTGAATACTTCAAACAGCATGCTGAATAATCTCATTTTTCAACCCAACACTGCTGCTTTATTCCCCAAGGTTCCATATTAGACCACTTTCACCACTCTATGGAGAGTACTCTGCATGAGCTTATCACTCCAATTACTATGTGAAGGCTTACAAATCCAAAATTTTATTCCCAGCTAAGATCTCCCTCCTGCAAAAGAGCTCCTCTACCATGACCTACCTACTGGAAGTCATGCCTGTTTCTTTAACCCCAATGTTTAGTCCTCCATCATGACATTTACAACATATTGAATAAACCCCAAATCTAATCTCTCTTTTTTTTTTTTTTTTTTGAGACAGAGTCTGGCTCTGTCGCCCAGGCTGGAGTGCAGTGGCATGATCTCAGCTCATTGCAACCTCTGCCTCCTGGGTTCAAGTGATTCTCCTGCCTCAGCCTCCTGAGTAGCTGGGACTACAGGCACCCACCACCATACCCGGCTAATTTTTGTATTTTTAGTAGAGATGGGGTTTCACCATGTTGGCCAGGATGGTCTTGAAATCCTACCCTCAGGCAATGCACCCACCGGGGCCTCCCAAAGTGCTGGGATTACAGGCGTGAGACACCACGCCTGGCCTGAGCCACCATGCAGGGCCTAATCTCTTATTCCAAATTGTTGAGGGCCACTTGAGAAGTCATGTGGACTGCTACTATGGAATGCTAAGAAAGAATTGTTGGGCTGAGTGCAGTGGCTCATGCCTATAATCCCAGCACTTTGGGAGGCCGAGGCAGGTGGATCACCTGAGGTCAAGAGTTTGAGACCAGCCTGGCCAACATGGTGAAACCCTGTCTCTACTATAATACAAAAATTAGCCAGGCACGGTGGCGAGCGCCTGTAATTCCAGCTACTTGGGAGACTGAGGCAAGAGAATCACTTGAACCCAGGAGGCAGAGGTTGCAGTGAGCCGAGATCACGCCACTGCACTCCAACGTGGACAACAAGAGCGAAACTCTGTCTCAAAAAAAGAATTGTTGGTCAGGCACGATGGCTCACGCCTGTAATCCCAGCACTCTGGGAGGCCAAGGCAGGTGGCTCACCTGAGGTCAGGAGTTCGAGACCAGCCTGGCCAACATGGTGAAACTCCGTCTCTACTAAAAATACAAAAAATTAGCCAGACGTGGTGGCAGGTGACTGTAGACCCAGCTACTCGGGAGGCTGAGGCAGGAGAACTGCTTGAACCCGGGAGTCAGAGGTTGCAGTGAGCTGAGATTGTGCCATTTGCACTCTAGCCTGGGTAACAAAAGCATTTAAAAGATTTAGTATACCCTAAAAACAATTCTAAGTTATAATGGAACATATTTTCTTCTTTGAAAATGGGTTTCTTCTCTCCTACTTCTGCCATGTATAAACTGTGTGGTCCCCATTTGCCTTCAGCCATGATTGTAAGTTTCCCAAGGCCTCCCCAGAAGCTGGGCAGATGCCTGCATCATGCTTCCTGTACAGCCTGCAGAACTGTTAGCCAATTAAACCTCTTTTCTTTATGAATTATCCAGTCTCAAGTATTTCTTTACAGCAATGTGAGAACGGCTTAACGAAAATTGGTACTGAGGAGTGGAGCACTGCTATAAAGATAACTGAAAATGTGGAAGCAACACTGGAACTGGGTAACAGGTAGAGGGTGGAAGAGTCTGGAAGGCTCAAAAGAAGATAGAGATGACGAACTTCCTAGACTGGCTTTGGAGCCTCTGACTCAATTTCAGAGGATGTATGGCATCCTCTGAAAGAAACTTATACCAGCCTGGTATAAGTCCAGACAGAAACCTGCTCCAGGGGCACAGATCTCATGGAAAACTTCTACTAGGGCAGTGCAGAGGGGAAATACGGGGCTGGAGCCCTCACATCAAGCCTCCACTAGGGCACTGCATAGTGGCAGAAGAGGGCCACCGTCCTCCAGACTCCAGAACAGGCATAGAAAAGCCACAGGCATTCAACATGGGCCCATGAGAGCAGCCTCCAGGGTTGATCCCTGCAAAGCCAAAGGGGTGGAGCTGCCTAAGGCCTTGGGAGCCCAACCCTTGCATCAGTGTACCCTAGGTGTGGGACATGGAGTCAAAGGAGATTATTTTGTTTATTATTTTTGAGACAGAGTCTCACTCTGTTGCTCAGGCTGGAGTGCAGTGGCACAATCTGCACTCCACCTTCTGGGCTCAAGGGATCAGCCTGCCTCAGCCTCCCAAGTAGCTGGGACAACAGGCGTGCACCATGGTGCCTGGCTAATTTTTTTTTTTTTTTTTTTTTTTTTTTTGGAGAGATGGGGTTTCATCACCTTGCCCAGGCTGGTATCCAACTCCTGAGCTCAAGTGATCCGTACATCTCAGCCTCACAAAGAGCTGACATTACAGACTTGAGTCGCCATGCCTGGCCAAAGGTGAGTATTTTGGAGCTTTGAAGATGTCCTGACCGTTCTGCTTGGTTTTGCACTTGCATGGGGCCTGTAGCCTCAAGTGATCCACTGACTAAGCCTCCCAAAGAGCTGAGATGACAGGCACGAGCCACGGTGCCTGGCCCGCAAGACCCCGACTCGAGAGGAGGATCACTTAAGCCTGGGATGTGAAGGCTGCAGTGAGCCATGATTGTACCACTGCACTTCAGCCTGGGTGACAGAGCAAGACCCGTTCCTCCTCTGCCTCTCCCTAGAAGTCCTTAATCTTGTACCAAGCACAGTGGCTCAGGCCTGTAATTCCAGTGCCCTGGGAAACAGTAATATCCTGTGTCTTGGAAAAGAAAGAAGAAAGAAAAGGTAAGGAAAGTTAGAAAGACTTCGTGTTTTTATTTAAAAATCATGTGAATACATTAGATCTTCAAATAATTTTTTTAAGCAAGCAACACAAGCGAAGCTCCTTACTACATGTGTGCTAGAGGGTGGGTATATGGGTGGTGGTGGTAAAAATTTCAGGGTTAAATTTAGGCTCTATTTACCTTTGCTGAAGACTACAATCAATAAAACAAAAACCCAGAAAGGAAAGACCGAAAGTCAATGCCATAGTAAATCACAGAAGAGAAAAAAGTCTGAATAAAAGTTTTAAAAAACTTACTGAGATCCTGTCATCTTCTCGTCGTCTTCGACCTCTGAAGAGAGTTCTCCTTTTAATAAGAAAAAGGTGGGGGTGGGGTGGGGTGGAGGGACAAGTCATAAGTTTCTTCAGATATATACATTCTATCAAAGCCGTACACATTTTTTTTTTTTTTGAGATGGAGTCTCGCTCTGTCGCCAGGCTGGAGTGCAGTGGCGCGATCTCGGCTCACTACGAACTGCCTCCCGGGTTCAAGCAATTCTCCTGCCTCAGCCTGCTGAGTAGCTGGAATTACAGGCACGTGTTGCCACACCCAGCTAATTTTGGTATTTGTAGTACAGACAGGGTTTCACCATGTTGGCCAGGATGGTCTCGATCTCCTGACCTCATGATCCGCCTGCCCCACCTCCCAAAGTGCTGGGATTACAGGCGTGAGCCACCATGCCTGGCCAGCTGTATACATTTCAATTTAAACATCTTTCTACATTTGGGGCTAGTTTTCTCTATTACTAAAAGATAATATATTATTCTGAGGGATCTTGAGCCAATTTACTAAAAACTTTACCTACTACCACACCATAAAGTAAGATGAGCCCATTTGTTAGTAGTGATCCCTTCAAACCAGAACCATACTATTGTTTAATTAGGCAAGTTGGCAATATATAACCTCACCCCTATAGTTTATTTATATTTTGAGACAGAGTCGCGCTCTGTCACCCAGGCTGGAATGCAGTGGTGCAACCTTGGCTCACTGCAACCTCTGCCTCCTGGGTTCAAGTGATTCTCCTACCTCAGGCTCCCAAGTAGCTGGGATTACAGGCGCCTGCCACCATGCCCAGCTAATTTTTGTATTTTTTCATAGAGACAGGGTTTCACCATGTTGGCCAGGCTGGTCTTGAACTCCTGACCTGAGATGATCCTCCCACCACGGCCTCCCAAAGTGTTGGGATTACAGGTGTGAGCCACCGCACCCAGCCACTTCTATAGTTTAAAAGCTGGAAGAAATTAAAACCATAAGGCAAATGGATATGTTAATTTTCTAAGCTATTCTTTCTTATATGAGCTATAAGGAACTTCAGAATAACTTTATAAACCTCTGATTCAGAGCTATATTCTGTATGGGCACTCTATTTCTTAATAATTATAAAAAGCAACCAACTCATGTTCTGAAAATAACGTATTTATTTAATATAACCATATACCAATAATTAAATGCTCATTTAATTATTATGAAGATCATGTTCTTCAATTATTCAGGATGATCACATTATTATCAAAGGTTTTCAGGTACTTTATTTTCTTACCTGCCCCTACCATAGTCCCCATTCTGTTCCACCTGCAAAGTGGAAGTCTCCTTCTGAAGGTAAGTTTGCTCCTGATGCCCAGTTACTGTGGGGTTATGCCGTTCAGCTGGAAAGTTTCTTGAACTATATCTGTTCAACTGTCCATCCCCCAAGGATACAGAGCCCTCTGTTGAGTGTTCTGAACCACCAGATGACCTAAACTGAGGCTTCACACTATAGGAAATACAAAATGATATACACAAAGCAGTAAATCGAGACAGAAAAACATCTTTCCTTAGGTAAAAAATTGGCTCCTGTTGTACTGGGGTTTTCAAAAAATTAAGTTAAACACAAAAGAATAATGTTGTAAAAGTGTTGCCCCTTTTACATTCCAGATGTTATTTTAAAAAGTGACGTAAACTTTTTTGAGATGGAGTCTCGCTCTGTTGCCCAGGCTGGAGCGCAGTGGCACATCTCAGCTCACTGCAAGCTCTGCCTTCCGGGTTCACGCCATTCTCCTGCCTCAGCCTCCCAAGTAGCTGGGACTACAGGCGCCAGCCACCACGTCCAGCTAATTTTTTGTATTTTGTTTAGTAGAGATGGGGTTTCACCGTGTTAGCCAGGATGGTCTCGATCTCCTGACCTTGTGATATGCCTGCCTTGGCCTCCCAAAGTGCTGGGATTACAGGTGTGAGCCACCGTGCCAGGCCAAAGTGAAGTAAATTTTACATTAAAAAATGTTGTGGGCTGGACACAGTGGCTCACGCCTGTAATCTCAGCACTTTGGGAGGCTGAGGCAGGAGGATTGTTTGAGATCTGGGGTTCGACACCAGCTGGGGCAACACAGCAAGACCCCATCACTGCAAAAAAAAATTAAAATGTGCAGTGGTATGCACCTATAATATGCCCAGCTACTTGGAAGGCTGAGGCAGAAGACTGCTTGGGCCCAGGAGTTTGAGGCTGCAGCGAGCTATGATTGCACAACTGAATTCATGCACAGGCATCAGAGAAAACCCTATCTCTAAGACAATAATATACATATATTTTAAGTTGTGTTTGGAGAGACGGGGGAAAATCCAAAGTTCTTTGAAAGAAACTTACTTCTACCTTAATACTCAGAATTAGGATTTTAGCTAATGTCACTGGAGGCACTCTCGACATGTTTAAATCAGCCAGGTTTTAAGCTTATGAGTCTATGCAATGCATTCTTCTTCTTCTTTTTTTTTTTTTTGGTGAGATGGAGTCTTGCTCTGTTGCCCGGGCTGGAGCGCAGTGGTGCAATCTCGGCTCACTGCAACCTCTGCCTCCCAGATGCAAGCGATTCTCCTGCCTCAGCCTCCCAAGTAGCTGGACTACAGGCATATGCCACCACACCCGGCTAATTTTGTATTTTCAGTAGAGACAGGGTTTTGCCATGTTGGCCAGGCTGGTCTTGAACTCTTGACCTCGTGAACCGCCCACCTTGGCCTCCCAAAGTGTCGGGATTACAGGCATGAGCCATCACACCTGGCCTATAACACCCTTTTTTTTTTTTTTTTTTTTTTTTGATACGGAGTCTTGCTCTGTCGCCAGGCTGGAGTGCAATGGCGCGATCTCAGGTCACTGCAACCTCCGCCTCCCGGGTTCAAGAGATTCTCCTGCCTCAGCCTCCCGAGTAGCTGGGACTATAGGCACGTGCCACCACACCTAGATAATTTTTGTATTTTTAGTAGAGATGGGGTTTCACCATGTTGGCCACGATGGTCTCGATCTCCTGACCTGGTGATCTGCTCACCTCGGCCTCCCAGAGTGCTGGGATTACAGGTGTGAGCCACCAGGCCCAGCTATGCATTCTTAATGGAAGCAAAACCACGCTAATGGGAGTAAAAACGGGGGCGAAGGAAGGGCAAAAAGTAATCATTTTATGTATAAAGCACAGATACATACATTACATACATACAGACATACAATAATCTGTAGTAGTAAATTTTCACAGGCAGAAACTAGGAGGAAAATGCCTAAAAAGGCTGTTTAGGGGAGTAATAATGAAGAGAGTAAGAAATATTGGAATATAATTAAAATCCTAGCCTCAGCCGGGCATGGTGGCTCACGCCTGTAATCCCAGAACTTTGGGAAGTGGAGACGGGCAGATCACCTGAGGTCAGGAGTTCTAGACCAGCCTGGCTAACATGGTGAATCCCCATCTCTACTAAAAATACAAAAATTAGCCTGGCATGGTGGCAAACACCTGTAATCCCAGCTATTCAGGAGGCTGAGGCAGGAGAATCTCTTGAACCCAGGAGGTGGAGTTTGCAGGGAGCCAAGATCACACCATTGCACTCCAGCCTGGGCAACAAAAACAAAACTCCGTCTCAAAAAACAAAACAAACAAAACCTAGCATCTTACTAAACATCCATCACCAAATGAGATTTATCAAAAGATCCATATGTAGGACAGCAAACTAGGAAAATACCAATGCACCCAATAGCATGGCATGACTGCATGAATTAAGGTATGCAATGTGGTTAAACCAACCAATCTGCTTTTAACAAAGGGAGTTTTTATCTTGGATGATGGGTATAAGCACCCAACTTCCTAAAAGCTTACAACAGATGAAGCTAAGGTTGACTAATATAAAAAGAATGTAGTTTAATCAGTAGCAAAAACACCTAAAATCTCAAGCAACTGAGGATCTTGGATCTACAGATTAAGAAGAGTGAGATTTATGTTTGGCCCATTATTTGCAGTTTATATATCTCAGTTTTTGTAATCTATTTTCATAGTTATAAACCAACAATATAAATCACATGTTGCCAATTCCTGACTCTAGGAATAAGGATTTAAAACCTCTTGAATAATTATAACCCCACCAATTAAACGTAAATTCCCACAGCATCTCTAGTTGTCCTGTTTTATTCTTTACAGACCATAAAAAATTACCATTATTAAAACTTAAAGTAGCTGGGTGTGGTGGCTCACACCTGTAATCCCAGCACTTTGGGAGGCCAAGGCGGGTGCATCACGAGGTCAAGAGATCAAGACCACCCTGGCCAACATGGTGAAACCCTCTGTCTCTAACTAAAAATACAAAAACAAACAAAAAACAAAAACAAACAAACAAAAACAAAGATAAAATTATCAGGCTGGGCGCAGTGGGCTCAGTGGCTCATATCTGTAACCCCAGCACTTTAAGAGGCTGAGGTGGGAGGATCATTGGAGCCCAGGAGTTTGAGACCAGCCTGCACAACATGGCAAAACCCTGTCTTTACAAAAAAAAAAATACAAAAACTTAGCTAGGCATGGTGGTATGCGCCTGTAGTCCCAGCTACTAGGAAGGCTGAGGTGGAGAATTGATTGGGCCTGGGAGGTCAAAACTACAGTGAGCCATGATCATGTTACTGCACTACAGCCTGGGTGACAGGGCAAAACACTGTCTTAAAAAAAAAAAAAAAAGTTGGGTTGAGTTTCACATAAAGTGACACTTTGCCATAGAATTACTTTATATTACAAACTAGATTTCTTAAATAGCAATGAAAATAGTATGTCACTTAACAAAAAGTAATTTTTTTTTTTTTTGAGAAAGGTCTGGCTGTGTCACCCAGGCTGGAGCGAGGTGGTGCGATCTCAGCTCATTACAACCTCTGCCTCCTGGGCTCAAGCTATCCTCCCACCTCAGTCTCCCAAGTAGCAGGGACTACAGGTGCACACCAGTATGCCTGGCTAATTTTTATATTGTCAGTAGAGACGAGGTTTCACTCTGTTGCCTAGGTTGGTCT
Organism: Homo sapiens; assembly: GCF_000001405.40. Lineage (NCBI taxonomy): Eukaryota > Metazoa > Chordata > Mammalia > Primates > Hominidae > Homo > Homo sapiens. Next base: position 50,457,612 of record NC_000012.12, on the reverse strand, counting down.
CCAACTCATGAGATCAAGTGATCTGCCTGCCTTGGCTTCTCAATGTGTGGGGAATATAGGCATGAGCCACCCCACTGGCTATAAAAAGTAATTTTAAAAATAGTTAGGCCAGATGCGGTGGCTCACACCTATAATGCCAGCACTCTGGGAGGCCAAGGCGGGTAGATCACCTGAGGTCAGGAGTTCGAGACCAGCCTGGCCAACATGGTGAAACCCAGTTTCTACTAAAATACAAAAAATTAGCTGGGCGTGGTGGCATGCGTCTGTAATCTCAGCTAATTGGAAGGCTAAGGCAGGAGTATCGCTTGAACCCGGGAGACGGACGTTGCAGTGAGCCGAGATCCCGCCATTGCACTCCAGCCTGGACAACAAGAGCAAAACTCCGTCTTTAAAAAAAAAAAAAAAAAAAAAGGCCGGGTATGGTGGCTCATGCCTGTAATCCCAGGACTTTGGGAGGCCAAGCTGGGTGGATCACGAGGTCAAGAGATTGAGACCATCCTGGCCAACATGATGAAACCCCGTCTCTACTAAAAATACAACAATTAGCTAGCACATGCCTGTAGTCCCAGCTACTCAGAAGGCTGAGGCCAGAGAATTGCTTGAACTCGGGAAGCAGAGGTTGCAGTAAGCAGAGACTGCACCACTACACTACAGCCCGGTGACAGAGCACGACTCCGTCTCAAAAAAAAAAATTTATATTACCTGTTACATCTTGAAAATGAACTGATATGATAGATATGGTATTTGCATATGTTTAGAAAATGTCCTTCATCCAACTTTCACACTACATTTCAATATGCTTAAGGGACAACTTACTACATTTATACAGCCCTCAGATCTCATAATCTTACCCTTCACTGAGAGGGACTTAACAATCTCGATCCAGGCAAAAGAGAGAAAGAATGAAGAAAGAAAGAAGTGATAAAAGACAGAAAAGAGAAGTAAAGTGAAAGAAAGATAGTATGAAAGGTAGAAAAATGCCTGGATTTCTGAAAGTTAGTCCTATTCTCTCTAAGTAGGAATAGTGATCATCACTGGGCTGTCACAGGTTAATATAAAAATTGCAAAAGGCTCTCTAAAAAAGACTTTGTCCTTAGCTGTTAACATTAATAATAATAATAAATGCCTGGCAGTAGTCACTTTTTAGAAGTAGTCACTTTTTAGAAGCAAGAAGGAAACAAGGATTTGGGTTGCTGGTCCAGAAGGTCTTTATTTGCATTTTTAGAAAAAGTATTCACTAATTATTTCTGTAATTAAAAATTACCAACCTGTATTGGTCAAATATATGGAAAAGAACTGTACACAAGTGGTTTTAAGTAACATGCAAAAATGTACTAAACACACCATGTATTTTCAAAACCATAGGTATACTTCCTTATAAGTAAAGATAACTTGACTGTCATTCCTGGCTGTCACCAAAAAGATGCAACGGATAAAAGGTAACAATAAAGAAATAACCATGGAGCCAAGTAAAGTATTTCAGAGTCAAGCAACTGCAAATATCAGTACCTTTATTTTTTGGAGGGGGGAGCGGGGAGGGGTGAGAGGGCGTGGCTGCAGGGAATAACAGAGTCTCACCGTCACCCAGGCTGGAGTGCAGTGGTATGATCTCGGCTCACTGCAACCTGTGCTTCTCAGGCTCAAGCAATTCTCGTTCCTCAGCCTCCTGAGTAGTTGGGACTTCAGGCATGCACTACACCACCACGCCCAGCTAATTTTTGTATTTTTGGTAGAGATGATGTTTCGTCATATTGCCCAGGCTGCTCTTGAACTCCTGAGCTCAGATGATCCACCCACCTCAGCCTGTGTTTATGTTTAGTAGTAAAATTTTTCTAACACTTGAAAATGATCTTCAATTGCTTTAACCAATTGTGTCTGTCAAGAATAGTCCAAAAACTCTGACTATTAAAGAGTAGTACACAATGTTTCCAGTGAGAAGAATATTTTTTCATTCTGTTGGGGCTCATTTCTCCAGTAAAACAAGTTTCAGAAAAACCTGTCAAAAAAGGACTAAGTTCCTAGAAGTCATCTTGGAAAAACATACTCCAGATGGTCTCCTTTCCAAAAGAAATAATTAGAAGAATCGAATCTGGCAAAAGACTGTCACTGAAAATAAACCATTAGGAAAAACCCTCAAAAACCAAGAGTCTCACAAAACAGCAAACGAGAAGTAATAAATGTGAAACTATTAAATAAATCGAAATGACTATATGTCAGTCCTTTATTCTTTGGTTACTCATACTGTGTTAAAAGCCATAGTATCACGCCTGTAATCCTAGCAATTTGGGAGGCCAAGGTGGGAGGACTGCTTTGAGCCCAGGAGTTCAAGACCAGTCGTCCCAGGCAACATAAACAGACCCTGTCTCTACCCCCACAACAACAACAACAACAAGCCATAACATACACCAAATATTGAGATTATCTGTTGATGTCTACATAAAGAAAAATACCTCAGACATACATCTCAATCTTTATGATAGCATATAGTTTCTATGATTCTTAATAATTTATCCTGAACATAGTGCTTTAAGTGCGGGCTTTGGAGTTGAACTGCCTAGGTTCAAATCTTAGCTCTACCAATTACTAGCTGTGTGTTCTCAGACATGATATTTTACATCTCAGATTCCTTATCTGTAAAGTAGACATAAGTGCACCTATAAAGGGTTCTGAAAAAAGTAACTGATAAAATATGTAAAGCCCTTAGGAACAGAGTTTGTGATATTAAATGTGCAATAAATGTTAGCTACTGTCTGTTGTGCACTGTAGTTCTTGGGTGTCATTTCAAAAATCCTTTAAAAACCTGAATAACATACATCCCAACATTTATTACACAATTCAGTTAACAACATTTATATCTTCAAAGAATTCATTCTCTAAAATGCTACCCATTTAACATACTAAATGGAAATTAGTCACCAGATTTGTCAGAGACTGGTGTCATGAAATATTTTTTCTATTCTCTTTTATTATTAAAAAAAATCTGAATCCCAAGTCTGTTACATGCATTACCAACTCAAAGGTCAAAGTGTTTTTACGAATTCTAGATTAAACTGTTCATATACACTTAGTAAAAACAAAACAAACAAAAAATCCACCAAACCTTATTACTGAGCCTGACAACAAACATTGCTATTAATGCCTTAAGATCCATTAGGAATTGTTTAAAATACATTACAGCTATGGTTTTTATCTTACCGATTTTTTTGGAATGGTCGACCCATATTCATAGCAGCAGCATTTGTTTTATAAGATCCTGGCGAATTAAAGCCATTCACAAAACTACCATTGGGAAAGGGAGCCTAGAAAAAAATGTATGTTTAAACAATATTAATGGCAAAGGTAAAATCTGGTGTGAGGGTCACAAGAACCTTAATGAGCTTATGAATTTATCTTTTACAAGCCAAAAATATCTTAAAATATTTTACTGATTCATTTCTGCAATATTCACTTCAAGTACCACTGGATTTATGAACAATTCATAACTTAGTAAAGAATGTCTGGTCTGACATTTCGCAACACTAAAATGCATTTAAAATCACGCAAAAGTTATCCAGTCTCTTCTTTCAATTCACTCAGCAAATTTTATGGAATAAAATTATGCGCTCTAATAGCTCACCTCTTAGTCATATGCATTTATTTGGTATGGAGAATTAGATATCCATATCACTGTTTAAAAGCCAAAAAGTGGCCGGGCATAGTGGCTTGTAATCCTAGCATTTTGGGAGGCTGAGGCGGGTGGACTGCCTGAGCACAGGAGTTCGAGACCAGCCTGGGCAACATGGCAAAATTCCATCTCTACGAAAAATACAAAAAATAAAATAAAATAAAGGCCAAAAAGTCATCAATGTCAACATAAATGAGCTCCCACTCCAACTGATTTCTTCAAATTTCAGCTCAAATTAAAAATATTATTATATTTTATTGTAAGGATCTCACTTACCAGTGGTGTTTCAAAGTAAGGTGTAGGATTTGGAGACCAAGACTGAGGCACAATACTATAGACCGAGTACTGTTGGTGAGGATTATATACAGGCTGCATAAAGACTGGGGAGGCATACTGTGCTTGAGTTTGAATGGGGTGACTATAGATACTAGAATCCATTAATCGATAACCATTCTTAGCAAAAAATGTATTGATGGCTTTTATCCTTGCCTAGAAGAGGAACACATTATAGCAACAAAGAATTAAGTGTATATTTTAAAAAATACATTTAATTTACATTTTAACATATATTTTACATGACTATACTATTTCTGCCTACAGTAGAATCAGTAGAGCAAAAGAAAAGAAAATGACAGCTTTAATTAATTAATAAATAATAAAAACGTTTTCATGGTATAAAAACCATAGTAAACAAGGTAAAACCCCCCCCGCCACACACAAACACACGTCAAAATAACCAGGTGTGCTGGCTCACACCTGTAACCTGAGCACTTTCAGAGGTCAAGGGGGTAGGATCGCATGAGCCCAGGAGTTCGAGGCCACCCTGGGTACCACAGTGAGACCCATCCCTTACAAGGAAAAAAAAAAAAAAAAAGCTGGGCATGGTGGCATGCAACCTGTAGTCCTAGCTGCTTGGGAGGCAGAGTGGGGAGGACTGCTTGAGCCAAGGAGCTGGAGGCTGCTGTGAGCTATGATCGCACTACCACACTCCAGCCTGGGCAACAGAGCGAGACCCTGTCTCTAAACAACAACAACAAGCAGAGTAAAAACCTCCCAAAAAACTAAGTCAAAACAGTAAATTGTAGCTCATCACAGGCAAGGGTACTAGTATCTCTAATACACGAATTGTAAAAACAGACATGAAAAGGCCCAACAATGCTATGAACAGCGTTCACAGAACAAAAAAAGGCAAACGGCTCTTAAACATATGAAACAGATGCTAAACTCACTCATAAAAGAAATGCAGGCATATGTAAAAATGCTCAAAATCACTAATCATCAAAGAAATGTAAGTTGAAATCACAAGATAGCATCTCACATCTATTAAAATGGGTGCAGCAAAAAAAACAACAGGAAGTGTTAGAGAAGATATGGAGAAAAGGGAACTTTTGTACACTGTTGCTGGGAAGGTAAATTAGTATAGCCAGTATGGAAACTAGTATGGAGATTCCTCAAAAGTTAAAAATAGGCCAGGCTCAGTGGCTCATGCCTGTAATCCCAGCACTTTGAGAGGTTGAGGCGGGCAAAGCACTTGAGGTCATGAATTCCAGACCAGCCTGGCCAAAATGGTGAAACCCCGTCTCTACCAAAAACACAAAAATCAGCTGGGCATGGTGGCACACGCCTGTAATCCCAGCTACTTGGAAGGCTGAGATTGCAGTGAGCTGAAATTGTGCCACCGCACTCCAGCCTGGGCAAGAGCAAGACTCTGGGTCAAAAAAAAGTTAAAAATAGAAGTACCGTATGATCCAACAACCCTATGTATATCCAAAGGAAATGAAATTAGTATGCTGAAGGGTATCTGCACTACTGTCTGTGTTGCAGCATTACTTATAGTGGCTAACATATGGAAACAACCCGGTGTCCACAGCAAATGAATCGATGGAGAAAACGTGGTGTACACACACACTGGAATACCATTCAGTTGTTTATTTATTTATTTTTTTGAGACAGAGTCTTGCTCTGTCGCCCAGGCTGGAGTGCAGTGGTGCAATCTTGGCTCACTGCAACCTCCGCCACCTGGTTCAAATGATTTTCCTGCCTCAGCCTCCTGAGTAGCTGGGATTAGAGGCACCCACCAACACGCCCGGCTGATTTTTGTATTTTTTTTAAGACACAGAGTCTCACTCTGTGGCCCAGACTGAAGTGCAATGACACGATCTCAGCTCACCACAACCTCCACCTCCTAGGTTCTAGCAATTATCCTGCCTCAGCCTCCAGAGTAGCTGGGATTACAGGCACATACAGCCATACCCAGCAAATTTTTTTGTATTGTTAGTAGAGACGGGGTTTCACCCTGTTGCCCAGGCTGGTCTGGAACTCCTGAGCTCAGGCAATCCACCCGCCTCAGCCTCCCAAAGTGCTAGGATTACAGGCATGAGCCACCGCGCCTGGCCTTGATTTTCATATTTTTACTAGAGATGGGGTTTCACCATGTTGGCCAGGCTGGTCTTGAACTCCTGACCTCAGGTGATCCGCCTGCCTTGGCCTCCCAAAGTGCTGAGATTACAGGCATGAGCCACCATGCCCAGACCCATTCAGTCTTAAAGAAGGAAATCCTGTCATTTGTGACAACCTGAATGAACCTAGAAGACATTATGCTAAGTGAAATAGGGCAGGCACATAAAGACAAACACTGCATGATCTCACTTGTATTTGAAATCTAACAAGGTGGAACTCATAGAGACAGTATAATGGTGGTTACCATAAGCTAGGGATAGGGGGAGGCAGGGACTGGGGAAATGTTTCATAGGGTATAAAGTTTGTGTTAGAAGAAATAAGTTCTGGAGAGCAGGGTGATGATAGTTAATAATAATGTATTATGTAATTCAAAATTGCTGACTTTAAATGTTTGCAATACCAAAAAGGCATGTATACAATTTGATTTGCCAACTAGAATAACTTAATAAAGCTGTGGGGAAAAAATATACCCACGTGACTATTCACTAACACTAATTGTAAAAGGTGAGGAAACCTATGGGCCCCAGAAGCAACCCAACAGTCCATCACCAGTTGAACACAACGTGTACATCCAAACAACTGAGTATCATAAACGTAAAAAAGAACTGAAAAAATGCTCTAAACACCATTATGAAGTGACTTCCAGAATACACTATTAAGTCAAAAAAAAATTAACAGGAGACAAGGCAGCCAGGCACAATGGCTCATGCCTGTAATCCTAGCACTTTGGGAGGCCAAGACAGGTGGATCACCTGAGGTCAGGAGTCAAGACCAACCTGGCCAACATAGTGAAATCCCATCTCTACTAAAAAAATACAAAAAATTAGCCAGGCATGGTGGTGCACACCTGTAATCCCAGCTACTCGGGAGGTTGAAGCAGGAGAATTGCTTGAACCCAGGAGGCGGATTTTTTTCCGAGATTTTCATATGGGAAAAAGGAGAAACAGACATGAGGCAGAAGAAAGGAAAACCATACAGCCTGAATTTAAATTGTAAGCATCAGTACAAACCTACATTTTTGTCTTAAAACATAAAAACTAAACAGCTCTGTCTAAAAAAGCTTAGAAACAATGACAAAACCAGTAGACACAAATACTACTTGTGTCTAGGCAGTGGTCCACAAAATACCATTTCCCCATAAAGTAGCCTAAGGATTTAAAAGAACTGGTTGACTCCAGTCCTTTGGCATGAAATGTGTAAGAGCCTGGAACATCTTGACAAACTGCACAGCAAGGTAACCAGTAAAGATTGCTACGGCTGGCCAGGCAGGGTGGCTCACGCCTGTAATCCCAGCACTTTGGGAGGCTGAGGCGGGCGGATCACGAGGTCAGATCAAGACCATCCTGGCCAACATGGTGAAACCATGTCTCTACTAAAAACACAAAAAATTAGCTGGGCGTGGTGGTGCACACCTGTAGTCCCAGCTACTTGGGAGGCTGAGGCAGGGGAATCGCTTGAACCCAGGAGGCGGAGGTTGCAGTGAGCTGAGATCGTGCCACTGCACTCCAGTCTGGCAACAGAGCAAAACTCCATCTCAAAAAAAAAAAAAAAAAAAAAAAAAAAAATTGCTATGGCTGTATAACAAAAGGTCTCAGGAGTCAATTCAAAGAGGCCAATATCAACACGAACAGTAAACACCCCAAATATGTTTAAATATTCAAAACCGAAAACAGATAAAAATTGGCTAAAAAATCAACACTTTTAAAAACTGGTAATAAAAGCCAGAGTCAAGCATGTAACATGGATTTCACATAGAACCTGTAACTCAGGGTAATGAAGATGAGTAAGAGTTTCTAATAAATGAAAAATAGATAGAGAAATACCACAATTTTAGCAATCTCTAATGAATTAACAGACCAATGAGCATAGCAGCTAGCTTTTGTATCCTCTCTATTGCCCCAAAAATCAAACCCTTGCTACCAAGGTAGCAAGGCATCATGCCTCTTGCTACCAAAATGCATGAAATATGGGAGACAGATCAGTATCTAGCTACTTTCCATGATAGCCATGTCTTTAAAAAACAGAAAAAGAAAAAAAGATCTAGCGACCAATTTGCATGAAAAACAGGAGAGAAAGGACAGAGAATCATGTTAAACTGCACTCAAGAATAAAGGCAGCAAAATCTATATTCCAAGAAACACTGCAAGACAGATAATGATTATCTTACCCATAAACTTCCAAAAGAAAAAAATACAAAGTTATAGGAAAAAACTACAGATTTTTATTTTTTATTTTACTTTCTTTTTGGACACAGTCTTGCTCTGCCGCCAATGTTGGGGGTGCAGTGGTGTGATCTCGGCTCACTGCAACCTCCTCCTCCAAGGATCAAATGATTCTCGGGCCTCAGCCTCCCGAGTAGCTGGGACTACAGGCATAAGCCACAAAGCCTGGCTAAATATTTTTGTATTTTTAGTAGAGACAGGGTTTCACCATGTTGGCCATGCTGGTCTGGAACTCCTGGCCTCATGTGATCTGCCTGCCAAAGTGCTGGAATTACAGGAACGAGCCACAGTGTCCAGACCAGATTTTTAAAGAGGAAAAAACGAGAAAGAAGGGGAATCAGGAAAATATGAAAAGTGACTAGGTACTTGATAATGTTCAAGACATTGTTCATTTTTAAAAGTCTAATGATGATATTGTCGTCATGTATTAAGAAAGAATCTCGGCTGGGTGCAGTGGCTCACGCCTGCAATCCCAGAACTTTGTGAGGCCAAGGCAGGCAGATCAACTGAGGTCAGGAGTTTGAGACCAGCCTGGCCAACATGGTGAAACCCTGTCTCTACTAAAAATACAAAAATTAGCCAGGCGTGGTGGTGGGTGCCTGTAATCCCAGCTACTCAGGAGGCTGAAGCAGGAAAATTGCTTGAACCCAGTGGGGCAGAGGTTGCAGTGAGCCAAGACCACACTTCACTCCAGCCTGGGCATAAGAGCAAGACGCAGTCTCAAAAAAAGGGAAAGAATCCCTCTTGATAGAGATACAAATCTTAATTTATTTATGGATGAAATCTGAAATTAAGGTTGAAATTTGCTTCAAGATGACTGGGGTTGTGGAGAGAAATGAGTGGGAATATAGAGGAAACAATGGCCATTTTCTACTAACTGTTAAAATTGGGTAACATTTATAGAGTTTCAGTCTTATAAAAAGAGTTCTGGAGATAGATGGCAGTGATGGCTGCAAATCATTGTGAATGTATTTAATAGCACTAAACTGTACACTTAAGAACAGTTAAGATGGGGGGAAAAAGATAAAACAAACAAAAATAAGAACAATTAAGATGGTATATTGTATGTCCATTTTGCCAAAATTTTAAAACTGGGGGCTGGGGCCAGACCTGGTGGCTCACTCCTGTAATCCCAGCACTTTGGAAGGCCGAGGCGCGTGGATCACAAGGTCAGGAATTCAAGACCAACCTGTCCAAGATGGTGAAACCCCATCTCTACTAAAAATACAAAAATTAGCTGGGCGTGGTGGCAGGTGCCTGTAATCCCAGCTACTCGGGAGGCTGAGGCAGAGAACTCCTTGAACCTGGGAGGCAGAGGTTGCCATGTGCTGAGATTGCGTCACTGCAGTCCAGCCTGGGCAACACGGCAAGACTCCGTCTCAAAAAAAATAGAAAAAAATGGGGGGGGAGTGGTGCGGAGCTGGGCCCAGTGCCTGACACCTGTAATCACAACACTTTGGGAGACCAACGTGGGAAGATCACTTGAGTCAGGAGTTTGAGACCAGCCTGGGAAGACAGCAAGACCCTGTCTCCACAAAAACAAACAAACAAACAAAATAATTAGCTACTCTGAAGGCAGAAGGATCCCTTGAGCCCAGGAGTTCAAGGTGGCAGTGTGCTATGATCACGCACACTGTACTCCAGCCTGCGCAACAAAGTGAGACCCTGTCTCTTTAAAAAATAAAATAAAATAAATAAAACTGGGGGAAAAAATTGGATAATGGGTAAACAGTAACTAATTATACCATTTTATCAATTTATATGCTTCAAATTCCTATATTACTTTTAAAAAGGAAAAAAATGCTCTAACACTTGGTAAATTTATAAAGCAGACCATTTTATGCACTGCTTGTGGCTGCTTTTGCCCTGCAAGTTGCTGCAACAGGAATTACATGGCCATCAACATCTATAATATTTACTGTTTGGCTCTTCAAAGAAAATGTTTGCTGACCCTTTTAATAAAACCACAGGCTGAGTATGCCTTACCCAAAATGCTTGGTACCAGCTTTTTTTGTATTTAGGAATATTTGCATTGTATTTTCCAGTTGAGTATCCCAAATCCGAAAATCCAAAAGGCTCTAATGAGCATTTCCACTGAGCAGCATGTTAGTACTCAAAAACTTTTCGATTTTGGAGCAATTCAAATTTAGGATTTGGGATGCTCAAGCTACATAATATGAAGATATAAGAAGGTTAGATTAGAAACCAAAGGCACACCAAGTTGCTGGGAATATCAAATGAAATAACACATGTGAAAGCATAAAATTACCACTGCAATGAATGTATGAAAGATACATTTTATGATCCTTACAGCCATAGGCCAGGAACCCTCCTCCACTCCTAAAATTGCAATCAGTCAAACAATAAGAAATCAATTATGGCCAACCTTGACAAACTGATTTTAACAAGACCTAAAAAATAACTATGGCTATTGCTTTTACCTAAGTAATGTCATACATTATAGTACACTTTAATGTTAAAATGTCCCCTAAGGAACTAAAATCAAGTAAACAGCATTATTTTAAAAATACAGTCCACTAGGCCGGGTGTGGTGGCTCACGCCTCCAATCCCAGTACTTTGGGGGGCTGAGGCGGGCGGATCACAAGGTCAGGAATTCGAGACCAGCCTGGCCAACATAGTGAAACCCTGTCTCTACTAAAACTACAAAAATTAGCCAAGCATGGTGGCATGCGTCTGTAGTACCAGCTACTCGGGAGGCTGAGGCAGGAGAATCGCTTGAAACCCAGGAGGCAGAGGTTTTGGTGAGCCAAGATCATGCCACTGCACTCCAGCCTGGATAACAGAGCGAGACTCCGTCTATAAAAAAAAAAAAAAATATATATATATATATATATAGAGAGAGAGAGAGAGAGAGAGAGAGAGAGAGAGAGAGAGAGAGAGAGAGAGAGAGAGAGAGAGAGAGGGAGAGAGAGAGACCACTAGTCAAGAAAACAGCAATTGGTCAGGCGCGGTGGCTCACACCTGTAATCCCAGCACTTTGGGAGGCTGAGGTGGGCAGATCATGAGGTCAGGAAATCGAGACCATCCTGGCTAACATGATGAAACCCCGTCTCTACTAAAAAATACAAAAATAAATCAGCCAAGCGTGATGGCAGGCGCCTGTAGTCCCAGCTACTCAGGAGACTGAGGCAGGAGAATGGCGTGAACCCAGCAGGCGGAGCTTGCAGTGAGCCGAGTTTGTGCCACTGCACTCCAGCCTGGGCGACAGAGCGAGACTCCGTCTCAAAAAAAAAAAAAAAAAGAAAAAAGAAAAAAAGAAAACGGCAATGAAAGAAATATTTCAGGGCATGGAACTGCAGGTGAAAAAGAATCAAAAAAAGGGAGGGAAAATAAGGACTCCAAGATGACCCAGATGTCAGACTGCAGACAAAGTTTTAATACAGCTCTTACAAGTACATATATTCATGGATAACATTTATGTTTCTAATAAATTGAAATTAAGGGGAAATCACAGCAGAGAGAGAAGAAATATTTTGAAAAATGGAAACTCTAGAATACAGCATCTAAAATATTCACTGGACAGTCCTATCACATTGGGGACAGCAAAAGAAAAGTTCAGTGAACTTGAAGATGAACCCAAATCCACAGAAATGATCCAATCTGGAGAACAACAACAACAACAAAAATAGGTTGAAGAAAAATGAACAGAATCTCAGTGACATCAATCAGTCCAACATATGAAATTGGAGTACCAAAAAAAGAAAGGAGAAGAGAGGGCAGAAAAAATTTTTGGCAAGTATTTGGAAATTCCCCAAATGCAGTAAAGAATATCAACATACAGAGCCAAGAAGTTTAGTATTTCCCAAGTATAATAAGTAAAAGCATACTAGACACACCATAGCCAACCTACTGGAAACCAAAAATAAAACATCTTGACAGCAGGCAAAGAAAAAGGACACATCATATACAGGGGAAGAACCATGTGAATGATGGTGAACATCTCATCAGAAACAAGAGTCCAGAATGGTATCTTAAAAGAATGGAAAATAATTTTAGCTGTCATCCCTGCATTCTGTATCCATGGAAAATACTCATCACAAATGCTGGGCGCAGTGGCTCACGTCTATAGTCCCAACACTTTGGGAGGCCTTAGTGGGGGGATCGCTTGCCCTCAGGAGTTAAGAGACCAACCTGGATGACACAGCAAAACTCCGTCTCTACCACAAAAAAAGTAGAAAAATTAGCTGAGCATGGTGGCATGCACCTGTAGTTGCAGCTAACTCGGGCCGGGGGTGGGTGCGAGGCAAGAGGAGGCTGCAATGAATTGAGATTGTACCACTGCACTCCAGCCTGGGTGATAAAGCAAGACACTGTCTCAAAAAAGAGTGTGAAATACCAGACATTTTTAGTTAAGGAAAAACTAAGAGAATTCGTTGCTGGTTGGTACTGTAACAAACACCAATGGAAGTTCCTTAGGCTGAAAGGAACTGATACCAGTTATTTTCAGGCATAGAAATCACAATTGAAACAGAATGAAGCACTGCCTCTTAATGAAATCATCAATAAATTAGGAAATGAGTGGATAAACATTATCCACTTAATGTCCCTTTCCTCCAACGTCATCACTTCTAAATCACAGAACTTTAGAAATGAAGAGCATGGACACTACAAAGAAACAAACCAGAACCTTACAGGTTGGCCTGACATACTCAAGATACAACAGCTGGTGGCAGAAAGCACCACCAGGATTGGAGTATAGCATTCCTTGCTTCTGCACCTGTCTTTCCAGGTGTTAGGTCATTTGATTTTAATAAATGGTATAAAAGTTAATGTGAATTTTCTTGCAACTTATGTTGCTATGTGATGGCTCATCAAAAGAAGCATAAAGAAAAACTAAAATGGCAGAGAAAAACATTACTTATAATAAAATATTTGTGTTTTTACTACTATATCTGAGACCCCCAGCAAAAGCAATAGAAATAAGAAATGGGAGGTATAAGGAATAATCAAAATAGTGATTATCTGTAGACATTAAAACATTAAAAAAAATCAGTAAGACACCAAGAAGAAAAAGCAACCAAAATTATTTTAAAGTAGTAAAAATGAATTGAATTAACAATGAAATACATAATAGTTACCATAATAATGAATAATGTAGGCTAAAACAACCAGCTGTCCCCAATTTAACCAATAAATTGAACAGAATTCCATTAATTCCATTATAGATTTTGTTTGGCTGTTTGTTGGAACTAGACAAATATTCTAAAATTGTTTGAAAATGTAATGATCTAAGAAGAGCCAACACAATCCTGAAAAATAGGGTCAAGGACAAAGAACTAGCAGAAATAAATAAGGATATTATAAAATGATGATAATTAAAACAGTGATATCTGGCCAGGCAAGGTGGCTCACACCTGTAATCCCAGCACTTTGGGAGGCCGAGGTGGGTGGATCACCTGAGGTCAGGAGTTCGAGAGCAGCTTGGCAAACATGGCAAAACCCCGTCTCTACTAAAAATACAAAAATTAGCTGGGCGTGGTTGTTAGGCACCTGTAACCCCAGCTACGCCGGAGGCTGAGGCAGGAGAATCGCTTGAACCCAGGAGGTGGAGGTTGCATTGAGCTGAGATTGTGCCACTGCACTCCAGCCTGGGTGGTAAGAGTGAAACGCCATTTCAAAAATAAATAAATTAAGAAAATAAAATTAAATTAAATTAAACAGTGATATCCAGGAATGCAATCATGGTGTGGTGGCTCACATCTGTAATCTCAGCACTTTGGGAGGCTGAGATGGAAGGACTGTTTGAGTTCAAGAGTTTGAGACCAGCCTAGGCAACATAGACCCCAACTCTACCAAAAATTTAAAAATTAGCCAGGCATGATGGTGTGCACCTGTGGTCCCAGCTACTTGGGAGGCTGAGGTGGGAAGATCACTTGAGCCTGAGAGGTCGAGGCAGCAGTGAGCCGTGATCATGCCCCTGCACTCGAGCCTAGGTGACAGAGAGAAAGAAACCCCAGTCTCAAAAACAAAACAAAACAAAACAAAACAGCCATATTGGTTCAGGGAAGCAGAACTCAAAGAAAACAGAGAATCTGAAACAAATCTCATAGCTGCAGAAGTTGCAGAAGAATAGAAATGACAAAAAATTAAGTGTTGAAATAAATGTCTTTCCATATATGGGGAAAAATAGAACTAGATTCCTATCTTATACTATATATAAAATTAATTCCAGATATACCAAAGACCCACTTCTGAAATACTTTAAAACTTTAAAGCTATTAAGAAGACTCAGGAGAATATCTTTATAAAAGCCTCAAAGCAGGGAAAGATAAAAGGGAGAAGAACATCATAGACAGAGGAAGTAGAATGACAGCTAGAAAACAGCCTCATCTGTAATATGGAAACTAATAATCCCACCTACTTCACAGCAATTATGAGATTTAAATATGGTAAGTTCTTAGAACCTCTTAATAAATGTAAGTCACTGTTATCCTAGTTCTTCCACTTACTAGTTATGTGAAACTAGGTAGGTTACCCTCGTGTCTTATTATCCTCACTAGGAAACTGAAGAAAACAAAAGCACTATCTCATTAGGTTCCTGTAAGGATTAAATGAGTCAATACATGTAAAGTGCTTAAAACAGAAAGTGACACACAGAGTTCAACACAGAGGGATTAGTAAGAATAATGTATTACATTTACAAATAAGAATAACTATAGCACACAGGGAATGAGGATCAAGTCGAACTAAGTGTATGTTACTGGATTATGGTTTAGAACACTAGCTCTGGTAGCAATGTGAAGAACAGATTGTTAAGGGGGGGAAAAACTGGTAACACAGCAGTTAAGAGGCTACTCCAAGTGTTCAAGCCTAAACAATGGGAGATTTTTGGAAAGCATTTTCACAGGACCTGAGAACAGATTAGACATGTAAAGACAGGGATCAAATGTGTCATCAGTGACAATGCCTAGGTTTCCAAATGGTTGTATTGATGGTACGTAGTGATGCAGTTAATTGAGATGAGGTTGAAAGTACTGTGAATATTTTTCATCTGTTACTAAAAATTATTTCTATTGCTCATTTTGAGATCTGGAATTATCTCATATGTTGTAAATCAGCATCTAATTAAACCTCATGCTATTTGAAGTTACCCCTTTGTAAAGAATTGCTGTACACAAAGTATTTTTATGGCTTATCAAAGGATTTTCTGAAGTAGCACATAATACAAGCCAGAAAATTTGTTGTTGTTGTTTTTGAGACAAGGTCTTGCTCTGTCCCCCAGGCTGGAGTGCAGTGATGCAATCTCTGCTCACTGCAACCTACGCCTCCCGGGTTAAAGCAGTTCTCCTGCCTCAGCCTCTCAAGTATCTGGAACTACAGGCGTGTGCCACAACACCCGGCTAATTTTTTCTATTTTTAGTAGAGATGGGGTTTCATCATATTGGCAAGGCTGGTCTCGAACTCCTGGCGTCATGCTATCCACCTGCCTTGGACTCCCAAAGTGCTGGGATCACAGGTGTGAGCCACCACGCCTGGACCAAGCCAGAAACTTTTTGAAAGTCACTATGGGTTTTTATAAAATATTATCTGTCTGTATTTTTTAAATTCTCATACAGAGAACCAAAACCTGTTCTGGTTTCACACTGATCTCTATTTCTTACCATAATTGGCTTGCCCTGAAATGTTTTAACTTCTTCTCTTAAGTATTTAAAAGCCTGTTAACAAAGCACAAAAAAAACTTTCATTAGCATTCAAACATTTCAGTAAAGTTATCTTTATTATGTTGAGAGTTTAGTATTAAACTATAAAAACAAAATTATGTAGGTGATTCCACTGTGCAGGTGGACAGGGAATGAAAAAGTAAAAATGTAACGCCTTCTCAATCACAGTTCATATTTATTGTAGAAAAGCCACCATGGATTACTGCAGACAAAATGCATTAGGATTGAAAACAGACCCAAAATATCCCTAGAAACCAATTTAAAAATGATCAACTTTCTAATAAATTGTTTTAAAAAATAAAAATCTGTGAGTGATTTTTAAACACCCTTATCATAGATATATTTGTGTTTCAAAGGATTATTTCTCTTTAAGACATGTTAACAATTAAGAATAAAACCATCACCGGGTGCAGTGGCTCATGCCTGTAATCCCAGCACTTCGGAAGGCTGAGGCAGGCGAATCACGAGGTCAGGAGTTTGAGACCGGCCTGACCAATATGGTGAAACCCCACCTCTACTAAAAATACAAAAAATTAGCTGGGTGTAGTGGCGGGTGCCTGTAATTCCAGCTACTTGGGAGGCTGAGGCAGGAGAATCACTTGAACCCAGGAGGTGGAGGTTGCAGTGAGCCGAGATTGCGCCACTGCACTCCAGCCCGGGCGACAGAGTGAGACTCCGTCTCAAAAAAAAAAAAAAGAATAAAACCATCAAGTCAAAATTCCAAGAATTTTGTTTATTGCAGACCTATTATGTACTAAAAATACCACTAGGTACATGGTTCTCGATCCCTATGTTAATTTTAAAACTGTTATGTTAATATTCTTATCGACAGAAAACAAACTTCCTAAATCAAAACTGAAAAACTTTAGGAAGATGATCAAAAAGGAAACCAATTGAGCAAAAGCAAAAGGGTGACCAAGGTACTCACTAGTCTTGATAAACATCAGTGTAAACACACATTTTCTCAATTAAAATATACCACTACTTATTTTGCCACTAGGATGGACTTGTATCAGAAAATGTTTTCTTCTTACCTGTTGTGCATCTGTGTCTGACTGGAAAGTGATATACCAGTTGCTATTGTGTGCAAACTCACAGCTTATCACTTTGGGGCAGTTTTCACTTTTGAACAAACCTTTCACTTCCTAAAAAGAAAAAGAAAATTAGTTAACTCTAAAAAATACATCAATAATTGGCATTTTTTGTTGGTTTGTTTACTAGTAATGTTAAGCCTATCTTCATGTCTTTGGTCCTATCACTTCACTTAACTTTTGCCCATTTTTCCACTGAGGATGGGCTGTTTCAAAACAAATACAGAGTTAATAGGAGATATATTTGAGTCTGGTCTCAAACTCCCGGATGCAAGCGATCCTTCCGCCTGAGCACTCCAAAGTGCTGAGATTACAGGCACGAGCCACTCCACTTGGCCAGGAGATGTATTTTGTACATGATTTTGGGATGATTTATTTTACAATAAGCAAAGCGTAAGTATTTCACTTCCAGTGGCAAGCTAAATGCTTAGTGAAATCTCCCCTGTCCTTTTCCTGCCTGGCCTCCCACAGGACAAGTGATATCTTTCATTAACATTTTCTAGGCAATACAAATTTTCACGCATTCTCATTTAATCCAGTTGCTTTGCTTACAACACATACATTAGTTAATGTGCAAACATATCTTCTCTTTTCCGTAATTAGTATAAATGTAAACAGAAACTCCAACAGCTATATGGATTCAGAAAAAGGGTGACTACCAAAACTCAAAATGGTAAAACTGTTAATGGATTGAAAGAAGCTTATTAAAAAAAAAAATTAAGTGAACATTAAGTATCCTTAAGAAGTAACAGAAGGAAAGAAAATATCTACTGAAATAGCAAAGGTCAAATGCAGCCTGAGAGCTCAGTGGCTCACTTCTGTAATCTCAGCACTTTGGGAGATTGAAGTAGGGGAATTGCTTGAGCTCAGGATGAGCCTGTACAGCATAGCTAGACACCATCTTTACCAAAAAAAAGTGAAAATTGGCTGGGCATGGTGGCTGGCTCCCGTAGTCACAGCTACTTGGGTGGCTGAGGTAGGAGGACTGCTTGAGCCAAGGAGTTTGAGGCTGCAATGAACTATGATCGTACCACTGTACTACACCCTCAGTGACACGGCAAGACCTGTCTCAGAAAACCATTGATTGAGGAAAAATTTCTTAACATGAAAAAAAAATTTTAAAAGCAAAAAACAAAAAACTCCTCAAAAACCCAACAAAACATTTGGTACCTTGTTTTATTTACTGTTTTTCATGTGTATGAACTCTTTATGTATTCAGAATATGAATTGTAATAACCGCAAAAATGATAATGAAATGGGGCACAGTGGCTCACGCCTGTAATCCCAGCACTTTGGGAGGCCAAGGTGCACAGATTGCTTGAGCGCAGAGGCTTGAGAACAGCCTAGGCAACATGGCAAAACCCCATCTCTACAAAAAAGTACAAAAATTAGCCAGGCATGGTGGCATGTGCCAGTAGTCCCAACTACTCAGGAGGCTGAGATGGGAGGATCGCTTGAGCCCATGAGGTCAAGGCTACAGTAAGCCATGACTGTGCCACTGCACTCCACCCTGGGTGACAGACTGAAACCCTGTCTCAAAAAATAAAACAAAATAACACTCTGTTCTAAATAGCTAATCAATTACAATGTCAGTTACTAATTATCCTCATCTTCTTTAATGTATATCACCTTATCATGGCAACTTAACATGAAGCTCTGTGGCACAGTGATTATGAAACATGGGCTTTAGAATCAGAGAGATCATGTTCAAACCCAAACTCCTGTCATTTAAGAGCCCTTGTATCCTTGAGCAAGCTACGTAACCATCCTAACTGTCAGTTATTTCATCAGTAAAACAGGCAATAAAACCTTTGGCTTTAAATAATTGCAAAGTAATAACTGGGAGAATCTAATTGTCAAATTGATTATAATGTATCATTCAAATATTATTTTATTCCGGTACGTGTACCATACCATCTTTATGACTGCAACTTTGCTTTATATAATATTTCGCTGAACAATAGGGTTAGTCCTGCCTCCTTAATCCCTTTTTTTTTTTTGAGACAAAGAGTCTCACTCTGTAACCCAGGCTAGAGTGCAGTGGCTTGATCTCAGCTCACTGCAAGCTCCCAGGTTCACACCATTCTCCAGCCTCAGCCTCTCAAGTAGCTGGGATTACAGGCGCCCACCACCATGCCTGGCTAATTTTTTGATTTTTAGTAGAGATGGGGTTTCACCATATTAGCCAGGATGGTCTCCATCTCCTGACCTCACGATCCGCCTGCCTCAGCCTCCCAAAGTGCTGGGATTACAGGCATGAGCCACCCCGCGCCCAGCCCTGCCTCCTTAATCCTTAATCAAAATCTAGTTTTTCATTCATTCTTACAGATGAATTCTCAAGTTCCCAAAATAGCCTATTTATATATTAGTTGCCATTGAATCAATCTAGTAAATTCAGAATGTTTCACTGCAATACTTTGTCTACCCTTCTAAGAAAATAGAACTATATCTTTTCCTTTCTCTATACCATCCTAGTACTTCAGAATTAATGAAACAAATTAGTATTTAACCTTTTCACAGTAACTGATGAAGGCACTGACTTATGCTTTGCTTGTGTACCTCTTCCAATTTTTCTTCTTTGCCACGAAAGGCAGAAGAAACCTCTTTTAATTTAAACAGAGAACATTTAGTGTTAACAATTATTAATAATTTACCTCTATTGGTGTTGTTTCAGGAATCTCTCTAAGAATTACAATACAACGCTTATGACTTGGTCTCACTTTCTCACCCTTCTCATCAACTTGTACCATGGGAGAAGCTGAAATTTAAAAGAAAGGGTATCACTCAAACGTGACAAGTAGTGATATTATTAATGCCATTAAAGAAACTATTCATTTTAATTTCCAACTGAGTAAATTTGCAGAGGCTGGGTTAATATCCTAAAGAAACTAAGTTGTAGAATCAAAGATTATAGGTATGACAATTTTTTGGAGATTTGTATGTAAAGAACACTGTCAAATGTTATTCATTGAAAAAACATTCAGAGTACTTAACAGAGTAAGTTTGGCACTGCCTTCAGGGAGCATACAACATATATCTAATAAGGCAAATTTCTTGTATATAATAACCAAATTCTTCATTGAGGAGATAACAAATGGATGTTAACAGAAATTAGTGTACTTTCATTGGCCAAACACTATGTTGAGGAGTATAATGAAATCTGATATATGAAGAAATTCTTCCTAAGATTAAAGTTCAAGAAGCCCTTAAACTAAGAACTATATGCAAATTATAAGCTATCCAGGATTTCAACTTACTTAATCTTGCATACTACTACAGAGACCCAAAAGCCATCTTTTAAATGCTGATTATGAGGAAATATTATACTAAATATAGTAGCAAATAGTCCCTTCATGGAGTTAATATACCAGATCTCCATGAACAGGTAAGTAGAATAAAATAAGCAGTTAAGTGTGATGGCATAGGTATAATAAGTGCCAAGTTCCAGCCTAAACAGGTGGGAGATTCTGCCTCTCTTTGCCAACTTTTAATGCAGACAAGATTGGGTCATTTTAAGAAATGATGTCTCTACAAACCAATGAGAGATTCCATAAATGTTTGTAATCCTCTGTAATGTTCCATAAATGTTTGTAATCCTCTGTAATGTTCCATTAATGTTTGTAATCCTCTGTAATGTTCCATAAATGTTTGTAATCCTCTGGAAATGGAAATCTATTCCACTGTAAGTCTATTATCAGACTTGCTATATTTAACTTTTAAACATGTTCAACACATCTCATATAAAAGTGAAGATCTGCCTTATTCAGTCAAATAGTTAACAAAACCCACTCTTAAGAGGTTACCAAGAAATACTGATACAAGACACAAAATCCAGCAAAAATTCTTAAAGCTTCAATCAAGAAATAAAAATTCATTACCAAACTTCAGAGCAGTATTTGTCAAACTGCCCACAGCAACTCATTAGTAGGTTGTAAAATTAGAAACAAGTTTGTTACAAATATTTCGGTCAGGTGTAGGTATATGGTGTATATTGAACTGTCACGAAAAATGTACTTCTTATTTGGGTTTAAAAACTTGAAAGAGATTGTCTTAAAGGTTGTGTGATAACGATACATATCTAACACTCCAGAAAAATGAGACTTAATTGCTTATACTTCTTAAGTGGGCATGATGATAAACAACCAAGGTGCAGAATTATTACAGAAGCTGTATATAGGCCGGGGGTGGTGGCTCACGCCTGTAATTCCAACATTTTGGGAGGCTGAGCAGGATATATATATATATACATACACACATATACACACACACACACCCCCACACACCAGTCAGTAGCGGGATATATATATATATATATATACATACACACACACACACACCCCAGCGGGATATATACACACACACACACACATATCACACACACACACACACACCAGCGGGATACACACACACACACACACACACACACACACACACACACACAGAGTCAGTAAAAATGGGAAGCCAAGGTGGGAGGACTGACTCAGCCAAAGAACAAAGACCAGCCTGGGGAACATACCAAGACCCCACCTCTATACAAAAATTTAAAGATTAGCCAGATGTGGTGGTGTGCGCCTGGGGTCCCAGTAACTTGGGAGGCTACGAGGTAGAAGGATGGCTTGAGCCCAGGAGTTTGGGGCTGCAGTGAGCTGTGATTTGCACCATCACACTCCCGCTTGAGTGACAGAGTGAGACCCTGTCTTTCACCACAACCCCCGAAAAAAAAAAACAAAGAGAGAGAATTCGGAACAAAACAACAAAATAAGGGTGTGGGGAGGGGGCAGTAAAAATAATTCCCTATATGATCAGAAGTCGAAATAACATTTTACGTTTAAAAATTAAAAAAAAAGCTAAAAGGTATTTTTACATACATCTTAACACTTCAAGAATTAGATCAGGGTCTGTAGTCAACTTTTTTATTTCTTCCATGTTGGCAACTGTCCAAATTGGGATGAACTGATCACTATCCATTTGAGATATCAAGTAAAGATCCTTTGACAAATTTTCTCTGAAAAAACAAAATAGTCCTATAAAACAAGCAATTATTAAAAAGCATCTAACAAGAGGTATCTTACTCACTTTTCCTACTTTTTAAATGCATGGAAATAAGATTATTCTATCAGAAATAACATTAAACTTTTCAGTGAACTCTAAAAAGTTGTTAAAAGTTCAATTCAAAAGATACTAATGTAATATATACATAAACATTAGTTAATATAACTTTTACAGTATCTCAATTCCCAAACACATCTAGCACAACATTGGACAATTATACTGATACATAAAGAGGTTTAATATTACAAGTAGCACTTTAACAAAACATTACATATAGCAGAGTTCCATCTTATAAATACTTCATCAGTGATATTAGAATATGCATGATAAAAACTGTAGCTGAACTGTGAACTGACTCAAGAAGGATTTTCCATTTCTGTTTCTTTTTTTCCTGAGACAGAGTCTTGCTCTGTTGCCCAGTCTGGAGCGCAGTGGCGCAAACTCGACTCACTGCAAGCTCTGCCTTCCGGGTTCAAGTAATTCTCCTGCCTCAGCCTCCCGAGTAGCTGGGACTACAGGCGCCCGCCATCACGCTCGGCTAATTTTTTTTTGTATTTTTTAGTACAGACGGGGTTTCACCGTGTTAGCCAGGATGGTCTCGATCTCCTGACCTCGTGATCCATCCGCCTCAGCCTCCCAAAGTGCTGGGATTACAGGCGTGAGCCAGCGCACCCTGTCCAAAATACGTGTTTTAAATTATTTAAGTCAAACATGCTTATATAAATACACACATTGGCTGGGTGCGGTGGCTCATGCCTGTAATCCTAGCACTTTGGGACGCCGAGGCGGGTGGATCATTAGAGGTCAAGAGCTCAAGACCAACCTGGCCAACATGGTGAAACCCCGTCTCTACTAAAAATACAAAAAATTAGCCAGGCTTGGTGGTGGGTGCTACTCGGGGTGCTGAGGCAAGAGAATCGCTTGAACCTGGGAGGCGGAGATTGCAATGAGCCGAGATCACGCCACTGCACTCCAGTTGGGGCAACAAGGGCGAAACTCCATCTCAAAACATAAACAAAAAAAAAAAAAGAAAAATAAAAAATATATATTTAATATTAACACAAAAGATTCTTTAAGGTACATTAAAAAAAGAAGATGCAAACACTTGCATCTTACACATAAAATCTTGTTTAATAAACTTAGGTAAAATCAAATTCACACCTTGCTATTCACATCAAATATTCTTTGAAGCAGTCTGGCTATAAATAGCTGGAAGTTTTTGCTTATAAGGCCCCTTCTCAAAGAGTACTGTTCTGATCACCCTATTTAAAACTGCAACCACCCCAGCATTCCTGATTCCTGTCCTTGCATTTAATTTTTTTCCCATAGCACTTATCTCCTAACATACTCCTTATTTATTATGTTTGTTTTGTGTTCTCACAGTCAGAATATAGGTTCCATGAAGGATCGCTGCTGTTCAATCAATAATGTATTTCAACTGCCTAGTGCCTGGCAAGGAGCAGGCTCAAAGGCCCTTACTTTTACATTCTATTAAAATAGAGGCCAGGCATGGTGGCTCACACCTGTAAACCCAGCACTTTGGGAGGCAAAGGTGGGTGGATCACCTGATATCAGGAGTTTGAGATTAGCCTAGCCAACATGATAAAACCTCGTCTCTACTAAAAACACAAAACTTAGCCAGGCACGGTTGTGCGTGCCCGTACTCCCAGCTACTTGGGAGGCTGAATCAGAAGAATCGCTTGAACCCGGGAGGTAGAGGTTGCAGTGAGCCGAGATCGTGCCACTGCACTCCAGCCTACGCAATAGAGTGAGAACTCCATCTCAAAAAAAAAAAAAAAAGATATTCCTTAAGAATCTGAAAATAAGACAACTATAAACATAATTTTTGCAAAACTAAAAAGCTGTAGCCTAAATGAACTCTGAAATTTAGCAGGTCTATTCTTAAACAGTGATTCAACTCTTAGCTAAAGAAACTGTACCTTGTCAGAAGTAAATCAAATTAATGGATATAACATCTAAGATTTGATTATTCATGAGTAATACCTGATATGTATTAATGGCAATTTTGCTGAGCTACAAATGTCAATTACCCAGCTGGTTCGAACTATATCACAGTCCTGAGTAGGATGTGATGGATCATGACAAGTAGGAGCTTCCACTGCAACAACTAAAAAAGCTGGGATAAACTACAAAAAAAAAAAAAAAAAAAATCACGTTTTTGGAGATCTGGGAAAGCTGTGGAAGCTTCAAGCACAAAATGACTAAAATGCCCCAAAGAAGATCTTTCCTTCCTGAGAGCATTTGCAGATCTTGACTCAGACTCTCCTGGACAATAGAGAAACCAGCAGATCTCCAGGCAGTTGTGTATAAGTATGTGGTAAGTGTAATGGGCAAAGAACTAGAATTATGAATGGAAATTATGGGAGCCACCAATACAGCTGATTTTCCCCATAAGATGTTTCCTGAGTTTTAAGGAGGAAGATGGGAGATTGAGAGTCAGGCTGAAAAGACAGTAAAATCTATGTGGTCTCGTGATTAAGTCCCAGTGCAAGCAAAAATGCGGCAAACGCAAGTCTCCCCGATAAGACACTGCCAGCTTTTCTTTTTTTTTTTTTTTTTGAAACGAAGTCTCGCTCTTATTCCCCAGTCTGGAGTGCAATGGTGCGATCTCGGCTCACTGCAACCTCCACCTCCTGGGTTCAAGCGATTCTCCTGCCTCAGCCTCTCGAGTAACTGGGATTAGTAGTGCATACCACCATGCCCAGCTAATTTTTTGTATTTAAGTAGAGATGGGGTTTCACCATGTTGGTCAGGCTAATACTGAACTCCTCACCTCAGGTGATCCGCCTGCCTTGGCCTCCCAAAGTGCTGGGATTACAGGTGTGAGCCACTGCGCCAGGCCAAGACACTGCCAGATTTTCAAGCAGTATGGGGTAGGAAGTTAAAGAGCTAAATCTCAAACCTCTGTATTAGAGATCTAAATCTCCTTGGTTTTGTAAGATTAGGGTGACACAAAACTGCCAAGCTCTAAATCAAAAGCCTGAAAGGGCCATGTAGAAGGAATAGAGCTAAATCAAAGGTGAACTGAGTCCATTTAAAATTGTTGCTCAGCCCTGACCTAGCTCAGTTCCTGATTGGATTGAAGCAATCAACATATCACTCTCTGCCTAACAGAAAAAAAGCTCAAACTCTGTCTAGAGTTATATCACCTACATCTTCTATGGTTCTGTTGTATGTAATGTACAGCATAAAATCAAAATTTACAAGACATACAAAAAGGCAGTAAATTATTACAGATAATTCAAGAGAAGAAACCCAGACAATAGAAGCAGACCCATAAATGATCTAGTTAGTAGGTAAAATTCACCCAGGCTGGAGTGCAGTGCTGCAACCTCGGCTTACTGCATACTCCACATCCTGGGTTCAAGCAATTCTCCTGCCTCAGCCTCCAGTAGCTGGAACTACAGGGCCACGCTACCACACCCCGCTAATTTTTGTATTTTCGTAGAGATGGGATTTTGCCATATTGGCCAGGCTGGTCTTGAACTCCTGACCTCAGGTGATCCACCTACTTTGGCCTCCCAAAGTACAGGCTAAAGTAAATATTACATGAATGTTTTTGTTTCCTTGTTTTTGAGGTGGAATTTCGCTCTTGCCGCCCAGGCTGGAGCCCAGGAATAACCTCAGCTCACTGCAATCTCTACCTCCCCGGTTCAAGTGATTCTCCTGCTGCCACCTCCCGAGTAGCTGGGATTACAGGCGCCCACCACCACACCTGGCTAATTTTTGTATTTTTTATTAGAGACAAGGTTTCACCATGTTGGCAAGCCTGTTCTTGAACCCCTGACCTCATGATCTGCCCACCTTGCCCTCCCAAAGTGCTAGGATTACAGGCATGAGCCACTGCGCCTGGCCCATTATTCTTATCTGTAAATAAGACTTCTCCAAATGTTTGCCTGAAAGGATTCCTTATTTAAGAGAAGACATTGGCAATATAAATTATCTGTCCAACTCCTTACTATTTTGCCAAAAATGACTCTATGATTAACATTACAAGAATCAACTATTAAAACATGCATTAAGAAATAACTTTTTGTCAATTCCAAAATTGAGTATGTTCATAGAAAAAACATCCAATGCAAACTTCATTATCTTTATATTAAGAATAGATCCTCTGCATATCAGACTGGAGACTACACTTTTTCTTTTTTGAGATGGAGTTTCGCTCTTGTTGCCCAGGCTGGAGCGCAATGGTGCGATCTCAGCTCACCACAACCTTCGCCTCCGGGGTTCAAGTGATTCTCCTGCCTCAGCCTCCCAAGTAGCTGGGATTACAGGCACGCACCACCATGCCCCGCTAATTTTTGTATTTTTAGTAGAGACGGGGTTTCTCCATGTTGGTCAGGCAGGTCTCGAACTCCCAGCTTCAGGTGATCCAGCCACCGAAGCCTCCCAAAGTGCTGGGATTACAGGCATGAGCCACAGCGCCCGACCCTACACTTTTAAATCTAGACAAGGGGCCGAGTGTGGTGCCATACGCCTGTAATCCCGACACTTTGCAAGGCAGAGGAGGGCAGGTCACATGAGGTTGCATGTTTGAGACTGGCCTGGCCAACATGGTGAAACCCTGTCTCTACTAAAAATACAAATATTAGCTGGGCATGGTGGCTGCACGCCTGTAATCCCAGCTACTCTGGAGGCTGAGGCACAAGAATCTCTTGAACCCTGGAGGCGGAGGCTGCTGTGAGCCGAGATCACACCACTGCACTCCAGCCCAGCGACAACATGAGACTCTGTCTCAAGAAAATAAAAAAAAAAATTAGTTAAATAATAATCACCATCCTTGCGCTCTATTTCACACGTATTTTACATCTACTAATAAAATTCAATAAAGGGGAAACAGCAATACCGTGAAAAACAGAATTCTAATTGTTTCTTCAGACATTCTTTTAGGTCTTCTGTAGAAACTGCTGAATTGCTTTCTCCTGATGGTAGAAAAGAAGAGGGAAAAAAAGTTAATAGCATGTTAGTAGAGGTGATAAATCTGACATACTGTTGTACTCAGAAGCCACAAAGTATCTACAATCAAAATTCACCACAAAGCTATTGTTTCAGAGAAACAGGGTCTCCCTTTGTTGCCCAGGCTAGAGTACAGTGGTGTGATCACAGCTCAGTATAGCCTCAACCTCCTGGGCTCAAATGATCCTCCCACCACAGCTTCTTGAGTAGCTAGGACCACAAACTTGTGCCATGATACCCAGCTAACTTTTTATTTTTATTTTTTTGTAGAGACAGGCTCTCATTATGTTGCCCAGACTGTTCTCAAACTCCTGGGCTCAAGCAATCCTCCTACCTTGGCCACAGGCATAAGCCACTGTGCCTGGCCCAAACTGTATTTTTTATTATTTTTATAATTTGGACAGTTCAAAGTCTAACTAATTTCTGTCAATCTAGATATTCTTTCATCAGATACATTTCATATTAGTTTAAGGTTATCTTTATCAAAAAATTAACAATGCACAATACTAAAAGCACTTAAAGGCCGGGCATGGTGGCTCACGCCTGTAATCCCAGCACTTTGGGAGGCCAAAGGCAGGTGGATTACTTGAGGTCAGGAGTTTGAGACCAGCCTGGCCAACATGGTGAAACACCATCTTTACTAAAAATACAAAAATTAGCCAGGTGTGGTGGCGCGTGCCTGTAATCCCAGCTACTCGGGAGGCTGAGACAGGAGTATCACTTGAACCCAGGAGGCAGAGATTGCAGTGAGCCAAGATCACGCCACTGCACTCCGGCCTGGGCAACAGAGCGAGACTCCCTCTCAACAACAACAAAAAAACAACAACAAAAAAACACCAATTGCTTACCATATCACTTCAACTCTATGTTCAAAGTAGGCAGTTGTTTATATATAGACACACAAAATTTTTTTTTCAGACACAGTTTCACTCTGTCACCCAGGTTGGAGTGCAGTGGCATGATCTTGGGATTATAGGTGCATGCCACCATGCCCAGCTAATTTTTTTTTTTCAGTATAGGACAGTGTTTCACCATGTTGGCCAGGCTAGTCTCAAACTCCTGACCTCAAGTGATCTGCCCGCCTGGGCCTCCTAAAGCGCTGGGATTACAGGCATGAGCCACCCCGCCTTTTTTTCTGTTATCTTTAATTTCACGCTTTCCTTTAATAGAACCCTCATAAACAATCTTAACATTACAAAAGTCATGTTATCTGAAAACAATGTAACAATCAACTAACATTTCATTAACGTAACCTTCTTTTCAAATAAGAAAATAATGCCATAGGTTTATCAGAACAAGTATAAAGAGACCATGGGTGGGGGGTGTCCTGTACTGAATTCTCATTTTAACAATAAAACCATAAAGTTTACCGGAAACATCATATATTTGGTAACTCAGATCTTCTGGTCCTAAAATCATCCCATCAGTTGATTCTTCAATGCCTGTAGTATTTCTTGTGGTTTCACAAGATGAAGAATACATTACTTCATATTCTTTACATATATCTTCTGAGAGCTCTGCATTACCTGTATTAAAGACAGACACTGAAAGTAAATGGGAATTATTTAAATTCTATTCTCAGGAACTCTGGGCAGTATGTCACCTATAAAAAGATTTTAAGGATTTCTACCAGTTTGAAATATGTCCGCATGGTTTTAAGCAAGAGTTATCATTCCGAGGGAGATAAGTTTTGACAATTACAGATAAACTAAAATGATCAACAATTGCTAAAACGTATATAGCATTATCCATGTATCAGACTACTCCATGCACTTTATTCATTTAATTATCAGAAAATCCTGTGCTGTAATTAAGATTGCTTCTGTTTTACAGATGGAGGGAAAAAAGCATAGAGAAATTAAGTTATTTGCCCAAGGTCGAACAGTGAGTAAATAGCAGAGTCAATGATGGTAGATAAAAACTAATTTATAAATATAATTATTATAGATGGGTTGCATGCTGGACCCAAAAACACGGCTACTACTTGAAATTAGTGGCAATCTATTCATGTTAGATATAAATGAGAATTATATACAAACTACATGTTAAACATTTATAAATGCTGGATGCAGTATGTTTAAAGGAAGAAAAATTGATAAATATACTTAATCAAATAATCAAAGGATATATCCTGGCCAGGCATGGTGGTTCACACCTGTAATCCCAGCACTTTGGGAGGCCGAGGCTGGTGGATCACTTGAGGTCAGGAGTTCGAGACCAGCCTGGCCAATATGGTGAAACCCCATCTCTACTAAAAATACAAAAATTAGCCGGGTGTGGTAACCGGGTGTGGGATTACAGGCATGAGATAAAGCCAGGCGCCTGTAATCCCAGCCACCCGGGAGGCTGAGGCAGGAGAACTGCTTGGACCCGGGAGGTGGAGGTTGCAGTGAGTGAAGACTGCGCCACTGTACTCCAGCCTGGGTGACAGAGGAAGACTCTGTCTCAAAAAAAAAAAAAAAAAAAAGAGATGTGTCTCAAGTTCAGTAAACTTGCTTGGCCATACATTTAACCAAACTGTGATTTTTATGACCAAATATTTAAGACTTACCCTCAGGATGAGCACCTGATGTAGCTGCTATTTCATGCCAAGAGCTTTCAGTTCCATGAGTTACTGGGGTGGCATCAGTATTTCCAGGAGCAATTTCTTGCCATACTTTGGCATTAGGATTTAAACCAGTTCCTTTAGATGCTACCTGCTAAATAATCGAAGGATCTATTTGTAAATTTTTAAAATCAGAGCATGAAAATTACAGATTCAGATAAAATCACTTTTCCATTACTTAAAAGTGGGGGAGAAACCCAATAATTATATTTAACAAATAATAAATAATATTAAAGTTTTGATCAACTTGAAAATGTGAGACATCTATATAAAATTTAGCTTCCTATATAATAAAAAATAGGTATCTCTAAATATTAAAACAGAAATACTGCCTAGGTGCAATGGCTCACGCCTGTAATTCCAGCACTTTGGGAGGCTGAGGCAGGAGGATCACATAAGCCCAGGAAGTTCGAGGCTACAGTGAGCTATAAACACACCATCACTCCAGCCTACATGACAGAGGAGACCCTGTCTCAGAAAAATAAATAAAATAGAAATGCTGCTTTACCCCAACCTACCTGCAAATGTCACAAAATTTAAACTATTTACATAACTTTTGAGACACTTGTGTATTTTTTCATCTACAGCAAATTTTTTAGTTATCTACAGTAATTTTCCAGAATATTATAAAATTTTATTGCCATCTAAGCTGTGATACTTTAGAGTCTGAACAATTCTATAACTAGAAATTTTATCACAAGATAAAAGCAGTGATGTGCTTTATATTGTAAATTTTTTTCCATCTGTCCTGCAAGTGTATGTTCTTAAAGTCCACAGCATAACTACTTTAAATAGTGCCATTTAAGGTAATCTCTTGAGGCAGGGCACGATGGTTCATTCCTATAATCCCAATACTTTGGGAGGCCAAGGCGGGCGGATCACTTGAGCTCATGAGTTCGAGACCAGCCTGGGCAACACAGAGAAACGCTGTCTCTACAAAACATACAAAATTAGCCAGGCGTGTTGGTGGGCGCCTGTAGTCCCGGCTACTTCAGATGCTGAGGTTGAAGAATGGCTTGAGCCTGGGAGACAGAGGTTGCAGTGAGCTGAGTTTGCACCACTGCACTCCAGCCTGGGAGACAGTGAGACTCGGTCTCAAAAAAGAAAAAAAAAAAAAAAAAAACCACACACACACACACACACACACACACACACACACACACACACACACCCCAAACATAATGCCCTGTTCCATGCCTAGGTTCATTCATATCTTGAGAGCAGGGGCTGAGCCTTGAAATGGTGGAAGTAGTGAGGAGTATTTTATCACTTACACGCTTTAGAATTTCTAAGTGTAGGATAACAAGCGTATACCTTTCAGTCATCTTTATTATTGTTTCAAAATTCTCTACAGAAAATACACCTGTTTTGTACCCACAGGAGAGCAGTACTCTCCCACCACTCTGCCTTTGGTAGCCACTGATTTGAAGCTGAATTGATTGATGAATGTGATGTGGGAATTTAGGTATCACATAATTTATTTGTGTGTTGGGGAGGGGGATAATCTATTTCAACAAAACTTGCTATTCATATGTACGCCCTAAAAAATAAACATTACAGCATAATAAGACGTACAACTAAGCATTCCACTGGACTGGAGGTGGGATGCCTACCCACCAGCAAGCCCACCCTAGTGTGCCATCTGAGGACCTGCAGAAAGGACAGTGGGAAGGAGACAGCAGCCTCAGCCCAGAGATCTCCCTATCCTCTTCCCTCAGGGAAGGGGGATCCTGACATTTGATCCTGACATTCAACACTTCCTGTCCTCCTCCTTGGTCAGGAAGACAATTGGGTACAGTGGGTGGAGGCGGGGAGGAGGTACAGAACCGGATGCAATATGAGAGTAGAGAGATTCTAGAGAAGGGCAAACTAGGGTGGGTAACTATGGAATTAAACGGAAGAAAGAAGCCTCTATTTGTAACCCTGGAATCCGGCAGGGGAAGAAGGAGGAAATGGGCAAGGGGAGGTTGGAAAGAGAAGCTGAGGAGGAGGGAACTTACTTATTTCTCCCTGCCTCTGCTGAACAGTTCCACTCCTTTATGTTAATCCCATTCTGAGACAGGCCCAGAGAAGTTCCAGTGACAAACTAGTAGTTTGTGTCCCAGGGGAACAAATGATCTAGGAAGTGAATTGCAGAGCTGGCAGGCAAAGCTGGGGTCCACCTCACTAAGACCCAGCTCCTGGCTCCTAGAGAGCTTTGGCACGGATGCCGTAGGTGACAATAAGAGATGATGAAGATGCTGAAGACCACCCCTAAGGGTGATAAACTCAAGCTCTTTGGGTACAGCATAATTTTTGACTGATAGCAGAACAGAACTCTGAGTAGCTTGTGATAGCCAAGCTCTCCTGCCATGTCAACAGTATTTGACATTAAGCATTTTTCAATAGGAGAAAATGCATGTATTTACATACTTATTCTCTCCCTCTCTTTCCTCCATTCTGAGAATACCAGATAGGTGCCTACCCAAGAAGATGGCAAATGGTAAAGGTACAGCTCTCAGAAACAGAGATCAAACATTAAATCCGAATAAATACAAAGAGTACAATATTGATCTGGTAAATAAGATCTATACATGAAAAAGATACAGTGAAAGGGCCATACACCTATTAGAAATACCCCTTACTCATAGAGTTGCTATGCATAGTAGTTATGTGGCTTTAGTAAAGCAAAAACATCATTTCAAGGTAGTTTTTTTTTTCTTCCTTTTTGAGACGGAGTCTCGCTCTGTTGCCCAGGCTGGAGTGCAGTGGTGCAATCTTGGCTCACTGCAACCTCCTCATCCTGGGTTCAAGCTATTCTCCTGCCTCAGCCTCCTGAATAGCTGGGATTACAGGTGCCCGGCACCACGTTGGGCAAATTTTTGTGTTTTTAGTAGAGACAGGGTTTCACCATGTTGGTCAGGTTGGCCTCAAACCCCTGACCTCAGGTGATCCACCCACCTCGGCCTCCCAAAGTGCTGGGATTACAGGAGTGAGCCACTGCACCTGGCCTCAAGGTAGTTTAATAATCATTATCTAAACACACAATGATTGAGATGCTGGAGTCACTCCTGAATCCAAAAACAGCTCTAATATGAACTTTTTATTATTGTGTGATCTTGGCAAAATTTCTTAACTCTTCTGAGCCTCAATTTTGTTAACTGTAAATTGGGGTAAAACATTCTTATTTTTATTTTTATTATTTTTAAAGACAGGGTTGGCTGGGCATGGTGGCTCACGCCTGTAATCCCAGCACTTTGGAAGGCCGAGGTGGGTGGATCACCTGAGGTCGGGAGTTCGAGACCAGCCTGACCAACATGGAGAAACCCTGTCTCTACTTAAAATACAAAATCAGCTGGGCGTGGTGGTACATGCCTGTAATCCCAGCTACTGGGGAGGCTGAGGCAAGAGAATCGCTTGAACCCCATAGACAGTGGTTGCGGTGAGCCGAGATCGGGCCACTGTACTCCAGCCTGGGCGACAAGAGCGAAACTCTGTCTCAAAAAAAAAAAAAAAGGACAGCCAGTTGTCCAGGCTGGAGTGCAGTGGCGTGCCCATAGCTCACTGTAGCCTCAAACTCCGGGGTTCAAATGATGCTCTTGCCTCAATCTCCTGAGTAGCTAGGACTACAGGCCTGGAACACCATGCTCCACTAATTAAAAAAAAATTTGGCAGAGTTGGGTTTTCATTATGTTGCCCAGGCTAGTCTCAAACTCCTGGCCTCAACAGATCCTCTCAACCTCAGCCTCCCAAATCACTAGGATTACAGGCATGAGCCACTGCACTGGGCCAAGAAGTCCTTATTTTAAAAATTACATGGCCGGGTGCAGTGGCTCATGCCCGTAATTCCAGAACTTTGGGAGGCCAAGGCCTTGGGTGGATGACCTGAGGTCAGGAGTTCAAGATGAGCCTGGCCAACATGGTGAAACCCTGTCTCTACTAAACAATACAAAAATTAGCTGGGTGTGGTGGCGGGCGCCTGTAATCCCAGCTACTACTCGGGAGGCTGAGGCAGGAGAATCGCTTGAACCCAGGAGGTGGAGATTGCAGTGAGCCGAAATTGCATCATTGCACCCCAGCCTGGGTGACAAGAACAAGACTCCGTCTAAAAAAAAAAAAAAAAAATTACAGGCCGGGGACGATGGCTCACGCCTGTAACCCCAGCACTTTGGGAGGCCAAGGCAGGCAGATCATGAGGTCAGGAGTTCAAGATCAGCCTGGCCAATATGGTAAAACCCAATCTCTACTAAAAATACAAACATTAGCCGGGCGTGGTGGCCTGCACCTGTAATCTCAGCTACTCTGGAGGCTGAGGCAGGAGAATCGCTGGAACCCTGAAGGTGGAGGTTGTGGTGAGCCGAGATTACGCCACTGCACTCCAGCCTGGGCAACAGAGCAAGACTCCGTCTCAAAAAAGAAAACACTGCATAGATTTTTTTATAAAGCATGTCAGTTTTGAATGGAAGGCAATTCTGCTGTCTCACCCTCAAAAGTATACTACACAAACACCGACGCATTCTATCAAAATAACTGTGTAAGTGAAGTTAAATGTAAACTATTATGTCATAGAAAATTAGCTTTGAAGAAACATAAAATTACAAAAGATGACTATAGAATGCTATAAAACTGAAACCTAAAAAACCTAAAAAGACTAAGAAAATAAAAATTTTTTAAAGGAAAAATGCATGGATGTAAATAGGAAAATAAAGTACTATTTATATTTACTAGTTTGGCAAAGCCCTTAAGAATAATTTTCCAGCCAGGCGCGGTGGCTCACGCCTGTAATCCCAACACTGTGGGAGGCTGAGGCGGGTGGATCACCTGAGGTCAGGAGTTCAAGACCAGCCTGGCCAACATGACGAAACCCCGTCGCTACTAAACATACAAAAAAATTAGCCAAGCATGGTGGCAGGCATCTGTAATCCCAGCTCCTTGGGAGGCTAAGACAAGAGAATCGCTTGAACCCAGGAGTCAGAGGTTGCGGTGAGCCAACACTGCCCCATGGCACTCCAGCCAGGGCGACAGAGGGGGACTCGTCTCAAAAATAATAATAATAATAATAATAATAATAATAATAATAATAATAATAATAATATAATTTCCCAACTGGCATAGAGTTGGCGAAAATCCTTTTATGGAGACTATATAAAATGATTCAACTCATATTTCTACATATATTAGCATTATTTATGAATGCTAAGAAATGCAAATAACCCTGTTTAAACAGATGAGGAATACAGGAAATGATATACTTACTAAATAAAGTATTACACAGCAATCCAAAATTATAAAGATATCACATTAACACATCTTATAACTCAGATGGATACTAATATCACAAAGAAAAAATTGCTGTTTATTCAGCTATCCTACATCAAATATTTTAAGATTTACCCCAATTTTCAAAGTTAAAATGTGCAAAAATATGCATCTCAGGGTTGATTAAATATGGAAATGTATGAAAACTGGAAAATGCTTTCACATAATAGAGTGGAAAAAACAGCTGTAACTGCTATAATAACAAAAGCAAACGTGTTAAACTAATTCTGTGGGCTAGGCACTGTATAGAATGCTTTATATGTATCATCTCCCCTACTTTTTAGAACAATGTAGGTCGGGGGCAGTGGCTCAAGCCTGTAATCCCAGCACTTTGGGAGGCCAAGACAGGCAGATCACTTGAGGTCAGGAGTGTGAGACCAACCTGGCTAACATGGTGAAACCCTGTCTCTACTAAAAAAAATTAGCCAGTCGTGGGGGTGGATGCCTATAGTCCCAGCTACTCAGGAGGCTGAGGCAGGAGAATCACTTGAACCTGGGAGGCAGAGGTTGCAGTAAGCAGTGATCACGCCACTGCACTCCAACCTGGGTGACAAAGCAAGACTCCATCTCAAAAAAAAAAAAAAATCCAACCAATGTAAGTATTAATATCTCTTTTATAGATTATCCCATTATGAGAGGTACAGAGTAATAACAAACCCAATTAAAGACATAGAAAGATGAAATATGAAGGAAGGATTCAAACCCAAGGCAGCCTGACTCCAGAAACAAAGGATTAACCACACAATGATTACAACTCACAGATTATTACAATTGCAAGAAGTACCTAAGCATGTGGTTATAGGCGGGAAGGAAACATGACCTGCTATAGTAACCAGACCAGATTGGTGTTCTCCCCACTTACAAAGTATTATTTATTTATTTATTTATTTATTTATTTATTTATTTATTTATTTTGTGATGAAGTCTTGCTGTCTCCCAGGCTGGGCTGCAGTGGCAAGATCTTGGCTCACTGCAACCTCTGCCTCCAGGGTTCAAGCGATTCTCCTCCTGCCTCAGCCTTAAGAGAAACTGGGATTACAGGCGTGTGCCACCATGCCCGGCTAATTTTTGTATTTTTAGTAGAGACGGGATTTCACCATATTGTCCAGGCTGGTCTCGATCTCCTGACCTCTTGATCCTCCCACCTCGGCCTCCCAAAGTGCTGGGATTACAGGTGTGAGCCGCTGCACCCAGCCTAAAGCATTCCATTAAAATGCTGCTTTGAGTCATAAAAAAATATGAAACTTAAGATTATTGCATCTAGTACTGATTTTTTCAAACCAGAGCATATTACAGTACGTTAAAAGCCGGCTGGGTACGGTGGCTCACGCCTGTAATCAAAGCACTTTGAGAGGCCAAGGCGGGCAGATCATGAGGTCAGGAGTTCGAGACCAGCCTAGCCAACATACAGCGAAACCGTCTCTACTAAAAAATACAAAAATTAGCTGGACGTGGTGGCATGCACCTGCAGTCCCAGCTACTTGGGAAGCTGAGGCAGTAGAATCGCTTGAACCCAGGAGGTGGAGGTTGCAGTGAGCCGAGATAGCGCCACTGCACTCCAGCCTGGGTGACACAGCGAGACTTCATCTCTCCAAAAAAAAAAAAAAAAAGCAAAGGTTATTCTGTACCTTCAAATATATTAAATACATAGTATTATTTTAGATTTATACCTGTCAACATTTACTTAAATTTACATGATGAATGTTGACCATTTTCTTTGTTCATCGTTCTTTCTTGCATCTCGGAGTTTTCTTCGGAATCATTTACCGCCTACCCAAAGGATATCATTCAGAACTTCTTAGTAAATTCTCTCAAGTTGTGCTTTCTCTGAAAATACATTTTTAACCATCCTTGCCATATACAGAATTATCAATAGGCATATAACCCCTTTCAGGCACTTTAAAGACATTCCTGTACTTTCTGGTTTATACTATGGCTAACAAGCAATCAGCCATCAGGTTAGCTGCCATTCTTAATCTCTCTTTACTCTCTGATTTGTTAATGAGGTTTTACGATCATTAAAAGTCTAAGTGTGAAATTGTTTTTTATCTGATATAACTGGGATCTGCTGAACTCCCTGAAATCGTTCATCAATTCTGTAAAATTCTCAGCCATTCTCTCTTAAAATATTCACTCTCCACAACTGCTCTATTATTCTCTTCTGAAACTCCAATAAAATATATGCTACCTTGTCATCATATGTTCCATGTATCAAGTTTTCCTATTTTCCATTTTGGTCTCTCTAGTTGCATTCTGAACAATTTCTTACGATCGTTCTTCCAGTTCACTGATTTTTCTCAAGCTGTTTCTAACTTGCTGTTCAACTTGTCTAGTAAGTTTCTAAGCTCCCTTTTTATATTTTTCATTTCTTAAAGTTTCTTTTAGTTCTTTCCTCAAATCTATCTGATCAACTTTTTTGTTTCTGGATCATCTTTTTTCTTCTTTTAAGCATATCAAACATTTTAATTTTATAGTCTACACTTGATGATAATTCCAATATTTGTAATTTTGAGGACTTTATTTTGTGACTTGTTTTTTCTGCTAAATCATGATCCTAATGACTTACATCCTTCATAATTTTCTACTGTAAGGCTATTTTTCTTAGAACTTTGTAAGAATTTTATTAAAGATTATGTTTAAATGGGCTTTTTTTAGACAGGGTCTCACTCTTGTTGCCCAGGGTGGAGCGCAGGGGCGTGATCACAGCTCACTGCAGTCTTGAACTCCTGGGCTCAAGCAATCATCCCACCTCAGCCTGGTGACCAGCTAGGACTACAGGTTTGAGCCACCACGTGGATAGGTTGTTTTTGTTTTTGTAGAGATGGGGTGTGGCTATGTTGTCTAGCCAGTCTTGAACTCCTGGCCTCAAACGATCATCTCACCTTGGTCTCCGAAAGTGCTGGGATTATAGGCATGACTCACCACAACAGGCCTAAATGGGCTTCTTAAGGAGATAATTTATTTTACTTCTGCTAGATGTCTGCCTAGGAAGACTACCAATCTGGACTAGATTTAAATTTTCAACTTGAGTTTTTTGGAAATAATAGGTAGTGCAAAATCTAGCCATACTCTGGTATCAAAGAGGATCTGTGGTTAGAATCATCAAAGACCTCTCCTGCACCAACCCAGAGCCAAGGCTAAAACTGTCAGTGTGCTTTTCTCTGGGAAAGTCTTTTTTTTCCCTACCTGTTTTGAGACAGGGTCTCACTCTGTTGCCCAGGCTGAAGTGCAGTGGCACCATCAAGGCTCACTGCAGCCTCAACCTCCAAGATGAAGCAATCCTCCAACTTCTCAGCCTCCCAAGTACCTGGGATTACAGGTGAATGACACCATGCCCAGCTGATTTTTTTTGTATTTTTTACAGAGATGGGATTTTGCCATGTTGCCTAGGCTGGTCTTGAATGCCTGGGCTCCAGTGATCCTCATGCATCAGCCTCCCAAAGTGCTGGGACTACAGGCATGAACCACCATGCCCAGCCTCATTTGCTTTTTTACCAGCTTAAATCTCTGCTTTAAAAAAACTTTATATGTGTTGAATTGAAAAACTTTATATATACACCTGTAATCCCAGCACTTTCAGAGGCCAAGACGGAAGGACTGCTTGAAACTACAAGTTCAAGACCAGCCTGGCAACATAGGAAGACCACCCCCCTCTACAAAAAAGATTAAAAACTTAGCCAGGGTGGTGGTACACATCTGTAGTTCCAGTTACCTGGGAGGCTAAGGCTGGAGGATTGCTTGAGTCTGGGAGACTGAGGCTACAGTGAGCCAAGATCACATGATTGTACTACAGTCTGGATGACAAAGCGGGACTGTCTCAAAAAACAAAACAAAATGGGTCAGGCATGGTGACTCATGCCTTTAATCCCAGCACTATGGGAGGCTGAGGCAGGCAAATCGCTTGAGCTCAGGAGTTCGAGACCAGCCTGGGCAACGTGGCACAACCCTGTCTCTACAAAATACTTAAAAAATTAGCGAGGCGTGTTGGCACATGCCTACAGTCCCAGCTATTTGAGAGCCTGAGGCAAGAGGATCACTTAAGTCCAGGAGGTCAAGACTGAAAAGAGCCGTGAGGAATTCTCAGAACAGCTAATTCATAATATTTCAAGGAAATAATACCAGTATTTTTTCTTAAAGCTAAATTAAAGAGTAATTCCAAAAATTGAGACAATTATGGTATAACAGAAAAACTTTATTCTGCCACCCAATAATTATGTAATCCTTCCGCTTCTCTATTTTTAAGAACATAACGCCTAGGCCAGGCACAGTGGCTCACGCCTGTAATCCCAGCACTTTGGGAGGCGAAGGTTGGTGGATCCACTTGAGGTCAGGAGTTCAAGATCAGCCTGGCCAATATGGTGAAACACTGACACTCTCTAATAAAAACACAAAAATTGGGCCAGGCGCAGTGGCTCACACCTGTAATTCCAACACTTTGGGAGGCCAAGGCGGGTGGATCACCTGAGATCAGGAGTTCAAGACCAGCCTGGCCAATGTGGTGAAACCCCGTCTCTACTAAAAATACAAAAATTAGCCGGGCGTGGTGGTGGGTGCCTGTAATCCCAGGTACTTGGGAGGCTGAGGCAGGCGAATCGCTTGAATCCAGGAGGCGGAGGTTGCAGTGAACCAAGATCGCGCCATTACACTGCAGCCTGGGTAACAGGAGTGAAACTCCGTCTCAAAACAAGAAAAAAAAATGAGCCAGGCATGTTGGCATGTGGCTGTAGTCCCAGCCACTTGGGAGGCTGAGGCAGGACAATCACTTAAACCTGGAGGAAGAGGCTACAGTGACCCAAGACTGTGCCACTGCACTTCAGCCTGGGTAACAGAGTGAGACTCCATCTCAAAATATAAATTATTAATTAATAAGTAATTAAAGCAGAAGTCTTGCTATGCAGTGCTTCTTGGCTTTTGGTTTCATGGCTGCTAGAAGCTTTTACAATAATAGCAAAACCAGTAACAAGATAACAGCCCTTACAGGGGAGCTAAAGCATCTCTGAAGTAGCACCATGAATAACTATAGCAACATCTTGGATTAGAGATGTTAATTCACAACTTCCTCATATCGTAATTAGCTCAGGGAGGAAGACAACTAGTTTTCAAACAGCCCCACCAGGAGAAGTATCAAGGTATTATTTAAGAACGTATAAGTAGCAATTTTCTTTTTTTTCTTTTTTTTTTTTGAGACAGAGTTTTGCTCTGTCACCCAGGCTGGAGCGCAGTGACACGATCTCGGCTCACTGCATCCTCTGTCTCCTGGGTTCAAGCAATTCTCTGCCTCAGCCTCCCAAGTAGCTCGGATTACATGCGCCCATCACCATGGAGTGTCACCATCTTGGCCAGGCTGATCTTGAACTCCTGACCTCGTTATCCACCCACCTCGGCCTCCCAAAGTGCTGGGATTATAGGCGTGAGCCACCATACCTGGCATAAGTATCAATTTTCAAAAGCAAGACACTTTCATATTTGCCACTATATATACATGCAAAAAGTGCTTGCTGTACCAAAAGTATCTCATCAAAGTTTTTAAACAATCAATCACTATTCAAATCCACTCTGGCTAAATTAAGCAGAAGAGTTTTGTTTTATTTTTGAAACAGGATCTCACTCTTTTGCCCAGGCTGGAGTGCAGTAGCACTTCAGCTCACTGCAGCTTCAACCTCCCAGGATCAACCAATACTCCCACCTCAGGCTCCCAAGCTACAGCTGCATGCCACCACACCTGGCAAATTTTTGCACTTTTTGTAGAGACAGGATTTCATCATGTTGTGCAGGCTGGTCTTGATTTCAGTCTATCAGCCTGCCTCAGCCTCCCAAAGTGCTGGGATTACAGGCGTGCACCACCATGCCCACATTGAAAGGTAATTATTTTTTGAGATGGGGTCTCACTCTGCGGCCTAGGATGGAGCGCAGTGGTGTGATCTTGGCCCACTGCAGCCTCTGCCTCCCAGGCTCTAGGGATCCTCCCACCTCAGCCTCTTGAGTAGCTAGGACCACAGGCATGTGCCACCATGCCCAGCTGATGTTGTGTTTTTGTTTTTGTTTTTGTTTTTAAGTACAGACGGGGTTTCACCATGTGGCCCAGGCTGGTCTCAAACTCACAAGCTTAAGTGATTCACCCACCTTAGCCTCCCATCCCAAGTGCTGGGATTATAGGTGTTGAGCCACGGCACCCGGTCATCTGAAAGGTGCAGTAGACGCTCTGATTCTCACTAGGAGGGGTGAAAAAACAGATGCAAAGATAAGATCACCCAAAATAATGTTGCACAAGGATCTGGTGAGGAAACCACTATCCCTGTCACCACCAGGCACTAAATAACAAGATTCAAATCCATTATAACCTTTACTACTGCCAGCACCAAAGCCACTCTCTATTAGGAACTCAATCTGCAACTATTACCTCCACTTAAAGCTGACCAACCCTGCTGCCATTCCTAACTGCAAAATGGAAGTTATAAACAGAACCTTCACTTCCTTCCATTGTGTACTTTCAAAGAGAAGTCATCTGAGTGTGTCTGTAGGTCACATGCCTGCATCCAAGAAAACATGGAGGGTGGGGGCGGTGGCTCACGCCTATAATCCTAACTCTTTGGGGGTCCAAGGTGAGTGGATCACTTGAGCTTAGGAGTTCAAGACTACCACGGGCCACATGGCAAAACTCCATCACTACCAAAAAAAAAAACAACAACAAAAAAACAAGAATTAGCTGGGCATGGTGGCTCATACCTGTAGTCCCAGCCACTTGGAGAGCTGAGACAGGAGGAATGCTTGAACCTGGGAGGTGGAGGTTACAGTGAGCCGAGATCGTGACACCGCACTCCAGCCGGGGTAACAAAGTGAGCCCGTCTCAAAAAAAAAAAACAAAAAAAAGAAGCTGGGAATTTGAGTTTTCACTAGTACACATACTGAGGAGGCCTGACACATAACATGGGCAATTTTGCAAATGTAGACATATAACAAAAAATTGGAAGGCTTCGGACATGACAAATATTCACCATATGAGACTAAGGCTAATATTTAACATACAAAGTATGTCATATATAATTAATTTATAAATATCCAAATATCGGAGGATTATGCTCAAAAACCTTTTCTCCTGATGGGGTACGCTATTTCACTAAATATTTAATAACTGATCAAAATCATTAATAAATATATTCCCTTCAGCAGTACACTACCCCAAAATCTGATGTGTCCCTGATAATTAATGGTGCTAAGAATACTCAAAGTGTAAGATCTAAAGACATTACACTCTAATGGCATAAAGATAAGCAGTACTTCTGGGCATATTTATATCTTTCATCAGCCTAGTTAAGACTATACATTTTATTTTATTCATTCATTTATTTTTTTGAGACAGATCTCCTGCTCTGTTGCCCAGGCTGGTAATGCAATGGCACGATCTCGGCTCACTGCAACCTCCACCTCTGGGATTCAAGCGATTCTCCTGCCTCAGCCTCCTGAGTAGCTGGGATTACAGGTGTGCGCCACCATGCTGGGCTAATTTAAGTATGTTTAGTAGAC
Source organism: Homo sapiens (assembly GCF_000001405.40). Taxonomy (NCBI): domain Eukaryota; kingdom Metazoa; phylum Chordata; class Mammalia; order Primates; family Hominidae; genus Homo; species Homo sapiens. The sequence goes on along the minus strand of NC_000012.12, from coordinate 50,415,033 downwards.
ACAGGGTTTCACAATGTTGGCCAGGCTGGTCTCGAACTCCTGACCCCATGATCTCCCTGCCTCGGCCTCCTGAAGTGCTGGGATTACAGGCGTGAGCCACTGTACCAGGCCAAGACTATACATTTTAAAAGCCACTGATGCACACAAGAAGACATATAAAAGGTTGTATAGTACAGTATTGAACCCACAAGTGAAAAACTGAAAACCACCTAAATGTTCACCTATAGGTGAATAGTTAAATATGGTCTATCTCTTAATGTGGAATACTATAAAAGTTTAAGAAAACCAAAATAGGACTACATTCACCAACATGGAAATTGTTCCAATGCATATTGTTCAGTGAAAAAAGTAACGCTGCAAAACAATAAGCACTTTATATTATCATTTCTATTAACAAACAAAATCACTGTACAGATAAATATATAGGTATAGGCTAGGCACAGTGGTGCATGTCTGTAATCCCAGCACTTCTGGAGGCTGAGGCTGAGGGATCGCCTAACCCAAGGAATTCAAGATCAGCCTGGGCAACACAGTGAAACCCTGTCTTTACAAAATCACAAGAATTAGCCAGGCATGGTAACATGCACCTCTAGTTCCAGGTACCCAAGAGGCTGAGACGAGAGGATGGCTTGAGAATGGGAGGAGGAGGTTGCAGTAAGCCAAGATCATGCCACTGCACTCCAGCCTGAATGACAGAGCAAGACCCCGTCTCAACAGAACACAACAACAACAACAACAAAACCCAGAAAAGACCTGAAAGGTTACAATACTGTTAAACAAGAGAATTACAAATTACCAAGATTGTTTGCCGAACAGGGAAAATGTGCAAAGGACAGACTGGAATAGTTTATCATAAAATATCATTTTTACCCTATTCAACGGCCCAGATTCAATACTATTTTGATAAGCATGAAAAGGAAAAATCAGTTCATTGCTATAATTTATATAACTCTTCTGAAGAGTTGGCAATGTTTATTAAAAGCCTTAAATACACAATTTTGATCCAAAAATTCTACTTGTCAGATTTACTCAAAAGAAACTGAGATATATAAAAACATGTAAGTACAAGGATGTTTGCCACACTAATTTTATAAACATCCTACCATAGAGGTGAACTGTAGTTCATCTATAAAATAGAATATACCAGATCCTTAAAACCAGATTTAGGGAAAACTGTAAAAATCTGAGTAAGGTCTGTGGACTGTATCAATGTTAATTTGCTGCTCATTATACCATACTATAGTTACGCAAGGTGATACTACAAGGAGAAACTGAGCAACAACTTCACAGGACCACTTTGTACACTGTTTTGCAACTTCATGAATCTATAATTACAGTCATGTGCTGCATTAATGACATTTTGATCAAGCACAAACTGCATGTACAACAGTGGTCCCATAAGATTATAATAGCCATACCATATAGCCTAGGTGTGTTGTAGGTATACCATCTAGATTTGTATAAATATTTTCTGATGTTCACATAATGAAATCCGTAACACATCCCTCAGGATGTATCCCTGAACAAGGCAAGATTGAATTATCTTTAAAAAGTTTTGAAAAATGGAGAAAAAATCTTAGAAAGTATGGGAAATGTTCACTATCTGTGATACTGTAAAATATATATTTTACAGTGTATTTCAGTTGTGTATGATAGTATCCACACACAACTAAAATCCTTACAATCTCCAAAGTGATGTCTTTTTGCATGCTAATAAGTTAACTGATGGCTGGCAGCCCCTAAGTCAGTTTAGCTAGAATAAAATCTATCTTTTCATTTAGACTCTAGACAGCCAATTTTTTTTTTTTTTTGAGACACAGTCTCACTCTGTCGCCCAGGCTGGAGTGCAGTGGCATGATCTCAGCTCATTGCAACCTCTGACTCCCGGGGTCAAGGGAGTCTCCTGCCTCAGCCTCCTGAGTAGCTGGGATCACAGGCGCCCACCACCACGTCCGGCTAATTTTTTGTATTTTTAGTAGAGACGGGGTTTCACCATGTTGGTCATGCTGTTCTCAAACTCCTGACCTCGTGATCCGCCCGCCTCAGCCTCCAAAGTGCTAGGATTACAGGTGTGAGCTACCACGCCCAGCCAATAGCCAAGTTTTATTCATCTTCTCACCACAGTTTAGACCGCCATCAAAATCTTGATCACTTCCACAGGATTAGAAGCCCTTGAGATTACAGTTTTATAAATATCTACTAAACGATGTAAACTGTCCAAATGCATGCTAAACTATCTGCCAACATATACATAGTATGCAAGCACATAGATACTCAACAAAAAGATCTAAACTATCTGTAAAACTGATGCTTCAATCACCACCCTTATTTCTAAGCAATATGTCATCCCCAAATAAGCCAAAGGCAGTCCTGATTATTGTCCCATTTAATGCTAAATTCTACCTTCAGAGAGATAAAAATGAAAGGAAAAAGAGAACCATCAAATTCTTGTGAAAATGGTATCCTCCTGTCCTAAGAAATTACAGACCTAAGGTAACAGAACCATGAGTTAGGAAGAAAATCACCATAAATATGGTAAAACCGTCTCTTCGGACATACATAACCTTTTGTTTTACTTACCTATTTACTATCAGAAACAGAAATCCCATGCCACTTAACCCCATAAATGCTGTAAAACAGAAATAAAATGTATAAATTGATTAAATGTATTTTGCCCCATCAATCATCCAGGTTCAATTTTTACATCTCCAATACTGAGAGGGCTACTACTAAGTTACAAGTACTTAGGGGGGGAAAAAAAAACACCTGTCATTTCTTCCAAAGTAACTTCAGAATCCTACCAGAAGATGCTTAGGGCTATTTTACAAAAAGTAAAAATGAAAATTAAAGTGGGAATTCTTCACTCATTCAGAGAATAGTAATTACATTTATGGAACATCTAATTAATCTTCATAACAATCTCAGTTAAGTCCTATTATCATCCACATTTTACAGACAAGGAAAAAGTTACTTTACTTCAAGGTAAAGTAATCTGCCCAAAGTTACATAGCTATTAATACAAAACCAGGATTTAAACCTAAGGAGTCTAGGGGCTGGGCACAGTAGCTCAGGTCTATAATCCCAGCACTTTGGGAGGCCAAGGCGGGTGGATCACCTGAGGTCAGGAGTTCAAGACCAGCCTGGCCGACAAGGTGAAACCCCGTTTATCTACTAAAAATACAATAATTCAGTGGGCATGGTGGCGTGTGCCTGTAGCCCCAGCTACTCGGGACGCTGAGGCAGGAGAATCACTTGAACTCGGGGGGCAGAGGCTACAGTGAGATGAGATCACGCCACTGCACTCCAGCTTGGGCAACAGAGCGAGACTCCATCTCAAAAAAAAGAAAAAAGAAAAAACAAAAATGAATATAGAAAATAGCCGCCAGATTACAACTAGGGTCCCTAGGCTGGGCTCAGTGGTTCACATCTGTAATCCCAGTACTTTGGGAGGCTGAGGCAGGCGAATCACCCGAGTTTAGGAGTTCAAAACCAGCCTGGCCAACATGGTGAAACCCCATCTCTACTAGATGGGGTTGGTGGTGCACGTCTGTAATCACAGCTACTCGGGAGGCATGAAAATCACTTGAACCCGGGAGGCAGGGGTTGCCGTGAGCTGAGATTGTGCCACTGCACTCCAGCCTAGGCAACAGAGCAAAAATCCATCTCAAAAAATAAATAAAAATTTTTAAAAATACAAAAAGGCAGGTGCCTGTAATCCCAGCTACTTAGGAGGCAGAGGAGAGTCACTTGAACCAGGGAGGCAGAGGTTGCAGTGAGCCAAGATTGCGCCACTGCACTTCAGCCTGGAGAACAGAACAAGTCACTATCTTCAAAAAAAAAAAAAAAGAATCAACTAGGGATCTTGATAAAATGCAGACTGATTCAGTAATTCAGGGGTAGAGTTTCTACTGTAACAAACCCCTGGGTTAAAAGGAGCTTACTACTATCTACGGATAACACTTTGAACAGCAAGGAAACTGGACCACCCTAAGTTGTTTCCACCAACCTCCCGAAGTTGTCAAAAATCAGAATTCACTTGCCCTCTACTGTGGAAGAAAATCTGAAGTTTATTCATCAATATTATCATCAGTATTATTGCTGGTACTCTAGTACCAGTGGAAAAGACAGGATTTATATCCTAAAATTCCCACTATCTCAATCAGACAGTATCTGTCATTCATCAAAAGAACCTGACGCCACCATCGATTAGTGGCACTTAACCTTTTGGGGGTCACGAATCACTCTGAAAATATAATCAAAGTTACAAATTTCTCCCTAGAAAGTTCAACATGAGATTCATGAATATTTTCATTAAAAATAAAGAATTCTAGGCCGGGTACCGTGGCTCACGCCTGTAATCCCAGCACTTTGGGAGGCTGAGGAGGGCGGATCATGAGGTCAGGAGATCGAGACCATCCTGACTAACACGATGAAACCCTGTCTCTACTAAAAATACAAAAAATAACCAGGCGTGGTGGTGGGCGCCTGTAATCCCAGCTACTTGGGAGGCTGAGGCAGGAGAATGGCGTGAACCCAGGAGGTGGTGACTGCAGTGAGCAGAGATTGCACTACTGCACTCCAGCCTGGGCAACAGCGAGATTCCATCTCAAAAAAAAAAAAAAAAAGATAAAGAATCCTGTATTAATAGACGTCTAACAGACTGGGTGTTGTGGCTCCTCACACCTGTAATCGCAGCACTTTGGGAGGCCAAGATGGGAGGATCGTTTGAGGCCAGGAGTTCAAACCAGCCTAGCCAACATAGCAAGACCCTGTCTCTATTAAAAAAAGGTATCTAACATTTAGTATTTAATCCTCAAAATACTAAGCCATTACTTCAATTAGTCAGCTGATAAAGCTAATGGCTAACTACACAAACGAACTTAAATATACCTCAACCTCAAGCATCAATATTAAATATCAAAATAGTTCTTTTTTTTTTTTTTGCCGGGCGTGGTGGCTCACACCTGTAATCCCAGCACTTTGAGAGGCTGAGGTGGGCAGATCACCTGAGAGCAGGAGTTCGAGACCAGCCTGACCAACATGGAGAAACCCCGTCTCTACTAAAAATACAAAATTAGCCACGCATGGTGGTACCTGTGTGTAATCTCAGCTACTCAGGAGGCTGAGGCAAGAGAATCAATCGCCTGAACCTGGGAGGCGGAAGTTGCAATGAGTCAAGATCGCTCCAGCCTGGGCAATAAGAGCGAAACGCCATCTTAAAAAAATAATAATAATAATAATAATTCTTTTTCTTTTCTTTTTTTTTTTTGAGACAGAATCTTGCTATGTCATCCAGGCTGGAGTGCAGTGGCACAATCTCAGCTCACTGCAACCTCCACCTCCTGGGTTCAAGCCATTCTCCTGCCTCAGCCCTCTATGCAGCCCCTTACAGGCATGTGCCACTATACCCGCCTAATTTTTTTTGTATATTTTTTGGTAGAGATGGGGTTTTGCCATGTTGGCCAGGCTGGTCTCAAACTCCTGACCTCAAGTGATCCACCAGCCTTGGCCTCCCAAAGTGCTGGGATTACAGGCATGAGCCACTGCACCTGGCCCTGGTTGGGTCTTGAACTCCTGGCCTCAATCAGTCCTCCTGTCTGCCTCCCTAAGTGCTAGTATTACAGGTGTGAGCCACCACGCCCAGCCTACAACTCTAAATGTTTTATTCTGTCAATCTTCTTAACATCCCTACGTGATAGATATTAATATTACCCTCCCATATTATTGTCCTCAATTTACAGATAAGGAAGCAGAGAGATTAAACAAAAAGTGGCTCAGTCTCAGCAGAGATTTAGACCCAGGCAGGCTGGCCCCAGAGTCCATGTTTCTAGACATTGTTTTCTTCTTGCCTGCTGGTCAAAGAAAAAAAAAATCTTTTATGTAACCTTGTATATAAATGTATCTTAATTTTACTCAGTCACTGCCCTCCTATTTTTTTTCTTCCTCCAACTCAAAAGGCAAAAATAATCCTATTTTCATTATCTTGCTCAACTGCAACTTTCTGCCCTATAAATTTACATTTTCCACAGCCAATATATTTAAAAAAAAAATTTTTAAGACATGGGGTGTCACTATGTTGCCCAGACTGGTCTTGAACTCCTGAACTCAAGTAATCCTCCCACCTCAGCCTCCCAAAGTGCTGGGATTACAGGTATGAGCCACGCCCACCCAGCCTGCCATACCCAATGTAACAAATATTTCAGTACCCACTTACGTGCATTATGTTACTTTGTTAGTATAGCAGGAAAGAAAGTCTTGCCAATAAGCACACAGTAAACCTCTAATCTCTTCTGAAAATTTACAAGTTATTATACAAACCAGAATACTTTTGAGAAGGAAAAAGGGTAAAACATCTGTCACAGAAAATATTTGTATGCTGTGACCTTCCAGGGCAAAATAGCAGGTAAGATCATCTTACCTGCTAGTCAGTAGTATGAAATACTATCGAACTATTTGTTACACAAACCCTGCATTACTGCAGACTTTTCTACCCTGCATTACTGCAGACTTTTCTACCCTGACGAGAAATCCTTTTCTCGCCGGGTGCGGTGGCTCATGCCTGTAGTCCCAGCACTTTGGGAGGCCGAGGAGGGCGGATCACCTGAGGTTGGGAGTTCGAGACCAGCCTGACCAACATGGAGAATCCCTGTCTCTACTAAAAATACAAAATTAGCCAGCATGGTGGTGCATGCTTGTAATCCCAGCTACTCAGGAAGGCTGAGGTAAGAGAATCACTTGAACCCGGGAGGCGGAGGTTGCAGTGAGCTGAGATCACACCATTGCACTCCAGCCTGGGCAACAAGAGAGAAACTCCAGCTGGAAAAAAAAAAAAAAAAAAAAAAAAAAGCAGAAAATCCTTTTCTCTTCTCTCAGTACATACAAACCCAATAGAACTTAACTCAACTCATCCCTGGAGTTTGGCATTTATGAATGCAGTTCACATCCTACCCCTAATAATATTCATCTAAAGCACTCTTCTGTCTTTGGTTTAGAGCCCGTCATTTAAAAACAGTAGAGATATTCTGTGAACCAAAGATTGGTTCAAGTGGTGGGACAAGGACACAGGTAAGACAGGAAAGATGAGTACATACTTAGATGTTTCTTTTTCTTACATTTACTTACACTTTTACATTATAATTTTTTTCAAAAGAGTAAGTGCAAAGTGCCTATTTGCATTTTAACATTTGTATTCCTTTAATTAATTTTCCTTTTTTTGAGACAGTCTCACTGTCACCCAGGCTGGAGTGCAGTGACATGATCTCGGCTCACTGCAACCTCTGCTTCAAGGTGTGCCTCAGCCTCCCAAGTAGCTAGGACTACAGGCACATGCCCAGATAATATTTTTATTTTTAGTAGACATGGGGTTTCGCCATGTTGGCCAGGCTGGTCTCAAACTCCTGGCCTCAAGTGATCCACTTGCCTCGGCCTCCCAAAATTCTGGGATTACAGGCATGAGTCACCCCGCCCAGCTGTACTCCTTTAAATGCTGCAAGTAAATGTGTATTTTAACATACTGCCATCTTCATTCCTCTTTTAAAACTTTTATTTGCCCAACCAAAAGTATACTCTCCAACTATAAAAAAAACTTTAAATAATTATAAATTGTTTGACTTGCCCTAAATCAGAGTATGTTAGTAACAAGGCTGAGATGAAAACTTAGAAGTTATACTTCTCTTAAATTAGTTTAAACCTTAAAGAAAACAAAGCTTCGGCCAGACGCAGTGGCTCACGCCCGTAATCCCAGCACTTTGGGAGGCCGAGGAGGGTGGATCACAAGGTCAGGAGTTCGAGACCAGCCTGACCAATATGGTGAAACTCCGTCTCTACTAAAAATACAAAAAATAGCTAGGCGTGGTGGTACGCGCCTGTAGTCCCAGCTACTCAGGAGGCTGAGGCAGAAGAATCGCTTGAACCCAGGAGGCGGAGGTTGCAGTGAGCCGAGATCATGCCACTGTACTCCAGCCTGGGCGACAGAGCAAGATTCCATCTCAAAAAACAAACAAAAAAACTGTTAAGATGGGCTGGGCGCGGTGGCTCAAGCCTGCAATCCCAGCACTTTGGGAGGCTGAGGCAGGTAGATCTGAGGTTAGGAGTTTGAGACCAGCTTGGCCAACATGGCGAAACCTCGTCTCTACTAAAAATACAAAAATTAGCCAGCATGGTGGCGTACGTCTGTAGTCCCAGCTATACTGGGGAGGTTGAGGTGAGAGAATCACTTGAACCCAGGAGGCAGACATTGCAGTGAGCCGAGATCATGCAACTGCACTCCAGCCTGGGCAACAGAGCAAGATTCTCTCTCAAAAAAACAAAAAACTGTTAGATGATACTTTTTAAGTTATATGTATTTCACAATTAAAAATATTTTTAACTGGTGGCATGAGCCTGTAGTCCCAGCTACTCAGGAGGCTGAGGCCAGATTGCTTGAGCCCAGGAATTTGAGGCTATGGTGTGCCATGACTGTACCTGTGAATAGCCACTGTACTCCAGCCTGGACAACACAGTGAGACCCTGTCTCTTAAAAAATAATAAAATAATAATTTAAAAAAATTTTTTGAGGCAGGGTCTCACTCTGTCATCCAGGCTGGAGTGCAGTGTCATGAACATGGTTCACTGCAGCCTCGATCTCCTGGCTCAAGTGATCCTCCCACCTCAAGTGTAGCTGGGACCACAACACATGCCACCAGGCCTGGCTAATTTTTTAAATTTGTTTGTAGAGGTTGGGGGTGGGGGTGGGGGGTGTCTAACTTTGTTGCCCAGGCTGGTCTTGAACTACTGGGCTCAAGCTATCCTCCCACCTCGGCCTCCCAAAGTGTTGAGATTACAGGCATGAGACACGTTACCCAACCTAAAATATGTTTTAATTATTTAAGAGTTATTAAAGCGTCCTAGGTCGTATGAAACTTAACTGCTACCTAAGTAAGTAAGTACAGTTGGCCCTCCATATCCATGAATTCCATATCCATAGGTTCTGTATCAGTGGAGCAATCAATCACAAATCAAAAATACTCAGAAAAAAAAATCATTGCATCTGTACTGACAATGTAGAGACTTTTTTCTTATCACTCTATAAATAATACAGTATAGCAACTATTTATAAAGCATTTACATTTTAATAGGTATTATAAATAATCTAGAGATTATTTAACATATACACAAAGATGTGCATAGGTGCTACGCAAATACTATGCCTTTTTATGTAAGACTTGAGCATCCAAGGTTTTTGGCATCTACAGAGGGTCCTGGAACCAATTTCCCACAAATACTGAGGGACAACTGTCTTCATTTTCAGGGAAAAACTCAAACAGAGACAGAAACCCAATTTCAGTAGTCACTGCATACCCACCCTTCCCAGTCTCTAGTTTTAATTTTTTTTATTTAAACAAAAATTTCAGCTTGAGCAAAAAAGCAAAACCCTGTCTCTACAAAAAATACCAAAAAAGAAAAAAATTAGCCAGGCATGGTGGTACATGTCTATAGTCCCAGCTACTTTGGAGACTGAGGTGGGAGGATCACTTGAGCTGGGGAGGTGGAGGCTGCAGCAAACGAGACTGTGTCTCAAAAAATTAAAAATTAAAAAAAAAACTGTAAATAAAAGAGAGAAATGAAAAAATTTTTTTAAATTACTATCTGCCTCCTTAGGGCTCACAAGTTTTAAGTAACTTGATAGCATTCAGATGAAGGTAGTACACTGCAGTTTCAAACTTACAAACAATTTGTTGTAAAAGAATTCATGGCAGGTCATGTTTGATGACTTTGTGAATCATCCAAACTTTTACCTCTTTCCAGAGAGGGACATTGTTTGTTTCTCCTTCAGAACAGAGGTGGAAAAAAAATCTGCCAGGCGCGGTGGCTCACGCCTATAATCCCAGCACTTTAGGAGGCCAAGGCGGGCGGATCACTTGAGGTCAGCAGTTCGAGACCAGCCTGGCCAACATCGTGAAACCCGTGTCTACTAAAAATCAGGAAAAAAAAAAAAAAGGCCAGGCATGGTGGCACATGCCTGAAGTCCCAGCTACTAGGGAGGCTGAGGCAGAACTGCTTGAACCCGCCAGGTGTGGTGGCTCACGCCTGTAATTCCAACACTTTGGGAGCCCGAGGTGGGCGAATCATGAGGTCAAGAGACCGAGACCATCCTGGCCAACATGGTGAAACCCCATCTCTACTAAAAATACAAAAATTAGTTGGGCGTGGTGGCATGCGCCTACAGTCCCAGCTACTCGGGAGGCTGAGGCAGGAGAATCACTTGAACCCAGGAGGTGGAGGTTGCAGTGAGCCGAGATGGCGCCACTGCACTCCAGCCTGGGCAACAAGAGTGGAAACTCCGTCTCAAAAAAAAAAAAAAAAAAAAAAAACTGCTTGAACCCAGGAGGCGGAGGTTGCAGTGAGCTGAGACTGCGCCACCCTCTAGCCTCGGTCTCAGAGCGAGACTCGGTCTCAAGAGGAAAAAAATAAAACAAACCAATAATCTACTGAAGTCAATATAGTTGGTCTTGCTCTGTCACCCGGCCTGGAATGCAGTGGCACAATCACGGCTCATTCCAGCCTTGACCTCCCATACTCAAGCGAAACTCCTGCCTCTGCCTCCCTAGTAGCTGGGACTACAGGTACATGCCACCACATTGGGCCCAAGGCCAGGTTTTAAAAAGTTGCATCTAAGTATTATTTACATAGGATTGATTCCTTGTCTGCAATATATTCTACTCCAATACAAGTAGGTGGTTGATGAGTTCTAATACAAGCTTCCATGTTCACTAGCTGTATAAACTTAGGCAAGTTTAAATTATATGTGCCTTAGTTTCTTTTTTTTGAGACAGAGTCTCACTCTGTTGTCCAGGCTGGAGTGTAGTGGTGCCATCTCAGCTCACTGCAACCTCTGCCTCCCAGGTTCAAGCGATTCTCCTACCTTAGCCTCCCGAGTAGCTAGGATTACAGGTGTGTGCCACCACCTCTGGCTAATTTTTGTATTTTTAGTAGAGATGGGGTTTCACCATGTTGGCCAGGCTGATCTCAAACTCCTGACCTCAGGTGATTTGCCACCCACCTCAGCCTCCCAAAGTGCTGGGATTACAGGCATGAGCCACTGCGCCCAGCTGCCTTACTTATCACTAAAATGGGGATACTAACACCTCATAGAGATATTGAGACTTAAGATGTACAGATATCTATATATGCAAAAACATCAAACGTTCCTGACACAAAGCACGATACAAGTATATACTACTACTGTTGTTATTGTTATATTGCTATTATCTATCCTACTGATTCTAGTGGGATAGTTAAGCTGGAATCTCTCCAGAAAAATACACATAAGTAAAAGGTATTGAACACAACTGCAGAGGACCCAGGGATCCCAGATTAACCCTGCCAAAGATGATCCACAAGCAAGTTGGTTTAGTAAAGCAGTTCTTAACCTCTTCTGTGACACAGACCTCTTTAGTAGTCCAATTAATCTATGGATCTCTTCTCCGTTTTTTTACATTTCTAAAATATATAGGATCACAAAGTAAACCAATTATATTGAAACGCAGTTATCAAAATATTTTAAAATGTCTAATATAGCAATACGTTAACAATATTTTTGACATATAGCAAGTAATGAGCATAAATATTTCAAGATAACTGCAAAAGCTGTAATACATGTAAAAAAGTGATTTGTCTTGGTGACAAGGTCACATACACTGTTGCTGCCATTAACATTTAAAGAATTTTCACTTCTTTTCCATTTAGATTTCAGTTAGAAGCTAGAGAAAATAAACACGCAAATTTTTTTCCTCAACCAAGCTTAGGTACTTACTTCCTCAATTCTATCCAAAAACCTAGATTAAGAACCTTTGACTTATGGGAAAGTACAAAAATAATTTTGAAGCCAGAAATTTATGTTCTAGAAGTCAGACTTCAGACTTTAGCCCCCACATTATTTACACTTGAATGACCTTAGACATCTAACTTCTGAGCTTTGGTTCTCTCACTGAGAATAATTCCTCTATCATGAGGTTACAGGGATCAAATATTAGTTAACAAAACGCCAAACGACCAACATGTTGTTTTTCACTGATTTTAATACCACATATTCAGCCCCAAATATTTAAAGACAGTTAATTTTCAATAAAACTCATATGAGAAAATGAAGAATGACATAGTGACTCACAAAGAAAATGATTAATGGAGATACAACTTTTAAACACTAGTTTGGCGAGAGATACGATAGAATTTGTCTAACCTGGGGAGTCGGACAGGCCTGAATTGCTAACATCCCGTCCATGATTTGACATCAGCATGACCTGGATCTAAATCCCAGTTAAACTACTTTACTTTTACTAAGTAAAGTTACTTTAACCTCTGGGGCTCGGTTTTGTCATCTGTAAAACATATTAAGTATCGCTTTAGAGACAGGAGAAGACCTAGTTTAAACAATAAATGGAGCTGTTATTAAAACTTACATTTTAATAAAGCCAAAGGAATCAATTTGGAAGTCAAAAGTATATTGTGGAGTTCCTGTCAATATAAACTTCACAATCTTTCTTCTGCCCAGCAAAACACACACTTAAAACCTGTGGTATTTACATAGCATAACATTCCTTAAAAAAACTGGCTGGCACTGGCTTAAAATCTTATCTGATTTCTTATTCTGCCTAAGGAAAACAACAATGAGGACAGAAAACAGTAAACAGAATGAGTTCAGTAATTTTAAGTCTTTTCATGATTTCCCCGGAATGTTCCAATGAATGTTTATTATGAATGTTAGATACACTCTAATGTAGCAGTCTTTTAAAAAACTAATTTAAAGATATCAAGCTTATCGGCGACACAATATCAGTTAGTTTAAAGAGAAAAAAAAACCGTAAAATCATTTATTTACTTTATGCTGGAATATTACGGAGTAAGATTTTCCCACAACCCGGAAAAAAAAATCTGCCATAGGCTGGCCCCGGCTCCTAGATTCATTATACAACCCGTAAATTCCTTCCCTCATTGAAAAGATTCTTCTTATGGGCATAGTTAACAAATGCCAAGTTGCGAAGTTGCAGCTTTGCTGGTTTGACGTTTTCACAATGTAAGAACAATATGATCTGGAATCTACTCAAAGCATTAGCCAGGCAGTCAGCTGACGCTCACTGCACACAAGAGGACAGAATTAAGGGAAATTAAATTTCGTATTTCTGTAAGGCAGGTATCCAACTCTATCTTGAAAACTAAAATAGGCCAACAGCAGACGTTCTAGTTTAAGTAATAAAAGTGTCTCATTGTTCAAATAACATTACAAAAAACGGCTTTTCCCGGAATAAGTTTCCCTCATTCTTGGAATTTTCCTTGTAAAGGGCTTTTAATCGGTTCATAGAACCAACCCTTCATCACGCAGCTGCTGCTTGAGTAACTTTTACAAAAGGTCAAAGCGGTGCCTTTCAAGGCTTCCAAACCCTACTGGCTTCTCCTCGATTCAAAGTAACTCGCTTTCACCCACAGAACGTTCCAGAGACCTAGGGACGGGGCCCGGGCAGAATTTGGTGGAAGTTGCTCAAAAGAACTTTTCAATTTTCTTTTCAAAATACTTACCGCATTTCACCTTTCTCCATCCGTGGCCCCACATGTTGCTCGCCTCCCTCCCAGAGGGGCCCCGCGAGGCCGCGCTCGGCCCCCGGAACGCGCCCACCTGATTACCCTCTCCTCCCTCAGACTCCGCCCCCCAACCCCCCAATGCTGCCTCCTTTAGGAGGTCCATATGGGACACTTTCCCCTTCCTCTGAACCTCACCGCCACACCAGAACAGCCCTCCGTTTTTCTCCTTCAATTCTTCTCCACTACGGGCCTCACCTCCCATAGCTTCCTAGAGTGTTGTGAGCGCGCAGAGGGAAGCTGCAGGCCTGCTCGGCCCAGGTGCTGTGTCAGCCTATCTGCCGGTTCCGCGGCGTGTACGGCCCGGAAAGTCACATGGCGGTGGGACCGGCCGGCGCCTCTACACTCCTGCTCTCCTAAGAGCAGGACGAGACTAGCATAATGCACTCACCTCCACGAAAAGCAACATGTCGTCCTCTGCTCAGCCCAATCGTTCCCGCCGCCGCAACTCCAACTGGCTCACAGGCCCGCGCCCCAATTGCTAGGATAAGGACACACACTCGCCTTGCCCCTCCACCCGGCAGTGGACCCGGCTCCTCCCCTGCCGTCAGCCGCTGCGGCCTGACCCGCCCAGTCCCACCTCCCTTGAAACAACAACTGCTTCCGGGTCTAGGGAAAAATTGTTTCCGGGAGAAAAGAGAGCCCTCGGCGCGCTCAACTTTTGCACTATCTTTTCCAGCAGCAGTGTGGGATGTACTATCATCTGTCGGGGGGAACGATTAGAAGGAGACGCCATTCTGTGGCACGGGGATGTGTAAAAATCGTAATGACACATTTTATCACTTGTCAGATAGCTACACAGCACTGATAATTCCGCAGTTTTCATAGTTCACAATCTAGATTTGATTTTTAAAGCCGACCTTGGCGAAGTGTACTGAACAAACCAACCCTGCCGAAAAGTGGTGGCTCACAGAAGAAAAGTAGACAAGAAAAAAAAAACAAAAAACTATGATACTAGCAAATATGTTAATAGCAGCTAATGTATATTAAATGCTTACATTGTGTTTGGCACTATACTAAGCATTTTATGTTAATTGATCTTAAAACAATTCTATGCAATAAACACTATTATTATCATCCCCATTTTACAGTTGAAGAAGCCCTCTAGGAGGTCGGGTTTCCCTTTAAAGAACTTTGCCCCAGGCTCATTTGAATTAATTACCCATGTCACCGCTTAATATACCAGTAATAACACTTAATCTGGACAGTGTCTTCTTTGACGTTCTGTCATTAATTCAAACGAAATACAATAAAAACAAAATTTTTAAAATTATCTATAATTTTTGTTAGATGGTCCAAATTCCTTATTGTCTTTAGCAATATGTAGTAGGATAGATCGCTCCCACTTGTATGTCCTAGTTCAAACACTCATCTTTTGAAATAATCATGTCTTGGCTGGGAAGGGTGGCTCACGCCTATAATCCCAGCAATTTGGAAAGCTGAGGCGGGCGGATCACTTGCGGTCGGGAGTTCAAGACCAGCCTGGCCAACATGGTAAAACCCCATCTCTACTAAAAATACAAAAATTAGCCAAGTGTGGTGGTGCACACCTGTAATCCCAGCTACTCGGGAGGCTGAGGCAGGCGAATCGCTTAAACCCAGGAGGTGGAGTTAATAGTGAGCCAACATCGCGCCACTGCACTCCAGCCTGGGTGACAGAGTGAGACTCTGTCTCAAATATAGTAATAATAATAGTAACGAATAAAAATTGGCCGGACACCGTGGCTCACGCCTGTAATTCTAGCACTTTGGGAGGCCGAGGCGGGTGGATTGCCTTAGCTCAGGAGTTCAAGACCAGCCTGGGCAACATGGTGAAATGCCATCTCTAGTAAAATACAAAAAATTAGCCAGGCATGGCAGTGTGTGCCTGTAGTCCCAGCTACGTGGGAGGCTGAGGCAGGAGAATTGCTAGAACCTGGGAGGCAGAGGTTGCAGTGAGCCAAGATCACGCCACTGCACTCAAGCCTGGGTGACAGAGTGTGACTCTGTCTCTAAAAAATAATAATAATAAATAAAAATGAAATAATCATGTCTTGATCTTTTCCAATGGATTTTTCCATTCTATTATTTAAAAAATCTTCCCAAAGTGAAGGTTTCATTTTCACCAAACCACTGTTACTTGATTTCAAGACTTTGCCATTCTGATCTCATGAAATCCTCCTTGCTTTGCCGCAAATGGAATCTCCTCAGATACCAAATTAATTCCACCACCAAATTGCTGATATCTGTTATCTCAGGCCCACCCTAATGTGGTCCTCAGTAAATTCCCGTGAAGTCATCTCAGTGATTAAACCAATCTCCTTACTTTCCCCCTAAGATGCAAACTCATTAGCACTCACCGCCAAAGCCATGGCTCAAGGTGTTGCCCCTACCTGGATTGCCTCCATTTGTCAATCAACCTTCTCTCTCCATAAGGTTTTCTCAAAGATTCTGCTTCTACAGATCTCTTCTTCGTGTCCCTTATTAGCACTTGATTATTATATTCTATCTTAAATCTTTTCTTTTTTGTTTTAGTTTCTTCACAGGAACCCTATCATATATTCTTCAGTTTAGGATAATGTAAGCTGCATAGTGTTTCAACAAATGCTTGTCGAATTGAAAGGGAAGCAGGATTTAAAAATTGACTTTAAGAAGCCTTCATGGCCAGGCGTGGTGGCTCATGGCTGTAATCCCAGCACTTTGGGAGGCCACGAGGTCAGGAGATCGAGACTGTCCTGGCAAACACGGTGAAACTCTTTCTCTACTAAAAATACAAAAAATTAGCCGGGCGTGGTGGTGGGCGCCTGTAGTCCCAGCTACTTGGGAGGCTGAGGCAGGAGAATGGCGTGAACCTGGGAGGCGGAGCTTGCAGTGAGCCTAGATCGTGCCTCTGCACTCCAGCCTGGGTGACAGAGTGAGATTTTGTCTCAAAGAAAAGCCTTCATGTCTAGTTGCTGATTGATGAATTCCATGCTGCATAAAAGATGCAAGTGAGAGAGAAAGAATAATGCAAATTTAGTTTAGTTGACAACTAAACTTTGGGAGGCCGAGGTGAGTGAATCACTTGAGGAGTTTGAGACCAGCCTGGCCAACACAGTGAAACCCTATATCTACCAAAAATATAAAAAATTAGCCAGGTGTAGGCCGAGTGCAGTGGCTCACACCTGTAATCTCAGCACTTTGGGAGGCCAAGGCATGCAGATCACGAGGTCAGGAGATCGAGACCATCCTGGCTAACATGGTGAAACCCCGTCTCTACTAAAAAATACAAAAAACTAGCCGGGTGTGGTGGCGGGCGCCTGTAGTCCCAGCTACTCGGGAGGCTGAGGCAGGAGAATGGAGCAAACCTGGGAGGCGGAGCTTGCAGTGAGCCGAGATCATGCCACTGCACTCCAGCCTGGGCCACAGGCGAGATTCCGTCTCAAAAAAAAAAAAAAAAAAAATTAGCCAGGTGTGGTGGCGCATGCCTGTAATCCCAGCTACTCGGGAGGCTGAGGTAGAAGAATCGTTTGAACCTGGGAGGCAGAGGTTACAGTCTGCTGAGATGGCACTACTACACTCCAGCCTGGACAACAGAGTGAGACTCTGCCTCAAAAAAAAAAAAAGAAAGAAAGAAAGGAAGGAAGGAAGGAAGGAAGGAAGGAAGGAAGGAAGGAAGGAAGGAAGGAGAAAGAAAGAAAGAAAGAAAAAACAATACATACACCTGTAGTAAAACTATGTAAAAATAGATAACACAAATATGTAAAATTCATGATTGTCATTTCCTCTGGAATGGGACAGTGGGGAAGGAAGGAACCAGGGGTGGGGGACATCAAAGAGGACTTCAACCTTCTGTAATGCTTTTTTATTATTAAAAAAATTGGAAGCAAATATTAAACAAAAATTAGCCAGGCGTGGTGGCGCGCACCTGTAATTCCAGCTACTCAGGGAGGCTGAGGCACAAGAATCTCTTGAACCTGGGAGGCAGAGGTTGCCATGAACCAAGATCACACCACTGCACTCCAGCCTGGGTAACAAAGTGAGACTCTGTCTCCAAAAAAAAGGGAAAGAAAAGAAAAGAAAAGAAAAAAGAGTAAGCAGTGCAAAGAGTGTGATCCTCATCCAAATGATATCATCCAAGTTACTTCATCCAAATGATATCATCCAAGTTACTACATGTCTAGGAAAAGTTAAGGGGCAGCTGAGGAAGTAGTTGTAACCTTTATTCCATTACAGGCTTAAAAATACTTAAGCAAAACCCCAGGAAGAGAGAAGAACCAGGAGTTATATTTGACACACCTAGATTTTTTTTTTTTTTTTTTTGAGACAGTTTCACTCTTGTTGCCCAGGCTGGAGTGCAATGACGTGATCTCGGCTCACCACAACCTCCGCCTCCCGGGTTCAAGTGATTCTCCTGCCTCAGCCTCCCAAGTAGCTGGGACTACACGCATGTGCCACCTCACATGGCTAATTTTGTATTTTTTTTTTTTTAGTAGAGACGGGGTTTCTCCATGTTGGTCAGGCTGGTCTCGAACTCCGACCTCTGGTGATCCACCTGCCTCGGCCTCCCAAAGTGCTGGGATTACAGGCATGAGCCACTGCACCCGGCCAACACATCTAGATTTTAAGCTTATTTAAGCAGGGCTATATCTTCTGTTTATTTTAGCATTCCTGTTGTCTATTATTTCCTACCCTCCTTCCCCCCTCACCCTTCTACCATGGCAGCATATAGAATGACCAGTTCTCTGCACATAGTAAGCATTCTTTACATGTTTGATCAATGATAATGTCACAATGGGTCTATTGTGACATCAACAGGACGGGAATATCATGGGAGCCACCAATTAGTAGCAGAGTATGCCACAACTTCTAGGATCAGGAAAGACCTCTCCTAGCTTCCTACTGGATATCTTTATTAGCATTTTTGTAGATTCTGTGAAAAAGAAGAAATAAAACGAAATCACCCACATTTTCAAAATGTTCTTCAAAATGAAAAATGAGATAGACAATGACCCTGAATCAGAAAAATGCATCAAGGATTCCACCATCATGAGAAGAGAGCCCCAAAATATCCTTAGTCCTTTGATGCTCCCTAACCTTGAGATCCCATTCTCAGTAAAGGATATCATCTCTAGGATTGAGCGCGCACAGCTCCATCGAGCCAGAGAGGTAGGTAGTGAATCTGAAGTTTACAGACTGCAATTTTCTTTTTAAACTTTCTGTGACCAAGTACATTTTTGTTTATTTTAGAAATCACTTTCATGATATTTGACTGTATTTAGGGTAGCTTTGACTTCAAATGACAATTTCACCTGACACCGACTGTGGATATAACAAGCTCCAATTTGACATTAATCTCTTTATATCAGGTTTAATAAAGCCATTTAAGAAATAAATCAAGCCGGGCATGGTGGCTCACGCCTGTAATCCCAGCACTTTGGGAGGCCGAGGCGGGCGGATCACTGAGGTCGGGAGTTCAAGACCAGCCTGACCAACATGGAGAAACCACCGTTTCTACTAAAAATACAAAAAGTTAGCTGGGCATGATTGCACTTGCCTGTAATCCCAGCTACTCAGGAGGCTGAGGTAGGAGAATTGCTTGAACCAGGGAGGTGGAGGTTGTGGTGAGCCAAGATTGCACCATTGCACTCCAGCCTGGGCAACAAAAGCGAAACTCTATCTCAAAAAAAAAAAAAGTTTTCATTTGTTCCCTATGGAGGTTTTATCAAACAGCTATTAGCCAGATAGAATTTAGATGGCTTTGAATTCTAGCTCCTTTTATTTTCCCTGTACACTTCAAGGAGAAATTAGGAGAAATTCAAGGAGAATAGAAAGAGTGTTTACATAATGTCAGCCGGGTGCGGTGGCTTATGCCTGTAATCCCAACACTTTGGGAAGCTGAGATGGGAGGATCCCTTGAGGCCAGGAGTTAGAGACCAGCCTGGTCAACATAGTGAGACCCCATCTATATTTTTAGAAAAATAAATAAATAAATAAATACATAAGAATCTAATAGACCCCCAAACAATTAAGGTTATACTGCATTTTATTCTCTCGCAGTACAACAAAATCAGGCCAGGCACAGCGATTCATGCCTGTAATCCCAATGCTTTGGGAGGCCAAGGCAGGAGGATCTCTTGAGCCCAGGAGTTCTAGACCAGCTTGGCCAACATAAGGAGACCTCCTGTCTACTAAAAATAAAAAAATTAGCCAGGCATGTTAGCTCAAACCTGTAGTCCCAGCTCCTTGGGAGGCCAGAGGATCCCCTGAACCCAGGAGACTGCAGTGAGCACCATGCTTGCACTACTGCACCCCACTCAGCATGGGTGACATAGCGAGACCCTGTCTCAAAAACAAACAAACAAACAAAAATCAGTCATGTTTGATGAAATTGATTAAGGGGGGGTTCTTTCCTATGTTTAAGGAAAGCTAAACTGGTCACAGTGGCTCATGCCTGTAATCCCAGCACTTTAGGAGGTCAAGGTGAGAGGCTCACTTGAGCCCAGGAGTTTGAGACCATCCCAGGCAACAAAGCAAGACCCTGTCTCTAGAAAAAATTTAAAAATTAGCCAGGAAGTGGTGGTATGCACTTGCAGTCCCAGCTACTCGGGAAGGTCCCTTGAGACCAGGAATTTGAGGTTACAGTGAGCTATAGATTGTGCCACTACATTCCAGTCTGGTGACAGAGGGACTCTATCTCTAAAAAAAAAAAAAAAAAAAAAAAAAAAAGAGTGTTAGCCAGGCACAGTGGCTCACTCCTGTAATCCCAGCACTTTGGAGGCCAAGACAGGAGGATCGCTTGAGTCCTGGAGTTCAAGACCAGTCTGGGCAACATAGTAAGACCTCTGTCTCTCTCTCTCTATAGGTAGATAGGTAGATAGATAGATAGATAAATAGATTTTTTTTTTTGAGGCAGACTATCATGCTATTGTTCAGGCTGAGTGCAGTGGCGCGATCTTGGCTCACTGCAACCTCCATCTCCTGGGTTCAAGTGATTCTCCTGCCTCAGCTTCCCAAGTAGCTGGGACTACAGGCACCGGCCACCAAGCCTGGCTAATTGTTTTTGTATTTTTAGTAGGGACAGGGTTTCACCATGTTAGCCAGTATGGTCTTGATCTCCTGACCTTGTGACCCACCCCCACTCCAAAGTGCTGAGATTACAGGCGTGAGCCACTGCGTCCAGCCCATTTTATATATTCTTTTAAAAAACAAAAACAAAAACAAAAAAACAGAGTGCTTGGCCAGGTGTGGTAAGTAGCTCATGCCTGTAATCCTAGCATCTTGGGAGGCAGAGGCAGGTGGATCACTTGAGCTCAGGATTTCAAGACCAACTGGCCAATATGGTGAAACCCGGTCTCTACTAAAAATACAAAAAATTAGCCGGGTGTGGTGGCTCCTGCCTGGAGTCCCAGCTACTCAGGAGGCTGAGGCAAGAGAATCACTTGAGCCCGAAAGGCAGAGGTTGCAGTGAGCCGAGATGGTGCCAATGCACTCCAGCCTGGGTGACAGAGCAAGACTCTGCCTCACAGAAAAAAAGAGTGCTAAATATCGATAAATTCCCACTCCTCACACAGACTTTCTCCTGTTCCAACTTCTGGCAACTAGCAACAATAACACAGTGTTTGCTTTTAACAGCTTTATTGAGGTACAGTTAGCATACCATAAAATGTATGCAACCTCTGCCTCCGGGGCTCAAGCCATCCTCCCACCTCAGCCTCCCAAGTAGCTGAGACTACAGGCACACACACCAGCACGTCTGGCTAATTTTTGTATTTTTTGTATAAATGGGGTTTCACCATGTTGCCCAGGCTGGTCTTGGACTCCTGAGCTAAAGCAATCTGCCTGCCTCAGCCTCCCAGAGTGCTAAGATTACAGGCTTGAGCCACCACGCCTGGCCCAAAATACACTTTTTTTTTTTTTGAGATGGAGTCTCGCTCTGACACCCAGGCTGGAGTGCAATGGCACCACCTCGGATCACTGCAACCTCCGCCTCCCAGGCTCAAGCAATTCTCCTGCCTCAGCCTCCCGAGCAGCTGAGACTAGACAACAGGCACCCGCCGTCATGCCCGGTTGATTTTTGTATTTTAGTAGAGACAGGGTTTCACCATGTTGGCCAGGCTGGTCTTGAACTCCTGACCTCAGGTGATCCTCCCGCCTCGGCCTCGCAAAGTGCTAGGATTACAGAAGTGAGCCACCGCGCCCAGCCAAAATGTACATTTTAAAAGTATGCAAGTATCGAGCCGGGAGCGGTGGCTCATACCTGTAATCCCAGCACTTTGGAGGCGAGGCGGGCGGATCACGAGGTCGGGAGATCGAGACCATTCTCGCTAACACGGCGAAACCCCGTCTCT
This sequence comes from Homo sapiens, assembly GCF_000001405.40. Lineage (NCBI taxonomy): Eukaryota > Metazoa > Chordata > Mammalia > Primates > Hominidae > Homo > Homo sapiens. Next base: position 50,393,110 of record NC_000012.12, on the reverse strand, counting down.
ACTAAAAATACAAAAAATTAGCCGGGCGTGGTGGCGGGCGCCTGTAGTCCCACCCACTCGGGAGGCTGAGGCAGGAGAATGGCGTGAACCCGGGAGGCAGAGCTTGCAGTGAGCCAAGATTGCGCCACCGCACTCCAGCCTGGGTGACAGAGCAAGACTCCGCCTCAAAAAAAAAAAAAAAGTATACAAGTATTGATACTGGCTGGGCGCGGTGGCTCACGCCTGTAATCCCAGAACTTTGGGAGGCTGGGGCGGGCGGATCATGAGCTCAGGAGATCGAGACCATTTTGGCTAACACCGTGAAACCCCGTCTCTACTAAAAATACCAAAAAAAAAAAAAAAAAATTAGCCAAGTGTGGTGGCACACGACTGTAGTCCCAGCTACTCGGGAGGCTGAGGCAGTAGAATTGCTTGAACCCAGGAGGCGGAGGTTGCAGTGAGTCAAGACAGCGCCATTGCACTCCAGCCTGGGAATAGAGCGAGACTCCGTCTCAAAAAAAAACTATTGATATACATAAATACCTGTGAAACCGGCTGGGCGCGGTGGCTCACGCCTGTAATCCCAGCATTTTGGGGGGCCGAGGCGGGCGTATTACAAGGTCAGGAGATCGAGACCATCCTGGCTAACACGGTGAAACCCCTGTCTCCACTAAAAATACAAAAAATTAGCCGGGCGTGGTGGCGGGCGCCTGTAGTCCCAGCTACTCGGGAGGCTGAGGCAGGAGAATGGCATGAACCCGGAAAGGAGGAGCTTGCAGTGAGCCAAGATCGCGCCAGTGCACTGTAGCCTGGGCGACAGAGCGAGACTCCGTCTCAAAACAAACAAACAAACAAACAAACAAACAAACAAACAACAAACCTGTGAAACCTTCACCACATCGACATAATGATTTTGCCCATTTCCCCCAAAAGTTTCTTCATGCTGCTTTATAATCCCTCCCACATGCTGTTCCCTGCCCCCCACCCCCAATCCCCAGCTAACCACCAATCTGCTTCTGTCACTGTATATTAGTTTGCATATTTTAGATTTTATATAAGTGGAGCCATACAGTATCTACTTTCTTCTGCCTCACGTCTTTCACTTAGCATAATTATTTTGAGATTCATCCACACTTTTGCATATATGAATAGTTGATTCCTTTTTATTGTTGAGTGTTTTTCCATGGCATGGCATGGCATGGGCTGTTTCTGGTTTTGGGTTATTACAAATAAGCTGCTATAAACATTCATGTACCAGTCATTATACAGATATATGCTTTCATTTCTCTGGAATAAATACCTAAGCTTGGAATGGCTAAGTCTAAAGGTAGTAAATGTTCATTTTAAAAAATAAACTACTAGGCCAGCTGCAGTTGCCCATGCCTGTAATCCCAGCTACTTGGGAGGCAGAGGCATGAGAATCTGCCTAGGAGGCAGAGGCTGCAGTGAGCCAAGATCGAGCCACTGCACTCCAGCCTAGGTGACTGGAGACAGTGAGACTGTCAAAAAAATAAAATAGGCCAGGCGTGGTGGCTCACACCTGTAATCCCAGCACTTTGGGAGGCTGAGGCAGGCGGATCACAAGGTCAGGAGTTTGAGACCAGCCTGGCCAATATGGTAAAACCCCATATCTACTAAAAACACAAAAATTAGCCGGGCATGGTGGCAGGTACCTGTGGTCCCAGCTACTTGGGAGGCTGAGGCAGGAGAATTGCTTGAACCTGGGAGGCAGAGGTTGCAGTGAGCCAAGATCGCGCCACTGCACTCCAGCCTGGGTGACAGCGAGACTCTGTCTCAAAAAATATATATAAAAAATAAAAAATAAAAAAATAAAATAAGGCCTGGCATGGTGGCTCATGCTTGTAATCCCAGCACTTTGGGAGGCCGACAAGGGTGGATCAGACCACCTGAGGTCAGGAGTTTAAGACCAGCCTGGCCAACATGGTGACACCCCATCTCTACTAAGAATACAAAAATCAGCCAGATATGGTAGCAGGCATCTGTAATCCCAGCTACTCGGGAGGCTGAGGCAGGAAAATTGCTTGAATCTGGGAGGTGGAGGTTGCAGTGAGCCACAATCGCACCACTACACTCCAACCTGGGCAACGGAGCAAGACTCCATCTCAAAAACAAAAAAAAGGAGGTAGGGCATGGTAGCTCATGGCTGTAATCCTAGCACTTTGGGAGTCCAAAGTGGAAGGATTGCTTGAGCTAAGGAGTTTGAGACCACCCTAGGCAACATGGCGAGACCCTGTTTCTACAAAACATACAACAATTAGCCAGGGGTGGTGGCTACCTCGGCCTCCCAAAATGCTGGGATTATAGACATGAGCCATTGTGCTAGGCCCTTTCACCAATAGTATGAGAAAAAATGTAGTGAAGGAAGCCCCGGCATCCTTGAAGAGCTCTGTGATCACTCTTCTCTAGAGTTCAGACCTTAACAGTGGGAACTGTAGTCACTGAATTTGTAAACCTAACTGGGACCCAGTAGTGGCACCCAACCACCAAAGGCAAGGTGGATATGATTACTGTAATGGACAGCAGCAGGAAAGCAGCAATCAAAATAGTCTGACTCACACTGACCTATGGCATTGGCTAGTTGATCAAGATGTTCCCAGAAATGAATAGATAGGAAGCCTACTAAATTCTTACTTAATCTGAACAAGTAGGAAATTCCTCGGTCGAATGAAAATAAATACCTGAATCATGAATCATGAAAACGAGTCAGAGTCCATCAGTCAATTCCCAAACTTGAGCCAGTTGACAGACTCAGAGCTCCTTGAGTGAACAGGACCTCAAGTTCTCTTGAAGAAGGACCCTGGGTCTACCTGTATACTATTACTTTTTCTGCTGACCTTGTAACAGAGTGTGCATTGGGAAAAAGGAAATAATCAGACCTTTTGGGGGACTACTGGGCACTGGCTCTGAGCTGACATTAATCCCAGGAGATCCAAAATGTTATTGTGGTCTACCCATTAATCAAAAAAGCTTTAGCTCAGGCCCATCTCACAGTGAAACTAGTGTGTCCCCAAACCCATCCTGTGGTTATTTCACAAGGTCCAAAATGTGTAATTGGAATATACATACTCAGCAGCTGACAGAATCCCCACACTGACTCCCTTACCTGTGGAGTGAGGGCTACTGTGGTGGGAAAGGCCAAATAGGAGCCACTAGTGCCTCTACCTAGGAAAACAGTAAAAATAAAACAAATATCCCATTCCTGGAAGAATTAGTGCCATCATCAAGGACTTCAAAGATTCCTTAGTGGTGATTTCTACCATATCCTCATTCAACTTTCCTGTTTGGCCTGTAAAGAATACAGATGGATTTTGGAGAACGACAGTGGATTATTGTAAGCTTAACTAGGTACTAAGTCCAGTCACAGCTTCTGTACCAGATGTGGCTTCATTGCTTGAACAAATTAACACATTCCCTGGTTCCTGGTATGCCGCTATGATCTGGCAAATGATTATTTCTTCCAATCTGTCAATAAGGCCCACCAGAAGTAGTTTGCTTTTATCTGGGAAGGCCAGCGATACAGCTTCGGTCTTCTATCTCAGGAGTATATTAATTTGCCAGTTGGGTAGAATTTACCTGCAAAACCATCTGGCCCAAGGAAGTTTCTTTTTTTGAGATGGAGTTTTGCTCTTGTTGCCCAAGCTGGCGTGCAATGTCGCGATCTCAGCTCACTGCAACCTCCACCTCCCAGGTTCAAGCAATTCTACTGCCTCAGCCTCCCAAGTAGCTGGAATTACAGGCATGCACCACCATGCCCGGCTAATTTTGTATTTTTAGTAGAGACGGGGTTTCTCCATGTTGGTCAGGCTGGTCTCAAATTCCCGAACTCAGGTGATCCACCCACCTCGGCCTCCCAAAGTGCTGGGATTACAGGAGTGAGCCACAGTGCCCAGCCTATTTTTTTATTTTTAGTAGAGATAAGGTCTTGTTATTGTGCTCAAGCTAGTCTTTAACTCTTGAAGTCAAGTGTTCCTCCCATCTCAGCCTCCCAAAATGCTGAGATTACAGGCATGAGCCATCACACCTGATTTTTTTTTTCTTTTTTCTTTTTTTTAAATGACAGAGTCTCCCTCTGCTGTTGCCCAGGCTGGAGTGTAGTGGCACGATCTCGTGTCACTGCAACCTACGCTACGCCTCCCAGGCTCAAGTGATCCTCCCGCTTCGGACTTCCGAGTAGCTGGGACCTCAGGCATGCACCACGCCCAGCTAATTTTTGTATTTTTGGTAGAAATGGGGTTTCTCCATGTTGGCCAGGCTGGTCTCAAACTCCTGATCTCAAGTGATCTGCTCGCTTCGACCTCCCAAAGTGCTAAGATTACAGGCATGAGCCACTGTGCCCAGGCACTGTATTTTAAGAAATTAATTTTTCCTAGGGAGAAACTATTGCCCCTTCCTAGGTGAGGTCTGTGAATTGTTCTCATTAATCCTTTTAGGTAACTGTCAACTGTCACTTAGTTGACAGGATGAAAGGATACATCTTTTTTTTTTTTTTTTGAGACGGAGTTTCACTCTTGTTGCCCACACTGGAGTGCAATGGTGCATTCTCAGCTCACCGCAACCTCCGCCTCCCAGGTTCAAGCGATTCTCCTGCCTCAGCCTCCTAAGTAGCTGGAATTATGGGCATGTGCCACCACACCTGGCTGAATTTTGTATTTTTAGTAGAGAGGGGGGTTTCACTGTGTTGCCCAGGCTAGTCTCGAACTCCTGACCTCAGGGGATCCTCCCGCCTCTGCCTCCCAAAGTGTGCGATTACAGGTGTGAGCCACTGCGCCCGCCTGGCTGAAAGGATAAACCTTGACCCTGTTATTCCATTGGGATATTGTGAAATATAACAATTCTTAAAATCTTTGGAATCTCCAAAGTGATGTCTTTTTGTATGCTAATGATTGACAGCTAGCTTCAGGATGGGACTGGTCATTAGAAAGACAAAGCCCTGATTAGAGGGTTGGGACTTTCAACCCCACCCCCCAACCTTCAGGGGTGGGGAAAGCCGCTGAAGGTCAAGCTGCTTATCTACGGCCAATGGTTTAATCAACCATAACTATGTAATCAAACCTCCATACAAACCCAAAGGACAGGGTTTGGAGAGCTTACAGAGAGTTGAACACATGGAGGTTCCTGGAGAGTGGTGTGCCCAGAGAGAATATGAAAGTGATATAGGAGTTAAGAAGAAATCACGTAGGCAGATAGTGAGGGTATGGGAGTCCTTGGTAAGGCTTTTCTTTTTAATGAAAAGCAGCCCCAAATCATTTTCTAACAAAGAGCAGCCTGTAAAGTCGAGCTGCAGACACAGAGCAGCAAGCTGGGAGCTTGCAGGGGTGAATGCCAGCAGAAACTAGGGACTAGACATGTTCAAGAGGGCGATTCCATCTTTCCTTCTCTGCCAGCCTTGTGTACAGTAAGGAGGAGACAACGTGGTGCCGGCCAAGGAGAGTTCATTTGCATAGTAATATTAGGGTGAAGCAACCAGCCTTCCATATGCACTATGTAAACATCATATCTGATTGAACCAATCTGTGAGCCTTACATAAATCAGACACCAGCTCCTCAAGCCACACTATAAAATCTAGCACATCCACCACCAGCCGGTCTTTTCCTCTGGGAAGATCTCCCTCTCTTTATTGAGAGTGCTGTTTTTCTTTCTCTTTTCTTCTGCCTATTAAACCTCCACTCCTAAACTCCTAGTGTGTATTCGTGTCCTAAATTTTCCTGGTACCAGATGATGAACCCCAGGTATACAACAGAGACAATGTAGCTGCTTCAGAAGCTCCATTCCCCTTCCACAATACCTTGCCCTAGCATCTCTTCAATAAACCAGTTCTGTGAGCTGCCCCAGCAAATTAATCCAACCAAAAGAGGGAGTCTTAGGAATGCCAAATTGAAATTGATTGGTCAGAAGTTCTGGAGGCCTGGATTTGTGACTGGTGTCTGAGTGGGGGCAGTTTTGGGGACTGAGGCTTCGACCTATGGGATCTGACACTGTATCTAGGTAGATGGTGTCTGAATTGAAATAAAAGACACCCACCTGATGTCCATTGCAGAAATGGTTCCCTGCTTGGTGGTGGGGAGAATCTGCTCCTCCGACCCCACATTTGGTCTGATCATGGAAGTCTTCTGTGTTAATAAGTTGATAACTGTTTTGCTGAATAGAAAAAAATAGAATAGAAAAAAAAACTGAAAGTTTTTTCCAATATCCATCTGGGATGAAATCATAAGTTGAATTTTTTTTTTTTTTTTGAGACAGAGTCTCATTCTGCTGCCCAGGCTGGAGTGCAGTGGCACGATCTCGGCTCACTGCAACCTCTCCCTAACCCCCCCACCCCCAAACTGGGTTCATGCTATTCTCTTGCCTCAGCCTCCCAAGTAGCTGGGATTACAGGTGCGCACCATCATGCCTGGATAATTTTTGTATTTTTAGCAGAGACGGGGTTTCACCATGTTGGCCAGGCTGGTCTTGAACTCCTGACGTTAAGTGATCTGCCTGCCTCAGCCTCCCAAAGTGCTGGGATTACAGGCATGAGCCCGGCCAAAATGTTCTTTTTCTGTATTGAGTTGACCAAAACGGTTTATGTGTGGTGTACAACATTATGTTTTGATATATTTATACATTGCGGAATGGCTAGATCCAACTACTTAATGCATGCATTTCCTCACATATCTTTTTTGTTTGTTTCTTTGTTTGTTTGTTTTTTGAGACAGGATCTCACTCTGTCTCTCAGGCTGGAGTGCAATGGCATGATCTTGGCTCACTGCAACCTCCACCTCCCAGGTTCAAGCGATTCTCCTGCCTCCCTATAGCTGGGATTACAGATGGGTGCCACCAGGTTTGGCTAATTGTTGTATTTTTAGTGGAGACAGGGTTTCGCCATGTTGGCCAGGCTGATCTCGATCTCCTGACCTCAGGTGATCCACCCACCTTGGCCTCCCAAAGTGCTGGGATTACAGGCGTAAGCTACTATGCCTGGCCACCTCACATTTCTTTTTGTGGTGAGAACACTTAATATCTCCTCTCAGCAATCTTCAAGTATACAATGTATTGTTATTAACTATAGTTATCATGATGTATAATAAATCTCTTGAACTTATTTCTCCTGTCTAACTGAAAAATTGTATCCTTTGACTAACATCTCCACAATCTGCCCATCCCCAGCCTCTGCTAACCACTGTTCTACACTGTCTGCTTCTATGAGTTTGACTTCTTTTTTTTTTTTTGAGATGGAGTCTCGCTCTGTTGCCCAGGCTGGAGTGCAGTGGTGCGATCTCAACTCACTGCAAGCTCCACCTCCTGGGTTCAAGCAATTCTCCTGCCTCAGTCTCCCGAGTAGCTGGGACTACAGGCGCCTGCCACCACGCCTGGCTAAGTTTTTCTATTTTTAGTAGAGACGGGGTTTCACCATGTTAGCCCGGATGGTCTAGATCTCCTGAGACCTCGTGATCCACCCACCTCGGCCTCCCAAAGTGCTGGGGTTACAGGCTTGAGCCACCACGCCCGGCAAGTTTGACTTCTTTAGATTCCACATATGAGTGAAATCATGAAGAAGCCTTTTAGTTTGATGTAATACCATTTGTCTATTTTTGCTTTTGTTGCCTATACTTTTGGAACCATATACAAAAATCATTGTCTAGAACAATGTCATGGAACTTTTCCCCTGTTTCCTTCTAGTAGTTTTATACTTTCTTTTTTTTTTTTTTTTTTGAGACAGAGTCTTGCTCTGTCGCCCAGGCTGGAGTGCTATGGCGTAATCTCAGCTCACTGCAACCTCTGCCTCCCAGGTTCAAGCAATTCTCCTGCCTCAGCCTCCTGAGTAGCTGAGACTACAGGTGCGTACAACCATGCCCAGCTAATTTTTGTATATTTAGTAGAGACAAGGTTTCACTATGTTGGCCAGGCTGGTCTTGAACTCCTGACCTCATGATCCACCCACCTCGGCCTCCCAAAGTGCTGGGATTACAGGCATGAGCCACCACGCCAGGCCATAATTTCACATTTTATGTTTAAATCTAATCCAGGCTGGGCATGGTGGCTCATGTCTGTAATCCCAGCACTTTGGGAGGCCAAGGCGGGTGGATCACCTGAGGTCAGGAGGTTGACACCAGCCTAGCCAACATGGTGAAACTCCATCTCTACTAAAATACAAAAATTAGCTGGGCATAGAGGCAGGCACCTGAAATCCCAGCTACTTGGGAGGCTGAGGCAGGAGAATCACTTGAACCTGGGAGGCAGAGGTTGCAGTGAGCCAAGATCGCGCCAATGCACTCCAGCCTGGGCAATAGAGCAAGACTCAGTCTCAAAAAAAAACAAAAACTCTAATCCATTTTGAGTGGATTTTTGTATATGGTGTAAGTTTAGAGTCTAATTTCATTCTTCTGTACGTGGATATCCAGTTTTTCTAACACCATTTATTGAAGAGACTCTTCTTTCCACATTGTTTTTGGCATCTTTGCTGAAAATCAATCGACTGTGAAATGTGTGGATTTATTTCTGGGCCCTCTACTCTGTTCCATTGGTCTAATGTATCTGTTTTTATGCTAGTACCACACTGTTTTGATTATTATGGCTTTGTATTGAATTTTGAAATCAGGTACAGTGATGCCTCCTGCTTTGTTCTTTTTACTCAAGATTGCTTTGGATATTCAGGGTCTGTTGTGGCTCCATACATGTTTTAGTTTATTTATTTATTTTTGTTTAGAGACATGGTCTGGCTCTGTCACCCAGGCTATAGTGCAGTGGTGCAATAATAGCTCAATGAAACCTTGGACTCCTGGGCTCAAGGGATCCTCCAGCCTCAGCTTGCCGACCATCTAGGACTACCACACCCAGTTGATTTTTTTTTTAATTTTTGTAGAGACAGGGTCTCCTATGTTGCCCGGGCTGGTCTTGAACTCTGGCCTCAAGTAACCTTTTCACCTTGGCCTTTCAAAATGCTGGGATTCCAGGTGTGAGCCACCACACCTGGCCTCTGTACATATCTTAGGATTTCTTTCTTTCTTTTTTTTGAGACAGAGTCTCACTTGTCGCCCAGGTTGGAGTGCAGTGGTATGATCTCAACTCACTGCAACCTCCACATCCTAGGTTCAAGCAATTCTCCTGCCTCAGCCTCGTGAGTAGCTGGGACTATAGGCATGTGCCACCATGCCTGGCTAATTTTTGTATTTTTAGTAGAGATAGGGTCTCACCATGTTAGCCAGGATGGTCTCGATTTCCTGGCTTCGTGATCCGCCTGCCTCGGCCTCCCAAAGTGCTGGGATTACAGGCATGAACTACTGCGCCCGGCCTATTTCTTTCTTTTTTCACATTAGGCTGGTTTATATGTGCTGCTCTGGGCAGTTACATAGTTTGCTTACAATGAGGAGTTACCTGACTTTGAACATACTGTACATGGCAATTAGAAGTTGTCATGGCAAGAGAAAAACCACAGCCAGCCTGCTGCAGCCAACAGAAAAACAACCACAGACCAGTAGGGGGAATGTAGGGATAAAGGTGGGGTTTGTTTGTTTCTTTCTTTTTTTTCTTTTTTGAGACAAAGTCTCACTCTGTTGCCCAGGCTGGAGTTGAGTGGCGCGATCTTGGCTCACTGCAACTTCTGCCTCCCGGGTTCTAGTGATTCTTCTGCCTCAGCCTCCCAAGTTGCTGGAACTACAGGTGTGCACCACCACGCCCAGCTAATTTTTTGTATTTTTAGTAGAGATGGGGTTTCACCATGTTGGCCAGGCTGGTCTCAGACTCCTGACTTCATGATCCACGTGCTTCCGCCTCCCAAAGTGCTGGGATTACAGGTTATAGGCGTGAGCCACCGCTTCCAGCCGTTTCTTTTCTTTCTCTCTCTCTCTCTCTTTTTTTTTTTTTTTTTTTTTTTTTTTTTTAGACGGAGTCTTGCTCTGTCACCCAGGCTGGTGTGCAGTGGCTGCAATCTCAGGTCACTGCAACCATCACCTCCCAGGCTCAAGTGATCCTCCCACCTTAGCCTCCAGAGTAGCTGAGATCACAGGCATATGGCACCACACTGGGGGCTATTGTTTTTTGTTTTGTTGTTGTTGTTGTTGTTCTTTTTGTATTTTTATAGAGATGGGGTTTCTCCATGTTGTCCAGGCTGGTCTTGAATTCCACCAGCCTTGGCCATTCAGAGTTCTGGGATTATAGGCATGAGCCGCTATGCCCGACCTTGTTTCTTACTATAAAAGAAAAAAATAACTCCTCAGCAGTCTTAAAAGAAAGGGATCAAAGAGATGTTAGGATACAAAATTACAAGTATTTTAAATCCAGGCCTGTCCTCATCTCCTTCAAGAGCAGAGGTAGAAGGAGACAGTTGAAGCAAACAAGTAAATTCTGTAAAAATTACTTGGAAACCCTACAAATTTTATTAAAATCTAAACTTCTATTTTGCTTTTTATTTATTTATTTATTTTATTTTTTGAGACAGAGTCTTGCTCTGTTGCCCAGGCTGGAGTGCAGTGGCACGATCTCAGCTCACTGCAACTTCTGCCTCCCAGGTTCAAGCGATTCTCCTGCCTCAGCCTCCTGCGTAGCTGGGATTACAGGTGTGAGCCACCACACCTGGCTAATTTTTGTATTTTTAGTAGAGAAAGGGTTTCACCATGTTGGCCAGGCTGGTCTTGAACTCCTGGCCTCAAGTGATCTGCTCACTTCAGCCTCCCAAAGTGCTGATATTACAGGCGTGAGCCATTGTGCCTGGTCATATATATATATTTTTAATTAATATATTAAAAAGCATGCTAAAGTGACATGCTATTCCCCCTAGAAAATAACCCCAATACCCCCTCTGCCAGTAACATGCTTAAGTTGACCAGCCTACTCGTATCTCTAAGCATGTGTGGACAAGAGTGTGTCTTTTTTTTTTTTTTTTTTGAGTTGGAGTTTTGCTCTTGTCACCCAGGCTGGAGTGCAGTGGTGTGATATGTGTATGTGTCTTTAAAACGAAAGCCATGGGCATCAAGTGACTGCTCATCAAGTAACATGTCATCTGTTAACTGACCAGTGTCCACCTTCTCCAGAGGGTGGGCAGAGCAGAGAAATCCTAAAGTGGTTTTTAGGGACTAACCCCAAATCACCAACTTTCCAAGAACTTCTTCCCCACTCCCTACTCAAAAGGGGATGCTTGATTTCTGTTTGCCTCATATTTGGTGCCCTTTGACCTGGATGGTTTTCTCCTTGTCACCCATGCTGGAGTGCAGTGGCACGATCATGGCTCACAGCAGCCTCAACTTCCTGGGCTCAGGTGATTCTCCCACCTCAGCCCCTTCAGTAGCTGGGACTTACAGGTACAAGCCACCATGCTGGCTAATTTTTTAATTTTTTATAGAGACAGGGTCTTGCAATATTGCCCAGGCTGTTCTCAAACTCCTGTCCTCAAGTGATCTTCCCACCTTGGCCTTCCAAATTTCCAAGATTACAATCATGTAAACCTGCCTGGCTCTATTAGTTTTTGACTTAAAGTTTATGTTCGGTTATATAAGTATAGCTGCTCCTGTTCTTTTTTGGTTTCCATTTACACAGAATATCTTTCCATCTCTTCATTACATTTAATTAATTAATTAATCAATTTTTTTTTGAGACAGAATCTTGCTCTGTTGTCCAGGCTGGAGTGCAGTGGTGCAACCTTGGCCCACTGCTACCCACTGTGGGTCTCCTCTCTGCTGACAGCTGGACACTCATTGGGATGAGCTACCTGTGGAGAGGAGCTACCCACTGAGGGTCTCCTCTGAGCTGTTCTGTCACTCAATAAAGCACCTCTTCACCTTGCTCACCCTCCACTTGTCTGCATAGCTCATTCTTTCTGAATGCAAGACAAGAACTTGGGACCTGCCGAATGGTGGGACTGAAAGAGCTATAACACAAACAGGGCTGAAACACGCCCCTTGCTTGCCATGTTGCAGGTGACAAGAAGGAGAGTAGAGAGAAGGAAAGAAGAGAGAAAGAGAAGAGCTGTGGCCCTTCGGGGAGCCCAGACCTAGAAACTCCCTAAGCCAGGGCTGCGACACCCTCTTTGGGGCTCTGTGGTTCCTGGTGTCTCCAAGCTTCTGGGTGCCACCACATTGCCTGGTGCTAGCTGTGGAAGCTGCTTGCAGTATGCCTGGTCCAGCCACAGCCTCACAGGGAGTCGGCACTGTGCCTGTGCCTGGAGATGCCCACCCTGCCACAGGTGGCATGCCTGGATGTGCACAGTGGCCGGGCCCAATGCTCACTTGCTCACATACCCCTCGCCACTCCATGCCTGGCTCACCCTTGGCAGGCATGGGATCCAGGCCAGTAGCATGAGCTGAGTGCAGCCTGCAATGCTGAATGGGCGAAAGGAGCCCAGTGGGCCTGAGCAAAACTTGGGCAAAAGTTGGCCACAGGGGTTTCTGGCCAGAAAAGCGACACCCCAAATATCCCATCACACCAGTTCTTTTTTTTTTTTTTAGACAGTCTCACTCTGTCACCCAGGCTGGAATGCAGTGGCATGATCTCAGCTCACTGCAACCTCCACCTCCCAGGTTCAAGCGATTCTCTTGCCTCAGCCTCCTGAGTAGCTGGGATTACAGGCATGCACCAGCATGCCCAGCTAATTTTTTTTTTTTTTTTTTTTTTTTTGTATTTTTAGTAGAGACAGGGTTTCATCATGTTGGCCAGGCCGGTCTCGAACTCCTGACCTCAGGTGATCCACCAGCCTCAGTCTCCCAAAGTGCAGGGATTACAGACGTGAGCCACCGCACCCGAACAACACCAGTTCTTATTATATACAATATATTTATTAGTTGATTTCCAGTACACACATAATGTAATTTCAGAATTACTAATCCATAAGCATATAAGAAGGACATTTATTAAGTAGCACTGCATTTATGTACCATTGTTTTATATTTAACCTTACATTGTCCACTCAATATACTGTTTTCAAAGTTGCTACCTATTTATCTTCTTCTAAGTGAAGTTATGTTATTCATTTGTATACACTTAATTTCAGTTGTTAGTATTCATATTCCATTTTGGGTCAGCCCAAATACAGGTTGGTTTTAACAGTTTATTATCGAGTATATGAAAGGTATGTATGTGAAACATTACTGTGCTGATAAAAGTCAGAGCTACATGCAGAAAAATGTCACTCCTTTCTTATCTTTGCTACCCTATTGTCATTCCTTCTTTCTTTCCACCTTTTCCCCACATACACCCTATATGTAACCAATCTGTCTAGCCTCTGGCTTATCCTTCTTGTATTTATTTTGCACAAATGAGTAGATTCATGCATAATTTTTCATTTCTCATTTTTTCTTACATGAAGGGTAACATACAATAGCTATATTCTTTTGTGCTTTACTTTTTTTTTTTGAGATGGAGTTTTGCTCTTGTTGCCCAGGCTGGAGTGCAATGGCGCGATCTTGGCTCACTGCAACCTCTGCCTCCCGGGTTCAAGCGATTCTCCTGCCTCAGCCTCCCAAGTAGCTGGGATTACAGGCATGCTCCACTACGCCCGGCTACTTTTGTATTTTTAATAGAGATGGGGTTTCTCCATGTTGATCAGGCTGGTCTCTAACTCCCGACCTCAGGTGATCCACGTGCCTCGGTCTCCCAAAGTGATGGGATTACAGGCATCAGCCACTGAGCCCGGCCTGTGCTTTAGTTTTTTTTTGTTTTTGTTTTTGTTTTTCCCTCTTTTTTTCTTTCTTTTTTTTTTTGAGAGGGAGTCTCGCTCTGTTGACCAGGCTGGAGTGCCGTGGCACTATCTTGGCTCACTGCAAGCTCCGCCTCCTGGGTTCATGCCATTCTCCTGCCTCAGCCTCCCGAGTAGCTGGGACTACAGGCGCCCACCACCACATTCGGCTAATTTTTTGTATTTTTAGTAGAGACGGGGTTTCACCATGTTAGGTAGGAGGGTCTCGATCTCCTGACCTTATGATCCACCCACCTCGGCCTCCCAAAGTGCTGGGATTACAGGCGTGAGCCACCGTGCCCGGCCCAATTTTTGTATTTTTAGTAGAGATGGGGTTTCATCATGTTGGCCAGGCCGGTCTCAAACTCCTAAACTCAGGTGATCTGCCTGCCTCGGCCTCTCAAAGTGCTGGGATTACAGGCGTGAGCCACTGCACCCAGCCTTCTTTATTCTTTTAAATAATCCATTGTGCAGTTATACCATAGTTAATTCAACCACTTTCCTATGTATGGACATTTAAGTTATTTCCAATACTTCATAATTACAAACAATGCTGCAGAAAGTAACCTTACACATAGACATTTTCATATGGTTGAAGCTGTACCTCCAAGGTATATTCCTAGAAATGGGATTGCTGGGTTAAAATTTAAGTGTACCTGAAGTTCTTTTAAGCACTGACACATTTTCTTCCAGAATAGTTGTGCCAATTTGTATTCCCACTAGTGATATGATTTGTAAATATTTATTCCCAGATTGTGGCTTGACTTTTCATTTTCTTTTTTTTAATTTAATTTTATATATATATGTGTGTGTGTATATATATGTATGTGTATATATATATATATACAATTTACATATGTGTATATATATATATACAATTTACATATGTGTATATATATATATATACAATTTACATATATGTATATATATATTTTGAGATGGAGTCTCACTCTGTCTCCCCGGCTGGAGTGCAGTGGTGAAATCTCGGCTCACTGTTTCCTCTGCTCCTGGGGTTCAAACGATTCTCCTGCCTCAGCCTCCCGAGTAGCTGGGATTACAGGCGCCTGCCACTGCACCTGGCTAATTTTTGTACTTTTTAGTAGAGACAGGGTTTCACCATCTTGGCCAGGCTGGTCTTGAACTTCTGACCTCGTGATCCACCCACCTCGGCCTCCCAAAGTGTTGGGATTACAGGCGTGAGCCACCGTGCTCGGCTGACTTCATTTTCTTTTTTTTTTTTGAGATGGAGTTTCGCTCTTGTTGTCGAGGCTGGAGTGTAATGTCGCAATCTCGGCTCACTGCAACCTCCGCCTCCCGGTTCAAGCAATTCTCTTACCTCAGCCTCCAGAGTAGCTGGGATTACAGGCATGTGGCCACCACGCCGGCTAATTTTGTATTTTTAGTAGAGACAGGGTTTTTCCATGTTGGTCAGCCTGGTCTCAAATTCCCGACCTCAGGTGATCCACCTGCCTTGGCCGCCCAAAGTGCTGGGATGAGCAGGCATGAGCCACCTCGCCTCGCCGACTTTTCATTTTCTTAACAGTATCTTTCATATTGCAGAAGTCTTACATTTTTGTGAAATCTAATGTATCATGTTGTACTTTCTTTCTTTTCTTGTTTTTTTTTTTTTGAGGTGGAGTTTTGCTCTTTTGCCCGGGCTGGAGTGAAGTGGCACGATCTTGGCTCACTGAAACTTCTGCCCCCACCGGGTTCAAGCAATTCTCTTTCCTCAGCCTTCTAAGTAGCTGGGATTATAGGTGCCAGCCACCACGCCCGGCTAATTTTTGTATTTTTAGTAGAGACAGGGTTTCACCATGTTGGCTAGGCTGGTCTCCAACTCCTGACCTCAGGTGATCCACCTGCCTCGGCCTCCCAAAGTGCTAGGATTACAGGCGTGAGCCACTGCGCCTGGCCTTGTGTTGTACTTTCATTGGTTGTGCCTTCGTTATCATATCAAAGAAATCATTGCCTTAACCCAAGTTCGTATTTTCTCCCATGTTTTCTTCTAGAAGTTTTATAGTGTTAAATTTTATATTTAGCTCATAGATTCATTTGACTAAATTTTTGAAATATTGTGCAAGATATGAATAAAAGCTTGTTTTTCACTTCTGGTTTGTGGATATTCAATTATTTGAACACCACTTGTTAAAAAGACTGTCCTTTCTCTACTGAGTTGCATTTGCACCTCTGTCAAAAATTAATTGACCACATGTATGTGAGTCCTTTTCTAAACACTCTATTCTATTCCATTCATGTATTTGTCCGTCATTACACCAATACCATACTGTCCTGATGATTGTAGTTCTTTTTTCCCCCTTTTTACTACCTAATTGCCAAATGGTGTTTCTTCCAACCTTGTGTTTTTTCCACTTCCAGAAGATTGCCCCTTTAAATTGTGCATCTTTAAACACAGTTCTGCTGGGTGCAGTGGCTCATGCCTATAATCCCAAGCACTCATGAGGCTGAGGTGGGAGGACCATTTGAGCCCAGGAGTTTCAGACCAGCTTGAGCAACACAGTGAGATCCCATCTCTAAAAAAAATAAAAATAAAAAATAATTAGCTGACCATGGTGGCACTCGTCTGTAGTCCCAGCTACTTGGGAGGTGAAGGAGGAAGGATCTCTTGAGCCCAGGAGTCCTAGGCTGCAGTGAGCTGTGACTGCATCACTGAACTCCAGCCTGGGCAACAGAATAAGACCTTGTCTAAAAAAAAAAAAAGAGAGAGAGAGAGAGAGGTAAAAGGAGGTTTGACCCACATTGCCAGTTTAGGGTGGAGTCCAGGACCAGAGTGAGAACTTCCTTGATGCCTTTTGGCCGATCAGATGGTACTTTTACCAGGCCCACCATGGCTGCTCATGGACCAGTCAGCATGCACTTCCTCCCTTTTGAGCCCATAAAAACCCCAGACTTAGCCAGACTCAGAGACTCCTAGGGACTACCTGCCTGCAGACAGAAGCTATCCACTTTGAGTGGCCTATACTCATCAGGCCTACCTGCCTTTGGATAGCAGCTACCCACTTCAAGTCTCCTCTACCCTTGTTGGGATGACTTGCCTGCGGATAGGAGCTACTCACTTCAGGTATCCTCTCTGCTGAGAGCTCTTCTGTTGCTCAGTAAAGCTCCTCTCCACCTTGCTCACCCTTCAGTTGTCCATGTAAACTCATTCTTCCTAGACATGAGACAGGAACTTGGGACTGAACAGCAGGAGCTAAAAGAGCTGTAACACATCCCCAGCTTGCTCACTGAGCTATGGGTTGTGACATGCCCCCGGACCGTGTGAGTGAAAAGTGGTGATCCTTCTGAGGGCCCAGACCTCTGAGCTTTTGGGCACCACTGAGTTTCCCTCATCCAGACACTGGTGCCTGCAGCAGAACCTGCTTGTGGTATGTCTGGTCCAGCCACAGCCTCTCCCAGAGCCAGTGCTTGTGCCAGCACCTGGAGATGCCTGCCCTGCTGCTACAGTGGGGGTGCACAGTGGCCAGACCCTGCACTTGCTTGCTCACACACCCCTCGGTGCTCCATGCCTGGCTCACCCTTGGCAGGCATGGGATCCGGGCCGGTATCACGATCTGAGGGCAGCTTGCTGGGCCTAGTAGGTGGAATGAGCCCAGTGGGCATGAGCAAAACTCAAGCAGAGGCGTCGCTGGCCACAGAGGTTTCTGGCTGGCAAAGTGACACCCATAGGATCCTGTGACACTGTTTTATTAAATTTCAATTTCTTTTTCTTTTTCTTTTTCTTTTTTTTTTTGAGATGGAGTCTCCCTCTGTCACCCAGGCTAGAGTGCAGTGGCACAATCTCGGCTCACTGCAATCTCTGCCTCCCAGGTTCAGGCGATTCTCCTGCCTCAGCCTCCCGATTAGCTGAGATTACAGGTATGCACCACCATACCTGGCTACTTTTTTTTTTTTTTTTTTGAGACAGAGCTTCGCTCTTGTTGCCCAGGTTGGAGTGCAATGGTGCAATCTCGGCTCGCTGCAACCTCTGCCTCCCGGGTTCAAGCAATTCTTTTGCCTCATCCTCCTAAGTAGCTGGGATTATAGGTGTGTGCCAACATGTCTGGCTAATTTTTTGTATTTTTAGTCGAGACAGGGTTTCACCATGTTGGCCAGGCTGGCCTCAAACTCCTGACCTCAGGTGATCCACCCACCTTGGCCTCCCAAATTGCTGGGATTACAGGCATGAGCCACCACACTCGGCCAAATTTCAGTTTGTAATTGTATATCGCTAGTGTAAATAAATGGTTTTTGGTTTGTTTTATTTTATTTGTATTTATTTATTTATTTTTTGAGATGGAGTGTCACTCTGTGGCCCAGGCTGGAGTGCAGAGAAGCGATCTTGGCTCACTGCAACCTCTGCCTCCTGGGTTCAAGCGATTCTCATGCCTCAGCCTCCCAGGTAGATGGGACTACAGGCACATGCCACCACGCCCGGCTAATTTTTGTATTTTTGATAGAAAGGGAGTTTCGTCATGTTGGCCAGTCTGGTCCTGAACTTCTGTACTCAAGTGACCTGCCAGCCTTGGCCTCCCAAAGTGCTGGGATTACAGGTGTGAGACACTGCTCCTGGCCTCTTTGGTAAATTCTTTGGGAGTTTTTACATGGACAAACTTTTTGTTGTAAATAGAAACCATGTTGCTTCTCTCTTTCCAATCCATTTTCCTGTATTTCTTTTTTTGACCTTATTGAATTGGTTAGGACATTTATCCAATGTTGAGCAGAAGTGATTAGAACAGAACCTTTAGAGCACTTGAGACGTTTACCATTAAGTATGATGCTAGCTGTAAATGTTTTGTAAATGCTCTTTATCAGGTTGAGGAAATTACCCTCTATTCCTCATTTATTATCGAGCTTCTTTTAGAAATCATGAATGAATGTTGAATTTTGTCAACTTCTTTTTCTGTATATACCGAGGCGATAAATGGTTCTTCTTTAATCCGTTGACATAGTGAGTTACATTTAGAAATTATCAAATTTTGAATCAGCCTTGCATACCAGGGTAAATCCCACTTTTTCATGATGCTATTTTTTAAGGATATTGTTTGTTTCTATTTTCTATTTTATTTTATTGGTCACCTATCTGTCCCAGAATTTTTGAAAATCTTTTTTTTTTAATTTCTATAAAGATTTTTATTTAGAACTTTCTTTCTTTCTTTCTTTATTATTATTATACTTTAAGTTTTAGGGTACATGTGCACAATGTGCAGGTTAGTTACATATGTATACATGTGCCATGCTGGTGCGCTGCACCCACTAACTCGTCATCTAGCATTAGGTGTATCTCCCAGTGCTATCCCTCCCCCCTCCCCCCACCCCACAACAGTCCCCAGAGTGTGATGTTCCCCTTCCTGTGTCCATGTGTTCTCATTGTTCAGTTCCCACCTATGAGTGAGAATATGCGGTGTTTGGTTTTTTGTTCTTGCGATAGTTTACTGAGAATGATGATTTCCAATTTCATCCATGTCCTTATAAAGGACATGAACTCATCATTTTTTATGGCTGCATAGTATTCCATGGTGTATATGTGCCACATTTTCTTAATCCAGTCTATCATTGTTGGACATTTGGGTTGGTTCCAAGTCTTTGCTATTGTGAATAATGCTGCAATAAACATACGTGTGCATGTGTCTTTATAGCAGCATGATTTATAATCCCTTGGGTATATACCCAGTAATGGGATGGCTGGGTCAAATGGTATTTCTAGTTCTAGATCCCTGAGGAATGGCCACACTGATTTCCACAATGGTTGAACTAGTTTACAGTCCCACCAACAGTGTAAAAGTGTTCCTATTTCTCCACATCCTCTCCAGCACCTATTGTTTCCTGACTTTTAAATGATTGCCATTCTAACTGGTGTGAGATGGTATGAAAATCTTATGAAGCATTTTTTGTGACTATTTTCATGAGGTGAGGGATATTGGTTTGTAGTTTTCTTCTTTTACATCTGTCTGATTTTGATATCAGGGTAACGCTGACATCAAAGAATGAGTCAGGAATTGCTCCTTCCTCTTCAACTTTTTGGAAAAGTTTGTGAGCTATTAGTATTATTTCTTTTTCTGTTTTGTTTTTTTGAGATGGAGTCTTACTCTGTCATCCAGGCTGGAGTGCAATGGTGTGGTCTCGGCTCACTGCAACCTCTGCCTGCCGGGTTTGAGCAGTTCTCCTGCCTCAGCCTACCAAGAAGCTGGGACTACAGGTGCGTGCCACCACACCCGGCTAATTTTTGCATTTTCAGTAGAGACGGGGTTTCACTATGTGGGCCAGGCTGGTCTTGAATTCCTGACCTCGTGATATGCCCACCTCGGCCTCCTAAACTGCTGGGATTACAGGTGTGAGCCACCGTTGCCCAGCCTAGTTTTTCTTTCTTTCTTTTCTTTCTTTCTTTCTTTTCTCTTTCTTTCTTTCTTTCTTTCTTTCTTTCTTTCTTTCTTTCTTTCTTTCTTTCTTTCTTTCTTTCTTTCTTTCTTTCATTCCTTCCTTCCTTCCTCCCTCCGTCCCTCCCTCCCTCCCTCCTTCCTCCTTCCTTCCTTCCTTCTTTCTTTCTTTTTTCTTTTTTTTTTTTTTTAGACGGAGTCTTGCTCTGTCGCCCAGGAGACTGGAGTGCAGTGGCACCATCTCGGCTCACAGTAACCTCTGCCTCCGGGGTTCAAGCAATTCTCTGCCTCATACTCCCAAGTACCTGGGATTACAGTCACCCACCAATATGCCCAGCTAATTTTTTGTATTTTTAGTAGAGATGGGGTTTCACCATCTTGGGCAGGTCAGTCTCCAACTCCTGACCTCAAGTGATCCACCCGCCTCGGCCTCCCAAAGTGCTGGGATTACAGATGTGAACCACCGTGCCCGGCCTAGTATTATTTCTTTTTTTTTTTTTGAGACAGAGTCTCACACTGTCGCCCGGGCTGGCATGCAGTGACACAATCTTGGCTCACTGCAACCTCTGCCTCCCAGGTTCAAGCAATTCTCCTGTCTCAGCCTCCCAAGTAGCTGGGATTACAGGTGCCCACCACCATGCCCGGCTAATTTTTTGTATTTTTAGTAGAGACGGGGGTTTCACTATGTTGCCCAGGCTGGTCTTGAACGCCTGACCTCATGATCCACCCTCCTTGGCCTTCCAAAGTGCTGGGATTACAGGCTTGAGCCACTGCACCTGGCGTATTTATTTCTTAACCACCATACTATGTATTAGTTGTGATGTTATTCTTTATCACTTGGCTTGGCCAACTTTGTCTCCCGTCTCCTGTGTTCTTGACTTAAGTTAGATTTGCTACAACTGCATCACCTCTTTTTCTGATTCCAGTATTTCCATACTTAACGTTTGATTATTCCTTTTTAAATTAAAAAAAAAATTAATTGGGCCAGCCACGATGGCTCACGCCTGTAATCCCAGCACTTTGGGAGGCCAAGGCAGGTGGATCACCTGAGGTTAGGAGTTTGAGACCAGCCTGACCAACATGGTGAAACCCCGTCTCTACTAAAAATACAAAATTAACTGGGTATTGTGGCGCATGCCTGTAATCCCAGCTACTTGGGAGGCTGAGGCAGGAGAATCGCTTGAACCCAGGAGGCCGATGTTGCCGTGAGCCAAGATCATGCCATTGCACTCCAACCTGGGCAATAAGAGCGAAACTCCGTCTAAAAAAAAAAATTAATTGTGGTAAAATATACATAAAATTTACTGCCTTAATTATTTTTAAGTATATAGTACAATAGTTTTAAGTGTGAATATATATTGCCATACATTATTTTGCAACCAAAGTCAGAACTATTTCACCTTTCAAAACTGAAGTTCTATATCCATTAAACAACAATATCCATTTCCCTTTCTCCTTATCCCCTAAAAACCACAACTGTACTTAGTTTCTATGAATTCAACTATTCTAGATACCTCATTTAAGTGGAATCATAAAGTATTTGTCTTTTTATGACTGGCTTATTCACTCAGCATAGTCTGTTCAAGGTTCATCCATATTGTAGTGTATGTCAAAATATCCTTCAATTTTAAGGCTGAATAACATTCTATTATGTATATTTTAAAATTAAATTAAGTTGGCCGGGCACGGTGGCTCACGCCTGTAATCCTAACACTTTGGGAGGCAGAGGCAGATGGATCATGAGGTCAGGAGTTCAAGACCAGCCTGGCCAAGATGGTGAAACCCCGTCTCTACTAAAAAATACAAAAATTAGCTGGGCATGGAGGCAGGCGCCTGTAACCCCAGCTACTCTGGAGGCTGAGGCAGGAGAATCACTTGAACCCTGAGGTGGAGTTTGCAGTCAGCCGAGATCATGCCACTGCACTCTAGCCTAGGTGACAGAGTAAGATTCTGCCTCAAAAAAAAAAATTAAATTGAATTAAATTTTATTTTTTTGAGATGAAGTCTCGCTCTGTTGCTCAGGCTGGAGTGCTGTGGTGCAATCTTGGCTCACTGTAACCTCCATCTCCTGGGTTCAAGCGATTCTTCTGCCTCAGTCTCCCAAGTAGCTGGGATTACAGGCACCCGCCACCATGCCTGGCTAATTTTTGTGTTTTTTAGTGCAACGTGAGGTTTCATCGTGTTGGCCAGCGTGGTCTCAAACCCCTGACCTCAAGTGACCTGCCCACCTCAGCCTCCCAAAGTGCCGGGATTACAGGCATGAGTCACTGTGCCTGGCCTCCATTGTGTATATATATAAATATATACCACATTTTGTTTATCCATTTATCTGTCAATGGGCACTTGGGTTACTTCTACCTCTTGGTTATTGTGAATAACGACACTATGAGCATGAGTGTACAAATATTTCTTAGGGACCCTGCTTATAATTCTTTTGGATGTATACACAGAGAACAATTGCTAGATCATATAGTGATACTATTTTTAATATCTGGAGGAACTGTCATCCTTTTCTTCACAGCAGCTGCACAATATTACATTCCTACCAGCAGTGCACAGGGTTCCAATTTTGCACAGCCTCACCCACACTTGTTATTTTCTGTTTTTTTCATAGTAGCCATCTTAATGGGTATGAAGTAGTATATCATTGTGGTTTTGATTTACATTTTCCTAATTACTAGTTACGTTGAACATATTTTCATATATTTTTGGGCCATTTGTATATCTTTTTTGGATCCTTTGCCCATTTTAAAATTGGTTTATTTGGGTTTTTGTTTTTGTTTTTTGGGGGGTATGGAGTGTCACTCTGTCGCCTAGGATGGAATGCAGTGGCACAATCTCGGCTCACTGCAACCTCTACCTCCCAGGCTCAAGTGATTCTTGTGCCTCAGCCACCCAAGTAGCTGGGATTACAGGAGTGTGCCACCATGCCTGGCTAAGTTTTGCTTTTTTTTTTTTTTTTTTTTTTTTGAGATGGAGTCTCGCTCTGTCGCCCAGGCTGGGGTGCAGTGGTGCAATCTCTGCTCACTGCAAGCTCCGCCTCCCGGGTTCACGCCATTCTCCTGCCTCAGCCTCCCGAGTAGCTGGGACTACAGGCGCCCACCACCACGCCCGGCTAATTTTTTGTATTTTTAGTAGAGACGGGGTTTCACTGTGTTAGTCAGGATGGTCTCGATCTCCTGACCTCATGATCCACCCTCCTCGGCCTCCCAAAGTGCTGGGATTACAGGCGTGAGCCACCGCGCCCGGCCTAAATTTTGCATTTTTAGTAGGGATGGGGTTTCACAGTGTTGGCCAGGCTGGTCTCAAACTCCTGACTTCAACTGATCTGTCCACCTCAGCCTCCCAAAGTCCTGGGATTATAGGGGTGAGCCACCAGTGCACAGCCTATTTGGGTTTTTTGGTTTTTCTTTTTTTGACATTGAGTTTGTACAAGTTATTTATATATTGTGGATATTAACCCTTAGTGGATATACAATTTGCAAATATTTTCTCCCATTTCCTAGGTTGACTTTTCAATCTGTTGATTTTTGTCCTTTGACAAACAAATGTTTTTAACTTTGATATAGTCCATTTATCTTTTTTTTTTTTTTTTTTGAGACGGAGTCTCACTCTGTCGCCCAGGCTGAGGCTGGAGTGCAGTGGCTCGATCTCAGCTCACTGCAACCTCTGCCTCCCGGGTTCAAGTAATTCTCCTGCCTCAGCCTCCCGAGTAGTTGGGTCTACAGGCGCCCACCACCATGCCTGGCTAATTTTTTTTGTATTTTTAGTAGAGACGGGGTTTCACCATGTTAGCCAGGATGGTCCGATCTCCTGACCTCGTGATCCGCCTGCCTCAGCCTCCCAGAGTGCTGGGATTACAGGAGTGAGCCACCGTGCCCAGCCCATTTATCTATTTTTACTTTTGTTGCATGTGATTTTGTGTCATGTCACCAAGAAATCATTGCCAAATCCAATGCCATGAAGCCTTTCTCCTATGTTTTCTTCTAAGTGTTTTATAAGTGTTAGGTCTTTAATCTATTTTGAGTTTAATTTTTTATATGATATAAGATAAGGATCCAACTTCATTCTTTCATGTGTAGGTATTCAGTTTTCCCACCAACATTTGTGTGTGTTTTTTTTTTTTTTAAAAGACTGTCCTTTCCTCATTGGATGGCCTTAGAATCCTTATGGAAAATAATTTAACCTTATGCTATGAATATACTATACTATACACATACTGTTAACTTGGTGTTTATTTATGGGCTCTCTATTCTATTCCATCAGGTTATATGTCTGTCGTTATGCCTGTACCACATTATTTTGATTAATGTAGCTTTGGAATAAGTTTGAAATCAGAAAATGTGGGATCTCCAACTTTGTTATTCTTTTTCAAGATTGTTTCAGCCATTCAGGATCCCTTGAGATTCCATGTAAATTTTAGGATGAATTTTTCTATTGCTGCAAAAGAAAAAAAAGCCATTGGGATTTTGATAGGGATTGCATTAATCTGTAGATTGGTTTGGGTAGTATTGACATCTTAACAATATTAAATATTCCAATCCATAAACATGTGATATCTTTCCATTTACTTGTGTTTTCTTTAATTTCTCTCAGTAACATTTTGTAGTGAAAACAACAAGTCTTTTACCTCCTTGGGTAAGTTTATTTCTAAATTTATTATTATTATTTAAAATATTTATTTATTTATTTTTGAGACAGAGTCTTGCTCTGTTGCCCAGGCTGGAATGCAGTGGCGCAATCATGGCTCACTACAGGATCCACCTCCCGGGTGAAGAAATTCTCCTGCCTCAGCCTCCTGAGTAGCTGGGATTATAAATGCCCACCACCATGCTGGCTAATTTTTGTATTTCTAGTAAAGATGGGGTTTCACCATGTTGGCCAGGCTTGTCACGAACTCCTGACCTCAAGTGATCCACCTGTCTCGGCCTCTCAATATTATTATTTTTGAGACAGAGTCGCTCTCTGTTACCCAGGCTGGAGTGTAGTGGCGTGATCTCAGCTCACTGCAACCTCTGCCTCCCAGGTTCAAGTGATTCTCCCACCTCAGCCTCCTGAGTAGCTGGGATTACAAACACCCACCATCATAGCTGAATAATTTTTGTATTTTTGTAGACACAGGGTTTCACCATGTTGGCCAGGCTGGTCTTGAACTCCCAACCTCAGGTGATCCACCCGCCTCGGCCTTCCAAAGTGCTGGGATTACAGGCATGAGCTGCGATTTCTAAATATATTATTATTTTTGATGCTATTATAAATGGCATTGTTTTCTTAATTTCTTTTTCATATTGCTCAGTGTTAGTGTAGTTAGCAAAGTGACTGATTTGTATGTATGTTTTACCCTGCAACTTTGCTGAATTTATTGTTCTAATAGTGTGTTTGTGTGTGTGTGTGTGTGTGTGTGCACGCACATGCACACAGAGGGT
The DNA here is from genome assembly GCF_000001405.40 of Homo sapiens. Lineage (NCBI taxonomy): Eukaryota > Metazoa > Chordata > Mammalia > Primates > Hominidae > Homo > Homo sapiens. Next base: position 50,367,667 of record NC_000012.12, on the reverse strand, counting down.
AATCCTTAGGGCTTTCTACATATATAGAGTTTTCTACATATGTAGGGTTTCTACAATTTAAGATCATGTTATCTATGAACAGAGATAATTTTACTTTTTCCTTTCCAAATTGTGTGCCTTTTATTTCTTTTCTTTTTTTTTTTTTTTTTTTGAGACAGAGTCTCGCTCTGTCTCCCAGGCTGGAGTGCAGTGGCACAGTCTCAGCTCATGCAAGCTCTGCCTCCCAGGTTCACGCCATTCTCCTGCCTCAGCCTCCCGAGTAGCTGGGACTACAGGCACCTGCCACCATGCCCAGCTATTTTTTTGTATTTTTAGTAGAGACGGGGTTTCACAGTGTTAGCCAGGATGGTCTCGATCTCCTGACCTCATGATCCGCCTGCCTCGGCCTCCCAAAGTGCTAGGATTACAGGCGTGAGGCACCGTGTCTGGCCTTTATTTCTTTTTCTTGCCTGATTGTCTAGGACTTCCAATACCAGGTTAGATAGATGGTGAATGTGGGCATCCTTGCCTTGTTCCTAATCTTGGAGGAAAAACTTTCAGTCTTTCACTGTTGAATATATTATAACCTGTGGGCTTTTCGTATATGGCCTTTATTATGTTGAAGAAGTTTTCTTCTATTTCTAGTTTCTTTTGTATATGTTTTTTGTTTGTGTTAAGACCGGGGCTCACTCTGTCACCAAGGCTGGAGTGCAGTGGCATAATCATGGCTTACTGCAGCCTTGACCTCCCAGGTTCAAGTAATCCTCCCACCTCAGCCTCCTGACTAGCTGTAACTATAAGCACACACCACCATACCTGGCTGATATTTTTTATTTTTTGTAGAGCCAGGGTTTCACCATGTTGCTCAGGCTGGTCTCGAACTCCTGGACTCAAGTGAAACTTCTGCCTTGGCCTCTCAAAGTGCTGGGATTACAGGCGTGAGCTACTGTGCCCAGCCTCTTGTGTATTTTTTTTTTTTAATAATGAAAGGGTGTTAAATATTTTCAAATGCTTTTTCTGTATCAATTGTGATGATCACGTTTTTTTTTTTTTTTTTTTTTTGGTCATTCTATTCATTTGGCACATTGCATTGATTGATTTACATATATTTAATCATCCTTGCATTCCAGAAATAAATCTCACTTGATCGTGGTGTATAATCCCTTTAACATGCTGTTGAATTCTGTTCACTAGTATTTTGCTAAGGTTTTCTGTATCAATATTCATCAGGCATGTTTGTATTTAGTTTTCTTATTTTGTAGTGCCTTTGTCTGGCTTCGATATACGTTGGCCTCAAAGGATGAGTTGGGAAGTGTTTCTTCCTCTTCACTTTTCTGGGAGAATTTATGAGGAGTTAGTAGTATCTTTTCTTTGTTCACTGTGCTATGTGTTAGCTTGTAATGTTATTCTTCATCATTTGGTTTAGCAAACTTTGCCTTGGCTCACCTGTGTTCCTGACTTAAATTATTATTTGCTGTAACAGCAAATACACCTAACATCAGAATACTCATTTTGCATGATGATTTGTTTGGCAAAATCCAAATCTTATTCTTTTTTTTTTGTTTCAAGTATTAATCAAAGCTCGTATATAAGATTACTTTATTCCTACATCTTCTCAATTGTTTCTTCCTTGTATTTGCTCTTTTCCTTTCCTACTTGGCGAGATTTGGCTTTCTGTTCAAGGATCTTTTTGCGGTCTTTGTCCAGTTTTAGCCTAGTGATACCCACCTTGCTGGGGCGAGGGCCCACATGGACAGTTGTGCCATTAGCCTTTTTCCACTGCACCCGTTCAATGTAGATAATATATTTCTTCCTGTAAACCTGGACTACTTTGCCAATTTGCTGACCTTTATGGTGTCCTCATACAACCTGAACTTCATCATTCTTTCAGATGGGCACGGATCACATGTTGTACTTCTGTCTCAGCTCTTCGGAAAGAGGGGAAGACATAATCTTCCTGCGAATGTGGGAAGGTGTATTGAAATGCCTTTTGTGATTCTTGCTTCAGTCGGAAGTCACAAAGGGACTGAACTTCATTTTGGCCACTCCGGCTTTGGAGATGGCGGCAAAAGGGAAGAGAACTACACACTTATCTTACTCTTATTATACGGACTGTAGAGAAAGTTCAGTTTGTCTGAAGCCAAAATGAAAGAATAATAAAGTTGGAAGGGGTGAACCAGTGGTTCTTAACTGTCAGATTTACTGTGCCTTTAAAAAATATTTTTAACATTCTCTTTATTCCTCTAAAATGATATTCACAGATAAACTACCTATACTTTAAAAATTAATATGTGTGAGTATAAGTAAAAGGAAAGCAATTTATAATAACATGCATTTCAGTGTGTAAATCCTAGGTCAAACTTCACTAGAAGTAGACCGAGGCTTGCATTGATACATAAAATTAAAATAAATATGAAAGACACAAATGGAGGCTGATACAAATTCAGTTTTATTGTACTGGCACTAAATACTATTATCACTAGTGCATTGCTGTTGGTATTGTGGTGTTCCAGAATGGTGAAATTTTCTTGGAGAAATTTTAAAGAACATTTTTTTATTGATTTACGTAGTATTTGTATTCCTGGAAATTGCAGTGTATCATTAAATTGGGCAAAAAACACATGGTGTTAATTTTTTTTTTTTTTTTTTTGAGACGGAGTTTCACTCTTGTTGCCCAGGCTGGAGTGCAATGGTGCGATCTCGGCTCACTGCAACCTTTACCTCCTGGGTTCAAGACATTCTCCTGCCTCAGCTTCCTGAGTAGCTGGAATCACAGGCATCCACCACAATGCCTGGCTATTTTTTGTATTTTTAGTAAAGACGGGGTTTCACCATGCTGGCCAGGCTGGTCTCGAACTCCTGACCTCAGGTGATCCACCCACCTCGGCCTCCCAGAGTGCTGGGATTACAGGCATGAGCCACCATGCCTGGCCAAAAAAAATTTTATTTTTTAGAGGCAGGATCTCACTTTGTCACCCAGGCTGGTCTTGAATGCATGGCTTCCAGAGATCCTCCCGCTTTGGTCTCCCAAAGCACTTGGATTACAGGCGTGAGACACTGCTCTTGGTCTGTGTTTATATTTTATATTATTTTATTTTTATTTTTATTTTATTTATTTATTTATTTATTTTTAGACAGTGTCTTGCTCTGTCGCCTAGGCTGGAGTGCAGTGGCGTGATCTCGGCTCACTGTAAGCTCCACCTCCCGGGTTCATGCTATTCTCCTGCCTCAGCCTCCCCAGTAGCTGGGACTACAGGCACCCGCCACCACGCCCAGCTAATTTTTTGTATTTTTTTTTAGGAGAGACAGGGTTTCACCGTGTTGGCCAGGATGGTCTCGATCTCCTGACCTCGCGATCTGCCCTCCTCAGCCTCCCAAAGTGCTGGGATTACAGGCGTGAGCCACCGCACCCAGCCTTGTGTTTATATTTTAAAAGGAGTTTGGTTTAAGACTTGGATAATTATAAACAGATTTTTTTTTTCCTACATGAATTCCGGTGAGACACACAAAAGTCACACAGGATTTGAGACAGTTCTTCACTGTGTGATACTGTCCACTGCACTGTAGGGTGGGCTAGCATTCCTTAGTACCCTCTACTAAATGCCAGTAGTCCATCCTCACAATTATTATGACAACCAAAAATGATTTCACAAATTTCCAAGTGCCATATATGAGGTAGTAATTACATCCGTAAAAAATTTCTAGGATAGAGTGAAGAAAAGAGATTTGCTGATAAAATTCTTTCTCTTCCCCATATACTCAATGTACTAAGCTAATAAGTGGTAAGATTCTTGAGCAAAGGAGATAATGAAAGAAAAGTATGTTTGAGGCATAGTCTGATAACTGCTTTCCAGGTAAGAAAGGAAAAAAGAAGCAACTTGCATTTTTTTCTGTTTTCTTTTTCTTTCTTTCTTTCTTTTTTTTTTTTAGCAGCTACAGCTTATAAAGCACTTTCACAAATTTTATACACTTCACATCAACTGTGTATTTAGTATCTCCATCATTTTACAGAGGCGGCAGAGGGAGCTCAGACATGCCGTGATTTATTAAAAGTCATTTTAATGAAAGACCTAGAGTTAAGATCCAGATATGGCTTCAAACCCAATGCTCTTTCCATTATATCATAGCATTGCTAGGATGATGAAGGCAGAAAAAGGAATTTTTTTTTAAGAGGGAAAATTTGAGACTCACAATAAAAGCTAGAATTAGCAAGACTTTAATTGGATAGCTTTAAATTAACTGTCACTGACGTTCTGAGAAGAAAGATGACCAAAGCTTCTTTTCAAACTGAAGATTAATACATGCCCCCTTCTTATTCTGACAGGACATTGATATGCAGCTGAGTGAAATAATGAACAATGTGCATCGGATAATGACTCGCTATACTCTTGTTTTTAACTCGTCCTCTGAAAGGAATGTCTCCCTTACAGAACATAAGAAAAAACAGAGAACCAATTTTCTTGAGAAAATGGCTACTTACGCTAAGACTATTGAAATAAGAGAAAAGACTCTTGCCAACATTCTGGCCTGGTTGGAAGAATGGAGTAAGTTTACAGAAGCGGTTCAGAGGAAAACCATAAAGTTAATGAAAAAGAGAAGAGAATATATAAGTAAATTTTGAAGGATTAATCAGATTAAAGAAGAAAAGACTAAGGAGGTTATTCAGAGAATGGTTATCCTCTATTCCAGTAGGAATAAAATAGGAAAAATATAGGCTTATTCACTTAGTGCCAGCTATGCTGGCCTCCTTGCTTTTTTTAAAGCATGCCAGCCGTGTTTTTATGCATACTATTCCCTTATCTGGAGCATCTTCCACCAGATGGACACATGGCTCATTCCCTGCTTAAATTCCACTTTAAAATGAGATGTTCTCTGACCATCCCCATTCCCTACCACCTGGCACTTTTCCTTACACTTTACCCTTTTTTTTTTTTTTTTTTTTTTTGAGACAGGTTCTCACTGTGTTACCCAGACTGGAGTGCAGTGGCGCGATCTCAGCTCAAGGCAACTCCCGCCTCCCAGGCTCAAGCGATTCTCCTGCCTCAGCCTCCCTAGTAGCTGGGACCAGAGGCATGCAGCACCACGCCCGGCTAATTTTTGTATTTTTAGTAGAGACAAGGTTTCACCATGTTGGCCAGGCTGGTCTTGAACTCCTACCTCAAATGATCCACCTGCCTTGGCTTCCCAAAGTGCTGGGATTACAGGCATGAGCCACTGCGCCTGGCCTACCTTTCTTTATTTTTGTCTATAGCATTAGTATCTGACTTCCTATATAATTAACCTTTTCTCTCTCTCCTTTCACCAGAAGGTAAGCAGTATGAAGTTAGGGAACTTGTTTTACTTAATGTTGTATCCACAGCATCTAGAATAGCACACGTCAGAGTAGACACTGGTTGAATGAAAGAATGAATAAACTGGCCAGGTGCGGTGGCTCACGCCTGTAATCCTAGCACTTTGGGAGGCCAAGGCAGGTGGATTGCCTGAGCTCAGGAGTTCAAGACCAGCCTGGGCAACACGGTGAAACCTCGTCTCTACTAAAATACAAAAAATTAGCTGGGTGTGGCGGCATATGCCTCTATTCCCAGCTACTCGGGAGGCTGAGGCAGGTGTACTGTTTGAACCCGGGAGGTGGAGATTGCAGTGAGCCAAGGTCGTGCCACTGCACTCCAGCCTGGGTGACAGAGTGAGACTGTCTCCAAAACAACAACAAAAACAACAACAACAACAAAAAGAATGAATAAACTAAGAATATCAAAAAAGGGAATTTTATTTTGTTGCTAGAAATTTCATGCAGCGAGGGTTAGAAATACTGGATAATGGCCGGGCGCGGTGGCTCATGCTGGTAATCCCAGCACTTTGGGAGGCCGAGGCTGGCAGATCACCCCAGGTCAGGAGTTTGAGACCAGCCTGGCCAACATGGTGAAACTCCATCTCTACTAAAAATTCAAAAATTAGCTGGGTGTGGTGGCACACACCTCTGGTCCCAGCTACTAGGGAGGCTGAGGCAGGAGAATCGCTTGAACCTGGGAGGTAGAGGTTGCACTGAGCTGAGATTGCACCACTGCACTCCAGCCTGGGTGACAGAGCCAGACTCGTTCTTAAAAAAAAAAAAAAAAAAAAGACAACTGGATAAACTTGCCAAATGAGTTAATTGGGGCTTAGATCTCCAATATTAAAACACACACACATAGGCCGGGTGTGGTGGCTCATGCCTGTAATCCCAGCACTTTGGGAGGCTGAGGCGGGCAGATCACCTGAGGTCAGGAGTTCAAGACCAGCCTGGCCAACATGGTGAAACCCCGTCTTTACTAAAAATACAAAAATTAGCTGGGCATGGCGGCACATGCCTGTAATCCCAGCTACTCGGGAGGCTGAGGCAGGAGAATCGCTTGAACCTGGGAGGCAGAGGTTGCAGTGAGTGGAGATTGCGCCTCCGCACTCCAGCCTAGGCAACAAAGCAAGACTCTGTCTCAAAACAAAACAAAACAAAACACACACACACACATTTTAGGTACCAAACCAAATAGACACTTTTTAATCTGATTCATGTCTTTATGTCTAAGACTTACTATTTAGCCTTCTATTCCAAGTTTCTTCCTTTTTAATTTCTTCATAGAGAAAAGCCTCAGAATGGCAGTAAGTGTGAGATACCTATATTCCCCAATATTACTGTATTGAGTAGTTACCCAATATTATAAGCCTATGTAGCTATAGTTATTTATTTTTCTGCACAAAAATGATTTTTTTTTTACTCTCTTCAAGATGATGTTTTGTCTGAGATGACTCTAATGGATGTTGATGAACACCACCACTGGATAGCACAAATGGAGTTGTTACCGGACACGTTAAAAGCTATTGAGAACAATGTCAAGATACTAAGCAGATTTAGTACATCTTTCCTCGACGAAAAGAAGAAACAAAAGAAAAAAATATGTAAGGGTGCTTTATGATTTTGGAGTTGGAGTAGATGGAGTTTGACTTTTTCTTAGAGAAACAACTTTTTTTTTTTTCAGTCTCGCTCTATCACCCAGGCTGGTGTGCAGTGGCCTGATCTCAGTTCAATGCAACCTCCACCTCCAGGTTTCAGGTGATTCTCCTGCCTCAGCCTCCAGAGTAGCTGGAACTACAGACGTGTACCACCACGCCTGGCTAATTTTTGTATTTTTAGTAGAGACAGGGTTTCACCATGTTGGCCAGGCTAGTCTCAAATTCCTGACCTCAAGTTATCCACCTGCCTCGGCCTTCCAAAGTGCTGGGATTACAGGCGTGAGCCACTGCACCCAGCCAAAAAAAAAAACAGCTTTATTGAGGTATAATGTGCATACATGTTAAGTGTACAATTAAATGATTTTCTGTGTATTTACAGAGTTGTGCATTTATCACCACAATCTAATTTTATTTTTATTTATTTTAAATTTATTTATTAATTTTTTTTTTTTTTTTTTGAGACAGGGTATCACACTGTTACCCAGGCTGGAGTGCAGTGGCCAGATCTCAGTTCACTGCAACCTCCACCTCTTGGGTTCAAGCGATTCTTGTGCCTCAGCTCCCCGAGTAGCTGGGATTACAGGCACCTGCCACCACGCCTGGCTAATTTTTTGTACTTTTTGTAGAGACAGGGATTTTACCATGTTGGCCAGACTGGTTTCAAACTCCTGACCTCAAATGATCCACCAGCCTTGGCCTCCCAAAGTGCTGGGATTACAGGTGTGAGTCACAGCACCCGGCCAACAATCTAATTTTAGAACATTTCCATTATCCCGAAAAGATCCCTCATACTAATTTATAGTCAGTCCTTTTACCCATCAGCAGCACCACACAGTCACTAATGTATTCTCTCTCACACTACATTTGTTTTATCTGGATATTTCACACAAACAGAATCATATTGTATTGTGGTATTTTCTGTCTATTTTCTTTCAACTAGCATAATGTTTTTGAAATTCAGCCATGTTATAGGGCATTTTGGTAATTTCTTTTCATTGTTAGTTTACACAGTTGTTTGGATATACCACATTTTGTTTACCCATTCACCAGTTGATATACATATGAATTGTTTCCACTTTGGGGCTTTTATAAATAATGCCATTATTTACCCATTTTTTTTGGGGGGGTAGATAGCTAGGAGTCGAATTGCTAGGACATATGGTAAGTTTATGTTTAACTTTTAAAGAAACTCTTAACTGTTTTCCAAAGTGACTGTACCATTTTACACTCTCATCAGCAATGTACACAGGTTCCAATTTCTCCATTTCCTCAACAACACTTGTTATTGTCTGTCTTTTTTTTTGAGACGGAGTTTCACTCTTGTTGCCCAGGCTGGAGTGCAGTGGTGTGATCTCAGCTCACTGCAACCTCCACCTCCCGGGTTCAAGTGATTCTCCTGCCTCAGCCTCCCTAGCAGCTGGGATTACAGGCACGTGTCACCACGCCCTGCTAATTTTGTATTTTTAGTGGAGATGGGGTTTCTCCATGTTGGTCAGGCTGGTCTCAAACTCCTGACCTCAGGTGATCCACCCGCCTCTGCCTCCCAAAGTGCTGGGATTACAGGCACCCGGCCTCTGTCTGTCTTTTTTTTTATTATGGCCATCCTAGTACCTGTGAAGTGGTATCTCATTGTGGTTTTAGTTTGCATTTTCCTAATGGCAAATGATGCTGAGCATGTTTCATGTGCTTATTAAGCTATTTCCATACATTTTTTGGTGAAATATCTATTCAAGTACTTGCCCATTTTTGAAATTGAGTTTTAACTTTTTTTTTTTTTTTGAGACAGAGTCTTACTCTGTCGCCCAGGTTGGAGTGCAGTGGTGTGATCTCAGCTCACTACAACCTCCACCTCCTGGGTTCAAGCGATTCTCCTGCCTCAGCCTCCCGAGTAGCTGGGATTACAGGCGCATGCCACCACGCATGGTTAATTTTTGTATTTTTAGTAGAGATGGAATTTCACCATCTTGGCCAGGCTGATCTTGAACTCCTGACCTCGTGATCCACCCTCCTCGGCCTCCCAAAGTGCTGGGATTATAGGCATGAGCCACTGCGCCTGGCCGAGTTTTAACATTTCTTTACAGCTTCTGGATATAGGTTTTTGTTTTGTTTTGTTTTGTTTTTGACAGGATTTTGCTCTGTCGTCCAAGCTGGGGTGCATTGGTACAATAATAGTACACTGCCGCCTGGAATTCCTGGGCTCAAGGGATCCTCCTGCCTCAGTCTCCTGAGTAGCTGGGACTACAGGTGTGTGCTACCACACCCAGCTAATTTTTAAAAACTTTTTGTAGAGACAGAGTCTCATCGTGTTGTCCAGGCTAGTCTCAAACTCCTGAGCTCAAACGATCCTCCTGCCTCAGCCTCCCAAAGTTCTGGGATTATAGGCATGAGTCACCACACCTCGCTGGATATAAGTCCTTTATCAGAAAAGTGATTTGCAAATATTTTCTCCCTGCCTATGACTTGTCTTTTCATTTTCTTAGTGGTGTTTTTGAAGCCTAAAAGTGTTTAATGTTGATGAAATCCAATAAATGTATCAATTTTTTTTTATGAATCATGATTTTAGTATTGTACTAAGAACTCGTATCACTCAGGGTTCAATAAGAGAGGCAGAAGAATTAGTATGACATTATATATAATCCTTATATATATGTAGATTCCATTGCAATTGGGAAACATACTTTGTATGATTTCTTTTCATTTATTTATTTATTTATTTATTTATTTATGAGACAGTCTCACTCCGTCACCCAGGCTGGAGTGCAGTGGCGTGATCTCGACTCACTGCAATGTCTGCCTCCTGGGTTCAGCGATTCTCCTGCCTCAGCCGACAATGCCACTAGGCATGGGCTTTTCCAGGCTTTGCTCCAAGTCAAATCATCCCTGTAGGCAGTAGAGTTGTCAGTCCCCACAGCCTGCCTCACTCTGGTAGAAGTTCCAGGCCATGGATCTGGCGGTTGAGGATGGACGCGACTCCAAGTTTGCAAACTTTCCCTGTTTGTTACTGAGGTTCGGTAGTTTTTCGTGAATAAATGCTTCTCAATGTGTTGTATGCCTTTGGTCAATTTCAAAGTCCTAAAATAGTTGTTTTGGCAGTTTTGCCCTGTTTTATCTTTGCCTTTTGGGAAGAAAAAGATTGCTGATTTTCTCACTCAGACATTCTGCAAATCTTTTCAAATGTGTGTCTTTTTTTTTTTTTTTTTTCAGACAGAGTCTCACTCTTTGCCCAGGCTGAAGTACAGTGGTGTGATCTCGGCTCACCGCAACCGCCGCTTCCCAGGTTCAAGTGGTTCTCCTGCCTCAGCCTCCCAAGTAGTTGGGACTACAGGCATGCGCCACCACGCCTGGCTAATTTTTGTTTTTTTAGTAGAGTTCACCATATTGGCCAGGCTGGTCACGAACTCCTGGCCTCAAGTGATCCACCTGCCTCAGCTTCCCAAAGTGCTGGGATTACAGGCATGAGCCATTGCGCCTGGCCAAATGTGTGTCTTTTTTATCTATTAATTTATGACACTTTTGAAAGAACCAAGGCAAGCTTTGATTCAGAAAAAAGAGAAAAGAGAGACAGGAATTTGAGAAAGAAAGTGGAAAGCACTAGCATAACCAAAACCAGAGAAAAGTTTTGTCTTGAATTACATCTTTTATTTTATTTTATGTATGTATGTATGTATGTATGTATGTATGTATGTATGTATGTATGTATGTTGAGACGAAGTCTCACTCTTTTACCCAGGCTTGAGTGCAGTGGCGCAATCTCGGCTCACTGCAACCTCCGCCTCCCGAGTTCAAGTGATTCTCCTGCCTTAGCCTCTTGAGTAGCTGGGATTACAGGCATGCGCCATCACGCCTGGCTAATTTTTGTATTTTTAGTAGAGACAGGGTTTCACCATATTGGCCAGGCTGGTCTTGAATTCCTGACCTCAGGTCATCTGCCCACCCAGGTCTCCCAAAGTGCTGGAATTACAGGCGTGAACCACCAAGCCCTGGCCTTGTCTTAGATACATTATATCTAACCCCAAACTTGTAACTAAAATTAAGTTGAGGTCACAGCTGAGTTCATGTCCTAAACTCTGGAGGCAGAAGTTCTAGGTGATTGCCAGGTACTGTGGCTTGCACCTGTAACACCAGCAACTCAGGCAGGGAGGCTGAGGTGGGTGGATTGTTTGAGCCAAGGAAGTTGAGGCTGCAGTAATCGTGCCACTGCACTCCAGCCTGGGAAACAAGGAGATCCCCTCTCAACAAAAAAAGAAAGAAAAACTTCTAGGTGATTGTGTGAAAAGAGTCATTCTTTAAAAATAATACTGTTTATTTTAGAGCTAAAGTTTTCAGATTAATCTTTATCTTATATTTAATTAGTTATAGTTAATCTAGGCTAAATTCCTTAGATTTAAACATAGATAGAACACAATGCAAAAGAAAAAAATGCCATCTCACTGTTTTATGTTTTGTTCTTCAGTATCTAGAGGTACTCTATGGAAATCTTGGAAAGAAAGAGTTATAAAACGACCTTCAACAGCCCGTGCTTTAAGACCAGATCAGATGATTAGTGATCAACTTGCAACAAATACAAAGGTTTCAGAAATCCAAGGTATGCTACAGGAACTCATAGGCACCACAATGTTCAGTACATTGGAAAACAATGCTATTAAATATATATCATCAACAATAGTAAACCTTTCTACAGCTTTGAGTATGCTAAATGATGAATTAAAATGTGTTAACTTCCAAAGTTCCACTGTGTATGCACATGAGACAAGTGAAGCAGAAAAGGAGCTCTCTCTGAAGATAATACGAGATCTCAGTAACGAAAATGAAATGCTTCAGCAGAAACTTCAAGATGCAGAAGAAAAATGTGAACAACTTATTCGATCCAAAATTGTTATAGAACAACTATATGCAAAATTGTCCACATCATCAACCTTGAAAGTGTTACCTGGACCTTCTCCACAGTCATCCAGGGCGATAATCAAAGTTGGTGATACTGAGGACAATATGGACAATATTTTAGACAAGGAACTTGAAAATATTGTAGATGAAGTCCAAAGAAAAGAGACCAAGGACTCTGGGATAAAATGGGACTCCACTATTTCATATACAGCCCAAGCTGAAAGAACTCCAGATTTAACTGAACTACGACAGCAACCTGTTGCTTCTGAAGATATTTCCGAAGACAGCACTAAAGATAACGTATCATTGAAGAAAGGTGATTTCTATCAGGAAGATGAGACTGATGAGTATCAATCATGGAAAAGAAGCCACAAAAAAGCCACATATGTATATGAGACCTCTGGACCAAATCTGAGTGATAATAAAAGTGGACAGAAAGTCTCAGAGGCCAAACCTAGTCAATACTATGAGCTACAAGTACTGAAAAAGAAAAGAAAAGAAATGAAATCCTTTTCTGAAGATAAATCAAAGTCACCCACTGAAGCAAAAAGAAAACATCTCTCTTTAACTGAAACAAAGAGCCAAGGTGGCAAAAGTGGAACAAGTATGATGATGTTGGAGCAATTTAGGAAGGTCAAACGTGAATCTCCATTTGACAAACGTCCAACTGCAGCAGAGATTAAAGTGGAACCCACCACTGAGTCATTGGACAAAGAGGGCAAAGGTGAAATTAGAAGCCTAGTGGAGCCACTCAGTATGATCCAATTTGATGATACTGCTGAGCCACAGAAAGGAAAAATAAAAGGAAAGAAACACCATATCTCTTCAGGAACTATCACAAGCAAAGAAGAAAAAACTGAAGAGAAGGAAGAGTTGACCAAACAAGTCAAGTCTCATCAACTTGTTAAATCACTCTCAAGAGTGGCTAAAGAGACTTCAGAATCTACCAGAGTTCTAGAAAGTCCAGATGGCAAAAGTGAACAGAGTAACCTCGAAGAATTTCAGGAAGCCATAATGGCTTTCCTAAAACAGAAAATTGATAACATAGGAAAGGCTTTTGACAAAAAGACTGTTCCGAAGGAAGAGGAGTTATTAAAAAGAGCAGAAGCTGAAAAATTAGGAATCATAAAGGCAAAAATGGAGGAATATTTCCAAAAAGTGGCTGAAACTGTGACTAAAATCTTGAGAAAATACAAAGATACAAAAAAGGAAGAACAAGTTGGAGAGAAACCTATAAAACAAAAAAAGGTAGTCTCATTTATGCCAGGATTGCATTTTCAGAAGTCACCAATTAGTGCAAAATCTGAAAGCAGTACCCTCCTCTCATATGAGAGCACAGATCCAGTAATTAACAATTTAATACAAATGATCTTGGCTGAAATAGAAAGTGAAAGAGATATTCCAACAGTCTCAACAGTACAGAAAGACCACAAGGAGAAGGAAAAACAAAGGCAGGAGCAATATTTGCAAGAGGGTCAAGAACAAATGTCTGGCATGAGTCTCAAACAGCAGTTGCTGGGAGAAAGAAATCTCTTGAAGGAGCACTATGAGAAGATAAGTGAGAATTGGGAAGAAAAAAAGGCATGGCTCCAGATGAAGGAGGGAAAGCAAGAACAACAGAGCCAGAAACAGTGGCAGGAAGAAGAGATGTGGAAGGAAGAGCAAAAACAGGCAACTCCAAAGCAGGCTGAGCAAGAGGAAAAGCAAAAGCAAAGAGGACAGGAGGAAGAAGAGCTTCCAAAGTCAAGCCTGCAGCGGCTGGAAGAAGGGACCCAAAAAATGAAAACACAAGGGTTGCTCTTGGAAAAGGAGAATGGACAGATGAGGCAGATTCAGAAGGAAGCGAAACATTTGGGGCCACACAGGAGAAGGGAGAAAGGGAAGGAAAAGCAGAAGCCAGAGAGAGGGCTAGAGGACCTCGAAAGGCAGATCAAAACAAAGGATCAGATGCAGATGAAGGAAACACAACCTAAAGAGCTAGAAAAAATGGTCATCCAAACTCCAATGACATTATCTCCCAGGTGGAAGAGTGTATTGAAAGATGTACAGCGGTCATATGAAGGAAAAGAGTTTCAGAGGAATCTGAAGACATTAGAGAACCTTCCTGATGAAAAGGAGCCCATATCAATCACACCTCCCCCCTCCCTACAATACTCCCTGCCTGGAGCTCTTCCTATTTCTGGCCAGCCTCTCACTAAATGCATTCATCTCACACCTCAGCAGGCCCAGGAAGTGGGGATCACACTCACTCCTCAGCAGGCCCAGGCTCAGGGGATCACGCTCACCCTTCAGCAGGCCCAGGAACTAGGGATCCCTCTCACCCCTCAGCAGGCCCAGGCCCTGGAGATCCTTTTCACCCCTCAGCAGGCGCAGGCCCTGGGGATCCCTCTCACCCCTCAGCAGACCCAGGTTCAAGGGATCACTCTCACCCCTCAGCAGGACCAGGCCCCGGGGATCTCTCTCACCACTCAGCAGGCTCAGAAACTAGGGATCCCTCTTACCCCTCAGCAGGCCCAGGCCCTGGGGATCCCTCTCACCCCTCAGCAGGCTCAGGAATTGGGGATCCCTCTCACCCCTCAGCAGGCCCAGGCCCTGAGGGTCTCTCTCACCCCTCAGCAGGCTCAGGAATTGGGGATCCCTCTCACCCCTCAGCAGGCCCAGGCCCTGGGGATCACTCTAACCCTTCAGCAGGCCCAGCAATTGGGGATCCCTCTCACCCCTCAGCAGGCGCAGGCTCTCGGAATCACTCTCACCCCTAAGCAGGTTCAGGAACTGGGGATCCCTCTTACTCCTCAGCAGGCCCAGGCCCTGGGGATCACTCTCACCCCTAAGCAGGCTCAGGAATTGGGGATCCCTCTCAACCCTCAGCAGGCCCAGACCCTGGGGATCCCTCTCACCCCTAAGCAGGCACAGGCTCTGGGGATCCCTTTCACCCCTCAGCAGGCGCAGGCCCTGGGGATCCCTCTCACCCCTCAGCAGGCGCAGACTCAGGAGATCACTCTCACCCCTCAGCAGGCCCAGGCCTTGGGGATGCCTCTCACCACTCAGCAGGCTCAGGAACTGGGGATCCCTCTCACCCCTCAGCACGCTCAGGCCTTGGGGATGCCTCTCACCACTCAGCAGGCTCAGGAACTGGGGATCCCTCTCACCCCTCAGCAGGCTCAGGCCTTGGGGATGCCTCTCACCACTCAGCAGGCTCAGGAACTGGGGATCCCTCTCACCCCTCAGCAGGCTCAGGAATTGGGGATCCCTTTCACCCCTCAGCAGGCACAGGCTCAGGAGATCACTCTCACCCCTCAGCAGGCCCAGGCCCTGGGGATGCCTCTCACCGCTCAGCAGGCTCAGGAGCTGGGGATCACTCTCACCCCTCAGCAGGCTCAGGAATTGGGGATCCCTCTCACCCCTCAGCAGGCCCAGGCCCTGGGGATCCCTCTCATCCCTCCGCAGGCTCAGGAATTGGGGATCCCTCTCACCCCTCAGCAGGCCCAGGCCCTGGGGATCCTTCTCATCCCTCCGCAGGCTCAGGAATTGGGGATCCCTCTCACCCCTCAGCAGGCCCAGGCCCTGGGGATCCCTCTGATCCCTCCGCAGGCTCAGGAATTGGGGATCCCTCTCACCCCTCAGCAGGTCCAGGCCCTGGGGATCCCTCTCATCCCTCCGCAGGCTCAGGAATTGGAGATCCCTCTCACCCCTCAGCAGGCCCAGGCCCTGGGGATCCCTCTCACCCCTCAGCAGGCGCAGGAACTGGGGATCCCTCTCACCCCTCAGCAGGCGCAGGAACTGGGGATCCCTCTCACCCCTCAGCAGGCGCAGGCTCAGGGGATCCCTCTCACCCCTCAGCAGGCCCAGGCTCTGGGGATCTCTCTCACCCCTCAGCAGGCGCAGGCTCAGGGGATCACTCTCACCCCTCAGCAGGCCCAGGCACTGGGAGTCCCCATCACCCCAGTAAATGCCTGGGTGTCAGCTGTCACTCTTACCTCTGAGCAAACCCACGCTTTGGAGTCCCCTATGAACTTAGAACAGGCTCAAGAACAGTTATTGAAGTTAGGGGTTCCTCTCACCTTAGATAAAGCCCATACCTTGGGATCGCCCCTCACCCTTAAGCAAGTCCAGTGGTCCCATAGACCATTTCAGAAATCGAAGGCTTCTCTCCCCACTGGGCAATCCATCATATCAAGATTGTCTCCAAGTCTTAGGCTGTCCCTGGCATCATCAGCTCCTACTGCTGAGAAGTCCTCTATATTCGGGGTCTCTTCTACTCCTTTGCAGATATCAAGGGTTCCCCTCAACCAAGGCCCCTTTGCCCCTGGGAAGCCCCTAGAAATGGGGATTCTTTCTGAGCCTGGGAAGCTTGGGGCACCACAGACTCTTCGTTCCTCTGGACAGACCCTGGTATACGGAGGTCAATCCACTTCTGCGCAGTTCCCGGCACCACAGGCCCCTCCCTCCCCTGGGCAGCTCCCAATATCTCGGGCCCCTCCCACTCCAGGGCAGCCCTTTATAGCTGGAGTTCCACCCACTTCTGGACAGATTCCAAGTCTCTGGGCTCCTCTTTCTCCTGGGCAGCCCTTAGTTCCTGAAGCCTCTTCCATCCCTGGGGACCTCCTGGAATCTGGACCCTTAACCTTCTCTGAGCAGCTCCAGGAATTCCAGCCTCCTGCCACTGCTGAGCAATCTCCCTATCTGCAGGCTCCTTCTACCCCTGGGCAGCATCTGGCAACATGGACCCTTCCTGGGCGAGCTTCTTCATTATGGATCCCTCCCACCTCTAGACATCCTCCCACACTATGGCCGTCCCCAGCCCCTGGAAAGCCCCAGAAAAGTTGGTCCCCTTCTGTTGCTAAGAAAAGATTGGCAATTATTTCTTCTCTGAAATCTAAATCAGTATTGATCCATCCTAGTGCTCCAGATTTCAAGGTAGCTCAAGTTCCTTTCACCACTAAGAAGTTCCAAATGTCGGAGGTCTCTGACACTTCCGAAGAAACCCAGATACTTCGAGACACTTTTGCTATAGAATCATTTAGAACATTTCAGTCCCATTTCACCAAATATAGGACACCAGTATACCAAACCCCTTACACTGATGAAAGGGCCCTTCTCACTCTCATGAAGCCAACAACATCACCATCTTCTCTCACTACTCTACTCAGAACATCACAGATTTCACCTTTGGAATGGTACCAGAAATCCCGATTCCCTCCTATAGACAAGCCCTGGATACTGAGTTCAGTTTCAGATACCAAGAAACCCAAAGTAATGGTGCCCCCTTCCTCTCCTCAAGAACTTGAAGAAAAGAGGTATTTTGTTGATGTGGAGGCTCAGAAGAAGAACCTGATACTATTAAATCAGGCTATAAAAACTTGTGGACTCCCTTCACAGCTACACACAATGGCTAGGACTCTCATAATTGAGATACTTCATATGGACACAGTTCAGTTGGGATACTTATTCCGCAAGTACATTGCCTATAGGCTGATCCAGCATGCCAGGTAGATATAATTATTTACGTCTAGTTTTCTGGTTTAGTTCTGATTGCAAATATTTTCTGTCATTGTCCCAGAAGTATATTCATATTTGTCAGGCCATATGTTCTAAAGGACTGCCTTATATAAGGTCTATGGGAAGGAAGCTTGTTTAAGATAGCAAAAGGAGATATATTTTTTGGAAAATAAGAAATGACATATAACGTGATCCATTTCATCCATATATATCTCCAGCGGAGATGCCAAGTATATTTTGTGGATCATGGTTGGTCTCCAAAACATCAATTTCAAAAGTTTCCAGTTATTCTGAATTTCTTTCATCATTTTTGGTTCACCAGAAATGTATGATTTTTAAAATGGGAGATGGCATAAAAAAAGAATGAGACCAGGCATAGTGTCTCATGCCTGTAATCCCAGCACTTTGGGAGGCTGAGGCAGGTGGATAACTTGAGGCCAGGAGTTCAAGACCAGCCTGGCCAACATGGCGAAATCCCATCTCTGCAAAAAATTCAAAAATTAGACAGGCATGGTTGCGTGCACCTGTAATCCCAGGATTACTTGGGAGGCTAGGGCAGGAGAATCGCTTGAACCCGGGAGGTGGAAGTTGCAATAAGCCGATCATGCCACTACACTCCAGCCTGGGTGAGAGAGTCAGCCTCTGTCTCAAAATAATAATAATAATAATAAAAAGAGATCCTGCCATTTGCAACAACATGAATGGAACTAGAGGTCATTATATTAAATGAAATAAGCTGAGCACAGAAAGACAAACTTCACATGCTCTCACTTATTTGTGGGAGCTAAAAATTAAAGCAATTGAACTAATGGACATAGAGTAGAAGGATGGGACAGGTGCAGTGACTCACGCCTGTAATCCCAGCACTTTGGAAGTCTGAGGGGGGAGGATCACTTGAGCCCAGGGGTTTGAGACAAGCCTGGACAACAAATTGAGACCCTGTCTCTACATGATGGTGCATGCCTGTAGTCCCAGCTACTCAGGAAGCTGAGCTTGGAGGATCACTCAAGCCCCAGGAGGTTGAGACTGCAGTAAACCAAGATCGCGCCACTGCACTCCAGCCTGGGTGACAGAGCAAGACCCAGTCTCAGGGAAAAAAAAAAGAGAAGGATGGTTACCATAGGCTAGAAAGGGTAGTGGGGGTGGGGGGAAAGTAGGGATGGTTAATGGGTACAAAAAAATAGAAAGAATGAATAAGATTTAGCATTTGAAAGCACAACAGGGTGATTATAGTCAATAATAATGTAATTGTACATTTAAAAATAACAGAGTATAATTGGATTATTGGATTGTTTGTAACACAAAGGATAAATGCTTGATGCAATGGATACCTCATTTACCTTAATATGATTATTACACATTGCATTCCTGTATCAAAACATCTCCTGTACCCCCAAAATATATATACCTACTATGTACCCACAAAAAAATTTTTTAATGAAAAGAAAAACAAACAAAAAAATGGCCACGCGTGGTTGCTCACATCTGTAATCACAGTACTTTGGGAGGCCGAGGCAGGTGGATCACGAGTTCATGAGTTCAAGACCAGCCTGGCCAATATGGTGAAACCCCATCTCTTCTAAACTACAAAAATTAGCCGGGCATGGTGGCACGTGCCTGGAATCCCAGCTACTTGGGAGGCTGGGCAGGAGAATTGCTTGAACCCAGGAGGCAGAGCTTGCAGTGAGCCGAGATTGAGCCGCTGGACTCCAGCCAGCGGGGCAGAGCAAGACTCCATCTCAGGAAAAAATAAAAAATAAACAGAAAAGACAAATAAAAAAATACAAGTAAATATAGGCAGGGTGCAGTGGCTCATGCCTGTAACCCCAGCACTTTGGGATGCCAAGGCAGGTGGGTTACTTGAGGTCAGGAGTTCGAGACCACCCTGGCCAACATGGTGAAACCTCATCTCTATTAAAAAAAATACAAAAAATCAGCTGGCCAACATGGTGAAACCCCTTCTCTACTAAAAATACAAAAATTAGCTGGGTGTGGTGGGCAACTGTAATCCCATCACTTTGGGAGGCTGAGGCAGGCAGACCACCTGAGGTCAGGAGTTCGAGACCAGCCTGGCCAACATGGTGAAACACTATCCCTACTAAAAATACAAAAATTAGCTGGGCATGGTGGCACACACCTCCAGCTACTCAGGACGCTGAGGCAGGAGAATCGTTTGAACCCGGGAGGTGGAGGTTGCAGTGAGCAGAGATTGCGCCATTGCACTCCAGCCTGGGCAACGGGGTGAGACTCCATCTCAAAAAAAAAAAAAAAAAAAAAAAATTACCAGGCATTGTGGCTCACACCTGTAGTCCCAGCTACTCAGGAGGCTGAGGCAGAAGAATTGCTTGAACCCGAGAGGCAGAGGTTGCAGTGAGGCAAGACTGTGCCGTCGTCTCAAAAAAACAACAAAAAAACAAAACAAAAGAAACAAAGGGAGATGGCAGATTATGTAGGAGGTTGTTGCCATGGCAAATTTGCTGTTGGGGTGACCTGGAGGCAGCAGGCAGCAGGTCCTGGTCCTGATTTTTAAAAGTTGCAAATATCAGAAATGGATTAGGGCAGGTAACAATTTTCCTGCCATTCTTAACATTTGCATTTGAAGTTACCAACCTATTATTTCGGGGAATTTTTTTTTTTTTTGAGATGGAGTCTCCCTCTTTTGCCTCCTGGGTTCAAGCGATTCTCCTGCCCTCAGCCTCTAGAGTAGCTGGAGGTGTGTGCCACCATGCCCAGCTAATTTTTGTATTTTTAGTAGGGATGGGGTTTCACCATGTTGGCCAGGCTGGTCTCGAACTCCTGACCTCAGGTGGTCCACCTGCCTCAGCCTCCCAAAGTGCTGGGATTACAGGTGTGAGCCACCGCGCCCAGCTATTATTTTCTATTGATCTGCCTATTGATAAGTCACTTCCAGTCTCTGTTATTTTCGTTTTATTTTTATGATGCTGAGTCTTTGAGGTCTTTATTAGTGCTGTTTGCCAGCACTTGTCAATGAGATGTGAGCAGAATTGATACGTTATTTCTGTGCTGAGCTTGTCTTTGTTGGTTTGATGACCTACAGAGTTTCCTTTTCCTCTGGCATAGTAACCCACAATGTTCAAGGTGATTGTTGTTCCTTTACACATGTCCCTGAAAGAATACAGTGAAGTTCACTCCCTGCCAAGCCATGATGGATTCGTAGTATGAGCAACAAGTGAATTTTTTTGTTGTTTTAAGCCACTGAGGCTTGGGAGTTTTGTTAAAATAGCAAAACCTAGCTTATATTCACTAATAGAGTCTTCCTATCCAAGAATATGGTATATCTATTTTTTTTTTTTTTTTTTTGAGACAGAGTCTTACTCTGTCACCCAAGCCAATTATACATCTTTTTTTTGTTGTTCGGGTTTGTGTGTGTGTGTGTGTGTGCATGTGTGACCACATATGCAAAAAATTTTGATTTTTGTATGTTTATTTTATTTTATTTTATTTTATTTTTGAAACAGAGTGTCGCTCTGCTGCCCAGGCTGGAGTGCAGTGGGGCAATCTCCACTCACTGCAAGCTCTGCCTCCCGCATTCACGCCATTCTCCTGCCTCAGCCTCCCGAGTAGCTGGGACTACAGGCGCCCACCACCACGCCTGGCTAATTTTTTGTATTTTTAGTAGAGACGGGGTTTCACCGTGTTAGCCAGGATGGTCTCGATCTCCTGACCTCGTGATCCACCCGCTTCGGCCTCCCAAAGTGCTGGGATTACAGGCGTGAGCCACCACGCCCGGCGATTTTTGTATGTTTAAATAAATGTATAAAACAGATACAGGGCTGGGTGCGGTGGCTCATGCCTGTAATCTCCCAACACTGTAGGAGGCTGAGGTGGGCAGATCACCCAAGGTCAGGAGTTCACCTGGCCTACATGATGAAACCCTGTCTCTAATAAAAATACAAAAATTAGCTGGGCATGGTGGTGTGTGCCTGTAATCCCAGATACTCGGGTGGCTGAGGCAGGAGAATTGCTTGAACCCGGGAGGCAGAGATTGCAGTGAGCTGAGATGGCGCCACCACTACATTCCATTCTGTATGACTTTCTTTCTTTCTTTCTTTCTTTCTTTTTTTCTTTCTTTCTTTCCTTCTCTCTCTCTCTCTCTTTCTTTCTTTCTTTCCTTTCTTCTTTTTTTTTTTGGCGGGGTCTGGCTTTGTCGCCCAGCTGGAGTGCAGTGGTGCAATCTTGGCTCACTGCAACTTCTGCCTCACAGACTGAAGCAATCCTTCTACACAGCCTCCTGAGTAGCTGGGACTATAGGCACACGCCACCACGCCCGGCTAACTTTTGTATTTTTTTTTTTTTTTTTGAGGCAAAGTCTCGCTCTTGTCCCCCAGGCTGGAGTGCAATGGCACCATATAATACTATTCAAAGTAGTCTACAGATTCAATGATATTCCTATTAAACTACCAATGTCATTTTTCACTACATTAGAAAAAACTATTGTAAAATTCATATGGAACCAAAAAAGAGCCCAAATAGCCAAAGCCATCCTAAGCAAAAACAACAAAGCTGGAGGCATATTACATTATCCAACTTCAAACTATACTATAAGGCTACAGTAACCAAAACAACATTGTACTGGTACAAAAACAGACACATAGATCAATGGAACAGAATAGAGAACCCAGAAATAAAGCCCCATACCCACAATCATCTAATTGTGGACAAAGTCAACAAAAACAAGCAATGAGGAAAGGACTCTCTGTCCAATAAATGATGCTGGGACAGCTGGCTGGCCATATGCAGAAGAATGAAATTGCATCCCTACCTTTCACCATATACAAAAATTAACTCGAGATGGATTAAAGATTTAAATGTAAGACCTCAAACTATACAAATCCTAGAAGAAAACCTAGGAAATACCATTCTGTTTCTTTTTTTGTTTTTATTTATGTATTAGAGACAGAGTTTTTGCTCTGTTGCCCAGGTTGGAGGGCAGTGGCACGATCTCACCTCACTGCAACCTCTGCCTCCTGAGTTCAAGCCATTCTCCTGCCTCAGCCTTGCTAACAGATGTTAGCAAGGCTGCAGAGAAAAGGAATGCTTATACGCTGTTAATGAGAATGTAAATTAGCTCAGCCACTGTGGAAAGTAGTTTGAAGATTTCTTGTTTTTATGGTGGTGGTGGTGTTTTGTTTTTGTTTTTTGTTTTGTTTTGTTTTTTAGACGAAGTTTTGCTCTTGTTGCCCACCCCTGGCTAATTTTTGTATTTTTAGTAAAGACAGAATTTCATCATATTGGTCAGGCTGGTCTCGAACTCCTGACTTCAGGTGATCTACCCGCCTTCGCCTCACACAGTGCTGGGATTACAGGCGTGAGCCACCGCGCTCGGCCTTGTTTTGTTTTTTGACATGGTCTCACTCTCTTGTCCAGGGCAATGATGGCTCACTGCAGTTTAGATCTCCTGGGCTCATGCAATTTTCCCATATCAGCCTCCGAGTAGCTGGGACTACAGGCCTATGCCATCATGCCTGGCTAATTTTTTAATTTTTTATTTTTTGTAGGGATAGGGTCTTACTATGTTTCCCAGGCTAGTCTTGAACTCCTGGGCTCAAGTTATCCTCCTGCCCCAGCCTCCCAAAATGTTGGGATTACAGGCCTGAGACAACATGCCCAGCTGAGATTTCTCGAAGAACTTAAAATAGATCTACCACTTGACCCAGCAATCCCATTACTGGGTATATATTCAAAGGAAAATAAATTATTATACCAAAAAGACACATGCACTTGTCTGCTCATTGCAGCATTATTCACAAAGACATGGAATCAACCTAGGTACACATCAGTGGTGGACTGGATAAAGAAAATGTGGTATATATACAACATATGGAATACTATGCTGCCATAAACAAGAACAAAATCATGTCCTTTGCAGCAAATGGATGCAGTTGGAGGCCATTATCCTAAACAAATTAACAGAAGAACAGAAAACCAAATACCGACATTCTTGCTTATAAATGGAGCTAAATGTTGGGTACACAGGGACATAAAGATGGGAACAACAGACACTGGGGACCACTAGTAGGGGAGAGAGGAAGTGGGACAAGGTTTGAAAAACTACCTATTGGGTACTATGGTCATAACCTGCGTGATGGGATCATTTGTACCCCAAATCTCAGCATCATGCAATATAACCATGTAACAAACCTGCATATGTACCCTCTGAATCTAAAGTAAAAGTTGAACTTACTAAAATAAAAAAGAAAAGTTGAATTAAACCAAATTCAATTTGAAAAAAAAAAAAAAATAGACTGGCTGGGTGTGGTGGCTTATCCTGTAATCCTAGTACTTTGGGAGGCCAAGGTGGTGAATCACTTGAATCCAGGAGTTCGAGACCAGCCTGGCCAACATGGTGAAACCCCATCTCTACAAAAAAAAAAAAAAAGGCTGGGTGTGGTGGCTCACACCTATAATCCCAGCACTTTGGGAGGCCAAGGCAGGCAGATCACGAGGTCAGGAGAATGAGGACTATCCTGGCTAACACAGTGAAACCCCGTCTCTACTAAAAATACAAAAAATTAGCTGGGCATGGTGGCGGGCGCCTGTAGTCCCAGCTACTCTGGAGGCTGAGGCAGGAGAATGGCTTGAACCCGGG
The DNA here is from genome assembly GCF_000001405.40 of Homo sapiens. Taxonomy (NCBI): domain Eukaryota; kingdom Metazoa; phylum Chordata; class Mammalia; order Primates; family Hominidae; genus Homo; species Homo sapiens. Next base: position 50,343,708 of record NC_000012.12, on the reverse strand, counting down.
AGGTGGAGGTTGCAGTGAGCCGAGATTGCACCACTGCACTCCAGCCTGGGTGACGGAGCGAGACTCCGTCTCAAAGAAAAAAAAGAAAAAAGAGAGAGAAAACAAAAACCCATGGATTAGCTGGGTTCGCTGTAGTCCCAGCTACTCAGGAAGCTGAGGCATGAGAATTGCTTGAGCCCGGGAGACGGAGGTTGCAATGAGCCAAGATCGCACCACTGCACCACTGCACTCCAGCCTGGGCAACAGAGCAAGACTCTGTCTCAGAAAACAGCAACAACAGCAACAACAATAAAAAAACCCTGAATGTTCAATTTTGTTAAATAATGTGATTTGAGCACTTTATTTTCACATGTATTAAAGAAAATGTGGGCTGGGAAGGTGGCTTATGCTTGTAATCACAGCACCTTGGGAAGCTAAGGCGGGAGGATTGCTTGAGGCCAGGAGTTTTGAGACCAGCCTGAACAACACATGGGGCCCCGTCTTTCTTTTTTCCTGAGATAGGGTCTCGCTATGTTGCCTGTGCTGGAGTGCAGTGGCGTGATCACTGTACACTGCAGTCTCAACTTCCCGGGTTTAAAATATCCTCCCACTTCAGCCTCCCCAGTAGCTAATTTTTAAACTTTTTGTAAAGATAGGGTCTCCTGTTGCCCAGGCTGGTCTTGAATTCCTAGGCTCAAATGATCCTACCACCTCGGCATCCCAAAGTGCTGGGATTACAGTTGTCAGCCACTGCACCCAGCCTGACTCCATCTTTAAAAAAAAAAAAAAAATTATCTAGTCTTGGTGGTGTGCACCTGTAGTCCCAGCTATTTGGAAAACTGAGACAGGAGGACTGCTTGAGCCCAGGAGTTCAAGGATGTGATGAGTTATGATCGTGTTGTGCCACTGCACTCCACCCTGGGTGACAGAGCGAGACATTGTCTCAAAAAAAAAAAAGGTCGGGAGCGGTGGCTCACGCCTGTAATCCCAGCACTTTGGGAGGCTGAGGCGGGTGGATCACGAGATCAGATCGAGACCATCCTGGCTAACATGGTGAAACCCTGTCTCTACTAAAAATACAAACAAAACTAGACAGATGTGGTAGCATGTAGCTGTAGTCCCAGCTACTCGGGAGGCTGAGGCCGGAAAATCACTTGAACCCAGGAGGCAGAGGTTGCAGTGAGCCGAGATCATGCCACTGCACTCCAGCCTGGGCAACAGAGCGAGACTCTCTCTCTAAAAAAAAATTTTAAAAAATAAAATAAAATAAAAAATAAAAAATAAAAAAGGAGATTTTTCCCCCTTAGTTCTATTAATATAATTATATTAAACCATCATTGCATTCCTGTCATAAATCCTATTTGTTCTACATGTAACATTCTTTGTTTTTTTGTTTTGTTTTGTTTTTGTTTTTGTTTTTTTTAAGACAAGAGTCTCACTTGGTTGCCCAGGCTGGAGTGCAGTGGCATGATCTCAGCTCACTGCAACCTCTGCCTCCCAGGTTCAAGCAATTCTCTTGCATCAGCCTGTTTCAGCCTCCAGAGTAGCTGGGATTACAGGCACGCCGCCGCCATGCCTGGCTATTTTTTTTTTCCTTCCTTGACTATATTGTAGAATCACTATATTTTATTAAGGATTTTTCTCATTCATATTCATAAGTTAAGTTTGGCAGGCAGTTTACTTCTTATGGTATTATCTTTGTGAAGTTTTGGTATAATCTTAAGCTTGCATCATTAAAAAATGTGGAAGTTTATCTTTTGTGCTCTGAAACAATTTAATAGTAAAATTAGCTGTTCTTTTAAGGTTTGGCAGATTTCCCCTATGATATTACACTGGCTTAGTACTTTTTGAAGGGAGTTCTTTGACAGCTTTCTCTCAATTTTATCTTTTTTTTTGAGACGAAGTCTTGCTCTGTTGCCCAAGCTGGAGTGCAGGGGCACGATCTCAGCTCATTGCAACCTCCGCCTCCTGGGTTCAGGGAATTCTCCTGCATCAGCCTCCTGAGTAGCTGGGATTACAGATGCACATCACTACGCCCAGCTAATTTTTGTATTTTTAGTAGAGACAGGGTTTCACCATGTTGGCCAGGTTGGTCTCGAACTCCTGACCTCGTGATCTGCCCACCTTGGCCTCCCAAAGTGCTGGGATTACAGGTATGAGCCACTGTGTCAGGTCGCTTTCTCAATTTTTAGGATTCATTTAGATTTATTGAAGACTTTGAGAACCTAAGTAGCATAATCTGACCTGTCTCAGTAAAATCATTTAAAAATATGACTTTATACAATCATAACCTTAATCCCATCGAGGATCAATTCATTCTTTCAGAAAGCTCTTCTCTAATATTTAATGTTATAATAACAAAATCACAGACAGATGCAACAACAAATAAAATACTGAAAGATTAAAAATTTTATGACAAGGATGGCTAGGTCAAGAAGATTCTAATATTATATGTAAGAGAAAAATACTACAGTAATATAAACTGTTTTTGAATAAAGATTTCTGTAGAGCCTCTGTAAGTGAAGAATTCTACATTTAAGTGCTAAAATATAGTTTTAGAATTGTATTCCCTCATGATCGGTGAAATATATCTGAGAAGAGATGACAGGGAAGATGTAAAATTAGAAAAGATGAGCTGGGCGCGGTGGCTCATGCCTGTAATCCCAGCACTTTGGGAGGCCAAGGCAGGCAGATCACCTGAGGTCAGGAGTTTGAGAACAGCCTGGCCAACAAGGCAAAACCCCATCTCTACCAAAAATACAAAAATTAGCTGGGCATGATGGCGTGCACCTGTAATGCTGGCTACTTGGGAGGCTGAGGCAGGATAATCGCTTGAACTCGGGAGGCAGAAGTTGCAGTGAGCCCAGATCACACCATTGCACTCCAGCCTGGGCAACAGAGCAAGACTCTGTCTCAAAAAAAAAAAAAAATTAGAAAAGATGATGATAATTAGACATTTGTTTCCATATATATTGAAGAAAGTTCTCAATAGTACTAGATGTTGTGCTCTCTAGATAGCATCACTTAATTCATCAACATTTTTTTTTTTTTTAAAGAGACAGGGTCTTGCTCTATCAACCAGGCTGGAGTGCATTGGTGTGATCATAGCTCACCATAACGCCAAACTCCTGGGCCGAAGCGACCTGTGTGTGCCATCATGCCCAGCTAATTTTTGATATTTTTTTTAGCGATGGATCTCCCTCTGTTGCCCAGACTGGTCTTGAACTCCTGAGCTCAAGCAATCCTCCTGCCTTGGCCTCTCAAGCTACTGGGATCACAGGTGTGAGACACTGAGCTCGGCCCATCAACATTTAAAAAATATCCACCACTTGTGGGGACTGTGTTAGGTACAGGGATTAGAGGGTAGAAGGATACAAAGATGGATAAGCTACATCCCTGCTTTCAATGCACCTAGTCTCCTCAGAGAGACAGTCACACAAAGAGATGATTATATCGTATGATGTGGAAAGTACAATAATGGCGCATGTGCAGTTATAGAAGAGGACTGAGGAGAGGCGGGAGTTAGGTACAGCTTCTGGGAGTTCAGACCTCTGAACTGTGCCTCAAAGAACCAGTAAAAGTCAGTAAGACAGGCAGGGCACTGTGGCTCACGCCTGTAATCCCAGCACTTTGGGAGGCCGAGGTGGGTGGATTGCTTAAGGTCAGGAGTTTGAGACCAGCCTGACCAACATGGTGAAACCCTATCTCTACTAAAAATAAAAAAATTAGCCAGGCACGATGGCAGGTGCCTGTAATCCCAGCTACTTGGGAGGCTGTGGCAGGAGAATCGCTTGAACCCAGGAGGCGGTGGTTGCAGTGAACCGAGATTGCGCCACTGCACTCCAGCCTGGGTGACAGAGTAAGACTCTGTCTCAAAAAAAGAAAAAGTCAGGAAAACAAAGAAGTCAGAGAGTGTAGCAGAGTAAAGAAAGGCAGCAGGAAGAAGCTCTGTGTGTGTGTGTGTGTGTGTGTGTGTGTGTGTGTGTGTAAAGTACTTTGTGGCTAATACTTAGAACACAAAGAAAAAGCAAAATGTAGTAAGAGATGAGACTGGAAAGATAAAAGAGAGGCAAGATAAAAGAGAATCCTAAATCACATGCTAAGGAACTTGTATTTAATTCCGTACTTAATAGAGGATAACTAAAGAATTCTTAGCAAGGGAAGTAAAATGCCAGTAATGTGGAAGACAGATTTAAGAAGAGTAAAGCTCATACAGAGGCATAAATTAGGACTAGGTGGCATCCACCTAAATGTTTTGAAAGAATATAAGGGTGAGAGTAGAATTACTAGGAAAATATTTACAGTTGTTTTAAAAGGATTCTATGCTAAGGTGATATATCAACAGTGTAACTCCTACTAAACAAGGGCATCCATGCCAGGCAAGCTGGTGAAGTCTAAATAAAAAGTAAAATCAGCCCGGTCTGGTGGTACACGCCTGTAATCCCAGCACTTTGAGAGGCCAAAATGGAGGAATTGCTTGAGCCTAGGAGTTCAAGACCAGCCTGGGCAACATAGTGAGACCCTGTCTCTACAAAAATTATAAAAATTAGCCAGGCGTGGTGGTATGTATGCCTGTGGTCCCAGCTACTTGGTAGGCTGAGGTGGGAGGATCCCATGAGCCTGAGAGGTTGAGGTTGCAGTGAGCCATGGATGCACCACTACACTCCAGCCTGGGCAACACAGTGAGACCCTGTCTCAAAAAAAAAAATTACTACAGTCTTGAAACAGTAAAAATGGATAGACTAAAGGAAATATAAATTTTATAGGAGAATCATGCTAATCTAATCTGGAATTGTTGGAGGAAACACTGACAAGGAGAAACTAAATGAAAATAAATTATGTAAATTTAGTTATGTGCATACAGGGGCTTATAATGCATCTACAACAAACACAAACTTCAGATATATTATTGCATTTAACTGGAAGAATGGGAATCAGGTTCAGAAAGGTCATCCTATTTGCCCAAATCACACAGCTAATAATTGGTAGAAGTGAATTTTTAAAAATCCATTTCCAAAGTCTATATAGTATACTATACTACCTATTATACTACACTGTCTTAAAGTAGTAACTGTAATGGTTTTTATATTTAAATCCTAATCATGCTTTCTCTTAAACATAGACTTTGAAGTCAAGCAGATCTTGGTTCAAATTTCCAGAACTTCTCTGAGACTTAAATGTGTTGCATGTAAAATGGATATAATAATATTTACTTCAAATAATGGTTGAGGCCAGGCATGGTAGCTCATGCCTGTAATCCCAGCACTTTGGGAGGCTGAGGCGGGTGAATCACCTGAGGTCTGGAGTTCGAGACCAGCCTAGCCAACATGGTGAAACCCCGTCTCTGCTAAAAATACAAAAATTAGATGGGCGTGGTGGTGCAGCCTGTAATCTTAGCTACTCGGGAGGCTGAGGCAAGAGAATTGCTTGAACCCTGGAGGCGGAGGTTACAGAGAGTTGGGATTGCACCATTGTACTCCAGCCTGGGCAACAAGAGCGAAACTCTGTCTCAAAATAAAATAAAATGAAAGGTTGAAAGGGTTAAATAAAATAACATATGTAGCTTGCAGCACAACAGTAGTAGTACAGTAGTAGTATTACCATAGTAGATGCTCAGTAAATGTAAAGAATCTCTATCTAAAAATCAATATTCCTTAGGACGGGGCAATGTTTTATCAACGTAAGTGGGATTGGCTAAGACAGTGGAAACAAAAGGTAAGGAGGATGAATAGCCATGATTCTAGATAGAGGCTTTTAAATAATAAGATACCCCCATGGTTACTACTGGATTGAATGCTCAGATTTTGTTTGTTTATTTGTTTGTTTGTTTGTTTTTAGACGAAGTCTTGCTCTGTCGCCAGGCTGGAATGCAGTGGCGCCATCTTGGCTCACTGGAACCTCCACCTCCCAGTTTCAAGGAATTCTCCTGCCTCAGCCTCCCGAGTAGCTGGGACTACAGGCGCTTGCCACCACGCCCAGCTAATTTTTGTATTTTTAGTAGGGACGGGGTTTCACCGTGTTGGCCAGGATGGTCTCGATCTCTTGACCTTGTGATCCGCCCGCCTCAGCCTCCCAAAGTGCTGGGATGACAGGCGTGAGCCGCCGCGCCCGGCCTTCAGATTATTAAAAATGAATTCTCTCACCAGGCTCATGCCTGTCATCCCAGCACTTTGGGAACCGAGGTGGGCGGATCACTTGGTCCCAGGAGTTAAAGACCAGCCTGGGCAATATGGTAAAACCCCATCTCTACTTAAAAAAAAAAAAAAAAAATTGGCAGGCCTGACGGTGTGCCTATAGTCCCAGCTACCGAGGGGGGCTGAGGTGGGAGGATGGCTTGAGCTCACAAGGTCAAGGCTGCAGTGAGCCAAGATCGCGCCACTGCACTCCAACCTGGGTGACAAAGAGAGACCCTGTCTAAAAAAAAAAAAAAAAAAAAAAAAGAATTATCTCTAAAACTACATCCAACAATAAAGTCCCTAAGTTTGAAGTTAAACTTTTCCAAGCAGTGAAATATGATTTCAATAAGAAAAAATGATAAGGAAATCTCAAAAGCCTGTGTAATTAGACAGAAAAATGTCAGGAAATATTTGGTGTGAAGAGGCTTATTGGAAAATTAAAAAATCTAATATGTTTAAATATTAAATACAAATATAATAATTTAAGTATTAAATGATCCATATATATAGTAGGTTCTAAAGTATTCATTATAACCCACAAAAGAAACCTAAGAGCTAAGAATTATTCTTTCTCTCTTCTCTCTCAATATAGATAGAGATGGATAAATAAAATCTCAGGTAAATCTCACTGATTCACCTGAGGCAATATATATATATACGCATGTATATAAAATACATATATTTAGAAAAATGTCTTTGATGGGTCCCCATCATCTACCAAAAAAAAAAATAAGAGAAGATCCAAACTCCTTAACATACCTTTGAAAGCCTTTCATCTTTCACTATCCAACCATTCCAGTCTCATCCCCCACTATATCCTTTCACATATCTGTGGTCAAAAACCCCAGACTACTCATCACTCTCAAAATATAACTTTCGTTTTCTTACCTTTGTTTATGGGATTTCTCCACCTGGACTTCCTCATCCCCTTCTTCCCTGTTCTGTCCGTAAGCACAATGGTTTTCAAACTTTAGTAAAGTAAGAGTTACCTGAGATTTTAAAATGCAGATTCCTGAAGCCTACCACTAAGATTTTGATTCAAAAGGTATGGAGAAGGACCTTGGAACCTGCATTTTCAACAAGCACCCCACCCGTCTACCCCATATGGTTCAGTCTAGGTGATCAGAGTCCGCACCTTGAGAAATATTGGCATTGTGGAAGAAAGAAGTTCTGGGCTTGCTTCCCAAATCTACCATTTATCAATTATGGGACATTAGAAAAAACACTTAACTTTGCTGAGATTTCTTTTCCTCTTCTGTAGAATGAGGATGGCAAAACTCTGTTTAGGACCACCAAAATGTGGTGGAATACATTATAGGAGGGCAGTAGGGAGAGAGAGAGAAAGGGAGAATCTTTTTATGACTGTCCCTCAAAATTCTGCTTGACACCTTCCTATAAAGCCTTCTTTATTACTCTTTTTTTTTTTTTTGAGATGGAGTCTCACTCTGTCACCCAGGCTGGAGTGCAATGGTGTGGTCTCGGCTCACTGCAACCTCCACCTCCCAGGTTCAAGTGATTCTCCTGCCTCAGCCTCCTGAGTAGCTGGGACTATAGGCGCCCGCCATCACACCGGGCTAATTTTTGTATTTTTTAGTAGAGTCAGGGTTTCACCATGTTGGTCAGTCTGGTCTGGAGCCCCTGACCTCGTGATCTGCCCACCTCGGCCTCCCAAAGTGCTGGGATTACAGGCATGAGCCACTGCGCCCGGCCTTATTACCCTTACTGGAATTAACTATGCTTTCCTTTTTGCTCCTGCAGCCTATTTAGTTAGCATTTATTTCATTCTATTTCTTTTTTTTTACAAGTAACGTAGTGTCCTATTCTGGATTATAAGTGCTTTTGAAGGCAAGGACACTGTCTTTTCCATAATTGTATTAAGTACTTTCTATGTGTCATTTTTTTTTTTTTGAGATAGGATCTCACACTCTGTTGCCCAGGCTGGAGTGCAGTGGCACGATCTCGGCTCACTGCAACCTCTGTTGCTCGGGTTCAAGTGATTCTTCTGCCTCAGCCTCCCAAGTAGCTGGGATTACAGTCACCTGCCACCGCACCTGGCTAATTTTTGTGTTTTTAGAGGAGATGGGGTTTCACCATGTTGGCCAGGCTGCTCTTGAACTCTTGACCTTGTGATCCACCAGCCTTGGCTTCCCAAAGTGCTTGGATTACAGGCGTGAGACACTGTGCCCGGCCTTACCTTCTATGTGTCTTACACATATCTATACATATGAAAAAAATGATCTATCTTATCCCCTAAGGTAATTTTTATTACAAATAGCCACATTTAACTAATTTTTTAAGAGTTGGAGTCTTGCCCTTAACAAAAAGGTGAATGTAATGGCGTGATCATAACTCACTGCAGCCTCGAACTCCCTAGGCTCAAGCAAGCCTCTCACCTCAGCCTCCTGAGTGGCTGTGTCTACAGGTATGTGCCACCATGCCCAGCTATTTTTATTTTGCAGAGACGGAGTCTTACTATATTGCCCAAGCTGGTCACAGACTCCTGGCCTCAAGCGATCCTCCCACCTCAGCCTCCCAAAGTGCTGGGATTACAGGCATGAGCCACTTCACCTGGCATAATTTTTAAAATATATTAAAATAATTGTAAGCAACACTATTTTAACACTGGAAATTTTGTGAAGACTTAATGAAAATTTTGATAATCATATAGATTTTTGAAGGTTCATTCATAGGAACTGGATTAAAGTCTTATTAAGCAAGCTTCCCATCCTTCTCTACTTACTGGGGATGATGAGAGAATTGAAAGAAACTGAGGACAGGTTGGGCATAGTGGCTCACTCCTGTAATCCCAACATTTTGGGAGGCTGTGGCAGGAGGATCGCTTGAGGTCAAGAGTTCAAGACCAGCCTGGACAACATGGCAAAACCCCATCTCTACTAAAAATACAAAAATTAGCTGGGCGTGGTGGTGCACACCTGTATTCCCAGCTACTTGGGAGGCTGAGGCATGAGAATCGCTTGAACCCATGAGGCAGAGGTTGCAGTGAGTCAAGATCACACCACTGCACTCCAGCCTGGGCAACAGAGTGAGACTCTGTCTCAAAAAAATAAAATTAAATTAAAAAGAGGCCATGCTCAGTGGCTCAGGACTGTAATCCCAGCACTTTGGGAGGACAAGGAAAGTGGATCACGAGGTCAGGAGTTTGAGACCAGCCTGACCAACATGGAGAAACCCCGTCTCTACTAAAAATACAAAAATTAGCTGGGCATGGTGGTGCGCACCTGTAGTCCCAGCTACTCAGGAAGCTGAGGCAGGATAATTTCTTGAATCCAGGAGGTGGAGGTTGCAATAAGCCATGATTGCACCATTGCACCTCCAGCCTGGGCAACAAGATCGAAACTCCGTCTCAAAAAAAAAAAAGAAACTGAGGACAAGTTTGTTGAAGTAGGGTCTGCAACTATTATCGCTCTAATTTTTATTAATCTTTTCAAGGAACAACATAATGAAACGACTAAAAGCCATCCAAAATACTGGGAAAGGCTATGAGGCCAGGAACCTCCACATGATGCTGAGCAGACTTGATGACTACGGGAAAAAGGTGATGCAGGTCTGGACTGAGAAGCAGAAGTCTCTAGGGCAGAAACGGAATCAGTGCCTGAAGAAAATGATACACGTATTCAACCAGGTAACCTGCTTTCCACTCCCTCTGTCCAGCATGTTGTAAAAACATGAAAGTGGTAAGCTTTGTAAATGACATTTACCTGGAGACACCATGTCATATTACTTTCCTGGGCTGCTGTAACAAATTACCACAAACTTCATAGCTTAAAACAACAGAAATTTACTCTCTCACAGTTCTAGAGGCCAGAAGTTAGTGAAATCAGGGTGTCTGCCAGGTTGGTTCCTTCTAGAAGCTCTGAGAGGGCATTCTGTTGCATGCTTCTCTCCTAGATTGTGGTGGCTATGGGCAATCCTTAGCATTCCTCAGTTTGTAGCCACATAATTCCAATCTCCGCCTCCATCTTTCAAATGGCCTTTTTTTTTGTTTTGCTTTGTTTTTCGTTTTTTTGAGACAGTCTTGCTCTGTCTCCCAGGGAGTACAGTGGCACTATTTCGACTCGGTGCAAACTCCACCTCCTGGATTCAAGAGATTCTCCTGATTCAGCCTCCCGAGTAGATGGGATTACAGGCGCCCACCACCATGCCCAGCTAAATTTTATATTTTTAGTAGAGATGGGGTTTCACCATGTTGGCCAGGCTGGTTTCGAATTCCTGACCTCAGGTGATCCACCCGCCTCAACCTCCCAAAGTGTTGGGATTACAGGCGTGAGCCACCACGCCTGGCCTGAGTTCTTATAGTAAATATTACAAGCTGTGGTTCTAGAAACATTTTATATCTGTATATCCTTGTCTTTCCTTAAAATCGATTAATTTATAAGATTAGTTTACTTGCTACTTTGGAAGGTACAGAGAGGCTTCTCATCAGAGCCTAATCCAAGTCAAACATATATTGTAAATTTTCAGAACTGTTATATTTTATTTTATTATTTATTTATTTATTTATTTTTGAGATGAGGTCTCACTGTGTCACCCAGGCTGGAGTGCAGTGGCGTGATCTCGGCTCACTGCAACCTCCGCCTCCTGGGTTCAAGTGATTCTCCTGCCTCACCCTCCCGAGTAGTTGGGATTACAGGTGCCTGCCACCATGTCTGGTTAATTTTTGTATTTTTAGTAGAGATGGGGTTTCACCATGTTGGCCAGGCTGGTCTTGGACTCCTGACCTCAAGTGAACCGCCCATGGCAGCCTCCCAAAGTGCTGGGATAGAGGCTTGAGCCACCGTGCCCGGCCCAGAACAGTTATATTTTAAATATTACAGCTCTTTGTCAAAAAAATGAATATTCTCCTTTTTTTGATTTGGCAAATATGGCCAATGTACATAGAGTAAAGCAAGATGGGTTGGCAGCAACATGCGTTATCTAACAGGAATCACAATGCCTAGGGCATTTCAGAGGAGGAATAAGGGTCTGGGGCCAGGGAAGCCAGAATCCAGAGGATGAGGTATGGGTATCAAGGCTTGGAGAAAGGAGACAAAAAAAGCAAAAGGGATAAGAGGTTAGATATGAATGAATACTTTGCACTGAATCAGCATGGTGGTCAAGATGGCTAGCTCCGCTACCAGATTGTCTGGGTTCAAATCAGGCTAGCTACATACTAGCTAAGTGACTTTATGCAAGCCGCTTACATTTTCTGAGCCTCAGATTTTCCTGCTGTAAGACAAGGGTAATTATAAGACATACCGCATAAGGTTGTTATAAATACCAAATCAGCTAATATATGGAAAATGCTTAGTTCAGTGTCTGACATTCACTAAGTATTTAGTAAATGCTGGCTATCATTACAGTTGCATACTGCATCACAATTTATAAAGTGCTTCCATATATACTGTGTTTTACAATTCTCACAACCCTGTGTTATTATCCCTGTTTTAGAAATGAGGAGAAAGAAGTGCAGATAAATTAAGCAACTATCCCAAAGTCTCACAGCAAGAAAATAAGAGGACCAGGACTTAAGCTTAAGTAGGACAAAGGTTTTTATGTAGCAGAGCTGCCACCTCTAAAATGATGCATGTTGGAGGTGGGTGGAGTAGGGAGAGGATTTGCAAATCCATGGAAAAGGAGGAGTCACAGTTTAGTCTAGGGCCAGCTCTGAAGACCCTTCTAAAGATTCTGTCTCTTTTCATGGTTTCCTTTTTCTGATCTATTTTTTTTTATAGCTCAAAAAGATACATGAATTGAATCTTAGTCAACCTATCCCCTTAATCATCGAAGAAAAGCAGATACCTGCCTCTACCACATTTGTTCAAAAGCCATTCTTAAAATTACTAATGGAAGAGGACAGAACCTCTGACATATGCAAGAAATTTAGGTATGTGCTAGAAAGACTGATATTAAACTTTGGACGATATGTGGGACCTAATTTTTTTTTCCCTGCCCAAGAACTTCCCTTTCTCCACAATTATCAAATGGTGCAATGGAGAGTCTAAAGGAGTATTAGGCTGGGCGCGGTGGCTCATGCCTGTAATCCCAGCACTTTGGGAGGCCGAGGCAGGTGACTCATCTGAGGTCGGGAGTTCAAGACCAGCCTGACTAACATGGAGAAACCCCATCTCTACTAAAAAAAGTACAAAATTAGCCCGGCATAGTGGTGCATGCCTGTAATCCCAGCTAGTTGGGAGGCTGAGACAGGAGAATCGCTTGAACCTGGGTGGCAGAGGTTGCGGTGAGCCGAGATCGTGCCATTGCACTCCAGCCTGGGCAACAGCGAAACTCTGTCTCAAAAAAAAAGAGTATTAATTCCCTTAGCTAAATTGGCAAGAGGTTAATTTACATATATTTCTACTTAAATATTTAACATTGGATTGTGAGTTCCTCTAAAAATAAAGCTGATTCTTTCTTACTAAAAAACAAATTCTTTTAAGAATATTTAATAAAGAAACTTAGAAGCATTATCTTCTCTTTTTCTTCTATTTTTTTTTAAGGAGGCAGGAGCTTTGGGAAGGAAGGGGGCAAGTTATGTGGTCTCTCTACGCCATGAAGCTAAAATGGTAGTTTTAAAATGGATTACTAGGTGAAGCCATGCAAATGCAGCTTTGGTAACTCAGCGAATTCTGCTTTTTCATCCATCTCTCTGTCAAAGTGGGCATAGCTAATGCTGGTCAGTGCAAGGGGAAGGCATTATAGGACAAGGTGGCAGTGAAGAGGGGAGAATAAGATATATTTTGATGGGCTATGGAGCTCAGGAGAATTTGGCGTTCCCAATTTATGCTGATTCTGTAGGCAACAAGAGGACCAGACAGAGGCCATCTGGAATGTTGATCTGTCCACTTCAAGCTACCCAATAGCAGAGAAGACATCTATGCATTCACTCTGGGCCCAGCTGGGTGGGTACCCAGATATTCCCAGGCTGCTTCAGTTAGAAGTGCAGTCTACCTTCCGAAAATCTCTTGCATCCCTCCAATCACGGTAAGTTATGGACTGGAAGCACTCTGGTAATTGGGCCTTTGATCATATACCTTTTGGTTCCCTAACTTGACTTTCTCCTGTAGCACCAGGTACATCAACCAAAAGTAATGTTTGGTATGAGGTTAGACTCACACCAGTCATAAAATAGTACAGGTAAATTCAGCATTAGTCTGTTAGTGTTTCTAATCATAGGCCTATAGATGTCACCACTGAATAATGTAAAACAAACAAAAAACCAGTTATAATACCATGAATCTAATCTAACACTAGATAGGTCCACTTTTAATTCCATCCTTGGGGATTTGTTAATAGAAGTACCAGAAAGACCATTGTAGAATGCTTTTCTCCATATTATGATTCAGTGACATGAGCTTAAGTGCAATTATCATATCTAGACCCAAATTGAGTAAATTAGGTGTTTACTTCCTAGGATACACTGAAGAGATGACTCCACATTTCCAAAATCTGTTGAACCAGATTCTCACTTAAACCACTAGAAATTATTCCAGAGGAAATAAGGGCTTTAGAGTCTGCATTAACTCTTTCAGGACAGATAATTATTTAATATTCTAAATCAAGAATTTAGAAAATCGAACTTTTGTTAATCTGCAAGAGTTCACAGGAGCAGTCTGATTTATTTTGGTGAAATCTAAGTCCTCACGTAAGAAGTAGTGTTAGGCCAGGTGTGGTGGCTCATGCCTGTAATCCCAACACTTTGGGAGGCCGAGGCGGGTGGATCGCCTGAGGTCAGGAGTTTCAGACCAACCTGGCCAACATAGTGAAACCCTGTCTCTACTAAAAATACAACATTAGCTGGGCATGATGGTGTACGTCTGTAATCCCAGCTACTCAGAGGCTGAGACAGGAGAATTGCTTGAGCCCAGGAGGTGGAGGTTGCAGTGAGCCCAGATTGTGCCACTGCACTCCAGCCTGGGCAATAGAGTGAGACTCTGTCTCAAAAAAAAAAAAAAAAGTAGTGTTAATTCACAAATTTGTCCAGGTGGCAGACAGCATAAAATAAGACATTTAAAATTCTATAATACAGGAAAATATTAAGAAAAATATTACTATTTGATGTATACAGTATAAAGTCATATATCATGAGCACGAGTTTATGGAAAACAGTTATTAAACCAAATGTAACCATTAAGTTGAATAAGCATGACTCTTAGGTTATAATCAGAAAGCAACATTTTTTCTGGTCTCTGATTTTCCCTTTTATAGCGATTAAATTAATTAATTTAGGTTATTTTGAGAGATAATATTGTTAATTTAATGATTATAGGGCTTTGGGACAAAATATGTAAATTTTTAAGTTTCATTTTCCTTACATTCCATTACTAGCTTCAAGTGTCAGATATCCTTCTGACCTAACCACTTCTTACTCATGCTAAATCCCTGCAGACTCTTATTTCCAGTTTACTATTTTATTTTTATTTATTTATTCATTTTCGAGACGGAGTCTTCCTCTGTCGTCCATGCTAGAGTGCAGTGGTGCAATCTTGGCTCACTGCAACCTCTGCCTCCTGGGTTCAAGTGATTCTCCTGCCTCAGCCTCCCCAAGTAGCTGGGACTACAGGTGCATGCCACCATGCCTAGCTAATTTTTTTTGTATTTTTAGTAGAGATGAGGCTTCACCATGTTGGCCAGGCTGGTCTTGAACTCTTGACCTCAGGTGATCCACCCGCCTTGGCCTCCCAAAAGGTTGGGATTACAGGCGTGAGCCACCGTGCCCGGCCTGGACATGTTTTAAAACCTACTTCGAGGCCAGGAGTGGTGGCTCATGCCTGTAATCCAGCACTTTGAGAGGCTGAGGCAGGTGGATTACTTGAGGCCAGGAGTTTGAGACCAGCCTGGCCAACTTGGTGAAACCCTGTCTCTACTAAAAATACAAAAAATTAGCTGGGCATGGTGGCACACACCTGTAGTCCCAGCTACTCAGGAGGCTGAGGCATGAGAATGGCTTGAGTCTGGGAGGCAGAGGTTGCAGTGAGCCGAGATCGCTCCACTGCACTCCAGCCTGGGCAACAAAGACTCTCTCAAAATAAAAAATAAAATAAAATAAAAAATAAAACCTACTATATGTTTCATTAAACAGTACAGCTTTGAAATTTTTCTATGCTAATAAATATAGAGCTACATCATCATTTTGTTGGTTGTGTGATATTCATTGTAGATCTGTATTTTTGTTTGTTTTTAGAGACGTGGTCGTGCTCTGTCATTCAGGCTAGAGTGCAGTGGCACAATCATAGCTCACTGTAACCTTGAACTTCTGGGGTCAAGTGATCCCCTCCTGCTTTAGTCTCCCAAGTAGCTGGGATTACAGGCACACCTGGCCCATTGTATAGATATATCATAATTTATTGAATTGTTCTCCTACTGATAGAAATTTGGATATTTTTCAACATTGCAAACAATGCTACACCAAATATCTTTGAAGTACTTTGTATATTTATATAATTATTTTCCTACAAAAATTCCATTAAAATAATATTCAGTTTTTTCCAATTGCCTAAGTAATGCATGTTCACTGAAAATTTAAAAAATACAGACAGGTCTATCCTTGGAAATAACAATCATTAATTATCAATATTTAAGCCATGTTCTAACTTTAGGTATAAGAATACTGTCTAATAAGCAATAAGCTATTGCCAAGTCCTTTTCTTCCCGATTTTGGGTCTTCAAGGCATTCTGTCACCTTTATGTAACTTTATATATATGGATTACAGGCCAGGCACAGTGGCTCACACCTGTAATCCCAGCACTTTGGGAGGCCAAGGCGGGTAGATTGCTTGAGCTCAAGAGTTCAAGACCAACCTGGGCAACATGGCAAGACCCCAGTCTGTACCAAAAGTACAAAAAAAACAGCCAGGTGTGGTGGTGTGCACCTGTGGTCCCTGCTACTTGGGAGGCTGAGGTGGGAGGATTGCTTGAGCCCAGGGAGCAGAGGTTGCAGTGAGCTGAGATGGCACCACTGTACTACAGCCTGTGTGACAGTAGGAGACCCTGTCTCAAAAAAAAAAAAAAAAAAAGGATTACATACAGATTTTACTAGTTTATCTTTTTGAGTTCTGGAGGCACTTTTATTTTCCCTATGACTCACCTATATTCCCACAAATGTGTTTAAAGCAATTTATAATGAGGTTAATTTTCTTGTCTCATTTCCAGGGTTAAGAAGATTCCCAAATGACTGTAAAATTAAATACAAGCATGTTGAAAGTACATTTCAGTATCTTTCAGTAAAATGCCTATTTTGTTCTCTTTCATGCGTATATATTGCTTTGTCTTTCCTTTGCTTTTATATTCTCCTTGCAGTTCTTCAGGTTGAACATCTTCATTTCTGGGCTACTACTATGACCACTCAAGAAAGAGTATCTTCTGCTCTACATTACTGGAAACACAAAGGTTCAACAACCCTGGGGTAGGCTGAGTCATGAAAGGGACATCATTATGGGCCCCTAACATGATGGCAAAGTGGCACAGTCTGCCTTTCCCAGTCTAAACCCGAAGATGCCTCAGAAGGAAGAAATAAATGAGTATAATGAAGGAAACTAAAAACCAGCAGACACCCCTGAAGAATTAGAAGGTGGTTATGATTGGTAATGAAGGGAAATCATAATGTTACCAGTAGAGGGTTGTGACTGCAAGTTGTCCAGGTTCTTGGCATTTTGAACAAAGAATTGGGCAAAATGCCCAGCAAAGCAAATAAAGAATGAAGCAACAGAAGAACGAAAGCAGGGATTTATTGAGAACAAAAGTACACTCCACAGTGCAGGAGTGGCCCGAGCAGCTGCTCAAGGACCTGGATACAGAATCTTCTTGGGTCCAAATACCCTCTAGAAGTTGCCTATTGATCACTTCATGCTCACCTCATGTAAATAAAGCGGTAGCCTGCAATCAGTCTGATTGGTTGCAGCAAAAAGCAACCAATCAGAGGCTAGGGTGAAGTTACAAACTTATACTCCTATTTTTTTTTTTTTTTGAGACAGAGTTTCGCTCTTGTTGCCCAGGCTGGAGTGCCATGGTGCGATCTCGGTTCTTGAAATTCTGCCTCCCAGGTTCAAGCGATTCTCCTGCCTCAGCTTCCCGAGTAGCTGGGTTTACAGGCATGCACCACCATGCCTGGCTAATTTTGTATTTTTAGTAGAGACAGTGTTTCTCCATGTTGGTCAGGCGGTTTCGAACTCCCAGCCTGAGGTGATCCACCTGCCTTGCCGTCCCAAAGTGCTGGGATTACAGGCATGAGCCACCACGCCAGGTCTCAAAGTTACACTTTTATGCAAACAAAGACTGGCCTGCAATCAGTCTGATTCATTGAGGGCAGCCAATTTCCCATCTGCCTCACAGAAAAAGGTTAAAGGGAGTAGCCTCTGGTCCTTTTGTTACTTAGGTGTGTGGAAAGTTAGGGGTTTCCTTTTCATTTAGTTCTAGGAAGTTGGCGTGCAGCCTTAGGTTTGCTGCCTCCAGACCCTGTTCTCCTTCCTCAATAACTCTGTACAGCGGAGGGCCAGGCTTCCAACACGGGGATTGTATTAGTCAGGCTTCTCTTAGAGGGACAGAACTAATAGGATATATATAAAGGGGAGTTTATTAAGTATTAACTTACACAATCACAAGGTTGCACAATAAGCTGTCTACAAGCTGAGGAGCAAGGAGAGCCAGTGCAAGTCCCAAAACTGAAGAACTTGGAGTTCAATGTTCAAGGTCAGGAAGCATCCGGCATGGGAGAAAGGTATAGGCTGGGAGGCTAGGCCCGTCTCTCATCTCTCTCCTTTTCACATTTTTCTGCCTGCTTTATATTCACTGGAAGCTGATTAGATTGTGCCCACCCAGTTAAGGGTGGGTCTGCCTTTTCCAGCCCACTGACTCAAATGTTAATCTCCTTTGGCAACATCCTCACAGGCACATGCGGGATCAGTACTTTGCATCCTTCAATCCAATCAAGTTGACACTCAGTATTAACCATCACAAGTCCACCCCTTGTCAACTTGAACACATCTCCTGAGATCATACATAATCTTCAAATAAAAACAATAATATCATAATTACACTTAACATAATATGACTATCCCTTGTACAACCAGAAAGACACCAATCCCCAACCCAAATACTGTTATATAAAGTTAACAATACTTAAATGCTGATATGAAGTCAATAAATCTTATGTCACATGATAAAGGAAAAGGAAATAAAATGAAAATAGTTTCTTAGTACAAGTGTATATACACACAAACATGTTTTTAACAAAAGAAGGAGGAAATACTCATGACAATGACAGTCCTCATTTCTGTAGCTGGTCACATGGTTGTAGCTGGTATTGATGACTATCTTCTTCTACTACCCATTCTGTATTCCCTCTGCCTTCAGCAAACACCTCAGCAGGTCATGGTTTTTTTCCTGGTGGAGTGACCCAAACCTTCATTCTTGAAGGGTCTGGACCATTTGTAGTCCTGCCTGGATTGGGCTGTTGTAGTTTCCCATTGACCTTAATCACAGGGCATGGTAATACTAAGAGATGCCTTAATGGATCTCCTGTATCCATGCATACTCTTCCGTATCTCCATTGTGGAGCAGTAGACTTATATCAGATTTCATCTTGATAGTCCGGGTCAGTCACCCCAGGCAACACTGTAACTCCCTGTTGACTTAAAGGTAGGAGGAGCCCAAAGTGTCCAGGTGGCAATCTTAACTTCCAGTTTAATGGAATCGTTGTTCTGTCTCCTGATGGCAGCGTTCCTCCCTCTGGAACTAAGACCTCTAGGCCCAGCAGAACATAATGTTGTGGGAAGAAGAAGCAAAAATGTTGCTAGTGGATCACTAGGGGTGATGGTGAGTGGTGCCACTTCCACTTCCACCTTGATTCCTGGACCTGTGAGTCTTGGCTATGGGAGAAACAGTCCCATATATTAGATGCTGATTCAGAGCATACATGGCCTTCTGGAGAATTTTGCCCCAGACCTGCAAAGTATTGTCACCTAGTTGGCATTATAATTGTGACTTCAAAAGGCCATTCCACCATGCTATCAATCCAGCTGCTTCAGGATGATGAGGAACATGGTAACACCAGTGAATTCCATGAGCATGAGCCCATTGCTGCACTTCTTTAGCTGTAAAGTGAGTGTCTTGGTCAGAGGCAATGCTGTGTGGGATACCGTGATGGTAGAAAAGGCATTCTGTGAGTCCACAGATGGTAGTCTTGGCGGAAGCACTGCGTGCAAGATAGGCAAACCCATATCCGGAGTAAGTGTCTATTCCAGTGAGGACAAACCTCTGCCCTTCCTATGATGGAAGCAGTCCAATATAATCAAACTGCCACCAGGTAGCTGGCTGATCACCTGGAGGAATGGTGTCATATCGAGGGCTCAGTGTTGGTCTCTGCTGCTGGCAAATTGGGCACTCAGCAGTGGCCATAGCCAGGTCAGCCTTGGTGAGTGGAAGTCCATGTTGCGGAGCCCACGCATAACCTCCAGTCCTGCCACCATGGCCACTTTTTTCATGGGCCCATTGGGGGATAATAGGGGTGGCTGGGGAAAGAGGCTGAGTGGTGTCCACAGAACGGATCATCCTATCCACTTGATTATTTAATTCCTCCTCTGCTAAGGTCACCCACTGGTGGGCACTCACATGGAATGCAAATATCATCACAGTTTGTGACCACTCAGAGAGGTCCATCCACATATCTCTTCCCCAAATTTTTTTTTTTTTTTTGAGACAGAGTCTTGCTCTGTCACCCAGGCTGGAGGGCAATCTCGGCTCAGTGCAAACTCCGCCTCCCAGGTTCATGCCATTCTCCTGCCTCAGCCTCCCGAGTAGCTGGGACTACAGGTGCCTGCCACCTAGCCCGGCTAATTTTTTGTATTTTTAGTAGAGATGGGGTTTCACTGTGTTAGCCAGGATGGTCTCAATCTCCTGACCTCGTGATCCACCCACTTCGGCCTCCCAAAGTGCTGGGATTACAGGTGTGAGCCACCATGCCCAGCCTCAAATTTCTTTGTCACCAATGTTCCAATCATTCTTCTCCCAAGTCCCTGACCATCCAGCCAAACCATTGGCCAAAGCCCATGAATCAGTATATAATCACACATCTGGCCATTTCTCCTTCCATGCAAAGTGCACAACTAGGCGCACTGCTCAAAGTTCTGCCGACTGGGAAGGTTTCCCTTCACTGCTCTCCTTCAGGGATGTCCTAGAAAGGGGCTATAGTGCTGCAGCTGTCCACTTTCAGGTGGTACCTGCATATTGTGTAGAACCATCTGGAACCAGGCCCTAGTCTTCTCTTCCTCTGTCAACTGATCATAGAGAACTCCCCATGAGGCCATCGGTGCAGGCTGGGGAAGAGAAGGCAGGGTGGCAGAAGTGGAGACCATGGGCATTTGAGCCACTTCCTCATGTAACTTGTGCCTTCAGGACCTGCTCGAGCCCGATCATGTATATACCACTTCCATATGATGACAGAATGCTGCTGTGCATGACCCATTTTAAAGCTGGATGGGTCAGAAAGCACCCAGTTCATGATAGGCAGTTCAGGTCGCATGGTGACTTGATGACCCATAGTCAAATGTTCAGTTTCCACCAAAGCCCAGTAGCAGGCCAAGAGCTGTCTCTCAAAATGAAAGTAGTTATCTACAGAAGATGGCAGGGCCTTATTCCAAAATCCTACAGACCTCCGCTGTGATTCACCCATGGGGGCCTGCCAAAGGCTCCAAACAGCATCCCTATCTGCCACGGACACCTCAAGCACCATTGGATCTGCTGGGTCATATGGCCCAAATGGCAGAGTAGCTTGCACAGCAAAATGGACCTGTTGCAGAGCCTTCTCCTGTTCTGGAACCCACTCAAAACTGGCAGCCTTTCAGGTCAGTCAATAAATGGGCCGGAGTAACACACCCAAATGAGGAATGTGTTGCCCCCAAAATCCAAATAGGCCCACTAGGCATTGTGACTCTTTCTTGGTTGTAGGAGGGGCAAATGCAACAACTTATCCTTCACTTTAGAAGGAATATCTTGACAGACCCCACACCACTGGACCCCTAGAAATTTTACGGAGGTAGAAGGTCCCTGAGTTTTAGTCTGATTTATTTCCCATCTCAGCCTCCCAAAGTGCTGGGTGTGAGTCACCACGCCCGGCATCTCACCCAGTCTTATGGCTTTAAATACCATATACATGCTGATGACTCCAAATGTATATCTCAGCTCTGACTTTGCCTCTGAGCTTTGCCCCTGAATTCTAGTGCTATATATCCAACTATCTACTTGATATCTCCACTTGGCTGAGCTCCTGATGGTCAGCACCAAGCCTATTTCTTATGCTTTGTCCCTGATATACTTTTTGCCTTGATTTCTAGTTTGAATTCATCTGATAGGAAATAGCTACCTGGTTTGTTCCTGGTATGTGAGTGTGTGTTCATATTAGGATGAAATGTCTATTTATATCTTTTTTTTTTTTTTGAGACGGAGTCTTGCTCTGTCACCCAAGCTGGAGTGCAGTGGCACAATCTGGGCTCACTGCAACCTCCGCCTCCTGGGTTCAAGTGATTCTTCTGCCTCAGCCTCCTGAGTAGCGGGGTTTACAGGTGCACACCACCATGCCTGGCTAATTTTTGTATTTTTGGTAGAAACGGGGTTTCACCATGTTGGTCAGGCTGGTCTCGAACTCCTGACCTCGTGATCCGCCCGCATCGGCCTCCCAAAGTGCTGGTATTATTTACTTCTTTTTACTTACAACTTGCCCATATACTTTCATTTTAAGCGTATCTCATAGTATAGAGATAGTGTATTGCTAGACCTCAATTTTTAAATCCAGTCTGAGATCCAATCTGAGTTTCTGCTTTCTTATTGATCAACATAACGGATTAATATTTATCGTAATTTCAGTCATATTGGGACTTATTTTTGTTATCTTATTTATAAAGATTAGTAAGATAAAAAAGTCTCTAAGATTTCTTTTTTTTTTTTTTTTTGAGACAGAGTCTCACTCTGTCGCCCAGGTTGGAGTGCAGTGGCACAATCTCGGGCTTACTGCAACCTCCGCCTCCCGGGTCCAAGCGATTCTCCTGCCTCAGCCTCCCAAGTAGCTGGGGTTACAGGCGCGTGCCACCATGCCCAGCTAATTTTTTGTATTTTTAGTAGAGATGGGGTTTCACCGTGTTAGCCAGGATGGTCTCAATCTCCTGACCTCATGATCCGCTCGCCTCGCCTTGGCCTCCCAAAATGCTGGGATTACAGGCATGAGCCACTGCGCCTGGCCTAAAAAATCTCTAAGATTTCTTAAGAAAGAAAGATGATGGCCGGGCACGGTGGCTCATGCCTGTAATCCCAGCACTTTGGGAGGCCAAGGTGGGAGGATCACCTGAGGTCGGGAGTTCGAGGCCAGCCTGACCAACATGGAGAAACCCCGTCTCTACTAAATATACAAAATTAGCCGGGTGTGGTTGTGCATGCCTGTAATCCCAGCTAGGGGAGCCGAGATTGCGCCATTGCACTCTAGCCTGGGCAACAAGAGCGAAACTCCATCTCAAAAAAAAAAAAGAAGAAGGAAAATAATCAAATTACATAATGAAATTAAGAGAACTACTACAGATACAACAGAAATAGAAAACCATATGATGGTCAATTATAGACTAATACATTTAATAATAAATGAATTAGATCGTTTTTGGTAAGAAGAAGAATAAGAAAAAACAAAAATAAAAATAAATAGATGGTTTTTAGAAAATATAAAATGTCAAAATTGGGAAAATAAATTAAGTATGAACAGATAAATATCTATAAATAAATTGGTAATTAAAGACCTTATCCAAAGAAAAAAGCTTTAGGCGGATCAGGTTTTACAGTGAGTTTTACCAAGACTTCAAAGAACAAATAATCCTTTTAACAAATAAGTTTTTCTAGAAAAGAGGAGAAGCTGCTTTACTCTTTATTTCAAAATCAGATTAAGACCATATAAGAAAAGAGAATCATATACTCAAGTTACTGGCTGGGTGCGGTGGCTCACGCCTGTTATCCCAGTACTTTGGGAGGCCTAGGCGGGTGGATCACTTGAGGCCAAAAGTTCAAGACCAGCCTGGCCAACATTGTCTTTATGACCAGGCTGGCCAAACTCTGTCTCTATGAAAAATACAAAACAAAATTAGCTACTCAGGAGGCAAAGCACAAAAATCGCTTGAACGTGGGAGGCGGAGGTTGCAGTCAACTGAAATCTTGCCACTGCACTCCAACCTGGGAGACAGAGCGAGACTCTATTTAAAACAATAAATAAATAAACTGAAGTCACCGATGGAAATAGATTTTTTAAAAAGATGCACATAAATATCCAACTGAACCCAACAATTAAGGTTTTCTTCCAGGAATACAAGAATGGCTTAACATGAGACAACTATCTATCTAATTAACTGGATCTATGAATTAAAGAAGGAAAATCACATGATCATCCCAAGAGGTACAGAATAAAAACATCTAATAAACATTTACGTTTTAAAATTCTTTATAAATGGCCAACACAGTGAAACCCCGTCTCTACTAAAAATACAAAAAATTAGCCAGGCGTAGTGGTGGGCACCTGTAATTCTAGCTACTCGGGAGGCTGAGGCAGGAGAATTGCTTGAACCTGGGAGGAGGAGGTTGCAGTGAGCCGAGATCGTGCAATTGCACTCCAGCCAGGGCAACAAGAGTGAAACTGTCTCAAAAAAAAAAAAAAAAAAGAAAAATCTTTAGAAAAACAGAAATATTACTATATATAGCACAATACCTTTATCCTGAAAATTTTTTAACTTTGTGAAATGACACAAAAAAAGATCTTAAAAAAAAAAAAAAAAGGTCGGGCATGGTGGCTCACACCTGTAATCCCAGAACCTTGGGAGGCCGAGGTGGGTGGATCACCTGAGGTCAGGAGTTTGAGACCAGCCTAACCAATATGATGAAACCTCGTCTCTATTAAAAATACAAAAATTAGCCCGGTGTGGTGGCATGCGCCTGTAATCCCAGGCGCCAATCTGCAGTGAGCAGAGATGGCACCATTTCACTCCAGCCTGGGCAACAAGAGCAAAACTCCATCTCAAACAAAAAAGCAAAAAAACAAAAAAAAACACACATACAAAAACTACATTCTTAGATAAGACACCTTATCTTAGTAAAGATAATGATTCTCCCCAAATTAATCTATAAATTCAAATATATTAAATATATAGAAAATGGACTTTTTTTTCTTTTTTTCAGACAGACTGTCACTCTGTCACCTAGGTTGGAGTGCAGTGGTGTGATCTCGTCTCACTGCAACCTCTGCTTCCCAGGTTCAAGTGATTCTCCAGCCTTAGCCTCCTGAGTAGCTGGGATTAGTGTATATTTAGTAGAGACAGGGTTTCATCATGTTGGTCAGGCCAGTCTCCAACTCCTGGCCTCAAGTGATCAGCCTGCCTCGGCCTCCCAAAGTGCTGGGATTACAGGCGTGAGCCAGAAAATGTTTTTAAATGTTAAAAATGTTAGCTGGAACTTTTTCTAGCTGTGACAAACTCTTTCTAAAGTGATTACGGAAAAGTAGTCAATGAAAAGATAAGTCAATTTCAAAAAAGGAGGTTAAAAGGGGAATAATAGGCCAGGTGTGGTGGCTCACACCTGTAATCCCAGCACTTTGGGAGGCTGAGACAGGCGGATCATGAGGTCAGGAGTTCGAGACCAGCCTGGCCAACATGGTGACTCTACTAAAAATACAAAAATTAGCCGGGCATGGTGGTATGTGCCTGGAATCCCAGCTACTCAGGAGGCTGAGGTTGCAGTGAACTGAGATCGTGCCATTACATTCCAGCCTGGGCAATAGAGTGAGACTCTGTCTCAAAAACAACAACAACAACAAAAAACAGGGGGGTGATAATAACAACTATTAAGACCTAACACACTATAGAAATTTTTTAAAACCCAGTGAGATAGACACAAGGACAAATAAACCAATGGAACAGATAGAAAATTCAGGATAGATCCATGATACATAGAACTTCACATGAAAAAGGTGGCATCATAAAGGTGGCAAAGGCGTCTTTATGACAAAAAGCCAGATTGTTTAGAAATTATGTGGATAGGCCGGGTGCAGTGGCTCATGCCTGTAATCCCAGAACTTTGGGAGGCCAAGGCAGGTGGATCGCCTGAGGTCAGGAGTTCAAGACCAGCCTGGCCAACATGGTGAAACCCCATCTCCACTAAAAACACAAAAATTAGCTGGGTGTGGTGGCTCATGCCTGTAATCTCAGCTACTTGAGAGGCTGAGGCTTGAGGATCCGGGAGGCAGAGGTTGCAGTGAGCCAAGATCGTGCCACTGCACTCTAGCCTGGGTGATAGAGCATGACTCTGTTGCAAAAAAAAGAAAAAAGAAAAGAAATTATGTTGATAAAACTGGTTTGTAATATGAAGAAAATTAAGTTAGAGCCTTACCTCACACTAAAGGTGAATTTCAGATGGATTAAAGCTATAAAGAACCAGGCCAGGCACGGTGGCTCACACCTGTAATCCCAGCAATTTTGGAGGCCGAGGCAGACAAATCACCTGAGGTCCGGAGTTGGAGACCAGCCTGGCCAACATGATGAAACCCCGTCTCTACTAAAAATACAAAAAATTAGCTGGGTGTGGTGGCAGGTGCCTGTAATCCCAGCTACTCTGGAGGCTGAGGCAGGAGAATCGCTTGAACCCAGGAGGCAGAGGTTGCAGTGAGCCGACATCATGCCATTGAACTCCAGCCTGGGCAACATGAGTGAAACTCCATCTCAAAAAAAAAAAAAAAGAAAAAAGATATAAAGAAACAGAGGGGCACAGTGGCGTGAGCCTGTAATCCCAACACTTTGGGAGGCTGAAAGGGAAGGATCACTTGAACCCAGGAGTTTGAGACCAGCCTGGTAAACATGGTGAGACCCCATCTCTCTTAAAAAGAAAAAAATTAAATTTAAAAATATATATAAAGGAAAAAGTAAACCACAAAGCTAATGGAAGATAATGAATTCTTATCCATGGGTAAAAAAAGTATAATATGTTTGTGACTTAGCATGAGAGCATGAGGAAAGGTTTCTTAAACAAGATACCAAAATACAAAATTTAAGGCTGAAAGTTAATGAATTATTTACTAGCATGGCAAATTTAAGAGGTGGTTAATACCAAATCTTAGCATGAATTTGGGAGGAGACTGACCTCTTGTGCACTGCAAAAGGAACTGTAAACTATCTTAATTGTTCTGGAAATACTCTGGATGTGCTTGGTAAAGTTAAGTGTGTGTGTGTGTGTGTGTGCTCTGTCACCCCAAGATCCCATCTCCTGGGTATATGTCCTAGAAAAATTGTCATGTGGCTTACCACAGTAACACATACAAGCGTTTATCCAGCTCTCCCAATGATAGCAGGGAAGTGGAAGCAACCCAGGTGTTTTTTGTTTGTTTGTTTGTTTGTTTGTTTGTTTGTTTTTTGAAAGAGGGTCTCGCTCTGTCTCCCAGGCTGGAGTGCAATGGCACAGTTTCGGCTCACTGCAGCCTTGACCTCCTGGCGATCCTCCCACCTCAGCCTCTTGAATAGCTGGGACTACAGGCATGCACAAGCACACTGGGCTAATTTTTTTATTTTTTTGTGGAGACAGTATTTCACCATGTTGCCCAGGCTGGTCTCAAAGTCCTGGGCTCAAGTGATCCACCCACCTCAGCCTCCCAAAGTGCTGGGATTACAGGTGTGAGCCACCGTGCCTGGCCCAGCCCAAGTGTTTTTTGTTTTGTTTTTGTTTTTTGGTTTTTTTTTTTTTGAGACGAAGTCTCACTCTGTTGCCCAGGCTGGAGTGCAGTGGTGTGATCTCTGCTCACTGCAACCTCCACCTCCCAGGTTCAAGTGATTCTCCTGTCTCAGCCTCCCAAACAGCTGGGACTACAGGCACGTGCCACCATGCCTGGCTAATTTTTTGTATTTTTAGAGAGACGGGGTTTCACCACATTAGTCAGGATGGTCTCCATCTCCTGACCTCATGATCCGCCCACCTCGGCCTCCCAAAGTGCTGGGATTACAGGCATAAGCCACTGTGCCCGGTTGTCTTTTTTTTTTTTTTTTGAGACAGAGTGTCACTCTGTCGCTCAGGCTGGAGTGCAGTGGCGTGATCTTGGCTCACTGCAACCTCCGCCTCCTGGGTTCAAGTGATTCTCCTGCCTCAGCCTCCTGAGTAGCTGGGTTTACAGGCGTGCACCAACTCCTGGCCTCAAGTGAGGAGGATTTTTGTATTTTTGTATTTTTAGTAGAGACAGGGTTTCGCCATGTTGGTCAGGCTGGTCTCGAACTCCTGACATTGTAATCTGCCCACTTCAGCCTCCCAAAGTGCTGGCATTACAGGTGTGAGCCACCGCATCCGGCCAGCCCAAGTGTTTTAACCAACCAAGAATGGGTACCTAAAATAGGTGGATGCAAACTGTGAGAGAAATGTAACAACTAAAAGTAACAAACTAGGTGTACATATGGAGCACAGATGTAAACACAAATGCTAAATGAAAACAGGCTGGGCGCGGTGGTTCACGCCTATAATCCCAGCACTTTGGGAGGCCGTTTGAGTCCAGGAGTTCGAGACCAGCCTGGATAACGTGGCGAGATCCTGTCTTTACAAAAAATAAAAAAACTAAGCCGGACTTGGTGGCGCTTGCCTGAAATCCCAGCTATTTGGCAGGCTGAGGTGAAAGGATCACTTGAGCCTGTGAAGAGGGGATTGCAGTCAGCCATGATTGTACCAATGCACTCCAGCCTGGGTGATAGAGCAAGGCCCTGTCTTAAAAAAAAAAAAAAAAAAAAAAGGAAAAGAAAAAAGGATATTTAAAGCACAATACTATTTATACATATTAAATAGAAAGGCCAAGTGTGGTGACTCACGCCTGTAATCCCACCACTTTGGGAAGCCAAGGCAGGCAGATCACCTGAGATCAGGAGTTCCAGACCAGCCTGGCCAACATGATGAAAACCCGTCTCTACTAAAAACACAAAATTAGCCGGGTGTGGTGTCACACGCCTATAATCCCAGCTACTTGGGAGGCTGAGCCAGGAGAATGGCTTGAATCTGGGAGGGAGAGGTGGCAGTGAGCCGAGATTGTGCCACTGCACTCCAGCCTGGGTGACAGAGTGAGACTCAGTTTCAAAAAAAAAAAAAAAAGAAAGAAAGAAATACACCTTCTGGGTTCCGGTGACTCGTCCCAATCTCTTCCTAAAAACTATACAGAGCAAAAAGGACAGCAAATAAAAATTCCTACAACATATATTGACCAGCAAAAAAGATTGCTACAATCCGCAATATACATACAAGTTGGAAAAAATACCCTGGAAACCAGCCAGAACCCCCACAAGTGTGTAGACATCACTGGAGCTGCTTGAAAGAGTAGGGAATATGGAGGGTCTTAAACATTAATGGAACCTGATAACATCAACAAGTTTCACTCCCAGAAAAAGGTGCCCGACCCTTAGTGGGAACAGCCAAGAACTGGTCTGAAACCTGGCGTATCAGCACTGGCAACAGGAGTCATAAGGCTT
This sequence comes from Homo sapiens, assembly GCF_000001405.40. Lineage (NCBI taxonomy): Eukaryota > Metazoa > Chordata > Mammalia > Primates > Hominidae > Homo > Homo sapiens. The sequence continues at coordinate 50,315,054 of NC_000012.12, read as the reverse complement.
GGAGAATTCATAGGAACAACAGTGGCAGTCTTGCGAAAGTGTGTCATTCGGGATAAAGAGGCACTTTGGAAAATAAAATAAATATTCCTGGTAATAAGTATCCCACTGAAAAAAACACTAGGAAAATCAGAGAGTTTGACTACAAGAAAGGCACACTATGACAACAGGAGAGGGAGCTCTTGAGCTAAAAAACCAAACCAGGAAAGACCCTCAAAACACATTCTCTTCTAAAGATCCATCTATTAAAAGCTGGTCCAGGCTGGGTGCAGTGGCTCAAGCTTGTAATCCCAGCACTTTGGGAGGCAGAGGTTGGGGGGGATCACCTGAGGATGGGAGTTCGAGACCAGCCTGACCAACATGGAGAAACCCCATCTCCACTAAAAATACAAAATTAGCTGGGCGTGGTGGTGCATGCCTGTAATCCCAGCTACTGGGGAGGCTGAGGCAGGAGAATCCCTTGAACCCGGGAGGCGGAGGTTGCAGTGAGCCAAGATCACACCATTGCACTCCAGCCTGGGCAACAAGAGTGAAACTCTGTCTCAAAAAAAAAAAAGCTGGTCCAGAAAAATCCAACATATTCAAATACGAGGCCAGGCATGGTGGCGTACACCTGTAATCCTAGCACTTTGGGAGGCCCAGGTGGGAGGATCACTTGAGGCCAGGAGTTTCAGACCAGCCTGGCCAACATGGTGAAACCCTGTCTCTACTAAAAATACAAAATTAGCCAAGTGTGGTAGCGGGTGCCTGTAATCCCAGCTACTTGGGAGGCTGAGGCATGAGAATCGCCTGAACCGAGAGATGGAGGTTGCAGTGAGCCAAGATCGCTGCCACTGCACTCCAGCCTGGGTGACAGAGCAAGACTGTCTCAGAAATAAACAAATAATAAATAAACTCAAATATGAATAATAATCACAACCAAAATTCAGTATCCCGGCCGGGCGTGGTGGCTCACGCCTCTAATCCCAGTGCTTTGGGAGGCTGAGGCCAGTGGATCACCTGAGGTCAGGAGTTTGAGACCAGCCTGGCCAACATGTTGAAACTCCATCTCTACAAAAAAATACAAAAAAATCATCCTGGTGTGGCAACACACACCTGTAATCCCAGCTACTCAGGAGGCTGAGGCAGGAGAATCGCTTGAACCTGGGAGGTGAAGGTTGCAGTGAGCTGAGATTGCACCACTGCACTCCAGCCTGGGTGACAGAGCAAGACTCTGTCTCAAAAAAAAAAAAAAGGAAAACAAACCAACAAAAAAATTCAGTATCCATACAAAGTTACAGTAAGAACAAAACCCCACAGAAACAAGAATCATAAGTTATGACAGGTGAAACTATACCAGAAAAAAATACTATCCCAAAACAGAAACCAAGACAAACTACAGGATACATAAGTGTAGTGGATGCTATGGTATGTTCCCTAAATACCCACTTCGGGACTGGAGCACTCATACTTCAAGTTGCTGGTAATGGTGGCTGAATCCTTCTCTGGGACTCAAAGGGAATCCCTCCACCCAAGGCAACACCCTGTCCCAAAGATCCATCTGCATGTAGTGACAGGTCCATGCCAAGATATAGAAGCCCTTGCCTCAGGGTGAGACAACTCTGACAGGGGATTCTGACTTGAAAGCTCCCCACGGGATTGGCTGAGATCTTTATTGCAACTGCATCATGGTCAGCGGTGTGCTGGAACTGGCTCCTACTGGCTTGTGAGAACCAATTGTTACGGTTTTAGGAATTTTGCAAGCAGGTTGTTAAACACAGCCATTATTAAAACTTAAATTACATATACTTAAAACTAAATAATATTCAAAACCAAGGTAATAAACACTCAATACATATTACTTTCTAATTATTTTACTACATGTACTATTATCTGTTCTTTAGAGATTGTCTATATATACCTGAAGGGGTGCTACTATGCATTTTTATTTTATTTTATTTTATTTTATTTTGAGATGGGTTCTTGCTTTGTTGCCCAGGATAGAGTGCAGTGGCACAATCATGGCTCACGCAATCCCCTCCTCCCAGGCTCAAGCAATCCTCCCATCTCAGGCTCCCAAGTAGCTGGGACTATAGGCAGGCACTACCATGCCCGGCTAATTATTTTATTTTATTTTTTAAATTTTATTTATTTATTTTTTGAGATGGAGTCTCACTCTGATGCCCAGGCTGGAGTGCAGTGGCGCAATCTCAGCTCACTGCAACCTCTGCCTCCCAGGTTCAAGCGATTCTCCTGCCTCAGCCTCCCAAGTAGCTGGGATTACAGACGGGCACCATCACGCCCAGCTAATGTTTGTATTTTTAATGGAGATGGGGTTTCACCGTGTTGGCCAGGCTGGTCTCAAACTCCTGACCTCAAGTGATCTGCCTGCCTCGGCCTCCCAAAGTGCTGGGATTACAGGCATGAGCCACCGCGCCAGGCCAAATTTTTTTATTTTTTTTGTAGAGAGAGGGTCTCGCCATGTTGTTCAGGCTGGTCTGAAACTCCTGAGCTCAGGTGATCCACCTGCCTTGGCCTCCCAAAGTGCTGGGATTAGCTACTATGCATTTCTTTCCAGCTCCATGTTCAGTAACATCATGTTGCCAATTTTCAGTTAGCCATGATATAAATATTTACACACTGATTGGGCGCGGTGACTCACGCCTGTAATCCCAGCCCTTTGGGAGGCCGAGGCGGGTGGATCACTTGAGGTCAGGAGTTTGAGATCAGCCTGGCCAACATGGTGAAACCCTGTCTCTACTAAAAATACAAAAAAAATTAGCTGGGCCTGGTGGCGGGTGCCTGTATGGAGGCAGAGGCCAGAGAATCTCTTGAACGTGGGGGGCAGAGGTTGCAGTGAGCCAAGATCACGCCACTTCACTCTAGCCTGGGCAAAAGAGTGAAACTCCATCTCAAAAAAAAGAAAGACATATTTATACACTGGAAATTGTCAAATGTTACAAATCAAAGCTTTCCTCCCCCAAGAGCCAGTTGTTAACTATTTACTAGCACATCACTGATTACAGTTCAGCTGTTACTCTTGTCCAATCCTCCTCCTTTCACTTTGTCACAACTGTCGATTCCAAATGTGTACATGTCTCTGTCTTAGAATCTGCGTCCCAGAGAATGTGACCTCAATCAACAAAAAGAATAGTAAGGACCAAATATATAATGTGAGATATAGAGTGTGGAAATAAGAAAGGCCAAGAAAAATTAAAAAGATTAAAAAGATTGAAAACAAAGTGATAAAATAATCAAACCAGATCCAACATATGTATTTCTGGATGCCATGAAGAAGAAAACAAAAGTAATGGAATAGAATTAATATTTACAACTATAATTCAATTAACACTTTGGGTGGAGGTGGGAGAAGACATGACTCTACATACTGGAAGAGCAAACCATGCATCAAATAAAATAAACCCAAATTGGTTAACTCTAAGATATATCCTAGAAAACTATTATTCTTTAGTCCTTTATGTTTTTAAGACAGGGTTTTGCTGTGTTGCCCAGGTTACAGTGCAGTGGCAGAATCATGGCTCACTGCCGCCTCAACCTTCCAGGCTGAAGCGATTCTCCTACCTCGGCCTCCCAAGTAGCTGGGACCACAGGTCCATGCCACCATGCCTGGCTAGTTTTTCATTTCTTCTTTTCTTTTTTTTTTTTTCTGAGACGGAGTCTTGCTCTGTCGCCCAGGCTGGAGTGCAGTGCTGCGATCTCGGCTCACTGCAACCTCCACCTCCCGGGTTCAAGCAATTCTCTGCCTCAGCCTTCTGAGTAGCTGGGACTACAGGCGCCCGCCACTACACCTGGCTAATTTTTGTATTTTTAGTAGAGATGGGGTTTCACCATATTGGCCAGGCTGGTCTTGAACTCCTGACCTCATGATCCACCCACCTCAGCCTCCCAAAGTGCTGAGATTACAGGCGTGAGCGACCCCACCCAGCCTGGCTAATTTTTTTTTTTTTTAAGTCAAGATCTCACTCTGTTGCTCAGGCTGGAGTGCAGTGGTGTGATCATAGCTCACTGCAACCTCAAACTCCTGGGCTCAAGCCATCCTCCTGCCTCAGCCTCCCAACTAACTAGGACTACAGGCACATGCCACTACACCCAGCTAATTTTTTTTATTTTTACTCTTGCTATGTTGCCGAGGTTAGTCTTGAACTCCTGGGCTAAAGCAATCCTCCCACCTCAGCCTCTCGATGCTGGGATTACAGGCATGAGCCACAACACTCAGCCTAATTTTTAAATTTTTGGTAAAGACAGGGTCTTCTTATGTTGCCCAGGCTGGTCTCAACCTGAGCTCAAGTGATCCTCCTGCTTCAGCTTCCCAAAGTGCTGTGATGATAGGCATGAGCCACCACACCTGGCCAACTATTATACTTTAATACAAAGAAAAAAAATTACCTGTGCTTCCTGGCAAAAAGATCAAGTTACCTTCTAAGGATATCAAACCAGTTTGGCATCAGAGCTCTCAACAATACTCAAAGCCAGAAAATAGTAAAGCAACATCTACAATTGAATGAAGGGAAAAAATGTGCACCAGGGATTCTAAATGCCAACAAACTGTCCTACAAGTAGCAAGGCTATAGAAAAAAAGTCTTCAGTGTGCTAAACATCAGGGACTATTATACTCATTAGTCCTTCATGCAAACAAACTGCACCCAACTAAGAAAGGACTGAGAAAACTTCAGCAAAGAGACTGATGGCGAGTGTTGAATATATTTAGCTGAATATCCAAGACTAAAACACAAGTGGAGATATGAATAGTGATGCGGTTCAGAACACTCTACCTCTTGGCATTTGAGAAAACAGCAGAAACATGATCACTCTCACTTTTCTCTCACCCTTCTCCCCAGAAGCAGGTCACAAAACCCTCATGTGAGAGGTACCCTCCCTATGCCCAGAGGAAGGGAACATCCTTATCTCTGAAGACAGAGGGACATAGGAGAGAATCTGAACAAACAGACCTTGCTGAGTTTCTCCGAATTTTTTCCCATTAGTTCATACCCCTTTCTCCTCCAATCATATTTCCCCTTGACTGTTCACATTCCATCAAACTGAGCATAAAACATACAATTTTCCCTGTTTCTTTGGGTCTTCATTTCTGAAGGCTCCTGTGTCATGTAAAGACTTGTGAGATAAATTTCCATGCTTTTCTCTTGTTAATTTGGCTTTTGTTATAGGGATCTCAGCCATGTACCCAGTAACAGGTGAGAAAATAAATCTTTCTTCCCCTGCAATTGTATATAAATTTTATATGCTCTGACAATTTAGTAATTAAACAAAAAAAGAGAGAGAGAGAGAGAGAAGGAGTATAGGCTGGGTGCGGTGGCTCACACCTGTAATCCCAGCACTTTGGGAGGCTGAGGCGGGTGGATCACCTGAGGTCAGGAATTCAAGACCAGCCTGGCCAACATGATGAAATCCCTTCTCTACTAAAAACACAAAAAATTAGCTGGGCGTGGTGGCAGACGCCTGTAATCCCAGCTACTCGGGAGGCTGAGGCAAGAGAATTGCTTGAACCTGAGAGGCAGAGGTTGCAGTGAGCCAAGATCATGCCACTGCACTCCAGCCTGGGGGACAAGAGCGAAAACTTTGTCTCAAAAAACAAAACAAAACAAAAAAAGGAGTATAAAGAAGTAGAACTGGGGCTAGGCACAGTGGCTCCTGCCTGAAATCCCAGCACTGTGGGAGGCCAAGGTGGGCAGATCACTTGAGGTCAGGAGTTTGAGACCAGCCCGGCCAACATGGTGAAACCCCGTCTCTATTAAAAATACAAAAATTTGGCCGGGAGTGGTGGCTCACACCTGTAATCCCAGCACTTTGGGAGGCCAAGGCGGGTGGATCACGAGGTCAGGAGATGGAGACCATCCTGGCTAACACGATGAAACCCTGTCTCTACCAAAAAATACAAAAAAAGTTAGCCAGGCATGGTGGCGGGCGCCTGTAGTCCCAGCTACTCGGGAGACTGAGGCAGGAGAATGGCCGGAACCCGGGAGGCGGAGCTTCCAGTGAGCCGAGATCGCGCCACTGCACTCCAGCCTGGGTGACAGAGTGAGACTCCGCCTCAAAAAAAAAAAAAAATTAGCTAGGCATGGTGGTGCGTGACTGTAATCCCAGCTACTCAGGAGGCTGAGGCAGAAGAATCGCTCGAACCTGGGAGGCGGAGGTTGCAGAGAGATGAGATCGCACCACTACACTCCAGTCTGTGCAACAGAGGGAAACTCCATTTCAAAAAAAAAAAAAAAAAAGTAGAATTGGCTCATTGATTATCTCATAAGTAAAAAGTAGGGATAAATGATGTCATTTAAGGCCAAGAAACTGGATATTATGTATTTTACTTATTTATTTGTTTAGAGACAGAGTCTCGCTCTGTCACCTAAGCTGGAGTGCAGTGGTATGATCATGGCTCACTGCAGCCTTGACCTCCCAGGCTCAAGTGACGCTCTCACCTCAGCCTCCTGAGTAGCAGGTAGCTGGGACTACAGACATGATGAGCCACCACACCCAGCCAAACTGAGCATTATAAACCAAAATATATTAAAGAGGATAAGAATAAATACTAAGGACCAGGTACAGTGGCTCACACCTTTAATCCCAACACTTTGGGAAGCCGAGGCGGGTGGATCACGAGGTCAAGAGATCAAGACCATCCTGGCCAACATGGTGAAACCTCGACTCTACTAAAAATATGAAAAAATTATCTGGGCTTGGTGGCGCACGCCTGTAGTCCCAGCTACTCAGGAGGCTGATGCAGGAGAATCACTTGAACCTGAGAGGTGGAGGTTGGAATGAGCCGAGATCGCGCCACTGCACTCCAGCCTGGCAACAGAGTGAGACTCCATCTCAAAAATAAATAAATAAATAAAAATGAAATTACAAAAATTAGCCAGGCATGGTGGTGCGAGCCTATAATCCCAGCTACTCAGGAGGCTGAGGCGGAGAATCACTTGAACCCAGGGGGCAGAGGTTGCAGTGAGCCGAGATCGCACCGCTGCACTCCAGCCTGGGTGACAGAGCAAGACTCCGACTCAAAAAAAAATAAAATAAAATAGGCCAGGCATGGTGGCTCACGCCTGTATTCCCAGCACTTTGGGAGGCCGAGATGGGCAGATCACAAGGTCAGGAGATCGAGACCATCCTGGCTAACATGGTGAAACCCTGTCTCTACTAAAAAAAAATACAAAAAATTAGCTGGGCATGGTGACCGGCGCCTGTAGTCCCAGCTACTCGGGAGGCTGAGGCAGGACAATGGCATGAACCCGGGAGAAGGAGCTTGCAGTGAGCCAAGATCGCGCCACTGCACTCCAGCCTGGGCAACACAGCACGACTCCATCTCAAAAAAATATAAATACAATACAATACAATACAATACAATAAATACTATACAATAAAATAAATAAATACTAAGAAAGATAATACTATTAACTAAAATTGGATGGTGAAGGGCACAGAGGAGAGAAGGAGGAGGTTTCAAGTTCTTTCATTGTTGCTCCAAATAGGAAACTAATAGTCAATGGCTAAAGAAAAAGGGGACCGAGGTGTTATATGAATACTGATATAAAGGTAATAATTACAGGCCAGGTGGGGTGGCTCATGCCTATAATCTCAGCACCTTGGGAGGCCAAGGTGGGCAGATTGCTTGAGGTCAGGAGTTTGAGACCAGCCTGGCCAACATCTCCACAAAAAATACAGAAATTAGCCAGGCATGATGGTGCACACTTGTAGAGCCAGCTACTCGGGAGGCTGAGGTGGGAGGATCACTTGAACCCAGGAGGCGGAGGTTGCAGTGAGCCAAGATCATGACACTGACTCCAGCCTGGGTGACAGAGTGAGACCCTGTTTCAAAAAAAAACAAAAACAAAAAAACAAAAAAATCGCCGGGCAAGGTGGCTCACACCTGTAATCCCAGCACTTTGGGAGGCCAAGGCAGCCAGATCACCTGAGGTCAGGAGTTTGAGACCAGCCTGACCAACATGAAGAAACCCCGTCCCTACTAAAAAAAAAAAAAAAAAAAATTAGCCAGGCATGGTGGCGCATGCCTGTAATCCCAGCTACTCGGGAGGCTGAGGCAGGAGAATCACATGAACTTGGGAGGCAGAGATTTTGGTGAGCCAAGATCACGCCATTGCACTCCAGCCTGGGCAACAAGAGTGAAACTCCGTCTCAAAAAAAAAAAAAAATAAATAAATAAAAATAAAAAAAGAAGAACAAGCAATAACAAACAAGAATTTAGGAGAACTAAACAATGATGTTGATGAGCTTGCTTATTTATTTATTTAGAGATGGGGTTTCACTCTTGTTGCCCAGGCTGGAGTGCAATGGCGTGATCTCGGCTCACCTCAACCTCCACCTTCCCAATTCAAGCAATTCTCCTGCCTCAGCCTCCCGAGTAGCTAGGATTACAGGCATGTGCCACCACGCCCGGCTAGTTTTGTATTTTTCGTAGAGATGGGATTTCTCCATGTTGGTCAGGCTAGTCTCGAACTCCCAACCTCAGGTGATCCACCTGTCTTGGCCTCCCAAAGTGCTAGGATTACAGGCGTAAGCCACTGTGCCATTCTGGTGAGCTTATTCATAAGATGGGTAAAAAGTTTGTGAATTATTTATTATAAAATTGTACGTGATGGTGTATCAGTTATCTATTACTGCATAGCAAATTACCTCCAAAATTTAGTAGCTTAAAACAACATACATACATCTCATAATTTCTGTGGGTCAGGATTTAGCAGCAGTTTAGCTGGCAGGTTCTGGCTCAGGGTCTTTCATGACATTGGAGTCAAGATGTTGGCTGGGGTTGCAGTCGTCCAAAAGCTTGGTAGAGGGTAGGGGAAGAGGTTGGAGGATCTGCCTTCAAATTAGCTCACTCACATAGTTCTTAGCTAGAGGCCACAGGGACCTCTTCATAAAGTTTCTTGAGTATCCTTATGACATGATGACTGGTTTCATCCACAATAAATGGTCCAAGAGAGGAAGGATGAAGCCACAATGCCTTTATATGACCTAGTCTTAGAAGTGACACACTGTCAGGCCAGGCGCAGTGGCTTACACCTGTAATCCCAGCACTTTGGAAGGTCGAGGCAGGAGAATCCCTTGAGCCCAGGCACTCAAGACCAGCCTGGGCAACATAGTGAGACCGTATCCCTGAAAAAAAAAAATTAGCTGGGCATGGTGGCATTTGCCTGTGGTTCCAGCTACTCAGGAAGCTGAGGTGGGAGAATCACTTGAGCCTGGAAGGTTGAGGCTGCAATGAGCCATGAAAAGAAAAAAAAAAGTGACATACTGTCATTTTTACTCAGAAGAAAGTCCAGGCCGGGCACGGTGGCTCACGCCTGTAATCCCAACACTTTGGGAGGCTGAGGCGGGTGGATCACCTGAGGTCAGGAGTTTGAGACCAGCCTGATCAACATGGTGAAACCCTGCCTCTACTAAAAATACAAAAATAATTAGCTGGGCATGGTGGCGGGTGCCTGTAATCCCAGTTACTCTGTAGGCTGAGGCGGAAGAATTGCTCGAACCCGGGAGGCAGAGGTTGCAGTGGGCCGAGATGGCGCCATAGCACTCCAGCCTGGGCAACAAGAGCGAAGCTCCATCTCAAAAAAGAAAAAGAAAAAAAAGAAAATCCATAAACCCCACCCATGTTCAAGGGGAGGGGCGTTTCACATTTTATAGGGAGAAGCATCAAAAAATTTGTGGGTTTTTTTTTTTTTTTTTGAGATGGGGTTTCACTCTTGTTGCCCAGGCTGGAATACAGTGGTGTGATCTTGACTCACTACTGTAACCTCTGCCTCTCGGGTTCAAGTGATTCTCCTGCCTAAACCTCCTGAGTAGCGGGGATTACAGGTGTGAGCCACCATGCCTGGCTAATTTTTGTATTTTTTAGTAGATATGGGTTTTCACCATATTGCCCAGGCTGGTCTAGAACTCCTGACCTCGTGATCCACCCACGTCAGACTCCCAAAGTGCTAGGATTACAGACGTGAGCCACCGCACCCGGCCTGGAATTTGTGGTTTTAAAACCATCACAGATGGTATACTAAAAGTAAAAATTTGGATTTTTTATTAAAACAGAAAATTGATCCTTGAGTATATAGTTTGCTGTCAATGCTCAGATAACACTAGTTTCTTTTCTTTTCTTTTTTTTTTTTTTTTGAGACGGAGTCTTGCTTTTGTCACCCAGGCTGGAGTACAATGGCATGATCTCGGCTCACTGCAACCTCCACCTCCCAGGTTCAAGCGATTCTCCTGCCTCAGCCTCTTGAGTAGCTGGGATTACAGGCACCTGCCAGCATGCCCAGCTAATTTTTTGTATTTTTAGTAGAGATGGGGTTTCTCCATGTTGGCCAGACTGGTCTCGAACTCCTGACCTCAGGTGATCCGCCCACCTTGGCCTCCCAAAGTGCTGGGATTACAGGCATGAGCCACCGCGCCCAGCAACACTAGTTTGTTAAATTACTAAAATACTTTTATACAAGAGCCTGTTAACTTTCTGAGTCTTGTTTCCACAGTAGTCACTCAACAAATGTAGAAAGGGAAGGAAGGGAATATTTAAAAGTTGTAGCAAGAAATACACAAAAACTACATTTGGTCAGCATGACTCATTAATGGGAATGATCCAAAATTATCTGACTCATTGGAAGGTAAAGACCTTTGGAGGATAGTGCAATTTTCAGATTTGGACTTTGTCCTGCTTGGGCTTAAAAGGGCTTTGCCTTTATCCAAAGCCTCAAGCAGAAGACAGAACAAGAGGATAAGGATAAAGTCTTTCTTGCAAGTATGTGGTGATTATCTCCAACTAGGATGAAAGTTACTTATAGAAGACAACATCGGGGCCAGGTGCGGTGGCTTGCGCCTGTAATCCCAGCACTTTGGGAGCCGAGGAGGGTGGATCACAAGGTCAGGAGATCGAGACCATCCTGGCTAACGCGGTGAAACCCCGTCTCTACTAAAAAATACAAAAAAATTAGCCGGGTGTGGTAGTGGGTGCTTGTAGTCCCAGCTACTCAGGAGGCTGAGGCAGGAGAATGGAGTGAACCCAGGAGGCGGAGCTTGCAGTGAGCTGAGATCGCGCCACTGCACTCCAACCTGGGTGACAGAGCAAGTCCCCGTCTCAAAAAAAAAGGAAACGATATCTTTTCTTCTTTTATCTACTTTAGCTACTCAGTGAATGAACTGTCTGGCCTGGCGTGGTGGCTCATGCCTGTAATCCCAACACTTTGGGAGGCCAAAGTGGGTGGATCACTTGAAGTCAAGAGTTCAAGACCAGCCTGGCCAACACGGCGAAACCATCTCTACTAAAAACACAAAAATTAGCTTGGTGTGGTGGTAAGTGCCTATAATCCCAGCTACTCAGGAAGCTGAGGCAGGAGAATTGCTTGAATCTGGGAGACAGAGGTTGCAGTGAGCCGAGATCACACCACTCTGTCTCAAAAAAAAAAAAAAAAGAGAACTGCCTAACAGAAATAAATATTTTTAAAATATGGTCAGCTTTTATTTCAAGTAGTAATTTATAATTACAAGAGTGCTGAAACCAAAGCCTTGGCTCCCAATTCTGCTATGTAAATGAACTAATTAAAGTTCATAGTTTTAATTATTTTTCTTTTTTTTGAGACAGGGTCTTACTGTCATCAGGCCAGAGTGCAATGGCGGCACGACCTCAGCTAACTGCAGGCTCCATATTCTAGTCTCAAATGATCCTTCTGCCTCAGCTTCCTAAGTAGATGGGACTACAGGCATGTGCCACCACCCCTGCCTACTTTTTGCATTTTTTTGTAGAGTTGGGGTTTTGCCATGTGCCCAGGCTGATCTCGAACTCCTTGATTCAAGCAGTCCATCTGCCTCAGGCTCCCAACGTGCTGGGATTACAGGTGTAAGACACTGCGCCTGGCCATGGTTCTAATTCTATTCACCTGCTATACAAAAACCCAGGTTTAGCAGCTCCTGACATTGTCTATTAATTACGAAAACAAAAACAAATTAAGCAACCCTAAAGCACAATACTATACTTCCCTAATAAATCTAATGAAAAAAATCTCCCAATGAAAGGAGATAAACTGAACACATCTGGGATTCCTTTCAGGGTAAAGAATCTGTGGATGACTCTTTTAGAACCAGCTCCCAGAGCTCAATTGTCATGAACTTCCATCACATTTAAATGAGTGGAATAAACAGTTTGCTTTCCAGATGAGGTCAGTTGCCACAAGGATGTGGCCGGGATGAGACTGCTGACCTTTTCTCACTCCTTGGGAAGGCATTGTACATTTTCATTCCAAAGCATCCTTTTTTTTTTTTTTTTTTTTTTTTGAGACGGAATTTCACTCTTGCTGCCCAGGCTGGAATGCAATGGCTCAATCTTGGCTCACTACAGCCTCTACCTACCAGGTTCAAGCGATTCTCCTGCCTCAGCCTTCTGAGTAGCTGGGATTACAGGCACCTGCCAACATGCCTGGCTAATTTCTGTATTTTTAGTACAGATGGGGTTTCACCATGTTGGCCAGGCTGGTTTCAAACTCCTGACCTCAGGTGATCTGCCCACCTCGGCCTCCCAAAGTGCTGGGATTACAGGCGTGAGCCACCGTGCCTGGCCGCCAACATTCTTTAACATGGTTCAGTGTTCCACGTAGTCCTCTTACCCAATGGACCTAGCTCGGTGGTGTTCTTTTAATGTTAGGATCTGGAAAATGTTAACGATGTTTTTGACAACTACAATACCTAAAACTTTTAGCTATTTTCACTCTACTTTTCCCAGTTTCTTTACCAAGATAGAATATTTTGAAGTATGGTGGCGCATCACTGGAGTCCCAGCCACACGAGAGTCTGAAGGGGGAGGACTGCTTGAGCCCAGCAGGTTGAGGCTGCAGTGGAGCATGATTGTGCCATAGCACTCCAGCCTGGGTGATAGAGCAAGGTCTCATCTAAAATATATATATATTACCGGCATGAGCCACCATGCCCGGCCTTGTATGTTAATCTTAAACCCAGCCTCCTTGTTTTTTTTTTTTTTTTTTTTTTAAGATGGAGTCTTGCTCTTGTCGCCCAGGCTGGAGTGCAGTGGCACAATTTCGGCTCACTGCAACCTCCACCTCCCAGATTCAAGCAATTCTCCTGCCTCAGCCTCCTGAGTGGCTGGGATTGCAGGTGCCTGCCACCACGCCCAGCTAATTTTTGTATTTTTAGTAGAGACAGGTTTCACCATGTTGGCCAGACTGGTCTCGAACTCCTGACCTCAGGTGATCCACCTGCCTCGGCCTCCCAAAGTGCTGGGGTTACAGGCGTGAGCCACTGTGCCCGGCCTTGTATGTTGATCGTAAACCCAGCTTCCTTGTTAAGTGCAATTACTATTTCTAATAATTTACGGTTATATAATTTGGAGCTTTCCACAAAGACAAGCATATTCTCTGTCAATGTTTCTTCCTTTTTAGTTCTTATATCTTTTATTTCTTTGTATTGACTTACTGCCCTGTCTAGAATTTCCTGTAAAATGCTGATAGAAGCAGTAATTATAGTGGACATCCCTATATTTTCCTAGTTTTAGATAAAATTTTCTAAAGTTTAATGTTATGAATGATGTTCAATTTAAGTTTTTTGTAGATTCCCCTTAACAAATTAGGAAATTTTCCTTTTTAGTTTGCTAAGCTTTTATCATGAATGGGTGATAAATTCAAATGCTTGTTCTACATCTTTAGAGATGATGATACCCCCATCTGTTAATAGGCAACTTAACATTGATACTTTTTTGGTTTTGTTTTTTAATGTGAAACCACTCTTATATTCTGGAATAAATCCACCTAGATCATGCATACATATTATCTATTTAATATACTGCTGGATTCAGTTTACTATTTATTTATTTATTTTTATTTCCAAGCACACTCACCATAACAATTTATTTAGAATTGATGTATCTATGATAATGAGTGAAACTGGCCTTTCATTTTCTTTTTCTCCCTGTTTGGTTTGGTTTCTTTTTTTTTTTATTATTATTATACTTTAAGTTCTAGGGTACATGTGCACAACGTGCAGGTTAGTTACATATGTATACATGTGCCATGTTGGTGTGCTGCACCCAGTAACTCGTCATTTAACATTAGGTATATCTCCAAATGCTATCCCTCCCCCCTCCCCCTACCCCACAACAGGCCCTGGTGTGTGATGTTCCCCTTCCTGTGTCCATGTGTTCTCATTGTTCAATTCCCACTTATGAGTGAGAACATGTGGTGTTTGGTTTTTTTGTCCTTGCAACAGTTTGCTGAGAATGATGGTTTCCAGCTTCATCCATGTCCCTACAAAGAACATGAACTCATCATTTTTTATGGCTGCATAGTATTCTATAGTGTATATGTGCCACATTTTCTTAATCCAGTCTATCGTTGTTGGACATTTGGGTTGGTTCCAAGTCTTTGCTATTGTGAATAGTGCCGCAATAAACATACGTGTGCATGTGTCTTTATAGCAGCATGATTTATAATCCCTTGGGTATATACCCAGTAATGGGATTGCTGGGTCAAATGGTATTTCTAGTTCTAGATCCCTGAGGAATCGCCACACTGATGGTTTGGTTTCAAGTTATCACAACTTTATAGAAAGAGCTGGAGAATATTTCTACTTTTTCTGTTCCAGAAAATTTTATATAAGACTTAAATAATCAGATCTTTGAAAACCTGAACGAACACCTAAATAAAGTCAGGTGCTTTAACTGCAAACAAAATTGCTTTTAATGTTGCTTTCAGTAACATATAGCAGAATATCCTTTTAACAATGGCTTGATCAATGAAGACATTTAAGTATTTCCTTAACAAGAAGTCTTTCCAGAAACAGTATTAACATCTGAGTGTGGCCAGGTGCGGTGGCTCACACCTGTAATCCCAGCACTTTGGGAGGCCGAGGTGGGAGGATCACGAGGTCAGGAGATCGAGACCATCCTGGCTAACATGGTGAAACACCGTCTCTACTGAAAAATATAAAAAATTAGCCGGGCGTGGTGGCGGGCACCTGTAGTCCCAGCTACTCAGGAGGCTGAGGCAGGAGAATGGTGTGAACCCGGGAGACGGAGCTTGCAGTGAGCTGAGATCGCGCCACTGTACTCCAGCCTGGGTGACAGAGCAAGACTCCATCTCAAAAAAAAAAAAAAAAAAAAATCTGAGTGTTCTGCTCTCAGTGGTGCAGCACCTGCATGACACTGTAACAGAAAGTGTAAAAAAGTTTATACTACACATCTGATCAGGCTCAAATTTATGCCTGAACAAAAGAAGCCCATAAAGAAAGAGCTTTTGGAAATCAACCAATCAAGGAAATATTATCTATTTATTTATTTTTATTTTTTGAGATAGGGTCTTGTTCTCTCGCCCAGGCTGGAGTGCAGTGGCACAATCACGCCTCACTGCAGCCTGGACCTGCCCGGCTCAATCTATCCTCCTACCTCAGCCTCCTGAGTAGCTAGGACTACAGGTGTGCATCACCACACCCAGCTAATTTTTGTATTTTTTATACAGACGGGGTTTCGCCGTGTTGTCAAGACTGGTCTCAAATACCTGGGTTCAAGCGATCCACCTGCCTCAGCCTCCCAAAGTGCTGGGATTACAGGCATGAGCCACCAGGCTTGGCCAATTAAATATTGTTAGGTGTTATAGTGTAAGGTGGATGTACATACATACAAATGAATATATTTTATTTATATAGAATCAGAGAAACAGTTCTGTGCATTTTTATGCTTGAGATAGATCCAATGCACTATAGGACAAAATATTTGTCCATGCAAAAAAACAGAATTAGGGACTGGGTGCGGTGGCTCATGCCTGTAATCCCAGCACTTTGGGAAGCCGAGGCGGGGAGGGGTGGGGGTGGGGGTGGGGGGGATCACCTGAGTTCAGGAGTTCGAGATCAGCCTGACCAACATGGTGAAACCCCATCTCTACAAAAATACAAAAAAAGTTAGCCGAGGTGGGTGCCTGTAATCCCAGCTACTCAAGAGGCTGAGGTGGGAGAATCGCTTGAACCCGGGAGGCGGAGGTTGCAGTGAGCCAAGATTGTGCCATTTGCACTCCAGCCTGGGCAACAGAGTGAGACTCCATCTCAAAACAAAACAAAATGAAAAACAGAATTAGGAACTTTAAGTTCTAACACTAGCTTGCCTTCCTTGAAACTTAGGTATAAGGTCCAAATATTGTACTTTTTATATTCTCAGGGCATAAACAGTATATAGCATATAGTACATAAACAGTATATAAAAGTCTAATCTTCATTTTGTTCTTCAATAATATGGGAATACTGATACAGATATAACTATAAATTAGTATGACCAGTCCAATTGAGACTATTTTATGTTTTGGCCAATATTCTGAATATAAAAATTGACCATTATTCTGTATGATCCCTAAAGTACATTGAGATATTTGCACACATAACTGAAAATCTGTTATTTGCTAATATGGATGTGGAGAGCTTCTCAATAAATAGCTAGGGCATTTGGAAAATGTTTTTTCTGCTTTTTGGAATAAAATTAATTGTTAAATGTCAGGTGTGTTGGGGAGATGGGAGGAACAACCAGAAACAAATTAGGCAGTACCACTGTCTGTTTCACAGGATAAGGGTGGGAGGAAGTGAAGAGAGCCCAAATCTGGTAATTTAAGGTGACAGACACTAATAACAAAGGTCTTTGAATTTAAAAGCTGCAGCAAGAAAGGACATAATTAAATTACATGAGGACAAAGAAGGATAGAGAAAGACTAAAAGGTGCTCTCAGGTGAGCCTTCCACTACAGCTGGGTACTGTTCTCAGAGTTCCCTAGAGAGTCTTCTACCATCAAGTGACATTTGAGGTATTAAACATGTGCGATGGGATTGGACACCTTGAGCATATGATCCTTAAGAGGCTGACAGTGCACACTTCCTGCTGAACTAGTTTCTTATCCTAGAGTCTGATCCCTGAGCTCAGGTGTTCTCCTGTCCTCCAGTACTTTTCAAACTTCTATCATTCTGTTACTAAAAAAGAATGAGGAAGAACCAAGAGATCAACTTCAGCTGTGGGCTATGCAATTTACCTCCAGAAAACTTCTAAGCCTGGGAGAAGTGAGAAAGGGATCAGTTTTACTGAGTGTGTACTCTAGGCCAAGCAGAATACTAGATGTCATTTAATTTAATCCTCATGATAACACTGTCAGCCAAGTGTTATTATTGCAAAGGAAGAAGCTGAGGCTTAGAGAAGCTAAGAAACTTGTCCCCTGACTCATAATAAGTAAAAGAGAATGCAAATTAATTCTGACTCCAAAGTTTATGCTTATTCCACCAGGATAAGGGATCCCTGACAATAAGTGTTTACGCCTGGATGTTTCTCTCCCTTTTAGCAATGCATTTGTAACATTTCCACAACAGAATGACTTTTTACTGAAACAATTTAACCTTCTGACCTGGGCACCATGGCTCCCACCTGTAATCCCAGCACTTTGGGAGGCTGAAGCCAGAGGATCACTTGAGGTTGGAGTTCCAGACTAACCTGGCCAACATGGTGAAACCATGTCTCTACCAAAAATACAAAAATTAGCCAGGCATGGTAGTGCATGCCTGTAATCCCAGCTACCCAGGAGGCTGAGGCAGGAGGATCACCTGAACCTGGGAGGCGGAGGTTGCAGTGAGCCGAGATCGTGCCACTGCACTCCAGCCTGGATGACAGAGCAAGACTCCATCTCAAAAAAAAAATAAATAAAAAATCTGCATACTCAGAACCTGACAAAATCCCAAAGGTTTATGAAGTACAGGAATATTCGTGTATGTGCGTTTAACATCCTAAAAGAGTGAAAGGAAGTACACTAATCCTGCCAACAGTAAGTTTTTTAAAAAGGAAAATAACTTCCTCCTTCATTTATTGGAATTGCTTGGAAGCGGAAGTCAGGAAATCCCCTTCCTTGATTTGTGGTATTTATGTGGCTAACTGTTGTTCCCAAAGAACAGAATTTATTCTGGTTTACCCTTTGAAATGTTCTATATATTTTTTCATTATTCTTTAATAGAACCTGGTTTTGGTTATTTTAAAGATTTCCACATGATGAGTTTATTTTACTCCCTTTTTTATATTTGGAGAAAAATGAAGCTCAGGCAAAGAATGCCTAATTACTTCTTACGCATAAAAATGCACATTCAATACAATGATAACTTACTATCCTAGAAATTAGTTACAGAAAATACCTTTAATATACACATATATTTCCGGTTAGAGTAAGAGATGTTTGGGAAGAATGCCAATTGTTCACACGTATAACATTCAGCCTGGCCGGGCGCAGTGTCTCTAGCTTGTCACCCTAGTACTTTGGGAGGCTGAGGCGGGCAGATCACCTGAGGTCAGGAGTTCAAGACCAGCCTGGCCAACATGGTGAAACCTCACCTTTGCTAAAAATAAAAAATGAGCCAGGCATGGTGGCACATGCCTGTAATACCAGCTACGCAGGAGGCTGAGACAGGAAAATTCCTTGAACCCAGGAGGCAGAGGCTGCAGTGAGCCAAGATTGTGCCACTGCACTCCAGCCTGGGTGACAAAATGAGACCCCATCTCAAAAAAAAAAAAAAAAAAAAAGATTCAGCCTTTTTTCATAATACCTAAAAATAACTTCAGAGTTCTTTTCACCAAAGTAAAATAGTTTTCTTTATTAAAAAGATTATCATAGACATATAGTAAAATGGAATAGAACAGAATTTCCAAAAATGGACCCACACAAATATATTTATTTAACTTTCAACAAAGCAGCCAATGTAATTCAATGGGGGAAAAGATAGACTTTTCAATAATAGTGCTGGAACAACTGGATATTCACATGGAAAAACTCTGACCCTTAACTATAGGTTAGAGCTAAAACTATAAAACTTCTAAATCTATAAAACATAGGAGAAAATCTCTGGGGCCTTGGGTTAGACAAATATTTCTGTTCTTTTCTTTTGAGACGGTCTCCCTCCATCACCCAGGCTGGAGTGCACTGGAGCGATCCCGGCTCACCGCAACTTCCGCCTCCCAGGTCCCAGCGATTCTCTTGCCTCAGCCTCCCGAGTAGCTGGGATTACAGGCACGTGCCACCACACCCAGCTATTTTTTTTGTATTTTTAGTAGAGATGAGGTTTCACCATGTTGGCCAGGCTGGTCTCAAATACCTGGCCTCAAGTGATCTGCCCACCTCAGCCTTCCAAAGTGCTGGGCTTATAGGCATGAGCCACCACACCTGGACAAGAAAAAGACTTCCTAGGTAGGATGCTGTAATCCCAGCACTTTGGGAGGCTCTATAGAAAAATACAAAAATTACCTGGGCGTCATGGTGTGCACCAGTAGTCCCAGTTACTTGGCGGGCTGAGGTAGGAGGATTGCTTGAGTCTGGGTAGTTGAGGCTGCAGTGAGCCATGATCATACCACTGCACTCCAGCCTGGGCAACAGAATGAGACCATGTCTTAAAAATAAAATAAAACAGGATGCAAAAAGCACAAGCCATAAAAAAAAATTTGGTAATTTGTACTTGAAAATTTTAAACTTCTGCTTTTTTTTTTTTTTTTAGATGGAGTTTTACTCTGTTGCCCAGGATGGAGTGCAGTGGCACAAGCTCGGCTCACCGCAACCTGCAATTCCCGGGTTCAAGCGATTCTCCTGCCTCAGCCTCCCGGGTAGCTGGGATTACAGACGCAGACCACTAAGCCTGGCTAATTTTTTGTATTTTTAGTAGAGATGGGGTTTCACCATGTTGGCCAGGCTGGTCTGGAACTCATGACCTCAGGTGATCCACCTGCCTTGGCCTCCCAAAGTGCTGGGATTACAGGCGTGAGCCTCCACGCCCAGCCTAAACTGCTTTTTGAAACACACTGTTGCCGGGCATGGTGGCTCACGCCTGTAATCCCAGCACTTTGGGAGGCTGAGGCAGGCAGATCACCTGAGATCGGGAGTTCGAGACCAGCCTGACCAACATGGAGAAACCCCATCTCTACTAAAAATACAAAATTAACCAGGCGTGGTGGCACATGCCTGTAATCCCATGCCTGTAATCCCTAGGGAGGCTGAGGCAGGAGAATCACTTGAACCTGGGAGGTGGAGGTTGCAGTGAGCCGAGATCGTGCCATTGCACCAGCCTGGGCGACAAGAGTGAAACTCCATCTGAAAAAAAAAAAAAAAGAAAGAAAAGAAAAATTAAGAAATAAGCTACAGACTGGGAGAAAACACTTTCAAAGCATGTATCTGATAAAGGCCTTGTATCCAGGCTATATGGACAATATTTTCAACTCTATAATAAGACAAATAACCCAATTAATAAATGGGCAAAAAAATTGAACAAATACTCCACTAAATAAAATATAAAAGCAAATAAGCATATGAAAAGATGTACAACATCATTGGTTATTTGTGAAATGAAAATTAACCACAATGGGCTATCACGGCACCCAATAGAATGGCTGACACTTAAAAGACCAGCAAGATCAAGTACATTAGAGGATGGGGAACAACTAGAACTCTCATGCATTGCTGGCGGGAATGCAAAATAGTACACCACCTTTGGAAAAATTTGGCAGTATTTTAAAAAGTTAAATGTACATTACTATACAACCCAGCAATCCCACTCCTAAGTAGTTATCCAAGAGAAATAAAAACACACGTCTATATGAAGACTGTTATGTAAATGTTCACAGCAGCTTTATTAATAAATAGCCTAAAACTAGAAACAACCCAAATGTCCATCAACTGGTGAATCGATAAATTGTGATATGTGCCTATAATGGAATATATTACTTGGCATTAAAAAGGAATTAACTGGCTGAGCGTGGTGGCTCATGCCTATAATCCCAGTGCTCTGGGAGGCCAGGCAGGATCCCTTGAGCCCAGGAATTCAAGACAGCCTGGACAACATACTGATACCCCATCTCTACAAAAATAAAAAAATTAACTGGGGCTGGGCACGGTGGCTCATGCCTGTAATCCCAGTATTTTGGGAGGCCAAGGGGGGTAGATCACCCGAGGTCAGGAGTTTGAGACCAGCCTGGCCAACATGGCGAAACCCAGTCTCTACTAAAAATACAAAAATTATCCGGGCATGGTGGCGGACTCTTGTAATTCCAGCTACTTAGGAGGCTGAGGCAGGAGAATCGCTTGAATCTGGGAGGTGGAGGTTGCAGTGAGCTGAGAGCCATTGCACTCCAGCATGGGTGACGAGCAAAATTCCGTCTCAAAAAAAAAAAAAAAGAAAGAAATTACTTGGAAGTATTGTTAAAAATACAGATTTGGGGACTTCACTCCAGTGATTTTGATTTTTAGATCTGGGGCAGAAAATAGAAATGAGCATTTTTTTTTTTTTTTTTTTTTTGAGACGGAGTCTCTCTCAGTCACCCAGGTTGGAGTGCAATGGCGCGATCTCCTCTCACTGCAAGCTCCGCCTCCCGGTTCACGCCATTCTCCTGCCTCAGCCTCCTGAGTAGCTGGGACTACAGGCACCCGCCACCACGCCTTGTTAATTTTTTTGTATTTTTAGTAGAGACGGGGTTTCACCGTGTTAGTCACGATGGTCTCGATCTCCTGACCTTGTGACCCGCCTGCCTCGGCCTCCCAAAGTGCTGGGATTACAGGCGTGAGCCACCATGCCCAGCCAGAAATGAGCATTTTTAACCAGACCTCTAGGTGATTCTGATATAGGTAGTCTTTAGCTTTAAGGCACAGGGTTAAGAGGTCCCCAGTTCTCCTAAGATAGAACTCAAACTCCTTAACATGTCTTCATGCCTTATAAGATCTAGTCCCTGCTTAGCTTTTCACCTTCATCTGTAAGTACCACCTCCTACAACCTAGACTTAAGCTATACTGTATTTTCCCATTTTTAAAGTAAACATAGCCCTATAATGCTTTGTTCTCCCCTGTTGATCCTACCCCATCTAACCTTTCAGCGAGCCAACCAAACACACACACACACACATAATGATACACACCTCTGCCTTGCTAATACCTATTTACCATTCAATTTAGACATCAATTCCTCTACTACGAAGACATCCTTGATTCCCAACTCTGGGATAAGTACCCCTCCTAAGGGCTACTAGCCTCCTGTATTTCCCTTACCATAACACAGTTATCTAAAGTATTCCACCTATTTAATTATTCATCCCACTGAATCACTGTCTTGTTCTCCAGTGAATCCTCAGTGCTTCACACTGTACCTGGCATATTGTATGTACTTAATAAATATTTATTGTATTTAAAAATGAATGACTTTTACCTATAGAAGTATGAAGTAAGGGAAGCAGAATTTAAAAATTGTACTTACTCCAGCCTAGCTGGAGTAAGTACAACATGGTGAAATGTTGTCTCTACTAAAAATACAAAAATTAGCCAGGTGTGGTGGCGCACTCTTGTAATCCCAGCCACTCAGGAGGCTGAGGCAGGAGAACTGCTTAAACCTGGGAGGCAAAGGTTGCAGTGAGCCAAGATCATGCCATTGCACTCCAGCCTGGGGACAAGAGCGAGACTTCGTCTCAGGAAAAAAAAAAAGAAAAAAGAAAGTAATCCTATTTACAATAGCTACAAATAAAACAAAATACCCAGGAATTAACTTAACCAAAGAAATAAAAGAGCTCTATAGTGAAAATCATAAAACACTGAGGCAAGAAATTGAAGAGAACATGAAAAAATGGAAATATATTCCATGTTCATGGATTGGCAGAATCAATATTGTTTAAATATCCATACTACCCAAAGCAATCTACAGACTCAATGCAATGCTATCAAAATACCAATGACATTCTTTACAAAAATAGAAAAAGCAATTCTAAAATTTATATTTCAGATATAAATTTATCTAAAATTTATATTTCAGATATAAATTTATCTAAAATTTATATTTTAGATATTTTAGCCAAAGCTATCCTGAGCAAAAAGAAAAAAAAGTGGAAGAATCACATTACCTGACCTTGAATTATACTACAGAACTATAGTAACCAAAACAGCATGGGTACTGGCATAAAACCAGGCACATAGACCAATGGAACAGAATAGAGGATCCAGAAACAAATCTATACATCTATAGTAAACTCATTTTCAACAAAGGTGCCAAGAACACATATTGGGGAAAAGACAGTCTCTTCAATAAATGGTGGTGGGAAAAATGGATATCCAATATGCAGAAAAATGAAACTTAACCCCTACCTCTCAGCATATACAAAAATCGAATAAAAATGGATTAAAGACTTAAATCTAAGACCTCACACTATGAAACTACTAAAAGAAAACATTGGAAGAACTCTCCAGGACATTGAAGTGGGCAAAGATTTATTGAGTAATACCCCACAAGCACAGGCAATCAAAGCAAAAATGGACAAATGGGATCACATCAAGTTAAAAAGCTTCTGCATAGCAAAGGAAACCATGAACAAAGTGAAGAGACAACCCACAGAACAGGAGAAAAATATTTGCAAATATTTTCTCAGGATATATAAGGAGCTCAAACAACTGTATAGGAAAAAAAATCTAATAACTCAATTAAAAATGGGCAAAACATCCGAACAGACATTTCTCAAAAGAAGACATACAAATGGCAAACAGGTTTATGAAAAGGTGATCAACATAATTCATTGATCATCAGAGAAATGCAAATGAAAACTACAATGAGATATCATCTCACCCAGTTAAAATAGCTTTTATCCAAAAGACAGGCATTTATTATTATAAATGCTGGCAAGAATGTTGAGAAAAGGGAACCCTCGTACACTGTTGGTGGGAATATAAATTAGTACAACTATAACAGAGAACAGTTTGGAGGTTCCTCAAAAAACTAAAAATAGAGCTACTATACAATCCAGCAATTCCACTCCTAGGTATATACCCAAAAGAAAGGAAATCACTTTGTCAAAGAGATGTCTGCACTCTCATGTTTATTGCAGCACTATTATTCACAATAGCCAAGATTTGGAAGCAACCTAAGTGTCCATCAACAGATGAATGGGATAAAGAAAATGTGGTACCTATACACAGTGGAGTACTATTCAGCCATAAAAAAAAAGAGAGATCTCATGGGTGCAGTGGCTCACACCTGTAATCCCAGCACTTTGGGAGACCAAGGCAGGTGGATCACTTGAGCTCAAGAGTTTCAGACCAGCCTGGGCCACGTGGTGAAACCCTGTCTCTACAGAAAATACAAAAATTAGTAGGATGTGGTGGCATGTGCCTATGTAGTCCCAGCTACTCAGAAGGCTGACGTGGGAGGACTGTTTGAGCTCAGAGGTTGAGGCTGCAATGAGCCACGATCACACCACTGCATTCCAGCCTAGGCAACAGAGTGAGACCCTGTCTCAAAACAAACAAACAAAACCCCCTAGAAGTTCATATTTTGGTAAGAGTAAAAAATAATTTGGAAGTGGATAGTACTCTTTGGTTGACTCAATTCTTCCAACTATGGAAGGCAAGCAGAAGAGAGAATATGGTTAAACAGATCTTGATTCTCAAGTTTATAATCTAAGGTAAACAATATTTTTTCAAGAATGTTTACTGCCCAGGTGTGGTGGCTCATGCCTGTAATCAAAGCATTTTGGGAGGCCAAGGCAGGCAAGTCACTTGAGGTCAGGAGTTCAAGACATGGTGAAACCCCATTTTCTTTTTTCTTTTTTTTTTTTTTGAGACAGAGTTTTGCTCCTGTTGCCAAGGCTGGAGTGCAATGGCGCAATCTCAGCTCACCTCAACCTCTGCCTCCCGGGTTCAAGTGATTTTCCTGCCTCAGCCTCCCGAGTAGCTGAGATTACAGGCATGTACCACCACGGCCGGCTAATTTTGTATTTTAAGTAAAGACGGGGTTTCTCCATGTTGGTCAGGCTGGTCTTGAACTCCCAACCTCAGGTGATCCACCCACCTTGGCCTCCCAAAGTGCTGGGATTACAGGTGTGAGCCACTGCGAATGGCCAAAACCCCGTCTTTACAAAAAAAATTAGCCAGGCGTTGTGGTGCACACCTGTAATCCCAGCTACTTGGGAGGCTGAGGCATGAGAATCCCTTGAACCTGGGAGGCGGAGGTTGCACTGAGCCGAGATTGTGCCACTGCACTCCAGCCTGCGTAACAAAGTGAGACTCTGTCTCAAAAAAAAAAGAATGTTTACCTATCTATCATAGCTTGCCAGGAATAAAAACAAAATAAAAAACAAGAATATTTACCAAAAAAAAGACATCTGATTGATCAACTATAACTATAAACTGAAATGAAAAAAAAGTTTGGCAGTAAGTAGACTAGATCTAGATAAATAACAATATATGAGATTATTAACTATAAATAATTTTGGAACATTTTTCTTTGGTTTATTCCTAAGGACATGGCAGAAGTTTCATTTTACCAAATGCTTAATGAATTACACCTTTATATACTAAAAGAAGAAGGAGGAACAGAAATCTAAGCTCCTAGTTTGTCAGCTAAGTAAGACATGCCATTTTATTGAATCCCCAAAAGTCAATTAGGAATGAACCTGTAATTCCCATTAGGAAACTATGGTTGAAAAGTTAAGTAACTTGTTCAGGAAAGAACAAAGCAGGTAGGGTGGAAAGTGGGAACAGAGTTAACATTTATTATCAAGTTTGTAGTAAGCAATACCAAATATTTTACATACATTTTCTTGTTTGAGCTTCACATTACCCCTAAAAATACATACTACTCATTAATGTGCTAATAAACAACCAGCTCCCTGGGGAGATAATGTGTGCATATCTATATCTATCTATATAAATCTATAAAAATGTTACTAATATAAAGCATGTGTAGCTTACAGCTTACAAATAATAAATATAAAATACTCTTTTTGTGAATTCCACACAGCCAGTTGATTCCACAAGCTTTCAATAATTTTTCCAAACTCTTCTACCTCAGCCAATTTATGATGGCAATTCAACCATCATTCGATGTTTTCAATCTGCTAATCTTTTCCCAACATATTTCTTGTCCTTAAGTGTGACATTTGATTTACTATTAAACTACCATTCCTCATCCATTACCATTTTTCAACCTCATACAAACTTATTAAAATGAAACTTCTTTCAGTTTTAGCACTATTGATTGCAATAATGCTATCTTTTTAGCTTTTTGTATAATTGCAGGGATTGTAATTTTGTTTGATTCTAAATTATTACTTGCAAAATCTTGAAAATAACTCAAGGCCAGGCATGGTGGCTCACACCTGTAATCCCAGCACTTTGGGAGGCCGAGGTGGGCGCATCACTTGCGGTCAGGAGTTCGAGACCAACCTGACCAACATGATGAAACCCTGTCTCTACTAAAAATACAAAAAATTGCTGGGCGTGGTGGCAGGCGCCTGTAATCCCAGCTACTTGGGAGGCTGAGGCAGGAGAATCGTTTGAACCTGGGAGGTGGAGGTTGCTGTGAGCTGAGATCACGCCACTGCACTCTAGCCTGGGTGACAGAGCGAGACTCCATATCAAAAAAAAAGAAAAAATAATTCAAAATACATGTTTTAAAATTTCACTTAAATGATATTATTTTCCACAGTGAAGAAGTCCAAGAAGGTGATTTTAACAAATAAAAACAACTTAAAATGATGTTTCTAATAAAAGACATGTATTCATTACTTTTTAGTAACACATTCTTAGGCAGAGGTTTAAATCTATTTTTGACTAGGTGTGGCAGTTCATGCCTGTAAGCCCAGTGCTTTGGGAGTCCAAGATGAGAAGATTGCTTGAGGCCAAGAGTTCAAGACCAGCCTAGGCAACATGTGACACCCCATCTCTACCAAAAGTTTTTAAAAATTAGCCAGGTGTAGTGGCATGTGCCTGTCGTCCCAGCTACTTGAGAGGCAGAGGCACGAGAATCACTTGAGTTCAGGAGTGTGAGGTTGTAATGAGCTATGATTGTGCCACAGCACTCCAACCTGGGCAACAGAGTGAGACCCTGCCTCAAAAAAAAAATTATTAAATGGAATGACTTCAAACTGATGACTTAACCAAATATTCAACTTGAGAGTCATGCTTTCTAATGCCAATTTTTAATTTTTCCAAAGCTTTTATAGTGCATTCTATTAATTTTTTAATTTTCTGAATGTTGGTTGATCTTAACTGCAGTGCAACTGAAAGTAATGAAAATTATTTAAGAATATCAATCATTAAAGTAAGGTATTACAAGAAATTAATATTAGCTGATCTTGTTGCTAGGCCAGAATAAAAAGAATGAGAAAAATGCATTTATAATGTAGGATATGTGTGCCATGCAGCATTAGCGGTTGGTAAAGTACATGTCCACCCATCTCAACCTAAGTACTTGGCTAATTTTAATAATTTCAGTTTCAAGTTATTTAGCTATAATTTCCAACTGTTTCCTTTTTTTGGGTTGGTGGTAAACAGAATAAATTTTATCCATAATATTGTTATTTTTTCTTGAGACGGAGTCTCACTCTGTCTCAGGCTGGGGTGCAGTGGCACAATCTCAGTCCACTGCAACTTCCGCCTCCTGGGTTCAAGTGATTCTCCTGCCTCAGCCTCCCGAGTAGCTGTGACTACTGGCGTGCACCACCACGCCCAGTGAATTTTTGTATTTTTAGTAGAGACAGGCTTTCACCATGTTAGCCAAGCCAGTTCTGAATTCCTGACCTCAAGTTATCCGCCTGCCTCGGCCTTCTAAAGTGCTGGAATTACAGGCATGAGCCACCGTGCCCAGACTATCCAGAATATTTTTAAATGATTGACTTGTTTTATTTCAGATACTGAATTATAATTGGTAACAGAACCAAATGATGACATTAGGAAATTTTTCTGACAAATCTGTGGCCACTCCAGTCTTCTTTCCCATTATTGTGAAAGCACCATTAAAACAAAATGCAGCTTACTTTCAACTATTCATTATTAAATTTCAAATATTCATTACTGAAGCCACATTTAAAGTAGACAATATCGGCTGGGCGCGGCGGTTCACGCCTGTAATCCCAGCACTTTGGGAGGCCAAGGCTGGTCGATCACTAGAGGTCAAGAGTTTGAGACCGGCCTGGCCAACATGGTGAAACCCTGTCTCTACTAAAAATACAAAAATTAGCTGGGCTTGGTGGTGCACGCCTGTAATCCCAGCTACTTGGTTGAGACAGGAGAATCACTTGAACCCAGGGGGCAGAGGTTGCAGTGAGCCAAGATCGTGCCAGTGCACTCCAGCCTGAGGGACAGAGCACAACTCTGCCTCAAAAGAAAAAAAGTAAAATAGACAATAATGTAGTAGAAATATAATCTGTGTGGCAGACACCAATTACTTTTTTTTTTTTTTTTGGAGATGGAGTCTCGCTCTGTTGCCCAGGCTGGAGTGCAATGGTGTGATCTCTGCTCACTGCAACCTGTGTCTCTGGAGTTCAAGCGATTCTCCTGCCTCAGCCTCCTGAGTAGCTGGGACTACAGGCGCACACTACTACACCTGGCTAATTTTTGTATTTTTAGTAGAGATGGGATTTCACCATGTTGTCCAGGCTGGTCTCGAACTTCTGACCTCGTGATCCGCCCACTTGTGATCTGCCCACCTCAGCCTCCCAAAGTGCTGGGATTATAGGCGTGAGCCACCGTGCCCAGCTGACACCAATTCTTTTAAAGCAACAAATATCTTTACCAGTACAGAAGCTTATTCAACTGTGTACTGGAGATAAATCTCTAGGTAATTTTCTTCCAATATGTAGATGTCTCATCAATTATAGTGCATATTTGCCATTCTCTTCCAAGATTCTTAAATATGTTGACATAATTTCTTTTGCAGTATGTTCTGCTATTCTTGTTGCACCGTATCATGTATGTAAACATTTGCCTGTATCTACTCCATTTTTCCCTTTCAACTCTATTGTTCCCTTCACTATCAGATAAAGGCCTATGAGTTTTTTGTTTGAGACAGGGTCTTGTTCTGTCGCCCAGGCTGGAGTGCAGTGGTGTGATCTCGGCTCATTACAATCTCCAACTCCTGGGCTCAAGGCATCCTCCCACTTCACACTCCCAGGTAACTGGGATTACAGGCACACACCACCACACCCAGCTTTTTTGTCTGTTTATTTTATTTGTTTGTAAAGACAGGGTTTTGCCATGTTGGCCAGGCTAGTCTCTAACTCCTGGCCTCAAGTGATCCCTGCCTGGGCCTCCCAAAGTGCTGGGATTACAGGTGTGAGCCACTGCACCTGGCCCATGCCCATTCTTTAAGTATTGTCTATGGCTACTTTGGCACATTTGGCACTACAGTGAGAGCTGAGTAGCTGTGACAGAGACTATAAGTCCCACAAAGCCTAAAATATTTACTATTTGGCTGTTTACACAAAAGGTTTGCTAACATATGGTCTAGAAAAATCAACAAAACAATAAATCACGCCCTGACTTGCTGCATTTGCCCATTTCCATGGTGTAAATACTCCCCTTACAGCCAATTTCGTGCTACCAATGTGACATTTCTGAATAGAGTTGGGAAGAGATGCATACAACATATGTAGTATTTCCACAGGGAATACAATGGACAAATAACCTCAAGAGCAGAATTATTAGTAAAATGAAGAAAAAAACTACAAAGTGATGAGTTTTTAATATTTATTATATTTAAAAATTTTTTTTTAGAAATAGGGTCTCACTCTGTTGCCCAGGCTGGAGTGCAGTGGTGTGATCATAGCTCACTGCAACATCAAACTTCTAGCCTCAAGCCATCTTCCCGCCTTAGCCTCCCAAAGCACTGGGATTACAAATGTGACTCAACATGCCTGGCCTATTACTTTTATTTTTAAGATAATTTAATTGTAGCTTATATAATTTGATTTCTAATAATGGTTGTGCTTATGACCTGGCTCATAAAATCCCTGAAAATTTAGCAATCAACCTAATGCTAGCTCTATCTTCAAAAGGAGGCTTTGGGAAAGCAAGTAATTTTTGTATCCACTAAAGCACAGAGCTAAAAAAAATTGGGGGGAGGGGAGACATCTATTGAGGGAACGCCACATGCAGGGTAACGTATTTTCTGGAGTACTATCCTGTATTGATATTGTATGCTCTTTAGCATTCCCATGCTGTCTGCCACTTTTGCTGGAGTCTTGATACTTGATACTGTTAATGCAAAATAAG
Source organism: Homo sapiens (assembly GCF_000001405.40). Classification (NCBI taxonomy): domain Eukaryota; kingdom Metazoa; phylum Chordata; class Mammalia; order Primates; family Hominidae; genus Homo; species Homo sapiens. The sequence goes on along the minus strand of NC_000012.12, from coordinate 50,285,029 downwards.
TAGCAGGCCATTAGTTTGGAGTTGTTTTTGTACCCAGAAAGCAACCCAAAATTTAGAGGTATTCCTTGCACCTTTTGTTTGTTTTGTTTTTTTGAGATGGAGTCTCGTTCTCTCATCCAGGCTGGAGTGCAGTGGCGAGATCTCTGCTCACTGCAATCTCCACTTCCCGGGTTCAAGTCATTCTCGTGCCTCAGCCTCCCGAGTAGCTGGGATTACAGGCACTTACCACCACGTCCGGCTAATTTTTGTATTTTTAGTGGAGACGGTGCTTCGCCATGTTGGCTAGGCTGGTCTCGAACTCCTAACCTCAGGGGATCCGCCTGCCTCAGCCTCCCAAAGTGCTGGGATTACAGGTGTGAGCCACCGCGCCCGGCCCCTTGTACCTGATTTTGAATGGAGTTTCAACCAATCACAAACAGACAACCAGCCAAGTGGTTATATAATTAGGGACCTCCCATGTGACCATACCCAAATAAGGCAAACGCTTAGCTGTAGCCAATCAAATTTCTTTACTTTCGTGTTCAGCCTATAAAGTTTGATGCCTGGGCAGCTAGAGCAGGGGTGTCTGAGCCTCTTTTGGTTCTGACTGTTGTCCGATTCAAAATCTAAGTTTGTTTTGTCTGAAATTTTTATTTCTACAATACCTATCCAGAAATCAGTCTAGGCTGGATATTTGAAGGAAGAAGGGAATAACTGGCTGGCATATTCATCACCTGTTGGAAATCTCTCTTCTCACACATTTTCATTAACTTCTTGAGGAAGTGTAATTACAAGCGTTTTCCCACGAGCAGCCCCTACTAATAACGCATCAAGCTGCATGAATTCCGAAAAGCTTCAGAAAACTTGTGGTCTGAAACCCTACTATGCTTGAGGTACAGGAAAGAAGGATACTATCAAAAGGCATCATGCAGCTGGCACGGAACTGGGACAAGAATTTGGGGGCAGGATGGCCAAGTGCTAGGCCAATTGACGGTCTCCAAACCATTAGCACAGCTCCTATTCTGAATGGAGGAGTAAAAACAGCTGTTGGAGAACTTGGACGTCATCTGCCCTTGTCAAACCGTTTTCAGGATTAATGTACTTAATTCAGCTTTTTCCACTACACCACACAGCCTCCTGTAAAACACCCTCCCTGCACACAACTTACCCCCAAAGCACCAGGAACCTAGCTGGCTAGAGTTGAGCTTAGGAAAAACCTGAGTGGCTCCAGAGTCAAACTGCGATAACGTTGAGTCAGAGGAGTTAAGGACAAAGTAGAGCTGCACAGAGGCCCACGTCGTGCAAGTGCGTGTCTCCTTCAGAGAAAAGCGTGCCGAGGTAGACTAGGCCCCGGGCAGCAAAAACCCTGTCCCGTCGCCAGCGCCCCGCACCGCCAGAGCGACTGGAGCAGACGCGAGCGCTGGGCACGTAGCCGGTGGCGCGCACGCTCAGCCCGAGGCCGCACGGGAGGCTGTCTGGCGTGCGCGCCCCCGCGGCGGTGGGCGGGGTCCGGGGCGGGGCCGCAGGAGCAGTAGGTGTTAGCAGCTTGGTCGCGACAGGTGCGCTAGGTAGAGCGCCGGGACCTGTGACAGGGCTGGTAGCAGCGCAGAGGAAAGGCGGCTTTTAGCCAGGTAAGGGCCTTCTCTCTCCACAACCGGAGAGTGCGGGAAGACCCCGGCTTCTCTCCACACCCTCTTTCTCCTTCGACTTTTGGGGCGGGGGGAGTGCAAGGAGTGTGAGTCCCTCCCCCTCGAGATAAGGGGTCGAGGGACGCTGATCCTCCGTTCTTTCCTCACTTCTGGGGCCTGCGCTGGGTGGGGAGTGCTTATGTCGGGCTGAGCCTTTGCTGCCCAAGGGCGGGAGCTGCAAATACCCCGTCCTCTCCCACCGAGAACACTGCATTCTAACTGTATACTTTCTGGTGTGGTGGAGGAAGGTGACAATTCATTAAAACTCCAAATACCCTCCTTCCAGGGAAATACTGTAATATTCAACTGTTCTTTTTCCTTCATTTTCAGCCATTCCCTCTCTTTTCGATTTTTTCTCCCTTCCATTACGCCAGCTGAACTCTGTTTAAGACACTTACACCCTTTTGAGGAATGTTGAGAATATAGCAGTCCTTGCAGCCGATGTGTCATCCCCGAATCGCTATCGTGTATATATCGCTGGCACTTGCCCCCGACATATGTTGGTGTTAATGTAAGGTAATTGTACACCCCTGGCTACACATACTAAAGCTTGAAGTTGTAGCTGCTAGGAACGAACCATCTGGCACCCTTCCTAGCCTCCTTACTGATGCTTGCAAGAACGGTTTAGCTGATCCTGGTGAGAGATATTTGAACTACTATTGTCTTGCACCTAATTCCAGCTTTCAAAAGTCTGCCTTGGACGGGCGCAGTGGCTCACGCCTATAATCCCAACACTTTGGGAAACTGAGGCGGGAGGATCGCTTGAGCCCAGGTGTTTGAGACCAGCCAAGGCAACTTAGCGAGACCCTTGTCTCTACAAAAAAATAAATAAATAAATAAAAATAAAAGATAAGTCTGCCTAATCCAGATCTGCCTAATCCAGATGGTTCAATTGACTTGACTTTTCAGGTTAGTCAAAGGTAATTAGGGAGTTATCAGTTTTTAAGGCAATGCCCATTTTGGGGAGAGGTTTTCTTTTGCATTAAGTATTCTTTCTTTTGCTCTTGATTTAAATGGTTTAACACAGTACCTTTTATCTGCTTGGTTACCAATACTATTCACAAATGCTAAATATTTCAGGAGCCATGAAATAACACCAATCCTTTCTTCTGAGGTATGATGTAGACACAAAAGAACATGACCCCTAACAACATGTTCTAAGTTCCTGTAGAGGTATAACCTGGGTGCAGGATGATCACGTTTTAGATAGATCTTCAAAAAATTATAGAGTTGGCGTGAAAGAAGGCAAAAAAAAGTGTGTGTTCATATATGTTTTCTTGTTTTGCATTGATAGAACAACATATAATGTACTAGGTAATTAGTTTAGGAACTTATTTCATTCTTTGGACAAAATATTGAGTGCCTTTCATGTCAGTCCTACTGTAGATTCAAAGTGCCAAACGTCTTTACCCTAAAAGAACTTAAAATCAAATGGGTTAGACAGATCCACATACAATTTATGGTATTAGTGAGGTCATTTCTATACTAGAGGTCAGCCCAGGGTACTGTAGGAGCATAGGGAATATAGGTGTTTTGTTTTGTTTTTTAATTCTCTCTTCTGCTTTTCCTTAAAAACAAAAACCTCTGAGTAATAATGAGTGATTCTCTTCAATCTATGTATTTGTATCACTTTCATATTTCTTACCCTCTCTTCCTCCAATTCTATGGCCTATGGAAAATGGGATTAGACCCTGTTGTTAATGTGGCATTTAGTAAATAGTTGGATCTGTTTCCACTGTTCTGTATTGGGCTGGGAAGTGTTGTTATCAGGTAGTCCCTGGGAAGAGAACAGTATATTGGCAACATTAGCAAAGGAGTGCCATTTTGTAAAAATTACCTCATTGTATAACTTTCTTTAACTTGGTACACTCAAGCTTTGTTCCAGACTCTGGTTAAAGGTGGGGCTAAATTTCAACCTAATAATTCTAAAAGAAAGCTTCAGAAGCTAAAACAATTCACATCTTGGTGACAGGGGATACTTTTTCCTGCTAAGATGCCCTCAAAATGTTTTTCTCTTTCTTTTTTTCTTGGGTGGGGAAGACAGGGTAGATAGGTGGGTGGGGAAAAATGTTTTTAAGTATAATTTTGACTAGTGTTTCTTCAGGTTTCAAATTCTTATATTTTCTCTGGTATTTTTCACCAGTTAACTGCAATTAACTTAGAGCCCTCGTACCAAAAAAATTTATCAAAGACACACACACAGACACAAAAGAATATTGAGAGTGTGGGAGTTCATTAGACATCTTTGGCATAATAGGGCACCTAACCACAAATTGGAAGAATTTATTATTTAAATTGACAGTGAAACTAGTTTCAGGCATTCTTAATTCCATACACTATTAGATAGATGACTTTTAGATTAGAATTGTACCCTTTCTGCAGATAGGAAAATGTATAACGAGTCCTAAGTTAGTAATTTCCATTAGAAAAGGCAATTGTTTTTTAAGTTTGCTATTGTCTTTCACTGTATGTTTTTTGATAGAAACTTAAGGTACTTCATTTTAGATTGCATACAGTAATCTCCAGGTGAGGTTACTTAACACAGCCTCTTCAGGTTACTAACAAACCAGTGGTTGTAAATGAAGTAGTTTCTACTTAATGATTATGGAGTTGAGAGTCTATGGTGGATGATAAGGTAGGACCATACTGATGAGTTTATTCTGAAGCTGGGTGCAGAGTCCTCAAGACTCAGTCAAATTATTGTGCTACTGAAGACCTCTTTTCATAAAAAGGATGGAGTTTGACCTAACAAGCAATCCATTATTCAGCATGTCAGATGATTTCTTGACACGTGAAAACTTTCTAGAGACTTCCTGTGTCCACTCATAAGAAGTTAACATGATACCATGAAAATTTTACATTCTTTTGATGTTCTTTTAAATAATTTCTTAATACTACTACCCTGGGCCGGGCGCGGTGGCTCACGCCTGTAATCCCAGCACTTTGGGAGGCCGAGGCGGGAGGATCACGAGGTCAGGAGATCGAGACCATCCTAGCTAACATGGTGAAACCCAGTCTCTACTAAAAATACAAAAACAAAATTAGCCGGGCGTGGTGGCAGGCGCCTGTAGTCCTAGCTACTCGGGAGGCTGAGGCGGGAGAATGGCGTGAACCCGGGAGGCGGAGCTTGCAGTGAGCGGAGATCGCGCCACTGCACTCCAGCCTGCGTGACAGAGTGAGACTCCGTCTCAAAAAAAAAAAAAAAAAAAAAAAAAAAATACTACTACCCTGAAACTAAGAACTTTCATCTTTAGGGGAAAAAAAGATGCAACTTTTTTGTACTTCTGATAACAAGTGTGGATCTATTTTCCCCCTTAATTATTCTGTAACAGAGTTTATGATATGGAAAACTTTACAGTCCTTCAAATATGTTTTGTCTTGCACAAAGTATTGCCATTTTTGTTTCATTACCCATAAATTAGTCCCAATATCCGCTTTACTTAGTTTTAGATTTCCACAATCTTTTTTTTCTCCATAAACTGAAATTCAAGCTAATGCCCCGGGACTTCTTTTATTTCATAGTCAGTTTTACTAAACAGGTAACATTTGCTCAGCTTTGGCGTCTGAGCAAAAATTTGGCTTCCAGCACTACAGGAAAGCTGTCTGTCCATGCATAGTATCCAGTGGTTTCTGTCTAACGGTCCTTACCCCTTGGCAATAACTGACCAAGTGAACAACTTGTCTAGTTCTTCCTTTCATTTGCTTTTCTTGACATGACTACTATCTGGTTCTCCATTTTCTAATCTAACCACTTACTCCCATGATCCATTAACTCAGTCTTTTTGCCCCTTAAATGCCGGGTTCACCATAGCCCTGCTCAGCTTCCTATTCTCACTATACTTTCTCCCTTTATAATCTGATTTCTTTCCATGACTTCCACTATCACCTCCATGTAAGTGGCCTGAAAATTTATCTTTTTAAAAAACTTCTTTCATATTGTATATATAATTGTTTTATTTTCATATATGCCAACACATTTAAAAATAAAAATTATAGATATTTATATTATTATAAAATAAAAATTATATATGTTTATTATAGAAAATGTGGAAAAAACAGGCCGGGTGTGATGGCTCATGCCTGTAATCCCAGCACTTTGGGAGGCTGAGGCGGGTGATCACTTGAGGTCAGGAGTTCGAGACCAGCCTGGCCAACATAGTGAAACCCCATCTCTACTAAAAATACAAAAATTAGCTGGGCATGGTGGCGCATGCCTGTAGTCCCAGCTACTAAGGAGGCTGAAGCAGGAGAATCCCTTGAACCCAGGAGGCAGAGGTTGCAGAGAGCCAAGCTCATGCCACTGCACTCCAGCCTGGGTGACAAAGCAAGACTCCATATCAAAAAAAAAAAAAGAAAAGAAAAGAAAAAAAGAAAATGTGGAAAAAACAAATTATAAAGAAGACAAAATAACCCATATTCCATAATCTGTTCCAGAGAGATCTATCATTTGATATATTTCCTTTCAGTGGTTTTGTTTTCTTTGATATACACACACTCACATAAACACAAAGGTAATTGAACTCATACTGTTGCAGTAGATATAGTTTTGTGTCTGCTTTTTTTGCTTTATATTATTTTTCATAGCATCAAAAATTTTTGAAAACATTTAAATGGATATTTAATCTCCATTGTAATCTATTTAATAATTTATTATATTGAGGTTGCATAATTTATTTGTGTTTTGGTTTTACATTAAATGAAAACAATTGAGAACAAATTTATGCATAAATCTTTGTGCAAATGACTCATTATTTCCTTAGGTTAGATTCCCAGAGGTTGAATTACCAGGTCAAGGAGTGTGAAAATTTAAAAATACTAAACCTGCTCCCAAATTGCTTTTTGTAAAGATTAGACTAATTAACATTCTCAACTGCAGTGATTGTGAGTGCCCATCTTAGTGCGGCCTTGGTAACATTGAATATTATTATTATGATGATTTTTGAGATGGAGTCTCGCTCTGTCGCCCAGGCTGGAGTGCAGTGGCACGATCTCTGCTCACTGCAAGCTCCACGTCCCGGGTTCATGCCATTCTCCTGCCTCAGACTCCTGAGTAGCTGGGACTACAGGTGCCCGCCACCACACCTGGCTATTTTTTTTTTTATTTTTAGTAGAGATGGGGTTTCACCGTGTTAGCCAGGATGGTCTCAATCTCCTGACCTTGTGATCCGCCCACCTCGGCCTCCCAAAGTGCTGGGATTACAGGCATGAGCCACCTCGCCCAGCCCGTCTGGCTAATTTTTGTGTTTTTTAGTAGAGACAGGGTTTCACCCTGTTGATCAGGCTGACCTCAAGCCCCTGACCTCAGGAGATCTGCCCACCTCGGCCTCCCAAAGTGCTGGGATTACAGCATGAGCCACCGCGCCCGGCCCGAATATTATTTTTTAATCTTTACTAATTTGATAGGCAGAAATGAATTAATTTGTATTTCTTTGCTAGTGAGAGAGAACATTTTTCATACATTCATTTCTGTTTCTTCTGTGAATTATGTCTGGGTTAATCCCACTCCCATTTTTATTTGGGCGTTAACATTTTAATTATGTTGGTTTTTTGTTTGGTATTCTTTTATTTGGAGCGTTTTGTGGGGGAAGCACAGGCTTTTATTAGACCAAATAGAGTGAATGGAGTGACAAAGTGGAAAGTATACAGAAGTTGGAATTGTGGTGTTATAAATGCCCATTGTTTTGAGGGGCCAGAGCTTGTGATCAATGAAGCAGTACTGCAGAATGGAAAGGGTGCTATTTGAGAGTCAGGATTCCCAACTTAATGTTGTCATCAACCAATCAGGTGATCTTGGACAAGTCATTGATTCATTGACTCAGAGCCTCATCTGTAAAATGAGAGGGTTGGGCTTTTGATCCCCAAGACTGGACAACCTCTGTGCTGAAAGGATGCCTTTGGAGCTACTACTGTTCACTAGACATTCTGGAATTACTTTCTGTCTCATCTCTAACCTTTCACCTAATTTTAGATATATAGAGCCTGAGGAAAGACTGGATGCAGTAAAGGCAGTGTCCACCGGAGTAGCAAGGGGAGCCTGGGGACAGCTTAATTTGTTTGTGCCCTTTAACTTTCAGGAAAATAGAAGTATAAAAAAAAAATTGAATGGGGTTCTTGCTGTGGGGGTTGGGGGAAGAAAAGAAAAAAAAAGAAGTCAAAAAGATTGGTATTTTTTTAGGCACTCCCATAGACTGACACTTGGAAACTGGTAAGATAAAATCACAGAAGCCCTGCTGACCTGTGCCACAAAACTCGATTATCTACAATGTATGTGAAAAATGTCTCATTTTGTGACTAGAGGGTGTACGTCTCCAAGGCAAGTTATTTAACAACTTCTTCTACTTCATACAGAACCATTCTTAGTGTTTTTCTTTGAGATTGGTATAAACTCTTCTAAGAATATTAATTTTTTGTCCTGTGGTCAAATATTTAACCAGTTTGCCTTTTAATTTTGTATATAGTATATTATTACTTATCTATAGATTTTTTTTTTTTTGAGACAGTGTGTCACTCAGTCACCCAGGCTGGAGTGCAGTGGCACAATCTCGGCTCACTCTAGCCTCCTCCTCCAGGGTTCAAGTGATTCTCATGCCTCAGCCTCCCAAGTAGCTGGGATTACAGGCACATGCCACCACGCCTAGCTAATTTTTGTATTTTTAGTAGAGACAGGGTTTCTCCATATTGGCCAGGCTGGTCTTGAACTCCTGACCCAGGTAATCTGCCCGCCTCGGCCTTCCAAAGTGTTACAATTACAGGCGTGAGCCACCACACCCAGCCTGGATTTTTAAATTTGAGATTTCTTCTGGTGCTGTGATGTTTAGAAGGCCTTCACCATCCAGAGATTGGTTAAATACTCACTTTCATTTCCTTCTGATTTTTACCGTTTTACACTTTATATTTAATTCTTTAATTTGTATTGAACTTACTTTGAAGTACCAAACCAATATGTTTAATGCCTTTGTATATCTGAGTTCCAGATCTGTATTTCCAGCTACCTGTTAGGCTATGTGGATAGTCCCTGTACGCCATGCATCTGCGTACACCCAGATTCACTAAGGAGAAAGCTTGAGGTTGTACTTACCACTTTAATACTTTTCTCCACCCACATTTGATCAATCCCCAAGTTTGGCTGATTCTGCCCCAGGGGTGATAAGAGTTCTTTAATCAGTCTTCTAATTCAGATTCCCCTTTTAGTTTTTTGCCAGAGTCCTTGAGTCCTTGAGTAATCCTTAGAGTTGGCTTCAGTTTTTCCCTTGCAGAAAAGTTATCAGAGTTGTCATAAAAAAAAAAAGCACTGATTTTCAAAATATGGTTCCTTTAATTGCCTGTGTTAGAATTACCTGGCAGTGGTTAAAAAGGTAGAGTCTCAGGTCCCACCTAGACCTGCAGATCAGTGTGTCTGAGGGATGGGCCTGGGAACCTGAAGTTTATCAAGTACCTCAAGAGATTTATATACAAACTTAAGGGGAGACAATGCCTAAGTAAATTCAGTCTAGCTTTCTGACATGCTCTTCAAGACACCCACACCCCCACTCTGACAGCCTATTCTTTTAGGCTTATCTCCCACAACACGACCCACCCACCTGGCACTGTGACCCTACAATAATTCTCTGTTTCCTGGACCTGCCCAGTTCTTTCCTGCCTCTGTGCCTTTGCTCATGCAGTTACCACAGCCTCATGCTCCTCCCCTTCCCCACCCTCTTGTTGAAATCCTTTTCCTTAAGAGCCCAAATCAAATGCTACCTTTTTAAATTTTTTTAATAAAAAAAAGCCTTTTCTAATTTCTTCTACTTGAATCAGTGGCTGCCTCCCCAGTCTTTATACTTAACACTTGATTTTTGCTTCATTTCTTACCTTACTTAATGTTGTCACTATTTATAAATTATTGCTTCCTTGTAAGATTACAAGCCTTTTAGGTATGAGAACCTTTCCCTTCCTTTTCATTTTGTGGCCATTATGCACATATAAACAATTAAGAACTCATTTTATTTTATTATTTTGAGACACAGTTTCATTCTGTCCCAGGTTGGAGTGCAATGGCGCAATCTCAGCTCACTGCAACCCCCACCTCCTGGGTTCAGGTGATTCTCATGCCTCAGACCTCCGGAGTAGCTGGGACTACAGGCACGCGCCACCACGCCTGGCTAATTTTGTTTTTTTTTTGTATTATTAGTAGAGACAGGGTTTCACCATGTTGGCCAGGCTGGTCTAGAACTCCTGGCCTCAAGTGATCTGCCCACCTCAGCTTCCCAAAGTGCTGGGATTATAGGCATGAGCCACCGCACCTGGCCAAAGTACTCATTTAGTACATGAAATATATCTGATCTTGCAAACACACTTTTATATAATAATGTTTGGCTTTGTATCACACATAGAATAAAATTAAAATCCTTTAGCATTGTTATTAATCCGTATTTAATCTGACTACTACTCATCTCTGTGTCATCGCATGCTTCTCACTTACTTCCTAGCTGTATTATTCCTTCCTCAGGGCCTTTGCATTTGCTTTCCTCTACCTGGAAAACTCCCCCATCTATTGTCTTCACCTTGCTGGCTGCATATGTTCTCCCCATCATTCAGGTTTCAGTTCAAATGTCATTCACTCAATGAGGCCTTCCCTGATCACTGCCTAAAGAAGCTGTTCGTGTCCCTGTTCCTACCACAACTCCAGTTACTCTTTTTGTATTTCCTTCACACCACTAATCACAGTCTTTAATTGTCCGGCTTCTCCAGTGGAATGGAAATTTCATGAGAGTAGAGACCATGTCTGTCTTTTTTTTTTTTGAGATGGAGCCTCACTCTGTCACCCAGGGTGGAGTGGAATGGCACGATCTTGACTCACTGCAACCTCCAACTCCCAGGTTCAAGAGTCTCCTGCTTCAGCCTCCCAAGTAGCTGGGACTCCAGGCACCTGCCACCACACCCAGCTAAATTTTTTATTTTTGGTAGCGACAGGATTTCACCATGTTGGCCAGGATGGTCTGCATCTCTCGACCTCATTATCCGCCTGCCTTGGCCTCTCAAAGTGCTGGGATTACAGGCGTGAGCCATCGCGCTCGGCCTTGTCTGTCATTTTTAACATTATATCTTCAGCACTTGGAATACTGCCAAAGACTTGGTAAATGCTAAATAAATATTTGTTGAATGAATGAATAAGCCTTGAAGATGGACTTTTCATTTGGACAAGTCTTGTTTTGTTTTGCAATCCAAAGTGTTGTATTTTTTTTAACTGGACAACAGCTGAGGTCGGTCCATCTGGGTTCAAATCAGGTAGCAGTCTCTGAGGAGTTCGGAAGGTAGCAGGACAAAAGTTTGGATACTGTGACAACCAGGATTAAGTTCCATCTGAGTGCAAGTTTTCTAAGGTGTTTCCAGGATCCAGGCCACTATTTTCCTACCACTATAGCCATCTACTTCCCAGATTGTTACTCTGGATTATACTAGTCTATCAACTCCTATTACATTTTCAAAAGCCAGTGTGGCAAAACTAAAACCCAATTACTGGAATCCACAAACAACCAGAAGTTTTCTTCTGTTTTCATTCTCTAGGAGAAAAATTAGAAAGCTATCTAGAATCTTCAAGAAAAAATGAAATGATTTTCATTATACTTACTATTAACACATGCTCTGAAATGTGTTACTGTTTAGACACACTGTTTAGACAGTGTACTGATTAGAAAGATTTTCAGCAACAGCTTTAAACAAAAGGTTTCTTATTAACATCTAGTTGAACCAGACATTATAATGAATTAGTTCTAATTTCTATTTCTTTTCATTGGTTAGTCTTTTTTAATTCCATTTTTTTTCTTAATGCTGGCTTGAAGTTTTATTTAAAATAATGCTTTGTAGAGTAGCTGACAGTTTTCAAAGTACTTTTGCTTTTATCCTTTCATTTAGTCCTCATAAGCATCCTGTGTGAATCAATACCTGTTTTTGAGATGAAGAAATTGAGGCCCAAAGACAGTGATGATCTTTCCCCTGCCAACTGAAAGACCACTACCCAGCAAATGCCTCTCAATAACTATTTTCTACAGTCCCGAATTAAATGTAGCTTTTAGAAGCTAATCATTAAAATTCAATTGAAACAGTAACATTAATATGTTTATAACCAGGCCAGGTGTGGTGGCTCACGCCTGTAATCCCAGCACTTTAGGAGGCCAAGGCTGGCGGATCACTTGAGGTCAGGAGTTCGAGACCAGCCTGGCTAACATGGCAAAACTCCGTCTCTACTAAAATTACAAAAATTAGCCTGGGAGAGAGAGTAAGGCTCCCTCTTAAAAAAAAATGTTTATAACCAATTCTTTTTTTTTTTTTTTGAGACAGAGTCTTGCTCTGTTGTCCAGGCTAGAGTGCAGTGGTGTGATCTCTGCTCACTGCAAGCTCCACCTCCTGGGTTCACGCCATTCTCCTGCCTTAGCCTCCCGAGTAGCTGGGACTACAGGCGCCCGCCACAACGCCCGGCTAATTTTTTGTATTTTTTTTAGTAGAGAAGGGGTTTCACCATGTTAGCCAGGATGGTCTCGATCTCCTGACCTCGTGATCTGCCTGCCTCGGCCTCCCAAAGTGCTGGGATTACAGGGGTGAACCACCACGCCCGGCCCTATAACCAATTCTTAATAAGATACCTAGCACTGGTCCAGATAAGTAGCCAAATTTTATCACTTGTGTGGCGGTGTGATTTGGTACATCTTTATGTGATCAGCCTCAGTGATGCTTGTCCTTTATTAAGGCATTGTTACGTGGTAGCTGCTCAGATTTTTTTTTTTTTTTTTTGAGACGGAGTTTCGCTCTTGTTGCCCAGGCTGGAATGCAATGGCACGAGCTCGGCTCACTGCAACCTCCACCTCCCGGGTTCAAGCAATTCTCCTGCCTCAGCCTCCCGAGTAGCTGGAATTACAGGCATGCACCACCATGCCTGGCTAATTTTTTTGTATTTTTGGTACAGACGGCGTTTCTCCATGTTGGTCAGGCTGATCTCGAACTCCCGACCTCAGGTGATCCGCCCGCCTCGGTCTCCCAAAGTGCTGGGATTATAGGAATGAGCCACCGTGCCCGGCCAGCTTCTCTTTTAAAGAAAGGAAGGATTAAAGAACTTGCCTAGAGAAGAGTCACTTTTTAGTAAATCCATTTTAATTCTCCTGCTTGAAGGTATTGGTTAAACTGATCTGAACTGACTCTTCAGATTGAGCAAGTCCTGAAAAACAGCACATCATCTAAAATTTCAGATAAGAATGGAAGCCAGGCCCTTCCTGGAAATGTCCAGAAGTGAAACTAAGAAGCCCTGTATTTGGAGAAAACTTGATTAGTTATTAAGGACAAAGGGCTGCTTTAAGAAGGTTATATCTTTAACAGAAGGAGCCTTCCTAAAATAAGCGTATGTGTTTCTTTTGCTTTGAGATTGTAAAGAAGGCTCCTTAATGAACTATTTTGCCTTAATTAAGCATGTAATTGGCAAGACTTATGAGCATGTAGTTTCTCGGCAGATTTTCAGTTATGTAGGTGGGCCTTTGCTGAGATGTGTGGCAATTCAGTACTAGTGTAACACTGTTTTTCATTCATATAACAGATATTTATTGAGCCCCTACATGTTCCAGGCACTGGTATTCAGTACATCTGATGTTAAAGTATGGAAAGGTACAAAGGTTAAAGGAGAAATATGCTGTTCAGAGGAAGTCTGTGCTTTGTCGTGATGGTCTTGGTCAATTGTAAATTTCCACATTCTTTTTCTAATTAGCTATGTTTTTCTCTACTCTTTACCTTAAATTTGAAGCTAGTGACTTAATGATCTGTTTTTCTACTTACTGAAAGAGATTTTTCTTACTATGTGTGAAAAAAAACTACTGGAAAAATAAGAAAACCTCACTTCGTTGGATTATGTTTGCCCTTAGAATAAGTTAATGATCAGCTGGGACGGGGAGGGAAAGAACCAAATGAGCAAATAACAAATTTTATTAATTGGGAGAGAGGTGGAGTTAGACTTGAATTTGATCTGGTAATTTTTTAATTTAAAGGGAAAAAAAAAAGATTAGGAAAGTTCTTGGGTGGTTCTTCATGACCTACAAATTTTAGACCAAAGTCAGTTGTTTTTGTTTTTCAAGATAGAGTCTTGCCCTGTCGCCGAGGCTGGAGTGCAGTGGCATAGTCACGGCTCACTGCAGCCTCAAACTCCTGGGCTCAAGTGATCCTCCCACCTTAGCCTCCCAAAGTGCTGGGATTACAGGCGTAAGCCACAGCACCTGGCCCAAAGTCAGTTTTTTGTTTGTTTGTTTGTTTTGAGACGGAGTCTCGCTCTGTCGCCCAGGCTGGAGTGCAGTGGCACGATCTCGGCTCACTGCAAGCTCCGCCTCCTGGGTTCATGCCATTCTCCTGCCTCAGCCTCCCGAGTAATTGGGACCATAGGCACCCGCCACCACGCCCGGCTAATTTTTTGTGTTTTTAGTAGAGACGGGGTTTCACTGTGTTAGCCAGGATGGTCTTGATCTCCTGACCTCGTCATCCGCCCACCTCGGCCTCCCAAAGTGCTGGGATTACAGGTGCCCAAAGTCAGTTTTCAAAGGCTGTAACTGGGGTTACTCTTTTTTACCTGTCTAAATAAGATATGTGAAGATTACCACAATTATGTAAAAAACTAATTTGGGGTTCATAAGCACAAGAAGATAAGATATTCACACAAATGAATAAGGTAATAGAAGCCCTGTGGGAAGGTTATAGTTATGTTCTCTTCAACATAGAGTTCTTTTTTTTTTTTTTTTTTTTTTTTTGAGATAAGGTCTCACTCTGTTGCCCAGGCTGGAGTGCAGTGGCGTGATCTGGATTCACTGCAACCTCCACCTCCAAGGCTGAAGCAATCCTCCCACCTCAGCCTTCTGAGTAGCTGGGATTACAGGCTCAAGCCACCACACCTGGCTAACTTATTTGTTTGTACTTTTTGTAGAGATGGGGTTTTGCCATTTTTCCCAGGCTGGTCTTGAACTCCTGAACTCAAGCAATCTATCCTCCTTGGTCTCCCAGAGTGCTGGGATTACAGGCGTGAGCCACTGTGCCTGGCCCAACTTAGAGTTCTTACAGAGGTGTTGATGCGTTGATAACACCTAAAATTTTATCCCTTTTTTTTTTTTTTTTTTTTTTTTTTGACAGAGTTTCACTCTTGTTGCCCAGGCTAGAGTACAATGGCGCGATCTCGGCTCATCGCAACTTCTGCCACCCGGGTTCAAGAGATTCTCCTGCCTCAGCCTTCCCGAGTAGCTGGAATTACAGGCACGTGCTACCACACCTGGCTAATTTTGTATTTTTAGTAGAGACGGGGTTTCTCCACGTTGGTCAGGCTGGTCTTGAACTCCCGACCTCAGGTGATCCGCCCACCTCGGCCTCCCAGAGTGCTGAGATTACAGTCATAAGCCACCGTGCCTAGCCTTTTTAAATTTTTTTTTTTTTTTTTTTTTTATTTGACGGAGTTTTGCTCTTGTTGCCCAGGTTGGAGTGCAATGGTGTGATCTCAGTTCACTGCAACCCCCGCCTCCCAGGTTCAAGCGATTCTCTTGCCTTAGCCTCCCAAGTAGTTGGGATTACAGACATGTGCCACCACACCCGGCTAATTTTTTGTATTTTTAGTAGAGACGGGGTTTCTCCATGTTGGTCAGCTGGTCTCAAACTTGTGACCTCAGGTGATCCTCCCGCCTCGGCCTCCCAAAGTGCTGAGATTACAGGCATGAGCCACTGCGCCCGCTCCTAAAATTTTATCCTTAAGAGAGATAACTTTTACCGATTTAGACTTTATGGTGCAGAGAAATGGTGTCAGGTCTTTGATCAGATCTGGTGTTCCTGGTAGTAACCATCAGTTTCTCAGATATTATTACATTAGAGATATTCTCTTTTTATTGGTGATTTAACAGAAATAAGCTGACCCTGAAATATCATGTACGCTAGAACTGCTTTTCTGGTTTATTTTCCGTGCTGCAGATCATTTTGTTTCCAGGCCAACCTCCTAAAAAATGAAAAGAGCTAACATTTATTTAACTTCTTTGGGCCTCAGTTTCTTCATCTGAATATTATTCAATAATACACTTACATAAAGTGAGTCGGTAATAATTCTGAGTGTGTTACTGTGAAGATTAAATAAGTTATATATGCAAAACAATTAAGACAGTATCTGACACATGGTAAATGGTCAATAAATGTTAGGTATTTTTATTACCACCACTGCTATCATTATTAAGTACTTATTTTAGCAATGTGCTAAGAGAACATTTTAGTGATGATGAAACTAAGGCTTAGAGTAATTTTCCTCATGTTACCCAGTAAGTGTGTGGTAGACTCAATATGTAGACTTGAGCCAAAAGGAGCCTTGGGTAGAGTTGGCTTAGATGTGGAATAGGCTGGGGCATCTGGCCCAGCCTTTAATATTCCTAGTTTCAAGACTCTTAAAGGATAAGACCGGTCCAGACAGCCCCTAAATACCGGGAAGATGTGGTTTGTAATATGTCATTAGAACATGGACATTATGGTCTGTGGGATTGTTTCAAATCCTAGCTCTATCAGTTATTAGCTCTGTGACCTTGAGCAAGTTATTGAACATTTCTAGAGCCTTAGTTTCTTCCTCTGTAAAATGAGAATAATAAATATTTGCTGACCCAGTGTGGTGGCTCATGCCTATAATCCCAGCACTTTGGGAGGCCAAGGTGGGAGGATCGCTTGAGCCCAGGAGTTCAAGACGAGCCTGGGCAACATAGCAAGACCCTGTCTCTTACAATAATAATAATAATAATAATAATTGCTTCATGGCAGTGTAAGAATTAAGTGAATAAGATCAAATGGAATGAGATAACATGTAAAGCACCTGGCATATGGCCAGTACTCAATAACCAATCCTCAGGCTTATGCTTAAGGGGTTCAAACTTGTACCTGATTCTGACATTATCTGTCTAGATGGTGAGCGTTTAGGGTCTGGGTCTGCAAAAATTAACATGTTTGGACTCCATATGAGAGGTTCAGATTCCATAGGTGATCCTGATACTCAGAGTACCACCCTTATCTGAAAGCACTAGACTGGGTGGTGGAGGGTAGCAGCAGTGATCCTCTCTCAATGCCTGGGCTGTCAGTGTCCGTCAGGCTTCTTACAGGGTTGTGCTCTGCTTAGAATATTAATGAGCAGTCAGGGGTGGGTGTCCTGCAAAAGGGAACCCCGCAGAAACGAGGCACTCATCTGTATAGTCAAGCGGCATTTTTGTTTGGAAAGAATATTAATGAGATCTGGATAAGAATCAGACACCAGGAAAGGACAGCTGCTGTGAGAGGCAAATCCAATTGTACAAGGAGTTACACATGATATTCAGAAAGTCCTTGTATAATTTAAAAAAAAGTAAGTTGTAGAGATAATAAACAATTTATAAATGTCGTTAAAAAAATAAATGTGGCCGGGCACGGTGGCTTACACCTGTAACCCCAGCAGTTAGGGAGGCAGAAGTGAGAGATAGGTTGAGGCTAGGAGTTTGAGGCCAGCCTGGGCAACATAGTGAGACCTCATTCTTCACCAAAAGAAAAAATAGGCAGGCTGGGTGTGGTGGCTCATGCCTGTAATCCCAGCACTTTGGGAGGCCGAGGCAGGTGGATCACAAGGTCAAGAGATCAAAACCATCCTGGCCAACATGGTGAAACCCCGCCTCTACTAAAAATACAAAAATTCACTGGGTGTGGTGGCATGCACCTGTAGTCCCAACTACTCAGGAGGCTGAGGCAGGAGAATTGCTTGAACCCAGGAAGTGGAGGTTGTAGTGAGCCAAAATTGCACCACTGCACTCCAGCCTGGCGACAGAGCGAGACTCTGTCTCAAAAAAAAAAAGTAAATGTGGCCAGGGGGCACGGTGATTCACACCTGTAATCCCAGCACTTTGGGAGGCCAAGGAGGGTGGATCATCTGAGGTCAGAAGTTCGAGACCAGCCTGGCCAACATGGTGAAACCCTATCTCTAAAAAAAAATACAAAAATTAGCTGGGCGTGACCGGGTGCGGTGGCTCACGTCTGTAATCCCAGCACTTTGGGAGGCCAAGGCAGGTGGATCACGAGGTCAGCAGATCGAGACCATCCTGGCTAACACGGTGAAACCCCATCTCTACTAAAAATACATATAAAATTAGCCGGACATTGTGGGGGATGCCTGTAGTCCCAGCTACTTGGGAGGCTGAGGCAGAAGAATGGCGTGAACCCGGGAGATGGAGCTTGCAGTGAGCCGAGATTGCGCAACTGCACTCCAGCCTGGGCGACAGAGCTAGACTCCGTCTCAAAAAATAATAATAAAAATAAAAAAATTAGCTGGGCATGGTGGCACGCCCCGGTAATCCCAGCTACTCAGGAGGCTAAGGCAGGAGAATCACTGGAACCCAGGAGGCAGAGGCTGCAGTGAGCCAAGATCAGGCCACTGCACTCCAGCCTGGGTGACAGAGTGAGACTCTGTCTCAGAATAAAAAAAAAGTAAATGTATTGAGTGGCCAACACATATTTGAAAATATGCTCAACCTCACTCATGATTAAAGGAGTGAAAACTAAAACAATAATGTACCATTTTCACACATCTATCAGATTGGAAAAAATAAAAATAATGCTTATTACTGACAAGAATGTGGAGAAAGATTCAAATATAAATGGATGTGACTTTTTTGAGGGAAATCTCAGAATATCTATTTAAAAATTTAATGCATAGGCCTTTTAAACTAGAAATGCTCCTTCTAGGAATTTATGCCGTAGATGCACCCCGCCCCAGGTAGGCAATAGTACAAGCATGTTTGTTCCATTCTTATTCATAACAGTGAAGAAGCAAAAGCAACCTACATGATCATCCACAGGGGCCTTGTTAAATAGGTTTTAAACTATTACAGAATGAAATATTATGAGGTACTGAAAGATTGAGATAGATCTGTATGCCCTGAGGTGGGAAGATGTTCAAGAGGAAATAAATAATTGCTGAACAGCACATTAACATGAAACCATTGTATTTCTAAAACATGTTTGTATTTATGCATGTTGTGTGTCAATTTCTCTGTGCCTCAGTTTTCTCATCTGTAAAATAGGCATCCTGATGGTACCTACCTCATGACTTGTTGCAAGGGTAAACTGAGATAACATATGTAGAGTGCTTAGTACAGTGACTGACACATAGTGCTTTGTGGTGGCAATTATTATTGTATAGGTAATAACAGAAAGTTTATGCTCCAGACTTTGACAGAGGTTACCTTTGAGAAGTAGAATTGGTTTGGGGGGAGGGCAGACAAGAGCTGGCAGGGACTTCTACTTCTTACATTGTGTATTTCCATAGCATTGTTTATATGGAGCAGGCCCATCCCTGGCCAGTCACTGACCGAGGAGCCTAGACAGTGAAGGAAGTGGCAGCTCTGTAGGCTCAACAAGTAGGCTTGTTGAGACCTGCAGAAGAAGGTTCCCCATGGGAAGGAGGAGGATAAGGAAGGGTGGTGCTGTGTGGAGATGGGAAGGATGTTTGTGGATTCCACCATGGCTACTGAAGTTTTTTTTTTGAAAACCACCTGACCTAATTAAAGATTTAAAAAATTTACATTGCACAAGAACCTTACAAAGCCCAGCTTGTATTTGGACTTATCCTTTTTATAATTCACTAAGTTATATTTATACTAAAAAAGTGATTTGTGTTTAATTTGACTTTTGAATAAAAACTACAGAAAATAATTGGTCAAAGTGCTCAAAACAAACATTTTAAAAAATGGGTAGTTTTTCTAATAATTATGAAATAAAAATATTGATATTTTAAAGAAACAATTTCTCTTCAACTAATGTTACTACTTCCATTATATAGTGATGAGCAATTTTTTTTTTTTTTGAGATGGAATTTTGTTCTTGTTGCCCAGGCTGGTGTGCAATGGTGTGATCTTGGCTCACCGCAACCTCCACCTTCCTGGTTCAAGCAATTCTCCTGCCTCAGCCTCCCAAGTAGCTGGGATTACAGGCATGCGCCACCACGCCCGGCTAATTTTGTATTTTTAGTAGAGATGGGGTTTCTCCATGTTGGTCAGACTGGTCTCGAACTCCTGACCTCAGGTGATCTGCCCACCTTGGCCTCCCAAAGTGCTGGGATTACAGGCATGAGCCACCACCCTGGCCAGCCATGTTTTAAATAATGACAGCAACTTTCAAGCTAAAAAGTCAAACAGCTGAAGCAAATGTAACATTTTTGATTTTTTTTTTTTTTTGAGACGGTCTCACTCTGTTGCCCAGGCTGGAATGCAGTGGCACCATCACAGCTCACTGCAGCCTCAATCTCCTAGGCTCAGGCAATCTTCCCACTTCAGCCTGTCAAGTAGCTGGAACCACAGGCACCCACCACCACACCCGGCTAATTATTAAAATTTTTTGTAGAGATGGAGTCTCACCATCATGCCCAGGCTGATCTTGAACTCTGGACTCAAGTGATCCTCCCACCTCAGCCTCCCGAAGTGTTAGGATTACAGGTGTGAGCCACTGTGCCTGGCCATGAATTATTTTTAATCACAGCCTTATTGATCTAAACCTTGTTAAGTCAATATGACACATAAAGTAAGCTAAACCCAAATAGGAGTTCTAGTATCTGAACCTTTAGAATAATGTTTATTGAATGTGGCTTAGACTCTGAAGCATGCGAAGACTGACAAGATCTGCCTCTGACCTCAAGCAATGTGCTGGGCACTGTTTTACATTTATTGTCTCCTTTAGTTTAAAACAACCCCGTAAGGCAGATTTATCATCTTCCTTTTACATAGAAGGAAAGTAAAGTACAGAGAGGTTGCCATGCATCTGGTAAACACTAGAATGGGAATTGGAACCAGCTGCTATTTCCATTCTACTGTCCTGCCTCCAGAGGGTCATGGGGTAAGGGTGGGCAAGGTGAGCCCTGGGGGGGCCACATGAGAATTCTCAGGGACCTCAGTGATCATCTGTCATCGAGTCTAATGATTTTCAAGCCATTGTTTAAAAATTATAAAGTTTTATTGAAAAATTATATACCATACAATTCACCTATTTAAAATGCTCAGTTCAGCGGTTTTAATATGGTCACACAGTTGTGCAGCCATCACCATAATCAATTTTACAACATTTTATCACCTTCCAGAGAAAATTCATACCCATCAGCAGTCAGTTCCTTGTCTTCCTACTGCCAGTCCCAGGCAACCACTAATTCTTTTTCTGTCTCTATAGATTTTCCTGTTCTGGACCTTTCATATAAATGTAATCATACAGTAAATGGTCTTTTGTGGCTGGCTCCTGTCACTTAGCTTAATATTTTCAGGGTTCATCCATGTTGTAGCATGTGTCAGCACTACATTACTCTTTATAGCCGAATAATATTCCCTTGTATGGGCATACCACATTTTGTTCATCCTTTCATCAGTTGACGAACATTTGTGTACAAGTTCTGTGTGGACATGTGTTTTCATTTCTCTTGAGTATATATATATATATACATACTTTATATATATATATATACTTTATATATATATATATATATACTCTCTATATATATATATATATACTCTCTCTATATATATATAGACACACACACACACACACACACACACACAGAGGAATGGAATTGCTGGATCCCATGGTAACTCTGTGTTTAATCTTTTGAGGAACCACCAGACTGTTTTCCAAAGTGGCTGCACCATTTTACATTCCCACCAGCAGTGTATAACGGTTCCAGTTTCTCCACGTCCTCGCTAACACTTGTCAAACTATATTTTAACTATACCCCACAATAAGAAATATTTTACATTCCTACTCAGTTTATACACATACAAATAACTGAAACAAAAACTTTAGAAAAAACCTACCTATACTATGTCTGATGCACTTTGACATTTTCGATTGCATTCTGTTCTTTTTCATCAAAACAAACATGTTGCTTCTGATCGCTCAAGTTGCTTTTACAACTCACTAATTGTGACCTGCAGCTAGAAAAACACTAGGCTATTTTAACCCCTTCATTTTGCACAAGAAGAAAGAGGACCCAGAGAAGTGGCTTGTTCATGGCCATACCACTAATTAGTGGCAGATTCAAAATGAGAGCACAAGCCTGTTGGCTCCCTGCTTTAACTTTGACCTCTCAGTAAATTATAGTTGCCCTTTTATTCGGTAGATAAAAATAAAATAGTTTCTATTTTTTAAGCTTCTTATCTTTCTCAAGCAGCATTTTAAATTCAGCAACAGACCTGGCTAGAGGAAAAAAAAGAATGAGAATAACTCAATTTTATTATCACGAGTCATTGTTTTAACACAATGATTTTGTGCCGTCTGGACAGAAAAGTACTAGGTGAACCTAGATGATGGGCATCAAATTAGGCAGATTGAATTAATCAGTGCAGTGTCTCAGATTCATTTTTGTCCAAACCTCAGTGTACTTTTAAAGAGCAGCCATTTTCCTTACACTGTCAAATTTGAATGGCAACATGAAATTGAAGTGGGCAATATAAGAAATATTTTATGTTGCTGTCTTTCCATTTTTCTTAGAATACATGTAGGTCTTAAACCCTTTACTTACTTATTTTTGAGTCAGAGTCTTGCTCTGTTGCCCAGGCTGGAGTGCAATGGTGTGATCATGGCCCACTGCAGCCTTGACCTCCTGGGCTCAAGTGATCCTCCTGTTTCAGCCAAGTAGCAAGGATCACAGGCATGCACCACCATGCCCAGTTAATTTTTATTTTATTTTATTTTATTTTATTTTATTTTATTTTATTTTATTTTACTTTATTTTTTGGCAGAGAACAGGTCTCGCCATATTGCCTAGGCTGGTCTGGAACTTCTGACCTTAAGCGGTCCTGTCTCCTCAGCCTCCCAAAGTGCTAAGATTACAGGCATGAGCCACTGTGCCCAGCCTTAAACCCTTTAATTCAGTGTTTTCCAGCATTTGATGAGGGAACCTCTGACACTAGAGTTGCTTCAACGTTCTTCTTATTAAAATGTGGGTTTTTTGAGCCCTTCTCCAGACCTAATGAATCAGAATCATGGGATGGGACCTGAAAAATCAGTATTGTATACAAGTTTCCTAAGTGATTCTATGTACACTCAAATTTGTGACCAACTGAATTAAGTGTTTTTCCCCCTTTATTTCTCATCTTCCTTTTGGTTTCTAAAATTACTATTTGGCTTTGTTACCTGTAGAGCCAAATAGTAATTCATTAGCATTTATAAGAAAACACCTAAATTATCTCAGTAGAAGGAGTTAACTAAAACAATATTGATGGGTTTCAGTTTTATTCTACCTTAGTAGAATACTGGAGACCATTTTTTTGATGGCTATCTCCACTGGTTTCCCATACCTTGGAATGATTTATTTTGGAATAAACATATACAACCTACTCTATTGTTTGATTTCTTTTCCCCAGAAACACTAGTCTCTAAAAATAGCTGAATCCAAAAAATTATTTCAGATGCCTGGGATCCCTCTCTTCATTAACAAATACTTGAGTGCCCCCCATGTGTCAGGCACTGTTCTGCAAGTTAAAATACAGTGTGATTTTAAAAAATTACAGTGTGAGCCAGGCACAGTGACTCACACCTGTAATCCCAGCACTTTGGGAGGTTGAGCTGGGAGGATCGCTTGAGCCCAGGAGTTCGAGGCTGCAATAATTATGATCACACCACTGCGTTCCAGCCTGGGAGATAAGAGTGAGACCTTGTCTCAGAAAAAAAATTACCATCTGATCAGGTAGGGATAGGTCTAATACTTTGAGAACTTATAGGGAACCTTTTAGCCCAAGCTTGAGGGGTCAGGGAAGGCATCTGGAACAAAGTGTCACCCAAGCTGGGACCCATAGCAGAAGGCCAGGGAGGCTCAAGCATTTTCAGACAGAGGGTAGCAGTGTCCTCGGGGGGAGTAGTGTGCTCAGAGAATGGCTTGCATCAAGAAATAACTTGAGCATACCTAAAGATGTGAGGAAAAGCTTGTGCAAAATCCATATGTGCAAAGCTTTGTCCAATTTTATTCAAGCTGCATTTATAGAGTTCCTTCTATTTAGAAAGCAATACACTATCACGCCTCTAATCCCAGCACTTGGGGAGGTTGTGGTGGGCAGATCACGAGGTCAGGAGATGGAGACCATCCTGGCTAACACGGTGAAACCCATCTCTACTGAAAAATACAAAAAATTAGCTGGGCGTGGTGGTGGGCACCTGTAGTCCCAGCTACTCGGGAGGCTAAGGCAGGAGAATGACGTGAACCCGGGAGGCGGAGCTTGCAGTGAGCCCAGATCACGCCACTGCCCTCCAGCCTGGGCGACAGAGCGAGACTCCATCTCAAAAAAAAAAAAAAAAAAAAAAAAAAAATATACTAGATGGCAGAAAAGCAAAAGACAAAAAAAGCAGGGAGAGGGGTAAAATAGCATTTACTGATAAGTAAATAAGTAAATAAATGACTTCCTTTTTTTTTTTTTTTTTTGGGGCAAGTTATTAAACTTGCCCAAGATCACTCAGCTAGTGTTCGTGGTGAGAGATCTCAACAGCTAAATTCTAATCCATGCCCCATGCCCTTAGCCTCTTGCTATTTTCTTTCCAAAATGTGTCCCTGTGTTAGGCATTTTATATAGAATTTTTGACTAGCTAGGGTAGGTAATGGTATATGCCTCAGAGAAGTAAAGAAACTTGCACATGTCACCACAGTTAGAGGCCCAGTGAGAACCTGTAAGTTCTCCTTTTAACTTCAAACTTTGTGTACATTTTGTTATACTATGTTATGTGTTATTTTATTTGATAGAAGCAAAAATTCATATACCAATTCTTTGGAGAAAAATGATTTGTAATTAAATGAACTTAATTTGAAGAGTAGAGGTTAAGAAAGGATAATACATATGATTTGGGTTATGTTACGTTGCATATTGGACATATGAAACTATCCAGCATGGAGTAGAAATTCTAGGACTGGGCTGGGCGTGGTGGCTCACGCCTCTAATCCCAGCACTTTGGGAGGCCGAGGCGGGTGGCTCACTAGAGGTCAGGAGTTCGAGACCAGCCTGGCCAACATGGTGAAACCTCGTCTCTACTAAAAATACAAAAACTTAGCCGGGTATGGTGGTGAGCACCTGTAATCCCAGCTATTCGGAAGGCTGAGGCAGGAGAATCACTTGAACCCAGGAGGCGGAAGTTGCAGTGAGCCAAGATTGCGACATTGCACTCCAGCATGGGCAACAAGAGTGAAACTCTGTCTAAAAAAAAAAAAAAAAAAGAAACTCTAGGAGTGGAAGCCAGGAAAGTTAGGCCTTAGGATCCAGCTTTGGGAATCATGTGGAATAAGTGACTTTTGATGAGTTGAGAGTAAGTGAGCTCGCTCAGAGAAGGGAGAGAGACTGACTCTTTATTGATTCCTGGGAGTAAGAGTGGAGGTAGGAAAAGAGGATTCTGCAAGAAAAGAGAAAAGTGGAATTTATTCTCAATTACACAGCCTCATTTTTGTTGCTTTTGCTCTGGGTCTTAGTGTTTTTGAAGGCACAAAATATCCTTTAAAAGGCGATAAAGAGATCAAATATTATTGAAGTGAGTCTGTCCTGATGTAAACATTTACATTCTTGTTGACCCCTGGGAATTTGGTCAATGTTACAATTGTGCTATTGTCTAGATTCATGTTTCTACACATACCTGAAGCTCTTCCAAGAACAGTAGCAGTGATTATTCTAACATGCCTGCAGACTTGTCTATCATCATGTTTCTGAATAATAGAGTAGTGAGCTTTTTATTTATAACATTTGATGTTATTTAGTGGTTCCATTTTTTTATATTGTGAGTTTATATGAGAGTTTGAATAAGCTAAAATTACTGGGTAATTCACAGTTCTGAAAAATATATGCTTCCTCATAACTAGTCTTGGGACTGCAGGATAAGCATTCAGTTTCTGTACTAATTGTGTTTCAGATAAAACTTAAAGCTATGTGTAATTTTATGGAAGGCGTATTTATAGAGTTCTTTCTATTTAGAAAGCAATGTATTAAATACTAGATGTCAGAAGGTTAAAAGACAAAGTAGATCTGTCTTCTGACTTCAAATATCTTGCTATTGAGTAGGAATTATGAAATTATTATAAGGCAGGGGGATTGACTTATGCTGATTAGGAATAGGGCTAGGGCAGTTTGGAAAAGGGCCATGTGTGTTCTTTCACTTGAGTCTTTTAAGGTGAATAGGTTGAGTACGGGATAACATTTCAAATGGAGTGAAAAAAATATACGGTGTATCATGGGAGGAGAAGCTGGTTATGGCATAATTTTAGAGATTCTAGATCTGTTTTCAGAAATCAAAGTTCTGTGGGGTTAGGCTTTTTACTATCAGAGAAAGAAGTTATAAATAAGCCAAGAGGGAATACTAGAATGAACCTTGTGATGCTAGACTGGAGTCAGAAATATCAGTATGAATTTATAGTTTATAAAATTTTTATAGGGCTGGGCGCGGTGACTCACACCTGTAATCCCAGCACTTTGGGGGGCCGAGGTGGGCAGATCACGAGGTCAAGAGATCGAGACCATCCTGGCCAACATGGTGAAACCCTGTCTCTACTAAAAATACAAAAATTACTCGGGTGTGGTGGCGCATGCCTGCGGTCCCAGCTACTCAGAAGGCTGAGGCAGGAGAGTGGCTTGAAGCCGGGAGGCAGAGGTTGCAGTGAGCCGAGATCGCACCACTGCACTCCAGCCTGGTGACAGAGTGAGACTCCATCTCAGAAAAAAAAAAAAAAAAAAAAAAAAAGTATAGGTAGATATAGAGCTAAATAAAGAAATGTGTGCCTATAGGCCAGGCACAGTGGCTCACACCTATAATCCCAGCACTTTGGGAGGCTGAGGCGTGAGGATCACTTAGGCCCAGGAGTTTGACACCAGCCTGGACAATACGGGGAGACTCTGTCTCTACAAAAAAATTTAAAATATTAGCCAGGCGCGGTGGCATGTGTCTAGTCCCAGCTACTTGGCAGGCTGAGGTGGGAGGATCATTTGTGCTCAGGAGGTAGGCTGCAGTGAGCTGTGATTGCACCACTGCAGTCCAGCCTGGGTGACAGTGGATTCTGTCACACACACACACACACACACAAAAAGCAGTGTGTATACATGGGCCAGTATACATACATATAATTCTTGGTTTTGTCCACTAAGACGCCTAGAAGCAGTGACATCTCAGTGGCAATGAGCATAACTAGTAGTGCCCAGATGCTAACTTCTCCCATAAAAGAAAACAGGGCTCCTTGGGGAAATAGTTGATTCCAGGGCTGAGGCATGGTAAATACAAGACGAGCCTGGAACATCTTGCAGTGCTAGAAAGTAAGGAAGTGCTAAAAACAAAACAAACAAAAAACAGGGCAAGTTGAGAGAACACTGGAGCCAAGCCAAAAACTCCAAGAGCTGGAACAATTTAAGCAATAAAATAAGGATAGTATTGGATTATAATACAGGGAATAAAGTAACTATCTATGAAACCATCCTAATATAAATAAATGGTTGGGCTGGACGTGGTGGCTCATGCCTGTAATCCTAGCACTTTGGAGGGCCGAAGCAGGAAGATCATCTTGTGGCATACTGCCAAGGTTACTACTTGAGACCATCACTATGACAGTTACTACTGTTACTACTTGAGACCATCATTATAAGACTGAACTAAGGGTGTGGAAAGCAGAAATGAAAACTTAAAAGTAACTATTTTAAAGGAAGGGGTCAGAGGAAGAAAAAGAGAGTTCCCTGCTTCTAGTGAGCAAAGGCAGCCCACTGAGCTTCCACAGCCCTTTGTATTTATTGGGTAGAAAGAGCAGGGAGGAGGAGGTAACGATTGGTCAGCTGCTTAATTGATCACAGGTTCATATTACTGTTAACAGGTATCAATTATGCCTAATCACAAGAAACACTGCTGGTGTGACTGCCCTCAGCATTCCTTCTGGGTGGCAGATGCAATTTGTCAGTTTGCCAACATTCTGCATTCATGAGAACAGTTTGCTGTTTACTCATATAGCCTCCAGTGGTATACTGAGTTGATCACGACCCTCACTCTTTCGGCCTTCAACATCATCTGAGCTCAGGAATTTGAGACCAGCCTGGACAACATAGGGAGACTTCATCTCTATGTAAATGGTTCTAAGTAATGTAAAATCTTCTAAGTAAATGGTTGAATAAATGAGGGAGAACAAATCTTCGTTATAGAAGAATTTCAATTAATAAATGTAGAAAGGATGACAGTAACAGAAAATCACCATTAGAATACCAGTAATAATTGCCATAAGCAAGACACACCCATGAATGCTAAAATTAATGGGAAAAAGTTTAAGGAGAAACAGAGTCAAAGTTCTCCCTCATAATATTTATGAATTACAAAGGGAAAACAAATAATAACTTTACAGAGGAGAAACCTGATATACCACATTAACCATGTGATCAAGGCTAATGTCGTGAGTAATAAGACATCACATCAACATCACGTACCCTCTGATATGATGCACTGTGAAGGGAACATCAACTCTGGATTATTCCTTTCAAACATTTATAATCTCAATCTAATCTGAGAAAATATCATGTTTTTTAAAAAAACTTTTTTTTGTTTTGTCTTTTGAGTATTGCAAGATGTTCCAGGCTGATCTTGTATTTGCCCTTCCCCAGCTCTGGAATCAACCGCTTCTCCAAGGAGTCTTGATTCTATTTTATTGGAGAAACCAAGAAACCCAAATTGAGGAACATTCTACATAATATCTGACCAATACTTTCAACAATATCGAGGTCATGAAAGACAAGGAAAAGCAGAGTAACTGTCATAGATTGGGGTAGACTTAGGAAGACACGACAACTAAATGCAGTGTATGATCCTGAAACAGAAATAAGACGTTAATTAAAAAACTGGTGGAATTTCAATAAAGTCTATAGTTAATAGTATTGTACCAGTGCTCATTTCTTAGTTTTGCTAATTGTACTATGGTAATATAAGATAAAGCTAGGTGAAATGTATATGGGAACTCTTGTACTGTTTTTGCAACTCTTATGTATGAAATTGTTTCAGAATAAAAGGTGAGTGCTCACTTCAGTCATACATATACTAAAGTTGAAATGATACAGAGAAGATTAGCATGGTCCCTGTGTGAAGTTAACACACAAATTTGTGAAGCAGTCCATGTTTAAAAAAAAAAGTTTAAAAAAAAAAGGTTAAAGAACTATTAACTTCCAGCCAGGCACGGTGGCTCACGCCTGTAATCCCAGCACTTTGGAAGGCCGAGGCGGGCGGATCATGAGGTCAGGAGTTCAAGACCAGCCTGACCAACATGGTGAAACCCCATCTCTACTAAAAATACAAAAAAAAAAATTAGCCGAGTGTGGTGGCACATGCCTGTAATCACAGCTACCCAGGAGGCTGAGGCAGGACAATTGCTTGAACCTGGGAGGCGGAGGTTGCAGTGAGCCGAGATTGCGCCACTGCACTCTAGCCTGGGCGACAGAGTGAGACTCCATCTCAAAAAAAAAATAAATAACTATTAACTTCCAAAAAATGTTCAAGAATGTGAATTTAGTCACTATTTTTGTACAGAAATATAAATTTAGAAATGTAATTTTCTGAAAAAACATTATGTAGCAATGTATTTCATGTTGCTTTTATTTAAAATTCCCTTTGCAACTTGAAGTTTTTTAGTTTTTTTTTTTCTTTTAATTGCTCCCTTTTACCTGATGACATTCAAATTGGGAAGAGAGGTTGGTAGAAAAACTAAAACTCTACAATCTATTTCTTAAAAATAATGTTTTTCTTTTCTTTCTTTCCTTTCTTTTCTTTCTTTTCTTTACTTTTTTTTTTCTTTTCTTTTCTTTTTTTTTTTTTGACAGGGTCTGGCTCTATAGTCCAGGTTGAGTACAGTGGTGTGATCACGGCTCACTGCAACCTTAACCTCTAGGCTCAAGTGACCCACCTCAGCCTCTTGAGTAGCTGGGACCACAGACACACCACCATGGCCAGATAGTTTTCTGTATTTTTTCTTTGTAGAGACAGGGTTTCACCATGTTGCCCAGGCTGGTCTCAAACTCCTGAGCTCATGTGATCTGCCTGCCTCGGCCTCCCAAAGTGCTGGGATTACAGGCATGAGCCACCACATGTGGCCCATTTTTTCTTCATAAGTGAGTTTGTAGTTTTTACTTTGTTCTAATTTTTTGAGGCTATGTTCAGGAAGCCATACAGCTTGAATAAGTAACCATCTCAGGAGAAAAAAAAGAGAGGAGGCCACTGAGATCGGATATATAAGAACAGGATTTTATTAGTGGCTTGGGGAGGGCTGGTTGCAGGGCCAGCTCATTTATTTTTTGGTTTGGTTTGGTGGTTTTTTTTTGTTTTGTTTTTTTTGGTTTTGTTTTGAGACAGAGTCTTGTGCTGTTGCCCAGGCTGGAGTGCAGTGACACAATTTTTCTTCTGCCTCACCCTCCCGAGTAGCTGGAATTACAGGCATGCACCACCACGCCTGGCTAATTTTTGTATTTTTAGTAGAGACAGGGTTTTACCATGTTGGCCAGGCTGGCCTCGAACTCCTGAACTTAAGTGATCCACTCACCTAAGCCTCCCAGAGTGCTGGGATTACAGGCATAAGCCACCGCGCCCGGCTGTTTTTGTCCAAGCCTGGTTTCTGAGAGACAGTTTCCTTGGTCAGGAGAGTCTGTAAATGAATTTATTAGAATAGGTTTCTTGGAGCAGTTACCGGCCTCACCGTAAGCAACAGCTTGAGGAAGCAGATACCTGGGGCAGATTTCCCAGTGAGTCACTCTTCAACTTTTCAAGGACCTTTGTTCGAGAGATCTTTATCTCCAAGCTACAGCTTACCCTACCCTAGGACAATTTAGTGGCCCATCTCAAGCTACCTGGTTTGATAAAAGAACATTGATCCTGGGAGTTAGAACTCTAGCTCTAATACTAACCAGCTGGTGACTTTGGAAAATGATTGGAGCTTTATGCATCTCAGTTTCCTCACTGTAAAAAAGGGGATTTGGTTACTTGATTTCCAAGCTACTTTCTTAATGAAAAAAATCTGCCATTTGTATCTGAAACTGAAGGCATCTTCCTTCTCAGCAAACTGTTCCCCTTTCTATGTATACCATTTATTTGTCATGCAACGATCCTTCTAGTCTCTGAAGCTAAAAATCTGTGTTTATTTTTGTTATATGTTTCCTTTAACTCTTGCAGCCAACTGTCTTCCAATCCAGCAGTTCTTCCTTCACAGTTCATGTGGTAGTAGAATGCATATGACTGAAGAGAATGGGTTTTGGAGTCTGAAAGTCTGAAAATGGAACTCATATCTGAGAGAGACTGTGTGGGTGGGGAGAGATAATATACCTTTCTTTTTTTTTTTTTTTTTTTTGAGACAGAGTCTCGCTCTGTCGCCCAGGCTGGAGTGCAATGGCATGATCTCGACTCACTGCAACCTCTGCTTCCCGGGTTCAAGCAGTTGTCCTGCCTCAGCCTCCCAAGTAGCTGGGATTACAGGCGCCTGCCACCATGCCTGGCTAATTTTTTGTATGTTTAGTAAAGACAGGATTTTGCTACATTGGCCAGACTGGGTCCGGAACTCCTGACCTCAGGTGATCCGCCTGCCTCAGCCTCCCAAAGTGCTGGGATTACAGGCGTGAGCCACCATGCTGGCCCCAATACCACACCTTTAATGCAGGCCAATGAAAGCCAGTTACTACAATGGAGGGTATTCCAAGTGAGCCCAGGATAACTTTTAAGTTTCCCTGAAAGCAGGAATGATTATCTCTGATATTCACCACTCTGGGAAGATACTCACCACTATTCTCTTACTGAAAAATAATTTGTATGGGTTTTCAGCTAGGTGGTTCAGGGATTTTTCTAGCTGGTTTTCTACATTGGCTAAAAGTGGCGGTTTTAATCATTCTTCATTAATTGTAGTTGAAAGAAAATGGACTTTGGAATCAAACAGAATATGCGTTTGAATCCCAGCTCTGCTACTTTATAGCTAAGTGATCTTTGTAAAGTTAATATGTCTGAATCTCAATTTCGTTACCATAAATATAAGACAATAAAACCAATCCTGTAGAATGATTGTGAGGATTGAGATATATGCAAAGCATAAAGTTAGTGTCTTAAAATCTTCCAAGAGTCGGATTTCTAACTTTAGCTTTGAATTTGTAGTTTCCTATTGTATATCATTTGGATTTCTCTTGCTGACATGTATGTCTCAACATGTGTAAATCAACACTCATCATTTTCCCTCTTCTTTCTATATTTACTGTCTCTGTTAATGGAATCAACAGCCTTCCATCATTCGGGTTTGATGATGCCAGCTTTGATTCTCTTTTACCCTAAGTTCATTTTATTCTAAGAACTGTCAATTTCTCTCTTCCCACTTTTCCATTTCCACCTACCCTAATTAATTTACGAATTTAAACCTTGATTACCTCTCACTTAGTTTCAGGATCTTCTTGACTAGTAATTTAGACTCCAGTCTTTTTCCCTCTTAGCAAGTTGCACACTACTGCTGAATAATATTTTAAAATATGATGTTAGTCATGTTACATGCTTTTTCAGAAACTTTCTGTGTTCCACCAGAGAGACTGTGGTTAATCCACTACAGAGATCTTATCTTACAGGTGTGGATATTGAGGATCAGAAACTTTTTTTGTTATAAAAACCATGCATGTGCTAAGTAAATAGCACATAAGATTAGACCTAATCTCTGATCACTCATGGGTTACTTCTTCCCACTATTGAAATATGGCCCAAACTCCTTAGCATGGTTTTCTTCCCAGTCAGGCCCCATTATGTCTTTTTTTTTTTTTTTTTTTTTTTGAGACAGTTTCGCTCTTGTCACCCAGGCTGGAGTACAGTGGTGCAATCTCGGCTCACTGCAACCTCCGCCTCCCAGGTTCGAGAGAGTCTCTTGCCTCAGCCTTCCGAGCAGCTGGGATTACAGGCGCGTGCCACCACGCCCAGCTAATTTTTTGTATTTTTAGTAGAGATGGGGTTTGGCCATCTTGGGCAGGCTGGTCTCAAACTCCTGACCTCAGGTGATCCGCCTGCCTCAGCCTCCCAAAGTGCTGGGATTATAGGCGTGAGCCACCACACCTGGCCAAGTCTTGTCTATCTTCAACTTCTCTTGCACCTAGAGTTTAACTCACTCCCCAAAGGTGCTAATGCTATTCTCCTCCTTCCTCCTCCTGCCTTCACTTTGATGAAATTCTGCCCGTTCTTTAAGTCCCAAGTCATCTGATATCTTTTCCTTTCCCTCTCACAAAGCCAGAAAATCAGGTCTTGTATTCCTACACCACGCATAGCCTCTAACCACATTCTGTCTTGTACTATAAATATTTGTGTGTATGTCAGCAAGCACAGTAGATTATGTACACCATTCAGGCAGGGACATCTCCCTACATCTCATAAGAAGTAGTTATTCAATAGCCTGGTACCAGAGTCTATCAAAAATCATGTATTGATTCTCACGTTTATCTGTTTCATAGGTACTAATCACATTGCTAAGAAATAACATTATGCTTCTGTGAAGACAAGTGTGGTCAGGGTGAGAGTCATCTCATTCCCTGAGTGTAAGAACTCTAAGAACTGTGTGCCTCTCCTAGCTGTATACCAAAATAGATGTTCTGACTTTTCTTAACTTTCTGGCTGGGAGTAATCAAAACCACGGACTTAGACTTGGGAGTTAACCTTTTTTTTCTTTATCGTGCTCGGTATCTCAAATAATAAATCCTTTTCCTTTTTTAGAAACATACCTTTTTTTTTTTTTTTTTTTGAGGTGGAGTCTCATTCACTCTGTCACCCAGGCTGGAGTGCAGTGGCATGATCTCAGCTCACTGCATCCTCTGCCTCCAGGGTTCAAGTGATTCTCCTGCCTCAGCCTCTCAAGTAGCTGGGATTACAGGGGTGTACCACCACACCTGGCTAATTTTTGTATTTTTAGTAGAGTCTGGGTTTCACCATGTTGGTCAGGCTGGTCTTGGACACCTGACCTCAAGTGATCTGCCTGCCTCGGCCTCCCAAAGTGCTGGGATTGCAGGTGTGAGCCACCGTGCCTGGCCTGCAAATGTATCTTGTATATATTTTTTCCCCTTTGATCCAGAGTTGATCTTTATGGAAGAACTGACAGTATTTATACCCACAACTATATTGGTAGTATATTTCTACCAAATAATATCTTAAAGCATTCATTAGCATTTCCTTAACTTGCCTTACAGAGTTTAAAAAAAACTATGATAGTTTTATATAGTTAAGTTTAGCTGAAATGTTTGTTGCTTCTGTGTCTTTTTCATCTTAGAGAAGGGGCTGGCATTGTTTGGTGAGTCTGCCAGTTTAATACCAGATAGACAAATAGGTATCATGTATTATTTGGTACATTCCAGTTTATTGCAAAGTACATGTATAGAATTAAGATTATTTTGTTCAGGAAGAAAAGAAAACATTAAAAACACTAAACAGTAACATTTATTGCTTACTTATTCTGTATCAGGGTCTTTTCTTCTTTATCTTATTTATTTCTCATAAGAATACTGTGAAGTAAATGCTATTATTATGGATGAGAAATCCAAGTTTTAGGGAAACTTTTCATTAAGTGATGAGGCCAACATTCC
The DNA here is from genome assembly GCF_000001405.40 of Homo sapiens. Lineage (NCBI taxonomy): Eukaryota > Metazoa > Chordata > Mammalia > Primates > Hominidae > Homo > Homo sapiens. The sequence continues at coordinate 50,250,789 of NC_000012.12, read as the reverse complement.
CACTTAGACTTATCTGTCTCTAACCCAGAGCTCCTTACCATTAAAGGGCATACTATGCCTTCCAACATGAGGATTAAAACATATTAACAAAACTAGTATTATTTTCCGACAAGGATTTCATTGGAAGAACAAATATTACATGTAGAACAGTAGTAGTGTGGTCTTTTAGAATTGTCCATTGCTTATTCTGCATCACGGGACTTTTTTTTTTTTTTTTTTTTTTTTTGAGAACATCTTGGTCTGTCACCCAGGCTGGAGTCCAGTGGCGCAATTCATAGCTCATTGTAGCCTCCAACTCCTGGGCCTAGTAGCTAGGACTATAGGTGTGTGCCACCACGCCCAGCTAATTTTTAATTTTTTGTAGAGAAGAGGGGGTCTTGCTATGTTACCCAGGCTGGTCTCAAACTCCTGGCCTCAAGCTATCCTCCCAAAGTGCTGGGATTACAGGTATGAACCACCATGTCTGACCCAGGACCTTTTTTTTTTTTTTTTTTTTTTTGAAACGGAGTTTCGTCCTTGTTGCCTGGGCTGGAGTGCAATGGTGTGATCTCGGTTCCCTGCAACCTCTGCCTCAAGCAATTTTCCTGCCTCAGCCTCCCAAGTCGCTGGGATTATAGGCATGCGCTACCACTCCTGGCTAATTTTGTGTTTTCAGTAGAGACAGGATTTCACCATGTTGGTCAGGCTGGTCCTAAACTCCTGACCTCAGACCTCAAGTGATCCACCCACCTCGGCCTCCCAAAGTGTTGAGATTACAGGCATGAGCCACCATGCCCAGCCTGACCCAGGACTTTTAATGTGAAATGGCAGCTTGAGTTGCTGGATTTAAATACTCTCTGTGTTCTACAGTTGTCAAGGTTATTGAAAGCAGTACCTGATGAACCATACATTCAACCAGATCAGTTATGCTCTTCGGTTGCCAAGAGCTGCAAGTAGTACTTTATTTTTCTTTTACTTCTGGTAAGCTGTGAATTAGCAGTACTTTATTATTATTTTTTTTTAGTTTTCAAGACTCCTGGATCAGAAACAAAGTGGTACTTTATATTTTTCACTCTTCAAATAAGGAAACTGTTGACTCATTTCTAATCTCTCGTCTTCTGGACAAAGGTTGGAACTCCTTTCCTTTGGTAATTAGTGGGGCAAAATAACCAAACGATCCAGATTAATGGGTAGGGACTAGGTGATATCAAGGGTATGGCTTTATGTATTCTTTGGCTGAAAGGGATGTTGGAAAATAGGGTTTGTCTCCTGAACTTAAAGTACATTATACTTCTCCTTGATAAAGGCTTTAAAATGAGAATTATAACAAGAGTCAATGATAATAATTATACTTAAAATGCTCTTAATACTACTGTAATATACCCAGTATTTTAAATATATTATCTCCTTAAATCTATATCAAAACCTCCTAAAGATAGATATTATCCTTATTTTTTAGCTGAAGAAAGTGAAATGGAAAATATTACATAATATGTTCAAGGTAACAAAGTTAGGATTTCCCCGAAGTCTGTCTCACCTTAAAGCCCTGCTCTTCCTATTACACCACGCTGCGCCCCCAGCTCTCTCCCTGGCACTGAGTGGCCAGTGCTGCAGAGCTTGGGGAGAGAGGGCAGCCAAAAGAAACTTGAATGTAGGTAGAAACTAATTTGGACCTGGCTCTACTGAGATGCTGACTGTACCTCCCCTGGGATGTAATTCAGAAGAGGGAAACATTTCACTCCAAATGTGACTTTGGAACAGACTTCAGTTCAGGGAAAGGCCAATTGATGTTTGCACAGTGGGGTCAGTCATAAAATGGAACTGGAAGGGACCTTAAAGGTCATCTGGTGTAGCCTCCTTTTATAAGAAACCACAACCCAAAGATATTGGATCATTTGACCAAGGTTACACAGTTTGGGGGAGAACAGTGGAGGAGTGTGGTCTGCAAGTTTAGGGCTCTACCACACCACTGCCAATCCTTGGATGTTGGAGAATCCTCTTCTGTGTCTAATGTTCTGACTTTCTTTATTGCATAGGTATTTCAGTGTCTGTAGACAAGATGGAATCATCTCCATTTAATAGACGGCAATGGACCTCACTATCATTGAGGGTAACAGCCAAAGAACTTTCTCTTGTCAACAAGAACAAGTCATCGGCTATTGTGGAAATATTCTCCAAGTAAGTGCTGATCCTGGTCCAAAAGGACCATCTGTCTGGAGCACACATTGCCACCTGTCAGGGAAATTGGTGAAGGAAGTACATAATGTAAAATAATTTTATTGGGCGCCTCGTGGATTTTAAACACTATATGAGGTACTGTGGAGAAGGAGGAGGAGGGTAATAATCAGAAGATACATTCTATTCTTTGAATTTTTGTTTAGTTTGTGGAAGAAACAGTTATAGACACAAAAATTATTTTAAAAAAGATAATTATGAAATAATTATAAAGCAAAATATCAGCAAGTCTAAAATGAATAGGAGTGAGGATTAGGTACAGAATAAGAGACAGAGCATCACAGACAGGAGCTCATCAGGAAGGCTTTCTGGTTGAGATGAGTGTTGAGGCGAGTTTTGATTTGGTTGAATGGTGCGTTAAGCACTCTCTATACCTGCACTTTCCAATGTGGTAGCCACTATATAGGTGGCTATTTCAGTTTAAGTTAATTAAAATTAAATAACATTTAAAATTTAGTTTTAAATGTTTACCAGCTGCATTTATCACTTTTCAAGTGCTCAGTAACTACTTGTTGGTGACTGTCGTATTGAACAGCACAGAAACATTTCATCATTGCACGAAGTTCTGCTGAAAAGTGTAACCTACACAGGCACACTACAGCCCACTGGCTGCTGATTAGTAAATAAAACTTCATTAGAACACATCCGGTCAGGCGCGGTGGCTCATGCCTGTGATCCCAGCACTTTGGGAGGCCGAGGTGGGTGGATCACTTGAGGTCAGGAGTTCAAGATCAGCCTGGCCAACATGGTGAAACCCTGTCTCTACTAAAAATACAAATATTAGTCGAGCATGGTGGCACATGCCTGTACTGTAGTCCCAGCTGCTCAGGAGGCTGAGGCAGGAGAATTGCTTGAACCCAGGAGGCGGAGGTTGCAGTAAGCTGAAATCGTGCCACTGCACTACAGCCTGGGCAACAGAGCGAGACTCTGTCTTAAATAATAATAATAATAATAATAATAATAATAATAATTCCAGCATTTATTTTGCTTTTGAAGCTCCAGTTTGGGCAGGATCTCTGCTCTACTTAGCATCAGCCAGGGTGGCCCAAAGGCTGGGAGCTGTAATCATCAAAAGGCTGGCTCACTCACAAGTCAGGCGGTTGATGCTGTCATCTGGGATCTCAGCTGGGGCCATGGTAGGAACACCTACACATGGCCATTCCATGTGGCTGTTTGGCTTGGTGGCTCAGTTCCCAGGGCAATCATCCAGAGACAGAGGGAAGGAGGGAAGAAAAGGGGGAGTTCAAAGTTGTGTTGCCTTTTATGACCTAGCCTCGGAAGTCATACAGTATCACTTTTACCACATTCACTTCATTAGAAGTGAGTCACTAAAGCTGACTCATTTCGGGGAAGGGCAATTTGACTCCACCTTCTCTGATAGGAGGAATGTCAGAATTTTTTGGACATTTTAAATTTTTTTAATTAAAAAAAAAATGTTGAGACAGGGTTTCACTCTGTCACCCAGGCTGGAGTGCAGTGGTGTGACCACACAGCTCAGTGCAGCCTCAAACTCCTGGGCTCAAGCAATCCTCCCACCTCAGCCTTCTGAGTAGCTGGGACTATAGGCACACACCACTGTGCCTGGCCTGGACATGTTTTAAAATCATCCTATATTCTGATTCAGTATGTGTGGATAGAGTCCAGGAAATTATGTTTTTAACAAGTATCCCAGGTAATTTTTACCTTCAGGGAAGTTTAAGAAGCACTGGTAGTGGAAGGGATGGACTTGTGGAGTCAAAGCAGTGAGCTTGAAGTGGAATGAGTCGAGTCTAAGATAGGAGATTGAAGCAAAGGATTATGGAAGCTGAACACGAATAAAGGGAATAGGAAAGCAAGCAGTCTGCCATGGAAAAATACAGAAGGGAGAAGGAACTGGTGTAATTCATTTAGGGCCAGATGGAAGACCTCGGATGCTCTGCTAAGGTTAGGATTTAGTAAGAAAACCAGGGAACGCAATTGGTTTTCATGTGGGGAGAGTGACATGATCAGACCGGTATTTTAGAAAAAGCCTTCTGGCAACAGTGTAAAGCTATATTAGAAAGGTGAGAGATTGGTAACATGGAGACAATTTATGAGGCTCTCTTGGGAACCCAAGTGAAAGCTGTTGGGGGTCAAGGGGGAACAGGAATAGAGAGAAAGGGAAGGATATCAGACGGTGTTGAGATGTGATTATGGGACTTGGAAACTCCCTGTCCTGCACAGAAACTTCTCCACGTTCTTACCCTTTTCACCCTCCTTAGCCCCACCTGTCTTTAACTAAACTTGGCTTTCCCTTGACATGCATGACATGCATTCTGTGTTTGAGCAGTGGCTGCCTGCTCTTTCTTTTTTTTTTTTTTTTTTTGAGATGGAGTCTCACTCTGTCACCCAGACTGGAGTGCAATAGTGCAATCTCAGCTCACTGCAACCTCCGCCTCCTGGGTTCAAGCGATTCTCCTGCCTCAGCCTCCCGAGTAGCTGGGATTACAGGCACATGTCACCATGCCCGGCTAATTTTTGTATTTTTAGTAGAGATGGGATTTCATCATATTGGTCAGGCTGGTCTTGAACTCCTGACCTCATGATCTGCCCACCTCGACCTCCCAAAGTGCTGGGATTACAGGCGTGAGCCACCACGCCCGGCCTGGCTGCCTGCTCCTTCTGCACATGCTTCCCTGAAATATTTTGGGGGCCAGGGTTGCTACTCTTCTATATCTCCAATAATGTTTCCCATTCATTGTTTCTCATGCCTGCTTCTGAAGTTCTAGACATGTGCTTTCAGGCTCACATCTAACTATAATGCACTGTTATCCTCCCCTTCATTGCAGTGGCGTGCCAGCCTCCAGGGGACGCTGGCTTCTAGCATCATTTTTTTTTTTTAGTGTTTCTCACTGGGGGTGCTGTAGCATTTGGGGTAAGGCAGATCTTCCCCATGCAGGGTATTCATCATCATGCCCTCCTCTAAATGAACCCATGACATTGTGACAACCAAAAAAGAAAAAAAAAAGTGATAGGGGAGAAAACCCAACAAGATTCTAACACATGTGTCTAAATGTCCCCCAGGGCCATTGGCACCAATGGTGTCCTCATTAAAGGATCACTGGGTCCACATCAGTGACCTGTCTGATACTTTGGGCTCATAATTTCTTTTCTTTTTCTCTCTCTCTCTTTTTTTTTTTTTTTTGAGACAGGGTCATACTCTGTCGCCCAGGCTAGAGTGCAGTGGTGCAATTATGGTTCACTGCAGACTCGACCTCCCAGGCTCAAGCAGTCCTCCTGCCTCAGCCTCCCAAGTAGCTGGGACCACAGGCATGCACCACCATGCCCGTCTAATTTTTTATTTTTGTAAAGACAGCGTCTCACTATGTTGCCCAGGCTGGTCTTGAACTCCTGGATTCAAGCGATCCTCCTGCCTCAGCCTCCCAAAGTGCTGGGATTACAGGTGTGAACCACTGTGCCCAACCTGGACTCATAATTTCTTGATCTTCCCTGTTTCTGCAACCTGCATGTTGTCTCCCATGCCTCTGCCTCCCGTCTCAACCTATCACTCAGAATCCTTCTCTGAAATGATGCATTTGGAGAACCTACTGTTTGATTGGAGCCTTCTGTTTTTCCACTTGTTTAACTCTTATTCCCAGTGACCCTGTGTTTTGACCTCACCAGGACACCCAGCCCTGGATGTCAGTCCCCTTCCTGGCCTCACTTTCTTCCTTGCCCAGCTCAGTCACTTCAGTGAGGCTCTCACCTCTTCCCCAGTGCCTTTCTCACCACTCTATTCTGTCATTGTCCAGCCCAGCCAGTTCTCATTAGGATTTGGGTCCTATAGTAGCACTAAGGAGAGTTAAGAGGTTGGAAAAGGCTTCATCTTTAGGGCCTTCTTAATCTTGCAGAGAGAAAGTGCAGAGGGATCTCACAGGTCCTTCTCATGGTATACTGGGTTCACTGTCTTTTCTCCATGAAGGCTGAAAGGATTGCAAAACTGTCAATCCTGAACCCATTAATTACAATCAGTGTGCCAGGCACCATGCTAGACCCTTGATAGAAACACATACTATTTTGGCTGGGCACGCTGGCTCATGCCTGTAATCTCAGCACTTTGGGAGGCCATGGCAGGTGGATCATTTGAGGTCAGGAGTTCAAGACAAGCCTGCCCAACATGGTGAAACCCCATCTCTACTAAAAATACAAAAAAATGGCTGGGCGCAATGGCTCACACCTGTAATCCCAGTACTTTGGGAGGCTGAGGCGGGCAGATCACGAGGTCAGGAGTTCAAGACCAGCCTGGCCAACGTGGTGAAACCCTATCTCTACTAAAAAATACAAAAATTAGCTGGGCATCGTGGCCCATGCCTGTAATCCCAGCTACTCGGGAGGCTGAGGCAGGAGAATTGCTTAACTGGGACCTGGGGGGCGGAGGTTGCAGTGAGCCGAGATCACGCCACTGCACTCCAGCCTGGGCTACAGAGCGAGACTCTGTCTCAAAAAATAATAATAATACAAAAAAATACAAAAATTTAGCTGGGCGGTGGTGGTGCGTGCCTGTAATCCCAGCTACTTGGGAGGCTGAGGTGGAAGAATCACTGGAGCCTGGGAGGCGGAGGTTGTGGTGAGCCAAGATCATGCCACTGCACTCCAGCCTGGGCAACAGAGTGAGACTCCGTCTCAGAAAAAAAAAAAGAAATATATAAAATATATACTATTTTGAATCCTAACAAAAACTATATGAGGAAGGGGCTTTACCCCTCTTTTATAGTTGAGAAAACTGAGGTAAAGGAAGTAACCTGCTGAAGTTAATATTTGAGTTTGTTCCTGTCACATATTTTTCTTCTGATGTGCTTAACACATGGAACTGGTTTGGAAAGATGAATAGAGTTATTTGGTAGGCTTGGAGAATGCTGAAGACATTCCAGAGGAAGGGGAGCAACAGGAGGTAAAGGCATAGAAGTAGGACAGGTGGTGGTATATACTGAAAGGAGTGAAAACCAGGGAATCAGCCTGGATTTCTGTTCTAGGTTTTATACTCAGTGGAAACACGTTGCTAATATTACTTAAGGTTTGTAAGGTTCACTCACTGCAGCTTCCCAAAGAAGACTGCAGGACTATTTTCCGAGATCAGTTGAGATCAGGCGCGTTGAGGGTGGTATGGCTGTAGACTACAGGACTATTTTCCACAAAGCATATACTAATGTCTGTTTCCAACACCTAGTGGCTTTATATTTATGGGGTTTGCAAATAGTGAGTCCTATACAAGCCTAGCTAAAAACAGTAGGAAAACTTAGGAGGTCTCTGATCAGAGATTAATATGAAATTGTTGTTTGGAGGAAGCTTAATCTAGCTGATGTTTGTAGATAAGTCAGCTTTACTTTCTAATTGTTAACAGTGCATTTTGTGTTTATATGTATAGAAGAGTACTTTTTCTAGCATCAGAGCTTGTGTCCCATGGTCCTTTATAGCTGCAGGCTTATTTCTCTGACTAAGCCTCTATAACAGTCGTTAAATTTGAGGTAAGAAGTTCCTATTGATACATCCATTTGAATAGCTAGCTTTGGTTTCACTCACCACTGACTTCAGCATAATATGATCCTTCATTTGATAACAGTTGACTCTTTGGGTGGAATTTGTTTGACTCATACATTTTTGGAATTAAAGAGAATCTAGCCTGGTAGTTTTTAAACTATCTTAATTGAAGTCTTCAGAGGAATCTCAGGGCCAGTTCTCCAACAACTGGAACACCCTAAGGGCTAAACCCAAGCCCAGATCCCAGGCCCAGATCCCAGTCCCAGATCCCAGGCCCAGCTCTTTAGATTTTCCATTCCAGCAATCCTGCTTTGATCCCTTGTAAAGGTTAGGTTCTGCGTAAGACAGCATTTGAAGAGAGGGTTCTGCAGCTAGCAGAGCTTGAAACCACTGGTCTGGCTAGCATTTGCCCTATTCCTTTGACAGATTAGGAGCTTGAGGATTAGCAATTATGACTGAAGGTCATACACCAAGATGGTAGAATTGATGATCACAGCATGAAGATCCCTAACCTAACCCCCTGCCAGCATGCCTCTACCTTATCACAGCTTCTCCTGTTTTTGTTATAACTTTACCCATTCCTAGTTCCAGGAAACAGGAGGAGGCCGGGTAGAGAGGATCACTTGAGTCCAGAAGCTCAAGGCTGCAGTGAACTATGATTGCACCACTGCCTTCCAGCCTGGGTGACAGAGTGAGAACCTATCTTAAAAAAAAAAAACAAAGAGCGTTCATATTTAGTTTTCTGTGACTATTCTTCCTTCAATAAGAAAAAAATTGACCTTCAAGTCAGCCTGGTTAACTTCCTCTTCTTTCGCTTCTCTGTAACATTTTAGTGGTGAAATTTTTCCAGAAGAAAATACATTGCTTAAACCTTGGGAGTTTCTGTTTTCCCTTTTTGGCTCAGCATTCCCTTTGCTCTATTTGAGGGCATACAAGCAAGAGTCATGGCTCAGGAACTCTGTTTTCTGGCCCTAGAAAAATTTGAGACACTGTTATTACTCCCCAGATAATTTTAGCGTCCTCCATCAGCTGCCTGCCCCACAGCTGAGCATTAGTGAGCTGTTGCAAGATTAAATTCCTTATGTAAAGAAAAGGAGGCTGGACCGCAAAAAAAAAAAAAAAAAAAAAAAAAAAAAAAAAAAAAAATCTGGGAAGGAAAGAGGAACAAAATTTTAATTACAGAAATTTTATTGTAAATGTTTTATTTTCTCAAATTTGGATCTTCAAAATGGTGCCCCCATTTTGTGTCCTTCACATTTTGTGTCAGAAGAATGCTAGTTGCTGTAAGGGCCTCTGAGAAAAGTCTGAGGCCTGAACACGGAATTCAGAAGTATTGAGCCTCAGTCTTGTGGCAATCTAAGAGTACAAAATATAAAAGTACCAGGGATCTAACTTGGAAGAAAGAGGTGGTGTAGAGCCTTTCTCCCTGTTATCTACTATTTAGCAGGAACTTCATTACAAATAAAAGGTGGAGATATTTGAGTAGGGGTTTGAGAACAGGATTAAAGACAGCCTTTGGTGTATACACCTGGTCTTACAGATGCCTCCATGCTAAAAGGACAAGGCTAAAGATGGGAACTATTTTGATTTTTTTTTAATCTATGTTTCTATTAGACACTAAAGGGAAGGGAACCTCTGAGCTTATTTACTCAACTAACCACAATGTAAATACCTTGCCTTGGAGAACAGTTGGCTAAATATAAACCTGTCTGCCAATTGGTTCTAGTTTTCATATATTGTATTATTGCTGTAATATACTGTAGATGATTATCCAAGGGGTGTGGAAACGCAAGTTCAAGGCCAGTTCTAAGTTCCTTTTTATAATAGCTACAATCCACTGTATCCCTGAATTCTCACTTTTAGGGAATCTCTTAGACAGATATATTAGTACAAGTGGGAAAAATATACGTAAAAGGACATTCCCCAAAGCGTTATTTGCAATGGTGAAAAACTGGAAACAATCCAAATGCCCATTAAAGGAATATGGGTGAATTAATTATAATGAGAGAGGATTGTCAAGATTACCAAACACTTCCATGTTGCTAAATCAAAGGGATGTTTCTTGGCCTTTATCTTACATGAACTCTCACCACTTTTTCCCTCCCACATTTTTGCTTCTCTTGGCTTCTCTGGCAGTCTCATCATTTTCTTCCTCCCTCTCTCTCTCTTCCTTGTCAGTCTCTCTTATCATTTGTTCTGACTGCTGAAATGTTCGAGTCTCCAGGACTGAGTTCCAGGCATCTTCTCACACTACACACTGCTTGCAGATGTCATCTACTCCTGTGGCTTTAATACCATCCATGGGCACGCAAGTTCTAAATGCATACAACTAGCTCAGAGCTTTCTTCTGAGCTCCGGACACATGCATCTCATCACTGCTACCACCAAATGGATGTTTTAGTTAACATGGCTAGCATTGAACTCTTGATCTTCCCCGTTTCCAAATTTGCTCTTCTTTCACAATTCCTCGTCCCAGGAAGCATTACTTCCATTGACTCAGCTGCCAGAAACCTAGGAATCATTCTCTCTTCCCCATCTGATTACTACCCTACTGATTCTTTCTCGAAATATATCTCAAATCTATTCACTTTTCTTTATCTCTAGTGCCATTATCTCTGCAGCCCAGCCAGCATTATCTCTCATTAATGCCACCTCCATTCTCAGCCCCTCCAGTCCATTCTCCACACTCCAGAGCACTCTTTAAAAACACGAATTGAATCAGTGACCATCCTACCATTAAATTCAAAGTCCTTAGCATTACCTGCATGGCCCATCCCTGCCTCCCGCCTCATTGCCTGCCCTTTCCCCTCTCAGTGAGCTTCTGCAACACTAGAGTTCTTTGTGCACCCTATATACATGAGACACTTTCTTGCCTTGAGGCCTTTATGCATGGTGTTTTTCTGTTCCTGGTATGCTTTCCTCCCTTCCTTTTGTCTGGCTAACTTCATCTGGTCAAACTTCACATCTCAGCCTACAGGTCATTTTCTCAGTGAGGCGCTCCTTTTAAAAATTTTTTATTTTATGTTATGTTATGTTATGTTATGTTATGTTATGTTATGTTATGTTATGTTATGTTATGTTATTTTGAGATAGAGTCTCACTCTGTTGCCCAGGCTGGAGTGCAGTGGCGCCATCACGGCACACTGCATCCTCAAATTCCTGGGCTCAGGTGATCCTCCCACCTCAGCTTCCTGAGTAACTGGGACTACAGGCGCATGCCACCAAGCCCTGCTAGTTATTTTTTTTTTAAGAGATGGGGTCTCGCCATGTTGCCTAGGCTTTTCTCAAACTCCCGGGCTCAAGTGATTGGCCTGCCTTGGCCTCCCAAAGTGCTGGGATCACAGGCTTGAGCCATCGTACTCATCCATTTGTTTTTAGCTGACAAAGAATAATTTTACATATGTATGGGGTCCAATGTGATGGTTTTTTGTTTGTTTTTTGAGACAGAGTCTCGCTTTATCACCCAGGCTGGAGTGTGGTGGTGCTATCTTGGCTCACTGCAACTTCCTCTTCCCAGGTTCAAGCGATCCTCCCACCTCAGTCTCCGAGTAGCTGAAACTACAGGTGTGCACCAACGTGCCTGGTGGCTAATTTTTGTCTTTTTAATAGAGACGAGGTTTCTCCATGTTGCCCAGGCCAGTCTTAACTCCTGGCCTCAAGTGATCTACTCGACTCAGCCTCCCAAAGTGCTGGGATTACAGGCATGAACTACCACATCCAGCCAATGTGATGTTTTAATACATGAATACATTGTAGAATTATCAAATCAGGCTAATTAATATAAGTGAGGCTTTCCTTGATTTCCTCTTCCTTTCTCAATTGTGTTCCTTTGTTATTTAATAATACCCTGTTCTTTTTTTTCAAAGGACTTACCACTCTGTGTGTGTGTATGTGTATGTATATTTGTGTGCTTCTGTTTTTAGTGTCTAAATTGTAAGCATCGGAGAGCAGATATTATGTCTGTTTTGGTTATTTCTTTCGTTACTTTTTCTCTAGTGCTTGGAACATAGTAGACAGCAATAAGTATTTCTCGAATGAAAATGTCAGCTTCTCTGAATTTCTCTCTGAAATGGAGAAAGGGAGAAGCAGAATAGTATGTATCACATTATCTCATTTTTGTTACTTAAAACTCAAATATGAGTTGCAAATATTTTCTCCCACTCCATGGGAACTTTTCACTTTGTTGATAATGTTCTTTTTTTTTTTCTTCATGATTTTTTTTTTCTTCGTGAGACAGAGCCTCGCTCTGTCGCCCAGGCTGGAGTGCAGTGGTGCAATCTCAGCTCACTGCAACCTCCACCTACCAGGTTCAAGCGATTCTCCTGCCTCAGCCTCCTCAATAGCTGGGATTACAGGTACCCACCACCACACCCAGCTAATTTTTATATTTTTAGTAGAGACGGGGTTTTACCATGTTGGCCAGTCTTGACTGACCTCAAGTGATCCACCTGCCTCGGCCTGCCAAAGTGCTGGGATTACAGTCATGAGCCACTGCACCCGGCTTGTTGATAGTGTTCTTTGATGCGCAAAAGTTTTTTTTGTCTTTTTTTGTTTGTTTTGTTTTGTTTTTTTTGAGACAGAGTCTTGCTTTGTCGCCAGGGCTGGAGTGCAGTGGCGCAATCTCGGCTCACTGCAATCTCCACCTCCTGGGTTCAAATGATTCACCAGCCTCAGCCTCCCAAGTAGCGGGGATTATAGGTGCCCACCACCACACCTGGCTAATTTTTGTATTTTTAGTAGAGACAAGGTTTCGTCATGTTGGCCAGGCTGGTCTTGAACTCCTGACCTCACATGATCCGCCCACCTTGGCCTCCCAAAGTGCTGAGATTACAGGTGTGAGCCACCATGCCAAGCCTCAGAAAAGTTTTTAATTTTACTGAAGTCTAGTTTGTTTTTTCTTTTGTGCCTGTGCTTTTGGTGTTGTATTCCAATAAGGCATTACCAAATCTTGTAATGATGAGATGATCAAAAGATAATAAAAAATTAAAATAAGATGAAAAAATAAGAAAAACAAGAATAAGAAAGAAAAACGACAAAAAATAAATTTCAAAAAATCATTGCCAAATCCAGTGTCATGAGACTTTTCCCATATGTTTCAACCAAGAGTTTTATAGTTTCAGCTCTTATAGTTAGGTCTTTGATCCATTTGACTTAATTTTTGTATATGGTAGTCCAATTTCATTTTTTTGCATGTGGCTATCCAGTTTTCCTAGCACCATTTGTTGAAAAGATTTTCCTTTCCCCACTGGATGGTCTTGGCACCCTTGTCAAAAAATTATCTGACCATACATGTAAGGGTTTATTTCTGGGCTGTGTGTTCTGTTCCATTGGTCTGTATATCTGTCTTTATGCCAGTATCATACTGTTTTGTTTTAACTGTGGTAAAATACACAGTATATAACATAAAATTTACCATTTTAACCACTTTTTTTCTTTTTTTTTTGAGACCGAGTCTCACTCTGTTGCCCAGGCTGGAGTGCGGTGGTGTGATCTCAGCTTACTGCAACCTCCACCTCCCAGATTCAAAGGATTCTCGTGCCTCAGCCGCTCGAGTTGCTGGGACTACAGGCATGAGCCACCATGCCCAGCTAATCTTTATATTTTTAGTAGAGATGGGGTTTCACCATGTTGGCCAGGCTGGCCTTAAACTCCTGACCTCAGGAGATCCGCCCGCCTTGGCCTCCCAAAGTGCTGGGATTACAGGCGTGAGCCACTGCACCTGGCCAACCACTTTTAAGAACACAGTTCAGTGGCATTAAGTACATTCATATTATTGTACAATCACTACCACCTTCCCTTTGTCCTTTTGTTGCTGCACAGTATTTCATTATACATATACATTATAATTTACCACTCCTCTGCTAACGGACATTCAGGTTGTTCTCAGTCTTTTGCTGTTATATTTAATGCTATGATAAATAATCCAATATTAAAATCTTTTTTTAGTGTATCTATAGGACAAATTCTGGGAGCAGAAAGAATTGGTAAATTATAACATTTGTGCTTTTATAATTTTGGCAGATATTAAAGAAGGCATAGACAAAATGCCTTCTATAAAGGTTTTACCAATTTACCTTCCCACCAGCAATGTAAGACAGAACCTGTTTCCCCATACCCTCACCAATGTCCCATATTAGCCTTTTTTGTTTGTTTATTTGTTTTAAACAGAAGTTCGGTGGTACAATGACAGCCCACGGCAGCCTCGAACTCCTGACCTCAAGCAATCCTATCGCCTCCACTTCCCAAAGCGCTGGGATTACTGGGATTACAAGCATGAGCTACCCAACCCAACTGCATATTAGCTTATTAGCTGTGTGCGTGTGCGTGTGTGTGTGTGTGTGTGTGGTTTTAAGGAGCAGAGAGTCTTTAATAGGCAAGAAAGACGGAAGAAGCAGCTTCCCCATACAGAGACAGAGGGAGAAGGACTCCAAGCCGAGAAAGGGAACCCCCTGCATATTAGCTTTTTAAGAAAATCTTTTCCGGCCGGGTGCGGTGGCTCACGCCTGTAATCCCAGCACTTTGGGAGGCTGAGGCAGGCGGACACCTGAGGTCAGGAGTTGGAGACCAGTCTGGCCAACATGGTGAAACCTCATCTCTACTAAAAATACAAAAAGCTTATCCGGGTGTGGTGGTGCGTGCCTGTAATCCCAGCTACTTGGGAGGCTGAGGCAGGAGAATCACTTGAACCTGGGAGGCAGACGTTGCAGTGAGCCGAGATCACGCCACTGCACTCCAGCCTGGGCGACAGAGTGAGACTCCATGTCAAAAAAAAAAAAAAAGAAAAAAAAATATTTTCCTACTTAATAGGTAAAATGTTGTTAGCATTGTTTGAATTTGCATTTTGAGGTTGAACATCTTTTCTGTTTAAGAGTCATGAGATGTTCTTTTTGTGAACTGTATGTTTTTGTTTTTTTTGAGATGGAGTCTGGCTCTGTCACCCAGGCCAGAGTGCAGTGGTGCAATCTCGGCTCACTGCAACCTCCACCTCCCGGGTTCAGGCGATTCTCGTGCCTCAGTCTCTCTAGTAGCTGGAATTTCAGGTGCCTACCACCATGCCTGGCTAATTTTTGTATGTTTAGTAGAGACAGGGTTTTGCCAGGTTGGCGGGGCTGGTTTCCAACTCCTGACCTCAGGTGATCCACCCACCTCCATCTCCCGAAGTGCTGGGATCACAGGCATGAGACACCGCACCCAGCCGTGAACAGTATGTTTATATCTGCCTTTTTATTTATTCAGTTGTCATTTTCCTGCTTATTAGTAGTTATTTATATTCTAGGGAAATTAATTTTTTGTCTGTAATATAAGTTGCAAATATATTTTCAGCTTGTCAATTGAATCACAGCAGTTCTAATCCCACTTTCTTCCTAGTTATGGTCAACGAAGTGCCAGAAATTTTTGGTAGCCCTTTTACCCTACCCCATTAGAGAGTTCTGCTCAATTGCAGAGCAGTACTACATGGCGACTGAGATGCTTGTTAATATCTGATTATTAAAATTAGACAGTGATAGGATTGGGGGCTGGGCACGGTGGCTTACACCTGTAATCCCAGCACTTTGGGAGGCCAAGGCTGGTGGATCACTTGAGGTCAGGAGTTCGAGACCAGCGTGGCAAACTTGGTGAAACCCGTCTCTAGTAAAAAAACAAAAATTAGCCGGGCATAGCGGTGCACACCTGTAATCCCAGCTACTCAGGAGAATCACTTGAACCCGGGAGACAGAGGTTGCAGTGAGCCGAGATTACACCACTATACTCCAGCCTAGGAGACTGAGCAGGACTCCTTCTCAAAAAAAAAAAAAAAAAAAAAAAGTGATAGGATTGGAAGACCCTTTATGTAATACTCTTTCTTGGCTGGGCATGGTGGCTCATGCCTGTAATTTCAACACTTTGAAAGGCTGAGACAGGAGGATCACTTGAGCTCAGGAGTTTGAGACCAGCTTGGGCAACATAGCGTGACCCTATACTAAAAAAAATTTTTTTAAATTAGTCGGGTGTGATGGTAGACGTCTTTAGACCCAGCTTCTTGCAAGGCTGAGGTAGGAGAATTGCTTGAGTCCTGGAGGTCAAGGCAAGCTACAGGGTCTTACTCTGTAGCTCAGGCTAGAGTACAGTGGCATGATCGTAGCTCGCTGCAGCCTCAACCTCCCTGGCTCAAGGAATCCTCCTATCTCAGCCTCCCCGGTAGCTGGGACTGCAGGCGTGCACCACACCTGGCTAATTTTTGTATTTTTCGTAGAGACAGGGTTTTACTGTGTTGCGCAGTCTGGTCTCGAACTCCTGGGTTCAAGCGATCCGCCCAGCTCGGCCTCCCAAAGTGCTGGGATTACAGGTGTGAGCCACTGCACCAGGCCTGAGGCTGCTTTTTTTCTTCTTCTTTTACCTCCTACTCCAAATGCCTCATGAATTCTGAAATTCTACCTTTAGGCAGAGGACAGTGCCCTTTTCTAGGGGTGGGGCTGAGTTCTGCTAAGGCAGGCCCAAGGAGAGGCACATAATGGTGATTCTCCACGTGGTGGTGCTGACTTCAATGCATGACTCAGAGGTCTGGAGGAAGCCAGGTTAAGGTTGTTCTAGGGCCAGGCATGGTGGCTCATGCCTGTAATCTCAGCAGTTTGAGAGACCAAAGCAGGCGTATCTCTTGAGGCCAGGAGTTCGAGACAAGCCTGGCCAACATGGTGAAACCCTGTCTCTACTAAAAATGCAAAAATTAGCCAGGTGTGGTGGGGCATGCCTGTAATCCCAGCTACTTGGGAGGCCGAGGGATGAGAATCACTTGAACCCAGGAAGCGGAGGTTGCAGCTAGCTGAGATCGTGCCACTGCACTCCAGCCTGGGCAACAGAGCAAGACTCTGTCTCAAAAAAAAAAAAAAAGGTTGTTCTGGGTGGTCTGGAGATTTGTGCAGCTTGTACCTGCACAAATCTCCGGACCACTTAGTCTTTAAATGGAGAAAACCTGTTCCTCCTTGAAAAGAACTTTAATTTTTTTCTCAGAGGTCTTCCAATCCAAGTAATAAAAATGACAAAATGATAAAAGTAATAACAAATAATTATTTATGAAATCTAAGATGTCATCAACTATAGCTGTGCCACTATTTTTGCATCTCTAAGAAAAAATGCTGATTAAACTAATCACTGCTTATTACAAACTTTTCTCACATATCACTCTTGTGCATATGTAAAATAATTTTTCCTTAAATGCCAAACATAGTATGATCTTTTAAAAGACATTTTTAAGTGGCATTTAAAACATATAATAATAGCTGTGTGCTGTGGCTCAAGCCTTTAATCCCAGCACTTTGGAAGGCTGAGGCAGGTGGATCACATGAGGTCAAGAGTTCAACACCAGCCTGGCCAACATGGTGAAACCCTGTCTTTAGTAAAAAATACAAAAATTAGCCGGGCATGGTGGCACATGCCTGTAATCTTAGCTACTTGAGAGGCTGGGGTAGGAGAATGCTTGAACCCGGGAGGCGGAGATTGCAGTGAGCCGAGATTGTGCCATTGCACTCCAGCCTGGGCAACAAGAGCGAAACTCTGTCTCAAACAAAACAAAACCATGTAGTACCATCAAATACTTTTAACTGAGTTAAAATGACAATATCAATAACTTACACTAAATTCAACATGTACAGGCAATGTGACTATCTCTCAACCATTTGGCTGAGAACAATTGTAAGATATCAGGCATAAATATGGGAGGGGAAATGTATATGTTGGAATTAATGCATTGCTGTATGGACTTAACTAATTTCAAAATGTTTTTACACATGATTACATTTAATCTTCCTGGCAATCCTGAAAGTAGATTGTAACTTCTTTCTAGATAAGGAAACTGAGGCTTAGAGAGATTAAGTCACTTGCCAGAGATCACAGTTAATAAGCAGCAAAACTGGGGCTTAAAGCCTAGACTTTCTGCTCTATCCAATTGTTTCAGCATTTGACCTTATCCACGGGGATCTTGTTGTTATATCAGAGCAGATGACTGGAATAGCTGCAGGAAGTGAGGTCTGCTCTGATTTACAGCTTCTTCTGATAGAGTTGATTAAAAGCAACTGCTGGCAGAAATAGGTATGCAGACTGTTTTTTTGGGTTTGTTTGTTTTGAATCTCGCTCCGTCACCTAGGCTAGAGTGCAGTGGCGTGATCTCAGCTCACTGCAACCTCCGCCTCCTGGGTTGAGGCGATTCTCGTCCCTCAGCCCCCCGAGTAGCTGGGATTATAGGTGTGCGCCACTATGCCTGGCTGATTTTTGTATTTTTAGTAGAGGTGGGGTTTCACCATGCTGGCCAGGCTGGTCTTGAACTCCTGACCTCAGGCGATCCACCCACCTCGGCCTCTGAAGTGCTGGGATTACAGGCATGAGCCACTTCACCCAGCCCAGAACTGGTTTTCTTAAAGATTAAAAGTGGCTGGGGGGCTGGGCCTGGTGGCTCATGCCTGTAATCCCAGCATTTGGGGAGGCTGAGGCCAGCAGATCACTTAAACTCAGGAGTTTGAGACTGGCCTGGTCAACATGGTGAAACCCTGTCTCTACGAAAAATACAAAATTAGCCAGGTGTGGTGGTGTGCATCTGTGGTCCCAGCTACTCAGGAGGATGAGGTGGTGGGATCACTTGAGCCCTGGAGGCGGAGGTTGCAGTGTGACAAGATCACGCTACTGAACTTCAGCCTGGGTAACAGAGGGAAATCCCATCTCAAAAAAAAAAAAAAGAAAAAAGAAAGTAGCCGGGCTGGTGGCTCATGCCTGTAATCTCAATACTTTAGGAGGCTGAAGCATGAGGATCACTTTAGCTCAGGAGTTTGAGACCAGCCTAGGCAACATGGCAAGACCCCATCTCTACAAAAATAAAAAAATTAAGCCAGGTGTGGTGGTGTGCACTTACATAGTCCCAGCCACTCAGGAGGCTGAGACAGGAGGTTTGCTTGAGCCCGGGAGGTCAAGGCTGCAGTGAACCATGATGAACCATGGTTGTACCACTGGATTCCAGCCTGAGCAACAGAGTGAGACCCTATCTCAAAAAAAAAAAAAAAAAAAAAAAAGCTGGGCACTCACTTTGGGAGGCCGAGGCAGGTGGATCACTTGAGGTCAGGAGTTCGAGACCAGCCTGGCCAACATGGTAAAACCCCATCTCTACTAAAACTACAAAAATTAGCTGGGCATGGTGGTGGGTGCCTGTAATCCCAGCTGTTCTGGAGGCTGAGACAGGAGAATCACTCGAACCCGGGAGGTAGAAGTTGCAGTGAGCCGAGATCGCACCACTGCACTGCAGCCTGGGCAATAAGCGTGAGACTTCATCTCAAAAAAAGATAAAAAATTGAAAGAGTAAAAATATAAGTTTAATTTGAGACATTCTTTCCTTCCCTTCTCTGAAGGTACCAGAAAGCAGCTGAAGAAACAAACATGGAGAAGAAGAGAAGTGTAAGTATTCAGAAATTCCAGGGCATGTGGCACTTCTTGAGCAGAATTGTGTGGCCAAGCCACCTGCAGCCTCTGTGGGGCTTGGGTTCTATGTCAGCTGAGTGGACATTTGTGCCAGCTGGTGTGATCTCTGAGCCATTTGCTCAGGACAACTTGGCTTAGTGCAGGGAATCTTATTTTTTCACTGCTTTTCTCCTTTTGAACCACTTTTTCTTTCCTGTGTTGAGTGAAGGACAAGAGGCCAAATGCTTGCCTGAGGTTAGTAAAATGGCTTCTACTCAAATGAGAACACAGGGTTTCCTAGGTGGTCTTCCTTTTTTCCAAATCAGACAATCAGAACTTCTACATCTGTGCATTTAAATGGTAGTAGCTGTGCAGCTGTTGTCATCTTCTGGGTTTTTTGTTTAAAGCAAACTTCTTGACCCAATCTAGTTAGCAAGTTTCCTAGCTGCAGGATCTACCAAAGACAAAAACCTCCAGAATAAACTCTCTGCTTCTACCCGTTCTCTAGTCTCCGTGCTTGCTAACTTCCGGTGAGGCTGAATAATACATGTCTTTTGAAATTTTACTTGATTTAATCTTGTGAGGAAAAAAACTCATATGTTTGGTCAATAATTCCTTAATTCGGATGGCATTACAAAAACATCCTCCTGGCAGTTTTCAGTAGCTAACCTATTTAAATTAGTGCATAATATGTTCCTGTAAATTTGTTCTAAGGCTAAGGTCCTTGGCTTCATTTTCCTGTAATTAAAAAATGGGTCTCCTCTGGTGCATTATAAGAAAAAACTGGCCGGGTGCGGTGGCTCACGCCTGTAATCCCAGCACTTTGGGAGACCGAGGCGGGCAGATCACGAGGTCAAGAGATCGAGACCATCCTGGCTAACACGGTGAAACCCCGTCTGTACTAAAAATACAAAAAAATTAGCCGGGCGTGGTGGCGGGCGCCTGTAGTCCCAGCTACTCGGGAGGCTGAGGCAGGAGAATGGCGTGAACCTGGGAGGCGGAGCTTGCAGTGAGCCGAGATCACGCAACTGCACTCCAGCTTGACTCTGCAGTCAGCCAGAGCGAGACTCTGTCTCAAAAAAAAAGAAAAAGAAAAAAAGAAAAAACTACCATTACTTTACTCAACTGCTGGTTTCTTTTCTTCCTTCCCTCTTGCCTCTGTTTTTCCCCCAACTTGCTCCTTTCTTTCTTCCTTCCCTTCACTGTCATCCATTTAACAAGTTTTCACTGAGCACCTACTACATGCCAAGCACAGACTACATCCCAGCCCTCGTGGAATTTACATTCTAGTGCAAAAGACAGACAATAAAGAAATTGTGTCAGTATGGCTGGGCGCGGTGGCTCACGCCTATAATCCCAGCACTTTGGGAGGCCGAGGCAGGCAGATCACCTGAAGTTAGGAGTTGGGAGACCAACCTGGCCAAGATGGTGAAACCTTGTCTCCACTAAAAATACAAAAATTAGCTGAGTGTGTTGGCACATGCCTGTAGTCCCAGCTACTCTGGAGGCTGAGCCAGGAGAATCACTTGAACCCGGGAGGCAGAGATTGCAGTAAGCCGAGATAGCACCACTGCACTCCAGCCTGGGCGACAGAGTGAGACCCCGTCTCAAAAAAAATAAAAAAATTTAAAAAAGAAATTGTGTCAGTAGTGATTAGTGCTGTGGAACAGCATGAGGCAGGTAAGGAGGATAGAGTCTAGGGTGGTCAATGAAGGCCTGTGGTGAGGAAACGTTTGAGCAGAGATTTGAAGACATGAGCCAGGGAGAAGAGTCAGGCAGAAGGAACCGCTTGTGCGGATGTCCTCAGGCAAGAACAGTCTTGGTGTGTTTGAGGAATAGAAGAGAAAGGTCAAATGGTGTCATTGTAAAGACCTGGGCTTTAACTCTGAATGCAAGGAGGCCTTTGGAGAGGGTTTATATGCAAAGGAGTGATGTGGTCTGACTTAAATTTTTTTTTCTTTTTTTATTATTATACTTTAAGTTCTAGGGTACATGTGCACAACATGCAGGTTTGTTACATATGTATACATGTGCCATGTTGGTGTGCTGCACCCATTAACTCGTCATTTACATTAGGTATATCTCCTAATGCTATCCCTCCCCGCTCTCCCCACCCCACAACAGGCCCCCGTGTGTGTGATGTTCCCCTTCCTGTGTCCAAGTGTTCTCATTGTTCAATTCCCACCTGTGAGTAAGAACATGCGGTGTTTGGTTTTTTGTCCTTGCGATAGTTTGCTGAGAATGATGGTTTCCAGCTTCATCCATGTCCCTGCAAAGGACATGAACTCATCCTTTTTTATGGCTGAAGAGAAGGCTCTAATCCCAGCACTTTAGGAGGCCAAGGCGGGAGGATCGCAGGAGGCCGAGGTGGGAGGATTGCTTGAGGCCAGGAGTTCAAGACTAGCCTGGGCAACCTAGTGAGACCCTGTATCTCTATTTTTTAAATGTAAAAAAATAGAAGGAAGAGAATGTAGAGGAACAATAATGGCAGGAGCATGGAGACCAATTAAGAGACAATTATAATGATTTAGGCCAGGTATAATATGGTTTGGACTAGAGTAGTAGCAGTATAGGTGTTGAGAAGTGGTCAGGATGTATGTTGAATGTAGAGAGAAAGAAGAATCAAGAATGGCAGCAGTGGCTCTGCCACAGTGGCTTGTGCCTGTAATCCCAGAACTTTGGGAGGTCAAGGCAGAAGGATCACTTGAGGTCAGGAGTTCAAGATCAGCCTGGGCAATATAGCAGACCCCATCTCTATTACAAAAAGTAAAAAATAAAAGAATAGCAACAATGTTTTTGGCCCAAACACAATTAAATTAAAATACCATTAATTGAGATGGGGAAGACTACAGTAAAAGCAGATTAGAGAGGGAGAAATAGTAGAAGCTCAGTTTTGCACATGTAAACTGTAACATGTTTTATTAAGACATCCAAATGGAAATGTCAGTAGGAACTTGGATACTATATAAAAATCTAGAATTGGAAGAGATCCCCGCTGCGGATAAAATGGACATGTGTCAAAGTGTCAGTGGTACTTAAAGCTATGAGGTGCATGATATAAGCTAGGAAGTGAGTGTAGACAGAGAAGTGGTCTCATGACTTAGCTCAGGGGCACCTTGGTGTTTAAAGGTTGGAGATATAAGGAGTAACCAGCAGAGGAAACAAGTGCCAGAAGCCGAGTGAAGAAAGTGTTTCTAGAAGGGGAGTTAACAGAATCAAACACACAGGTAAGCTGAGAATTGACCATCGGATTTGGCAACATGAAGGTCATTGGTCATCTTGTGTTGTTTGGGAGTGGTAGAATAGAGGCCTGAATTGGACTAGGTTCAAGACAGTGGGTTAAGAGAAGTTGACCCCACGAGTATAGACAATCATATGTGGAGCATCTCTTATGTTCCAGCTCCTGAAGACACAAGAAGAATAAGATGTATTCTCTACCTCCAAAGGGACTGTTTAGAATTTGGAAAATAGAATTACAACCCAGGTGTGATAAGTACCATATCAGGCCCGGCGCGGTGGCTCAAGCCTGTAATCCCAGCACTTTGGGAGGCCGAGGCGGGCGGATCACAAGGTCAGGAGATCGAGACCATCCTGGCTAACACGGTGAAACCCCGTCTCTACTAAAAATACAAAAATTAGCCGGGCACGGTGGCGGGCGCCTGTAGTCCTAGCTACTCGGGAGGCTGAGGCAGGAGAATGGCATGAACCCAGGAGGCGGAGCTTGCAGTGAGCCAAGACCGCGCCACTGCACTCCACACTCCAGCCTGGGTGACAGAGCGAGACTCCGTCTCAAAAAAAAAAAAAAGAAAAAAAAAATTACCATATCAAATAAATACTCAGAGTGGGCTGGGGGAGAATTTAGGAGGGATCTGAACTGTGCTACATCTAGAAAGGCTTCCCAGAAGAGGCAGTGCCTGACTCAACCCTAAAGGACCAAGAGGAATTAGCTAAGCAGAGGCGACAGGGAGTGGCAGAATCTTTGTATTCTAGATGGAGGAAGCAGCACACGCACAGCATGAAGGCATAAGAGAACAGGCCTACTTGACAGATGAAAAGATGGTTGTCGCATTCACCAAGATAGACAATTCAAGAAAAGAAACAGGTTAGAGAGTGAGGAGTAAAGGGAAGACTTCGGGCCTGGCACGGTGGCTCACATCTGTAATCCCGGCTGAGGCGGGTGGATCACCTGAGGTCAGGAGTTCGAGACCAGCTTAGCCAACATGGTGAAACCCCATCTCTACTAAAAATACAAAAAATTAGCCGGGCTTGGTGGCTCACGCCTGTAATCCCAGCTACTCGGGAGACTGAGGCAGGAGAATTGCTTGAACCCAGGAGGCAGAGGCTGTGGTGAGCCAAGATTGCACCACTGCACTCCAGCCTGGGTGACAGAGCAAGACTCCATCTCAAAAAAAAAAAAAAAAAAAGAAAAGAAAAAAGAAAGTGAAGACTTCAACCTTAATCAAGAAGGAGTTTAAGATGCCTCTAGCACTTCCAGGTAGAATTGGTAGAAAAGGAGAGATGTCTATCTAGAGATAAGTTCTATAACTCTGTCTATATAGATACACAGTATACATCTATCTATGTATTTGTTGATACTATAATCTATATGGTGGGTGAAATCGGGATGAATAACATCATATACAGAGAATATGTAAAGTAAGCAAAGCAGAGGACCTAAGACAAAAACCCTGAGGGACCCCACCATATAAGGGAGGGACAGAGGAGGAGAAACCTGTAAAAAAAAAAAAAAAAGAAAAAGAATTACTAAATTATGAAACTGAGTAGTGGCCAGATAAATGAGAAGAAATCTTTTTTTTTTTTTTTCATATGGAATCTTGCTCTTTCGCCAGGCTGGAGTGCAGTGGCATGATCGCAGCTCACTGCAACCTCCGCCTCCCGGGTTCAAGCGATTCTCCTGCCTCAGCCTCCCGAGTAGCTAGGATTACAGGCGCACGCCACCACGCCCACCTAATTTTTGTATTTGTAGTAGAGACAGGGTTTCACCATGTTGGCCAGGATGGTCTCAATCTCTTGACCTTGTGATCCGCCCGCCTCGGCCTCCCAAAGTGCCAGGACTACAGGTGTGAGCCACTGCGCCCAGTGAAATCTTTTTTTCATTATTGTTTTTTTCTACACCCTTCTTGCATCTCAAAATGGGAAGAAATCTAAGAAAAAGGGGTATCACAGAAAAGTTGGAAGCAATTTTTACCAGGGAGAGTGGTCAGTAATGTCAGATGCTATAGTGAGATAAAATAAAGCAGAAGCCTCCAGTGCTTTTAGCAGTTGAGGTAAGTGGACGTGAATAGGTATTTAAAGAAGAGGGTGGGCATGGTAGCTCACACCTGTGATCCCCACACTTTGGGAGGCCGAGGTGGGAGGATCACTTGAGCCTGGGAGTTTGAGCCTGGGCAACATAGTGAGAACCCTCTCTATAAAAATTTTAAAAATTTAGCTGGGCGTGGTGGCATGGGCCTGCGGTCCCAGATACTTGGGAGGCAGAGGTGGCAGGATCACTTGAGCCCAGGAGGTCAAGGCTGCAGTGAGCCGTGATCATGCCACTGCACTCTAGCATGGGCAATAGAGCAAGAACCTGTCTCAAAAATAAATAAGTAAATAAATAAATAAAATAGATAACAAAGAAGTAACAGTGTAAAAACATGCTTAGCCTCACTGATGATCAGATAAATGTAAATTAATAATGAGATATAAATTGTAATCTAAACAGTTGGCAAATAATTTTGAGCAATACATATATTCATCAGTGGGGGAATGGTAATTGCACATACAGTATAATATACTATATGGTTATTAAGATTTTGGCCAGGCATGGTGGCTTACACCTATAATCCCAGCACTTTGGGAGGCCAAGGCAGGTAGATCACCTGAGGTCAGGACCAGCCTGGCCAACATGGTGAAACCCCGTCTCTACTAATAACACTAAAATTAGCCGGCATGGTAGTATGTTCCTGTAAGCCCAGCTACTTGAGAGGCTGAGGCAAGAGAACTGCTGGAAACTGGGAGGCAGAGGTTGCAGTGAACCAAGATCGTGCCACTACACTCTAGCCTGGGTGACAGAGTGAGACTCCGTCTCAAAAAGAAAAAAAGATTGAAGATTTCATGTATGGGCATGAAAAGATATCAAAAGCACATTAGGTGATTAAATGCAAAGTGTAGAACAGTAAGTACAGTATGATTTTGTACAAAAAAATACATATAGTGTACAAAATAGAAAAAAAGACAACATATATACCATATAAACTGTCAGGACTGGGTATCTAGGTTGGGAGAGGTGGGGAGTCAAGTAGGGAAAATGGCATGTATTACAGCATCTATTCATGTCGGGTACATATTTCTATATTGATTGAGAGTTTTTCCCCCAATAAGTTATTACTTTTTTAATTGAGAAAAATAATAAATTAAAAATAAGATAATGTTATGAACATTTTAAAGAGACAGTTGGGGCCAGGCGCAGTGGCTCATGCCTATAATCCCAGCACTTTGGGAGGCCGAGGCAGGCAGATCACCTGAGGCTGGGAGTTCGAGACCAGCCTGACCAACATGGAGAAACCCCGTCTCTACTAAAAATACAAAATTAGCCAGGTATGGTGGCACATGCCTGTAATCCCAGCTACTCAGGAGGCTGAGGCATGAGAATTGCTTGAATCCAGGAGGCCGAGGTTGCAGTGAGCCGAGATCACGCCATTGCACTCCAGCCTGTGCAACAAGAGTGAACCTCCGTCTCAAAAAAAAAAAAAAAAAAAAAAATGCCAGGCATGCTGACATACACCTGTAGTCCTAGCTACTCAGGAGGCTGAGGTGGGAGGATCACTTGAGCCCAGGAAGTCAAACAGCTGCAGTGAGCTATGATTACACCACTGCATTTCAGCCTGGGTGACAGAGCGAGACCCCGTCTCTAAAAAAAAATTAAAATAGGATCATGCTGTCTTATAATTTGCTTTCTTCATTCAAAAGTATCCTATGAGCATCTTTTCATGTCAATAAGTATACTTTGATCACATGATAGGTATCTGAGAAAAACAGTGTCCAGTTACCAAGGCAAAGTGCCACTTTGATTGTCAGGGCTCCTGTGTGGTTACAGTAAGGGCAGGTGAAGTCAGAGACCTAGATGACTCATCCATTGTGTGGCACGAGACCTTACAGAGCCAAGAGTGCTGCTGGCAGTTAGGGTAGAACCAGCTTCTGGAGCTGTTCTGTAATTCCTTCTTTTCCAGCAAGAAAACTTTTTAAGCTTCTTATATCTCTGATGCATACATTCTTCCCCCAATGGATCATTTTGTAAGCTAAAATTTAAACACTAGAATCAAGCAGTTCTATAATTTCTTTTCAAGCCTTATTTCTACTTGATGAAGTGGCTTTCAAGAGTATATTCAGAAGAGTAATAGGGTGAGAGACTTAATTCCCAAAATAGCTGCTAATCCTGTTTAATTCCTAGGTTGTTTGTCCTTTCTTTCTTAGTTGAAAGACTGGTGAGTCACAGACTACAGGAGAGAAGGTATTGGAGTTTGCAGTTTGTTGGGAAGGTGGTGCTGTTCAATTTATTTAGGAGTACAGTCCTTTCAAAGTACGGGACATTTAATTTAATTTAATTTTTCTTTTTTTTTTTGAGACAGAGTCTCACTCTGTCACCCGGACTGGAGTGCAGTGGCGCGATTTGGGCTCACTGCAACCTCCGCCTCCCAGGTTCAAGCCATTTTTCTGCCTCAGCCTCCTGAGTAGCTGGGACTACAGGCGCGTGCCACCACGCCCAGCTATTTTTTGTATTTTTAGTAGAGACGTGGTTTCACGGTGTTGGCCGGGCTGGCCACGAACTCCTGACCTCAGGTGATCCACCCGCCTCGGCCTCCCAAAGTGCTGGGATTACAGGCATGAGCCACTGCGCCCAGCCGGGACATTTAATTTTCAACAAGCGTGTTTCCTCTATTATGGAACAACAGTGACAATTTCCAGGTTGTTTTCAGTCTGTCTTACATGTATAAATTAATTCCATTTTTGGCCCTAGTGAAAGTGAACTCTCTTAGATATGTAAATGTGTGTCCTTTGATCATCTGAGTGATAAGTAGTGGTATTTGCATTTGAAGCCTGCATATTTTACAACCAGAGGATCTGTAAAACAGTGAATTTCTTGATAACTGAGAATTTTTTTTTTTTTTTTGGTTGGGGGATGGCGTCTCACTTTGTCACCCAGGCTGGAGTGTAGTGGCGCAGTCTTGGCTCACTGCAACCTCCACTTCCCAGGTTCAAGCGATTCTCCTGCCTCAGCCTCCAGAGTAGCTGGGACTATGGGTGTGCACCACTGCACCCAGTTAATTTTTGTATTTTTTTTAGAGACAGGGTTTCTCCATGTTGGTCTGGCTGGTCTCAAACTCCTGACCTTGTGATCCGCCGGCCTCGGCCTCCCAAAGTGCTGGGATTACAGGCGTGAGCCACCGTGCCTGGCCCTGATAAGTGAGAATTTATACACAGATAAACTTGTAGAGAAGAGCAGGGAAAAAAAAAAGATTAAATTCTTATGAAAAATAAAATTTGACTGCTCATATGCATGTAAATTATGTCAGATATAACTAAATATTTATGCAAATACTTGGAAAGTCTGGGGACTTCTCCAGGGTTCTACAAATTGTTTCAATCCTTGCTGCCACTATCCGTAATTAATGGTATAGTTTCAGCTATCCTGCAACTATCCTGCATCTTTGTCTTATTTAAAAGAAGAAAAAAAAACCCAGCAGAATTTACCATGTTATTTTATGGCAGGTAATGATGAACTTTGCTGATGTGTAGTTACAGTGTTTCAAGCACTTGTATTTTGCTTTTTCTTTCTTGTTTTTTTCCCCATTAATCTTTGGGTAAAAATCTCTTGTTTCGCATGTAACTATCATTAGAGCTGGGTTTGCCTTTCTTCTCATTTTGTCCTTATAAGGCCATCCTGTTTTATCACTTCCTGCTTCAGCTCCTGAGTTTTTCTCTCTTCCCCTCTCCCTCTCCCTCTGCCGGGTGGATGCTTTCTCCATGTGGCAAGGCTGTAACTGTTCACAGCTGTCTGAAACAGCAGTGGACCAGGAGCAGCTTGGAGTTTTAACTTTCATTTTACAAAGAACAACATGTTTGAATGTTTCAGCAGGCAAGTTATAACTGGCATCTACTTCTTGTTCTTCTAGAACACCGAAAATCTCTCCCAGCACTTTAGAAAGGGGACCCTGACTGTGTTAAAGAAGAAGTGGGAGAACCCAGGGCTGGGAGCAGAGTCTCACACAGACTCTCTACGGAACAGCAGCACTGAGATTAGGCACAGAGCAGACCATCCTCCTGCTGAAGTGACAAGCCACGCTGCTTCTGGAGCCAAAGCTGACCAAGAAGAACAAATCCACCCCAGATCTAGACTCAGGTCACCTCCTGAAGCCCTCGTTCAGGGTCGATATCCCCACATCAAGGACGGTGAGGATCTTAAAGACCACTCAACAGAAAGTAAAAAAATGGAAAATTGTCTAGGAGAATCCAGGCATGAAGTAGAAAAATCAGAAATCAGTGAAAACACAGATGCTTCGGGCAAAATAGAGAAATATAATGTTCCGCTGAACAGGCTTAAGATGATGTTTGAGAAAGGTGAACCAACTCAAACTAAGGTAAGAATTGGGCGGGTTTGAAACTTGAGAAAGCCAATTCAAGCACTAAACAAAGCTGTTTTTCCAATCTAGCTATTTTGAGTAGAGGCGAATATGTGGTCAGTATGTCTTTTGATTCCAGTTAGATAAGTTAATAGTCTCAAATGCATTATTTACATAGATGCTAAGATTTGTGAGTCTCTGACACAATTTCATGTTAAATCAGGTTCACACTGGGATTCAAATTGGTATCTAGAAATGAAGAGAGTTTAATACCGATTGGATTATGTGTTTTTGTACACTTGCCCTTTTAAATTGTCTTCCTGTGTTCTTTATCATTTGTAGCTTTGGGGGTGGAATTACTGCTGAATAGCTCTCTGCTTGGACACAGCTGCAGACTGAGTGTTAAGGCCGGAGTTTAACATTAAGACTGAGGCTTACTTGTCTCTGCTAGCTGAATCCCTTCTCTTCTTCTCAACTTCCTCATCTGTGCCTTCCAACAAATGTTTTCTATCAGCTAAAATCCTCTCTCAGGCAAAATCAATGAAGATAGCCAGACTAGCTATAGCTTTCGGGAGTTTTGACTTGCAAATGCACAGGGTTGCGTTTTCCTACAACTGCTAATGAAATTTGATCCTTCATGTGGATTGCAGACCTCGTCCCCAGAGGGAATTACTTAACTAGAAAATGAGTTACATATGCTGGTGATTTATAACACAATCCAGAGGCCACAGAGCTGGTAAATTTTTCCAGTTTTCTCATACTTTCCTATATATCTGGCTTTGTACATGGGGATGGTTCGTTACAACAGTCGTTATAATGAAATAAACAGACCTGATGGGGAGCAAAACCATCTGTTACTCTAGATTCCACCTAGATGGGAAAGCTGGATTTTTTTTAAGCTAAATATTTGGCCCAAGTCCCTATGTTTGGAAAGTAATATAATAATATTAAGCATTCTTTCTGAGATAAAAAATAACTCATCCTGTAGTCTTCAGTTATATTAGATGTGATATTGTCAATCCCTTCCCATGACTTGCAGTGCCAGTCACTTTTCTACTTAGAATTAGAAAAGTTCTTGAATGTTTGCGGGTCATGTTTGAAGTTGTGCGAGTTTTTGACGATGTGTAAAGCTACAACACTTCTCTGTGCATGAGCTTTAGCTCTACTTTAACAGTGAAACCAGTTGGCAAGAGATGTAACCACAAAGCAGTTTTATAACGTTTCTTAACTCTCTTCCCTCTCAAGTTTTTAGACCTTTAGTCCTGCCAACTCCTTCTTTCCCCTTTATGGTTTTAATTTAAAAATTTGTTTTATTTAAATGGGAAGAAGAATTTTAAGTGGAAGGAAAAAATGTCAGAAATCCTAAATAGAGAGGAAGGGGTTTTGTTGTGACTCAAAGCACCATTGTAAGTCTCCTCCTCCCAGACCCTGCTAGGAACAGGACAGCTGATGTCATGCCAGTACACACAATGTAGATTCAGTGCAAAAGGCTGCTGCATGTTGAAACTGGCCAAAGGTAGGAAATGACTGGGACTGTAGCAGACAAAAATGCTGATTATGTGTAAGGATATGGTGAGACACTTTTTCTCATAAATATCTAGTGAGATATGGGTCAGAACAAGCCTATCTCCCTAAGGCTGCTTGGAGAGGAGAAAAACTTTCCATATAAGATCTTACTAGTCCGGGCGTGGTGGCTCAAGCCTGTAATCCCAGCATTTTGGGAGGCAGAGGTTGGGGGATCACTTGTGGCCAGGAGTTCGAGACCAGCCTGGCCAACATGGTGAAACCCCGTCTCCACTAAAAATACAAAAATTAGCCAGGCATGGTGGCGTTGCTGGTAGTCACAGCTACTTGGGAGGCTGAGGCAGGAGAATCACTTGAACCTGGGAGGTGGAGGATGCAGTGAGCCGAGATCATGCCACTGCACTCCAGCCTGGGCAACAGAGTGAGACTCTGTCTCAAAAAATATATAAAAATAAAAATAAAGATCCTACTAGATGGCTGATAGCACTGGGCCACCAGATTGATTGCTAAAGGTATAGGAAGATGGAAGAGGCTGGGCACGGTGGCTTACATCTGTAATGAGAATTTAGGGAGGCCCAAGGCAGGAGGATTGCTTGTGCCCAGGAGTTTGAGACCAGCCTGGGCAACATAGCCAGACCTCGTCTCTACTAAAAATTTAAAAATTAGCCAGGTGTGGTAGTATGCATTGATAGTCCCAGCTACTTAGGAGGCTGAGGCAGAAGATTGCTTGAGCATGAGAGTTTGAGGTTGCAGTGAGCCATGATCGCCACTGCACTCCAGCCTGGGCAACACAGTAAGATCCCTGTCCCTTAAAAACAAGAAGATGGAAGAGACATAAGATTCACCTGGGCTTCTAGGTTTCATTGCTTTTTGTGTGTGCCATTTTTAATTTCCTGATTTGTCACTTAATGGACTGCTTAGGGAGTGGAAAACACAGCCACCCTTGGTTTTATTGCTGTTTGTAAATAAGCATCATTGTCCATACTGAAAACAGTCTAGATTATATTTATTTATTTATTTATTTATTTTTGAGACAGAATCTCTCACTGTTACTCAGGCTGGAGTGTATTGGTGCGATCTCGGCTCACTGCAACCTCCATCTCCCAGGTTCAAGTAATTCTCCTGCCTCAGCCTCCCAAATAGCTGGGATTATAGGCGCCCGCCACCACGCCCAGCTAATTTTTGTATGTTTAGTAGAGACGGAGTTTCATCATATTGGTCAGGCTGGTCTTGAACTCCTGACCTCAGGTGATCTGCCTGCCTCAAGCCTCCCAAAGAGCTGGGATTACAGGCATGAGCCACCACGCCCAGTCTCAGTCTAGATTATTTTTAACAGTTCTGTCAGGTATTCTATAGTCTGAGCTCAACCTACCTGTATAGTCTCACAGCCAATCTTATACTCAAACCTTGGAATACTCATCCCCCAACTGCTACTTTTTGAATCTTTTATTCTTAATATTTCACGTTTTAACTTCAGTGTGTTTATACTTTTTGAAATGAGACCAGAACATAGTAGACTTTATAGAGAAGACCAGTTTTACCTAGATTCCAAAGGAAGAATTAAACTGCTGTTATTGTTTGAAATGCGTTTTTTTTTTGTTTTTGTTTTTTTTTTTTTTATGGAGATAGGGTCTTAACTCTGTTGCCCAGGCTGGAGGAGTACAGTGGTACAGTTATGGCTCACTGCAGCCTTGACCCCTCTGCCTCAGCCTCCCAAATAGCTGGGGCCACAGGTGTGTACCACCACTCTCAGCTAATTTTTAAAATTTTTTATGGAGACAGCGTTTCGCTATGTTGCCCAGACTGTTCTTAAACTCCTGGGCTCAAGTGATCCTCCTGCCTTGGCCTCCCAAGCTGGTGAAATTACAGGCATGAGCCACCACACCCAGCCTGAAATTCTTAAAGGATGAGAATGTCAATGACAGAGCACCTTGGCATCATTGTGACTAACCTGGGAGACAGGGAAGAAGCACGCCATGGGAAGTGTTTACATTTGGGTACAGCTGTGCTAAGTACTGTGGAGCCCATAGCCTTGAGGTAGACGGCTACTTTGCCTTTTTTCTTGAACTGTCTTGCAGAATGTGGATTTGGGGTAAGTGGTCTTGAAGCACTCATTTAGTCACCCTCAAATTAAGATTTTTACTTCATCTTTCTTGGGCCTGTACCTCCAAGATGACAAAGAAAAGAAGAAACAATGGTCACACCAAAGAGGGCCGCAACCAGGTGTACGCTATTCACTGCAGCCAATTTGCTGCATAAACTGTGCCCATTGTGTGCCCAATGACAAGGCTTATTAAGAAATTCATCATAGGCCGGGCGCGGTGGCTCACGCCTGTAATCCCAGCACTTTGGGAGGCTGAGGCGGGCGGATCACGAAGTCAGGAGATTGAGACCATCCTGGCTAACACGGTGAAACCCTGTCTCTACTAAAAACACAAAAAAATTAGTTGGGCGTGGTGGCGGGCGCCTGTAGTCCCAGCTACTCGGGAGGCTGAGGCAGGAGAATGGCGTGAACCCGGGAGGCAGAGCTTGCAGTGAGCCGAGATCACGCCACTGCACTCCAGCCTGGGCAAGAGTGAGACTCCGTCTCAAAAAAAAAAAAAAAAAAAGAAAAGAAATTCATCACTTGAAATGCTTGAAATGTAGAGGCTGCGGCAGTCAGCGATATTTCTGAAGTGAGCGTCCTAGATGCCTGTGTACTTCCCAGGCTGGATGTGAAGCTACATTACTGTGTGAGTTGTGCCATTCACAGCACGGTAGTCAGGAATCAAGGTCATGAAGCCCACAAGGATCGAACACCTTCCCCCCACTGTAGACCTGCGGGTGCTGCCCCACGACCGCCAGAAATCAAGGTCATGAAGCCCGCAAGGACCGAACACCTCCACCCCACTGTAGACCTGCGGTGCTGCCCCATGACTGCCACCGAAGCCCATATAAGGAGCAGAGTTCTTAAGGACTGAAGAAAAACTAGCCTCTGGAGAAAAATAAAAAAATTGCAATTGTACTTAAAAAAAAAAAAAAGATTTTACTTCAAAGGCCAGGCTTGAAGTTCTGAACACTTTGAAGTCTCCAATTATGAGGGATCCAGTCTAAGCCTCTGGCTTTTGCTATTTAGCAATAGGTGTTCTATGATGGGCTGATTTGGAAGGAGGGAGTCAGCCACTCTTGAGCCACTGCAGTGAAGTCACTTGATCTCAGTCTGGAGAGAAACACTTTAATAGCTAAACATTCTAGCTTTGATTTTTCTGAAGGGAATACACCTGTTTTCAATTCTGGGATTTTTGGGGTGCTTGCTTGACTGTATATGAACTTGTGATCCAAGGAAAAAATAGGAGAAAGAACAATGTTGGCTTTTTAAGTCAGGATAGTTTTATGTTTGCTACTAGATAAGGCAAAAATAAAAACTTATTTTTATAAATTCAAGAAGAAAAGTAAGGATGTTTTTATACCCTAGTGGTCAATAACTTAGTTCATAGTATTTATTTAATAAAAGGAAGGTGGCATTGGTGGTATAGTGGTAAGCATAGCTGCCTTCCAAATAATGAAAATTGATTAAAGCCTATTTCTCAGTTATTCTCTACATTTGATGAATAGATAGGTTATTTAGGTCAGGTGGTTTAGCTGAATATGATGGTTTTATTTATTTATTTTTGAAACAGAGTCTCATTCTATTGCCCAGGATGGGGTGCAGTGGCACAATCTTGGCTCACTGCAACCTCTGTCTCCTAGGTTCAAGCAATTCTCCTGCCTTAGCCCCCGAGTAGCTGGGATTACAGGTGTCCGCTGCCATTCCCGGCTAACTTTTTTTGTATTTTTAGTAGAGATGGGGTTTCACTATGTTGGATAGGCTGGTCTTGAACTCCTGACCTCAGGTGATCTGCCCACCTCAGCCTCCCAAAGTGCTACCGCGCCCAGCCTGAATGTGATGGTTCTACTTCCTATGAGTGAATGAGTGGTATATGGATTAATGTAACCTATCGTCAAAAGAAATGCCACAGTGGGCTGGGAGCAGTGGCTCACGCCTGTAATTCCAGCACTTTGGGAGGCCAAGGCAGGTGGATCACCTGAGGTCGAGAGTTTGAGACCAGCCTGACCAACATGGAGAAACCCCATCTCTACTAAAAATACAAAAATTAGCTGGAGATGGTGGTGCATGTCTGTAATCCCAGCTGCTCAAGAGGCTGTGGCAGAAGAATCACTTGAACCCAGAAGGCAGAGTTTGCAGTGAGCTGAGATGACACCATTGCATCCCAGCCTGGGCAGCAAGAGCAAAACTTCTCTCGAAAAGAAAAGAAAAGAAATGCCACGGTGACACTTAGTGAGTGTGGTTTAGCATTCCTAATTCCTTATATGTATTAATCTGGATTTTAGGTGGCCAAGATAACCATTCAGGACAGCCTTTTATGAAAAAGATAACTGACCAACTAGTTATGACCCATGTTTAGTTATTGTCATGTTGCCTTTTTTTTTTTTTGAGACAGCCTCGCTCTGTTGCCCAGGCTGGAGTGCAGTGGCACCATCTCAGCTCACTGCAGCCTCCCAGGTTCAAGCAATTCTCTGCCTCAGCCTCCTGAGTAGCTGGGATTACAAGTGTGCACCACGAAGTCCGGCTAATTTTTGTATTTTTAGTAGAGACGGGGTTTTGCCATGTTGGCCAGGCTGGTCTCGAACTCCCAGCCTCAAGTGATCCACCCACCTCGGCCTTCCAAAGTGCTGGGATTTTATATTATAAAAATAAAGCAGGCCGGGCGCGGTGGCTCGCGCCTGTAATCCCAGCACTTTGGGAGGCCGAGGCAGGCGGATCACGAGGTCAGGAGATCAAGACCATCCTGGATAACACGGTGAAACCCCATCTCTACTAAAAATACAAAAAAAAAATTAGCCGGGCGTGGTGGCGGGCGCCTGTAGTCCCAGCTACTCGGAAGGCTGAGGCAGGAGAATGGCGTGAACCCGGGAGGCGGAGCTTGCAGTGAGCCGAGATTGCGCCACTGCACTCCAGCCTGGGCGACAGAGCGAGACTGCCTCAAAGAAAAATAAATAAATAAATAAAATAAATAAAGCAATATATTCAGGTAAAATAGACATATATAAAATAACAAAGGAAGTTTCCTTTGACTCATCACCCTTTTCTCTTGTTTGTGACCTCTCCCCGTAGACTCCCAGCCCTTCAGCTTCCCTCTGAATTTCAGTTCTTATTAGCACCAGGATCATGATATGTATAGATAGCATCAAAATGCCAACAAAAACTTCACTTGTTCCAACATCTTTGTGGTTTTTCTTCTTGTAAGTTCCTGGAAGTGACACTTGGTATTTTGTTTAGTTTTGCATAACACTCGTACATAAGAGTGTATATGCGCTGATGTAGTAGAATGAGTCTTTAGAGAGTAAGGCAACCAAGCTAAAGTGTGATGATCTCTGTTCATCAGGTACTTATTCATAGCCAATCTGTAATCTGCATCAAAGAAATAATTTATATAGGCCTTCTTGATGAATGGGTAGGTGTCCATAGGGAATGCCCAGATTGTTGCAGAAATTATTCATAACATCTTATCTTCCTCTTAGTTAATAATTGTATGTGTTCCTTTATCTACTTAACGTTAAGATAAAAAATTTTCTTCTGCTTTCTGAATATGTCTTATTTAGAATTATATCCCAAGAAGAATACAATTCTGAGGATGTTCATAATTGTATTAATTGCATAGTTTTGTTTGTTTGTTTGTTTGCTCTGTCGCCCAGGCTGGAGTGCAGTGGCACAATCCCAGCTCACTGCAACCTCCACCTCCCGGGTTCAAGTGATTCTCCTCCCTCAGCCTCCTGAGTGGCTGAGATTACAGGCGCATGCCACCACACCAGCTAATTTTTGTGTTTTTAGTAGAGACTGGGTTTCACCGTGTGGGTCAGGCTGGTCTTGAACTCCTGACCTTGTGATCCCCCCACCTTGGCCTCCCAAAATGCTGGGATTATAGGTGTGAGCCACTGCGCCCAGCCAAATTGCATGGTTTTAAGTTAAAATTTTAAAGTAAGTTTGGGGAGGAAAGGTATTTGAATAACTATTAACATCAATGTGGAGTCTATACAGTCATCTCAATGTAGGGGAGTATATCTTTAATTTGCCTGTCAGTGAATCTTCACTTTTACCTTGACCTAACATTTAATCTTCAATAGATACATTGCTAGTGCTTTAAATGTGGATAATTGGTTTTGCATGTTATTGTTAATTGTACACAAGAATTGTCTTTGTTTTTCTATCAATGCACTTTCTTACATATCTTGGTAAAACTAACTTTTTGCTGATTTAGCATATTCACCTATAGTTTGTAGCTTCTCTTGTCATTTCAAAAATGTAAATAAGGCTATCCTCAGCATTATTTTGACTGACATCTATTTATAGTGGTACATTTCTTGTAAAGACTACATATCAGCATAAATTTTTTATTTACTCTTAATAACTCTGAGTAATCTCGTGTGTGTGTGTGTGTGTGTGTGTGTGGTAAGATAATAATTGATCCAGGGTAAAGATGCAGTCAAAGAATTCCAATCTTTTTAACTGTTCCTTGCCCTAAATGACTGTCCTTGATGTGCCAGCTAGAGACCACTCATCTCTTCTTCTCTGCTTACTTTCATGTCCACTAACTATGTACTGGTTTTTAACCAGTTTCATTATAGTAAAACATATCAACAAGCAATGTCAGGGGACTGGAATATTCTTTAAGCAATGTTGGCTATATTAGACTTCAAGGGGGCTAGAAAGACTTCATCTCCCCCCAGTACAAATATTACTACCTTTGTCTTCCTGCTAGTGGGCTCATTCCTAAATTAGACAACACAGGTGTGTATCCAGATGAATATATTTACAAGTCATTTCCTCTAGCCTTCTAACTCATTCTAACTCATCAGTGAGTTACAATGAGTGAGAAATCGCTATCAAAATTGTTGACATATAGATCCTAGAACCTTAAGAGAGTTTAAGAAGTTATTTAATCCAGCTCACTGCCCTCAGTCAGTTAGAACTTTACAATCCCAATTTTACAGATGCGATTAGATGAGGTCAGAGAAGTTAATTGATATGCCCCATGGCATGTGGCTAATTAATATCAGAACAGGATTGAAATTGGGTAGTACCCCTTCTACCATATAACACTATCTTCATGGATATAATAACTATTTATTGGATAGAAACAATGGGCCCTACATATCTTTGAAATCTAAGGAAACTGGCAAAAATTGAAAACATAAAAACAGCTATGTTCTCAAAGACTTTAACTCTGTCTTCCCACAGTTTATGCTTAACTAATTGAAAAGCATCAGGACAGTGAACAGAAGGAATACATTGGAATGCAAGAGATATGAATGAAAGCACTGGAGTTAGAAGCTTGTGAGTTTGGGACCTGGCGTGGTGGCTCACACTTGTAATCCCAGCACTTTGGGAGGCCAAGGCACAAGGCACACTTGTAATCCCAGCACTTGAGGTCAGGAGTTCGAGACCAGCCTGGCCAACATGGCAAAACCCCATCTCTATTAAAAATACAAAAATTAGCCTGGCGTGGTGACATGCGCCTGAAATCCCAGCTACTCAGAAGCCTGAGGCAAGAGAATTGCCTGAACCTGGGAGGCAGAGGTTGCAGTGAGCTGAGATCATACCACTGCACTCCATCCTGGGCGACAGAGCAAGACTTTGTCTCAAAAAAAATAAAAAATAAAATTAAAAAGATATAATTCATTAAACATTGTTCTTACATCAAAAGGTATGATTTATTGTTTATTCTTATATATTTTCAGCTTGTTCTCAAGATTATAACACCACTAGTACAATATAAGGACACATTCCCCAAAGCATTAGCATTTGGTTTTACCATTTTTGTCTACTTAAATTAATAGATATGACTTGTTATCCTTTCTTTTTTTTTTCTTTTCCTAATTGTAAGACTAACACAAAGTATTTGTAGAATGCTTGGGAATACAAAAAATGTAGAGAAATCCTACCACCTGGAGATAAATCTCTTTCTATGTGTATTATTTTACTTACATTAACTCTCTTTCTAAGAGAGTCCCTGAAGAAAGAAATTTTTCTCTCAATACTTTAATAAATCAAGGCTAGGTTTTATCTATGCCCCGATTTCCATGCATAGTTCAGCAAAGCTCCATTTTTCCCTAAAAGCCAACCTTCCTCTGCCCTTGACTTTGGTGAGATGACAGCGTCCAAAGGAAGCTGAAGTTGAAAGGTTGAAGGAAGTGGCTAAGTGAGGCAGGGGACTCTCAGTAAATTAAAGTGTTGAGAATCAGCTTTTAAAGATAATTTTTTCTGAAGATAGGTGTAGAAAAGACAGGAAATCCTGCTTTGTTACTTATTTAGAACCTAACTTACTTTATTTCTGTTTTAAAAAATACAGAAAAAAATTCTACAGACTACTGTCTAAAACTTTTATCCTCTTACTAGTACATCTTGGTGCGTTTGATTTATGGATTCACAGAGAATATTTAAGGGATGTTCATACTAACAAGAGTTATTGTCAGCTGACAGGAAGGAGGACTTCAGGGTGGGTGAGGCCAGGCCTCAGGAAATTCCAGAAAGTCTTAAAAGTATCTTGTCTATTCTCTTTCCTTGACATTAGAATGATTAAGGCTCCCTCAAGTGTCTGAGTAAAAAGAGCTAAAATGTGATAAAAGTCTGTTACAGAAGAGTATTTTGGTATCAGAATTCGTGTGTGTGTGTGTGTGTGTTTTGTGTTCCTTTACTTCCTTGAGAAATATTGGAGGAAACCCCTCCTTCTTCCTGTACCTCAGATTACCACTTGGAAAATGTGGATCATAAAACTCATCTTAAATGCATTTGAGATCATTTTTGTTTGTTTGTTTGTTTGCTTGCTTTTGAGACAGGGCCTTGTTATATCGTCCAGGCTGGAGTGCCGGGGCACAATCATAGGTCACTACAGCCTCGACTTCCTGGACTCAATCATCCCACTTCAGCCTCCGGAGTAGCTGGGACTGCAGGCATCACCACTATGCCTGGCTAATTTTTTTTTTTTTTTTTTAAAGCAGAGACAGGGTCTCACCATGTTGCCCAGGCTGATCTCAAACTCCTGGCCTCAAGCAACCCTCCTGCCTCTGCCTCCCAAAGTGCTGGATTACAGGCGTGAGCTACCACGCCCAGCCTTGTTGTTATTCTTTTTTTTTTTTTTTTTTGGGGGGGTGGGGCGGAGTTTCGCTCTTGTTGCCCAGGCTGGAGTGCAATGGCGTGATCTTGGCTCGCTGCAACCTCTGCCTCCCAGGTTCAAGTGATTCTCCTGCCTCAGCCTCCCAAGTAGCTGGGATTACAGGTGTCCACCACCATGCCTGGCTAATTTTTTGTATTTTTAGTAGAGATGGGGTTTCACCAGGTTGGCCAGGTTGGTCTTGAACTCCTGACCTCAGGTAATCCACCTGCCTTGGCCTCCCAAAGTGCTGGGATTACAGGCATGAGCCACCATGCCCAGCCAAGCCTTGTTATTCTTAATGTTTGAGTGGTTTAAAGGTGAAATATATTGAAAGTAATGCTGTGCTTCACTGAACCTGCGATATCATGAAAACCCATCTTACCTCACAGCTGTGTTTCTCCTCAGAGCCACAGTCTGTATGAGGGATTTTTCAGAGACAGTTCTCTTCCTATTTTTCTCTGAGACCAAATGGCTTTGTTCATGTACTTTTTTAGTACTTGAAATAAATTAATGCAGAGTTTTGATACCCCCATGGAGCAAAAGGCTTCAAAAAAAAGGTAAGGGGGCCTTATTTAATTAACCCAGCAGTTTAAATTAAAAGCTAACAAAGATGGGAAATTTTATGCGTTTAAAACCAAAGAAAGCCTCTGCCCTGGCAAGGTGTATGCTCTGGTTCTAAATGATTATGCTCCCAATAACAGCAGTGCAGGGACTTCACACAAGACAGAGAAGGATGTGTAGCTCCAACTAGACAGAAAACAGCTCTCTGCAGGTTGTAACATGTAACACATATTCTTGGAATTGTGCTTGAACTTTGACAGAAAGCAAATATCTGTATTAAGAACACAGAACCCGTTTCCTTTTGGTTGTTCTTTTCTTTTTTTCTTTTTTTTTTTTTTTTTGGAAATGGGGTCTTGCTCTGTTGCCCAGGCTGGAGTGCAGTAATCTTGGCCCACTGCAACCTCCACCTCCCTGGTTCAAGCGATTCTCCTGCCTCAGCCTCCCCAGTAGCTAGGATTACAGGCACGTGCCACCATGCTCAGCTAATTTTTGTATTTTTAGTAGAGATGGGGTTTCGCCATGTGGGCGAGGCTGGTCTCAAACTCCTGACCTCAAGTGATCCACCTGCCTCGGCCTCCCAAAGTGCTAGGATTACAGGTGTGAGCCACTGCACCCGGCCCCTTTTGGTTTTTCAAAAGAAGTTTATCAGTAGGCTTTCTCCCATTTTGAGTTTTGAAAATTCTAATTTTTGTAGTGGTTATCTTCCAGTGCAGCAGCATTTGGAATAAATATGTGGAATTTTCTTTATTTTAATGATCAGCAAATAAGAAGTATGTTGAAAACAAAATAAAAAGGTGGGCCAGGCGCGGTGGCTTACGCCTGTCATCCCAGCACTTTGGGAGGCCAAGGAGGGCAGATCATTTGAGGTCAGGAGTTTCAGACCAGCTTGACCAACATGGTGAAACCCCAACTCTACCAAAAACTCAAATAATTAGGTGTGGTAGCAGACGCCTGTAATCCCAGCTACTCTGGAGGCTGAGACAGGAGAATTGTGTGAGCTTAGGAGGTGGGGGTTGCAGTGAGCTGAGATCACACCACTGTATTCCAGCCTGGGTGACAGAGTAAGACTCTGTCTCAAAATAAATAAATAAATAAAAATTAAAAATGTGGATTGAGGGTATCCTGCCAGACATATCTTTTCCTTTTGACCAAGATCTTCATTATCTTTTTTCTTTTTTTTTTTTTTTTTTTTGAGATGGAGTCTCGCTCTGTCACCTAGCCTGGAGAGCAGTGGCACAATTTCTGCTCACTGCAACCTCCATCTCTGAAGTTCAAGTGATTCTCAACCTCAGCCTCCTGAGTAGCTGAGATTACAGGTGCGCACCGCCACCCCAGCTAATTTTTGTATATTTAGTAGAGACAGGGTTTCACAATGTTGGCCAGGCTGGCCTCGAACTCTTGACCTCAAGAGATCCACCCACCTTGGCCTCCCAAAGTGCTGGGATTACAGGTGTGAGCCACCGCACCCAACCACTTCATTTTCAGATAGCGGCTGCTCCTAGAGCAAGAGTATGTTGAGCTGTGTGAGTCATATGGATGTATAATAATTCATGAAAGTATGCCTGACCTGTGTGTGATGTAGCACGGATAGTGTTGTTCCAGCTTGTTTTAGTTTTTATTAAAAATAGACCCAATCAGGCCGGATGCAGTGGCCCACACCTGTAATCCCAGCACCTTGGGAGGCCGAGGCTCCTTGAGCCCAAGAGTTTGAGACCAGCCTGGGCAACGTGGTGAGACCCTGTCTCTACTGTAAAAAAAAAAAAAAAAGAAAGAAAGAAAAAATAGACTTAAATCAACAATATAAATTGCAAAGCTGACTGGATATAAATTATTATTATTACTTTTTGAGCAGGGTCTTACTCATCACCCAGGCTGGAATGCAGTAGTGCGGTCACGGCTCACTGTATTCTTTTTTGTAGAGATGGAGTCTTCCTATGTTGCCCAGGCTAGTCTTGAACTCCTAGGCTCAAAGGATCCTCCTGGCTCAGCCTCCCAAAGTGTTGGGATTACAGGCATGAACCACCAAACCCAGCAAGGAGACAAATTATATATACACACACACACATATGTAATATGTATATAATATATTTTTATTTTTATTATTTCTTTTGAGACAGGGTCACACTCTGTTGCCCAGGCTGGAGTGCAGTGGCATGATCTTGGCTCACTGCAACATACACCTCCCAGGCTCAAGCAATTTTCCTACTGCAGCCTTCTGAGTACCTGGGACTACAGGCGCATGCCATAATGCCCAGCTAACTTTTGGTTTTTTTTGAGACGGAGTCTTGCTTTGTCACCCAGGCTGGAGTGCAGTGGCCTGATCTCTGCTCACTGCAACCTCCGCCTCCTGGGTTCAAGCGATTCTCCTGCTTCAGCCTCCTGAGTAGCTGGGATTACAGGTGCGGGCCACCACGCCTGGCTAATTTTTTTGCATTTTTAGTAGAGACGGGGTTTCACCATGTTGGTCAGGCTGGTCTCGAACTCCTGACCTCGTGATCCTTCTGCCTCGGCCTCCCAAAGTGCTGGGATTACAGGCGTGAGCCACCGTGCCCAGTCTAACTTTTGTATCTTTTTTGTAGAGACAAGGTTTTGCCATGCTGCCCAAGCTGGTCTCAAACTCCTGGGCTCAAGTGATCCACCTGTCTCAGCCTCCCAAAGTGCTAGGATTATAAGCTTGAGCCACTGTGCCTAGCCTTGGGAGATATATTAAATATATATTGAATTTGAAAGAAACTATTCTTACTGGTGTGGTATAAACAGACCAATCCTTGGCTCTGATTTCTGATGTGGTATGTTTTCTGTCTCCAAGGAGGGGGTATAAAAAATATGTAAAAGTGATAGTTCACTTTCTTTTCTTTTTTTTTTTTTTTGAGACAGGGTCTCACTCTGTTTCTCAGGCTGGAGTGCAGTGGAGCGATCTCTGCTCCCTGCAACCTCTGCCCCCCTGGTTCAAGCAATCCTCCCACCTCAGCCTCCCAAGTAGCTGGGACCGCAGGTGCATGTCACCACACCTGGCTAATTTTTTGTATTTTTAGTAGAGACAGGGTCTCACCATGTTGCCCAGTCTGGTCTCAAATTCCTGAGCTCCAGCAATCTGCCCGCCTTGGCCTCCCAAAATGGTGGTTTTACAGGTGTGAGCCACCATGCCCAGTCTCACTTCCTCAAACTTTACAGTAAAGTTGATTAGTCCATTGAACTTAAAGATTTAGTAACTATTTACTAATGTTAAATTCAAAAGGGTGCTAAGTGTTTTATTCTTATCTCCTGTCATACTGGATTTCAGATATCTTTTTTAACCTCAAGTTGTCTGGAAATAAACTGAGATTTGAATGATAGGATCTGATGTAAGGATCTCATTATAAGCTGAATAAACATGACATACTCCCTGTGTACTATGTCTGGGAATATTCTTTGACACTACAGTCTTAAAAATTATAATTTGTAACTTTCATTAAAGATCTACCTTAGATATGACAGAGATAAATGTAGTAATTTAATGGAATCACAAAACACTTCATTAAAAAAAATCTTTGTTGGCCAGGCGCAGTGGCTCAAGCTTGTAATCACAGCACTTTGGGAGGCCGAGGTGGGCGGATCACCTGAGGTCAGGAGTTCGAGACCAGCCTGGCCAACATGGTGAAACCCTGTCTCTACTAAAAATATAAAAATTAGCTGAGCATGGTGGCAGGCGCCTGTAATCCCAGCTACTCAGGA
This sequence comes from Homo sapiens, assembly GCF_000001405.40. Lineage (NCBI taxonomy): Eukaryota > Metazoa > Chordata > Mammalia > Primates > Hominidae > Homo > Homo sapiens. The sequence continues at coordinate 50,207,045 of NC_000012.12, read as the reverse complement.
GGCTGAGGCAGGAGAATCACTTGAACCTGGGAGGCGGAGGCTGCAGTGAGCCAAGATCACATCACTATACTCCAGCCTGGGTGACGGAGTGAGACTCTGTCTCAAAAAAAAAAAATCTGTGTCATCCACTTTTCTGTAAGTCCTGGAAATATATGGACAAAAAGGCATGGTCTCTGCCCTTAGTGAGCTTACAGTGCAGTAGAGGGACAGTCACCCAACAGTTTGACCAGGTACCTTGAGAACAGAGGAAAGATTACCTAAATTTATGTTGGCAAGGTACTCAGACTTCATAGTGCTTACACTGAGTCTTTGAAGGAACAGGCATTTGTAAGGCAACAGAAGGACAAAGGAGGCTGGCTCGGTAGGGACCAGATCTAGAACAGGACTTCTGTGACTTACTAAGCACTTCGAGTTTAATTTCAGGAATGAGTAGGAATGCTGAAAGAATTTTGAAAAGGAGGGTAAAATAGATTTATATTTTTGGATAATTACTTTGTATTATTGGGGATAATGGTAGCATCATAGAGACTGGATTGGAAGATAATGAAGAACCAGTTAAAGAGGTATAATGCAGTAGTCCAGGGGAAAGATGATGAAGACATGAACTAAGGCAGCAATAGCAGAAATAACATGAGACGGAGAAAGGAAACAGCAGATTCTGCATCAGCACTTGGCAGTTTAGAAGGACATGTCATTGTCATCTGGTATGTGAGGATTCCCCTCCAATAAGTGTTACAAAGCTTGCTGGTTAGGAAGCCATCTTTAGCAGAGAATATTACCTATATAGGGTTACTTATTTTTCCCTGGGCACCTGTGAATGTGTAGTGCTTGATATTTGTAATTTAAAAAAAATTCTATAGAATATAAAATATAAAATCAAATCTGGATTTTATTTATAAAGAAGGTTTGCAAGTTGAACCTTGCGTCAAGATTTCCCATTGTTTCTGCAAAACTTATCGTTGGGTTTCGTTTTCCAGATTCTCCGGGCCCAAAGCCGAAGTGCAAGTGGAAGGAAGATCTCTGAAAACAGCTATTCTCTAGATGACCTGGAAATAGGCCCAGGTAAGCAGAGAGTTCCATGTGTATGAGGTCCTTTAGGAAGTACTCACTAGTAGTAACATCTTTTGGACTCGAAGCCAATGCTTTTAAAGGAAGAGTGGCACAAATTAAAAGGAAGTCTGCCTATTAGATGCAAGCCATTCTCAAATCTCATTGCTCTCGATAAATAGCTTTTTTTTTTTTTTTTTTTTTGAGACGGAAGTTGACGTGCTCCCAAAGTGCTGGGATTACAGGCATGAGCCGTCATGCCCGGCTGCTTTTTTCATATTTTTAATCCACCCTTGTTAGTGGTAACCTATGGTAAGCAAAGGGTACTTTGAGGAGCTATAAGTAAAGTGCTACGATCAGTTTTGCCTCCAGTCATCTGGGGTTTGAGGGCTTCAGTAGATGGGCTGTGTCCCCTATCAGGTTTGGTTACCCTGTATTACCAGTGATAACATAACACTTTGAGAGTGGAATTATGTTTTAAAGGGGACATATACAGGCACTTCACAAAAGAAAAAATTAGTAAAAACAGGAAAACATCAGCTACCTAGTCATCAAAGAAATGTAAATTAAAAAGCATTGAGATCTCTTCTTTTTCATGTTAAATTAGCCAGAATTTTAAAATACGAGCCCAGGCATGGTGGCTCAGACCTATAATCTCAGCACTTAGGGAGGCTGAGACAGGAGGACCACTTAAATCCAGGAGTTTGAGACCAGCCTGGGCAACATAGACCTATCTCTACAGAAAAAAAAAAAAAAAGCCCAGCGTGGTGGTGCATCCTTGAAGTCACTGCTACTTGGGAAACTGAGGTGGTTGGATCATTTGAGCCCAAGACTTCAAAGCTGCAGTGAGCTATGATTGTACCACTGCCCCATACTCTAGCCTGGGTGACAGAGTGAGACCCTGTCTCAAAAAATAAAATATGCAATCCTCAATTATGGTAAGGTTCTTTTAATGCTAAGAAAGTGAGTGAATATTACTTTATAAATGACAATTATATTCCTGATTTTCTTCTTCGTGCTTTTAACAGAAGATATTGGCCATTAGATAAAAATAACCCAAAATTTAGAATTTTGAAATTATTTGAATCACTTTTATCTTCTAATAAAACATGTTGGCCAGTCACGGTGGTTTACACCTATAATTCCAGCGCTTTGGGAGGCTGAGGCGGGAGGATATCTTGAGCTCAGGAGTTCGAGGCTGTAGTGAGCTATGATCGTGCCACTGCACTTCAGCCTGGGTGATAGAGTGAGACCCCATCTCAGAAATAAAATAAAACATGTTATTTGGATGCTTCCAGGTCAGTTGTCATCTTCTACATTTGACTCGGAGAAAAATGAGAGTAGACGAAATCTGGAACTTCCACGCCTCTCAGAAACCTCTATAAAGGATCGAATGGCCAAGTACCAGGCAGCTGTGTCCAAACAAAGCAGCTCAACCAACTATACAGTATGTGTTCTGCATCATTCATTCATTCATTCATTCCATCATCCAGCAGATGGTCACTGAGTACTGGAATTAGGAAATGTCACCAGACCCTTGTATCTGAGCCCTGGTCCCCTAGCTGTTCTCTTTTCACATGAACCCTACCCTCGCTGGATTTGCAGTTCTTACCATGGTCTAATCCTGACTTTGCTTTCTTAGTCCTGGTTCCCACCCCACTCACTTTTTTTGTGATGTTACCAGTGAGTATCATTGAGAGTTTCCCTGGCTCTTCTACTTAATCTTTGTGTTGTTAAAGAAGTAGTATTTTATTAGTTTTAATATAACTCTTATTTTATCTTGGTTGTTGAGGGAAGAAGGAAGAAGACTGAAGAGCTTATTTTGGCTTTTGAGGGAAGAAAGAAGAAGACTGGAGAGAAATATCAGCTGTGTTCATTAACGAGGGTTTTTTTTGTGATTTTTTACTGAGATATAACTCACATAATATAAAATCACCATTTTAAAGTATACAATCTTGTGATACTTAGCATATTCACAAGGTTGTACAACCATTACCACTGTTTAATTCCAGAACCTTTCCATCACCCTGAAAAGAAACTTCATACCTGTGTAGTCACTCCCAACTTCCCCTGCTCTCATCCCCTGGCAACCACTTAGCTACTTCCTGTCTTTATGTATCTGCCTATTTTGGAAATTTCATATGAAGGAGTCATACAGTAGATCTTCTACTTAATCTTTAATCCTTACGATGTACTGTTTTCCTAAAGAAGTAGAATAGTAGATAAGGAAAAGGGAGAGATCACAAGAAGGTGACGTGCTCAGTAAGCATGAAAATTTTGATATTCAGCTGGGTGTGATGGCTCACACCTGTAATCCCAGCACTTTGGGAGGCCGAGGTGGGCAGATTGCCTGAGGTCAGGAGTTCAAGACCAGCTTGGCTAACGTGGTGAAACCCCATCTCTACTAAAAATACAAAAATTAGCCAGCATGGTGGCAGGCACCTGTAATCCCAGCTACTTGGGAGGCTGAGGCAGGAGAATCGCTGGAACCCAGGAGGCAGAGGTTGCAGTGAGGCAAGATTGCGCCACTACACTCCAGCCTGGGCGACACAGCAAGACTCCGTCTCCAGGAAAAAAAAAAAAGATTGGTATTCAAAATACAATGGAGGGTCCTTCCCCTTTACGTTGTCCTGTGCTTAACGGGTAAGCTGATGCTACAGAACTGCTAAATTGAAGTTACCTTATAGCCAGGCGCAGGAGCTCACACCGTAATCCCAACACTTTGGGAGCCTGAGGTGGGTGGGTCATTTGAAGTCAGGAGTTCAGAACCAGCCTGGCCAACATGGTGAAATCCCGTCTCTACTAAAAATACAAAAAAAAAATTAGCCAGGTGTAGTGGCACACACCTGTAATCCCAGCTACTAGGGAGGCTGAGGCAGGAGAATCACTTGAACCTAGGAGATGGAGGTTACAGTGAGCTGAGATCACACCACTGTACTCCAGCCTGGGTGACAGGGTGAGACTCCATCTCAAAAAAAAAAAAAAAAAAAGGAAGTTACCTTTCAAATGCCATTTATTCACATATATATGTATACACACACATAGATACAAATGTACACACACATATTTTTGTATCCTTCAAGCATTTGTTCTAAGATTTCAAATTACAAACCATTAATCTCTTGATGTCCTAATTGTCTAACAAAATCAAAAAGAACAATATTGAATTTTATTTGTTCTTAGGCAGATCGAAATTGGTGCATATTGGAAACCATAATGAGTATTCTGGGAGTTAAGCCTTCTCTTCCCCACATTATTAAGTATACATTCTCTAATAATATTTGGTGGACTAATTCTCTGGGCAATGAATAATTTCATCTTGGTTTTTTAACTGTAATTTTAACAACTTTATGTTTTAAGAAGAGATGATGTGTGTAAATCAATTAGCAAAGTGGAGTATCACAGGCTGATTATGCACCGTGAATGTGAAAAGCGAGCAAATTTAGACTTCCCTTAGAAGGCAGGTCAGGAGATACAGCAAATTGGGATCTGCGAAGCTGAACTTCCTCTTGTTACCAGATTTTACTGCTTCTCAGTGCCCTCCTGCTGTAAACATTCCCACCAGGTGACTCCCTATGTGGGGAAACCTGTTGAGTAACTTTTTTTTTTTAACTCCTAACCATTTCTGCATTACAGTTCTCCTGCTCTGGAGATTTTAAGAGTTGAAAACTCTTTGGGAATTCTTGTAAAAAGTACATTTTGTCTCATCCCCAAAGAATTTCCCAGGCCCCTTACAGAATATGGTTGTAACAAGGCACATACATACTCTCTGGCAGCAGTTCTGGAGGTGGGGCTTTGAGATGGGGTCAGGAATGAGTTGTTGGGCTATATAATGTTCTGCAGTGCTAGCTGCCAGCTCCTCCTCACAGATGCACCTCCGGTGCTGTGGGTCGTAATCTAGAATACCATCACTAGGTGACTAAGTCATACTCACATTCCTTTCATTGACCTGGTGGCCATAAATTGTTTCCTCCCATGCCTAAAGATTCACAGAGAACAGAAAAGTACTAGATTACTACATTATTAGCAGACTAATGGTGGGAAATGTCTATAGTCATCGACCTCTATGTTTATTTTATTTTATTTTATTTTTTTATTTTGAGATGGAGTTTCACTCTTGTTCCCCAGGCTGGAGTGCAGTGGCGTGATCTCGGCTCACTGCAACCTCTGCCTCCCTGATTCAAGCGATTCTCCTGCCTCAGCCTCCCAAGTAACTGGGATTACAAGTGTGCACCACCACACGTGGCTAATTTTTTGTATTTTTAGTAGAGACAGGATTTCACCATGTTCGCCAGGCTGGTCTTGAACTCCTGACCTCAGGCGATCCACCCGCCTCAGCTTCCCAAAGTGCTGGGATTACAGGCGTGAGCCACTGCACCCAGGTTCTATGTTGATTTTAGATGTAATAGATGAGTTAATTGTAATATTCACCCCAGTGTCCTTTGCAAGGAAAAAAATGCAATTATCCTTATTCCTTATGACAATAAAATGCATGTTCTTTTATGTTGAGGCTCTGTTTTGAGAAGTAAAATAAATTATGTCTTTAGTACAATATATGAATTGTATATGGAAAAACATGCTTTTTGAAAGTCCCACCAAAAAGGTTTCTTTATGGTATCATTAAATATAATTTCAGTTTTTATATGTATACATCATCCCTGTCTCTCTTTCCAGGCCGGGCATTTATATATGTATGGTCAGTATATTTTCTATTATTGGCACTTGGCATCTCCTTTCCCCTGCTCCAGAATGGTCTTTTCTGATAAAACTCACAAGCTTTGCATTACCACAAGCTCTGCTGCTAGAAGAGTGAATCACAAGAATGTTGTATGCTTGGGGTGTTCTGTGTGCCTGTGTTGATGTGTCTGTATTCTAATGAGCAATCCAGTTTTACACTAGCATACAGATATTTAACTCTGAGGTATGTGTCCACAAAGCTGCTTTTGTCATTTCACTAGTCAGTGGGTTTTGCTTGTGAGAGTTAGGGGGTTGATTTGACCCGAGGCTTCTTAGAAGAATTTTTTAACATTCCAAGTTTATCTAATAGATGTGCTATGAAGAGAACAGAATGATGGGACTTTAAAAAAATTTTTACAGTTATTTTTATTTTGTAGAATGAGCTGAAAGCCAGTGGTGGCGAAATCAAAATTCATAAAATGGAGCAAAAGGAGAATGTGCCCCCAGGTCCTGAGGTCTGCATCACCCATCAGGAAGGGGAAAAGGTAGGTTGAAAAGTCTGATGTCCAGTTGCCAAGGAAGCATGTGTTCTAAATTAGATGCTTGAAATTAGAAACAACTCTAACTCTAGGCTGTAGAGTGTCTGGGAATTTGGTAACAGCTGCCAGGACAGATTGCCATTTTTGCAGGTCACATAATTTCAGTTGAGTAGCTCTGCAACTTATAGCTGACCAAATAATGAGCCTTCATTGGAAAATTATTTTGCTCAGCAGATGCTCAGAAGGCAAAGAGCTGAAGTGATTTTTTAAAATCTATTTGGAGGCTGGGCACAGTGGCTCACGCCTGTAATCCCAGCACTTTGGGAGGGTGAGGCAGGTGGATCACCTGAGGTCAGGAGTTCGAGACCAGCCTAGCCCACAGGGTGAAACCCCATCTCTACTAAAAATATAAAAAGCCGGGTGTGGGGGTGCATGCCTGTAATCCCAGCTGCTCGGGAGGCTGTGGCAGGAGAATCGCTTGATCCCAGGAGGTGGAGGTTGCAGTGAGCTGAGTGCACTGCACTCCAGCCTGGGCGACAGAGCAAGACTCTGTCTCAAAAATAAATAAATAAAATAAAAATCTATTCGGGCCGAGTGTGGTGGCTCACGCCTGTAATCCCAGCACTTTGGGAGGCCAAGGCAGGCAGATCATCTGAGGTCGAGAGTTCGAGACAAGCCTGACCAACATGGAGAAACCCCGTCTCTAATAAAAATACAAAAAATTAGCCGGGCATGGTGGTGCATGCCTGTAATCCCAGATACTCAGGAGGCTGAGACAGTTGAATCGCTTGAACCCAGGAGGCGGATGTTGCAGTGGGCTGAGGTCACACCACTGCACTCCAGCCTAAGCAACAAGAGCGAAACTCCATCTCAAAAAAAAAAAATCTATTTGGGAGAGCATAGATTCAGGGCAACTTGATTCCATGCTCCTGGGAAGAATAATTTACAAAAATAAAATAAAAATATATTTGATTAGAGATTATCTTCAGATACTCATATATTCTTAATTTAAGTATACATTTAACACATTTTGTGCAAGAAAATCTTACTCTTCCACTCATATTATTTTGAAAGGCAGTCACTATGCTAAGTAAGCATAGGAAATAATAAGCTTAAAAACTTATTGACAAACCATTCCATGTGGTCTTTATGTGCAAGAAAACAGAGTAGAGGAGAGATTAATAAGAGGTCAGCTATCATAAAAATGTATGATAGGTGCTGTGAGGCTGTGAGAGGGGTATACAGGACCACAGAAGCCCAGAGCAAAGATATTTAACCTGACTTCCTCAAGAAGGTGATGTCTGAGCTGAGTCTTGAAGAACGTGTGGAAGTAGGCCAAGTGAATGAGGGGAAGGTTGAGTTAGAAATAGAAGGCTATTCCAGGCAGATACAACAGAGATTTGGAAACCAGAGATGATGGCTGAGGAATTACAGGGATTGTTTGTTTGTTTGGAGATGGAGTCTCGCTCTGTCACCCAGGCTGGAGTGCAGTGGCGTGATCTCAGCTCACTACAACCTCCATCTCCCAGGTTCAAGCAATTCTCCTGCCGCAGCCTCCCAAGTAACTGTGATTCCGGGTACGTGCCACCATGCCTGGCTAATTGTTTGTATTTTTAGTAGAGATGGGGTTTCACCATGTTGGCCAGGCTGGTCTTGAACTCCTGACCTCACGTGATCCACCCGCCTTGGCCTCCCAAAGTGAGGGATTACAGCTGTAAGCCACCGTGCTTGGCCAGAATTACAGGTTTGCTGACTTGGCTGGAGCATGAGGTACACATAGGCAGCAGTGAGAGACAGGTGGAAGGAGAGGGCTAGGGTAAATCTTTATGTCACCCTTAAGGGTTTGGATGTAGTGGTGCAGCAGGAGAAAGCCACTGAAAGATTTTAAGCAAATCATATTTGTGTGTTATGTATTAATCATTAGATGAATGGCTTAATTGAAATAAGTAACATTATTTATGTCAGGGGAATTATCATGTTCTCTACCATTGCCCATTGTCCAATTCTTTTAGTCTTTCAGTCAATATGATAATCGAATGTTAAATGAGATGAGGAGAAAGGGTTTTCAAATCTATTACAGTGATTTAATCTTAGGAGAAAAGCCATTGCTTCTGTTACACTTATTGACACCCTTGACGCCATTCTTCCAAAAGACATGGAGATCATTAAATGGATTAAGAGCAACAGTTCTCAAGCTTAGTTGGAATTTGTATTTTTTAAATTTTTTTAGAGATGAGGTCTTGCTCTGTCACCCAGGCTGGAGTGTAGTAGTGTGATCATAGCTCACTGTAGCCTCCAACTCTTGGGCTCAAGTGATCTTCCTGCCTCAGCCTCCCAAGTGGCTGGGACTACAGGTGTGCACCACCACATCTGGCTAATTTATTTTTATCTTTATTTTTTGTATAGACAGGGTCTCGCTATAATTCTCAGAATGGTCTCAAACTTCTGGCTTCAAGCAATCCCCTCAGCCTCAGCCTCCCAAAGTACTGGAAGTACAGGTGTGAACCACTGCACCCTGTCTCAAACTTATTTGACTACAACAGACTTTACAAAGTAGGATGGTATATTGTCAGAATACTAACAGGAACTCATGAGATATACTACTCTTGGATCAAAGCAGACCCACAGAAAAATGGTCTCAAACTGATGGCTACAAAATTTGATTCAAAGACCAGAACAGAAAAAAATATTAGAATAGTTTATTTTATAAAAACATCACAAATGTATGTTGGAATAACAAGACAAAATACTTGGCAGTCATGTGTTACATGGTCATATAATCCCCCATAAATTGCAAACATCCTTGCAGCAGTGGACTCAGGCATTAGCCCATGAGGCACATGCCATGTATTAAGTGAGTTATCTTGTTAAACTGTCTTGTTTTCTCATCTTTTAAATGGGAGATTATTTCTTAAGAATAACTGACTAAATATTTTTGAAGTTTTTCTTATATACTGTTAAAAAAAAAAAAGAAAGAAAGAAATTTTAAGAGAAAAATATTCCCAGCATTGAAATATCCCCATCTTTATCCCAGGAGCATAGTTTGGGAAACAGTCATTTGGGAAATAATGCTTGAATTGTCCCTGTATCTAAATTCATGTTTCCTTCGTCATTGTCTTCATGCTGATTTGAAACTGGAACTCTGAACTGAACTGGAAGATTAGAACATTTTAATTATAGCCTAAAAGGACATTAGTGCGACTGTGAATCATGAAGTGGGTGGGGAAGAAAGGAGATAAAGACAATACATATTCTTCAAGCACATGCTGCAGGTTTACAAACCCTCAGCTGCCTTAAAATTCGCAATGTTTTTCAGACCCTTAGCTATCCTTTTGGCTGTTTGCCTAGCTTTTGTTAACCAATACCTAAGTGTTATTTGAACTTCAGCTTGTTAAAAAAAAAAAAAGGACATGTGCCTGGCGAGGTGGCTCACGCCTGTAATCCTAGCACTTTGGGAGGCCAAGGTGGGCAGATTACCTGAGGTCAGGAGTCTGAGACCATCCTGGCCAACATGGTGAAACCCTGCTCTACTAAAAATACAAAAATTAGCCGGGTGTGATAATGGGCACCTGTAATCCCAGCTACTCGGGAGGCTGAGGCAGGAGAATCACTTAAACCCAGGAGGCAGAGGTTGCAGTGAGCTGAGATCGCACCATTGGATTCCAGCCTTGCAACAGAGCAAGACTCCATTCAAAAAAAAAAAAAAAAAGCAAAGATTACCTCACAGGTTCAAGGTGACCAAATTAAAGGTGAGAGAAGAACATCCTGGGATGGAGGTACCTACTAATTCTCAAGAACTGAAGAGCTTTTTGTAGGCATGCACAACTTTCAGAAAATTTATTTCATATCATTAGATAAAATAGTGCATTTGTAAGGCGATTAGTTGAATACCTGGCACATAGTAAACACCCAGTAAATGCTGGCTGTGATTGTACCGGTTTATTTTATGCCATGTCAGAATTCCTGTAATGAAGAGAGTAGTGGAAAAAATAACCACGCTGAAATTCAGGTGCAGTCAGCCAGCAGCTTAATCTTCATTGTAAATCTATTCAGTTTGTCAGACATCCTGATATAAACACTCAGCATTGCCCATAAAATCCGTGGCATCTGAATAAAAGGAAATTATGTGAAGAGTGCACATTGGGTCACCTGTTGACTCTTCATGATTTTGGATGTGGAGTAAGATACCAGGAAGGCATGGGGGCCAGTAGAAAGGAGGGAGAGCTCTAATAGAGAGTTCTTTTATTTAAATTTGATGGCTTTTGAGAAAATGATATATACACCTATACGTAAGATCTGCCATCTTTTTAAACATTGCCATTTTGAGACTGGGATTAGAAGGGAAACTGTCCTCAAAGATAATACTGAGGTTAGTTTTAGGTAAATTTGTTTTATAACTGTCAAAAGGTCTTCTATATAGGCAAGCTCGTTTCAGCAGGATGTAGTTGGTTGGGAAATAAGAATTAGGAAAATTAAAAAATAAGAATGGTTCCTATATTTAAATACTTTATCTTTCCTTGGAGTGGGTTATGGTTATACGGTGAGGAGCTTTGCTCTCCTTGATAGAGGGCTTTGTTTTGCTTTGTTTTTTGAGAGCAGAAAAATATGGTTTAGAAGTTGTTTTATAAAGGGAGATGATGCACACTTTTGGCAGTTGAGTGCAGTCTGTTTCTCGGGTTACTCTGTAATTGAGAGGCATGTTAATATCCTCATAAAAGACATTTTGCTGCCTCTTGTTCAAATGCTCAGCTGTTCTGGTGCCCGTTATTTCCCCTAGGCAGCCAGTGACTGACTGGAGTCAGCAGGTTTTTATGGCATTAACAGCAGTTTGCTCTTTTATTTTTAATATGACTCTTAATCCCCCTCTAACTTTTTTTTTTTTTTTTTTTTTGTAGATTTCTGCAAATGAGAATAGCCTGGCAGTCCGTTCCACCCCTGCCGAAGATGACTCCCGTAAGCATTCTTTCTTAGATCTGGAGGATGAGGTTCTTGTTTTCTATCTGTATTTGGTTCAGGGGTGTTCCCATTACTGTCAGTGCTGAGAAAATAACATAGTAAATCCTCTACTTGAATTTAAGGGCTAATGCTTGAATGTCCTTTACACACTTCATGGCTTAAGGAGAAGTTAAATTCAATTGAATATAGTTAACTTGGGACAAACTGAATACTTGTAATGCTTTTCTCATTGAATTCATCCTACTTTTTGCACCAAACCCTTTCAGAATTGAAGCTGTATAAACTAATTTTGAAGTTTCATTTTAACAGAAGTTTGGCCAATACGGATTTTATTCATTTATAATGTTATTCATAAATACCTATTCTTTAGTGAATAAGTATTTGAATAATCTGTTAAAGATACATATTTTTTCCCTGTTTATCTAAATGTATATTATAGTCAACCTCCTAGCCAGGTTCTAGGGATTTTCCTGCTGACAGTGAATTTTGTCACCTGTCATCCTATTTTGGAGTCATTTTGAGCCTCCCTTTTCCCAAAGACAAAAATGTTTTTTTTTGTTTTTTACTTGACTATGTCCACTTTTTATTCTGATTTTCAGTATAACTTTTAATTTTCATTTTTTAGAGACAGGGTCTCTTTCTGTTGCCTAGGCTGGAGTGCAGTGGTGTGATCATAGCTCACTGCAGCCTCAAACTCCTGGGCTCAAGCAGTCCTCCCACCTCAGCCTCCCAAATAGCTAGGACTACAGGCACACACCACCATACCCAGCTAATTTTCTTTGAGGGAGTCTCACTCTGTCACCCAGGTTGGAGTGCAGTGGTGCAATCTCGGCTCACTGTAACCTCCCCCTCCCAGGTTCAAGCGATTCTCCTGTCTCAGCTTCCTGAGTAGCTGGGATTACAGGCGCACACCACCATGCCTGGCTAATTTTTTGTATTTTAGTAGAGACAGGGTTTCACCATGTAGCCCAGGCTGGTCTTGAACTCCTGAGCTCAGGCAATCCACCCGCCTCGGCCTCACAAAGTGCTAGGATTACAGGCGTGAGCCACCGTGCCTGGCCGTACCCAGCTAATTTTTTAATATTTTTGTAGAGAAAAGGTCTCACTTTGTTGCCCAGGTTGGTCTCCAACTCCTGGTCTCAAGCAGTCCTACCACCGCAGCCTCTCAAAGTGTTGAGATTACGGGCGTGAGCCACTGTGCCCAGCCCATTTAAAAATATATGTTGCTGGGCCAGGCGCAGTGGCTCACACCTGTAATCCCAGCACTTTGGGAGGCCTAAGTGGGTGGATCACTTGAGGTCAGGAATTCAAGACCAGCCTGGCCAATATGGTGAAACCCCAAGCTCTACTAAAAATACAAAAATTAGCCAGGCGTGGTGGTGGGCGCCTGTAATCCCAGCTACTCAGGACACTGAGGCAGGAGAATTGCTTGAACCCAGGAGGTGGAGGTTGCAGTGAGCTGAGATCGCACCATCGCACTCCAGCCTGGGCTACAGAGCGAGACTCCGACTCAAAACAAAATATATATATATGTTGCTGGCCAGGCACGGTGGCTCACGCCTGTAATCCCAGCACTTTGGGAGGCCAAGGCGGGTGGATCACCTGAGGTCAGGAGTTCAAGACCAGCCTGGTCAACATGGTGAAACCCCATCTCTATTAAAAACACAAAAAGTTAGCCGGATGTGGTGGTGGGTGCCTGTAGTCCCAGCTACTCAGGAGGCTGAGACAGGAGAATTGCTTGAACCCAGGAGGTGGAGGCTGCAGTGAGCTGAGATCATGCCACTGCACTCCAGCCTGGGCAGCAGAGTGAAAATCCATCTCAAAAAAAATATATATATATATATATATGTATATATATGTTTGCTGGGCGCTATGGCTCATGCCTGTAATCCCAGCACTTCGTGAGGTTGAGGCAGGCAGTTTGCTTGAGCTCAGGAGTTGGAGACCAGCCTGGGCAACATGGTGAAACCCTGTCTCTACCAAAAGTACCAAAACTTAGCTGGGCATGGTGGCATGCATCTGTGGTCCCAGCTACTTGGGAGGCTGAGGCAGGAGGATCACTTGAGCCCAGGAGGCAGAGGTTGCAGTGAGCCGAGATCATGCCACTGCACTCCAGCCTGGGTGACAGAGTGAGACTCTGAAAAAAAAAAAAAAAAAAAATATATATATATATATACACACACACACACACACACGTATATATATGTATATATATATACATGTATATATATATCATATATACATGTATATATATATCATATATACATATATGATATATATGTATATATATATCATATATGTGTATATATATCATATATACACATATATGATATATATATACTATATATATATAAATTTCTTGTAGGTCACAAGACAAAAAAGAAAAACATATATATGTGGATTTCTAGCATCTCCCCAGGCTAGTTTACTGGACACTGAAAACCCTACAACTGAAATAGAATGATGAATTAAACAGATCTCTAGTTAATCCTACCTTAAAATTTCGGAGAAAAACTCCTTCTGCTTGAATCCAGAAACATTCTTTTTTTGCAATCATTTTTCTGGGACTAGAAATGTTTCTGAGAAATGTTTTTGACTAGGTTTATGAAACATTTTTTTGAAAAATAAGCCTTAATATTTTAGTACTTTGTTGACTCACCTCTTCATTTTGGCAGGAAAGTAACTCATGTAGTTGGAATTTCAATGATTATGAAAAAAACTTCATGGAGCCCTTTTCCATAATCTTCATCCATTGGTATCTGCTATAGAACTGACCAAAAACAGTGTCAGGTTACATGTATACACAAATGCGCGCACGCGCGCACACACACACACACACACACACACAGAGTACAAAATTTCTGCCCTCACATCTCCCCCTTTTTCCAACTTCAGTTGAAACACTTCAGAAAAAGTTATTAGGAATGTTAATGACCAAAAAGACATCTAAGTCTATAAACGGCCTTTAAAAATGACAAATGGCACAAGGAAGAAAGTTCTTTATACAGAGTGGTTTGGATTTCTGCTACGTGTGGCAGAGGGTAAGAAAGCCTCCTCACTGAGAACCTGATTTCTGACAGGACCAGAGAATACCTGAGCCATAGTTGTTAGTGTTCGAATATTCTTCAACAGAAAAGCAGTGTTTTTCCTGGTGTTGGAAGGATCTGTCATTAATGAAAGTGCCCAAACTTTGCTTTTCGGAAGAACACTTTCCAAGACATTCCATGAGATACTGTAAAATGTCTTCCTTTTGTAACTCAAGCAGGTGACTCCCAGGTTAAGAGTGAGGTTCAACAGCCTGTCCATCCCAAGCCACTAAGTCCAGATTCCAGAGCCTCCAGTCTTTCTGAAAGTTCTCCTCCCAAAGCAATGAAGGTATGATGGCAATTTCTCTCTGAGCCTTTGGACATTGGTCTACTGGTAGAGCTAATTGTACCTTTTATGATGATGATGTTGATTATAACCTGGTTTTGCTTTCCTGTGGATGATAATGCCACAGAAGAGCACACTGAAGCCAGTCGCTTTCCCTGGAAATCTTGCTGCCTCTGCTCAGGTCTTTGGCCCGGGAGCGAGAAGGCTCACTAATGACTCTCAGTTTGAACTCTGGAAAACTCATGAAAGTTTTAAAATAATGTCGGTTTTTTTATTTTTGTTTTTGTTTATTTATTATTATTATCTTTTTTTTTTTTTTGAGACAGAATCTCGCTCTGTCACCCAGGCTGGAGTGCAGTGGCATGATCTCGGCTTACTGTAACCTCCGCCCCCCCATGTTCAAGCAATTCTCCTGTCTCAGCCTCCTGAGTGGCTGGGATTACAGGCATGCGCCACCATGCCTGGCTAATTTTTTTGTATTTTTTGGTAGAGACAGGGTTTCACCATGTTGGCCAGGCTGGTCTCAAACTCCTGACCTTGTGATCTGCCTGCCTTGGCCTCCCAAAGTGCTGGGTAAGCCACCACACCTGGCCTTGTTTTTGTTTGTTTGTTTGTTTGTTTTTGTTTTGTTTTGAGACAGAGTCTCGCTCTGTCGCCCAGGCTGGAGTGCAGTGGCGCTATCTTGGCTCACTGCAAGCTCCGCCTCCCGGGTTCACGCCATTCTCCTACCTCGGCCTCCCGAGTAGCTGGGACTACAGGTGTCCTGCCACTACGCCCGGCTAACTTTTTGTAGTTTTAGTAGAGACGGGGTTTCACCGTGTTAGCCGGGATGGTCTCAATCTCCTGACCTCGTGATCCGCCTGCCTTGGCCTCCCAAAGTGCTGGGATTACAGGCGTGAACCACTGCGCCTGGCCTGTTTTGTTTTTTTGAGACAGGGTCTTGCTCTGTTGCTCAGGCTGGAGTATGGTGGTGTGATCACGGCTCACTGCAGCCTTGACCTCCCAGGCTAATGCAATCCTCCTGTCTCAGCCTCCTGAGTAGCTAGAACTATACGCACATGCCACCATGCCTGGCTTTTTTTTTTTTTTTTTTAAGAGATGTGATTTTGCCATGTTTCCCAGGCTGGCCTCAATCTCCAGGCCTTGGGTGATCTGCCTGCCTCGGCCTCCCAAAGTGCTGGGATGGGATTATAGGCATGAGCCACTGTGCCCAGCCAGGAAAAATCTGTTCAACTAAAATCAGCACATTGGACGAGATGTGCAATTTCACCTTAAAGATAATGGCTTCCTAATCTGCAGAGCTTGATCTTAACCTGTGGTTAGCTTTTTTTTTTTTTTTTTTTTTTGAGACAGGTTCTCACTTTGTCACCCAGGCTGGAGTGCAGTGGTGTGGTCACAGCTCCCTGCAGCCTCTATCTCCTGAGCTCAAACCATCCTCCCAAGTAGCTGGGACTATAAGCACATGCCACCACACCCAGCTAATATATTTTTTACATTTTTATAGGGATGGGGTCTCACTATGTTGCCCAAGCTGGTTTTGAACTTTTGGCTTCAAGTAATCCCCCCACCTTGGCCTCCCAAAATGCTGGGATTACAGGTATGAGCCACCAAACACACCTGGCCCTGTTGTTCCCACTTTTTTTTTTTTTTAGGACCTGTTGTTTACAACAATGTCATTAACATTTTTAACGAAAGAATGTGTCCACTGGAATGGGGGCTGGCCAGCCCATTTTCTGAAAAAAAAAAAAAAAAAAAAAAAAAAAAAAAAAAAATGAGGCCGGGTGTGGTGGCTCACGCCTGTAATCCCAGCACTTTGGGAGGCTGAGACGGGCGGATCACCTGAGGTCGGGAGTTCAAGACCAGCCTGAACAACATGGAGAAACCCCATCTCTACTAAAAGTACAAAAAAAAAAAAAAAAATTAGCCGGGCATGGTGGCACATGCCTGTAATCCCAGCTACTTGGGAAGCCGAGGCAGGAGAATTGCTTGAACCTGGGAGGCAGAGGTTGTGGTGAACCGAGATTATGCCATTGCACTCCAGCCTGGGCAACAAGCATGAAACTCTTGTCTCAAAAAAAAAAAAAAAAATGACATTCAAGCAACACTTATACTAAGGGTATAACATTAGATATTAAGAATTGAGGCCAGGCACGGTGACTCACAGCTATAATCCCAGCACTTTGGGGGGCCGAGGCAGGCGGATCACGAGGTCAGGAGTTCGAGACCAGCCTGGCCAACATGGTGAAACCCTGTCTCTAAAAATACAAAAATTAGCTGGGCGCAGTAGTGCGTGCCTGTAGTCCCAGCTACTTGGGAGGCTGAGGCAGGAGAATCACTTGAACCCGGGAAGCAGAGGTTGCAGTGAGCCAAGATCACACCACTGCTCTCCAGCCTGTGTGACAGAGTGAGATTCCATCTCAAAAAAAAAAAAAAAAAAAAAAAATTGGCCAGGCATGGTGGCTCACACCTATAATCCCAGCACTTTGGGAGGCCAAGGCGGGCAGATCACGAGGTCAAGAGTTTGAGACCAGCCTGGCCAACATGGTGAAAGCCTGTCTCTACTAAGAATACAAAAATTAGCTGAGCATGATGGCAGGCACCTGTAATCCCAGCTACTTGGGAGGCTGAGGCAGGAGAATTGCTTGAACCCGGGAGGTGGAGGTTGCAGTGAGCCAAGATCGCGCCACTGTACTCCAGCCTGGGCAACAGAGCTAGGCTCCTCAATCTATAATCTGCTTTTATTACCCAAGTTTTAAAAGTCGTCTTTTCCTCTTCTATGGGCAAATATATATTCCCATAAAAATAAGCCAAAAAATGTTTATTAAAAATGCAAAACTTATTTTAGGTTTGTTAGCTGACTTGTTTTAATTGACTAGCTTGCTAATGAGGGGCTACTTCACTCGTTTGGATTACCCACACTTCTTTAGTGTCTTTCTCCTCTAGTGCTCTTTTAAGTAGCAGGGTTGTGTTTCAAAAGTTTTAGCATTTGAGAGAAACTCAATAAATAGAATGAGTTTTAAGGTGGTTTGTGCTGCTCCCAACTCATGCTCATATCTGCCGTGCTTATACCTCTGACTGTGAGCATGATTGGTCCACAGATAAAAGTTTTACTGCACACAAAGTATGAAGAGGAGGGGACATCAGGGAGGGTTTGGAACAAAAGGAGGAAAGGGGAGAATCCAGGATTTAAAGAGTGGATTTAAAAGGTGAGCAAGGTGAAAAAGATAAAACATGAAAATTTTAAAGGAGGCAGAGATTTATGAGAAGAGTAAGGTTTATTGAAAAGGAACAAAAGGTAAAGAAAGCAGAAAGAGAAAGCAAGTCCAGGAAGAATGGGCGGGGTCATGGTGATTGAATCTGTACATGTGCTCCGCATGGCTGTGTTCTGGCCTTGAAGGTTGGCTGATGCTGCCATCAGCACTTTCTTTGTCAGTATCTGGAGTCTCACAAAGTAGCAAACCCCACAGGGTTACTTTCCTCTCTGACAGCAATGCTGCCTAGATGTGAGTGCTCAGGTTGTGGTTGGGGATCAAGAACGGCTAGCAAATCTAACTTGGTGATGGATTCTGTGTAACCCAGGACCTGGGGAAATACAGGAACTAAAATCTGTTCTTGTGACTATTTGAATTCTCAATGCAGTCTTGCATCCCTCGTTCAACTGCTTGGCCAGACTTCCTTGTACTGGGTGGGGATCCCTCCCCACTCAAGTTCCACGGGGTGAGCGGATGAGTGGTGTGTGAAAGGGCACACCTCACTTAGGTCTCCTTTGGCACCAGGGAGAGGAAACAGAGGTAAAGCTGTCTCTGTCTCTGCCTCAGACCCATGCCTACTCCTTTGGCACTGGTCACTCAGCAGTAGAATAGTAGTATAGTAGTAGACGGCCCTATCTGCATAGTCACACACCTCGGGTTTTGAGCATTGTGTAATGACCAGAGTAAACTGGCCTGGCTGTTTGCCTCTGGTCCACAGCTCAGATGATCATGGTGTACAGAGCCTGGTGGAACCCAGTTACATCTCCACTGTTATTTAAGGGCAATTTATTTGCTCTTCCTCAGAGTTCCCCTTTACAGTCTGCAGGCAAATATACAGATACTTTAGTAAATGTTTATAGGAAGACCTGCTGGCAGAACTGGTCTCATGGCTGCAGACTATGAACAGAAGTTGTTTCTCCACTTTGGGAAATTACATACAGCTAAGAATAAACTTGTTCACTCAGAATAGATTTTTGGATCCCACACATCCTGGAAAAAACTGTTTCTTAGTGCCTGTCTGTTATTGAAAAGAGGACATCTAAGGTAGAGATTCAATTCATTTCAAATTTTAGCTTAATAAAGTAAAAAGAAATGATAGAGGTCTTTAAGGATTCTGTACACTTTGAACACTGGCCACAGAGCTTACTTGGTAAGACTTGGTACCAATGAAGTTACAGGTTCATTCTCAAAAAGGGTGTCGTTCTGAGAGCAGAGCTTAGTGGACCCTGTGAGAAGTATCAGGCCTTTCTACTTCAAGAGACTCAGAGATCTCTTAGGCTTTATGTCCTCCCATTTGAAAGAAATCATCCCCTAAACGTTCCCAGAGGAGAGGATAGGGAAGGAAGAGGCAAGGAGATGTGACTGGCCCTAGGGAACAACTGTCTGCCCTCACTGTGTACGGGACAACCAAGTCCCAGGCCTCCTCACAGCGTTTTGCTGATGAATGTTGAGAGAGAACATGGCACTCTACGTGAGAGGGCAGCACACACTGCACTGCCCCTCTCGGTACCCTGCCAGCTGTTCCTCCCCCTGAAGACACAGTGGGAGGTTTTATGCTGGCTTGCAAAGCTGTCAAAATTATGCTAGAAGAGTGTCTAGAATCTTTTCTCACTCACTCACTATTACTGCCTTTTCAGAGGACTGTCCTTTCTTCTCTGTGTAGAGCACTCTATTTAAGATATGAATATTCCCCAAAATGCTTTCATAGAGTTTCACAGAAAATTAGAGGAAGGGTTAAGGCTGCACAGGGCTGGCCCAACCATTTGCTGTGTGGTGAAGAATTTCAGTTTCATTACCTAGATATTTTACACAAATTGGAAGGAATGAAAGGCATTTTGTGGTATTCTGAGGAATAGAGGCTTGACGTCAATACAGAATTTTCATCTTCTTTCACTATGTCTAAAGGCTAGTTAACATCAATGTCTGTTGTCAGCTGCTCCCCCCTACCTCCCACACACACCACAACTGGGGCCTTTATTAGAGTAAAAAATATATGAGACAAGAGGGTAAAAGAATGTAAATGAAGCCATGCAAATTTGTTAGAAAAACAGCTTTAAGTAGATGGTAATCAACAGAGGGTCTGTAATATCCCTCAAACGGGAAAGACAGTATTTATGAACATCAATTATTTATAGATTACCTCATTCACTCTAGAATATCCTGAAGATATTATCTACACATTTTTATTTGAAACAAAGGGAAGACCATAGTTTGTTCAAATTGCTGTCGTGGGATTAATTTCATTTGGGTTAGCATCTGCTCTCCTCCCCAAAGAGTTTCCCTTGGCTGTGGAAATTTAACATTCCAGGACAATTTAGAAAATGCTCTCTTGGTTTGTGAGTCAGGAGTTCTGAGTTTGTGCAGTGAGCAGGTCTATGCAGACCTACCCACAAAGGCTGAGGGAGCTGAAAAGCCAAAGAAAGAGGCTGACAAATCCAGTTTCTCAGAAAGAAACATTTAATAAGAGCTTATGAACAGAAGTGATGTCTAGGAGGCCATGAGACAGTGGATCCCTGCACCAGCCCTCCAGAAAATATCCTTTATATAGCA
This sequence comes from Homo sapiens, assembly GCF_000001405.40. Taxonomy (NCBI): domain Eukaryota; kingdom Metazoa; phylum Chordata; class Mammalia; order Primates; family Hominidae; genus Homo; species Homo sapiens. The sequence continues at coordinate 50,186,653 of NC_000012.12, read as the reverse complement.
AGGTTTTAGGATAAAACATGTGCAGCTAGTCACGCTTGACTTTCTTGCAAAACTTATCACTGGAGCGATTGGATAAGCATCTTTATGAGGGGTTGTCTATGCTCTGGGCACTACCCCTTTATGAGGGATAATCTATGCTACAGGCATTGTTTAAAGACTTTGCTGCAGAACAAACCACCTTGGTATGCAGGAGTCAAACCACCAGTTAGCATGGTGGTTTCACTCCAAGATGGCATCACTCCTGCCATGCAACAGGCTGTTTTCCTACAGTTTTAATTCTATTTCTGTTATTGACTATGTGAACTTTGATAAGACCTGGTGTTTAACTTTCTACTTGGTAGGGGCAAAATGGTGGGAGAAGGGGAATGAAAAAAAAAATCTCTTACTAACTGAAAAAATATACTGTGAAGATAAAAAATGTCTAACATTGTCGTATTGGCAGTGTTTTAAACATGGCTGTGCCAAGTCTGAGCATGCCATGAAGGCATGGGCAGGATGTATGCCAGGCCTGTGATAATGGTAGAGATTTTTAGGCACTGACTATGCTTCCTGTTGTCTGAATAGACATGGGGGCAATTACAGAAAAGTGGCTGAGAGCCCAGGACATAGAAAATAAAGGGGAGGCACAGCCGCAGCCGCTGTGAGTTGGCATTTTACCATGTCGGGACCCTCTTGTCTTTATGAAACTAGAAGGGGCCCTTAGGCAGCTGCTGCTGCATAAACCTTAAATAATATTGAAAAGGGTTGATGTGAGAAATGAATAGGAATAATGGGACTCTGATAGGTCTGGCTAGTTAGAAGCTCAAGGTTAGTCAATTATGTGAGCTAGCAATCTATTAACTTGATGTTAAGGAGGAAGACAGACTTTTTGCTCCATGTGGGTGAAGGCTCTATTAAAGAGAGAGCCGATGTGGGTCAGGTGTGGGAGGTAGTAAGCCACTAAAGAATTGTTAATGAGACACTCCTTGTGTGGGTGAAGGCTCATAAAAGCTCGCTCTCCTGAGCTGGGATATGTTCCAGCCTCAGGTAGATACGAGTGAGGCTGATTTTGCCATGATTAGCAGAGTTACTTAAAAAGGAAAAAAAGAAAAATGTGGTCTTATTCTTGGATCTGAGTCTCTGAGTTTCAGCTCAGCTGCAGTAAAGCTCTCCAGGGCACGCCAAATGCTGTGTATTCATTGAAGGTTCCTGTTTGTCTCTTCCAGCTTCTGCCTCCTGCTCCTGGTACCTAATTTCTGCTCCTGCCTTCCACTTTCCTCCTAATGTGAGCTCAACTTTCAGCTTTCTCACAGGTTCTCCTTTCCTTCTGTTCCCTGGGCTGCTTCCCCCTCCCACAGTGTGTGCCTCCCCTCCGTGTGTTTGTGATGGAGGAGTGCTCTGCGTCCTTCAGTTCCCCTTTAGCAGAACAGTATCCATCTCCTCTTATCCCATGTGAAGTTTCTGTCTCCTGCTGTGTCTTTACTGACCAGAATGAGCACTTACTCTCCTACATCTATTTCAAGTGTTAAAAAATACAGAATTCCGGGCCAGGCGCAGTGGCTCACACCTGTAATCCCAGCACTTTGGGAGGCCAAGGTGGGCAGATCACAAGGTTAGGAGTTAGAAACCAGCCTGACCAACATGGTGAAACCCCATCTCTACTAAAAATACAAAAATTAGCCGAGTGTGGTGGTGCACGCCTGTAATCCCAGCTACTCAGGAGGCTGAGGCAGGAGAATCGCTTGAACCCGGAAGGTGGAGCTTGCAGTGAGCTGAGATCGCGCCACTGTACTCCAGTCTGGGTGACAGAGTGAGACTCTGTCTCAAAAAACAAAACAAAACAAAAAAAACAAAAAACGCAGAATTCCCTTTCTGCAACTGAAAATGATTTTTAATCTGATAAATACATTTGTCCTACTTTTACATTATGTGAATTGTGATTTGTACAGGCTCTCTCCAGTAGCATCCATTATACTATTACACCAAAAATTTATTCTGCTTTTTAATATCTCTCCTTTTGTTGTTGTTGTTTTGAGACAGAGTCTTGCCCTGTCTCCAAGGCTGGAGGGCAGTGATGAGATCTCAGCTCACAGCAACTTCTGCTTCCTGGGTTCAAGTGATTCTTGTGCCTCAGCCTCTCTGGTAGCTGGAATTACAGGCGCCCGCCACCACGCCCAGCTAATGTTTGCATTTTCTGTAGAGACAGGGTTTCACCATGTTGGCCAGGCTGCTCTGGAACTTCGACCTCAAGTGATCCACCTGCCTTGGCCTCCCAAAGTGCTGGGATTACAGGCCTGGGCCATCGCACCTGGCCAGTGTATCTCCTACCTAGACAAAGACCTAGTCCTTTTAGAGAAAACTTAATTAAAACTCTGCAAAGATATCTCCATTTAGCAGTGTCCATATAAGAAAAAAAGAATTCTGAACTCCAAATACGATAATGTGTTAATTACTTGCAACAACATTCATTACAATAACATTTGGTTATATTTAAATACCTCCCTTATGCTAAACTAGGTTGTAACCTGTGGTCTTTTGATTCTTTAGATGTTTCTTTTTAGGACATTGCCCCTAGAATAAAGCAGAGTCCTGGTAACTAGCCATTTCCACTCAGCTTTGTTCCTTCCTTCTTAAATCCCTTGGGCACTACTTGGGAGTTTACCACTAATTTTATTAAACTTCCTTTTATAGATTTCTTTATTTTCATTTTATGCACATTTTCTGCTCTCACTTCCTGCCCAAATCTACTTGGAAAACCATTTTTATTTTTTGCTTTACCTCCTAGTGAATCATGTGGCAAGTGAACCAACAGTCTGAATTTTTTATGGGCCTGTTTTGGGTTTTTTTTTTTTTTTTTTTTTTTTGAGACCAAGTCTCACTCTGTTGCCCAAGCTGGAGTGCAGTGGCTCAATCTCGGCTCACTGCAACCTCTGCCTCCCAGGTTCAAGCGATTCTCCTGCCTCAGCCTCCCGAGTAGCTGGGACTATAGGCACACGCCACCATGCCCGGCTAATTTTTGTATTTTTAGTAGAGATGGGGTTTCACTATGTTGGCCAGGCTGGTCTTGAACTCCTGACCTCGTGATCTGCCTACCTCAACCTCCCAAAGTGTGGGATTATGGGCGTGAGACACTACACCCAGCCTATTTTGGATTTTTTTTACTCAAAATTCTATCTTGCCCATAACCTGGTTCATTTCAGGCTTAACTATCCAGGTCCTGGGCCTTGGGATTAATTTGCATTACTTACCATCATGTGTTTTCTGGTGAGAGCCCAGGCTGATCATGGCAGCAAAAGCACCTCCTAATTGCTGATGAGAGCTTCCTGGCCACCTAAGCTGTCTCCCGCATCTACTGGTTGAGGTGTTTGTGTTGGGCAAGTCAAGGGTTAACTCCCATACACCTAGGGACTTTGCATTCCCATCTACTCCCCACCCCTTAGTAGCCATGTAACTATTTCTTTTCTTTATTTTTTGAGATGGAGTCTCACTCTGTCGCCCAGGCTGGAGTGCAGTGGCGCCATCTCGGCTCACTACAAGCTCTGCCTCCCGGGTTCACGCCATTCTCCTGCCTCAGCCTCCCGAGTAACTGGGATTACACGAGTGTACCACTACGCCTGCCTAATTTTTGTATTTTTACTGGAGACGGGGTTTCACCATGTTGGCCAGGCTGGTCTCGAACTCCTGACCTCATGATCCGCCCACCTCGGCCTCCTAAAGTGCTGGGATTACAAGCATGAGCCACCGCACCTGGCCCATGTAACTATTTCTTATCATGTGAAAGCTTATAATATTTTTGGAGTTCTGGCTTTTATCAGTGCTAGAATACCAACTGTTTTATATTCTTTAGGATTGAGTTTATCAGGTAGAACCACTGTGCCCATGTTTGTTCCAACTTTACAAACAGTTCATGAATTCCCAGTCATTAATACATTAACCAGTGTGTTTCCCATTGCATTAGTTTTTCTCTCCATTGGTTTTTAGAAATATTATAGAACCTATAGCTTTAATGGGCTATGCTTCCCTCTGGTGTCCTAATAAAATACTTTGTGTCTCTTATAAATTGTTCCACTTGTGTGTCAGTTTTGACTTGTTTAAAAATAGTATGTCTAGTTGATTGAACAAATCAAGATTATAAGCAGAGCAGAATAAAAGGGGCTTTACTGAAATGTCTTTCCTAATTCCCAAAGCCAAATGCTCTTCCTCTCCTTGAAATTTATCCCCTTTAGAATCTGTCTTGTGTTTACTTGGCACTTGAATCAAACTTCTTTCTTCTGTGTGTGATAACATTTTCTCCTAATCCCTGCACTCCCCCCCCCGACCCCTTCCCCCATCCCCTGCTCCTAACATTTTTTATGTGGGTCGTGACTTGTCTAAGCCATTCTTTGTAATCCAGACGTAGCTCCACCTATCCTTGGTGGCTGCTACATTTAGAGCAGCCACACAGTTTGGGAAGGGAATATCAAGAGAGCCTCTTGGCTTTAAAGAGTCAGCTGATAGAATTGTAGCAGGTTTAGTGCTCCATGAGAATTGACTGACCAGCTAAGGGAGCCCTTAGACAAAGTAAATTCTAGGGTCCATCTCAAGACAGTGCTAACTCATCGCTGCCCATGCTAAAGTTGTCTTTTTGTTTTTCCTAGAAGTTTCAGGCACCTGCAAGAGAGACCTGCGTGGAATGTCAGAAGACAGTCTATCCAATGGAGCGTCTCTTGGCCAACCAGCAGGTGTTTCACATCAGCTGCTTCCGTTGCTCCTATTGCAACAACAAACTCAGGTAAGTCAGCCCAAAACAAGCCATCTGTCTATAACTGGAACTCTAGAGGGAGTCTTTGGCTTTTAGAGCACTGGTGCTAAAAGCTACTGTGCTAATGATATTCTGTTGAAGGCTCTTGAATAAAGTAAAAAGCATCATTTAGTGACAAGTCTTTCATACCAAATAATGATGGTGTTTGGAACTTCTTGGTGTATTGATATGTTAATTTACATGTTAGGACCGAAGCTTAAATAATATGAGTTGCAGGTAAACCCCCCTGTGACCTAATTTAATAGAATGTTTTCCCTTGGTATCACAGAATCACAAAGTTAAGAAATCTCAAGAGGTTACTTGTTTAAGCCCTTACTTGTCTTAACCACTGTATAAATGATAATAATGGCAATAATAATAGCCCCTGGAGAGCATGTCTTTTTCTCTATGTTGCCTCACTTTATTTCTGAGAAAATAGTTGTTACATATCATTTCTTCCAAGTAACTCAAAGTGCAAATATAAATGTGACAAATCGGGGAAACATTCCAAATTAACTCATTTTAATCATAGAGTCTTACAGAAGGAAGTAACCAAGATGTCACTTTCTCCAGCTTTCCTTTCTGAGCAATCCTTCCTAAAATACTCTTGAAAGATGTTTTGGCATCTGTGTGACATTTCTAGCTATTAGATAGCTCTAGCTAGACAGCTTCTCCAAACATGCAGCCAAAGTGTACCTCAGTCACTTCCACTCATTAGTTCTTCTGCTGCCCACTGTGTTAATTTTTTTCTCCAAAGCACCTTTTTTTTTTTTTTTTTTTTTGGATACAGAGTCTCACTCTGTTGCCCAGGGTGGAGTGCAGTGGCGTGATCTCAGCTCACTGCAACCTCTACCTCCTGAGTTCAAGCGATTCTCCTGCCTCAGCCTCCCAAGTAGCTGGGACTACAGGCGCCCGCCACCACACCCAGCTAATTTTTTGTATTTTTAGTAGAGAAGGGGTTTCACCATGTTAGCCAGGATGGTCTTGATCTCCTGACCTCGTGATCCACCCGCCTCGGCCTCCCAAAGTGCTGAGATTATAGGTGTGAGCCACTGTGCCTGGCTTAAAGCACCTTATTTCTTTTGTGGAAGTGCTGCCGTTTTATACCCCCTTTAACATTTGTCACTCTTCAGAATGGTTCGTAACTTAAGGGAAAAAACTTTAAAAAGATAAAACTTATCATCCTGCAAGAGACACCAAATCTCCTAAAGGCTTGTCTAGGACTGACATTAGGGAAAAACTACCTCCTGTCAACTCCTCACCATTCTTCTATTAATCAAGCTTATATCTAGGTGTGGATATAAGGATCACACCTGTAATCCTAGCATTTTGGGAGTGCCCAGGTAGGAGGATCACTTGATGCCAGAAGTTCAAGACTAGCCTGGGTAACATAGAGAGACCCCATCTGGTTTTTCTTTTTGAGATGGAGTCTCACTCTGTTGCCCAGGCTGGAGTGCAGTGGTGTGATCCTGGCTCACTGCAACCTTTGTCTCCCAGGTTCAAGCGATTCTCATGCCTCAGTCTCCTGAGTAGCTGGGATTACAGGCGGGCACCACCACGCCCAGCTAATTTCTTTCTTTTTTTTTTTTTTTCCGGAGATGGAGTCTTGCTCTGTCGCCCAGGCTGGAGTGCAGTGGGATGATGTCAGCTCACTGCAACCTCCACCTCCCAGGTTCAAGCAATTCTCCTGCCTCAGCCTCCCGAGTGGTTGGGACTACAGGCGTGTGCAACATGCCTGGCTAATTTTTGTATTTTTCATAGAGATGAGGTTTCACCATGTTAGCCACGCTGGTCTTGAACTCCTGACCTCAGTCAGTCTGCCCTCCTCGGCCTCCCAAAGTGCTGGGATTACAGGTGTGAGCAACCACGCCTGGCCAATTTTTGTATTTCTTAGTAGAGATGGGGTTTCACCATGTTGGTCAGGCTGGTCTCAAACTTCTGACCTCAAGTGATCTGCCCACCTCGGCCTCCCAAAGTGCTGGGACTGCACCTGGCCGGAGATCCCATCTCTATGAAAAATTTGGGGAGGCTGAGACTGAGGCTGGAGGATCACTTGAGCCCTGGAGGTCAAGGCTGCAGTGAGCTATGATCATACCATTGCACTCCAGCCTGGGTGACAGAGCAAGACCTCCACTCAAAAAAAAAAACAACAAAAAATGGCTGGGTGCAGTTGCTCATGCCTGTAATCCCAGCACTTTGGGAGGCCGAGGTGGGCAGATCACGAGGTCAGGAGATTGAGACCATCCTGGCTAACAAGGTGAAACCCCGTCTCTACTAAAAATACAAAATATTAGTCAGGTGTGGTGGCGAGTGCCTGTAGTCCCAGCTACTCGGGAGGCTGAGGCAGGAGAATGGCGTGAACCTGGGAGGCGGAGCTTGCAGTGAGCTGAGATCGTGTCACTGCACTCCAGCCTGGGTGACAGAGCGAGACTCTGTCTCAAAAAAAAACAAAAATGGCTGGGCGTGGTGGCTCACGCCTGTAATCCCAGCCCTTTGGGAGGCCGAGGCGGGCAGATCACGAGGTCAAGAGATCGAGACTATCCTGGCCAACATGGTGAAACCCCGTCTCTACTAAAAATACAAAAATTTGCCGTGCATGGTGGCACACACCTGTAGTCCCAACTACTCAGGAGGCTGAGGTAGGAGAATCGCTTGAACCCAGGAGGCAGAGGTTGCAGTGAGCTGAGATCATGCCACTGCACTCCAGCCTGGCGACAGAGCGAGACTCTAACAAAACAAAACAATACAAAAATTAGCCAGGCGTGGTGGCGCACTCCTGTAATCCCAGCTACTCAGGAGGCTGAGGCAGGAGAATTGCTTAAACTTGGGAGGCGGAGGTTGCAGTGAGCCAAGATTGTGCAACTGCACTCCAGCCTGGGCGACAGAGCGAGATTCTCTCAAAAAAAGAAAAGAAAAAGAAAAAAAAAATATATATATATATATGTATTTATATACCGTTAAGAATAGAGTTAATTCAAGCACAAAAGCTTGATGATGGCTACCCAGAAACACTGACTCCAAATGAATGGGGTCAGCATTCCAAAGTGGAGAAAGTTAGTTTCACTTACACAGAAATTTTAGCAAAGATTATGACATTTTTCATATAAGACCAGTGCATATACCACAGTGATTTGATTGGGTACAGATTGGTACATTCCAAGGAAGATTATCACTCGCAAAGAAGGGATAGTGATCTGAGGGGGTCTTATCTCTGGTGCCCTTTGGTCTTCATAATTTATAGTGAAAAGAAAGAGTTGCAGCTACATGCTGTGTGACCCAGGTTGCATAGCCACATTCCTCTCAAGGCTCAGAATGATTTAAAGTTTCTATTACTGTTGGTTTTTTTTTCTTTTTTTTTTTTTTTAAGACAGTCTCGCTCTATCACAGTGGCACAATCTCAGCTCACTGCAACCTCTGCCTCCCGGGTTCAAGTGATTCTCCCACTTCAGCTTCCCAAGTAGCTGAGACTACAGGCATGTGCCACCACACCCAGCTAATTTTTAAATTTTTTGTAGAGATGAATTCTCACTATGTTGGCCGGGCTGGTCTCAAACTCCTGGGCTCAAGCGATCCTCTCACCCTGGCCTCCCAAAGCGCTGGGATTACAGGCATGAGCCACTGCACCCAACCCGTGCTTTGTGTTATGATAAGAAAACAAATGTGCTAAAATGGGGGTAAGGAATTCCTGGTCACTGAAGGGCTTTTAAAGATCTTTTTCTTACTTGGCATCTTCTGAAAATACTGGAATTGCCAGATTTTAGCCTCCTGGTATAAGTGAGAATGTGAAGATTTGCTAAGTTTATGCTTTTTTTCTTTTAATGACAGTCTAGGAACATATGCATCTTTACATGGAAGAATCTATTGTAAGCCTCACTTCAATCAACTCTTTAAATCTAAGGGCAACTATGATGAAGGCTTTGGGCACAGACCACACAAGGATCTATGGGCAAGCAAAAATGAAAACGAAGAGATTTTGGAGAGACCAGCCCAGCTTGCAAATGCAAGGGAGACCCCTCACAGCCCAGGGGTAGAAGATGCCCCTATTGCTAAGGTGGGTGTCCTGGCTGCAAGTATGGAAGCCAAGGCCTCCTCTCAGCAGGAGAAGGAAGACAAGCCAGCTGAAACCAAGAAGCTGAGGATCGCCTGGCCACCCCCCACTGAACTTGGAAGTTCAGGAAGTGCCTTGGAGGAAGGGATCAAAATGTCAAAGCCCAAATGGCCTCCTGAAGACGAAATCAGCAAGCCCGAAGTTCCTGAGGATGTCGATCTAGATCTGAAGAAGCTAAGACGATCTTCTTCACTGAAGGAAAGAAGCCGCCCATTCACTGTAGCAGCTTCATTTCAAAGCACCTCTGTCAAGAGCCCAAAAACTGTGTCCCCACCTATCAGGAAAGGCTGGAGCATGTCAGAGCAGAGTGAAGAGTCTGTGGGTGGAAGAGTTGCAGAAAGGAAACAAGTGGAAAATGCCAAGGCTTCTAAGAAGAATGGGAATGTGGGAAAAACAACCTGGCAAAACAAAGAATCTAAAGGAGAGACAGGGAAGAGAAGTAAGGAAGGTCATAGTTTGGAGATGGAGAATGAGAATCTTGTAGAAAATGGTGCAGACTCCGATGAAGATGATAACAGCTTCCTCAAACAACAATCTCCACAAGAACCCAAGTCTCTGAATTGGTCGAGTTTTGTAGACAACACCTTTGCTGAAGAATTCACTACTCAGAATCAGAAATCCCAGGATGTGGAACTCTGGGAGGGAGAAGTGGTCAAAGAGCTCTCTGTGGAAGAACAGATAAAGAGAAATCGGTATTATGATGAGGATGAGGATGAAGAGTGACAAATTGCAATGATGCTGGGCCTTAAATTCATGTTAGTGTTAGCGAGCCACTGCCCTTTGTCAAAATGTGATGCACATAAGCAGGTATCCCAGCATGAAATGTAATTTACTTGGAAGTAACTTTGGAAAAGAATTCCTTCTTAAAATCAAAAACAAAACAAAAAAACACAAAAAACACATTCTAAATACTAGAGATAACTTTACTTAAATTCTTCATTTTAGCAGTGATGATATGCATAAGTGCTGTAAGGCTTGTAACTGGGGAAATATTCCACCTGATAATAGCCCAGATTCTACTGTATTCCCAAAAGGCAATATTAAGGTAGACAGATGATTAGTAGTATATTGTTACACACTATTTTGGAATTAGAGAACATACAGAAGGAATTTAGGGGCTTAAACATTACGACTGAATGCACTTTAGTATAAAGGGCACAGTTTGTATATTTTTAAATGAATACCAATTTAATTTTTTAGTATTTACCTGTTAAGAGATTATTTAGTCTTTAAATTTTTTAGGTTAATTTTCTTGCTGTGATATATATGAGGAATTTACTACTTTATGTCCTGCTCTCTAAACTACATCCTGAACTCGACGTCCTGAGGTATAATACAACAGAGCACTTTTTGAGGCAATTGAAAAACCAACCTACACTCTTCGGTGCTTAGAGAGATCTGCTGTCTCCCAAATAAGCTTTTGTATCTGCCAGTGAATTTACTGTACTCCAAATGATTGCTTTCTTTTCTGGTGATATCTGTGCTTCTCATAATTACTGAAAGCTGCAATATTTTAGTAATACCTTCGGGATCACTGTCCCCCATCTTCCGTGTTAGAGCAAAGTGAAGAGTTTAAAGGAGGAAGAAGAAAGAACTGTCTTACACCACTTGAGCTCAGACCTCTAAACCCTGTATTTCCCTTATGATGTCCCCTTTTTGAGACACTAATTTTTAAATACTTACTAGCTCTGAAATATATTGATTTTTATCACAGTATTCTCAGGGTGAAATTAAACCAACTATAGGCCTTTTTCTTGGGATGATTTTCTAGTCTTAAGGTTTGGGGACATTATAAACTTGAGTACATTTGTTGTACACAGTTGATATTCCAAATTGTATGGATGGGAGGGAGAGGTGTCTTAAGCTGTAGGCTTTTCTTTGTACTGCATTTATAGAGATTTAGCTTTAATATTTTTTAGAGATGTAAAACATTCTGCTTTCTTAGTCTTACCTAGTCTGAAACATTTTTATTCAATAAAGATTTTAATTAAAATTTGAACTTTTCAATGTTTCTCTTCCATTATTTTCTTACGTTATTACTGTCTCTCAGGATCTACTTTTGCAGTTTGGGAAGAAAAAAATGGTACCACTTTTTTAAGTTTTAGTTGAATAGAAGCATTATCAATACATCTCACCACTAGATGGTAGTGTTGGGCTGATCTTGGATTTCAATCCTCCCTGAAGGAAGACAAATTTTTCTGGAAAATTGCAGGCAACTTGGCAAGAGAATTAATGTGTGCATTCAAAATGAGGTATTTTACCAATTCGAAATCTAGTGGTGGTTTTTATTGTTTATAACACTCAACATTGAATAATTCACCTTACAATTATGCCTAGCATGCTGAATGGATTTCCAAATGTCTCTGCTGAAAATGGACTTGTTTTTCACTTTAGGCAGATGCTTTTTTTTTTTTTTTTTTTTTGTAGACCGAGTCTTGCTCTGTCGCCCAGGCTACAGTACAGTGGCACCATCTCGGCTCACTTCAACCTCCGCCTCCCCGGTTCAAGTGATTCTCCTGCCTCAGACCTCCTGAGTAGCTGGGATTACAGGCGCCTGACACCACGCCCGGCTAATTTTTGTATTTTCAGTAGACTCAGGGTTTCACCATGTTGGCCAGGCTGGTCTCAAACTCCTGACCTCGTGAACCACCCACCTCGGCTTTCCAAAGTGCTGGGATTACGTAAGGTGTAAGCCACCGTGCCTGGCGCTTTTTTCTTTTTTTTCTTTTCTTTTTTTTTTTTTTTTTTTTTGTTGTTGTTGCTGTTTTAAGATCAATGTTTGGCCGGGTGCAGTGGCTCACGCCTGTAATCCCAGCACTTTGGGAGGCCGAGGCGGGCGGATCACGAGGTCAGGAGATCAAGACCATCCTGGCTTACATGGTGAAACCCCATCTCTACTAAAAATACAAAAAATTAGCCGGGCGTGGTGGCGGGCGCCTGTAATCCCAGCTACCTGGGAGGCTGAGGCAGGAGAATGGCGTGAACCCGGGAGGCGGAGCTTGCAGTGAGACAAGATCGCGCCACCGCACTCCAGCCTGGGCGACAGAGCTAGACTTCGTCTCAAAAAAAAAAATCACTGTTCACACCAAGTGGGCAGATGCATTTTTGATTGATTGATATCCTTGCCTGTAGAGGCAACTGTTCCAATTGTTCAGGCTTTCTTTTTAATTGGTAGGGTTGAAATGTGGATTTCCTTGGAGAGTTAAGGCATGCTTTTTGAGTCATCTGTTACATTTTCCAGGATCCCTGTGTTTTCTAGAGTCTTGCCTGGTTTTCTGAGTGGTTGGTAGGATACTACTTTCTGCTCTTGCCCCCACTGAGTCATTTAAAGATCCATGTTCAGACCGGGCGCAGTGGCTCATGCCTGTAATCCCAGCACTTTGGGAGGCCGAGGCGGGCGGATCACCTGAGGTCAGGAGTTGGAGACCAGCCTGGCCAACATGGAGAAAACCCATCTCTACTAAAAATACAAAATTAGCCGGGCGTGGTGGCACATGCCTGTAATCCAAGCTACTCAGGAGGGTGAGGCAGGAGAATCGCTTGAACCCGGGAGGCAGAGGTTGCAGTGAGCGGACATCACACCATAGCACTCCAGCCTGCGCAACAACGACGAAACTCCGTCTCAAAAAAATAAAAAGCCGGGTGTGGTGGCTCATGCCTGTAATTCCAGCACTTTGGGAGGCAGAGGCGGGAGGATAACCTGAGGTTGGGAGTTCCAGACCAGCGTGACCAACATGGAGAAACCGCGTCTCTACTAAAAATACAAAATTAGCCGGGCATGGTGGCAGGTGCCTGTAATCCCAGGTACTAGAGAGGCTGAGGCAGGAGAATCGCTTGAACCTGGAAGGCAAAGGTTGCGGTGAGCCAAGATCATGCCATTGCACTCCAGCCTGGGCAACAAGAGCAAAACTCCATCTCAAAAAAAAAAAAAAAAAAATCCATATTCACGTTAATCCAAAAGCTCCCACTGATATAAAATATCCAATCCTGGCTTGAACTTCTGTGACTTGCGTTTTACTATAATCCATCCACATGGTACTCACATTATGCACTGACTTTATACAAAAAAGTTTAAGTACCTGTGGATATCAGTTGAGTGGGCCACCCCTTGGGGACTGAGATTACCCTCAGAAGAATTCTTTTTGACTGGGTGCGGTGGCTCACACCTGTAATCCCAGCACTTTGGGAGGCTGAGGTAGGTGGATCACAAGCTCAGGAGTTCAAGGCCAGCCTGGTCAGCATGGTGAAACCCCATCTCTACTAAAAATACAAAAATTAGCTGGGCATGGTGGTACGTGCCTATAGTCCCAGCTACTCAGGAGGCTGAGGCAGGAGAATCACTTGAACCCAGGATGTGGAGGCTGCAGTGAGCCGAGATTGCACCACTGCACTCCAGCCTAGGCAACAGAGTGAGACTCCATCTAAAAAAAAAAACAAAAAAACTCTTTTCTATGCCTTTCAAGGGCTAAGATATAGACGTATCATGGGTACACAGAGTAGGAACAAGGAATAGCTCCAGAGTCAATATAAAGAAAGGATGTCCTAGCCAAAAGAATGACCAGATAACACTGAACATTCTTAGAAAACAAAAGCAGCCAAACAGAAAAAGCATTAATCATTTGTTCTTTTAGCTCTCTAAATGAAGGCTACCTTGTTTGGACCTGGTATATCACTGGTGACTATAGGGTGATGACAGCTTTTCTGTTGGTAAAGCAGAAAAAGGGGCCAGCTTGGGACTTATGATGGTTAAGGAGGCTCTGCTCATGACTGCTACAAGGCCAGCTTGGTTCCAGTGACTTGCTGGATCACTCTTGGGCAAGGTGAAAGTAAATTTGCTTTGCATTACATATTTCATTAGCAATGTTTCCCAACAGCCAAGAGACTGGGAATTGGTACATGCTCATTTTTCTGGGGATAGAATCATGAACAGGGGCCAGGCACAGTAGCTCATGCCTGTAATCCCAGCACTTTGGGAGGCCAAGGTGGGCAGATCACCTGAGGTCAGGAGTTGGAGACCAGCCTGGCCAACACGGCGAAACCCCGTCTCTACTAAAAATACAAAAATTAGCCAGATGTAGTGGCGTGCACCTGTAATCCCAGCTACTTGGGAGGCTGAGGCAGGAGAATTGCTTGAACCCGGGAGGCAGAGGTTGCAGTGAGCTGAGATGGCGCCACTGCACTCCAGCCTGGGTGACAGAGCAAGACTCCATCTCAAAAAAAAAAAAAAAAAAAAATCATGAATAGGGTCTCAGACCAAGATCATTGTGTACTGGTGGTTCCTGTATGCTAAGTTAGTATGTCCTCTGTTCCTTGAGATGCTGATTGAAAATCCCATGGGGCTGGGTTTATTACTTCCTTTTAAAATATATCTTTTCTTTTTTTTTTTTTTTTTTTTTTTGAGATGGAGTCTCCATTTGTTGCCCAGGCTGGAGTGCAGTGGCACAATCGGGTCACTGCAACCTCCGTCTCCCGGGTTCAAGCGATTCTCCTGCCTTAGCCTCCCGAGTAGCTGGAACTACAGGCACCTGCCACCATGCCCAGCTAATTTTTATATTTTTGTACAGGTGGATTTTTGCCATGTTGACCAGGCTGGTCTTGAACTCCTGACCTCAGGTGATCCGCCTGCCTCAGCCTCCCAAAGTGCTGGGATTACAGGCGCGAGCCACCCTGCCCAGCCCTTTAAAACTGTATCTTAATATAGTGTAGTTACCATGAAGCTATTCCTGGGTTTGGATGGAAGTGGCTTCAGGCAGTGGTTCACAGAACAGCAGCAGTGGCATCACCTATGAGTTTGTTAGAAATGGGAAATGCAAATTCATAGATCCTACCCCCAAACTCATGAAAGCAGAATCTCTCTGGATGGGGTCCAGGAACTTAAAGAAACTCTCTTTATGCGAGATGGGACAAGCTGATATCTGAGCTGATGCTAAAGTTTGAGAGGCACTGAACTAAAATGAAGCTAACCAGCTGGGCTCGGTGGCTCACACCTGTAATCCCAGCACTTTGGGAGGCCAAGGCGGGCGGATCACCTGAGGTCAGGAGTTTAAGACCAGCCTGGCCAACATGGTGAAACCTCGTCTCATAAAAATACAAAAATTAGGCCGGGCGCAGTGGCTCACGCCTGTAATCCCAGCACTTTGGGAGGCCAAGGTGGGCGGATTACGAAGTCAGGAGATTGAGACCATCCTGCTAATACAGTGAAACCCCGTCTCTACTAAAAATACAAAAAAATTAGCCGGGTGTGGTGGCGGGCGCCTGTAGTCCCAGCTACTAGGGAGGCTGAGGCAGGAGAATGGCGTGAACCTGGAAGGCGGAGCTTGCAGTGAGCCGAGATCGCGCCACTGCTCTCCAGCCTGGGCGACAGAGCTAGACTCCGTCTCAAAAAAAAAAAAAAAAAAAAAAAAAATTCGGCCGGGCGTGGTGGCTCAAGCCTGTAATCCCAGCCATTTGCGAGGCCCAGGCGGGTGGATCACTTGGGTCAGGAGTTCCATGGCCAACATAGCGAAACACAATCTCTACTAAAAATACAAAAATTAGCAGGGCATGGTGGAGCCTGCCTGTAATCCTAGCTACTCGGGAGGCTGAGGGGAGAGAATAGCTTGAATCCAGGAGACGGAGGCTGAAGTGAGCCGAGATCCCGCCAGTGCACTCCAGCCTGGGCTACAGACCGAGACTCCGTTTCAAAAAAAAAAAAAAAAAAGCCGGGCGCGGTGGCTCACGCCTGTAATCCCAGCACTTTGGGAGGCCGAGGCGGGCGGATCACGAGGTCAGGAGATCGAGACCATCCCGGCTAAAACGGTGAAACCCTGTCTCTACTAAAAATACAAAAAATTAGCCGGGCGTAGTGGCGGGCGCCTGTAGTCCCAGCTACTTGGGAGGCTGAGGCAGGAGAATGGCGTGAACCCGGGAGGTGGAGCTTGCAGTGAGCTGAGATCCCGCCACTGCACTCCAGCCTGGGCGACAGAGCGAGACTCCGTCTCAAAAAAAAACAAAAAACAAAAAACAAAACAAAACAAACAAACAAAAAAAACACTTTAGGCTGGGCGGAGTGGCCTCACGCCTGTAGTCCCAGCACTTTGGGAGTGTGAGAAATCGGAAAGTTCTTCAAAGATTATAAAAAGTCACAATTTCTTACTATAAGATTGCTATCCACTGTGTGTGTGTGTGTGTGTGTATGTATGTGTGTGTGTGTGTGTGTGTGTGTGTGTGTGTGTGTGTGTATTCCAAATCAGCTGTCCTAGATTGCTCCTGCATGCCTGGACAGAACTAGACAAGCCCCAGCCCACAGTGCATGCCATTCCTTATTTGGTGATGCTTCCTTAATGATCCCTGGGCAACTTCCTTTTCTTTCTTTGTTCTGTTCCCCTTAACCAATTTTAAAAGTTTTAAACTAATAGCCAATCAGGTAAAGTGTAAAATGTGAGGTCCTATTCCAGCCAATGGAAAATGGACACAGCAGTAGGGTAGACACCTCAGATTATAAATAACTCTGTCTCCTTTGTTCGGTGTGCTCTCATGGCTAGACAGCTTTTGAGTAGCAGCACCCTTTCTGCAGAAAGTAAAGCTCTCCTTGCTGAGAGATCATTTGTTCCCGTGTTTTTTTGTTTTTGTTTTGTTTTCTTTTCTTTTCTTTTTGCAACACCAAAAACTTCATTCCCAACAGGGATACTGAGACAGGCAGATCACTTGAAGTCAGGAGTTCGAGACCAGCCTGGCCAACATGGTGAAACCCCAGGCTCTATCAAAAAATACAAAAATTAGTCGGGTGTGGTGGCACGTGTCTGTAGTCCCAGCTACTCGGGAGGCTGAGAAGGGAGGATCTCTTGAACCCAGAGGTGGAGGTTGCAGTGAGCAGAAATGGCACCACTGCGCTCCAGCCTGGGTGTGAGACTCCTTCTCACAAAAAAACATGCAAACAAACAAAACAGCCAAATTTAAAGGAGTTTTTTGTTTGTTTGTTTGTTTTGTTTTTTCTTTCCAAGACAAAGTCTCACTCCGTTGCCCAGGATAGAGTGCAGTGGTGCTATCTCAGCTCACTGCAACCTCCGCCTCCTGGGTTCAAGCGATTCTCTTGCCTCAGCTTCCCAAGTAACTGGGACTACAGACACGCACCACCACGCCCAGCTAATTTTTGTATTTTTAGTAGAGACGGAGTTTCACCATGTTAGCCAGGATGGTCTCGATCTCCTGACCTGTGATCCGCCTGCCTCGGCCTCCCAAAGTGCTAGGATTACAGGCGTGAGCCACCGTGCCCAGCCTAAAGGAGTTTGAGCAATGTATGATTCTCAAATTGGGCAGCCCCTGAATCACAGCAGATTCAGAGAGACCCAGCATATCCACAGAGACCCAGCATATTCACGTGGTGGAAGATTTATGGACAGCAAAATGAAAGTGAGGTACAGAAACAACCAGATTGGTTACAGATCAGCGTTTGTCTCATTTGAACGTGGTTGGAACAGTTGGCTACATTTGATTGGCCAAAATTCAGTGATTGGCACTGGTGTGGTCTACGTTCGATTTACACCTCCACTTGTTACAGTTCACAATGTACAGAAAACCTTTAGGCCGAACTTAAATATGTAAGGAGGCAGCTTTAGATTAAACTTGACTTAACACTAGCTACCACTTCTTACCTACATAACTTTGGGCAAGTTGTTTGGCCTCACTGGACCTCAGTTTACTTATCCAGTGGGGATAACAAGATCAACTTTATAGGGTGAAGGAGTGAAATAACCTGTGTAAAATGTTCCATGCAGTGCCTGGCACACAGGAAACCTCATCAAACATTGGCTATTTATTTTGTTTTGCCTTTAGGTCCTTTAGATATACTTTTTTTTTTTTTTTTTTTGAGACGAGTCTCACTTTGTCGCCCAGGCTGGAGTGTAGTGGCGCAATCTGGGCTCACTGCAAGCTCCGCCTCCCGGGTTCACGCCATTCTCCTGCCTGAGCCTCCCAAGTAGCTGGGACTACAGGCGCCCGCCACCATGCCTGGCTAATTTTTTGTATTTTAATAGAGATGGGGTTTCACCGTGTTAGCCAGGATGGTCTCGATCTCCTGACCTCATGATCCGCCCGCCTCGGCCTCCCAAAGTGTTGGGATTACAGGCGTGAGCCGCGCCCGGCCTTTTTTTGTTTGTTTTTGTTTTGAGACGCTCTGTTGCCTAGGCTGGAGGGCAATGGCGTGGTCTCGGCTCACTGTGATCTCCGCCTCAAGCAATTCTCCTGCCTCAGCCTCCCGAGTAGCTAGGATTACAGGCATGCACCACCACACCCGGGTAATTTTTGTATTTTTAGTAGGGACGGGGTTTCACCATGGCCAGCCTGGTCTCGAACTCCTTACCTCAGGTGATTCTTCCGCCTTGGCCTTCCAACGTGCTGGGATTACAGGCGTGAGCCACCACACCCGGCCTGCCTTTACGTATACTTTTTGAGTGCTTCCCTTTTCACTTTGTTTTTCTTCCATTTCCTTTTCCCCAAGAGAAGAATAAAAGGATTTTTGTAAACTTTTTTTATTTTTATTTTGGGACGGAGTCTTTGGTCTGTCGCCCAGGCTGGAGTGCAATGGCGCGATTTCGGCTCACTGCGACCTCCGCCTCCCAGGTTCAAGCGATTCTCCTGTCCCAGCTTTCCGAGTAGCTGGGATTACAGGCACAGCGCCACCAGGCCCAGCTAATTTTTGTATTTTTAGTAGAGACGGGGTTTTGCCATGTTGGCCAGGCTGGTCTCGAACTCCTGACCTCAGGTGATCCGCCAGCCTCGGCCTCTGAAAGTGCTGGGATTACAGGCGTGAGCCACCGCGCCCGGCCTTTTGTAAACTGTTAAGTCCATTTTTTCTGAGGAAAAGTGACTAATTTTTAAGGGATAAAGCAGTGAAAGTAGGCTGAGGTCACGGGGCACGAAGGGAAGAAAAGGTTGGGAGCGAAAAGAACTCTAGTGGCGGACAGTAGTGGGCAGGACCAGCTGACATCCAAGAGAAGCCCTGACCTGAGAGATCGATCTGGCCTCCGGGAGTGGAGACAGAGGTACCGCCTGGGTGGGAGCCGGAACGGATTCGATTCCAACAGGCTGAGAAAGGAGAATGTCCCCGTAAAGGAGCTAGGCCTGAAATAAGGGGTGTGGCCGTAGCTGGATGGAAGAGTGAGGGAGGAGTAGAAGCGTGGCCTAGACCAGCAGCAAAAGAGGGCGGGCCCAGGGCCGCCCGAGGCGTGGTCCCAGGGCCGGGCTGGGCGAGTCAGAGGCTCGGGAAGGGGCGTGGATCCCCGGAGGCGGTCCCCGGGTTGCAGTGAGGGAAGTGGGCCGGGAGGAGAGATGGGCGGTGAAGAGGCCCGGCCCTGCCAGGGAGGCGGGCGGATCCGTGGCAGTGACCAGAAGGGGCCGGAAGGGGGTGGCCGCCGGCCGGGCCCCGCCCTGGGGCCGCCTCCCCGCGGGTTCCGTTGGCTGTGGCGGCAGCTGACGCTTGTGGCGGCGGTGGCTTCGGGGTGGGCGTAAGATGGCGACAGCAGCGCAGGGACCCCTAAGCTTGCTGTGGGGCTGGCTGTGGAGCGAGCGCTTCTGGCTACCCGAGAACGTGAGCTGGGCTGATCTGGAGGGGCCGGCCGACGGCTACGGTTACCCCCGCGGCCGGCACATCCTCTCGGTGTTCCCGCTGGCGGCGGGCATCTTCTTCGTGAGGCTGCTCTTCGAGCGGTGAGAGCCCGGGAGCGAGCGGCTCGGGGGCCGGGCGCGGGCCGGGGGCGCCCCGCTGTGGGAAGGGCCGAGGGCCGGAAGCAGAACTGCAAGGAAAGCCCGGAAGCAGGGGCTGGGGGAGCTTGGGCCGCGGCGGGTGATGCTAGGCGCGTGGGCGAGGTGGTAGCCTAGATGGAGAAGGAGTTTGGGGCGTGGGCAAGAGAAAGAGTGAGGGTCTAGGGGAATGCTGGGCCCCTTCAATGTTAGATCCGGAGTTGGATTGGGGGGGTCATATAGGCCTCCTCCCAACCTCCAAGGGTCCTACAGATGAGGAAACAGGTTCAGTGTGAGCTCTGGCAGAGGCCCCGAAGAGAGGGATAGGAAGGGGCCAGGAGAACCAGAGCTAGTTGTGACCATGGAAGCCGAGGGGTCAACGCAAGGGCCAGACGTTCCAAGGGAAAGGAATGGACTCATCAGACTCTTAAGATTTGTTAGGACGCTTGAGTTTCCGAGAATTGGGGGGAACAGGATTAGTTTGGCCCTAAGAGTTGGTTTGGTATGTCAACTCATGCACGTTTGTTGGTAGGAGGGTAGAAATCTGGTTGGGATAGGGTGTGGTGGAGCCCTAGGCTTCCAAAGTAATGGAAAGATGTCAGATTAGTTGCAGAACAGGCCTTGGGGCCTGAAATGGAAGGAGGAGTGTGTTCGAAGGGATGGAGGAGAGCCACAGGGCTTTATCAGAGGACAGCTATATTGAGCCAGATTCTTTTTTCTTTTCTTTTTTTTTTTTTTTTTTTTGAGACAGAGTTTCGCTCTTGTTGCCCAGGCTGGCGTGCAATGGCACGATCTCGGCTTACCGCGACCTCCGCCTCCCCTGTTGAAGCGATTCTCCTGCCTCAGCCTCCCGAGTAGCTGGAATTACAGGCACGCGCCACCACGCCCGGCTACTTTTTGTATTTTTAGTAGAGACGGGGTTTCGCCATGTTGGCCAGGCTGGTCTGTAACTCCTGACCTCAAGTGATCCGCCCGCCTCTGCCTCCCAAAGTGCTGGGATTACAGGCGTGAGCCACCGCACCCGGCCTTGAGCCAGCTTCTAAATGAGTTTAGCAGAATTGCAGTATACTTTGTTCAACCACATGATTTCACCTTTAAGTGAATGGATCATATGTTTGTCCAAGATAAAGATATTCACTGAGGCTTTGGTGTGTGATATTATAATGTGAATTTATACCTGTGGGTGATTTTGATCAAGTCTACTCAGACTCCAAGAAAGGAGACATGTTTCTGCCATAGGCCTCAGGTAATGAGGGTGGTTCTTGGACATCTGTTCGTTTTGCCTTTATCCAAGCATAAATGATTGTAATGCAGGAATGCCCTTTCTAGGATGGGAATATGTTGCAGGTGAAATAATCTGTTAATTTCTGAAAGATAGCATCTGTTTGGGATTGCTTCTTTGATTTGCCTACTGTTTTTGACTCAAGTCTTTCAAAATCTTGTGTTCTATTTAGCTAGTCACGCATCCATTTATTCGTAGTATTTGTGCATCATCATCATCAAAATGCTCTGCCAGACGTTCAAGTGCAAAAATAAAGATGCTTAAGTGAAGCAAATGAAACCCAAAGATCTAAATGGCTTTCCTTGGCCCTCAGGAACTTAGTGTAGCAAGGTTTTTTTTTTTTTCTTTTTCTTTTTCTTTTTTTTTTGAGACGGAGTCTCGCTCTGTCGCCCAGGCTGGAGTGCAGTGGCGCGATCTCAGCTCACTGCAAGCTCCGCCTCTCGGGTTCACGCCATTCTCCTGCTTCAGTCTCCCGAGTAGCTGAAACTACAGGCGCCCGCCACCATGTCCGGCTAATTTTTTGTATTTTTAGTAGAGACGGGGATTCACCGTCTTAGCCAGGAAGGTCTCGATCTCCTGACCTCGTAATACGCCTGCCTCGGCCTCCCAAAGTGCTGGGATTACAAGCGTGAACCGCCGCGCCCGGCCTTGTTTTGTCTTTTTACGTGTAATCGTTGTAGTTAGTCATCCTGGAGTGGAGGCACAAACTGCTTGTCTGTCTTTGGAATAAACTAGATCCAGGTACTCTCTTCCATAGTCTCTGTATATGAGGGCCAAAAAAAAAAAGGAGGAAGGCAATGTAATCACTACAAAGGAAAATACACAAGTCAGGACAAATTTTTTTTTAAAAGGTGATTTTCATAGAAAAACATCTCTGCTTTTCATATAAATATGTGCCAATATGGAAATTTCCCCATGTTAGTGGTAAGAGGAAATAGTTTTGTTGCTTATAAACACCCATTTTATATAAACTTACGTATCTCTTGAGATTCCAAAGTGTTCCCTCAGATGGCTGAAGACATATATCCCCTGGCAGAGCTGCTGGAAGGGATCCTTTACCTGTGGGAATTCTATCTGAGTGTTTCTATGGTGCTCCAGTGTCAGAGGAGTACAGGTGGATGGGAATACTGAGCTGAAAGCATTCTAGTATGATAATTCTTGGCTAGTAAAGACAGGCACCTTGTTTGTCTCATGTTTGCTCTTAGGAAAGTTTAACCCTAGAAGCACTCTTGCTATTTTGTTTCTTTTAAGACCCATTACCTCAGTAATATAATTCACTGCTGACTTGCCAATTCCTCTTTTACCGTTCTGGTCTTCCATAAAGAAAATAGACCACTCCACTCTTATTGTTGTTTTTGAGACAGGGTCTCAGCCTCACCCAGGCTGGACTGCAGTGGCACGAAGCTCACTCCAGCCTCGACCTCTTTGGCTCAAGCAATCCTCCTACCTCAGCCTCCCAAGTAGCCAGGACCATAGGTGCACACCACTATGCCCAGCTAATTAAAAAAAAAAAAAAAAATTGGGAGAGCGGGGCATGGTGGCTCACACCTGTAATCCCAGCACTTTGGGAGGCCGAGGCAGGGAGATCACTTGAGGCCAGGAGTTCGAGACCAGCCTGGCCAACATGGTGAAACCCCATCTCTACTAAAAATATAAAAATTAGCTGGGCATAGTGGTACATGCCTGTAATCCCAGCTACTCAGGAGGCTGAGGCATGAGAATTGCTTGAGTTGGAGAGGCAGAGGTTGCAGTGAGCCAAGATCACACTGTTGCACTCCAGCCTGGGCTGCAGAGGAAAACTCTGTCTCAAAAAAAAAAAAAAAAATTGTAGAGGCTGGGCATGGTGGCTCATGCCTGTAATCCCAGCACTTTGGGAGGCCGAGGAGGGCAGATCACTTGAGCCTAGGAGTTTGAGACCAGCCTTGGCAACATGGTGAAACCTTGTCTCTACAAAAAAATTTAAAAATTAGCTGGGTGTGATGGTGCATGCCTATAGTCTCTAGTCTCATCTACTTGGGAGGCTGAGGCAGGAGGATTGCTTGAACCCGGGAGGTTGAGACTGCAGTGAGCCGTGATCAAACCACTGTACTTCAGCCTGGGTGATAGAGTGAGACCCTGTCTCAGAAAAATAAATAAAATAAATTTTTGTAGAGGCCTGAGCTCCTGGCCTCAAGCGATCCTGCTGCCTCAGCTTCCCAAAGTTTTGGGATTACTGGCATGAGCCACTGCCCCTGGCCTAGAGCCACTTGTAGAATGCAATAGAAGGCATATCAAAAATATCGGGGCATGGCCTTGCATGCTGGCTCACACCTGTAATCCCAGCACTTTGGGAGGCCGAGGCAGGCAGATCACTTGAGGTCAGGAGTTTGAGACCAGCCTGGCTAACAACATGAAATCTCATCTCTACTAAAAATACAAAAATAGCCCCGCGTAGTGGCGGGCGCCTGTAATCCCAGCTACTTGGGAGGCTGAGGCAGGAGAATGGCTTGAACCTGGAAGGTGGAGGTTGCAGTGAGCTGAGATCGTGCCACTGGACTCCAGCCTGGGCAACAGAGCGACACTCCATCTCAAAAATAAATAAATATTGGGGCCTGGCATGGTGGCTCACACCTGTAATCCCAACACTTTGGAGGCCAAGGTGAGAGAATTGCTTGAGACCAGGACTTTGAGATCAGCCTGGGCAGCATAGCGAGACCCTGATCCTACAAAAAATAAAAATGTTAGCCAGATGTGGTGGCATGCATCTGTAGTCCCAGCTACTCAGGAGGCTGATGCAGGAAGATGGCTTGAGCCCAGGAGTTCAAAGCTGCAATGAACTATGATAGCGCCAGTGCACTCCAGCCTGGGCAAAGGAGTGAGACCCTGTCTCTTAAAGAAAGAGAGGCCAGGCACAGTGGCTCATGCCTGTAATCCCAGCACTTTGGGAGGCTGAGACGGGCGGATCACCTGAGGTCAGGAGTTCGAGACCAACCTGGCTAACATGGTGAAACCCCATCTCTACTAAAAATACAAAAATTAGCTGGGCGTGATGGCATGTGCCTATAATCCCAGCTACTTGGGAGGCTGAGGCAGGAGAATCTCTTGAACCCGGGAGGTGGAGGTTGCAGTGAGCCAAGATCACACCACTGCACTCCAGCTTAGGCAATAGAGCAAGACTCTATCACAAAAAAAAAAAAGAGAGAGAGAGAGATAAAGAGGTATATTGGGACAATTAGTCATCTTTCCTACATTTTCTCTTTTTTTCAGAGCCCAGAATCCTTGCATACATTTTCTCATTCTAAAATCCTACCTATTTAGTTTGTAGAAATGATTTATGTAGTAATCATAGACTGCTAAAAGCTAGAACTCCGGCCTCCTTTTACAGACAGTTACTAAGGCTTAGAAACATCCTTCAGCTTTTCAGAGGTTGCAACATACAACTGGTCTTTTTCCCCAGCCCAGTTCTCTTTCACTGATAGGGCCGTTCATCTTTTCCTATTCCTTAAACCCCCTTTCAAGTGTTAAGATTTAACCTCTTGTTCTAGTATTCTAGTATTTGAAGAACAAATTTATTTCCTGTTACACACTTCATATACATTTAAAAAAAAAAAAAAAAAAAAAAGAACAAATCAGCCAGGCATGGTGGCTCATGCCTGTAATCCCAGCACTTTGGGAGGCCAAGGCAGGTGGATTAACTGAGGTCAGGAGTTCGAGACCGGCCTCGCCAACATGGTGAAACCCTGTCTTTACTAAAAATACAAGAAATTAGCTGGGTGTGGTGGCATGCGCCTTAAGTCCCAGCTACTTGGGAGGCTGAGGCAGGAGAATCGCTTGAACCTAGGAGGCAGAGGTTGCGGTGAGCTGAGATCATGCCACTGCACTCCAGCTTGGGCAACAGAGTGAGACTCTGTCTCAAAAAAAAAAAAAAAAAAAAAAAGAAGAAGAACAAATCTGTATTCATCCTGTTCTTAGTTATTTAACATTATCCTTTTAACTTGAACTTTGCTTTTTTTTTTTTTTTTCTTTTTTTGAGACGGAGTCTCACTCTCTCACCCAGGCTGGAATGCAGTGACTTGATCTCAGCTCATTGCAGCCTCTGCTTCCCAGGTTCAAGCAGTTCTCATGCCTCAGCCTCTTGAGTAGCTAGCAGTACAGGCATACACTACCACAGCCAGCTAATTTTCATATTTTTAGTAGAGACAGGGTTTTGCCATGTTGGCCAGGCCGGTCTTGAACTCCCGGCCTCAAGTGATCCACCTGCCTCGGCCTCCCAAAGTGCTAGGATTACAGGCGTGAGCCACCGCATCTGGCCAACTTTGCTTTGTTTGTTTCATATCATTATTGCATATTTAAATGCATCTTACTCTATGTGCCTAGATACATAGTCTCTATTTGTGTTTCAGGAATCTCCCAAAGAATAAATATAGAGGGTACAATTTGGTCTTACTTTCTCTTCCTTCTCATCAACCACACTGAGCATTTATTAAATATTTTTTAAGTTTCCATATTCCCTATAGAGAACTGTAGCCTCACCTGATGGGGATGACTTGGAAAGCCATCTGACCATAAGTTAAGCATATTTAGCTATTTTGTTAAAGAACTGCAGAAAGGTGATTATTACCCACCAAAGCACAGAGGCTTGCCTTTGTGGGCCTCTGTTGACTGGTTCATTGCAGTGGACTGTACTCTTGCACAGTGCCTCAGTGCAGCATGTGAGTATAATGATTGAGAAGGGTCTATTCTTGTCCACTCAGATGCCCTGAGGAGTAACCCAGAATCTAATTATTCAATCTGAAATAGATATTTGGCTTAAGAGAGGTGAAATTATAATTTCTTTGTTTCTGTTGTTAAATTTCACCATACTATGTTTGCATGTTGTACACTTTTCTACAGCTTCTCTTTCTCCCCTTTCCTCTTACACACACTCAGGCTACCCACTGTTACCTATCAAAAGAGAGATAAGAAAGTCTTCCACTTGTTGCTTCTTTGAATATTGTGTGCTGATTAGGGAAAGAATAGTCCAAGGTGTGGTCCAAGTCCAAGTAGGCCTCTTGGATCTGACTTAAACTGAATCTTAAAGATAAAATTGTTTGAAACTTAGTATTTTGTCCCTTGAGCATATTTTCCCTGGGATCAAGTAGGAGTTTGAGACAATATTGATACCATCAGATCTATATAGGTTCATTTATTTTAAATACGGTACTATAATAGGAGCTTTATGTTGCCAGAAGAAAGTAATTTGGCGAATTATACAGGAGATAGCTGAGAGCTTTCACCGCTGCTTATTCATTATTCCAGTCCCCTCTTCTCTCTTATTACTTCAAGGCAACCTCACTGGGGTGTCTAAAGAGCCTTCTCAATGCCATTCTCTCAGTGGGGATTGAACAGACTCATTCGCTGGCCTGTCATGTAACTGACAACAAGAGTAGTGATTCATTTTCTTGTGCATGTTTCCATTTATTTCCTTTTTTCTTTTCTTTTTTTTTTCTTTTTTTTTTTTTTGAGACAGAGTCTCGCTCTGTTGCCCAGGCTAGAGTGCAGTGGCACAATCTCAGCTTACTGCAACCTCCGCCTCCTGGGTTCAAGCGATTCTCCTGCCTCAGCCTCCTGAGTAGCTAGGACTACAGGTGTGTACCACCACGCCCAGCTAATTTTTGTATTTTTAGTAGAGATGGGGTTTTGCCATGTTGGCCAGACTGGTCTTGAACTCCTGACCTCAGGTGATCTACCCACCTCGGCCTCCCAAAGTGCTGGGATTACAGGTGTGAGCCACCACACCTGGTCTCAATTTTTAATTGATTACATATTGACAGTACTTTTGACATATCAAGTTAAACAAAATACATTGTCAACATTAATTTCACTTGTTTCTTTTTCACTTTTTAAAATGTGGATATTAGAAAATTTTAAATTACAGGCTGGGCACGGTGGCTAATGCCTATAATCCCAGCACTTTGGGAGGCTGAGGTGGGCAGATGACCTGAGGTCAGGAGTTCGAGACCAGCCTGACCAACATGGTGAAACCCCATCACTAAAAATACAAAAATTAGCTGGGTGTGGTGGTAGGCACCTGTAATCCCAGCTACTCAGGAGGCTGAGGCAGGAGAATCGCTTGAACCTGTGAGGTGGAGGTTGCAGCGAGCCAAGATCGCACCATTGCACTCCAGCCTGGGCAACAGAGCGAGACCCTGTCTCAAAAAAGAAAAGAAAATTTTAAATTACATATGTGACTCACATTATATTTCTGTTGGATGGTGATGACAGTAATTCAGACAATATTAATAATAATTGAGAAAATAATTTTAATGTAAATTCACATTTGATACACTTTTTAGGATCAAAAGATGATGCAAAGGTATTAGATGTTCCTTTAAATAATGAATCTAAGACATTTTAGTAAAAATAAGATTTCTAAATGTAAATTATTTTCTGAAATATTCAAATGACTGGTCATATTCTATTTTGAGTAATTTTTTGTTTTTTTGAGACAGAGTCTCGCCCTGTGTCGCCCAGGCTGTAGTGCAGTGGCGGGATCTCGGCTCACTGCAAGCTCTGCCTCCCGGGTTCACACCATTCTCCTGCCTCAGCCTCCTGAGTAGCTGGGATTACAGGCGCCCGCCACCACACCCGGCTAATTTTTTGTATTTTTAATAGAGATGGGGTTTCACCGTGTTAGCCAGGATGGTCTCTATCTCCTGACCTCATGATTCGCCCGCCTCGGCCTCTCAAAGTGCTGGGATTACAGGTGTGAGCCACCGCGCCCGGCCGCTTGAGTAATCTTTGATTGACAGTTGCTTCTAGCCAAGCATTGCTCTATAATTTTGCCTTTTTACATCTATCTTCTCGGTGTTAATGATCTATAAGAAAGTTTGTCAAGTAGGTAAATGTCCATGCAGAACTGCATAGCTCTGATAAGGCATTGAGAATAATCACACTCTTACTATATCTCTTCTGTAAAATACAAGATTTCTTGTAAGGATATTCCTTGTAGTTTTTAGTTTTTGGGTATTGTCAGCATTAGTAAGCAGTCGCAATTACAGGCATAAAGTGTCTCAAACTAGATCAGATTGTTGTGGTTGTGTTTAGGGCAATCTCCAGTTATAGATTGAAATCGGTTAACTTGAATATCTACTGATTCCCCAGAAATCAGTCATCTCCTACACTTGATAAACACCAAACTGGTAGGTTATCTGATGACCCAGGAGGATAAGGCTGAGTTTTAATTTCATCCTTACAAGTGGCACACTTCCATGAAACACTTTGCCTCTTAGTTGAGAATTAAGTTTTCACCCATTTGTTCATCTGTTCATTCTTCAACATCTATTTATTGAAAGCTTAGGATATGTCATATCAAACTATATGTGATGGTTTTAGAAGTTGGACAAGAAAAATGTAAAAATAAATAAAAAGGTATCAAACTATGTGCCAAGGATTAAAAGGTGAATAAACCATGATTTCTACCCTGGAGAGAGCAACAAAATCAGTGGTTATCCCTTATGTGTGTTTGTGTTTCTATTTTAAGCAAATGCATTAAGTTGTATAATTATCCATTGAAAAAAGGTAAATATGTTTAATGAAAGGAACAAGTGGGTTTATCCTACCACTTTGGCCTGAATTCACTTTAGTGTCCTCTCAGTAGAATTCTTCTAGTACATTAGAATGATTGGATTTACAAAAATATACAATCTACATGCATTCCTTGAGAAAAACATCTATTACAGATTTTTTTTTTTTTTTTTTTTTTTTGGTCATGGTCTCACTCTGTCACCTAAGTTGGAGTGCAGTGGCACAATCTGGTATCACTGCAACTTCCACCTCCCTGGCTCAAGCCATCTTGCCACCTCAGCCTCCCAAGAAGCTGGGACTACAGGCATGTGCCACTGTGCCTGGCTAATTTTTGTATTTTTTGTAGGGATGAGGTTTTGCCATGGCTGGTCTTGAACTCCTGAGCTCAAGTGATGCTTCCACCTCGGCCTTCCAAAGTGCTGAGATTACTGGCATGAATCACCATGCCTGGCCTACAGTAGATTATTTTGCTTCTGTCTAGATAGTGTCAATTATTGTTTCAGGTTTGATCTCTTTTTTTTTGGACAATTTCTTTTTTCCTCATCTAATATTCTCCGTTGTATGCCTTTAATGAAGTCAAGGATCTAGGTAAAGTGAATAATGTCAGAAATGTTTGTCAGGTCACAGCTGGAATTTGAAGAGAACCATTTCAGAGATCTTGAATGAACTGCCTTATTTTTGGGGAATGACCTTCAGATTGGGCTCTGTTTATGGACTTGTCTCCCCCATGAAACTGTAGGTATCTAATGCAGTGCTTTGTACATTCATATTAGCTATTCAGTAAGTGTTTATTGAATGAATCACTCTGAAACCTACTTCTGCTTGAGATGTTGCGACTCTAGTACAGTAATTACTGTTTTTTTTTCTAATTTTCCTTCCTAAGAGACGGAATCTTGCTATATTACTGTATCAGTCAGGGTTCTCTAGAGGGACAGAACTAATAGGATGGATATATATATGAAGGGTAGTTTATTAAGTATTAACTCACACTATCACAAGGTCCCACAATAGGCCGTCTGCACACTGAGGAGCAAGGAAAGCCAGTCCAAGTCCCAAAACTGAAGAGCTTGGAGTCCGATGTTTGAGGGGAGGAAGAGTCCAGCACAAGAGAAAGATGTAGGCTGGGAGGCTAGGCCAGTCTAGTCTTTTCACGTTTTTCTGCCTCTTGCCATGCTGGCAGCTGATTAGATGGTGCCCACCCAGATTAAGGGTGGCTCTGCCTTTCCCAGCCCACTGACTCAAATGTTAATCTCCTTTGGCAACACCCTCACAGACATGTGCAGGATGAGTGTTTTGCATTCTTCAATCCAATTAAGTTGATACTCAGTATTAACCATCACAATTACCCAGGCTGGAATTCAGTGGCCATTCACAGGGCTGATGTCACTACAGCCTTGACCTCCTGGCCTCAATCAGTCCACCTGCCTCAGCCTCCATGGTAGCTGGAACTACAGGCCCAGCTACATAATTTCCTTTTTGACTCCTGAGATTCCTATGCTGTACAGCAGTGGGTTCTCAAATCTTTTGCTCAGGACTCCTTTATATTTTAAAAAATTATTGAAGACCCCAAATAGCTTTTGTTTATATGAGTTATATCTATCAATATTTTCTCTATTAAAAACTAATACTGATAAATTTTTTAAGTATGTATTAAGCTTCACTCTGTCAGCCACGCTGGAATGCAATGGCATGATCATGACTCACTACAGCCTCCACCTCTTGGCTCAAACAATCCTCCCACCTCAGCCTCCCAGTAGCTGGGACCAGAGGTGCATGCCACCACACCTGGCTACTAATTGTTTTATATATATATATATATAGTTTGTTTGTTTGTTTTGAGACAGAGTCTTGCTCTGTCACCCAGGCTGGAGTGCAGTGGCGTGATGTTGGCTCACTGCAAGCTCTGCCTCCCAGGTTCACGCCATTCTCCTGCCTTGGCCTCCCCAGCAGCTGGGACTACAGGCGCACGCTGCCACACCCGGCTAATTTTTTTTTGTATTTTTAGTAGAGACGGGGTTTTACCGTGTTAGTCAGGATGGTCTCGATCTCCTGACCTTGTGATCCACCCGCCTCAGCCTCCCAAAGTGCTGGGATTACAGGCGTGAGCCACCACGGCCGGCCTTTTTTTTTTTTTTTTTTTTGAGACAGAATGTCGCTCTGTCGCCCAGGCTGGAGTGCAGTGGCGCGATCTCAGCTCACTGCAACCTCTGCTTCCCAGGTTTAAGCAGTTCTCCTGCCTCAGCCTCCGAGTAGCTGGGACTGCAGGTGTGCCACCACACCCAGCTAATTTTTGTATTTTTAGTAGAGACGGGGTTTCACCATATTGGTCAGGCTGGTCTCAAACTCCTGACCACAGGTGATCCACCCGCCTTGGCCTCCCAAAGTGCTGGGGATTACAGGCGTGAGCCACCATGCCCGGCCACTAATTGTTATATTTTTTGTAGAGACAAGATTTCATCATGTTACCCAGGCTGGGCCTTTTTTTTTTTTTTTTTTTTTTTTTTGAGATGGAGTCTCGCTCTGTCGCCCAGGCTGGAGTGCAGTGGCGCAATCTCGGCTCACTGCAAGCTCTGCCTCCCGGGTTCACGCCATTCTCCTGCCTCAGCCTCC
The DNA here is from genome assembly GCF_000001405.40 of Homo sapiens. Lineage (NCBI taxonomy): Eukaryota > Metazoa > Chordata > Mammalia > Primates > Hominidae > Homo > Homo sapiens. The sequence continues at coordinate 50,155,630 of NC_000012.12, read as the reverse complement.
CGAGTAGCTGTGACTACAGGCGCCTGCCACCACGCCTGGCTAATTTTTTTGTATTTTTAGTAGAAATGGGGTTTCACCCTGTTAGCCAGGATGGTCTCGATCTCTTGACCTCGTGATCCACCTGCCTCAGCCTCCCAAAGTGCTGGGATTACAGGCCTGAGTCACCGTGCCTGGCAATTTTTTTTTTTAATGGCCCTCAAAGGAAGCTGCAAAGATCACTTGAGCACAGACCATGCAAGAAATGTTGGGTTTGGTGGTATAGGTATCTTGAAAAGTGCAATACCTTGTATACAAGGAATCCTCTTCTTTTAAGAATTTACTCAGAAGAATACATTGTAACTTTTTGTTCTCAGGGATTGTTTTTCACTTTTAAAAATTACTGAGGACTCCAAGGAGCTTTTGTTTATGTGGGTTACATATACCCATCAACTTTACCATATTTTAAATTAAAATTGAGAAATTTAAGAAATGCTGACCGGGCACGATGGCTCACCCCTATAATCCCAGCACTTTGGGAGGCCTAGGTGGGTGGATCACCTGAGGTCAGGAGTTCAAGACCAGCCTGGCCAACACGGTGAAACCCCGTCTCTACTAAAAATGCAAAAATTAACCAGGCATGGTGGTGCACGCCTATAGTCCCAGCTACTTGGGCAGCTGAGGCAGGAGAATCACTTGAACCTGAGAGCAGAGGTTGCAGTGAGCCAAGATAGCGCCACTGCACTCCAGCCTGGGTGACGGAGCGAAACTCTGTCTCAAAAAGAAATTTAAGAAATGCTTATTAATTCATTAAAAATAACAACAGGCCAGGTGCAGGGGTTCACACTTGTAATCCCAGCACTTAGGGAGGCAGAGACAGGAGGATAGCTTGAGCTCAGGAGCTCAAGACCTGTGTGGGTAACATAGCAAGACCTCGTTCTCCACAAAAAGGGAGAAAATAGACAAAAAATAATAATAAATTGATTTACATGTTAACATAAATAAGCTTTTTGAAAAATATTATTTTCCAAAAGAAAAAATAGAAGAACAGCATTGATTTTACATTTTTGCAAATCTCTTTAATATCTGGCTTAATAGAAGACAGCTGGATTATCCTAGCAGCTTCTGCATTCAATCTCTTGTGATACATTGTTTTGATTGAAGTATATGAAGAAAAGATGGCCTCACACAGCTTTGTCATTGAAAAGCAGGAAGTATTTTAATAGCCCTTTCAAATAATTTGATATTTATCTTTGATACTACACCAAAACACAAGTAGCAGTTTTTTGTTTTGTTTTGTCTTGTTTTGAGACGGAGTCTTGCTCTGTTCCCAGGCTGGAGTGTAGTGGCGCGATCTCACTGCAACCTTCGACTCCCTGGTTCAAGCGATTCTCCTGCCTCAGCCTCCCGAGTAGCTAGGATTACAGGCATGTGCCACCGCACCCAGCTAAGTTTTGCATTTTTAGTAGAGATGGGGTTTCACCATGTTGGCCAGGATGGTCTAGATCTCTTGACCTCGTGATCTGCCTGCCTCGGCCTCCCAAAGTGCTGGGATTACAGGCGTGCCACGCCCAGCCACAAGTAGCAGTTTCTTAAACGTTGATTCCTAGGTAGAATCTGAAGCCATATTAATGAGCTTTTCATTTTATTATGTTAAAATCCATTGTTCTATGTTCATTGTGTTTTGTTGTTGTTGTTTTGAGGTGGTGTTTTGCTCTTGTCGCCCAGGCTGGAGTCCAATGGTGCAGTCACAGCTCACTGCAACCTCTGCCTCCCAGGTTCAAATGATTCTCCTGCCTCAGCCTTCCAAGTAGCTGGGATTATGGGTATGCGCCATCACGCCCAGTTAATTTTGTATTTTTAGTGGAGATGGGGTTTCACCATATTGGCCAGGCTGGTCTCAAACTCCTGACCTCAGGTGATCCGCCTGCCTCAGCCTCCCAAAGTGCTGGGATTATAGGCGTGAGCCACCATGCCTGGCCTATATTACAGTTTGAATGGACATCATGTATCCATCATTTGGAAAATACTGGTTCATTCAGTTATGCAAATGTCCCACATGTCAATATGTGACATTATACAATATTTTAAAATCTTGCCTGTAATCCCAGCACTTTGGGAGGCCGAGGTGGGCGCATCACAAGGTCAAGAGATTGAGAGCATCCTGGCCAACATGGTGAAACCCCGTCTCTACTAAAAATACAAAAATTAGCTGGACGTGGTGGTGCATGCCTCTAGTCCCAGCTACTCGGGAGGCTGAGGCAGGAGAATCGCTTGAACCCAGGAGGCAGAGGTTGCAGTGAGCCAAGATCATGCCACGGGACTCCAGCCTGGCAACAGAGTGAGACTCCGTCTCAGAAAAAAAAAAAAAAAAAAAAAAAAAAATCATATTAGTTTATCTCATTATAACCAATCTCATCAGAAAAGTCTTAAGTATTGAGAAGTTGTCAGGCTGAAAGGCAGGTAAAAGTTTTCTAAACATTCTAAGTTTCACTTGAAAGCTTGAATTTTATCATTGGCAACAATGCTTTTCTTGAAATGACGGGCTCACTTATTATAGTTATTACTATTATTATTATTATTTTGAGACAAAGTCTTGCTCTGTCGCCCAGGCTGGAGTGCAGTGGCAGGATCTCAGCTCACTACAACCTCTGCCTTCTGGGTTCAAGCAATTCTCCTGCCTCAGCCTCCCGAGTAGCTGGGATTACAGGCGGCCGCCACCACGCCTGGCTAATATTTATATTTTTAGTAGAGATGGGGTTTTACTGTGTTGGCCAGGCTGGTCTCAAACTCCTGACCTCAGGTGATCCGCCCGCCTCCGCCTCCCAAAGTGCTGGGATTACAGGCATGAGCCACTGCGTCTGGCCTCATTTATTTTTGAGAAAGTTTTTGCTAAATACTCAGAGCTGACTAACGTTAGTCTGTCAGTCCTTTCAGGTAAAAGTGGTATTCTATGGAAAAAGCGACTTAGTTTATTCAGCTTGCAGTAGTCATACAAATGGTTTTCCTTGGGAGCCATATACTTTGGTATGCATCAGAAGTGCTTTTTGGGTACATCCATTTTATCACAGAATAAGTGGAGACTGGGTTTCACCATGTTGGCCAGGGTGGTCTCGAACTCCTGACCTCAAGTGATCCGCTTGCCTCAGCCTCCTAAAGTGCTGGGATTACAGGCATAAGCCACTGTGCCCAATCACAGAATACTTTTAAAAAATATATTCAAGGGTCAAGATTTAATAAAAGTAATAATTTGTAGTGCTTCATCAAGGACATTCTTAAGCAAAACTGGCATGTTTTAAAAATTGAGAAGACCTAGCTCTACAGTATAGTAACTACTAGTATGGTTTGGTGTCACTACCTTGATTTGGTCTAAAGTACCATAATGTTTTACCTACCATTGATTTGCACAATCACTGCAAATGTCAACACAGTGAAAAAGGCAAATAATAATATTGTTATGAAAATAGTTTAGTTTGTAGAGCCCCTGAGAGTGCCTCAGGAACCCTCAGGGATCTGCAGTCCATACCTTGAGACCCTCTACCATAACTGAATGAGGTTACTGAGGGTGAGCGTGTAGAGTACGAAAAGAACCTCTAAGTGAACCCTGAGGAAACACCATGTTTCAGGAAAAGGCAGAGGAAAAATAAACTGCAAAGGAGATAGAGGAATGACAGCCATACGTTATTTGATAATATTAGTAGTTGGTATAGGCCGCGCACGGCGACTCACGCCTGTAATCCCAACACTTTGGGAGGCCGAGGTGGGTGAATCCACTAGAGGCCAGGAGTTCGGGACCAGCCTGGCCAGCATGGTGAAACCCGTGTCTACTAAAAATACAAAAGTTAGCCAGGTGTGGTGGTGGGCACTTGTAATCCCAGCTACTCGGGAGGCTGAGGCAGAATCGAACCTGGGAGGTGGAGGTTGCAGTGAGCCAAGATTGTGCCATTGCACTCCAGCCCAGGTGACAGAGGGAGACTCCATCTCAAAGTGGGTGTTTAATAAGTGTTTACTTTGTCCTAGGCATTGTTCTAAGTGCTAAGCTTGAATCCTCTTTAGTAAGTTTATGAGGTAGGTAGGCATTACTGTTATCCTCATTTTACAGATGAGAGAACTGAAGCACAGAGGAACTTGTCCAAGGTGACTCAACTAGCAGTGCTTACCAGGCAGTCTAGTTCCACTGCCAAAGAGGTAGAGGGAGAAGACTAGGAAGAGTGGCAGTAAGGAAGAGAAAAGGGCATTTCAAGAAGGAGATTAGTCATTAATGTATTTGGTTGGTGCAAAAGTAATTGTGGTTTTTGCCATTAAAAGTAATGGGAATTACTTTTGCACCAACCTAATAAAATGCTGCTGAAAGGTCAAGTAAGATAAAGGACTGAAAAGCATCCATTTGTTTTCACAATATGGAGATCATTGACAACTTTGGCAAGAACAGCTTCAGTGGAGTGTAGGGACAGAAGCCAGAGGGGAGAGAAAGGAGAGTTGAGGAATGTGTGGGAGTTTAGTTGTGAGTTTGGGGAAGGCCAGAGGGTGCTAGGGACCGGGAGGGCTGTTTTAAGATGTGAAAAACTTGAGCATGTTTAAGATCTGATGAGAAGAACAAAGTTGAGAGTGAGGCTGAAGATAATAGAAGGAAGGAGGGATAAGTAGAATGAAATTTCTGATCAGTAAAGAGTGGGTCTAAAGCACAGGGAGATTGGTTTTAGATGTGATTAGTTTAGATTGAGTGATTCTGATGCCAAAGTTGAGGACATTCCATTTTCTTCTTAGCCTAAATGCTTGAGGGTTTGGCTATTTCTACTTCTTTCCTCCTATATCTTTAACTGCTTTAACTCACTGCTGTGTTTTAGAGTCTTTATTTTACTGGAATTTCTTTGGTGAAGGTTACTACAGATCTCCAAAAATTGCCAAATGTAGTAGATACTGAAGTCCTTGTCTTGGTCTTTCCCTTATTTGATACAACTCCACCTCTGACCTTCCTGTCCCCTAAATTCACCTTTTATGCTGATGTTGTCCAGCGTTCTGACCTCAGTTCTCTTTTAAGTTTATATTCCTTTCATATGTAATCACAGCCACCCCCACAAATTTAGCTATCACTTACATTCTCATTCATTTGTATTCGTATATTCTGTTCTTTCTCTCTATATATATATCATACCCAAGCCCCTTTTCCAAGTGTATTTGCATGCTAGACAGTTCCATTTCAGTGTCCCATGGGTACTTCAGATTCAGCATACACAAAACTCAACTCATCTTTCACTCCCAAACTTTTTTTTATTTCATTATTTTATGTTTTGGAGATGGCGTCTCACTCTGTCACCCAGGCTGGAGTGTAGTGGCACAATCAGGGCTCACTGCAGCCTCCACCTCCTGGGCTCAAGCAGTCCTCCTGCCTCAGCCTCCGCAGTAGCTGGGACCATGGGCACATGCCACCACATCCAGCTAATTTTTAAAATTTTTTGTAGAGACGGGGTCTCACCATGTTGCCCAGACTGGTCTTAAACTCCTGTTCTTTTTATATGTCTACTTTGGCACTTTATATTTTTCCAGAAATTGATCTAAGCTGGTACTTCTCAATCTGGAAATATTGCTGCACACATAAAAAATAACATTTGTGGCTGAGTATGCTGGCTCACGCCTGTAATCCCAGCACTTTGGGAGGCGAGGCAGGCAGATCACTTGAGGTCAGGAGCTCAAGACCAGCCTGGCCAATGTGGTGAAACCCCGTCTCTACTAAAAATACAAAAATTAGCTGGGCATGGTGGTGCACGCCTGTAGTCCCAGCTACTACTTGGGAGGCTGAGGCACAAGAATTACTTGAACCTGGGAGGCGGAGGTTGCAGTGAGCCCAGATCACGCCACCACACTTCACTTCAGCCTAGGCATCAGAGCGAGACTCTGTCTCTAAATAAATACATAAATAACATTTGCATTATACAGTAAGGTATATGAGGCCAGAGACTACAGACTAAAGGTTTCTGGCTACCCGAAGGCCCCATGGATCACCCTGAGAGCTAAAATCAATATCTCAGCATAAGTATAGCCCATTTGTGTTACTTGCCACAATAGTTGAGAAGCTTAATCTAGACTTTGGTTTTATTTGTGTATAATTCATATTCATCAGTGGTGTAATGAATCACAAAAGTAGCATTGTGAATATACATCCTGTCTTTGATAGGAAAAAGCGAAAGCACTAGGTAATTTCATCCTAATTAACCCAGGCTTAGGTCAACTGCTGCTATGTATCTGGAGAGCAGGAAAAGGGCAGAGTGAAATGATCTCTACAAAGCAGGACAAATCTAATACTGTCAGGATGGGTCACTAGACTCGTGTTCCTGGAGTTACAGGTGGAAAGTAGTAGCTTCTTTTTATAGACCACTAAATGCCTACTTACTAAAATCTGCCAGGAAAGGAAAAATCTTGTCTGACAAATTATTTTAAAATGTGGATTGATCCTGGAGAAGACAGAAAGCCACACTAAAAGTATAATTTGTCAGTATCATCTAGCACAGCAGTTTTCAAACTATGATCTCAGGACTCCTTTACAATCTTAAAAAATTTTCAAGGATCCCAAAGAGTTTTTGTTTATGTGGATAGTACCTATCAATGTCTACTGTTTTAGAAAAAAAATGGGGAAAATGTACATGTTTTCTACATGTATTTATACATGTATAAAATGTCTACACGCACACACACACACACACACACACATATATATATATATATATATTTTTTTTTTTTTTTTTTTTTTTTGAGATGGAGTCTCGCTCCGTCACCCCAACTGGAGTGCAGTAGCGCAATCTTGGCTCACTGCAACCTTCGCTTCCCGGGTTCAAGCAATTCTCCTGCCTTAGCCACCTGAGTAGTTGGGAATACAGGTGTGCACGACCATGCCCGGCTAATTTTTTGTTGTTGTATTTTTAGTAGAAGATGGCATTTCGCCATGTTGGCCAGGCTGGTTTCAAACTCCTGACCTCAAGTGATCAGCCTGCCTCAACCTCCCAAAGTGCCGGTATTACAAGTCTGAGTCACCACGCCCGGCCTATTTATTTATTTATTATTGAGACAGAGTCTGCTTTGTCGCCCAGACTGGAGTGCAGTGGTGAGATCTCAGCTCACTGCAACCTCTGTCTCCCGAGTTCAAGAGATCCTCTCACCTCAGCCTCCTGAGCAGCTGGGACTACAGGTATGTGCCGCCATGCCTGGCTAATTTTTGTATTTTTTGGTAGAGATGGGGTTTCACCATGTTGGCCAGCCTGGTCTTGAACTCCTGAGCTCAAGCAGTCTGCCCACCTCAGACTCCCGAAGTGCTGGGATTACAGGCATGAGCCACCGCATACAGCCTATTTATTTTTGAGACAGGATCTGGCTCTATCACACAGGCTGAAGTGCAGTGGCGCAATCACAGCCCACTGCAGCCTCGACCTCCCAGGCTCAAGTGATCCTCCCACCTCAACCTCCCAAGTTGCTGGGACCACAGGCATGAGCTACCACACCTGTCTAACTTTTGTGTTTTGGGGAGAGACAGGGTTTCACCACGTTTCCCAGGCTGGTCTCAAACTCCTGGGCTCAAGTGATCCACCTGTCTCAGTCTCCCAAAGTGCTAGGATAACAGGCATTAGCCACCGTGCCCAGCCCATATTTATTCATTTAAAAATAGCAATGGCCTGGGAAACATGGTGAAACCCTGTCTCTACAAAAAAAAAAATTTTTTAATTAGCTGGGCATGGCCAACACCTGTAGTCCCAGCTACTTGAGAGGCTGAGGTGGGAGGATCACTTGAGCTTAGGAAGTCAAGGCTGCAGTGAGCAGTGATCACACCACTGCACTCCAGCCTGGGTGGCAGAGTGAGACCCTGTCTCAATATAAATAAATAACAATGAACTCATTACGTTTTATGAAAAATAACTATTTTCCAAAACAAAAAACTGTGAGAAGAGTAGCATTTTAACATTTTTGAAAATATCTGGCAGCTGTAGTCTCATGTCAGCGTCTGCATTCAGTCTGTTGTTATATGTCATGTAACTTATGGAAAGTTCCACTGTACTCTCATGAGAGAGAATAGATTTTTATGAAATTATAGAATTATTCTGAAGATAGTTTTGACCTTGTAGACCTACTGAAAGGGTCTCTGGATCCCCCAGGGGTCTCTAAACCACACTTTGAGAAATGCTGATGTAGCAGAAATGATGAATGCCAGGCTCTGGAAATTGACCACCCTAGGTACCTATTTTTTTTTTTTTTTTTTTTGGAGATGGAGTCTCGCTCTGTTACCCAGGCCAGAGAGAGTGCAATGGCGTGATCTCAGCTCATTGTAATTTCCGCCTCCTGGGTAAAAGCAATTCTCCTGCTTCAGCCTCCTGAGTAGCTGGGGTTACAGGCACACACCACCACGCCTGTCTAACTTTTTGTATTTTTAGTAGAGATGGGGTTTCACCATGTTGGATAGGCTGGTCTCGAACTCCTGACCTCGTGATCCGCCCGCCTCAGCCTCCCAAAGTGCTGGGATTACAGGCATGAGCCACCGCGCCTGGCCTAGATACCTGTTTTATAAGTTATACCAAATACCAACCTTTTGTATGATGTAGAATTAATACTTTCTCAAAAGCTATAATTTCAAATAATTTCACTTTCTTCAGTAAGGTAATTCATTAACTGTGTATAACTAAATCTATATATTTAATTTTTATCACAAATTAGAAAAGATTATTTTCCAATCACATCTGGAAAATATAATAAAGCTTCATTCTGTAGCACAAAATAAACAATCAACAAGTATTTGTCAAATGTTCTTTTTTTTTTTTTTTTTTTGAGACGGAGTCTCACTTTGTCGCCCAGGCTGGAGTGCAGTGGCGCGATCTCGGCTCACTGCAAGCTCCGCCTCCCGGGTTCATGCCATTCTCCCGCCTCAGTCTCCCGAGTAGCTGGGATTACAGGCGCCCGCCACCACGCCCGGCTAATTTTTTGTATTTTTAGTAGAGACGGGGTTTCACCGTGGTCTCGATCTCCTGACCTCGTGATCCGCCCACCTCGGCCTCCCAAAGTGCTGGGATTACAAGCGTGAGCCACTGCGCCCGGCTGTCAAATGTTCTTACGCTCCATATAGCTGGAACTGACTGGATATGAGTAGCTTTATGCTTTTCACCGAACTCTGAACTAACGAGGGCAGGATGTGAGCTAATGACAATTCTAGATTGTTAAGTCCACTCCATGATCCAGATAATAGTAATTTTAAAATTGGCTTCACCGAGGTGAGCAGAATATAGACCTGTTATATCAAAGAGTATTTCTTGCTTCTCACTTTCTGCTGGAGGTACCAGAGAGTACCCAGACTGAAATATGTTTCTAGTGAAATAATAATAGCTACTCTTTAATGAATGTTTGCTAAGTGTCAGGTATTGGTGTAGGCATACATTGTTTCATTTTATCTTTAAAATAACCCTGTGAGGTAGATATTATCTCCATTCTATGGGTATGTAACAGTCACAAGGTCTTTCAGCTGGTAAAATCTGTCTAACTGCAGATCTGAGTTTTAATCAGCTGACTGCCTCTGGATTAAAGAAGCCTGGGTTAGGGGTAAGAGTAGGAATTGGAAAGGCTGTTTTCTGCCTTTGGATTTTCATGCAATTATGTCGATAGGAGAAAGGAGGAGACAGGGTTTTTAGATGATTTTTATCTCTGATATGGCATCAACTCAACAACAAAGAATGACGGCCTCATTTACTCTTCTGAATGCTGATTAATTTTGGGTCAGAATTGACCTCCAATACAACAAGAGTGGGTTTCACTAAAACATGTTGCTTGTCAGTTACTGAGCAACTGCTGAGCATAGTACCTTGGTAAATATAAAAGCAGTCTATTTGTGTTTACAAGGAGTTTAAACATGAGTTGGGGGTTAAATATTATTGGTATACAGAATAGTATACCAGTAAATGTAAATTAAGGTATCCACTGGCATTGGCCTTTGAATGGAACTATTTTTTTTTTCCCCCCCACCGGTGTAAAAGAGAATGTGTTACAGATGTGGCTAAATTTATGCTCTGAATAAATATTACTCTATGGCTCAGGAACTTTGGTGATAAGGTAAAAAGTTTTCATAGAGGGAGATAAAGTTTCTTATTCTCAATCCCTCCTTTAGAGATAATATATTCTAGGTTCAAATGCAGCTCAAGAAAATAGGTTAACGGCACTCCATTTTACACCTCCCAGTCATATTTTCATTATGGGACTCCTTAAGATGCTAAGGGCTAAAACTGGTTTTGACTTATCCTGAAAGTGGCAATATAGAGTTTTCCTAGTGCTGATGTTCTTAAAAATCTCTGATTACGGGGGAGAGTGAGATCTTTCTTGAAGAACCAAGGAATAGTTCCTCAATTTTCAAAGATTCAAAAGTTGGAAATTAATTATAATCAATCAATGATAACATCATAGAATCTTAGATATACAAAAAAATCTTAGAAATCATCTCATATAACCTCTTTTTATTTTTTATTCTTCTTCTTTTTTTTTTTTTTTTTTTTGAGACGGATTCTCACACTGTCGCCTGGGCTGGAGTGCAGTGGCACAATCTCGGCTCACTGCAACCTCCGCCTCCAGGGTTCAAGCAATTCTCCTGCCTCAGCCTCCCAAGTAGCTGGGATTACAGGCGCCCACCACCACGCCCAGATAATTTTTTTTTGTATTTTTAGTAGAGACGGGGTTTCACTATGTTGACCAGGCTGGTCTCCAACTCCTGACCTTGTGATCCTCCTGCCTCAGCCTCCCAAAGTGCTGGGATTACAGGCGTGAGCCACCACGCCCGGCTTTTTTATTCTTTTTAAAAATTTAAATCCTTGGGACTCTGCTTGATATAACCTCTTCTTTTAGATGATGAAACCAAGACCCAAGAGGTAAGTGATTTTACCAAGTTTATATGCCTTATTAGTAGATCTGAGACTACGATAGAGTGCTAATAGGTGATTTCCTTCTCACCTTTCCTAGCTTCCTGATTTCTTTCTTCTCGACTCCTGAAAGATCTAAGTATTTCCATAATCTCTTGGTTAGGCAGGAAGGTATCCAAGATCCAGGATATCTATATGCAGGAAGAGCTTAGTCTCAGTTCTACTTTTCCCTCCAATTAAGATCTTGGTCTTTTGATGTAAGGAAACTGCCATTTATTAATCACCTCCTTTGTGCCAGGGTCTTTCATATACATTATCTCACTGAATTACTTACAAGATTCTTATGAAGTAGATTAGTGGTTCTCACATTTTAATGGACATGTGAATCACCTGGGGATCTTGTTAAAATGCAGATTCTGATTTTGCAAGTCTGAGATGGGCTCAAGATTATGCATCTCTAAAAAGCTTCCAGCCAGCACAGTGGCCCACGCCTGTAATCCCAGCATTTTGGGAGACTGAGGCTGGTGAACATTGTCACCCTAAAGAAGTGATAAATGTTGAAAGTGATGGATATGGTAATTACCCCAGTTTCATCATTATACTATGTATACATGCATTGAAACATCACATTGTACCCCATAAATATGTACAATTATTATGTGTCAACTATAAATAAAATTTTTTTAAAAAGAATTGGCCCGTGGGTTTTCTCCATTACAGATTTATTGCCAAACCCTGTGCACTCTGTATTGGCATCGAGGACAGTGGTCCTTATCAGGCCCAACCCAATGCCATCCTTGAAAAGGTGTTCATATCTATTACCAAGGTAAGTGGGCAAAGAAACAGAGAGGAATATTCACATAAGGCGTTGCTCCATGGGGCAGGGGAGGATAGAGAGCACGTACCTCTAAGGGTAAGGATAGGATGGGATGGTCCTTCATATTTGAGTAGTCCATGTAGCTATATGGAGAGCTTTATCCCCTCAGGGAAAACCTTTGGGCCCTACGTATGTCAAGTTTACGTACGTAGTAGGTTTGAGTTTTAGGCCCAGCAGCCACCCTTACCCCTCTTTCCCCAGACACATACCATATCTGGTTTTTGTTTTTCCTTGTTCCAGTTTCTGTCACTGCCTAGTTGTGTGATCGAGATGGAGACAGTACTGATAGCCTTTGCAGTTTGGGTTTTTTGTTTTTTGGAGAGACAAGGTTTTGCCATGTTGCCCAGGCTGGTCTCGGACTCCTGGGCTCAAGCCATCCTTCGGCCCTCAGCCTTCAAAAATCCCAGGATTACAGGCATGAGCCACCATGCCTGGCCTGCAATTTGGGTTTTTAATATCCTTTTTTACTCAGCTTGGGCTGGAGGAAGAGACAAAAGGATATGTATAGGTGAGCAGTACAGGTCCTTGATATGTAAGATAAAATTTCTTACTAAAAATGACTTTGGGATAAAACTTGGAAAGATAAACATCACTTGAGCCACTTATGGCTATCATACCTTGTCGCTCAGCTAGTCAATGGGATTGAAGGAGGGGTATGAGGAGACGGGTGTTCTGACTCTGGTTATACATTCACAGTATCCTGATAAGAAAAGGCTGGAGGGCCTGTCAAAGCAGCTGGATTGGAATGTCCGAAAAATCCAATGCTGGTTTCGCCATCGGAGGAATCAGGACAAGCCCCCAACGCTTACTAAATTCTGTGAAAGCATGTAAGTACGCAAGGAGGGAGGGAGGGAATAAGGAAGACGGTGGGATACAACTGGACTGAAGTTTCTGTTTTGAACATCACTTCTGTTGTTAGGACAACAGTTAATGGATATAGAGAACTAACTCAGCCTATTATAGGTAGGAAAGAAGGGAACTGGAACACTGATTCCCTTAAGTTTCTTGGGCATGTTGCCACTAAGCTAGGTGTGGTTCTATTTTGTTCCCTTTTCCTAAATAGATTGGGAGTAAATCCTTATAACTGTACTTATGTAAGTAGATGTACTAACACATGTATACCTTAATAGAGGGAGTACTAGCTTGCTTGCTATAAGTTGACAATTTTTAGGAAGCATTCCTTTTCTGGGAAATACTATTTTTCATTTTATTGAGCTTTTTCTCATTATCCTGTCTGTGAGCACTGTATTAGTAATTGTCATGTAAAGAAAAATGCTAGGGAGTCTGATGATACAGCCTAATATTTTCCTAATGAAAGATGACGCTGCTTTGGCTTTTTTTTTTTTTTTTTTGAGACGGAGTCTTGCTCTGTCACCAGACTGGAGTGTAGTGGCACAGTCTCTGCTCACTGCAACCTCCGCCTCCCATGTCCAAGCGATTCTCCTGCCTCAGCCTCCTGAGTAGCTGGGACTACAGGTGCACGCCACCATGCCCAGCTAATTTTTGTATTCGTAGAGACAAGGTTTCACTATGTTGGCTAGGATAGTCTCGATCTCTTGACCTGGTGATGCACCTGCCTCGGCCTCCCAAAGTGCTGGGATTACAGGTGTGAGCCACCACTCCTGGCCCCTGTCTTTGGCTTTTTAAATGACAGTAGTTGCCTATTCTAGGAATTGATCCTCTTTCTCACCAGTAACTCTTATCCCCAAATTTGCTATCTTGACTTCCGTAGCCTCAGAGGCTTTGGTTTGAGTGGACATTTGTCTAACCTTTACTCTTTGCCCACCCAGGTGGAGATTCACATTTTATTTATGTATATTCTGCTATGGAATTAGATTTCTCTGGTCGGTGAGTCTTAACTTTCTCTAGTCCTCTGTTGGGTTCTAATCATGCCTAGATCTCTAGAAGTAAGAGTTAAATACCTTTAGATTTTTTTCTTTTCTTTTTTTTTTTTTTTTTTTGAGACGGAGTCTTGCTCTGTCACCCAAGCTGGAGTGCAGTTGTGGAATCTCAGCTCACTTGCAACCTCTGCCTGTTGGGTTCAAGAGATTCTCTTGCCTCAGCCTCCCGAGTAGCTGGGACTACAGGTGCACATCACCATACCTGGCTAATTTTTGTATTTTTAGTAGAGACGGGGTTTCACCATGTTGGCCAGGCTGGTCTTGAACTCCTGACCTCAGGTGATCCACCCGCCTTGGCCTCCCAAAGTGCCAGGATTTCAGGCATGAGCCACTGAGCCTGGCCTAAATACCTTTAGATCTTTATATTTCCCCCAACTTTTCCTCTGTGATGCCCACAGCCCAGGTTTATATCCTAATAGATTGTCTTCTGTCTGGGGCCTGACTTCAGTAACTTTATAACTTTACTGCTTCTCCCCTAGAAGATACTAATAATACTAGTAATAACTAAATCAGCATAATACTTAATGGTTTACAAAGCACTTGACAAAAATTGAAGGAGGAGAAATGGAATAAACCCTTTAAAGTGGGTGAAACAGGTATTATTCCTACTTTTTAGTTAATTGTCAGAATCAAAGAAGAATTTCAGGGGGCCAGGCACAGTGGCTCACACCTGTAATTTTAACACTTTGGGAGGCCAAGATGGGCAGATCATTTGAACCCAGGAGTTCAAGACCAACCTGGGCAACATGGTGAAACCCCGTCTCTACAAAAAGCTACAAAAATTAGCCTGGCGTGGTGGCGTGCACCTGTAGTCCCAGCTACTCAAGAGGCTAAGGTAGGAGAATCGCTTGAGCCCAGGAGGTCAAGGTTGCAGTGAGCCGTGATGGAGCCGCTACATTCCAACCTGGGTGACAGAGCAAGACTCTGCCTCAGAAAAAGAAGGAAGAAGAATTTTAGGCTTTTTGATTCTTTAGTTCATGTTTTTTTCCCCATACCATACTGTTTCTCTCTAAATGATATCATTGTGTTTTCAAAATATTATAGACAAAAAGCTGGCAGAACTAAAGGAAGAGAATAGACAAATATACAGTTGTATTTGAAGATTTTAATACTTTTCTCTCAGTAATTGACCTAAACCCTAGGCAAAAAAAAAAAAAAAATCACTAAGGGTGTAAAAGATATGAATGACATGATCAACCAGTTTTACCTTATTGACATTTATAAAACACTACACCAACAGCTGAAGAATACATATAATTTTCAAGTGCATGTAGAAAGATAAACTAATGCTGGGCCATAAAATAAGTCTCAGTAAATTTCAAAATATTGAAATCTTAAAGAATGTGTTCTCTGACCATAACGGAATTAAATTACAAGTCAATTGTAATGAGAGACATGGAAAACATTTGGAATTCGCCTGCATGAGGTTGCTCACACCTGTAATCCTAGCACTCTGGGAGGCTGAGGCAGGCAGGTTGCCTGAGTTCAGGAGTTCAAGACCAGCCTGGGCAACAGGGCAAAACTCTATCTCTACTAAAAATACAAAAAATTAGCCGGGCATGGTGGCACGTGCCTATAATCCCAACTGCTGGGGAGGCTGAGGCACGAGAATCGCTTGAACCTTGGAGGCAGAGGTTGCAATGAGCCAAAATCATGCCACTTCACTCCAGCCTGGGTCTCTGTCTGTCTCAAAAAAAAAAAAAAAAAAAAAAAAATTTGGAAGTTAAACAACTCTTCTCAATAACCTGTGGATCAAATAAAAAATCACAAGAGAAGAAAATATTTTTAATTGAATCATGCTAAAAATCATATCAAAATTTCTGGGATACAGATAAAACATACTTAGAGGGAAATTTATAGCTTTAAATGTTTATATTACAAAAGGTTTAAAGTTGATCTAAATTTCTGCTTTAGGTTCTTGAAAAAGATAAGCAAAATAGGTTAAAGTAAGGAAATAATAAAAAATAAGCAGAAATTGGCCAGGCGTGGTGGCTCACCCCTGTACTCCCCTCACTTTGAGGCTAAGGTAGGAGGATCACTTAAGCCCAGGAGTTCGAGATCAGCTTGGGCAAGATGGCGAGATCCAGTCTCTATAGTGAGACCCCATTTCTAAAAAATGATAATAAAGTAAGTAAGTGGAAATTAATGTAATAGGCATTAGAAAAACAATGGATACATTTGTGGGGTTTTTGTTTGTTTGTTTGTCTGAGACAGAGTCTCACTCTGTCTCCCAGGCTGGAGTGCAGTGGTACAATCTCGGCTCACTGCAACCTCTGCCTCCTGGGTTCAAGTGATTGTCCTGCCTCAGCCTTCCTAGTAGCTGGGACTACAGGAATACGCCACCAGGCCCAGCTAATTTTTGTATTTTTGGTAGAGACAGATTTTCATCATGTTGCCGGGCTAATCTTGAACTCCTAACCTCAGGTGATCCTCCCACCTCGACCTCCCAAAGTGCTGGGATTACAGGCGTGAGCCACCACGCCTGGCCTGTTTTGTTTTGTTTTGTTTTGTTTTTTAAAGACAGGGTCTTACTCTGTCACCCAGGCTGAAGTGCAGTTGCGTGATCACAGCTCACTGCAGCCTCAACTTCCCAGGCTCAGGCAATGCTACCACCTCAGCCTCCCAGGAAACTTGGGACTACAGGCATGTGCACAACCACACCGGGCTAATTTTTGTATTTTTTGTAGAGATGGGGTTTTACTCTGTTGCCCAAGTTGGTCTTGAACTCCTGGGCTCAAGCAATCCACCCACCTCACCCTCCCAAAGTGCTAGGATTAACAGGTGTGAGCTACTGTGCCTGGCCATGGATAAAATTAATAAAGCCAAAAGTTCATTCTTTGAAAGGTTTGATTAAAATTGACCAACTCCAACAAAAAAAGGAAATATGAATTATCAATATGGAAAGGGTTATCACTACAGATCCTATAGTCATTGAAAGGATAATAAGACAGTATTATGAACAATTTAATGATAAGAAATCCAGCAGCAAAGATGATGTAGACAAACTCCTTAAAGGACATAATCATTATTCCATTAGAGATGATTACTTTTGACTTCTGAACATGGCATGGAGATATCTTTCTTGGTTATCAAATGAATCATTGTCTTCCTGTATATATATTCCAGGTAGTGATATTTCCTAAAACTAGCCTAAAGCTCTCACTGTTCTTATTTACCTCAAAGCATTGTTTTTCTATTTATAACATTCTGTTGTAGAAGAACAGTCTAGCTATTTATTGATCCTTTAGGGAGCCCTAAAATCTGTTTGGGGGCTTTTCTGTCCTCTTTTGCCCCAGCCTAGAGAGAAGGGGATTATATGAGGTAGATCTTGAAGCCAGGTGAGAATCTTGAGGACTGACATGGATTATCTGTTTTCTCTTAGTCACCTTGGTTCTGGGACATCCGACAGTGCTGGCATAACTATCCATTTCAGGTAGGATCTGAGTCGTTTCAGGATAGGGGTCTTGAATGTGTATAAGGTGGAGTGAGTGAGGGTCCTTTGCCAGTCCCCAGGACAGATGGTGCGTTTCCTTGGGATTGAGGGATTAGGGACTGAGTCCCTTTAAGTCATATTCAGGGTATCTATTTTTTTTTCCCCCCCACTGCTAAGAGTCATATGAGGTATCTATTCCTGAGGCCCCCATAGCAATGAAATCCAATGAGTTTTTTGTTCTGATTTTCCCCATTTAATTCCCCCTAATTGGGCTAAAAGAAAAGCAAGTTTCTGGTATTTAATGAGGTACTTTCTGGTTCAGGTGTCTTTTTTGTATCAAGGGTAACTTGGAATCCCAGTAGAGCATCTTGGTTGTAACCTATACTGGAAATATGTCTAGGAACTGCTAAAGGGGTGGAAGAGAAGGCCTATGTGTATTTAATCCTGTGAAAAGCACTAATTGCCCAGAATCCTAGACATACTGATTTGATTGTGTTACAGTATGTGTTAACTGTATCTCATCTCTGCAAGATGAGAGCTGAAGATGTGTGTGCAGAGGAGCAAGGGAAGAGGCTTAAGTCTCTACACCAATCCAAAGTCTGTTAGCTATTGCATATCTTGGCAGATAATGGGGAGGAGAGATGTCTAATAATTTGGGGTATTGGTCCTCCAAGGCAGAGAAAGTTGGAGAGATGGAATGCACCTTTGACTAGCCGGTAATCTAACTACTTCTTTCTCTCTTCCAGCCTCTTTCAAGTGGGCTTTATCACTATTATATCATGGAATTGGCCTTCTATTGGTCCCTTATGTTTTCTCAGTTTACAGACATTAAAAGAAAGGTAAGGACGTTGGCTCCCTCAATTCCCCAACTTATTACATCCTCCTTTCTAGCAGCTTCCATGACTGCCATTACGATGTATTATCTTCCCTGAGACTGCAAAAGGAGAAACTGGGTTTGATGGACTCTTAGCTTGTCGTAATGTTCCCAGAAATGAGACTGAATTAATGATGAAGTATATTTAAGACATTCAGGGAAGCCCCAGGATGAGAACAATTAACCAGCTAAGAAGCATACTTTTTTCCATATTCTTCTTTAAGCTTCTTACATATCTAAAGCTCAGGAAACTAGTCAGAATTGGGGGATAGCAATGCCTTATTCAGAAAAAATGTCTGATTCCAGAAAAGCTGGATATGGCTTTCACATGGCATTAGGGACCCTTGCTCTCTCTGTTCTCCCTTTCTGGTTACCCCACTTACTCAAAGAAAGTCAATTGGAAGGGGTTTTGCTCTCTTCCTGCTATTGTTTAGGAAGCAAAGATTGAGAGAAGTGAGCTGACTTGCCCAGATAGTGACAGAGTTGGAAATGACTTAAGTTTTACACAACTTAAGTCATTTAAAGGCAGAATCTTTACCTTTTTATTAGTGTCTACCTGAAATAATGTGGTTCTAGCAGCTCTAACCCTAATCTGTCACTAACTCAGGGTTATCTTTGATGAAGAAAACCAGGGTTAGCATTTATGGGAATGAATTAAAACTTACCCAGGTTGTTAGTGTTATCTAACATAGAAACTTGATACTCAATTTTTATGCCTTTTACTCTCCTATGGTCAGAAGACACAGGTCACTTTATTAAAATTTTATTTTAATTGTGATACATATAAGAAAGTTTGAAATACATATTTAAGTTTTAAAAATAATAAACTGAGAAGTATTTAATAGATGTGTCTGATAACTCAAGTATTTAGAGACTTCCCCAGGTCTAACTTGACATTTGAACCCAAGAGGAAATTAGAGCCACAAACCTCTCCCTTCCATTAGGTCCTTGTGGTTGACGTTTCTCTCATTAAAGCAGAAGAGTCATAGAATCTCAGGGAACTCTAAGGCTTGTATGTCTTACTGGGATGTTATCCCCAAGTGTCAGCTTAGCATCCATGCTATACGTATTCTGCAGTTACCAAAGGAAATTTTTACTTTCTGGCCTCTGAGCTGCATTAACATAGAGTATGGGTCAGTCACTGATGTAGGGAGTGTTCAGTTAAATGCTAGGTAGCCAAGGGAGAGTCTAAGCAGAATGGAAACTTTTTTTTTTTTTTTGAGACGGAATCTCAGTCTGTCGCCCAGGCTGGAGTGCAGTGGCGCGATCTCAGCTCACTGCAACCTCTACCTCCCAGGTTTGAGCAATTCTCCTGCCTCAGCCTCCCGAGTAGCTGGGATTACAGGCACATGCCACCAAGCCCGGCTTATTTTTGTATTTTTAGTAGAGACGGGGCTTCCCCATGTTGGCCAGGCTGGTCTCGAACTCCTGACCTCAGGTGATCCGACCACCTTGCCCTCCCAAAGTGCTGGGATTACAGGCATGAGCCACCTCGCCCGGCCAATGGAAACTATTCTATATGGGGTGGGGTAAGATTCTTAGAGAATAATGCAGGACGTTGGGTTGGCTGGTGTTTCTAGGGCCCAGCTTTTACCTCCCTCTTCTATTTCCATTCCTTCCTAGGACTTCCTGATCATGTTTGTGCATCACTTGGTCACCATTGGGCTTATCTCCTTCTCCTACATCAACAATATGGTTCGAGTGGGAACTCTGATCATGTGTCTACATGATGTCTCAGACTTCTTGCTGGAGGTAAAAACCCAATCTCTCTTTCTCCATCTTCTTCTTCTCTTCTTTTCTTCCTATGTGAGGAATGACTTTCTCCCCAGCTCAATTCTTTCTTCCTTTCTCCAGGCAGCCAAACTGGCCAATTATGCCAAGTATCAGCGGCTCTGTGACACCCTTTTTGTGATCTTCAGTGCTGTTTTTATGGTTACACGACTAGGAATCTATCCATTCTGGTAAGTGGTAGGGCTGTAGAGTTGTGGTAGGTATGAGCCTAATGATACCTTTTTGCCAATTCTCATTTTGCCCATTCAGTTTTTCTGTTCTATTCTATTCTACTTTCGCCAATAGAACACAAGAACCCTATTGCCCTGCTTTTACCTTAGCCTGTGCTGACCTTCTGTGGACTCTCATAGGACCTCTGCTGCCTCAGACCGTATTTCTAGCAAGGTCGGATCCAGACTCAGAGTACCCGGCTTGGTTGGCTTCTCAGGACTGACTCATCTCTGAGGAACAGTCCTCATTTTATGCCTAAGTAATTCCTTTGACTTCTTTTGCACTGTTGATACAATTCTCAGTCCCTTCTTGCTTGTGTTCCTGCTCTGGTCCCAACCCTGACACACACACACACACACACACACACACACACACACACACACTCCTCTCTCTCTCTTCCTCCCTCTCCTCTCTCTCCCTCCCTCCCCTCTCTCCCTCCCTCCTCTCTCTCTCCCTCCCTGTCCTCCTCTCTCTCCCTCCCTCTCCTCTCTCTCTCTTCCTCCCTCTCCTCTCTCTCCCTCCCTCCCCTCTCTCTCCCTCCCTCCTCTCTCTCTCCCTCCCTCTCCTCTCTCTCCCTCCCTCCCTCTCCTCTCTCTCCCTGTCTCCTTTCACTTTTACATTCACTGCTCTATGGGAATCAGCTACCTACTGTCCTATCCTATATGTGCCTGAGGAGCTCAGTCATTCATAGGATTAGAGTCCCACTGCTGTCCTAATTTCGTGAAACTCTGGATATTTGAAGTGATTAATAATGTGACTTAATCCATCAGTTCCTAAGATTTATATATCTTTCTCTGTCCCTAAGGATAGAAAACACAACAGGCTCCTCCCTTTCTTTATTTTCTTACTGTGGATGACGGTCCCTGGAACTTCAGCTGATAAAAGGGCTGGTAGGAAAACACACAGGGCTCTGCATCCCCAGGACTCAGCTTCATCCCTGTCTGCTGAGCTTTGACTCTAGAATCTGACTATTGGCCTCCCTCTTCTAGGATTCTGAACACGACCCTCTTTGAGAGTTGGGAGATAATCGGGCCTTATGCTTCATGGTGGCTCCTCAATGGCCTGCTGCTGACCCTACAGCTTCTGCATGTCATCTGGTCCTACCTAATTGCACGGATTGCTTTGAAAGCCTTGATCAGGGGAAAGGTGAGGATGAAAGATGGCTTCTTTCTTTTGGGTATGGAAGATAGGGATTACTCAACAGACGTTCTCTCTCCATCAAACCTGGTGAGCCCCATCTACTCAAGCAGGCCAAGCAAAAAGCCTAGGGCTCCAAAGTCTTCGCCTCTTCGGTAAGTGTTTTGCCTTTTTTATTTTAGAGACAAGGTCTTGCTCTGTCACCCAGGCTGGAGTTCAGTGGCATGATCATAGCTTACTGCAGCCTCACACCTGGGCTTGGATTCTCCCACTGCAGCCTCCCAAGTAGCTGGGACTATAGGTGTGCACCACCACGCCTGGCTAATTTTCTTATTTTTTGTAGATAGGGTGTCACTATGTTACCCAGGCCAATGTCCAACTACTGGCCTCAAGCAGTCCTCCCACCACGGCTTCCCAAAGCGATGGAATTACAGGTGTGAGCCACCACACCAAGCCTGTTTTACCTTTTTTTTTTTTTTTTTTCAGATGGAATCTCGCTCTGTTGCCCAGGCTGGAGTGCAATGTCACGATCTTGGCTCACCACAACCTCCACCTCCTGGGTTCAAGCGATTCTCCTGCCTCAGCCTCCCTAGTAGCTGGGATTACAGGCGCATGCCACCAGGCCTGGCTAATTTTTGTATTCTTAGTAGAAACGGGGTTTCACTATGTTGGCCAGGCTGGTCTCTAACTCCCGACCTTGTGATCTGCCCACCTTGGCCTCCCGAAGTGCTGGGATTACAGGCGTGAGCCACCGCACCTGGCCTGCCTGTTTTACCTTTTAAGATGTGACTTAGACGCAAGAGGAAAGTTCTACCTTCTTCCTGTCCCTTAGGAATGGCTTTTGTTAAAGGATGATAGGGTTAAGAGTTTTTTAAGAGATGGCCTCAACCATTTCCTACCCCTTACCTACCTGCTTCAGTGGATTTCATATTTTTCTTTTTGACATGGGGCCCTTTTCAAAGGAAATCATATGCAGAACCATATAAACTGTATAAAAGCAGATTGTTAAGTTGCCTAGAAGTGGTGTGTGGTAGTTCACAAGCCACCACAAGGTGACCATGCTGTGATATTCAAGATATGGTTTATATAAGGAACTAAATACCCACCTCACCCCACTAGTGTATGAGGCAAGTGTCCTAAGTGAATGGGTATGTAGTGTTTCAAATACCCATCTTATGCCAAGAGCGAAAGAAAGGTGCCACTTAATGATAAACTCATAATTGAACTTTGCAAGTTTTGAAGCAGTCAGACTGTAGTCAAAGGGCTAGGGATTTCAGCCTAAAGGAATACAGAATCCCAAGTGGGAGGGGCTCTGCTTGAGCAGGTACTGATACTAGGACCAAGTGATGGAATGTGGCCTAGATATTGATGATCTCCTGCATCATTATTCCTTATAGCTGCCATTGGCTCAGAACTTGCTCAGTGTGCCTGTGCATCTTGCTGTAGCTACTGGACATCTCTGTTCTCTCCTGCTTTTCTTTCCTGACTAGGTGACCTGTCCAGGAAGGATTAGACCCTGTACTCTCCACTCTTTCCTCACCTCCTTCCTTTTTTCTATGCCTGGCGGGAGCTGGACAGTTTCATCTCTTGCATGTAAGTGTATCTGTGCTTCTAGTATTCAGTGAGGCATGTCCATCTGAATGTGGTTCTCTTTCCTCCTGCTCTCCTTTCTGTTCCCTTGTGTTTGTCTCAGAGCATGCCCTCTCTCCTGACTTTTCGGGGCCATTATTGACTAGAGCTGCAGTTGCCAGATTTTTTCCTAAACTGAGGCAAGAATTGAGTCTACTTTTTTTTGTTTTTCTTGAGTCTCTGTTTACCTCAAATCTAGAGACACTCTGCCCTCTAGTGGAAATTTCCTAAAGGTCAGGTAATCAGTTAGTCATCTAAGTTCAGAGGCCAACAGCTATAATCAACTGTAGAAGACCCATCCAACACAAATTCAAGGAGCTGATCCAAAGCAAATGCCCACCTCCTTGGCAACAGTTGTTACAGCTGTGTTCCTTTTCACTTCCTTCTCTCCTTTACTTAAACCACATTTATTATCCTTCAGTTCTGGAGGTCAGAAGTCCGACACAGGTCTCACTGGATTTCTGTTCTTTACTATTAGAGTCCAGGGTAATTTTTTTTTTTTAATTTTTATTTATTTATTTTTGAGACAGAGTTTAGCTCTTGTTGCCCAGGCTGGAGTGCAATGGCGTGATCTTGGCTCACTGCAACCTCTGCCTGCCCAGTTCAAGCGAGTCTCCTGCCTCAGCCTCCTGAGTAGCTGGGATTACAGGCATACGCCACCACGCCTGGCTAATTTTTTTGTATTTTTAGTAGAGACGGGGTTTCTTCATGTTGGTCTGGCTGGTCTCGAACTCCCGACCTCAGGTGATGCGCCCACTTCAGCCTCCCAAAGTGCTGGGATTACAGGCGTAAGCCACCATGCTCGGCCCTTTTTTTTTTTAGAGACAAGGTTTTGCTCCATTGCCCAGGCTGGAGTACAGTGGCGCAATCATGGCTCACTGCAGCCTCGACCTCCTGGGCTCAAGAGATGCTCCTGCCTCAGCCTCCCAAGTAGCTAGGACTACAGGTGCATGTCACCATGCCCAACTGATTTTGTCATTTTTTATTTTTTGTAGAGACAGGGCTCTCTCCATGTTGCCCAGGCTGGTCTCAAACTCTTGGGCTCAAGCTGTCCTCCTCCCTCAGCCTCCCAAAGTGCTAGGATTATAGGTGTAAGCCACTGTGCCTGGCTCATGGTGGAGAAATTGAAATACTTTGCTTGATATGCAGGATAGTTTAGATTAGGAAATGCTGCTGTAATCCAAATGCTTCATTTGAAAATAATACAAAACAAAAAAACCCAGGTTAATAAGCATTCACAGATGGTAGCATGATTAGAACTGGGATTCTTTTCTCATTGACTGCCAATCCATTTGTGTTTTCACTATACTGTGTATCTTGGGGATGCTGAAGTTTCTTTTTTTTTTTCTTTTTTTTTTTTTTTTTTTGAGATGGAGTCTCACTCTGTCGCCCACGCTGGAGTGCAGTGGCACGATCTCAGCTCACTGCAACCTCCACCTCCGGGGTTCAAGAGATTCTCCTGCCTCAGCCTCCTGAGTAGCTGGGATTACAGGTGCGCGCCACCACACCCGGCTAATTTTTGTATTTTTAGTAGAGACAGGGTTTCTCCATGTTGCTCAGGCTGGTCTCAAACTCCTGACCTTGTGATCCGCCTGCCTCGGCCTCCCAAAGTGCTGGGATTACAGGCGTGAGCCACCACGCCCAGCCAGGGATGCTGAAGTTTCATAAGAAAAGTGATCTTGCTATTGGGAAAGGGAAGAAGATTGGAAAACAGTGTCATAGGATAGTGGTAGTTGAGCCCAGGAGTGGGAAACTACTAAAAAAGGCCTGTTATGGATCAGCTTTGGGGATAAAGCAAAACAGCATAACCAATACGAATAAATGCATTGTCCACAACCACCAGAAGATAGAAGCATTGCTGACAGTCATACGTATTGTTCGTGTTGGCCTTCCCTGTTCTTTGAAGTGGAAGAAGAGAAAGGGTGTCTGAAACCTAAACCAGGTCTCAGTGAATGATGTCAGTTCTCTTAGGCTGGTCCTGAAAGACACACTCCTCTACCAAAGTAGCTTCAATTCCACAGAGAACAGAATTGGAGATGACAAGGGAGAAAACTAGAAAGCAGGTAAAGCATAGTCACAACAGTAGCCATAGTCCAGACAATACTTCTTTGAGTTAGATGTCATCAGAAAGCAGACCAGACTGGGAACACAGTGCCCACACCTGGGTCTCTGAGCTTAGGTGTCTTACAGTTCTTTCCTCACTTTTCTGTCTTTGGTCTCATCCCACCCAGGTATCGAAGGATGATCGCAGTGATGTGGAGAGCAGCTCAGAGGAAGAAGATGTGACCACCTGCACAAAAAGTCCCTGTGACAGTAGCTCCAGCAATGGTGCCAATCGGGTGAATGGTCACATGGGAGGCAGCTACTGGGCTGAAGAGTAAGGTGGTTGCTATAGGGACTTCAGCACACATGGACTTGTAGGGCCACTGGCAACATACTCCTCTTGGCCCTTCCCATATCTACTCTTCTGTGATTGGGAGACTGCAAGGCACTGAGGAGTATCAAAGAAGCAAATATTTTCACTTTGAAAGAAAACTGCCATTTTGTATTTAATAGCCTCCAGGTTCTTTCAGTAATGTTATTTGCTCTGTGTGTTTTTGTGTGTTTGTTGATGTGCGTTTGTGCATATGCGTGAGTTTCATTGCCGGGGTTGGGGCACAATTGTGGACTGGGGCCATGAGGCCTTCCCTGGTCCCCACTGAACCCACCTTAGTTCCACATTTGGCTGCATCTTGAATTATGCCAACTCCAGACTTCTCCTTCTTTTTTGCCCTTGGCTCTTGACACTCTAAACCCCTGGACCATCTGAATGGAGCAGCCAAGTTCAGTCCCACATTTCTGTACTGTTCCTCTTTCACAGCTGGAATATGTCACATGATGAAGTTGTATAGAAACAGAACCATGGATGGATGGCCAGGATTGCCGTGGTCCCTAGCTAGATCCCCTTCCTATCAATCACCTGATAGCAACAGGGACAGCTGCCAATACCCTGCTCTTTACTCAATGGTACCCAGGGAGGGAGCATGGGAAGAGGGTGAGCTGAGGGCTGGAGGAGGGCAACAGCCACTGGGTGAGCTGTTCACGGTCTTATACTATTGTTTGTTTGTGATTAAAAGTGCTTCAACCCACCTCTACTGTCTCAACCTCTTCAGTGACTCTATCCGCAGTTTCCTGAATCCATAAGCTAATTAAGAGCTTTTCCAGGTCTGATTCAGAAGGCCCTGGACACCAAATTTTTCCTTTCTGTGCATGGTAGGAAGAGTCAGCCAGGGTGCTTACATTTTAGAGCTTTATGTTTTTTAAGAAAAAGAAGAATCACTTGAACCTGGGAGGCAGAGGTTGCAGCGAGCCAAGATCGTGCCACTGCACTCCAGCCTGGGCGACAGACCGAGACTCTGTCTAAAAAAAAAAAAAAAAAAAAAAATTAGGTCATACTTTTAGTTCCTCAACTTGCTATATTGAATAGACTAATATTGTTGTGAAATATGAATGAATATGCTTTTGAAAGTCAGATGAGAAATGTATTTTGCCTTCTGAAATTTGAACAATTGCCTTGTTAATACAAACTGGATTGGTTGGTGTAGCTAATCTGACAAAAGATGCAATTGGATAAAACAATAATAAAAATAATAACTAACACATGACTCATTACATGCTAGGCACTGTATTAAACACATATGACAACAGGAGGCAAAAAGAGGTTAACTTGCTAAGGTCAAGCAGCTAGTAAGGAGTCAAACCCTTACTATTCCTATCTTATTTACCATCCCTCTCTATTCCTAACCACCGTACTATCTATACCATAATCTAATTAACCGCTCTGCAGTGTCTACCAGCACTTCCCAAGATTTCATGAGGAAGATTAGATGTTGCAGAAACATTCAGCGAAAGGCACAGACTGATTATATTAGTTTGCATTGGATAAATGAATTATTAAGATGAGGGCCAACTATCAGAACAGAATCTTGTTCTGAGAAGGAACTGTGTGCATATGGTTGGGGTGGAGGTGACAGGTAGGGTTCTAGAGAGTTTGAATACAGAGCTAGAAGATAACCGTTATTGGTGCTGCAAGACTGTCATAAAACCAGTTTTGTAGATGGCCTGGAGGGACCCAAATTAGTGGAGTAGGTTAGATACAGACTAACATCATCTATACCAGAGAACCAGGAGTATTTTTAAAAGAAGGCGTTACCTCTCATCTATTGGCTATAAAAGGGTTTTAACTTTATTATTATTCTTTTTTATTAGAGATAGGGTCTCACTCTGTCACCCAGGCTGGAATGCAGTGGCTTGATCATAGCTCACTGCAGCCTCGATCTCCTGGGCTCAAACGATCCTCCTGCCTCCCAAGTAGCTTTATTATTAACTGAAAAACGACTTATGTTTGTATAGTGCTTTACTGCTTAGAAAGTGATTTTTTTTTTTTTTTTTTTTTTTGAGACAGAGTCTTGCTCTGTCGCCAGGCTGGAGTACAATGGCACAATCTCGGTTCATCTTCAAGTGATTTTCCTGCCTCAGCCTCCTGACTAGCTGGGACCACAGGTGCGTGCCACCATACCTGGCTAATTTTTATGTTTTTAGTAGAGATGGGGTTTCCCCATGTTGGTCAGGCTGGTCTTGAACTCCTAACCTCAAGTGATCCACCCATGCTGACCTCCCAACATTTTGGGATTATAGGTGTGAGCCACCACGCCTGGCAAAAGTGATTTCACATACAACAATAACTAAAAGGTTTGAAACACTTCTGTTAAAAAAAAAAAAAAAAGAAAAAAGAAAAGAAAAAGAAAGAAAAAACACTGGCTGAGCCAAGTATGTTAAAAAAAAAAAAAAACACTGCTGTAGAAGTAGGATTATCCCCATTCCATAAATGAGTGTTGTGATTATCTATTAATATGTAACAAACCACCCTAAAACATAGTGGTTTAACAGAATATTATTATTGCTCATGATGTGGTTGTTTGGTTGAGCTCAGTTGGAGGTATCTCATGTGGTTGCAGTCAGATTTCAGCTGGGAATGGAGTTATTTATTTGAATGAAGATGCAGGTGCAATGGACGTCCAAGATGATTTACTTACCTAGTTTTGCCTGGCTATCAGTCAATGCTGGATTTTCCCTAGGAGCTCAGTCAGGGCTGTCAACTGAAGTGCCTGTACATGCCTCTCCATTATCTTGGGCTTTGCACAGGTGGCTAGGTTCCAAGAGGCAGGAAGCAGAAGCTGCTAGGACACTTAAGAGTGTTGTCTAGGCTGGGCATGGTGGCTCCTGCCTGTAATCCCAACACTTGAGGAGGCCAAGGCAGAAGGATTGCTTGAGGCCAAGAGTTTGGGACCAGCGTGGGCACAAGGTGAGACCCCATCTCTACAAAAAATTAAAAAATTAGCCAAGTGTTATGGTGTACACCTGTAGTCCCAGCTACTCTGGAGAATCAGGTGGGAGGATGACTTGAGCTCAGGAGTTTGAAGTTAACAGTGAGCAATGACTGCACCACTGCACTGCAGCCTGGGCGACAGAATGAGACCCTGTCTCAAAAAAACAGTGTTGTCTAGTAGTGGCACCCATCACTTCCACTGTATGCTACTGATCAAAGTAATCACAGGGACTGCCCAGATGCAAGGCAGGGTGGTAAGAGACTCTACCTCTTGATGAAGAAGTGGCAAGGTCACTGAAGACCAGTGGAATGGGAGACATTGCTGCAGCCATCTATGAAAGATTCAATATGCCACAATGAGGAAACCTAGTCTCAGAAGTTGTTTAAAAAGGCCAGGTGTGGTGGCTTACCATCTGTAATCCCAGCACTTTGGGAGGCTGAGGGAGGAGGACTGCTTGAGGCCAGGAATTCAAGACCAGCCTGAGCAACAAAGGGAGACCCCATCTCTACAAATAATTTTTTTAATTAGCCACAAGTGGTGCCATGCACCTATGGTCCAGCTACTCAGGAGGCTGAAGTGGGAGGATCTTTTGAGCCTGGAGGTCAAGACTGCAGTGAGCCGTGATTACGCCACTGTACTCCAGCCTGTATGACAGAGTGGACACACTGTTTTGTTTGTCTCAAACAAAACAAAAACAAAAAAACAGATTGTCCATCTAATCCTAAAAATAATTACGTAAGTTTAGTTGGTGGGTGATAAATGAAGTTCTTCAGACTTTAAATCCAGTATTCATGGTCAGGCACAGTGGCTCACACCTGTAATCTCAGCACTTTGGGAGGCAGACGCAGGCAGATCACCTGAGGTCTAGAGTTCGAGACCAGCTTGGCCAACATGGCAAAACCCCATCTCTACTAAAAATACAAAAATTAGCCAGGCACGGTGATTGCCACCTGAAATCCCAGCTACCAGGGAGGCTGAGGCAGGAGAATCGCTTGAACCCGGGAGATGGAGGTTGCAGTGAGCCAAGATCACACCACTGAACTCCAGCCTGAGTGACAGAGTGAGACCCTGTCTAAAAAAAAAAAAAAAAAAAGCCGGGCGCGGTGGCTCATGCCTGTAATCCCAGCACTTTGGGAGGCTGAGGCAGGTAGGTCATGAGGTCAGGAGTTCGAGACCAGACTAACCAATATGATGAAACCCCGTCTCTACTAAAAATACAAAAATTAGCTGGGTGTGGTGGTGCGTGCCTGTAATCCCAGCTACTCAGGAGGCTGAGGCAGGAGAATTGCTTGGAGCTGGGAGATGGAGGTTGCAGTAAGCTGAGATCACGCCATTGCACTCCAGCCTGGGCAACAGAGCAAGAGCGAGACTCCATTTCAAAAAAAAAAAAAAAAATCCAGTATTCATGCAGGAAAATATTTTCAGTTCAGTAACATAGTCATTAAGTACCTACTTTATGATAGGCACTATAGCAGGAGCTACAGACACAAAGATGAACAAGATCTGGTTTCTATCCTCAAAGTGCTCATACTCCAGTAAGGGGGAAATAAAATGCAATGTGATAAGAACTATTCTAAATTATTCTTGGCAAGGTGGAGGAAAACTTGAGAGTAAAGCTGGGCCATTAGAGTTAGGTGGAGTTTTGCCAGGCAAAAAAGCAATGGAAGGGAAGGGTATTATGTTTAGAAGAGACATGAGAGTATATGAAAGGTATCAGTTCTAGCTTAATGCAGACTAAAATAAACTGAGACAAATATCTAGAAATGATAGGTGAAGTATTTTCTAAGCTGTTTTTTAAAAATGCATAGCAGAGCTTCCAAGAAAGACTAAAGACAAAGGAACTGAAAACTGGAGCAGACAGGAAAATAGCCGATGCAATTACTGAGGGGATAAGGGAAACGTACCTTAAGGACTTGTTTTAATACTGACAACTAAAGACAAGACTGGCTCCAGGCAGGAAACTGAAACCCCCAGTTAAAGCTGGGACCCTGAAAGAGCAACAGCCTTAGTGAAAGAGGGGAAACCATAAAAAAACCCCACCCAGGTGGTGAAAGGAAGAAGCAAGGAAGTCTGAATGCCTAGGCTTGTGAGATCAGGAGATTGTTGAAAATTCTGAATCCTGGGCCTGCCCCTTATGTCAATTTTAGAACATTTCTCATGTGAATAATGAGTGCTCTTCCTGTATGGTCTGGAAAACCACCACTCCCACCAAATCCCCAGCCAAGAAGGTTCTAAAAAGTGGTCTCAGATCCACTGTCCACAGGTTTGCTCTGGAGAGACATATGATGCAGGCAACATGGAACTCTACAGCCACCCTCACCCTATAAAAACTCCAAAAGATGATTTCAGTCAAACCTGCAACCCATGTAACTAATAAAATACTATTATCCAGAATATATAAAGTACTGCCTACGAACTGTTTTTTCAAAGAAGACAACTCAATAGAAAGAGAAGTGGGGCCAGGCACAGTGGCTCATGCCTGTAATCCCAGCACTTTGGGAGGCTGAGGTGGGTGGATCACCTCAGGTCAGGAGTTTGAGGCCAGCCTGACCAACATGGTGAAACCCTGTCTCTACTAAAAATACAAAAATTAGCCTGGCACGGTGGCATGTGCCTGTAGTCCCAGCTACTCGGGAGGCTGAGAGAGAATTGCTTGAACCCGGGAGGTAGAGGTTGCAGTGAGCTGAGATCGCACCACTGCACCCCAGCATGGGCGACAGAGCAAGACTCCATCTCGAAAAAAAAAAGTGGGGGTGAGGGAAGGATATAAATAGGAAAATCCCAGAGGGTAAACATACTAATGGCCAATAAATCAATAAAAAAAAGTCCTCAACCTTATCAGATATCAATGATATGTAAATTAAAATTAATAGAACCACTCAACACCAACAGAATAGGGAAATGCTGGTGAAAGTGAAATTCACATAACCACTTCGGAAAAGCAACTTAACAACTGGTAAAGCTAAATACCAGTGATATTTCCTCCTTTGGAGAAACTAACACATAGGCCCAAGTAAACATACAAAATACTCACTGCATTGCTATTGATTTATAAGAGGGGAAAAGTGGGAACAACCCAATAATGCTTCACTAGGGTAATGGAACAAATTGATATGCTCATTCAGTGGCATAGTATACAGCAATTACAATGAATGAACTATTTTCCTGTCAATATGGATGCATTAGTCTGTTCTCCAGAGAAACAGAACCGATAAGATATATAGATGAGAGACAGAGCTTTACTATATGGAATTGGCTTCTATGGTTCTGGAGGCTGAGAAGTCCCAAGATCTGCAGGTGATAAGCTGAGGACCCAGAAGAGCCAATGGTATAGTTCCAGGCCAATTCCAAAGGCCTGAAAACCAAGAGAGCTGACGGTATGAGTTCCAGTCTGAGTCCACGTCACAAGGTAGAAGACTGATTTTCCACCTCAAAGACAGAGATTCTCTCTTAATCAGCCTTCCTGTTCTGTACAGGCCTTCAATGGGTTGAATGAGGCCCAGAAATATCCTGATAGATACACCCAGAGTAAGACCAAATATGTGGTTACCCTATGACCCAGTCAGGTTGACATATAAAATTAACCATCATAGCCAGGTGTGGTGGCTCATGCCTATAATCCCAGCATTTTAAGAGGCCAAGGTGGGAGGATTGCTTGAGGCAAAGAGTTTGAGACCAGCCTGGGCAACAGTGAGACTCCATCTCTACAAAAATAATAAAAGTAGCCAGGTGTGGTGGTATGTGCCTGTAGCCCAGCTACTCAGGAGGGTGAGGCGGCAGGATCACTTGAGCCCAGGAGGTTGAGGCTGCAGTGAGCTATGATCATGCCACTGCCCTCCCGCCTGGGCAACGGAGAGGAGACCCTACCTCAAAAAAAAAAAAAAAGAGGTCTTGCATATCATGAGAGGGAATGTGTTATGGACTGCATGTTTGTGTCCTCCTCAAAATTCCAATGTCAAAACCCTAACCCCCAGTGGGACAGCATTAGGTGGGCTCTTTAGGGGGTCATTAGGTTCTGAGGATGGACCTCTCGTGATGGGATTAGTGCCCTTATAAAACAAACAAGGAGAGCTTGCTTCCTCTTTCTGCCATGTGAGGACACAGCAAGACGACCATCTGCAAACCAGGAGGTGTGTCCTCATGATGCACTGGATCTGCTGGCAACTTGATCCTGGATTTCCCAGCCTCTAGAACTATGAGAAATAAATTGCTATTACCATCTATGGTAATTTGCTTTAGCCACCCAAACCAAGACACTGCACTGACCTTGACCCTGTAGCCAGTGGTTCTCATCTATACAGCCCAATACCTTTTGAGTTTTTTGGGTTTTTGTTTTTCTTTTTTGGAGACTAAATAGTCTCATTATGATGCCCAGGCCTGATTCACACTCCTGGGTGGGATCAAGTGATTATCCCATCTCAGACTCTCAAGTAGCTGGGATTACAGTCATGTACCATGGTACCCAGCCTTTGGGCTACTTTCTGTATTTACAACACACCCCCTACCCTTTTTTTTTTTTTTTTTAATTGAGACAGGGTCTTGGCCAGGCACCGTGGCTCACATCTATAATCCCAGCACTTTGGGAAGCCAAAGCGGGTGAATCACTTGAGGCCAGGAGTTCGAGTTAACCAGCCTGGTCAACATGGTGAAACCCCATCTCTACTAAAAATACAAAAATTAGCCAGGTGTGGTGGCGCACACACATAGTCCCAGCTACTTGGGAAGCTGAGGCAGGAGAACCGCTTGAACCCGGGAGGCAGAAGGGTGCAGTGAGCCGAGACTGCGCCACTGCACTGCAACCTAGGTAACAGAGGAAGACTGTCTCAAAAAAAGAAAAAAAAGACAGGGTCTCACTCTGTTGCCAGGCTGGAGTGCAGTCGTGCAATCATGGCTCACAGTAACCTCTAACTCCTAGGCTCAGGCAATCCTCCACCTCATCCTTCCAAAGTGTTGGGATTACAGGCGTAAGCCACTGTGCCTGGCCTTAAAACACTCTACTATCCTGTGCAGACTGATCTATATTCTGTTGTATCAGAGACTCAAACACCAGGAGCCAGCTCAGCCATTAATGGCACGATTTTCTGAAATGGTGAACAAACTACTGTACAGTCTTGCCTCTATTTAGTTGCATGCCTGCAGAACTGTACAAAAAATACTTTGTTTTTATGTAAAAGGGAGTTAGGTTATATGCTCAGCTAATTATTATATAAACTTTTTTCACCTACCAAATATCTAGGACATCTGATAGTTGTGCAGGACTTAGGACAATTTGTTGTACAAGACTACCCCAGGGACCAGGTACAGTGGCTCATGCCTGTAATCCCATCATTTTGGGAGGCCGAAGCGGGAGGACCACTTGAAGTCAGGAGTTCAAGACCAGCCTGGACAACATGGTGAAACCCTGTCACTACTAAAAATACAAAAATTAGCCAGGCACAGTGGCATGCGCCTGTAGTCCCAGCTACTCATGAGGCTGAAGTGGGAGGATTGCTTGAACCTGGGAGGTGGAGGCTGCAGTGAGCCGAGATCACGCCACTGCACTCCAACCTAGGCGAAAGAGCGAGACTCCATCTAAACAAACAAAAAACAACAACAACAAAAAACAAACCTTGAATAGCTGTTTTGGTGTGGGATAGAGGGCCTTAAGCAAGTTTACATACTCGAAAGAAGAGGGTGAGTTAGAAAGGGTAATTAAAGGAGCAAGGTCCAGGCTTGGTAACAAGACAGATGAAGGCAGAGACTGCAGGTGTGGTGAGTTGTTCAGGGGATCATCTATGGGCATATGCTGGACAAGGAAGCAGTGCAGGCAAAGGGGGCTGACAGATTGGGGAAAAATGGAATCAAGAGACCTGAAGTCTCCAAGGTCTAGAATGGTAGAAATGAGAATATAAGAAAGTTTGTCAAAAAGGACTAATCTGATGCTTGGGTAGGGAAAGTAATATTCGAAAGTGGCACTGAGGATCTGGGAGAATTATGACCCTACTGTGGGAAAGCAGAGCAGGCAGGAATGCCTAGGCTGACACAAAGATGGGAGTACAGGGGTTGAGGATATAGGAAAGTTGGTATGTATATATGGATGGATGGATTTTGGCTGGCAGGGTCTCTGTCACCCAGGCTAGACTGCAGTGGCACAATCAGAGCTCACTGCAGCCTCAGCCTCCTGGGCTCAAGCGATCCTCCAGCCGGACTACAGGTATGCACCACCATGCCTGGCTAACTTTTCAAATTTTTTTGTAGAGACAGGGTTTCAACCATGTTGCCCAGGCTGGTCTCAAACTCCTGGGCTCATGGGATCCTCCTGCTTGAGCCTCCCAAAGTGCTGGGATTATAGGTGTGAGCCACCGTGCCCAGCCGAAAGTTGGTGTTTTAAAATCATGGAAGAGGTTTATGAGCAGGGGCAAAGGTCAGCGCAGTCTGCACATGAGTGTATGGGAGAGGACAGGTGTCCAGAGAGGCTGATATTCTGGGCAATCATCAAGAATGAGGTGAACCAGCTGAGCCTCAAAGCTCAAAATGGAATGGTGGCAAGGATCTCTCACTTCCTAATGAGGTCTTGAAAGCACTTTGTTTTCTTTCAAATCCTCTTCACATCTCTGCAATAAAACCTCCAGGTAGGTTTCCCGTGCAGTAGCACAGTGAATCTATCCTTATGCTCTACTACACCCACTGAGCTTAAGGAGGTGAACTGCTTTACCACACGCTGCCCAACAGCCCTTCCTCTTGCGAACTATCCTCCTCTGCTGCATGCAGTTTGATTACGGCTGTCAAACAAGGGCCTCTACCCTCCTTGATGCAGAGCTGCACATGTGGCCATGCTGGCCAGAGTAACCAGATACCTAGATCCAGTAATCAGCTCAGGAATGGGCTCTACCCAGAGAAAAGCTCCTTACAGAATTATTTCAGGGGATTTATATAAATCCTGGGACAACCTTTCCTCTAAGATCATGAGGGCAGATACTACTCCTGGAGCTGTACATCACCCACTTCATGGGTGCTAAGAGCTCAAGATATGGTAATCCAGTCTATACCCAGAAAACTGGTAGTCAAGGCTCCCCTTTTGTGGTCCATATGCTATTTGGGTAAACAAAAAACACCAAGACACAGACACAGCAAATTATTTAATGTCTGTAGGTGTACCTCACCCTCACATTGCTATTACGATTCAAAAGCCTCCATAAACTGTCAAACTGGCAGAACCAGAGAAACCATGGGCACTTTCTTCCAACAGGGTTTGAAAACCATCAACGCTCTAGTCCTGTTGACCTGGAAATGGTGGCAGGTGAAGTCTCTCCACAGCATGCCTTGGGCCTCTCTGCTCAGGAGAAAAAGCCCCCCAGTTCTACATGATTCCTGAGGTCTTCTGTTCTTCTGCGGCCTGGCGCTGGGCCCTGCGCCACTGGAAATAGTGGTAGACTCGGACACTGCAGAGGTACCCCCCATACACAGTGAGAAGCATCATGGAGGTAGAGAAGGTCTTATAGCCAATGTCAGCTAGCTGCTTGCCAGTTGGCATCTTGTCCCCTACAAAGACAGATTGAATTTAGACCTGAGGATAAGGCCTCATCTGCCCAGCCCATCTCCCTGTTTAACGCCATTCCATAACTTCTGCATCCTGCTTGGTCTGTCTGCACTCTATACTGAATGGCCCCTATGTCTAGGTAAAGTCTCATAGGGATACTGGAAGATATCATTTAGGAACTCTATGATTCAAAAGGGCAAATAAAATGTGCCTACAAGATACAGAAACAAGCCTGGAACCAGGTGTCTCTGAATGTCATCAAAGCCAACATTTGGCCTTCCATGCCTGTGGACAGAAGTGACTGGCATGGACCAGCCTGGACTGCTGGGGTTTGTTTTGTTTTGAGACAGGTTCTCACTCTGTTGCCCAGGCTGGAGTGCAGTGGTGTGAGTATGACTCATTGCAGCTTCAACCTCCTGGGCTGAAGTCCACCCTCCCACCTCAGCCTCCCAAGTAGCTGACGCTACAGGTGTGTACCACCACACCGCCCAGTTTTTCTACTTTTGTAGAGACAGGGTCTTGCTATGTATGTTGCCAGGGCTGCTCTTGAACTCCTGGGCTCAAGTGATCCTCCCACCTTGGCCTCCCAAAGTGCTGGGATTGTGTACAGGCATGAGCCACTGCACCAGCCAGGGCTGCTCTAACTGGTAACATTAAGCAAGCATCAGTTTTTCTAGCTAGGAGGGAACTAATGGAGGTAGCAGAAATGAAACATTTGCAGTGAATTATTCTCTCTAGGAAGATCAAATGGGAACCTTTCAGGCAATATCCAATTTGTTTCCCCATAAAAACGATCTTATTCATGGTGGTTAGGTTTCCAAGTCAACACTAAAGCTTGTTTAAGCCATAATATAACTGAAATAGTGTCAAAAGTACTTTTATATTATTTCAATTATACTTAACCTTCTACAGTATTAATTCTACGTTCTAAACCCAACACTAAGAACCTATCCCACAGGCTAAAAAGAAACTTACTGGGTCCCCAGCAAATTGTTAACTCATATTTGCATGAGATAAATTACTTCTAATTTAACTGTTCCCTGGATATTCCAAGCTAGGAAACAAGAGAAAGTTTAGTAGAGAATCCCTCATCTGGAACAAAATGTCCCTCAATTTGGGACTATGAATGTGTTCCTAGGTGCTACTCTGTTGAGGGAACTGAAATTAAAAGACTGACTGAAATTAGCGAGATAGGTTTCTTAAAAGTCAGGAAGACTACCTCAATAAAATAAAATAAAAAATACATATATAGATATATAGATATATTTTTTGAGACGGAGTCTCACTCTGTCCCCCAGGCTGGAGTGCAGTGGCACGATCTCGGCTCACTGCAACCTCCACCTCCCAGGTTCATGCCATTCTCCTGCCTCAGCCTCCCGAGTAGCTGGGACTACAGGCGCCCGCCACCACACCCAGCTAATTTTTTGTATTTTTAGTAGAGATGGGGTTTCACCGTGTTAGCCAGGATGGTTTTGATCTCCTCACCTTGTGATCCACTCGCCTTGGCCTCCCAAAGTGCTGGGATTACGGCGTGAGCCACCGCGCCTGGCCAAAAATACATATTTATTTTTAAAGAAACAACAACCAGAGCATGATGTCCATCAAGGACGGGGTTGGGGTATGTGCAAGCTGCACGAAGACTGACAGAAACTGCAGTGAAAGGCAAGACTGTGTTCAGAATGCCAAGGTGGGACCGGATGCAGTGGCTCACGCCTGTAATCTCAGCACTTTGGAAGGCCGAGGAGGGTGGATCACCTGAGGTCAGGAGTTCGAGACCAGCCTGGCAAACATGGTGAAACCCTGTCTCTACTAAAAATACAAAAAGTAGCTGGGCGTGGTGGCGCATGCCTGTAATCCCAGCTACTCGAGAGGCTAAGGCAGGAGAACTGCTTGAACCTGGGAGGCGGAGGTTGCAGCGAGGTGAGATTGCGCCAGTGCATTCCAGCCTGGATGACGGGGAGTGAGACTCCATCTCAAAAAAAAAAAAAGGGGGGGTGCCAGGTATGGTGGCTCACGCCTGTAATCCCAGCACTCTGGGAGGCTGAGGCAGGTGGATCACGAGGTCAAGAGATCGAGACCATCCTGGCCAACATGGTGAAACCCTGTCTCTACTAAAAATACAAAAAATTAGCTGGGCATGGCAGTGCGCGCCTGTAGTCCCAGCTACTCAGGAGGCTGAGGCAGGAGAATCACTTGAACCCGGAGGCGGAGGCTGCAGTGAGCTGAGATCGTGCCACTGCACTCCAGCCTGGTGACAGAGCAAGACTCCATCTCAAAAAAAAAAAAAAAAAAATTAGCCCAGCGTGGTGGTGCATGCCTGCGTCCCTGCTACTCGGAGGCTGAGACAGGAGAATTGCTTGAATCCCAGAGGCAGAGGTTGCAGTTGAGCCGAGATCGCATCATTGCACTCCAACCTGGGCAACAGAGTGAGACACCGTCTCAAAAAAAAAAAAAAAGAGACAGAAAAAGAGTGCCAGGGTGGAAGCCAAGAGGGGAATGTCTCAAGGACCTTTGGACCCAGTCCTGAGGAGCCTTGAGAGAACTGGGCCCAATAAGCCTGCCAGTGAGGCCTAAGAGGGCCCTATTTTTAGTTTTTGGCAGCTTGCTCTCCACTTAATGGCTCTCAGCACTGTAGGCAGAGACACTTAAAATCCCGCCCCTTACCATGGCCACGCACACACACACACCAAAGCATACACACAAACAACAAAGTCAAGAACCTAGGCAGGGCATGGTGGCTCACACTTGTAATCCCATGCTTTGGGAGGCCGAGTCAGGAGGATCACTTGAGGCCAGGAGTTTGAGACCAGCCTGGGCAACATAGTGAGACCCTGTCCCCACAAAAAAAATTTTTTTTTAAATTAGCCACGCATGGTGGCATATGGCTGTAGTCCCAGCTACTCAGGAGGCTGAGGTGGGAGGATTGCTTGAGCCCAGGAGGTTGAGGCTACAGTGAGCTGAGATCGTACCACTGCACTACAGCTTGGGTGACAGAGTGAGACCCTGTCTCAAAAAACAAAAAAAAATTGAAAGTAAAGCTCAGGATTCGCTGGTTTAGAG
This sequence comes from Homo sapiens, assembly GCF_000001405.40. Classification (NCBI taxonomy): domain Eukaryota; kingdom Metazoa; phylum Chordata; class Mammalia; order Primates; family Hominidae; genus Homo; species Homo sapiens. The sequence continues at coordinate 50,116,977 of NC_000012.12, read as the reverse complement.
GGGTCAGACATGGGTACAGACATGTAAATACTTCTCAGAGTAAACCCTAAGGGCTGAACATTGCCTTTGAGGCAGGTCTTGAGTGTGGACCCCAAGCTGAGCTGAGACACAGCTTCTTTGAAATATAATCCCACTATGGAAAGTGATATTAAGTAAGGTCAGAGGAAGAATACTAAGTGACACAAGTTCAAGATGAGAAAGGATTGTGTTCAGGTTTGAAATCTGAGGTTTGAAATGGCCCCAAGCTGTGCATGCAATAGTGAACAAAACACACACCCATGGAGCTGAACGCTAAGCCGCCTGCAAAGAGCCCTGCAGCCTTCAACTTCCCTGTCACTTATTGCTATTCCTACTCATCACCCTAGCTAGATGCTTAACAATTATAGGACCACCTCTTCCAAGGGCTGGAGGAAAAGAGCTGGAAGCATTCACCAACCAACAAAAACAGGATGGTACAGCTTGGCTAGAAAAGTGACATAAAACCAACTAACAGACATAATCCTGCTGTCTAGAACCTTACCTTCCCTCTCTTGTCTTAATCCATCCTGTGGTTTTCCCTAATATCCAATTAGCAAAAACTCTTCAGGCCGGGCGCAGTGGCTCACGCCTATAATCCCAACAGTTTGGGAGGCTGAGTCGGGCAGATCACCTGAGGTCAGGAGTTCGAGACCAGCCTGGCCAACATGGCAAAACCCTGTCTCTACTAAAAATACAAAAATTAGCCAGGCGTGGTGGCGGATGCCTGTAGCCCCAGCTACTCAGGAGGCTGAGGCAAGAGAATCACTTGAACCTGGGAGGCAGAGGTTGCAGTGAGCCAAGAGAGTGCCACGGCACTCCAGCATGGGGGACAGAGCAAGACTCTGTCTCAAAAAAAAAAAAAAAAACTCTTCAGATTCTGAGCTAAAGCAGTGGTAGCAGTAGAAGTGGAAAGAACAGATGCAGAAGATACTTTGGAAGTAGAAAAGGATTTATCAATGGAGCGAATTAGGGCAAAGCTGAAAATATTAATACCTCCAAGTTAGGAAACTTTGTAGACTGGGATACTGTTAACAGAAATAAGAAACAAGAGAAGAGGTATGTATCACTGTATATACAGGGTGGTGACAGTGTCCATCAAGAAGATCACGTGGCCGGTGCAGTGGCTCACACCTGTAATGCCAGCACTTTGGGAGGCAAAGACAGACGGATCGTTGAGCCCACGAGTTTGAGACCAGCCTGGGCAACATGGTGAAACCCTGTCTCTACAAAAAATACAAAAATTAGTGGGGCGTAGTGGCATGCACCTGTAGTCCCAGCTACTCAAGAGGCTGAGGTTGGAGGATCGCTTGAGCCCAGGAGGTAGAGGTGCAGTGGGCCGAGATCATGCCATTACACTGCAGCCTGGGTGACAGGGAGACCCTGTCTCAAAAAAAAAAAAAGGAGGATCATGAGCTGGGCTTGAACACGTTAAAATGAAGATGCTCGGCCGGGCGCGGTGGCTCAAGCCTGTAATCCCAGCACTTTGGGAGGCCAAGGCGGGTGGATCACGAGGTCAGGAGATCGAGACCATCCTGGCTAACACGGTGAAACCCCGTCTCTAGTAAAAATACAAAAAAATTAGCCGGGCATGGTGGCGGGTGCCTGTAGTCCCAGCTACTCAGGAGGCTGAGGCAGGAGAATGGCATGAACCCGGGAGGCGGAGCTCGCAGTGAGCAGAGATCGCGCCACTGCACTCCAGCCTGGGCAACAAAACCAGACTCCGTCTCAAAAAAAAAAAAAAATTAAGATGCTCAGCCAGGCATGGTGGCTCACACTGGTAATCCCAGCACTTTGGGAGGCTGAGGCAGGAGAATCGCTTGAGCCCAGGAGTTCAAGACTACGCCTAGGCAACACAGCGAGACCCCATCTCTATTTAAAAAAAAAAAAAAAAACCGGCCGGGCACGGTGGCTCACGCCTGTAATCCCAGCACTTTGGGAGGTCAAGGTGGGCAGATCACAAGGTCCAGAGATTGAGACCATCCTGGCCAACATGGTGAAACCCCATCTCTACTAAAACTACAAAAATTAGCTGGGCATGGTGGCGCCTGCCTGTAGTCGGAACTACTCTGGAGGCTGACGCAGGAGAATTGCTTGAACCCAGGAGGCGGAAGTTGCAGCCACTGTACTCCAGCCTGGCGACAGAGTGAGACTCCATCTCAAAAAAAAAAAAAAAAAAAAAAAAAAAAAAATTAAGATACTCAACACAACATTCATGTGATGATGTCTATCAGGCAGATGGAAATACAAATTTAGATAGATACAGCTTAGAAGGGAAGCTATGTTTCAGATACATATGGAGGTAATAAGCAAAACCAAAGGAGAGGATAAGACCAGAAAGAGAGAGGCCAAGGGAGCAACAGTTCAAAGAAGGCAACAATTAAGGAGAAAAGGCAGGTAGGAAATTCCAAGGCCCGGCGCAGTGGCTCACTCCTGTAGTCCCAGCACTTTGGGAAGCCGAGGAGGGCGGATCACCTGAGGTTGGGAGCTCGAGACCAGCCTGACCAACACGGAAAAACCCCACCTCTACTAAAAGTACAAAAATTAGCCAGGCGTGGGGTGGCACATGCCTGTAATCCCAGCTACTCAGGAGGCTGAGGCAGGAGAATCGCTTGAATCCAGGAGGCGGAGGTTGTGGTGAGCTGAGATCGCGCCACTGCACTCCAGCCTGGGCAACGAGTGAAACTCCACCCCTCAAAAAAAAAAAAATTCCAGAAACACCTGTTTTTTTTTTTTTTTTTTTCATTTAACTACATCCCCCTTCCTGGTTGAAAACCACTGCTGAATCAAGTCACTGCCACTGATGGAGGTGTACTGTATCTTTCCAGTGTGTTAGGCTAGAATAAAAATTGAGAACCATAGCTGGGTGTGGTGACATGCACCTGCAGTCCCAGCTACTAGGGAGGTTTGGGTGGGAGGCTTGCCTGAGCCAACGAGTTTGGGGCTGCAGTGAGCTGTGATCACGGCCCTGCACTTGCAGAGCAAGACTGTGTCTCTAAAAATAATAATAATAATGATAATAAAGAAAAAAAAAAGGCTGGGCGTGAGCCACCTGTAATCTCAGTACTTTGGGAGGCAGAAGTGGGCTGATAACCTGAGGTCAGGAGTTCGAGACCATCTTGGCCAATATGATAAAACCCTGTCTTGACTAAAAATACAAAAATTAGCCAGGCATGGTGGCACATGCCTGTAATCCCAGCTACTCAGGAGGCTGAGACAGGAGAATCATTTGAACCCGGGAGGCGGAGGTTGCAGTGAGCCGAGATCGCGCCACTGTACTCCAGCCTGGGCGACAGGGCGAGACTCCGTCTCAAAAAAATAAATAAAATAACAAACAAATAAATAAATAAATAAAATAACGGCCGGGTACAGTGGCTCACGCCTGTAATCCCAGCACTTTGGGAGGCCGAGGCGGGTGGATCACGAGGTCAGGATATCGAGACCATCCTGGCTAACACAGTGAAACCCCATCTCTACTAAAAACACAAAAAATTAGCCGGGCGTGGTGGCGGGCACCTGTAGTCCCAGCTACTCTGGAGGCTGAGGCAGGAGAATGGCATGAACCCGGAAGGCGGAGCTTGTAGTGAGCCGAGATCCCGCCACGGGACCCCAGCCTGGGCGACAGAGCAAGACTCCGTCTCAAAAAAAAAAAAAAAAAATTGCGTAAACGTATGGGTAGAAGTGCGATTTTGTTACATGCATACACTGCATAGTGGTCAACTCAGGGCTTTTAAGGTATCCATCATCTTTTATCTACTTTTTGTTTGGCACTTAGAGAGTAGTACATCGGCCGGGTACGGTGGCTCACGCCGGTAATCCCAACACTTTGGGAGGCCGAGGCGGGAGGATGGCTTGAGCTCAGGAGTTGGAGACCAGGTTGGGCAACATAGGGAGACCTTTTCTCTATTTAAAAACAACAACAACAACAACAAAAAAAAAACCTTTTTTTAAAAATTACCCGGGCGTGGTGGCGCACACCTGCAGCCTGAGCGACAAAGCAAGACCCTGTCTCAAAATAACATAACATAACATAACATAACATAACATAACATAACGTACATCATGCTACGGAGGCCGCTAAAAAGAACATGGCTTCTGTCATACAGGAGCTTATGGTCTCATGGAGAGGCACTGTGAGAGTTCAGAGACAACAGCTCAAAGACAGGGTGGGGGCTTGAGAAAACTTAGCAGAAAGGTGTAGGGGTGGGAATCGGGGTGGGAGTGGAACTGTCTTTTTAGAAGGATGGCCTGGAGAAGAGGAGCAGTGAGAGCATTCCAGGAAGTGAAAGCGGTCAAGAGGTGGAGCTGGATAGCCGATATGCACGAAGGGTGCCCCGGAGAGCCACTTATCAGGACGCAGAGGTCTATAGAGCAAGGAAGAGGCAGAGTTGGAGCGTGGAGGGTCGAGACGCCAGGCAGGAGTCGAGGTTTGACAGGATTAGCGCTGAGCTCTAGCAAGACTGACCTACTGCTGCGAGGAGCTTGGGCTTGGGCAGGAAGCAGTGCAGCTCGCGGTCCGCAACGCAACAGAAGCGGGTGAATTCAAGGGCACCAGGCCTGCAGACTAGGGGATGGGAGGACGCGGCAAGCGGAGACTGGCCCAGGTGGGCGCGCAGGCAGTGGGACTGGCAGCCCCTGCTCGGCCCTAGCCGGCAGCGTACCTGGATGCTGCAGCTCCTTCGCATCCAACCGAGGCCTCCTCAGGCAGGCAGGGTCTCGAGGCCACTGTCTACGCAACTTCCCAGCACAGCCGAACGCAGCACTCGGAACCAGACACGTGAGGGTAGCGTCCCTGGACAACCCTGAACGCCTCAGCTATTGGTGCAGAAAGCAACTTTCTCCCTCCCACCTGCCGGGTTAGCCTCTAGGATTCGGCTTGCCGCGCTATAAAGGGAACTGCGCATCAGACGCGGCACAACTCCGCCCACTAAGGCGGGAGTCCGCGCAGGCCGTCACTCTGGCTGGAGGCCGGCTTTGAACTTCCGGCTTCCGGGCCCGTTATCCTTACTACGCATCCTCAGACGCGCCGTGCTCTCGGAGAGGCCCGCTGAATTCTGGGGGCTGTGGTTTCTCTCCCTCGAGGGAGGGTCTTTGGCGAGCCAAGCTCTGGAACCGGAAGTTTTAGGATGCTAAATCAGAGTCAGCCAATCCTCAGCCTACGGTGCGGTGACGTCGCCAGTAGCTGGGTAGATTTTCGCAGCCGGCCTTCTGGAGGTGGATCGCGCGCCCCCTAGAGCCCGGCTGTGGGCCTAGTCCAGGTAGGGGCCCGAGGGGCACCGCGATGCCTGGACCGCTAAGGATGCGGCAGCTTGGCCCGTGACCAAGGAATGGGCACAAGGGATGAGAGTCTAACGTTTCCGTCCCGTGTGTGATCTCTATTCTTGCAGGAGGCATGATAAAGCCCCTAAGAAGGGCCGGCAAGGCCGGGGCCAGCTTGCGGCGAGGGCGGGAGGGGGCGCTGGCGGGAGGGGAGAGAGAGGGATGGGGACTGAGTGGGCACCGCCGCTGACCCCTGGAGTAGCTGCGATTATGGAGGAGGGATTTCTTTTTTCATTTTTCCTACGGTAAGAGGGAAAACATACGTGCAATGATACGCGCCAGCACACGCACTGCCACATGCACTGAAGCTCCCTCTCCCAACTCTTCTTGTTTCTGGAAAAAACACGCTTTATTGGGTAGACAAATAGGCCTGATGGGAAGGCCTGAGTCACAGTGCACTGGGGAGTGAACAAAAGTAGGCAAAGTGCTTGAAGCTTCCCCTTTGCCCCCACCTTAACCTCCTGGGGAGGCAGCTCTGGACACTCAGTACCCAGACCTGGGCTCAGCAAGGCCTGGGGTGACTGTGCCCCTCACTCCTGCTGCCTGATCTGGGCAGCCCCACCCTTCACTGGTAAGACAGAATTCTCAAGGGATAGGCGCAGAGAGGAGCCCGCCTCCCTGGTTCATTGGAGAGTAACAGGGTTTTAGCATAATGCTGGCCAGAGCCAGTGTGCCAGGTGCTGCCACACAGGAAGCTGACAGCCCTGCTGGACGGGCGGGAGCCTCTCGGGCCCTCCGGACTATTTATAGCTGGAGGCCTAGGCTGCTGACCTGTGACATTCCTCTGCTGCCACCCCATCCTGGAGCAAGGCAAGTGCAGAGCACACTCCTCCTCCTCCCCTCCTGTTCTTTCCTCACCCCAGGGAGTAGGGTGGTTTTGATTTTCTTCCTCCTCCTTGAGTTTCCCAGCTCTCGAGTTGCTGGTGTTGTCAGTACCTCACGAGAAGGCCCTCATTCAGCAAAGAGAGCTGCCCTTGGAATATTGGTGCCCACCAACATAGGAATCTGCTCACCCTTCCCTACCGTTCATCAGCCTTTGGGCCACCCTCTGGCCTGCTGGCTTCCAGATGCCAGGCATGGTTAGCTGGTTACCCTGGCCGGTCTGGAGCAGCTGAGGAAGAGGTGCAGAGTTTGGGAGGAAGAAAGGGGTGGAGTCAGGGATGTCCTCTGGGGAGATAGCACAGGAGGGGCCCAGCTGACACCTCCCCCAGCTAGAGCTACTGAGAAGGAAGCCTGGGTGAATACAAAGGTCACAGGGAGCTGAGTGATCTGAGCCTGTTATGAAAGGTGTAGCTCTGTCAGCAGATTAAGTTCCTGCTCCCCAAAGAGGGTGCTGGCGGGGAGGGTGAGGGAAGGCTTGGAAAGGTCGCACAGAGTGGGGAGGAGCTGGCAAAGAACTAGGAACCGGGAAGTCCCTGGGGAGAATGTCAAGCCACCGAGCTACAGATGCCAGCATGGCAGCAATTTGGGTGCCAGGGCAGCCTGGGGGAGGGGGAAGGGGGAGAACCAGAGGTTTCTGAGGACACAGATGTTGCTAGGAGAAGCTAAAAGGGGTTTGTTTGAGATCTTTGTATTTTGTTAACAAACACTGAGATCCATCGAAGCTGTGTGGGTCCTGGCAGAGGTCAGCAAAGGGGTCCTTGGGGCCTGCATCAGCTCAGAAGCCCAGACCCCTCCCTGACAATCCTTGCCTCATCGCTCCTGTGGCTAAGATACTTCTTCAGCCCTTTAACAGGATTACTGGTGTATGTGAGACAGCCACTAGCAGCCCCTGCCCTACCGGCCTCTCCCCCAACCCTTCTCCACATACATCACCCCCGCCACCAAGCAGGCAGCACTGGGGCTTGATTCCACCCCTCCCAGAGGATATGGAGAAAGCCCCACATCTGGAGAGGGACAGGGCAACTGCATTTCTGGCAAATGTGGTGGCATGAGGCTGCCAGTGGCTTGACAGTTCAGGATCTCCAGGTGCGTAGCTGGGCCCCATAGCCTCCTGTCCTCCAGTGAAAAGATGAGAAGACTCTGCTCCCTGGGAGTCCTGGAGATCCTGGTGACTAGGTACCCCAGGCTTCTGCTGGTCTCCACTGGGGTAAAAAAGCGGCCTGGCCTGGGCCCTGGCCCCACTCACATATGTTCTGGATGATTCTGCAGGCAGTGGATGAATTCACCCACTGGCTGGCCCTCGTAGCACACCTTGTACACAGCCATGAACAAGGGAAACCTAGATTGGAGAGGGAAAGGCTCAGCTTAGCCTCCCACTCCTGGTCCACTCTACCCCCACCCCCACTCACTGCCTAACCCTCCTGTCCCTTGCCCTCCCACCTTGGAGCTCAGGAAGGATGGCTGTGAGTTTCTACCTTCTGAGAATGTGAACTCCCTAGCCCTAGGTTTAAGGTCAGATTGCTAATTGCCCTGCTCCCTACCATGTTGAACTGGCCTGCATGATTCTCTGGCTTGGATTTTCTGTGCCAACTGGGCAACCCACTTTTTTTTTTTTTTTTTTTTTTTTGAGACAGACTCTCGCTCTGTCGCCTAGGCTGGAGCGCAGTGGTGCAATCTTGGCTCACTGCAACCTCCGCCTCCCAGGTTCAAGCGATTCTCCTGCATCAGCCTCCTGAGTAGCTGGGATTACAGGCACACACCACCATGCCTGACTAATTTTTGTATTTTTAGTAGAGATGGGGTTTCACCATGTTGGTCAGGCTGAGCTCAAACTCCTGACCTCGTGATCCACCCACCTTGGCCTCCCAAAGTGCTGGGATTACAGGTGTGAGACACCACACCCAGCCTTGAGCAACCCACTTAACCTCTCTGAGCCTCAGTGTCACCAACTGTAAAATGGGGCCAATATAACAAAGGAATGATTGTGTATGTGAAGATGTAATTAGGTATGATGTGAAAGTGCTTAATAAATACTCATTTCCTTCTTACTGTCCTTTTGCCCAGCTGCTCCCTTTTCCAAGCTTTACCCTGACCAGTCATGAGTGGATATTCTGAACCTGTTTCATACTGTCTTCTTCTAGGAGTCTTTCTCAGACCAGCACAGCTCTGCTCTGATCAGCCCAATCACCCCCGCTGTCTTTCTGAAAACGAGCACCTTGAAGCCCATCCTTCTCCTTACACCTCAGCACCCAGAACAGGATTCAGGGAACAGATGGGTTGGCCTTGGGGAAGAGACTCAAACTAGGGGTGATGGACAGAAGTGGGATGAGCTTATTCCTGCTGCCCCAGAGCTCCAACCCCAGAGCAGAGGACAAGGAAGGAGGGGCACAAAGGGATCCAGGTAATGTAGTGTGAAGAGCACTAGACTGGAAGGAGTTCAAAGACCATGAACTAGCTGGCGGACAATGGGCATGCCAGACTCTGCAAGCTCTGGACTCTGTCTGAAATGTAAGGTAATACTCCCCTTTCTGTCCACTTCACAGATTTGTGGCAGGTTTAGGAAGATGATGAACAGGGCGAGCACTTCTGGCTGTGGCTCCCTTAATCAGTGGGGCTGTGGCCAATACTTACTTGTCTACCAGGCCCTTGTGCTGGAGGATGCTGTATAGCTCCCGGGCTGTCTCGGGCCCCTGCAGTTTCTGCCCATTCAGCAACTCTTTCTCCAGCTGCTCAATGGACTGTGCAGAAAACAGGATGAGTGGATGGAAATGGGAGAGAAGGGTTGTCAGTAGGGGGTGGAGAGACTGGAGCTCAGATGGGAGTGGGGTCTTGGGAGGAAAAGAGGGATGGGGATGTGCACAACAGTCTTAATGTTTGTGCTCCAGAGATGCCTCCCGCCAAGCACCTCTACCTGGATGCCTACAGAGCCGCCCCTCTGTTCTCCCTTCTCCCGGGGCCCACCTTTCCTGTACGCGCAAAGGCCTCAGCCACTTTCCGGTTCCGCCCTCCATAGCAGGTAGTGATCAGGTCAGCAACACCACAGCTCTCCAAGAAGGTGGCAGAGGACACAGGGCCACTGCAGAAGAGCTTGGCGAAGGCTATCATCTCCATGAGTCCCAGCCGGATCACTGCCGCCTTGGTGTTGTCGCCAAAGCCCAGGCCATCACAGAAGCCAGCCCCCACGGCCACTACATTCTTGAAGGAGTGGAGGTCATAGGTGAGAAAAGACCCCCTCCTATAGGCCCCATGTGGAGCCCCCTCATACTCATTTCATCAGCCGTGACACCCACTGCAGAAGAGAGGTATAGTGTGTGGCCTTTTAGAAGCCTACTTCCGCCTCTTGGTTTCCCCCCTTGCTGCACCCCCTTTCTTAAGCCCTGCCCCATACTCCCTCCTCGAGGACATTTTCTGAAAACCACTCTTCTCTCTAGTTGATCTTCCCATCTATGACCATTCCATTGTACAGCCCTCAAGTCAACAGCTGTCCAGGATCCATAGTTCTGGCCATTAGTCTGTCTGGGTGTCAAGGATGTTTTGTCTCCCATTAGCCTGGGCATCTCCTTGTCCCCCTGGACCACCTCCTGGAGCCAGAGGGTGGGGAGTCCCACACGGGGCTAAAATGGGACAGGAGCAAGGGGGTCCACGGTCTGATGATGAATAATCAGCCGGCCTGAATGGCCCTGGCCTTGCTTCTGCAGCTCCTCCTATATGCATGGGACATGGTAGGAAAGGGGAACCACTGCTCAATAGTGAGAGCCTGGAGTACCTGCAGCCTTGCAGAGCTCAGCCAGACCTCCTTTGGGGCCTTCTCCTCACCCCATAGCTGCCTCTGTGCCCCTCTCACCTTTAAGGCTCCACAGATCTCTACTGTGTCCACCTCTTGCACCACTGTGATACGGAAGTTTGGTGTCTGCATCAGCTCTTTCAGGAGTTGTCCCTGGGCCGGGTCCTTGCAGCCTAAAGTGAGGAGGGGGCAAGGCTTTGAGGGAAGGACTCTTTTTAAAAAATATTTATTTTATAGAGATGGGAGTCTCTCTCTGTTGCCCAGGCTGGACTCAAACTCCTGGGCTTAAGCGATCCTCCCACCTCAGCCTCTTAAGTAGCTGGGACCACAGGTGTGCCACTGCACCAACTCTGAGGGAGGGCTCATCACTGTGTTTCCCTAAGCAGGCCCTGAAGCCCCTTCCCTGGGGGTGTCCCAGCCTCCTTCACCTCTGATGCTTGTATTTTCCTTTCTCTGCCTTATGGGAAAGAGATGGCTAAGTGGGGTTGGGGCAGTTTGGGGAGGGGATGCAACTAGATGCACTGTGTATGCAGGTGCCAGGGGGCTCTCACCAATGGTTGTCTCACAGAACTTCTCATCAGCCACCTCGCTGGCAATGTTGGCCCCCATCAGCACACTCATGGGGATGCCGAGGCGCTCCCCAATCACTTCCGAGATGAGCTTCAGCCCATTGGGGCCCTCGTCTACCCCCTGAGCACAGGATGGAGCTCAGGCCAGGTGCCCTTTGGGCCCACCTGCGGGCTTCCGCCCAGAAATTCTGTCCCTTCCAAATCCATTGCTCATCTGTGTCCCTCCCGACAGGTCCTGCCCCATTCCAACCCAGCTCAAGTTTGCTGTGAGGAGGCCAGACAGCATGTGACCAACTGTCCTGCCACATACCCTCAACCAGTCTACTTCTCCAAGGCAACGGGTCCCCTCCACATCCCTAGGCAACCCCGCCTGACTGCCCCAACAAACTGCCATTCAGTGACCAGTCACTGCTCCAAACCAGCTACTCTTCACACTTCTCAAACCAGCCCGCTTCTCATATCTCCCAGGCATTCCTTTATACCTCCGAAACTCCCCGAGAGGACCTCCAAACCAATCTCGTCTCCTCCCTTCAGCCTCCCTTCCAGTGACCCCCAGCACCTCACTGCTTTCCTAAGCCTCTCCAGAGCCAACTGCCTCTCTTTTCTCCAGCAAACTCTTGGCCTGCGTCTGCCATTTTCTGTTCTCCTTGCTTCACCCACCCTGAACCCCACAACAGTGAGCCGCACCCTCCCCCATCCACATGAAGGTGTCCCTGGCACCTTAATAAGAGATATGCCAGTGGCGTTTGCCTTCAGATGGCCCTTGAGCTGGTCACAGATCTTGCCGATGAACTGATGGGGCACCACAAAGATCAGGATGTCAGCATCCTCTGCAGCCTGGACCACATCTGGGACAGCCACCTGTGGGGGTGACCAAGTGCTCGCGGGCCTGGCAGACCTCCCCTAGCCCCTGTGGAACCCTATTCAGGAGATCTGGGAGCCAAAGAGTGAGGCTGGTAGGGGAGCAGGAAGGCTTGTTTGGGACTGAATCTAGAAGGACTGAACTTGGAGGAATAAGACACTCTACTCCCTCCCCCCAGCTACCACTCTGTCTCCCTCCAGCTGTCCTGGGCTCTTGAGGACTCCTGGAAACCTCATCCCAGCACTCTCCTATCCCTTGGCTGTGGGACAGTGCGGGAGGCCAAAAGCAGCCTGGGCTTGGCAAAAGAAAGAGCTCAAATAAGATTTCATCACCCAGCTCCTCAGGAACCCCAGCTGGGAAGGGGGAGCCCCAGCCTTTCTGCTCTCTTCCCTGCTTCCCCTTTCCAGGTGGGGAGAGCCACGTGGATTTGACCAAAGACCGTAAGTCCAAGGAGCAGCCTCCAAGTCGGCTACTCACTCAGTGAATGAGTAACAGGATTAGTGCCGGAGGCAGGCACTACTGGACCCCAAGTCTGGGAGCCCAGTCTTTGGCTGCCATGGAGACCAACTTGTTCTCCCATCCCTTCCCCACCCACCCGCCTGGGAGCCTGTGAGGGGAAAGCATAGGTTCTCCTCAGTCCTCAGGAAAGGGCCCAGAGCAGCCCTCCTGAGACCTTCCCAAGTCCTGCTGCACCTGAAGCGGCCCTCTCAGCAGGAGGCACCTGTTGAGTAAGGTCGGCTCCAACTCCTGGCCCTCCCTTCCTCTCCCTGTTCTTCGCAGGGTGTTGGGGCTCACCACATTTGGGGGCAACTTGTGCCCTGGCAGGTATTTGACATTCTCATGCTGCGTGTTGATGATCTCAGTCAGCTTTTTGCCTCCAATGTCTTCCTCAAATACCCACATGGTCACCCGTGGGTCAAACTGTGCCAGCTGGGCTGCATTGCCACCCACGATCTTGGCGATGGCTGAGCCCCTGGTGGGAGGGGGAGCACAGGAAAGTACAGGAGGAGGGAACAGTGGCAGGAGTTGGGGCAGCGCCCCACCTCAGGATCTCACAGCAGCCCCCCAGGCTGTTCACTCCTACCTACCTTCCTTATCACCTCCACTCCCATGACAAATAGTCCCCAGTGACCTGGCAGTAGAAAGGAGACTCAGTCTCCTCACCCTTTGCTACTAGAGAAGGGAGCCCCACTTCTCATCTTCCCACCCCCAAACTCAAGCGGCTCTTCACATAGAGAGCTCTGGAGACGCCTTCCCATGGTGAACAGGTGCAGCTGCCCAGGAGGGCGGGGGTCAGGAGAGGGCCGGGCACCGTCTGTCCTGTGCTGCTATGATAGAAGATAGCAGCAGGGGCTGAACAGGAACCTGAGGGCCTTTCCCACCCATTCTGCCTCCTACCCACCTCTGTCTTGGGGGGCCTACCCTTCCCCCATATCACTTGACAGAGCTGCTTACCAGTTCCCGGAGCCTACAATGCAGACTTTCTTGCTAGCCATGGTGCCGCGTCTCTGCCTGAGCCGGCTCAGTGCCACACTCCCTAGCTCCTCTGCCGGCTAGGAGCATTTAACTCCACCACACGTGGGTGCAGCCAAGCCCCGCCCTCCAGGGGTGGGTGGGGAGGCTGGCGCCCAGGGAGATAGAGAGTCTGGCAGAGCCAGGGAAAGGAGAGACAGGGGTACAGACAGGTGTGGAACAGGAATGGGGCAGAGACTAGGCCCAGCTTTTTCTCCTGGGCTCATCGGCTGACAGTGCTGGCAAGCTTCTTCCCTTGGCCCCAGCCCAGCTTCCCACCATGGTCTCATTTTGAGGTCTGCTAAGAAAATAGCCCAGATAAGGAGCAGGTGACTGCTCTCCCTTGCTCCTTTCTGTCCCCCAGCATGAAATAAATTGTATTTAGCTTCAGTAGCAGCTAGGGGAATGCTTTTCAGAGGTAGGCTCCTCCATGACCCCCTATCCCCCCGCCAACCCTGCCACATATCCTCACAGGACCCTGTTCCACAGTTCTGTCCTCCAGCAGGCCCACGCTAGCTCCACTGCAGGGCTGGGGTGGGGGATGTGGGCCCACTTCCCACCTCTAAAGATGAGGCCACATAAGAGGTAAGGGCCTGCTTTGAGGACAGCCCAGCTCAAAAAAGGATGAGAGACTCCAGGTGCCTCAAAAGACAAGATTGTCTTGGTCACCCACAGAGGTCATCTTGGGGACTCATCCATGGGCCTCTCAGATGATCCCCACCCAAAAATGTGTTCTAGGGAAGGTGGGAAAGGTTAAAGTTAGAGAGCTCTGAGAATTGCGGTACACAATTTTGTTGTAGACTCTGGGCTTAAGAGGACAGGAGAGAATAGGAGGCAGGCAGAGTGCACACTGTCCTTGAAAGGCTTTGAGCCTCCTTCAACTCCTCCTCTCAGGGGTTTCCAAGGTACTGCCCCAGGGGCTTCATCAGGTGAATGGCTAGTTTGCAGAGGCCAGAAAAGGGGAAGGCAGGCAGTACCCGGGGCAGCTGTGTCCGTGGGGCTTTGTGGTCTCAGATGCTGTGATTGGGGGTAAGTTTGGTGTATGTTTTTTGGGGAAGGGCGAGAATGGAAGGAGCACCCTCAGCAGTTCAGGGCTCTGCATCGCCCACGGCCATCTGTTTGTCTAAGACGAGGGAAGCTCTGGTTTCCAGGCTGATCTGGAGAGTGGAGCAAGAGGCTCCTAACACTGTGCACCTTGGCCTAGAGGGCAGACACCACTGTGTGCTCATGTGCTGACCTCCTGGCTTGGCAGACGGCTAGGTGGGTGTTGCCATCCCCCTGGGCTGTTGCTGGCCAGCAACTGGTAACAAGCACTGGGCTACAGGGGAGTCTGTGTGCAACCCATGGGTAGGAGTAAGCAGGCAGGAGGTCAAGACTGGGGAGAAATGGCTTTCTAAGTTCCGGGGACTGCCCAGGAAAAACCAACCATATTCTCCTTCCATGGCCAGTAATTTCCCATAGGGAAACGGACATGAAATCAGTAGTTGGCTGTTTTTCTTAGCACAATGTTATACCTAATACAGAAACAGCCTCCCACAGACCACTCCTTTATTGCACTGGCACTGAGATGAAGGCTCCAGTGCCAGGCTGCCAGCTGGGAGCACTGATTACGGGTGATGGAAGAGAAAGGATGCTTCTGTCCCTGGCACAAATGATGGGAGCCCCAAAGAATGGATGTTTATGCATAAAATAACCCCCTTGTTTTTGCCTAAATGCTTCCCTCTCTCATTTTGCCCCTACAATCATTTTAGATAGTGTGGAGACTAAGAATGTGCTCATTTACATGGGAATAAAGAGGGTGCAGAGATTCAGAATCGGCTCATCACAGGAAGTTATCTGTATCACTAGAGCTCTTTTCCCAAGAGCAAACTGTAGATTTGCTTGAAATTAATAATGGTTCATCAGCCATTCATTACACATGTAATTAGCCTGGGTAAAAACAGATGCCATTTCAATGTCCTTGACATCAATTTTCTCCACTCCTAGTTATCGGCCCAACCACTCCTCTCTGCTTTCCCTTCTCAAGTCTGATAAACCCCAAGTTCCGGAGTAGGAACAGTGGTTGGATTTTTTGGTGGGTTTGATTACATATATTGAACAGGCAATACTAGAATGTTCCCATCCAAACAGGCAAAGGATAATTTTTAAACTACAACTTTGGAAAGTGGTTGTACTCTGATCCTATATTCCAAACCCCATTCTTGCATAATGACAAAGGAAAAAAGTCATGAGCCTCCAAGTGGGAAGCAGGCAGAACTGCAGGCGAGTTTCAAGTGATTGCTAATGGGAATCCCTCCTGAGCTGTCTTCCAAACTCTGCCAAGGAGGGGCTAGTTGTCTACAGTATGAGGATGACAACACAGAACTTCCATGGTGCTCTTAAGAACCAGCTACTCAGGAGGCTGAGGCAGGAAAATCACTTGAACCTGGGAGGCGGAGGTTGCAGTAAGCCGAGAACGCGCCATTGCACTCCAGCCTGGGGAACAAGAACACAACTCCATCTCAAAACAGGCAAACAAAAACTGAACTCTTATTTGAACCATGAAAGCGGAACCTTAGAGTAGCAGGCACAGGCTGGGCACGGTGGTTCACACCTGTAATCCCAGCACTTTGGGAGACCGAGGCGGGCGGATCACGAGGTCAGGAGATCGAGACCATCCTGGCTAACACGGTGAAACCCTGTCTCTACTAAAAAATACAAAAAATTAGCCGGGCATGGTGGCAGGCGCCTGTAGTCCCAGCTACTCGGGAGGCTGAGGCAGGAGAATGGCGTGAACCCAGGAGGCAGAGCTTGCAGTGAGCCAAGATCGCGCTACTGCACTCCAGCCTGGGCAACAGTGAGACTCCGTCTAAAAAAAAAAAAAAAAAAAGAGTAGCAGGCACAAAAAGCAAAAATGTCTTTGGTCGTCCAGATCCTGCCCACATCTAAACAGAAGCCCTGGGGAAGAAGTGAAACTCCTCCAAAGGCGGCTCAGGTTCGTCAAACCTAAGGGATCACGGGCATCTATGGCTCACTCCAGCCAACAAGTGCTCTGGGGAGCTCAGATGGACAAGGGGGAAAATGACTGCCACCAACCTGTTAGTACCTGCCTAGCAAGTCGGGAAAGGGCTCTTAAGATCCAGTGGTGAAGCCCAATAATCCCAACCAGCAACTAGGCTGCTTGGACCACTGGGGCAGACAGCAATCTCTTAAGGTAAGACCCTGAGGTCCACAAAAGTAGAAATCTCATTTTCCACTTTATCTCCCGTGTCTAGCATCACAACTAGCACATAGCAGGTGCTCAATAAATACTTGTCAAATAAAATGAACAAACACTACAAGCGTGGCTAATGGTATTGAAGGAAGAAGAGCTCAGGGAAGAGCTCTCTCACAGTAGGTAGGAGGACCCATCCTTCAGAAGATTCTTTTATTAAAACTGGGTAACATCAATAAGGGGACAGTACAAAAAAAAGTTTGGTCCATGAAAAAAACAATTCAGTTAATAAAAACAGTTATCAACAGGGACACTGTGGGAAGTACTGAGCTTCCTTCTCATGGTTCCAGCCAGGAGGCGGCCAGGGCTCAGCTGCCCCAAGGTTGTCCAGTGTCAACCTTTCAAGGGAGGGAAAATGGCAGGAAGGGGAAGACGGGGAGAAAATTCTGCTGTCCCCAGTGTAGAACAGGGAGGGATTTGGGGGTGGGGGTGTGCTCGCAGGAGCCTGAGGAGGGGGTGGGGAAGCAGGGGCTTTGTCAGTTCTGTGGGTTTAGAGCCCATGCTGAACGGAATTCCCCCTTTGTGCCCAGCTGTCTCCCACCCTTGCTGTGTTGAGTCTGCGAGCCTGGGATATGCTAACTCGGGGGTGATACAACCTGGAAGAAGAATGTGAGGCTCTCCTGGAAAGATGCAAAAACCATCTCAGATCCAAGGGGCCAAGATCACAAGGTCCTGCTGCTACCTGAGGGGTCTGAAGCTTTGAGGGCAGGGGCTGGGGAGTCACAATCCTGTGAGGCAGGGAGAGGGAAGAGTCACAAACCCAACTCAGCGCTATTCTCCAGCCCTAGGCGCTTTCACTCCTCAGTGCCCTAGAAGTCACCAGTAGGTGTCAACTGGGCAGACAAGGGACAGGAAGACAGGGATGGCCCAGGGCTTTTTACCCGTTTGGTTTTAGGCCCGTTTCTCCATTAAGGGATGCAGAGGCAGGGTGGAGTGAGTGAATGAATGAGTCACATCTCCAAACAGCAGGAAGGAACAGCCTCTGCTGGCAATGACAGTTCCCCAGATGAGATCCCTGGGGCTCTGAAAGGGAAAGGCAAGATTCCCCCACCCAAATGCCCGGGATTAGGGCAGATCTGAGGGAATCACAAAGGGCAGCCACAGGGAGTGTCTGGGAGGGAGCAATAAAGAACAAAACTCCAATACTGATGTGGACCCCAACTAAGGAGTGAGAGAAGCACTGACAGCAGGCCAACCCAGAGGGCTGGGGACTGACCTGGGGCTCAGTGGAGCCCAAGAACCAGGGTTTCTGTAGTGCTACAGGGCAACAAGTGAAGGGAGAGTTTGTTCCAAACCTGTGGAGGGAAGGAAGGAAATTGGATTCTGTTATCAGGAGAGCCAAGATCAACTAGCTTATAGAGTGCCCACAGGCCTGAGTCTTGGAGAAGGAGCGAAAGCTCCCAACTCCTGGGTCTCTGAAGGGCAGGATCAGTTAGCTGGTCCCCTTGAAGACCACCTGGCCTGAGGCCCAATCCATTCCAAGCACTCATTACCACTACATGTTCTCTCTCTAACACTATCTAGAGGTCCTATGTAGACCAGGGGAGGGTACAGGCACATGGGAACTTTGTGGGGCAAAGGGAAGCTGGGGGTGGGAAGAGATAGGGTGAAAGAAGAGGATAACAGGTGTCTTGTGAGACCCTCTTCATTCTGGTGTTGTCCTTGAACCAACAGCATCCCCTGGAACGCCCCAAGCAAGACCAAGGCAGATACTATGAGGCAGGCAGCACAGGGCCCAAATCAAGAATTGGTGCAGTCGAATCAGGGCTGTGGGAGAGGCCCTATGTATTCCGGATTCCCAGGGCTTGCTCTAATTCTTGTCGTCTCTGCTGCACCTAAGGAGAAAATAGTGAAGGGAGTGGAAGATGAGACAAACCAGAAGTTGGTATCTAACACCACTGACCCCCATCAGGGGTGAAAACCCCGTGCCTTTTGTCAATTTCCCCCGTGCACCCCATGTACTTACCTTGGAGTAGAAGTATCGGCACACAGCCTCCTGAGCCCAGGGCTGGAAGTAGAACTCAGCTCGGCGCTCCTCCTCTGGGTTACCCACCACATCAGTCATTGTCTGAGGGAAATGGAGATGCAGGGTGGAGGAAGAGAGAGGAGAAAAGGCTTGTTTCCTTCCTTCACACCCATTATTGGGTAAATTGTATCCTTCCCCAAAATGTTGAAGTCTAACCAACCCCTAGTACCTGTGAATGTGACCTTATTTGGAAATAGGGTCTCTACAGATGCTCAAGTTAAGATGAGGTCATTAGAGTACCCCCTAATATGACCGGTAGGTTCCCTTATAAAGAGGGGAAATTTAGACATGGAGACAGACACATACAGAAGGAAGACAACGTGAAGTCACACAGAGACCACCACCTACAAGCCAAGGAATGCCTGAGGTACCAGAAGCTGAGAGATGCACAGAACAGAGTCTCCCTCCCAGCTCGCGGAAGGAAGCAGTGCTGCCCACACTGATTTTGGACTTCCAGCCTCCACAACTGTGAGACAAGCCTGTTGTTTGAAACTGCCCAGTTTGTGGTAGTTTGCTACAGCAGCCTCAGCAAACTGATACAACACCCAGTCACCTCTGCAATCAACAAGTCGTTGCCTTGTTCAGGGATCTTTCCTGGCATCCCTTTTTCCTTGCTCCTCTGCTCAGCCTCTCTAACTCGTCACAGTCAGCACAGGAGGGGTGACAACGGATGAGTTCATACTCTGTGCCCATTCCTATCTTCTTGTCTGAGCTTACTGTGCTCCCCTTTCTGGGAACGTCTTCAAATCCCAAATTTTCCATGAAGCCTTCCCCAGAGATTCTAGTCTCACTGATCTCCCTTATCTGAATCATCTTATTGGTCCTGGTCAGTCTAATAATGTCTTTTTTTTTTTTTTTTTTTTTGAGATGGAGTCTCACTCTGTCAGCCAGGCTGGGAGTGCAGTGGCGCAATCTCGGCTCACTGCAGCCTCTACCTCCCAGGTTCAAGCGATTCTCCTGCCTCAGCCTCCTGGGTAGCTGGGATTACAGGCACCCGCCACCACGCCTGGCTGATTTTTTTATTTTAGTAGAGATGGGGTTTCACCATGTTGGCCAGGCTAGTCTCAAACTCCTGACCTCAGGTGATCTGCCCTCCTCAGCCTCCCAAAGTGCTGGGATTACAGGCGTGAGCCACCGCACCTGGCCTGATAATGTCTTATGTGGTTTACTACTTTGTATCATACTAGCCTAGTTTCTTTTTTTTGAGACAGAGTTTCGCTCTGTCACCCAGGCTGGAGTGCAGCGGCACGATCTTGGCTCACTGCAACCTCTGCTTCCTGGGTTCAAGCAATTCTCCTGCCTTAGCCTCCCAAGTAGCTGGGATTACAGGCGCGCACCACCACGCCCAGCTAAGTTTTTGTATTTTTAGTGGAGACGGGGTTTCGCCATGTTGGCCAGGCTGGTCTCAAACTCCTGACCTCAAGCGATCCGTCGGCCTCGGCCTCCCAAAGTGCTGGGATTACAGGTGTGAGCCACCATGCCCGGCTATACTAGCCTAGTTTCTTCAGACAGAATGTAGGCTGCTTTGAAAGCAGAGATCAGGTCTTCCACTCTGTATCCCTGACAAGATGAAGCACAGTGACAGACAAAGTAAGCACTAAATCAACACTTGATGGCTCTGCCCCCATTTCCCTGCTTAATTGCAAAATGGACCCTGGAACATGCTAAAGAAAAATCTGGCCCCTCACTCCTTCCTCTGGGTCTCCTACCAGCTGCTACATGAATAAAGCAGCTGTGCACCTCACTGACCTAAGTCCCTTCAGACCTCTCCTAGGTTCTTTACCTTGAGGTCCCTGCACTGGGACTGAAGCCAGTCATTGATGAAACCCTGAGGGTCTCTGGCAAAGCTCAGCATGAACTCCCGCTGAGTCTTCAGCTGGTTGATGGTTTCTATTGTCTCATGGATCTGAAAGGAAGAACGAAGCTCATACCATTTTCAAACTAGAAAAATGAGAAGTTAAATGGCAGGTGGTGCCTGACAACTCCACATGCCACTTCCAACCTAGTCACCATGCTGCCCACAGCTGGCACCATCATATAGAGCTCCAACTGCTCCGACCCTTGGCATTCTTTCAGCAAGTAATTTGCCCTTGTTTCTGTCTCTCTGTATACCCCATGTGAGGAAAGCTTTCCTTTTGGTCTCCACATTGCCCACTATGGGCAAAGCTACATGATGAATACTTACTCCACAGCACAAATGGGTCCAAAAGTGTTCTCAGGAAGAAAAGGACTGGCATATGGGGCTGTCTCATAAGCTCTCATCTCTGGGTTTTGTTCTCAACTCTCTTCTCATTCTGCATACTCCTCCCGGCAATTTCTTTGACTTGTATATCTTCCATTACCAGTGACAGGGTAATGAGTCCCCAGTCTGCAGCCCAGAGTCTATCTTCTATACTCCAACCAATCCAACTGCTTAAACTTGACATTAAACTCACTACCGTTTCTCCAATACCTGCTCCTCCTCCTCCCCTCTTCCCAGTCATAGTAAATACTACTGTCCACCCAAGCTAGAGACCTGGGAGGCATCATAACATTTCCTTCTCATTCATCCCTCACTCTAATAATCCAAACAGTGGCCAAATTCCTTCAATTCCACCTTGACACCTCTCAAATCTATCTACTTATCTCCACCCTCACTGTCGGGACTGTAAATTTAGGGCCTCAACACGTCTCACATGGATTACTGCACCAGCCTCCTAACTGGGCTTCCTGCCTCCAGCCCTGCCCTCTTGACAAATTATTCTCCATCCACCTTCCTGCAAGTGATCATTCTATATACAAATAGCATCAGTCCCTCCACTGGTAATGATCTCTCAACCAGCTGTCTTACACAGTCTTCGGGATGAAACATAAACCAGTTTTCCCTGAATCAAAGGTTCTTCATAATTAGGCATCTGGCTCCCTATCTAGCTTTCCTTCCCAAAACATCCCGTCCTCGGCACTCTATGCTGCATCTAGCATACTAAATGGCTCGTACTTCTTTAAGACACCAGGCTCTCTCTCTCTTCTCTGGACCTTTACATGCCCTATTCCCTCTTTCTGGAACGTCTTCTGCCTCCTATGCCCCCAGCACTACTATCCTTTTTGCCCTTTCATTAACACCCACTTTGTCCTTCAAGATTTAGTTGGGGCCGGGCGCGGTGGCTCACGCCTGTGATCCCAGCACTTTGGGAGGCCGAAGCGGGTGGATCACCTGAGGTCAGGAGTTCAAGACCAGCCTGACCAATATGGTGAAACTCCGTCTCTACTAAAAATACAAAAATTAGCCGGGCGTAGTGGCAGGTGCCTGTAGTCCCAGCTACTCAGGAGGCTGAGACAGGAGAATTGCTTGAACCCAGGAGGCGGAGGTCGTAGTGAGCCAAGATCATGCCATTGCACTCCAGCCTGAGCGGCAGAGCAAGACTCCATCTCAAAAAAAAAAAAGAAAAGATTTAGTTGGGGCATCAACTCTTCCAGCAAAGCCTCCCTTTCTCCTTCATGTTCCCAAAGCACTTTTGGCTTTATTTGCAAGGACTGCGTCTAGTAATAACAACCCAGATAACAATAATAGTAGCAGAAGTTACCATTTGTTGTTTTTATGTGCCAGATACAGTCTCAAGTCTTTACACACACTCCCTCATTTAATCGTCATAGCAACCTGATTAAAATAGGTACTATGGGCTGGGCGTGGTGGCTCACGCCTGTAATCCCAGTACTTTGGGAGGCTGAGGCGGGCAGATCACTTGAGGTCAGGAGTTGGAGACCAGCCTGGCCAACATGGTGAAACCTCGTCTCTACTAAAAATACAAAAATCAGCCGGGTGTGATGGTGGGTGACTGTAATCCCAGCTACTTGGGAGGCTGAGGCAGGAGAATCGCTTGAACCCAGGAAGTGGAGGTTGCCGTGAGGCGGGATTGCACCACTGCACTCCAGCCTGGGCGAGAGAGCGAGACTCCTGAAAAGAAAAAAGGAAAAAAAAGGTACTATGGTCTCTATTCCACAAATCAGAAACCGAGGCTCAGTGCTGTTGAGAGTATCCCCACAATCAGAATTCATTTGAGTCTGGCTCAAACCAGCACCAAGCACAGTACCTGACATATACTGGGTGTCACCGTATTTTGAATGAACACTAAGAATCAAAAGGAGGCCTTGAAGCTGTGATAGGGGCTGGTGGTACCCAACTATCCAGGGCACAGACCCCTACCTTGTTGTCTAGAGTAGCAATCTCCTGTTGGCTGGCAGTGGACAGCAGAAAAGAATTCATCTGGGTCTTCAAGGTGTCATCCACTTCAACATCAATGTCATAACAAGCTGTCTTTTTCTGATCATTCGGGTCAACACTGGACAGGAAACCAAAGGAGCCTGGTAAAGAGCTTGTCCCCTAAGACCTAATTACACAGGGTCAAAAAGATGACCCAGGATGAAGAGAAAAGGGGCTAACTGTAAAAGGGCCCGAGAACTTTCGGGTGTGACAGAAATGTTCTACACTTTATTGTGGCAGCTACATGGTGTACAGATCTGGCAAAAATCTTCAAACTACACTTTCAATTGGTATAATTTGTTATATATAAATTATACTTCAATAAAGTTGATTTATTTAAAAAGTCAATGGTAAAAATTCAAGCAGTACAAAAGGTATCCTGTGAAAAGTAGTTCCTTTCTCTCCAGAGGAAATCACTGCTACAGTCTCCTATATATCTTTCTCCCTTTAAAAAAAATATTTGGCAGCCAGGCGTGGTGGCTTATGCCTGTAATCCCAGCACTTTGGGAGGCCAAGGTGGGCGATCACCTGAGGTCAGGAACATGGTGAAACCCCATTTCTACTAAAAACTAGCCGGACGTGGTAGCTCACGCCTGTAATCCCAGCTACTGGGGAAGCTGAGGCAGGAGAATCTCTTGAACCCGGGAGGCAGAGGATATAGTGAGCCAAGTTCATGCCACTATACTTCAGCCTGGGTGACAGAGTGAGACGATCTCTAAAAATAAAAAAAATTCGGCGAGCCATGGTGGCTCATGCCTGTAATCCTAACACTTTGGGAGGCTCAGGTAAGAGGACTGCTTGAGCCCACGAGTTTGAGACCAGCCTACACCACACAGACCCCAGTTTCTACAAAAAATTTCAAAACAATTCCTGGGCGTGGTGGCACACATCTGTGGTCCCAGCTGCTCAGGAGGCGAGGTGGGAGGATCACTTGAGCCCAGGAGGTCGAGGATGCAGTGAGCCATGATTACACCACTGCACTCCAGCCTGGGCAACAGAGAGAGACTCTGTCTCAAAAAAGAAATAATAATAATAATTTTTAAAACTTTTTTGGCCAGGTGCGGTGGCTCACACCTGTAATCCCAGCATTCTGGGAAGCCAACACGGGCAGATCACTCAAGGCCAGGAATTCAACGCTAGTGTGGCCAACATGGCGAAACCTCAATACAAAAAGTGGTGCACGCCTGTAATTACAACTACTTGGGAGGCTGAGGCACGAGAATTGCTTGAACCTGGGAGGCAGCGGTTGCAGAGAGCGAAGATCATGCCACTGCACTCCAGCCTGGATGACAGAGCAAGACTCTGTATGTTTAAACAAACGAAGCCTTTCTTTTTTTTTTTAGATGGAGTCTTGCTCTGTTGTCTATGCTGGAGTGCAGTGGCGCAGTCTTGGCTCACTGCAACCTCTGCCTCCCCGGTTCAAGTGATTCTCCTGCCTCAGCCTCCCAAGTAGCTGGGACTACAGGCGCCCACCACCATGCCCAGCTAATTTTTGTATTTTTAGTAGAGATGGGGTTTCACCATATTAGCCAGACTGGTCTTGAACTCCTGACCTTGTGATCCACCCACCTTGGCCTCCCAAAGTGCTGGGATTACAGACGTGAGCCACTGCGCCCAGCCAAACAAATCTTTTTTTATTGTTTCAGAGACAGGATTTTACTCTGTTGCCCAGGCTGGACTCGAACTCCAGGACTCAAGTGATCTACCCACCTCAGCCTCTGGAGTAGCTGGGTCTACAGGAATGTGCCACCGTGCCTGGCTTTCTCCCTTTTAAACTAAAATTGACCCCAAAAATAAAGTCAAACACAAAATTAAAAGTGGTCTAACTTTAAGCATAGGAATATAGGACAGACCAACTTCTACTGACCTAATTTATAGGTTGAGGAGTTACTACTGTGTAAGTGAAGGTTCAGGGTCTTATCTTTTTTCTTTTTTTCCCCTCCCTCTCTGTCATCTTGTAGGTTCAGGGTCAAAAGAAAAAAAAAAAAAAAGCCCACCGGGTGTGGTGGCTCACACCTGTAATCCCAGCACTTTGGGAGGCCGAGGCGGGTGGATCACGTGACCAAGAGATCGAGACCATCCTGGCCAACATGGTAAAACCCCGTCTCTACTAAAATACAAAAAATTAGCTGGGCGTGGTGGCATGCGCCTGTAATCCCAACTACTTGGGAGGCTGAGGCAGGAGAATCGCTTGAACCCAGGAGGCAGAGGTTGCAGTGAGCCGAGATTGTGCAACAGAGTGAGATTCTGTCTGTCTCAAAAAAAAAAAAAAAAAAAAAAGAAAGAAAGAAAAGAAAAGAAAAGAAAGCCCTTACCAGAATTAATATGGAATAAAGGAAGGAAGACAAAGAGACTATATCCAACTACAGAGACACGCTGCTTTGAGAAGGAAATTTTCTTCACCCCCTATCTAGAGATGCCTTGCTCTCCAGCTTCTAAACAAAAAAGTGAACAGAGGTAATGGAATTGGGAGGCTCGGACTAGAATGCTGTACCATCCAGAGAAAAGATGGCTGCTGAGCCCTTCCATGAGTGAAGAGCTGGTAGATGTTTAACAACTGATCTTCCAAAGGAGAGTGGGAGGAAGTGCCCAGATGTGTGGCATTTGCTGATCTTTGGGCTTTAAATATTCTGATTTCAGCCGGGCGCAGTGGCTCACACCTGTAATCCCAGCACTTTGGGAGGCCAGGTGGGCGGATCACCTGAGGTCAGGAGTTTGAGATCAGCCTGGCAAACATGGTGAAGCCCCGTCTCTACTAAAAATATAAAAAAATTAGCTGGGCATGGTAGCAGGTGCCTGTAATCCCAGCGACGTGGGAGGCTGGGGAGGGAGAATTGCTTGAACTCAGGTGGCGGAGGTTTCAGTGAGCTGAGATCATGCCATTGCACACCAGCCTGGGCAACAAGAGCAAAACTACATCTCAAAACAAAACAAAACAAAAGGCCGGGCGCGGTGGCTCACGCCTGTAGTCCCAGCACTTTGGGAAGCCAAGGCGGGTGGATCACCTGAGGTCGGGAGTTCAAGACCAGCCTGACCAACATGGAGAAACCTTGTCTCTACTAAAAATACAAAATTAGCCAGGCATGGTGGCACATGCCTGTAATCCCAGCTATGTGGGAGGCTACGGCAGGAGAATCACTTGAACCCAGTAGGCAGAGGTTACGGTGAGCCAACATTGTGCCATTGCACTCCAGCCTGCATAACAAGAGTGAAACTCCATCCCAAAAAAAAAAAAAAAAATTCTGATTTCAAGCTACCAACATTACATTACTGTTCATGGGAAGAGATGCACAGTAACACATAAGCACATCATTATATCATATTTCCGCCAGATGGATACAACAGGCAAAAATAACCTCAAGAGCACAAATACAGGCTGGGCGCGGTGGCTCATGCCTGTAATCCGAGCACTTTGGGAGGCCGAGGCGGGCAGATCACGAGGCTCGGCGGGCAGATCACGAGGTCAGATTGAGACCATCCTGGCTAACATGGTGAAACCCCATCTCTACTAAAAATACAAAAAATTAGCCAGGTGTGGTGACGGGTGCCTGTAGTCCCGGCTACTCGGGAGGCTGAGGCAGGAGAATGGCGTGAACCCAGGAGGCGGAGCTTGCAGTGAGCCGAGATCGCGCCACTGGACTCCAGCCTGGGCAACAGAGTGAGACTCTGTCTCCAAAAAAAAAAAAAAAAAAAAGCACAAATACAATAAAATGTAATAATTAGGAAGTTATACATTTTGAATATATGTTACCCACTTTTAGTCTAATATATTTAATTATAAGTTTATGTAATTTAATTGTAAGTAACAGTGTAACAGTTGTGTTTAACAACCTGTTTGCAAAATTCCTGAAAATTTGACAACTGGCTTGTGCAAATCGGCACAAGGCAGCTCCGGCACAGCACTGCCTCCCACACACAGGCCTACCTGATGACATGATTAATGATGATAGGTTCTGGTGGCATAAGCAAGGCATGGAGCCGCTGAGGGATCTCTGAAAACTTCATACGTTGAGACTCAAAGATCTGTAGCAAAGGGGAGAAGCACGAGGTTAGCAGTTTGAGCATAACTAGTGTTCTAATGGATTCTAGCAAAAGAATGGGTCCATTACTTACCTGCTGCAGGTACTTGTCACAGATGACAAACTCCCGCTCGTGAGGGTCCTGGAGCTTATGTGTCTTAATATATTGCCACAGTGCTTGGATGATCACTGGACGAGTCTGGGTATGGATGCCCAGGAGTCGAGCTAGGCGGGGGTCTAATTTAAACTGGGGAGGCTGCAGGGAACCAAAGTATAGGGGATGAAGCTAGTTAGCTGCGTCTATATGCAGCAATACATTCAAGCTATTCAACAAATAATGTAGTGCTTTTTCTGGGACAGAAAAATTCTAGGAAGAACTCAGAGATGACTAAGACTCTATCTCTGTGCCAAAGTGGCAAATTATTCACAACTAGACATAAACTCTTTAAAGTGAGACTGCTGACGGTATGTGGCTGTGAAAGCTGGACCCCCTCACACCACCACAGAATACCTGGTAATCCAGCATCAGTAGGACAGTACACCGTACATTCACGTCTCCCGGCCGCTTCACCTGAAAGCCATCGGTCTCCTGGGTAGTGGCGGTCCTGTGCCACTACAGAGAGGAAGATGTCAGGGGGTGCTCTCCCAGAGGAAGAGCTGGGGTGGGAGGGAAGAGCTTCTGTAATGACTGAATATTCAACTTTGATTACTGAGGCTACTGGAGAAGAGTAATAGCATGAGGCATTTTAAAAAACTGCATATGGCTTTGGGATTACTGTCTGTGTATAAGTAGATTAACCTTTTAATTGTTTGTGGTTGATTTAAATAAGCCTCAATGTCCAGTGATAATTTTATCCACAAAATGGATAATACACATGTGAACAGTAACATAGCTATCATTTACTGAGTACTTACTATGTGTGACAGTATTCTAAGACATTTACCTGGATTATCTCACTTCCCGAACATCTATACAAGATAGGCACAATTATACTTATTTTACAGATGAGAAAACTAATGCTCAGCATAATAAAGTAACTTGCCTAGGTCAAACAGCCAGTAAGTGGCGGAGCCACCATTTGAGCTCTGATGTGTCTGATTCTACAGTCCACATTCTTAGCCACTATACTCTACTGCTATAAAATTAAATATATTTACAAGTTTCTATTGATTCTATGACTTACTTCCCTTATTAGATGGTAAAGACCTCCCCATGTCTCTTAGTGGTTGAGGTTAAGGGGCTGCAGCTACACTGGCAAAGAAAGGAGCAGGTTAGGTTCACTTGGAGTGCTGGCTGGACTGTCATTCTGGTTTTGCCTGTTTCCCAAAGAATACTGTTGCTAACATGGGCTTCAAAACGTTGTGCAATCAGGCATCATAATAAAGGATTTTTGGTGAATTGGAATGTAAATGTAAACAGAGCAGAGACCAAGAGGAAGTCCCAGATCTATAATGGTAACCTTGGCAAGTACTAGTACCCTATCAGTCAATCACTCTAATTACAGCAACTGCTGCCAGGAAAAATGGATAACTACATCTCACCATTATTAACAAGCAAGATACAGAGATGGCCTGGCACATACAAGAGGCCACCAGTAGACTTTCCCTTGAAAGAGGTGGCAGTGACCAGGATAGTAACATTAAAAAGATGGGACAAGTTAGGTTACAAGAGCCCTTGGTCCTAACTAAACATGCTAGTGCCACCTAGAGGTCAATGTGCAAACTGTACACCTGGAGCGGTACTGTGTACACCTAGAGTGACTACTTTATACCTCCCCATCTCCTTAGACATTAAAATACGGCTCCCAAGTCCATCATCCTCCAATCAGAGTCAAAGCCTAGAAGGCAGAGCTACTCACTTCTACCAGATGGTTGTCTGGCCCATACAGGTCTTTGTCCAGTTCAATCACCAAGGACTTAAAAAAGGAAGAGAACTTCCTCTTTTGTTTAGTGGCATCATATTTGGACAAGGCTGACTAGAGGAGAGAAAATAAAAATCACATTAGGAAAGGCCAGAAGAAACTTCCCAAGACAAAATCCTATGAAAAAGGAACCCCAACAACAATGGAAAAAAACTCAAAAAATATCTTCTGAATATCTCTTAAGAGAGATAGGCAAAGTAGGCATCTGCAGGTATTAAACCAATCATAGTAGCAACAGAACCCTGAAGAAGCAGCCTAGAACACATAGAGGGTCACTGTTTTACCCATCTCATTTGCCCAAGGGAAATGAGGCAAGTTAAGCAAACCATTGCACATAACTAAGCGAGTTTGAACAGAGAAAAGTCTGACTCTAGAGGGGAAATGAATCACAGGCAATAAGCAGCCAGAACAAAAACAGCTTTATTTGGACAGAATGACACCACCAGCAGATGGACCGGACCTATATAGAGAAGGAGGCTCTGACACTGAGCCCTGGTTCTCCTGCAAAAGTGCATTCCAACTAGCTTGCCTGCGAGCAGCTAAAAATAAGAGCCAGAGAATGTAAGGGAATGAGAGAAAGGTGAGCTTCCCCGAGGAGCTTCTGGGGTGGGAAGTTTGGGGACTATCACCTGTCAGCTGATGCTCCCCAGGAAGCAACAAAGAGCCTGTCAAGAGAAATCTATCCTACTTAAACTGTGGGGTGCCTCCAGTGAAAGTTGAGAAGATGGAGATACCACAAGGACTCAGAGAGGAAACACAGCCTCAAATTAAGTGCAAACTCGATTAAAAAAAAAAAACTAAATAATCTACAGATATGGCTAAATCCAATGGCCAGCAGCACCAAGAGGAAGGTAAACCACAAATCAGATCCCAGGACAATAAGGTTCTCCATATGATACCAGTGAGGGCCAAAGGTGTGGGGGCAAACACAAAGGACCACTGTCTTTCAGTGCAGGGAACAGTGTCCCTCTCCTTACTGCTCCCAAAAGGAGCTGTGAGCACCAGTTAGGCTTCCTGCTGACCAGACAACACTGTTCATTCCCAGCAGCTCCCACCCTAGATGCCAACCATTGTGGACCTTGAACTCACATCCTCCAGGAGCCGTCCTTCTACCCGAAGCTCCCAGGAAGCCACCGTCCCTTCCCCATCCTCGGCATCTGACTTAGCCGGATTGAAAGTGTTAGAAATGAAAATTCGCAGCTTCCGTTTTTGCTGAGGAAGGCAGAAACAGGATTGATCGTGGGGCTTCAGTGGTCTGATGTTGAAGACAACGGTCTCCCCAAACCCCAAAATTACTCCTAACAGACTGGCTTACTGTCTACCCAGTCCCTTGGGTGGGTGGATGAAGATTCCATTTAGAAGAGGAGTACTGGCCATCAGCCTAAGTACAAGTGCATATAGTGGGATGCCAGGTGGACAAAGTCATGCAAGGTGCCAGGTTCCCAAGGTAGCAGAGCAGTTACAGCGAAAACATGGACAAGGGTATATTTGTAGTGCAAGAGACATCAAGAGCCCCTCCCCCTTTGCCATTCTGTTCTTATCCTCCTAATGTAATTCTCAGTTTGTAGGCGGAAGGGAGAGATGCAATTTAAATGCCAAGGAGAGTTGTGCTGTGCCTTTGATTTCTCATCCTAATTCTGCTGAAGGTTCCTGGGTCCTCTCCTTTGGCTCTCTGCCTAGTACTTTCCTGTGTTACCTTGATGGGACGTTTCAAGGCCTCTTGGATATCTAGCCGTTTCCTCATGATAGTCTGGTCCAGTTTCCTTTCAAAAGCCAAGAGATCCATATAGGCCTGGGATTCTGGTACCAGTTCACGAATCTTAGGAACAGAAAAATTAATTGAAATCTAGGATGATCATCTCTATACTCAAACTCACCACACTTTCCAGAAGACATATAGCCTGGACTCACCCTTTGAGGTAGAATTTTGTCAGCCATCTTCTTTTTCTTTGCACTGTTGGGAATAAATACTATTATCAGGTTGGGACAGAACTAGTCAGAACGTGAAAATAAGCTGTCAGCACGTCCATTTATAGTAATGTGAAGGGACTGCAAAGCTTCTCTCAAAGAACTACCACCACCACCACCACCACCAAGCATTCTCAAGGATGAGTTCTGTAGCACCATCTGCTGACACAGCACCACCACTTCTTGGTTCAGGTACTCCCACCACCTGTGTCCTCCCAGGCTCCCTCCCTCCCTCCCTCTGCCCCAGGATCATCTTACTTGTGGTTTCGATTTTGGACCGCCTGCTGCTGGACCTGCTGGATCTGCTGAGGGGCAGGTCTCTTGCGGGACTGATCCATCCCTGACTGGGCCAGGCCAGGTCGGACTGAAGGGTTCCCCCCATAGCCAGGGGGTCCCATGGAAGGTCCCTGAGGTGTCATTCGGCTGCCTGGCAACATACCTGGTCTCTACAGAGGGGAGAGGACCCAGAGATGTCATGGTTTCACCTGCTAAACCCCATCAAGAAAGAAAAGCAGGGAACGCCTGAGATCTTTGAATGAAGTAAGGTTTAGGGATGGAATGGAGGACAATGAGAGGAGAACCCTTTGCTCCAGTAGTGACTCCATAGAAAAACAGAGTCCAAAAGCTAAGCGAGAGCCAGATTATACTCAAATTCTCAGTCTATTTTGGATGGGACACATCGGACATCGCCAGTTCCACATTTACTCTGCTAGCTACTATCTCTTTAGAAGCTGACCTCAATTTGTCAGCTACACGTTCTGTGTTCCTCTGATCACTGGAGCTGCTCAAGCCCCTTTGCACTCCGGCCCTCATACAGGTATCCCTGGACCCACTTCACCCACCCAGGTTCTCTACCGACTCCCCAGGGAAACAATGCCCCTAGGAGCAGGTGTGTAACTGCCTCCCCCTCTCTTTCTGCGCACTGCCTCCCCCAACCCCCACCCAGAGCCCGAACCCCTCCCAAGGGAGTCCCTCCTACTTCTCCCCCCACCCCTGTCACTCCCATGTCCCCGCTCGGCCCCGCCCCCGGCCCGCGCGCCCCTCCTCCTGCCCCACTCACCGGATAGGCCGCTCCGGGCATCGGGGAGCGGTACAGCCCTTGACCCGGAGCCGGGCCCATTCGCACAGGAGGCCCCGGAGTTCCGCCCGGGCCCAAGGCAGCAGCCGCGCCCGCCCCTCCTGAGGCTCCGGCGCCGCCGCTTGGAGCCACAGACTGGAAACCCGCCCGGGCCGCCATCTTCCCGGAGCCGCCGATGCAGCCGCACAAAGAACCGGAACCGGAACTCCCCCCGCCCCCCGAGCGCCCCCCGAGCGCCCGCCTGTTCCCCCGGCCGGCCGGCCGGCACGGGAGGCTCAGGGCAGCGAGACTATGGGATAGAGCGGGGCGACTAGCGGAAAAGGCGTGCTGGCCACGCCCTCCCGCCTTCACGGTCCGGGAGGGAAAACCATAGAGAAGAGCTCTGCAATAGAGAGGCCGCGTGAGCGGGCGCCCCCAGGCCGACGGGAGGAAGACAAGGACCTGGAAAGGGGGACGGACCACAGCCTCAGCCCCAGTCTCAACCCCAACTCGAGCCCTCTGATGAAGAGGGGCTTGGAGTAATAGCTTCATCTTGGCGCATGGCGTTAACTTTCCAAAACGCTTTGACTGCTTTTCGTTTCGTTTTCTTACTGCTATAACTATCAGGGGCTGAGGAGGGAAACACAGTTTATTCCATTTTACAAATGGGAAAGCTGAACTCACAGGTGAATGACTTGGCAAAGGTCAACCAGCAAGTTAGCCATAAAGCCGAAGCCAAGATTCCAGATACCCTTGCTCATAGCCCGGGACTCATTCCACAGATAAAGTGCCTCAATAAGTACCTCACGTGGGAACTTCATCCTAACTTTCTCTCTGACCTAACCTGCTTCCGGATTATTATTTTTTATTTTTTATTTTTTTTTAGATGAGGTCTGTCTCTCTCTCGCCCAAGCTGGAGTGCAGTGGCACCATCTCAGCTCACTGCAACCTCCGCCTCCCAGGCTCAAGTGATCCTCCCAACTCAGCCTACCAAGTAGCTGGGACCACAGGCATGCACCACCATGCCAGACTGTTTTGTATTTTTGGTAGGGATGGGGTTTCGCCATGTTGCCCAGGTTGGTCTCGAACTCCTGAGCTCAAGCGATCTGTGCTCCTCAGCCTCCCAAAATGCTGGGATTACAGGTGTGAGCCATTGTGCCTGGCCTCAGATTTTTTTTTTTTTAAATATTAAAAAATAGGGATGGGGGGCTGGGCACGGTGGCTCATGCCTGTAATCCCAGCACTTGGGAGGCCCAGGCGGGTGGATCATGAGGTCAGGAGATCGAGACCATCCTGGCTAACACGGTGAAACCCCGTCTCTACTAAAAACACAAAAAAATTAGCCGGGCGTGGTGGCGGGCGCCTGTAGTCCCAGCTACTCGGGAGGCTGAGGCAGGGGAATGGTGTGAACCCGGGAGGCGGAGCTTGCAGTGAGCCGAGATCGCGCCACTGCACTCCAGCCTGGGCGACAGAGCGAGACTCCATCTCAAAAAAGAAAAAAAAAATAGGGATGGGGGTTTCACTATGTTGCATAGGCTGATCTCGAACTCCTGGCCGCAAGTGATCCACCTGTCTCAGCCTCCCAAAGTGTTGGGATTACGGGCATGAGCCACCGTGCCAGCCTGCTTCCAGATTTTATGATAAGTTCCAGTTTATCTTGAATTTTGACTCTGCTCTCTCTCTCTAAAGCATCCTTTGTATTGGGGATTCTGTTTTGGAACTTTGTTGCCTTTGACTTCTCCCTCTTTCCCTGCCCAGTGGTTCAAACTATTCCTGATATAATGGTCAGCCTGTCCCATCCCAGGGGGACCACAGTGTCCCTACTCAAACCTTCTCCTTACTCATCCCCTAATTGGCCCCAAACCAAGCTCAGCTTTAGGCACTTAGTGAGAATATCTAAATACTTTTTCAAATAAGAGAACAACACTGAAGAGGAGATGGTTGAAACCCAGTTTATTAGACCAGAGGCATGCGTCACCCAGAGCCCTGCCTGCTGTTCCCCTATCCAATGCACACTTTTTGGCCTCATTCCTGCTTCCCTCTGGGGAGGTATGATCTCTGAGGAAACTCTTAGGAACCAAGAGATTCCAAAGATCCTACAGCCTTACTCTCCAGCTCCAGGCCAATGCAGCTGCTCACAGGTCCTGTTCTGGGATTGAAGACCAAGACACAGCTAGGGAAGGAAGGCCTGAAGAGGGGTTGGGGCTCAGGCCTGGAAGGAGTGTCTGGTGGAGGGAGGGGGGGCAGGCCCTCCACCTCACTTGTCTCTCATTAAGATAGGGTGAGACAACAGCAGAGCTTTCAACTCCTCCTCTAGGCCTCTCTTTCCTCCCAAACCCACCTCACCAGAAAATAAAAGTGGTGGGCTTGGGTATCAGGTGAGGAAAGGGGGCTGGGCACCCAGAAGGAGGAAAGGCCACTGACTGAGGACCTCAGCTTCTGCCTGTCAGCATCCCACTGCCCCAACTTCAGGAGTCGCCAATCCCCAGCTCCCTTCTGTCTCTGACACACTTGGCTTAGTGTCCAGGGTAGACCTCCATCCCCTGGGTGGGGGCTATCTCTACAGCAACCCCTTCCCTGGGGATGCCACTGTCAGCTGGGCAGAGGGCAATGGGATAGGAGGAGCAGGGGAAGAGAATGTTAAGGCTGCAGGGAGGGCCGAGGGTGCCCGGGTTGGGGGAGAGGGTGAGGCCAGAAAGAGGCAGAGCTTGTGATTCACAGCTTCCTTTGTCGCCACTGAGACAGTGCAAAGGTTACAATGCGCGTGTCGTCTCCTTGTGCTTCTCAGAGGGATGTGTGTACACAGTACAGACACCAGGGGAGAGAGTCCAACTCTTTATACAGGCGAAGGCATTCAGAGACCAGGGAGGGAGTAGAAACATAGAAGGTGGAACTTGGGGTGGGAGAATGGTTCTCAGAGACAAGAGGGGATGGGGTGGAGACAGACAGGGCTGGGAAAGTATATACAGAGATATAGCAATATAGAGTCTGTATCATATAGAAATAGAAAATGCAGATGAGGTTGTTGAGAGAAGCAAATGAAGTTGGGGAAGAGGATGTGGGAGAGTTCCATAAGAAAATTTATGGACGTGGCCCTCTACAAGGGCCTCCGGGAGAGGGACCAGTGAGGTTAGGCACTAGCGCCCTTCTCCCTGAGCTGGACGCTAACCAGCCCGGTCTTTAATGGGATGGTGAGGAAGGGCTGCCTCTTGGGATTTCTCTCCAGCAGCTGTGGGGTGGGGGTGAACTTATAGGTATCAGGATGTAGCCTACAGCACCAGGGCCGCATCTTGTCCCCATTACCACTTCTTAAGGGGATCCCCGACCCCCACGAGATTCCACATGGTGTGAGAGAGTGGGGCTGAGGTTTTAGTTCCTGCCAGGAGACTTGGGTTTGGGGACAGTCACTGGGCTGAGAGGGTCTCTTAAGGCTGGGGAAGCCTCCCTCCCCCACACTAGCCCTCCCCCTTAAGGTACATTCTCTGGTTTGGGGCCAAATTCCAGACCCCAGAGATCCCTTCCACCCCTCACTGGGAAGGGCCTTTGGTGACTGGTGGCAGCAGAATGTAGATGGACACTCAGATGGCAGACAGCTAGATAGACAGAATTCAGGCTGGGAGCTAGGGGAGGCAGCATGGAGGAGAGAGGGGCAGCCTGAGGTCCCTTGCCCCGTTCTCCCTTTTTAGTTCTTTTTTAGATTAGTTTTGTTAAATGTAAAAAGAATGGGATAGAGGCAGAGAGAGGACTCTATGGTCAAGACTCCTTCCTTACCACAGACAAGAGGAAAGATCTGCCCCGGAGTGTGGGGAGTCCCCAGGGCAGATGTGAGGAGGCAGCTGGGGGCCCCCTCGCTCTCCTAGTCCTCCCCATCTAGGCCTTTGGTTCAGCGGCCTGCGGGGCTCAGCAGGTAAAGTCCTCGAACGTGCCTCGGGCCGGATGGTGAGGTAGGATGTTGGCAGCGTATGTCATCCCGGCAGGGTGGCCCCGAAGGCTCTCGCACGGGTTCTGGGGGAAGGGGACAGGACAGGGACGGGTTATCCCTCGGAAGGGCTTCAGGTAGTGCTGGGGCATTCGGGAGGCAAAGGAGAGAAGGTGGTGGCAGAGGCGGGTGGGCGGGGGTGGACGGGGTTCCTGGGGCGGTGGAGGCACAGGCGGGCTGGAGGGCGCCCTCGCTCGCTCCCTCACGTGTCTTTTGACGTCGTCCAGGCTGAGGGCCACGCCC
This sequence comes from Homo sapiens, assembly GCF_000001405.40. Lineage (NCBI taxonomy): Eukaryota > Metazoa > Chordata > Mammalia > Primates > Hominidae > Homo > Homo sapiens. The sequence continues at coordinate 50,081,327 of NC_000012.12, read as the reverse complement.
TTGTCCGCACTGCTCCTTTTGGCCTCCTTCTGGCATTTTCCTCGTCGGCACAGCTTGTGCTTAATGACCTAGGACGGGGACGGGGCAGGTGGGCGGGCTGGACCCCGCCCCCACGTGGCCCCGTGCCGGGCCTCGCCCCCGCTTACCTCGTAGGCGTAGTCAAAGAGCTCCAGCACCGTGAGGATGCTGGCCCCGATGAACAGCCCCATCTGGCCCCCGATGTCACCTGCGGGGGCAGGCGCCAGGGGGGTCAGTGGGGTCAGGACATCGTGGGGGCAGCAGGGTTTACTGGGACTGGGGCAGGCAAGTTGTATTCTCAAAGGGATTGGTAGCCTTCGCACAGAAGGATCGCAAAGCCAGATTCAGGTGGAATTTTTGTTTTCTTCTCTATGCTTTTCTGCGTTTTTCTACCTTTCTAAAACAAGCAGGTGTTTTTCAAGAAAAATAATCGTTTACAAAATACCACAACCCTCTTAGTTTAGGGGCATATGAAATAGTCTCCACTTCCATGCCTACCCCTCCCTCATGCCCACAGGCCTGTCTTTTCTCTTTTCCACTTTGCCCTAAGAGAAGGCTCAGTTCCCTTCCCTCACCACTTACCAAGACAACAGGGTTTGGGGAAGGGCCTCTGGGGTGGAGGACCCTCATGGGACAGAAGTGAGCACCCTGCTTTTGGATGATAGGGAGCCACGCCATGCCCATGGCATGAGAAGGGGACAGGTGTCATCAGCAGCTCACCCAGGAGCCCTGCAATCTCATAGGCCTTCTTCTGTTCAATGGTCTCATAGTTGAGGACTTCAAAGAAAATGTCCAGCACCAGGATGTTCTCCCTGCACAGGGATTGGGGGAGGAGACCTAGGTTCAAGTCATATCTCTATCTCTTACTAACCAGGTGACCTTGGCAAGGCAGCCTCTCTGAATCTCAGTTTCCATATCCATAAAATGAGATGCTGATGGAGATACCTGCCTTTTAGGATTAAATGAGATGGCATATATGAAAAAATGTTCTGTACCATATGCAGTATGCATCAAGTATAAAGTGACTCCGGTTACAACAATGAGGATGAAGAAGGAGGAGAAAGGGGTGCTTCCCTGCTTATTCTGGCTTGATCTTCCCTGCATACCCACCCTAGACTCTTTGCTTGCCTTTTGGACCTTCCCCGTGTTATCTCAAGTTCCCCCTGCCTGCCAGCCCCCGCCCCCATCAAACCCCACTCATCCATTCCACAGTCCCAACCCAAGGGCCTTGCTCTACCCAGCCAGAGCCCTTACCCTATGTATTGCTCAGATTTGTTGAACTTCTTGGCCAGGTACTTGGCTGAGGCTTTGCTGGGGATCTTGACCATGGACAGCTCTTTGCCATAGCGGGTCAGGTTGCAAGGCATTTCACACACGCAGTACTCCTGGTCCTTCTCCACCAGGAAGTCTGCACTCAGCCAGGTGAGAGGTCTCAGTTGAGTGGTGCCCTTCTGCCAGCACCTTCCCACATGCACATCCTAGCTCTGCCCAGAGAAACTCTGGGCCCCTTTCTCTTTCCGTGACCTGCCCTTCACCCTGCCTGGATGCTAAACTCTGCCAACATCCTACCTCACCATCCAGCCTGAGGCATGTTTGAGGACTTTACCTGCTGAACCCTGCAGGCCACTGAACCAACGATGTAGATGGAGAGAACTAGGAGAGTGAGGAGAACCCCAGCTGCCCCCTCACAGCTGTGTCTACCATGTGCTAATTCTCACCAAGCCTCCCCATGGATATTTCTTACTCTTATATCTCACTTCCTCAGGACCCTCCAGGGTCAACCAGCTGAGGGGCTGATGAAAGAAGATGAAGGCCATTCCCAGGTGACCTCTGTTCATTTTTCATAGGGGCCTCTGAAGATGCTATTCTCAACTTTATTGATTATTATTATTATTCTCAGACAGGGTCTTGCTCTGTCACCCAGGCTGGAGTGCAGTGGTGCAATCTCGGCTCACTGCAACCTCACCTCCCCGGTTCAAGGAATTCTCCCACCTCAGCCTCCAGAGTAGCTGGGACTAGAGGCACATGCCACCATGCCCACATAATTTTTTTTTAATTTTTCATAGAGTCAGGGTTTCACCATGAAACCAGGCTGGTCTCGAACTCCTGGGCTCAAGCAATTTGCCCACCTCAGCCTCCCAAAGTGCTGGGATTACAGGTGTAAGCCACCATGACTGACCATTCTCAGCTTTAATGTCAGACACAAGAGAGGGTGCAGCCCAGTCCAGGAGTTATGTGAGGCTTCTGGGAGCGTGACCTGAAACTCCTGCGCACGTGGCTGGCAGCACCTTTTCCCTCCCCCAGACTGCCCCAGGCCAGGGGCGCTCACCCAGAGCAGGATCTGCACACTCCTTGTACTGCTCTGGAGTACAGTATGGGGCATCCCCTACAGAGGAGAAAAGACAATGATGCAGGATGGGAATTCAAGGGGTCTGGTGATGGTGGTAGTACCAAAGGCCTAGAAGGTGTAAGCTGGGAGAAGATGGGAAGGGAGGACTGGCAGGCCCCCATGCTGCCCCAGAAGTGACCCACTCCAGGTCCATACCTTCTAGACCCTTCCCACCCATCCCTGGGGGTGCAGGCGGGAACTGAGGTCAGAGAGACATGAGCCAGGTGGGTGTGGGATGGGGTGGGCTGGAACTGGGGTTGGGAGATTGATATGGATGGGGAGCTAGTGAAGGGCAGCAAAGGCCCAGGGACCCCAGGAGTATGCTCGGAGCCCCAGGCCTGACCTGGCATGTGCACCATGCGGCAGTTGCAGTTCTCCACCAGGTAGCGCGTCTCACAGTCGATGCGGCAGGCAGTGATGCTGTAGGAGTCGAAGAAATCCAAATCCGAGTCCATGGTAACAGCTTTGCAGGTGCCCCAGGGTGGGGGCAGGTAGATGAGCTGCTGGGAGAGCCGGGGAGCTGGGGGAGTGCGGGGACTTCTCCCCAAATCAGCTTGATGGACTCCTCTGACAAGATGCAGATCTCTGGAGTTCTGCTCCCCTCTCCCTCTGCAGCCTCCAAAGGTCTCAGAGTTTACAGAGCATTCTTGTTCATTCGATCACTCATGCTTCTGACTAGCCAGATTACCACCCAGGTCCTTGCTCACCTGTCCTTCCCATTACTGATTGCCCACCACTCCATCTGGACCCCTCAATACCCCACCCCAGGACCAGCCTCCCATGGCCCTCTCACCCGCTGCTCCTGGCAGGCCACAAAGGTCTGGAAGCCTGGGGCCACGCCAAAGCCCAGCTGGTCGATGAAAGGAGGTTCATCCTGACTATGGATCTGCACTTTGATGCCTGCTTCGAAGGACGTCTCGTCTAGGGGAATGAGGAGTGTGTGGGTTGGGAGGGCTCCTGACTCCCTAACACCCCTCAGACCTGGGGGCATCCTACCTCTCCTGGAAATAAGCATAGGGTGCACTGGGGCTGGGGTGGGGGAAGTCTATAGGGTCCTAGCCCACCCCCTAGCCTCCTTCTGGGTTTACCAGCTCTGAGCTGCTCCGATGACCCCTGTATCCTACACACTTCTTTTCTTACCTGGCTTCTGCTCTGCATCTTGATGTTTCAAATACTTTCTCCCAGAGTGTCACTGTTTCAGATGCTCTCCATTTCTCCCACTCCCTTTTTCCCTTTTCCCCCATCTCTCTCTGCCCCAAGGCCCCCCGAGACCAGACAGGCAGGCAGCCCGAGAAGAGAGGGAGTTATTTATAGAGTGGCGGCGGCGTTGATGGAAGAGGATGGCTGGTTACCTTGGAGAGTAACTGAACCAGGAAGTGGGAGCCAGAGAGATGTGAGTGTGGAAGTCAGGTAGAGTCAGTGATAGAGATGGTGAGATGCTGGAGGGAGAGGGGAAAGCCCGGGCCCTGCCCAGGTCTCACAGTGAAGCCCAGGAATCCCCTGGCAGAGGCTGGGGCCTAGAGCCATGCAGAGGGGCCCCTGAAGTGGGTGACGTACCAGTCTCCCCCCACACAGGCAGGTACTCGTCCTGCTGGATGTCCAGCATGATTTCCAGCCCATTGCCCGTCCCACCCTTCATGGTCTTCAGCCGCGGCCGCCCATCTCGGCCCGAGTTGAACGTGTAGCACTTTCCATAGCGTGTGAAGACCTGGCGAGGGCAGAGTGGAGAGCCTAAGAGTCCTGCCAGCACCCTCTACTCACCAAGGGCTGTTCCTAGCCACCCCAGCTGTTGGAATCTCAACACCCTTTGGGAATGGTTCCTCCCGTGCAGCCCATTCTCCATTTGCTCCCCTCTCCCACCTGTTTCTCACCCTTTCTTGCCCTCTGTGTGCCCTGGAAAACTGTTCCTGGTAGGGTGCATCGCCTGAGCTCCTTTGCCACCTGCATGGGCTTCTAGTTGGGGTTGACAGTTGGGAGGTATTGGTAATGGCTCAGAAGGCAGGAGGAAAGATTGGGGTATGAATCCTTCCCCAGCCCTCGCCCCTCTGTAGCTCTAGTAGTGCCTTAGGCCCTCCATGATTACAGATCCTGCCAGGGCTCCCTACAGAGCACTGTCTTCTTTTGTGCTTCTTCAGCCTAGAAGTGATAACGATTTCCTAGTACTGCTCACTGCCTCAGTCCCCCTTATTGGTTTCCTTAACCCTGCCCCCAGCTCTGTCAGCAGTCCCTTTGTTAAAGTCTTCAATTAAATCATCAAGTAGCTGTCTTTTTCCTGCCAGGACCCTGACATATACATTTTCATCACCAGGATCCTAACACGGCCCCTCCTTGGGACACTTTCCTCAGGCCCAAGCTCCTGAGGCCCTCCAAGACATATCTTCTCTTCTCCTAGATTTCACTCTGGGAATCTGAAATTCTGCTTTCCCCAAGACCCAAACTCAGTTTTTTTTTTTTGGGATGGAGTCTTGCTCTGTTGCCCAGGCTGGAGTGCAGTGGTGCGATCTCAGCTCACTGCAACTTCCGCCTCCTGGGCTCAAGTGATTCTCCTGCCTCAGCCTCCCAAGTAGCTGGGATTACAAGTGCACAACATCACACCCGGCTAATTTTTGTATTTTTAGTAGAGATGGGGTTTCACCCTGTTGGCCAGGCTGGTCTCAAACTCCTGACCTCAGGTGATCCACCTGCCTCAGCCTCCCAAAGTGTTGGGATTACAGGCATGAGCCACCGTGCCCAGCCAAACTCAGTTTTTTGGTTTCATTCAGCCCCTAGCCCCTTGGGTCCATCATTATTCCATTATCCCATTATCAGCAGAACCTGAAAGTAGACCCAGTTGCCATGCCAAGGACCACACTCAACCAAGCACCAGCACCTCTTCTTCCAGCACTTGGGACTGAGCCCCCAGGGCATGGTGTGTGCGTTAATGCTTTTGCAAAACTAGGAGGGCCTCAGAAGATATCTCAGCCCCAGGGGCTGTCTCCCCAGTCTTCTCCCCACTCCATGCCCCAGTGCAGCCCTGGTCACAGTGCTGATTAAAAAGCTGCAAAGAGAAAAGTAAACCAGTTATCCTTGGCCTTTTCCCCACAGCCTCCTTGAATGTCCCCAAGTTGGGGTGGCTGTGCTTTTACTACTGCTGGATGGTGACAAAGTCCACAAAACAGGTCATAAGGTGAGTCAATACAGCCCAGAGCAGGGGAGAGACAAAAGAGTTTCAGGCCAGACTGGAGCAGCAATGGCAGTAGGTTACTAGGGAATACGGTCTTTGCCCCCTTCCCCCTTCCTAGAACAGCCTCCTCCATTGACCTCCAGAAGAGGAGACATACTGCTCTCCCCACTTTGTGGGTGAGGTCCAGAGATGAGGCAAAGAGAGAACTCCAAGGGCTCCTAGTCCCCAGCCCCATGACCAGGTCTTGCGGCACCCAGCCACAGGCTCCAGGCTGGACATATGCCCATGCCTACACTCCATCCGGAGTTGTATGGGATTAGAGGTGTCTGAGGCCGGCTAGCAGCCCTGTCTTGCGCCGGTTCAGAGGACAGGGCTGCTGTACAGTGGATTGCTGCTGCCACCTGGTGGGCCTGGGTGAGAACTGTCTGCTCTACTCTCGGGCCCAGAGGTAGACACATTCCTATGGCTCCTGGCCTGAGGCCCAGTGGCCCAAACCCCCAGGCCCCTGTATGCCTGCAGTCATCCCATGATGCACGGGTATGATGACACCCCCTGCCCCTACGCTAGGGAGGGGGTGGAGGACTGAGGGATGGGTGTGTGGGGCAGGGAAGGCCTGGCATCTGGGAGCTGGTGGGGCAGGAGAGCAGTCAGGCCAGACAGACCTGGAAGATGAACTTAGGAGAGACAGTGGGGTACCAGGTGGCCCCCCAGCAGGGAAAGCCCTGGACCCCTGGGTGGGGGGCCAAGCAGAAGGACAGTTCCCAGTGAGAGCTTCCCCTAGGAAGAGGGTCCCTGGCCACTTAAAGCTGGGGAGAGGGATATGATTTAGAGACCTGTTATTTACCCTCAGACACACACACACACACACACACACACACACACACACACACACACACAGAGCTGGTGGGGGTGGGGCGTCCATAGGAGGGCACAGGAAGACCAAGTGAAGATGCAATGAAGTCCCTGCTGCAGGAGATGCTGACAAGGGCCATGGTGGGGTGGGGTTGGGGGATATCCCCACCCCTCTACTGTCACCCTTTCACTCCCTTCTCTTGTACCACCAGAGACCAGGCAGCACCCACCCCAGCTTCAGTCCATGGGTGCTAGTCAAAATAGTGAACAACTGGCCAGGCACTGGCGTCCACCAACAGATCAAAGGTTGACCTCACAGATGGAGCAAGGTCCCGGGCCCTGCTGGACCATGAGGAAGTCTTGAGAAGGGCAGGTAAAGCTGGAGGACATGTTGGGAGGCAGCAGCAAAATACCAACTAAGACAGACGTGTTTCAAGATTCTAACAGGAAAAGCAGCACTGGTGTGGACCTGGGAATACCAGCCCAGCTCCAGGCCCCGGACTCCTGGGTGAGCTCTGGCCTGTGTCAGCCAGATGAGGTAGGGGGCAGCACAGTCATCAGCCCCAGCCCCAGCCCCAGCCCCAACCCCAGGAGGTGACAGTCAGGGACAGCCATGGCAGACACTCTTGGGGTACTGTGGCAGGCATGGGGCTCCACTCACCACTGAGAAGTTGTGAGGGCCGCAGGGTCCCCCTTGGTAGGAGCAATAGAGCAGCATGTCCTCCAGCCGGTGGCAGGAGCGATTGTAGAAGCGGTGCAGGTTAAAGGGCTCCCCAGAGAAGGCCTCAGGGCCCGGTGGAGCGAGGGGCACCCCGGGGTCATCACTTTCATCCAGTCCCAGCATGGGGGCCAAATAAAGCAAGTCAGGGTAGCTGAGCTGGGACAGCCGCACAGCATTAGTGTTGCAGAGGGTGACTGCCGGGAAGGCCAGCTCCGTGGTGGCCACTTCGTTTAGAAGGGTCACGTGTGGGTAGCTGAGGTAATAAGCAACGCGGTCCCCTACCTGGCACAGGAAGGCACCCAGTGCCAGGACAAAGGCCACCGCCCACAGCACCTGCCTTGGCCCTGGACCCCCCTCCACAAAAATGTGGTTGGTGCCATGGAGGGTGCAGCTGTTGGCAAAGGCCACCAAGTCCATGGGTGAATGCCCCTCACTGGCCTCCTTCCTCACTGCCTCCTTTTCCTTCTCTTCTTCCTCCTCTTCCGATTCTGAGATGTCCTGCTGCTGCTGATGGTGGTGGGGACCCCAAATATCTCCCAAGGGCCCTGGGGCTTCCTCTCCAGAGGAGAATGACATGGAGCAGAAGATCTGGATGGGCATTTTCTCCAGGGGCTTCCTGGTGCCAGGGATTTGCAGGAGGAAGGGGGAAGGTGCCAGAGGGGAAGGCGATGTGACTCCAGGCAGAGTCCGGCAGAGCCAGCCACCCAGCCCGTCAGCCAGGTATCTCAGCCCAGCTGGCCGTCCTTCCTCACCAGGGCCTCTGTGGCAGTGTGGCTGGGGCGGGGCATGGGAGGAGGACCAGCCTGCCCTGCCAGGGAGGGCGGGTGTCTGGGCTGATGAATAATTGATGGCAGTGGGAAAGGGAGGCTGATGGAGAGCAGGGGGCTGGAGCCCCTTTCCTGTCACCAGCTCCGGCAGCACAGAGAGGGTTTAGGACAGAGTGGAAACCCTGGAAAAGCCTAGGGCTGGGATTCCTGGAACCCACCCCTCCCAGGTGAGACGGGACCTAGCACCATCCTTTGCACCCACTGCCATGATGATCACAGCGACCACAGTCCCTACCCCCCCAGGACACACACAACACACACTCATGCTCTCTGTCATCCTCCAATCTGTTCCTCAGCATATCCCTCAGTGTCCCCATCCCAATTCTGGGTCCTCTCCCTTATTCTCCCTCGTCCAGTTATTCCTCTGGGATACCTGAGCCCCTCCGTGCCCCACCACCAGGTACTCTCTCAGACCTCCAATTCCAGTCCCCGACCCTGTTTCTCTTCCCCTCCCTCCCTGGCCCCAGCTCTATTTCAGGACAGCATTACCAGCCCTCGTCCTACCCACCTATGCTGAGATGTATTTTGGTTCCTTTCCTCTCCCCTACCCCTCCTGTGGCTTGTGGGCCAGCCCAGGTTCCATTAGCAGCAGTCTCTCACTGACCACAGACTCATTTCTGACCAGTTCCCGGCACTAGGGGGAGGGACCCTGTCTCCTGCAGTGGGAAAGCTTCCTGGCAGATCACCACTACCCTTTTTGGCCTGCCCCCCGCCCCCCGAACAGTTTAGTTTGTTCGAGGAATTCTCTGGTGGGTGGAAGAAATTGAGATCAGTGCTGGGGGTGGGGCAGGGGGACCTGGGTCAGGTAGAGAGTATTGGGAACCAACTTGGGGTTCCCACCAAAACCCTCAGCCTTGCAGACTCCCGGCCTCAGTCTCTGAGGCTCCCCTACCGCTAATTTACCATTCCCTGCCCCCAGGCCCCTGGCCCCTCTGTGTGTTCTGATTACTCAGGGCCACTGGTTGAGGAACTTGAGCCATCAGCCAAGTCTCCAGGGCCAAGAAGGTGACCCGAGGGGAGGAGGGGAAGCGGGGGAGGGAGGTATAGCAGATTAATGCTTTCTCTGCAGGGCCAGAGGAGGAGCAGTGGGGCTAGACCGGGGCTAGGTGGGTCTGCTTGGGCCTCCCCATTCCTTAAGCATCCCCTAGCCCCAGGCCATGTTCCCCTTCCTCCTCCTCTCTTCTCCCTCCCTGCTCCCACCATCTTCCCTTCTCCATTTGCAGAGACCCTAGAGTGTGTTGGGGATGTGAGGCAGGGTGTCAGGTTCTAGCAGAACTGAGTGATGTGGAACCTTTGGCCTCAGCTTTGCTGCCAGGGACAAAGAGGCCTCAGAAGCAGAGTCTTGAGCTCTAGCCCCTCTCCATCCTTCTGCCACTGCCCTCAGACTGGCCTAAACAACAGCCACTGTCCTCCTCTTTCTGCCACTGCCCTCCTCTTTTGCCTAAACAACAGCCTCTCAACTGGTCTCCCTGCCTCCCTGCAGTTTCTCCCCACCTTTAGTTCGAGTTGTGTGACTCTGACCATTCTTCTGCTTAAAGACCTTCTCTAGCCAGGTATGGTGGCACGCACCTGTAGTTCCAGCTGCTTGGGAGGTTGAGGCAGAAGAATCGCTTGAACCCGGGAGGCGGAGGTTGCAGTGAGCCGAGATCGCACCACTGCACTCCAGCCTGGGCGACAGAACAAGGCTCCATCTCAAAAAAGTAAAGACCTTCTCTCACTCCCCACTGCCTCCTGGCAAAATTTAGTCCTCTCTTGTAGCCCCACAAAGCTGAAAGCAGCCAGGCGTGGTGGCTCACGCCTGTAATCCCAGCACTTTGGGAGGTCGAGGTGGACAGATCAAGAGGTCAGGAGATCGAGACCATCCTGGCTAACACAGTGAAACCCTGTCTCTACTAAAAATACAAAAAAAAAAAACCAAAAAAATTTAGCCAGGTGTGCTGGCAGGCGCCTGTGGTCCCAGCTACTCGGGAGGCTGAGGCAGGAGAATGGTGTGAACCCAGGAGGTGGAGCTTGCAGTGAGCCGAGACTGAGCCACTGCACTCCAGCCTGGGGGACAGAGCAAGACTCCGTCTCAAAAAAAAAAAAAAAAAAGCTGAAAGCAATGTACCCTCCACCTCAGGCCAGCATCCAGCCACCACCACCTGTCCCCAGACACACGAGGCTCATCCACAGTCCTGTGCCTTCCCTGGACTCCATCTGGAGAATTCCTACTCATTTTTCAAGATCCTACTCACATGTTACCTCCTCCAAGAATCCTCCCGACTCCACAGGGTGCTGTTAGTGCCCACCCAGGGAATAGACTAAAGGGTCCAGTTCTGCTCAAGGCCCTACAGCTATGAGTAATGACCGAGAGCAAAAGAGCAGGACCAAGAGACCATGTGCAGGAACAGGAAGCAAGGAAGGCCAGGAACACCCAGGGCAACCAGAGATAAGTCATTGCAGAGATGAGGAGAGACTCCCCCACCTTCAGCTGCTGTCCTCAGGCTTCTCCTGCATGAACCTGTGTGTCCTGTCCTGTGTGTATCTTTTTCCTGCCTGCCAGATCTTGAGCTCTCAGAGGGCAGGGGCCTCCTCCTTTGCATTCCCCAGGAAGTGCTTCAGAGAGGACTTCCAGACTTGGGTGGAGTGGGGCTGAGGCTTGGGCTGAGGAAGCTGCAGCTGCCCATGCGTTCCCACTAGAGGGCACTGTCCCCCTCCTTCAGATGTTTTGGAAGGGGAAGTAGATTGATTTCCAGAAGGAAGCAGCTAAGGCAGCGGGAGCTTCCAGCTTGGGAGCCCCAGCAAAGACAAGGGTGTGCACGCACAGACAGTGCCAAAGGACAGTAAGTTGGGTGCAACTGAATACCTCTTCCCCCACAGCAACCAAGACCACACTGCACACTTGCACATTACCACACAGACACGCAGCCCTGGTGTGGGGCGACACACACACCCCAACACACACACACACGCCCCAACACACACACACCCCAACACGCACACACCCCAACACACACACACACCCAACTGCATGTCCTCTCTCCTCCATCGCCTGTATGCTTGTTCAAACAAATGCTTATTCTTCTAACATTCTTTCCCATCTTCATCTTGTTCAAGTAATTGGGGGATGAGGAAAGTGTCAAAGGGCATACACAGAGGGCCCCTGGAGAGGTGCCCAAGCAGACACACACACAGAGCTGCACTCAGTCCTGAACCCTCTGTCCAAGCATACAGCGCCCCCCACCCAGACCTTCTCTTTAGCAGTGTGTGCTGAGTGGTTTCTGACTTTTTCTATATCCCTTTCTTCATTCCAGCCACCCCTCATGTCTGTGTAATGCTTCATGGTTTTCAATTGTTATCTCATGGGATCCTCACACAACCCAGTGAAATAAGCAGGTTTGAGTAACTTCATTCCCATCTGACAAGTGAGAAAACTGAGCCACACCAGCCTATTCAAGTCTTAGGGAGAGCAAGAAGTGGGCTGGAGGCTGGAATGAGGTCATCTGTCTCCAAATCCCTTGCTTCTTCATTCTTGCATTTACTCATTGACACAGTGGAGAACACATCATGGACCTGCCCTCATGGAGCTTACTGTCGAACAGGGAAGACAGACCTCAATTCAAAAATGAAAAAAACAAATATCTAATTGCAAACCATAAGTGCTATGAAAAAAAAAAATGACTCTATCAGAGTGAATGACAGAGGGACTTGCCCCAGACTGGGGAATTAAGGAAGCTTTCTCTGAGGAAATGATGTTTGAATTACAGTCTAAAGAATAAAGAGGAGGCTGGGCGCGGTGGCTTATGCCTGTAATCCCAGCACTTTGGGAGGCTGAAATGGGCGGATCACTTGAGGCCAGGAGTTCAAGACCAGCCTGGCCACCATGGTGAAACCCCTTATCTACTAAAAATACAAAAATTAGCCAGGCATGGTGACACATGACTGTAATCTCAGCTACTTGGGAGGCTGAGGCATGAGACTTGCTTGAACCAAGGATGTGGAAGTTGCAGTGAGCTAAGATTGCACCACTGCACTCCAGCCCAGGCAATAGAACGAGATTCTGTCTCAAAAAAATAAATTAAATAATAAATAAATAAATAAATAAATAAATAAATAAATAAAATAAAAAATAAATAAAGAGGAGTAATTAGGTAATGGTGTGTGTGTGTATATATTTGTGTGTGTGCACGTGCGCACTAGCGCTTACCGCTGTGGAGGAGGGAGGATATTCCAGAGAGAGAACTGAGTGTATGCAAAGGCCTGGAAGGAGAGAGATGAGAAGGGGCAAGTGTGGCTGGAGAGGTGGGTAAAGGCAGGGAGGACCCAGGTCACTCAGGGCCTTAAAGGCCACGGTGAGGATTCTGGCTGAGGGACAATGAAAGACTCCCCATGGAAGGCGTTCAAGTGATCAGAGCTTTGATTTGAAAAGACCACTCTGGCTGCAGAGTGAAGGATATAGAAGGGCTGCTGGAAGGCCTGTCGAGGAGCCATTGCCGTGGCCCAAAGAGACATGCAGTGGTGGGATGGGCCGGAACAGGGGGTAGAGTGGAGATGTTTATGAGGCAAAATTGGCAGATCCTGTCAAGGCAGGTGAGGGAGATGGAGTGTCAGGGATGATTTCTGGTTTGCATGACGGGGTGAACAGTGGGTGGCTCACTAGATCAGGCACACAGGTAAAGAACTAGTTTGGGAGGTAAGATGATGACTTTGGTTTTGCACATGCAGGTTTTGAGGAGTCTTAGGGACATCCAAGTAGAGACGTTAAGTGGGAAAATTGGCGACTGGAGCTGATGCTAAGAGGAGAGAGCTGGGCTGAGACATAAATTTGGCAGTTGTCAGTGTGTAGATGGTAATTGAAGTGATGAGTGAAGATGAGACTGCCCAAGAATAGAATATAAAGTTTAAAAAAAAGATAGAAAAAAAGGTCTGATTTGGCAGTATCCACTAAAGCTAAACAGAATCATACCCTATGACTTAACCATAGCTCCATAGCTAGTCATGTGCCCAGGAGAAATGAGTGCATATATCAACCAAAAAACATGAACAAAAATGTTCATAGTAGCTTTATAGATAAGAGCCAAAAACTAGTAACAACCCAAATGTCTAGCATCAGTAGAATGGATCAATTGTGGCATATTCATATAATGAGATACTATACAGCATCAAAAAAGAACTAACCACTTCCACACACAACAACATGGCTAAATCTCACAGACGTAATCACAAGCAAAACAAAACAAAACAAACAGACACAAAAGAGTATACACTGTATGGAGGATACATATACTCCAAGAAGTTCAAGAATGAGGGAAATTGATCTATACTGTTAGAACAGTGGTTAACTCTTATGGGGTAGCATTGACTAGGAAACAGCCTGAAGGAACTTTCTGGGGTACTGGAAATGTTTTATACCAATGCAATATGCAAAATACTACACTGTAAGACATACCAGTGTAAAAATTTTTCAAGCTGGTGCATTGTACTCTTATGATTTAAAAGAAGATTAAAGCTTGAGACTGAGCCTTGAGTAGTGATGACACTAAATGGCCAAGTAGAAGAAAATGAACTGGCAAAGAGACAGAGGAGTGGGTAGACATAGGAGGAAAACAAAGAGAGTATGATTGTCAGGAAAGCGAATAGTTCAAAAAAGAGGTGGTGGGGTCCGGGCGCAGTGGCTCACGCCTGTAATCCCAGCACTCCGGGAGGCCGAGACAGGCGGATCACCTGAGGTCGGGAGCTCAAGACCAGCCTGACCAACATGGAGAAAACCCGTCTCTACGAAAAATACAACAACAACAAAAAAATAGCCGCGCATGGTGGCACGCATCTGTAATCCAGCTACTCAGGAGGCTGAGGCAGGAGAATTGCTTGAACCCAGGAGGCGGAGGTTGCAGTGAGCTGAGATGGTGCCACTGCACTCCAGCCTGAGCAACAAGAGCAAAACTCCGTCTCAAAAAAAAAAAAAAAACAACAGCAGAAGAGTTGGTGGGCAACTATTTTAAATGCTATTGAGAGATCAAGAATAATAAAAAAAATATTTGCTGGATTCGGCAACATGAAGGTGACCACTGGCCTTAGCTAGAACCATTTAGGAGGAATGGTGATGATGGGGGAAGAAGGCAGCCTGGAGTGGATCAGAAAGTGAGTTAGAGATGAGGAAATAGAAACAGTGAAATAAACATATCACTTTTAGGAACTTTGTAAAGGGAAGCAGAGAGATACTATAGGAGCTGGCAGGTGCTGTGGAGTTGAGAGACACATGTTTTAGTTTTTATCTTAGCACAAAGACCGATACATAGCAAGTTCTCAATATATGTTAGCTGTCGTTACAGCTATGTATTTTAAGACAAGAGCATCTTCAGCATGTTTCATTGTCAATGGGGTTTCACTTGAGAAAGAGCGACCAACTGTAGAGCAGGGAGAGACAGAATTAGCAGGAGAAAGATCTTAAAAAGGCAGAGGGAATAAGATGAAAATTCTAGGTTGAGACTTTATCCTAGATAAGATGAATGTTCCCTTCTAGGGCTTGGTACCCAGAAGAAGGACAAGATCTTGTCTGAGGCTTCTATTTTCTCAGTGAAGTAAGTGGTAGCCAAGGTCATCCGCTGAGGGTGAGAGAGGAGCTAGGAAGGGTGACTGAGAAGAGTGGAGAAGTTCGAAGTAGTCATCAGAGAGAGCAAGCTGACCAGGAAAACACAGTGGGGTTGCCAGGCAGCACTGCACGCCCATTTAAGGATGTTGAGCATGAACGCAATGTGATACTAAGCTGCCCTGGTATGTGACTTCCTCAGGGAGGTCCTGACTGCCCTGGTGTGACCCTGGGGAAAGCCAGTGGTGGGTTCACCTAAGATTGGCACTTGGCCTGATGATGCAATGAAAAGACAAAAGCATCAAAAAACTAGGCCTACTCAACTTGGGAACGGGATTCCTAGGGTCTCTTCTCTATACCCTTTCTTGCCCTTCCTGCCTCTCCACACTGCTTCTCAACAGAGCACCCTCCTCCATACACACTCCTACAGCCACACACAAAGAACCCGGACTTAGAAGATCTGAAGTCAGGGTCCCACTCTGTCATTTCCCAGCTGTGTGACCTCAGGCAAGTCACACAACTCCTCTGAGCCTCAGTTTTCCCATCTTTCCAATGAAGATGTTAATAATTTCCTTCCTACAAGAATTATGAAGATCACGTGAGCTAAAGTAAAGGGAATTTGTAAATTGCAAAGCACAACTGAAAGAGATGATTAATTTTGCTAGTATGTGCTCTGCATGCAACCAGAGGTTTGCCTACACAGAAGCTTTCTCTCACAGCCACACACACCAAGCTGCATGGGCCCCCATACACCTCCACATGCTTCCACTTCACACTCTACATTCACACTCCCCTGCAGACACACACAGAGGTGCACATGTGTGCTTGCATGCTCGGGGCGCATATGTGATGAGGGTGTTGTGAGGAAGTCTGAGATGGCTGCTGTCCATGGCCAAGGCCACTGCCACAGTCTCACCCCCAGGGATGTTCTCAGCCTGGCATGCTGGTGTGACACCAACTAGAGACACATGGCACTAAGCTGCACAGCCCAACCTCCTGGGCCCCCAGAACTGTCAGCCACACAGAGGGCATGCAGAAGGGTGGGAAAGCATTTTCTATCCAAGAACTCATGGGATCTCAGAAAGATCACAATTGACCCTCCCTCTCCCTGGAGAGTGGCCTTGGAGAGCCTGGGGTGGCAGTGTCTGTCCTTACAGTTCCTTAAGGGAACTTCCCTTTCAAGTGAATACACAGCAGCTTCATGATCATTTTTAAATATTCTATGAGGAAGATGTCCAATTCCTGTGTCCAGGTAGGTTGGCGCTGCACATCCATTACACATGGGGCACCGTGGGCTTGGCCAAAGAGTCCCAGAGGAAGGACTGCCCCTCAATAAAGAATAATTTTACAACCTCCTTACAGGAGATTGGGCTTAGAAGCTAAGAAGTGGGGCCAGGTGGAACTTTGCCCAAAATAGAGACCAGGAGCCCTAATGCCCAGTCCTATCCTCCACCCAGCTAGGCACCCCTTCTCATTCTCGCTGTCTCCTTCCAGCTTTGCCTCCCAGAATGCACACCTAAGGGTCCTGACTGGGACGTTATAGGTCAGAAGGTAGAGGCTTCTGCATTGGCCACCCCAAACATACAAGTGAGGGAAAGCTTGGGGGTGGGGGTGGGCAGGGGTTGGCCAAGGCGGAAGAATGGCCGGAGAGAATTGGCCGGTTGATTTAGTTAGCTGGGGAGACACCAACATATTCTATGAACCTGGCATTTTCCGAGAGGCTGAGTTTGGCTGGGGAGATTGGGAGGACTCCCCCTGGATGTTGAGAGTCTGCTCATCCCCAGCATGTTCCCCCTTGTTCTGAAGCCCACCCCACTGGGCCCCCTTTAGTACCACCCCCATGGCTCTCAGCCCTGAACCTTCCGTGCTGCACTTAACTGCCCCAGCGCAGGACCTGGCACATGGAAGTGGCACTGTCTGCTATGGGAATGAATCCAGTGGAGCTTAACGCTCCCCTAATCCCAGCTTCTCATTCTGAATATTCTGTCTCCCTCGCTATCCCCAGAGAATTGAAATTACTTTCCACAAAACTGAAACACACTCAGAAGCAACCTCCATCCACAGCAGAACATTCCAAGCCTCTCTGTGGGCCTGCCCTTCTGCCTCCAGGACACACTGGGCATGCAGTGGCCATATCCAGGAGTTCTCCACCAGCTGGGCAGTGACAAAGTCCCAAGACTTAGAGGTGCTCCTCCCCAGCCCTCCACTTCCAGGCTTGGCCCCCAGAGGCACTTAGTTACTGAATTCCCTATTGCTTTAGCCAACAGCCCCCAGGTCAATTAGCTTAGAGTAGTTCTTAGCTGATAGCTGTCTGAGAGAGGGATGGAGTCAGAAATGGCTGGGGTCTGGGGAGAAGGGGAAGAGGTGAGAGAGGAAATTGGGCTACCTGAAGGATGTTTGTGTGTATCTGTGTCTGAGAGAGAGGCAAAAGGAGACATCTGAGACCCCAACCCAGGGACCACCCACTGGATTCCTGCAACTGCAATGGGCTCTGCTCCCATCTCCTCTCTCCACCCACCTGTGTTCAGTTTAGGCACTTCCTAGGAGAGAGGGACAGATGAGAAGGATAAGGCAGGAGGTGGTAGCCATGAACCCCTAGGGCAGGAACCCTTCCCCCAAAGTTCATGAACCCCATGAACCCCTCCTCTAAAGTTACTGTCTCCAGGTCGGCCTCTTCTATCCCTCTGCAATCTGTGCATGTTCCCCCTTCCCACCCATGAAGACCACCAGGCCTCTGGGTGGGGCTGCCCAAGATTCCCCTTCCCCTGTCTGCATGGCAGTCTGGGCAGCCTTTCCCTTCAGCAGCCCCTCCACTCCCTGCCTAGCTGGAGGGTGCAGACCCCAGTAGTAAGGTCAGGCCCTCCCAAGGGACTTCTGGTCTGAGCTTCTATGGGGCAGCATGGGGTGTGGGGATGAGGGGTGAGCCCTAGGGATGAATAAACTCCATGCTAGTCCTGGCTCTTGCTGGGCACTGCCATCCCTGGCTCTCCTGCTTTAAGATGACTTCTCTCTCCCCACTTTGGGTCCCAGGATCAGGCGCCCACAGCCACCTCTCATTGCAGCATCTTACTTCCCTAGGTGCTCCAGGGGATGCCCGGGCCCCTTCAGAACCTAGCAGTGGATTGCAGGGGAGGCTTCTGTGCTCATCCCCATTCACTCCACCTCTTCCCTGGGAGATTCTGGTCTCCAATCCAGGGTCCTGAGAAGGACTCCTGTGGACCCCTCCCAGGGATTCCTGTCCCCCAATTTCACCCTCCTGAGAGAGATTATGAGTCACACCACATGTCCACCCCAGCATTTCCACTCTGTCCTCCTCTTCCTTCTCTTCCAGGCCCCAGAAATGAATTCCTGCTTCTCTCTCCGCTAGGCAAAGGGTCTAGGTCTCAGCGGAGGAGGGGGTGGCATAGGGCAGACTGGGTGACCATCTGCCAGCCCCCTCCCCTTGCTGCTGCTCAGCATTCTGGCCACATCAGCTGCTCCCACTGCCAGGGACAGATAAGGTGCAGCTGGAGGATGGCACCAGCTGCGACTGTGCTCACTTCTCTGGCCCCCACCCAGACACCAGCAGACAGCTGCACCCCAGCCCCCCTCCATGGAATCCCTGCCCTGCCTTGGCCTGGCTGGCCTCAAGGTGGGGCAGGAGAGAGGAGCCATGGACCCCATTGTCTTGGCAACAACACACCCTACCAGGAAGAAAAGGAGGTGGCCGGGAAGAGGGGGCCTTGTGGTTGGGTCACTGTGGTTGCTCAGGAGGCAGCTATTGAAACCTTCCCAGCCAGGTTGCTGTGGGGATACTCCCTGCCCTGCCCTTCTCCCTCTTCAGTCCCGAAGGATTTCCAAACCAGTCTCTCCCAGATTCAGCTCAGGCTCCCCATATTCACCCCCACCCTCCCAAGCTGACTCAGCCACACCTGGGGGATGGACCCTGGCCAAATGCTTTGTGACCACCAACTATTCCCTGGGGTTGAGCTAGATCCAGGAGCACATCTGGAGAAATGCCTGTTACTGCAGATCCTCATCAGGGGAGCTGGGGTCTTTGAGTGACCAGAGTAGCCTCCCTGAATTGTCTTCTTATGCCTCCCCCAACCAGCCTTGAGAAACAGGGTTCTTATTGTTGAGAAGAGGGTTGCCCTTAGAAATCTACAAAAGAGTCCACACGTGCCCCCGCACGCTATACTTTGCAAAAGCATTGAGCAAGGTCTTGGACAGTGGGGGGTGGTATCCCACAGCAATCCTGTTGGATGGGGCCCAGCAGCTTCTTCCTGAGCTACTGAAAGAGCAAGCAAAGCCCTAACCACAAAGCCTCTCTTCCCTGACTACCTTCTTTCCTCAGTGAAGAACCTCTGCTCTGAAGGCTGCAGAAGATGCCAAGATGGTCTCCCTTAGATCGACCCTATAGACAGGTGTTTCCTGTCAGTGCTACATCTGCCCAGGGCTAGAGACACACTCCCAACACACCTCTTGGCCTAGCAGAGAATGGCAAGGATGTTAATCACAAGACTGAGGAGAGAAGGGAGAGCATGGAGTATCAGGCAAGGAGTGTGGGAGCCCTTAGGACTGGGGAGCTGGAGGAGAGAGACTGCCAGGCCCTTCTCCACCGGGGAGGTGTCAGACATGGACTCCAGCCAGACGCCCATCTGTGTGGGAACATCCCTATGGGTAGAGCTCTTGACATGGAGAGGGGCTGGCAATGAAACCAACTGAAGAGAGCAGAGGGAGGAGTGAGAGGTTTGAGTCCAGCAAAATTCAGGGTCAGGTCTTTGACATGGGCTGCAAAACAGCAAAAACCTGGTCTTCCCTGACAACCCAGAAGCAAGAAGGGGCACAGCTGGGGCTGCAGGGTGCTAGCCTGTGTGTCTTTACCCCTGAGTAAGAGGAATAATTCAGACTGCTCCAGAACTTTGTGAGCCAATCACATCTCCATCTGACTACTTAGAATGGTCCCCTCAGACAGCATGGACCAATCACATCTCAGTGTCTCCATTACCATCAACCAAATGTTATCTTAGCATCACCACTTGGAATCTTTCTGGACATGATGGACAGATGGAGCCTCAACTGAATACTTTCTATGGACTAACTGTGCCCAAATTTATATCTTAGCACCTCCTCAGATTGAGCCAAGCACTTCTCTCCCTCATCCAACACTACAAACCACTCAAACAAATACGTTTTCTCCATCTTTCTCACGGGTCCCTCCTGCTTGTGTGTTGGGTGTGTTGGAGGGAGGCGGCTCTGGCTTTTGCTTCCACCTTCACCTACAGTCCTGTTACTCTTGGGAGCATCACTTGTGAGACTGCAAACCCTCTGGTCTCAAGCTCTGGGGAATCCAGGACTCTCCTGTTATGAAGCAGTAAGAGAGGGAAGGAAGTGGTTCTTGCATCTTGGCTAAGCTCCCCATCAGCTTGGCTCAGCAAAGAGTGCAGTCATGTGAACTTTGTCCAGCAGGATTGACAAAGGCCAGTGAAACTGGTCTGCAGAGCAAGGCTTAAGGATATTGGGAGGTCTTGCACAGCTAGAAACACTAAGCATGACTATGGTGCCATCCTTTCTGCACAAATACAGTTCATATTCCCATACTGCAGGAGGAAGCAAGCAAGCGGGGAGAAAATAGGCAGGAAGAAGGAAGAGAATCCAAGAGCTGAGTAGGCATGGAGAGCAAAGGGTCCTGGAAAAGACTGGCAAGAATTTGAAGTGGACACAATAACCCCAGGGTCCACAATATTAATTAAAAGAGTAAAGGACATTTTCAGCTTAACAAGACATGAGTTCTAATCCTGAACCTGTCACCTGTCACTAACTGTGTGAGCTTGGGTAAATCATTCTGCCTGTGTCTCAGTTTCGTGCATTTGTAAAACAGAGGTAATGTGATTATGTATCAAGGGGATTGAGGGGAGCCTAGAAAGCATTTGAAAGAGTTACAAGCATTGTCCATTCATTTGGTGTTATTGTTCCTGCATGGCTCTGGAGCCTCTGGTCTCTTTGCCATCTGGGTCCAGGTCTTAACCCTCAGGAATCTGTGTGACTTGCCCAGGGTTGCCCAGCACATCAGATGCCAAAATCAGTTTCCCTATGCCCTCCCTGAGGTGCTGGCCTGAGGCAGCCACATCTGTGGGGCATCTCCATTTTAAGATGCAAAGGAAGCCTCCAGGGCAGCCATGACTGGGTGTCCCGATGGCCTTCCTTTCCTCAGATCCTGGCTCTGCGGCTCTTGCCGGCAAGCAGGAAACCTAACCAAACAGTGTATGTGTCTATGTATGGGGTGCGGATGGCACACAGGGAGTTACTGTCTGGCTATTTAAGAGAAGGTTTCCCTTACTTGTGCTTCACGGTGCTTCTCAAACTTTAGTGTATACTCCAGTCACCTGAGGATCTTATTAGATGGAGATTCTGGTTCAGTAGGTTTGGGAAGTGGGGTGGCAAAGTCCTGCATTCCTTTCAAGCTCCCAGTTGATGGTCCTGGACCTCACTACAAGTAACACGGCTGTAGCTTACCCACCTGTCTGCTCAGCTCTGACACCTGTGGCCTAGAAGGTAAGCTTGGTGGGTTTGTGGCTATGCCAGACCACGCACGTGTGTGCATATATGTGTGTGTTGTGCACTGTAGGCTCTCTTTCCTGCCATCATGGCTGCAAGGCTGAGGCTCAGGTGCTCATGCAGTGAGTGCAAATGTGCCCCTATGCTGAACAAACTCCCCTTCTACTAGAAGCAAACCCCAGGACATACAACTTCCTCTCCCAGAGTAGCAAGCACCCGGAGAGGCCCAGCCTGCTCCTTGTCTCCTCCTCCTCCTCTGTGGGCCAGGCTGACTCACACCCCACACGAGGGGACTCACCACCTTGAAGTCTTCAGCGCTGCAGACCTCCCCCCGGAAGTGGCAGGAGAGCAGCATGTCTCGAATGTCGTGCCCAGCTCGGTCGTAGAACTCACGCATGTTGAAGGGTTTGGGTTTGAAGCTGCGGAAGTTGGCTTTGTCCTGCAGTATCTCCAGCTGCTTTTCATCTGCCATCTGTGTGTCTGGTATCTCATACCTGGGGTCCGGGGGTGAGTGACACACGGGTCAGTACAGTCATCAGTGTCCTGCACCCAACTTGGGTGATGGGGGCAGCCTCCAGCCCTGGGGATCAGTCCCAGGTGTAGGCAAGGAAGGAGAGCTGGGCATGCAGAGGCTCTACCACATGGGTCTGAAATGACAGGAGGAACTGTAGTGGCTGCCCAGGGGCAGGGCATCCCATCCCAGCACATGGGTGAGAGGAAGCATGGATAAGGTGGGCAGAGAGACAAGGCAGGGGCTGTGGCTTTTATACTGTAGTTTCTACCCTTTAAAGATGTTCTGTCCCCATCCCCCAACTGACGAGAAGGTCAAGACAGAGTGGCCAGAATGAAGGTAAAGCTCACTCCAGAGAGGGTGACAATGTCTCATACCTCAGGCTGGGTGGGGGTCGAGCTGTTCTGGACTATGCTGGGATCGGAGGCTGGGTGCCCTTAACTGGGTGCTCAGCAGCACCCTAACTCCTCTGCTGTGAGTGGCAGGTTTGGGGGTGGGGGTGGGTTAAAGGGCAGGGTTGGCTGGGCTCTATGGTGGGTCAGGGAGGCAGACATCCTGACTGGAACTCAAGCAACTCCAGGAGCAGGGCTGAGGGAGGGTGGGAGCCACCCACCTGTTGTTGAGCAGGGCCAGCAGCTCCCCAGCATGATACAGGTCATTCTTGGAGACTTGGCTAAAGCGGAACTCGTTGAGGTTGCACAGCGTGACAGCAGGGAAGGTAAGCTGAGAGGCAGCCACCTCGTCGAGCTTGGTGACATGGTGGTAGTGGAAGTAGTACTGCACACGCTCCGTGCACACACACAGCAGCACAGCCAGGGAGCCCAGGAAGCACAGGGCCCACAGTGCCCGCTTCAGAGACAGCCGCTCGTAGGAGAAGATGTGGGCCAGGCCGTGCAGTGTGGAGCTGCTGGCGAAGGCCTGGATGCTCACCGGCTGGACGCCACCCACCTCCTCCTCCTCGGCCTTCAGTTCCATCCTTGTTGAGGGGATCCTGGGGGAGGAGGGAGGGACAGTCTATCATTGTCCTGGGATGAAAGTACACATGGAGCCCCTCCACATGTGCCCATCCAGAATCCTCATCTCCAGAGGTCACCACTCCTCGGGCAGAAGACTTCCCTGCTTTGCAAGCCCAGAGGTGGCTGACCAAGGGACACATCCAGGGTTCCTCCAAATACAGAGGCACAGGGGGTCAGGTCAGGCCAAGAGAATGCTCCCCAGAGAAGCTTCCCAGGCCCGGGGAGACCCCAGATATAGTCATCCGAGGTTGAGGGGGAAGTCCTGATGCACCCATAGGCAGGCGCAGGAGTTCCCTCCAGATGTGGGGTCACTCTGGGACAAGAATATCCACCCCATCCTGGAGATGAAAACTCACCCAGATGGGCTGACCCCGGGGTAAGGAGCTCCTGTCCTGGTCACGGGTATTCCCTGGACGGGGCTGTGGTCCTAAGGGCTAAACTGGGGCCAGAAAACCCCCAGGGAGGTGGCTACATCTAGGGAGGGGCCCAGCCTGAGTCCTCACCTGCGGGTGTCTCCAGTTCTCACATAAGCGCAGGCTGTGTGTATGTTGGGAGTGGGGGGTGGCGGGCTGCCCGAGGTGGATGTATGGAGGGGGGGCGCGGTTCCCTATGACAGCGAGCTGTCCCCGCCCCGGACGCAGCCCCCCCCAGTCCAGCTTCTCGTCGCAGTCAGATCCCCAGCTCGGCCCCCGCCCCCCTCCCCAGCCACCGAGCCGCCCCAGCAGCAAGGGAAATCCAGAGGGAGGAGAGTCCCGGCTTCGGGGTACCGAGGAGCCTCGCGGCCAAAGGCAGGGGTATCGGAAACCCACCTGAGGGGGCTTCGGCAAGCCGGCAGCCGGCGGCGGGTCCTGGGGCGCTGGACCGGTGGCGGGCTCAGCGCCGAGTCGCGGAGGGGCTCATGGCCCGGGGCCGGAGCCCGCGGCCGCCGCGGCACGCCGCGCAGAGCCCTGCAGGGAGCGCCCCGCCCGGCCCCGCTCGGCTCCGATCTGTCCGCCCGCCCGCGCGCGCTGGCTCGCTGGCTCGCTCGCCTCGGCTCGGTCTGCCCGGGCTCGGCGCGGTGCGCGGTGCTCTCAGCCCTGGGATCTGCAGGGATCCATCGTCCGGCCGGGAGGCGGCGGGAGGGGAGGGGGAGGGGAGAGGGTGCGCGTGCGCGCCTACGAGTGTCTGCGAGGCTGTCTCTGGGCTGGTGTGCGCGCGGGGCCCCGGATCCGGGAGCGGGACCCAGGGCTCCCCGCGCCGCCTCGCCCCTCCTCGCGGCCGCTTTCGGCGGCGCTGCCTCTCTCCAGTCCCGGAGCCGTCTCCCTGCCTGCGAGGCCCTATGGCTTGTGTGTATGACTCTGTGTGTGGTGTGTGTGCGCGCGCGCGTGTGTGCGCGCAGGAGGGAGGGTGTCTGCCCCTAGCGTCCCTCTCCCCGCGCTGTCTCCTTCGGATCGATGCTCCTGCCTCTTGCTGCTGCTTCCTCTGGTGGCACACACGCGCGTACACACACACATACACACACACGCTCCGAGTCACACTTGACTAATTCAAGCACTTAGCCCATATGGAGACAGACACACATACCGACCAGAGTCACACCACACCATTCACAACCACACCCCCCCGCAACAGATGTCCACGTATCCCGGGGGCCTGACCCACATGGCAAGCACTCACCTGCTCTTATCCCTGCTCCCACCTGCATGTGACACATATACACGTGCACATATGTGAGCCAACACGCAGCCTTGACCACTCAGATCCCATCCTTGTAGCTTTGGGCTTGTGGGGGGCATGGTCGCAACCCCTTACTGCCAAATCTCCAAAGAAGGAGCAGAGAAAAGGAAGGAAAAATAGCCAGAGGTCAAGGGAATTTGGACAGAAGGAAGGAGGCAAAGGGAGTGAAGGGGACAGGGTGAGGAAGGGTTGGAACGGGGAGCTATGCTCAGGGATGGAGCAGAAGTCTCAGCACAGAACGCAGGCCTGGGGGCTGCTCCTGTGGCTCTCACCTTTCTCCTTCCCTGCCTCCCTCCTCTTCTCTGAGAGGCCTTGGGGAGGGGGGCCCTCCCTATCCAATTAACAGAGAAGGAGCAATCAAGGGGAAGTTGTTAATTTGCTGATGCTCATTAGGGGCTCTTAGCACAGAGGCTGTTGAGGTCTGATGGTGTCAGATGATGAGGAGGAGGGTGCGGGGGACCAGAGTTCTGTCTCTAGTGGCTCCTTCGCTCTACTTGCAGGCTGGTGCGGCTCGGGGAGAAGGATGGTGAGAGGTGTATTCCTAGGACATGGTGCCGGGCTTTAAGTTAGAAGAAAACCTGTAACGAGAAGGGGATGGCACATTGGAAAGAAGTTGGATGAGAAGTTGGGAGTAGTGGACATCTAGGAAACCAGAGAAGGGGTCTGGAGGTCCCTAGTGGGAGAGTGGACTTAAGATTGTGGAGGAGGGAGGTCGAGATCCATTTACTAGGGGACTGGACACGGAGCTGCCAAAAGGAAGGGAGGATCTTCCATTCAGGTCTTGGGGAGCTGTTCAGCGGTACCAGGCAGTGCTGGAGGGTTGCTATGCCCCCGGGCAGCCACTGGGTGGCAGCCCTCTCCCAGATACTTAGAATCAACTCGTGGGGGGCATTTGAGAGTGGGAAATCACCTGGGAGGGTCCCAGAGACCTGAGGAAGCATCAGGCAGAGTCTGATTCCTGAATTCCAAATATCCTCAGGGGGAGGGGAACACTATTTTGGAGCATCTGTAATTTCCCCACCTCCCCGCGGCTCGCAGGCTGACTGACACGTGGAGCCTCTTCAAATGGCTGCAATTGCTTCAGTCACCTGGGATGTTACTGAGGGAGCAGCGGGGGTGGAGGGAAGGTGATGAGGTGAGGTGGAGGCAGGCGAGGACTGATTGAGGCCAAGGAGCAGCCTCAGGAGGAGTCTGGGGGAAGACAGAAGGTATGAATCAGGAGAATCAGCTTCCAGACCTGGCCCTGCCATTCATTAGCATAGGCAGGCCCCTTGACCTCTCTGGACCTCGGTTTCCTCATCTGTAAGGCAGAGATAATATTTATTTCACAGGATTTTTCGAGGATTACATGAGCTAACGCATGGAAAGTGCTTAGTACATTGGCATGTACCTAGTAAATCCCAATAAGTAAATAACTATTATTAGTATTAGCATTTGGATCTAGTGGTAAAACCACCAGTGCAGCCAAACCAGGGCAGAATCTAAGGCACTGGTTCTTAACCCAGGCTGCACATTCGAATCACCTGGGGAGCTTTTAAAACTGCAATGCCAGCTGGGCGCGGTGGCTCACTCCTGTAATCCCAGCACTTTGGGAGGCAGAGGAGGGTGGATCGCCTGAGGTCAGGAGTTTGAGACCAACCTGGCCAACATGGTGAAACCCATCTCTACTAAAAATACAAAAAGTAGCTGGGCGTGGTGGCGGGCACCTGTAATCCCAGCTACTCGAGAGGCTGAGGCAGGAGAATCATTTGAACCTGGGAGGCGGAGGTTGCAGTGAGCCGAGATTGTGCTATTGCACTCTAGCCGGGGAGACAAGAGCGAAACTCCATTTCAAAAAATAAAAATAATAAGATAAAACTGCAATGCCAGCCAGGCGTGGTGGCTCACGCCTGCAATCCCAGCACTTTGGGAGGCCGAGGTGAGTGGATCACCTGAGGTCAGGAGACCAACCTGGCCAACATGGTGAAACCCTGCCTCCACAGAAAATACAAAAATTAGCCAGGCGTGGTGGCACGCACCTGTAATCCCAGCTACTCAGGAGGCTGAGGCAGAAGTGCTTGAACCCGGGAGACAGAGGTTGCAGTGATCGGAGATCGTGCCACTGCACTCTAGCCTGGGCAACAGAGCGAGACTCTGTCTCAGAAAAAAAAAAAAAAAACTGCAATGCCATGGCTCCACTTTAGACCAGTTAAATCAGAATCTCTGGGGCTGTGGCGCGATCTTGGCTCACTGCAAGCTCAGTCTCCTGGGTTCACGCCATTCTCCTGCCTCAGCCTCCCAAGTAGCTGGGACTACAGGCACCCGCCACTACACCTGGCAAAGTTTTTTGTATTTTTAGTAGAGACGGGGTTTCACCGTGTTAGCCAGGATGGTCTCAATCTCCTGACCTTGTGATCCACCCGTCTCAGCCTCCCAAAGTGCTGGGATTATAGGCGTGAGCCACCATACCCGGCCTTTTTTTTTTTTTTTTTTTTTAAGTTGGGGTCTCACCCTGTCGCCCAGGCTGGAGTGCAATGGCACAATCTCGGCTCACTGCAACCTCCGCCTCCCCGGTTCAAGAGGTTCTTCTGCCTCAGCCTCCCGAGTAGCTGGGATTACAGGCGCACACCACGACGCCCGGCTAATTTTTTGTATCTTTTGTAGAGCTGGGGGTTTCACCATGTAGGCTTGAACTCCCGACCTCAGGTGATCCACCCACCTTGGCCTCCCAAAGTGCTGGGATTACAGGCATGAGCCACTGCGCCCGGACAATCGCCCAACTTTTTGAGGCCTTTAACATATAGCCAATCTTGAGCAACCTTGCTCTTCAGAACTTATGGGTCTGAATTATGGTTTCATAGTGTCACAGGCCCCAGTCTTAGGAAGTTCTTTCTTATATACAACCTAAATCCCTCATGCTGTTGTTTCTTCTTCGTTTGAGAAGTGATGGGTCCTTGCACACACACATCCCCTCATCCCTACCCTGTACATCGCAGCAAACCTTCACCGAGGGTTTTCCTGGATCAAGCCCCAAGATTGGCCCTGTGGACATGGTGAGGATTGGCAGAGTCCTTGCCTCAAAATATCCCAGTGTGGAAAGAGAGACAAACATGTTGACTTGTGACTCTAGTGCAAGGGCCAGGAGTGAAATAGAAGGCTGAGCCAGGGCTGCCAGCAGAGAGAGGCAGGGGGGCAGTCACTCTGACAGGGGTTTGTGGGACAAGGATGAGGAAAAGAGGAAGTTGGTGTTGGCAGGGCCTTAGTAAGATAACACTTGAGGGATCCAAGGGCTGTGATTAGTGTCTCATTACTTCTTTCTGCTTCTCTGGCCCACCCACCCCTTGTCCAAGTCCTGACAGAGGATACTGGCTCCTTCAGCATCCTCCCAGCTTCTTCTCCATGCTTCGTTTTCTCTGGACCCTGCAGTCCTTAGACCTCAGTACCCTTTATCCCCACCACGGACTGAGAGGGAAACAGGCCTGAAGATATTTCTCCTTCTGCTGGCAGGAGGCATCTAGCCAGGGCCCACTTAGGACTTTGGCCTTGTGCTCACCTAGGTTCAAATCTCAGCTCTGTCACACCAGTGCTGTGTGGCCCTGGGCAAGTAACCTAGCCTGAGTCTCACTTTTCTCCAGAAACCATAAAACCCAGCTAATGCCCATGCTGTTGAAACAATGTGTGTCTAGCAAACAGTAGGGGGTGTTCCATCAATAGTGGCAAGCATTATGATCATCCCTGAAAGGCTGATGGGGGCAAATTCCCCATGGATGCTTCCCTTGCAGATGGCCCCATCTGCTTTAGGTGCAGAAGCGCCCTCCAGCCTCTCAGAGATGGGTGAAGAGGGAGGGTAAAGAGGGGGACAAGACCCCCTGGGATTTCCAGGCAGCTCTTCTCCGCTCCCCCGTGCATGAAATCACACGCGCCCCAATCTGTCTGCATCCACTTCATCTGCCGGCTCAGCAAATGCAGAGACAATTAAGGAGTTAATTAGCACGCACTGGGAAGGGGCTGGGGACCTAAGGCTGATGGGACCCAGCAACACAGCCTCCCCACCCTCCATACTCAACGTTGTCCCCCCACCACCTGCCAACCCATAACCCTCATCTTTTCCACTGCTTTCTCTTTTTACTAGTCCAAACACTCCTCTTACCCCACTCCCACACTTACCTGCTATCCTCACCCTTTCTCCCCCACCTTATGCTATCCTGTCTCTTTTCTCTCATTCCTCTCTCTAATCTCTTCTCTCCTCCTCCACTCAGCTTTTCTCCCTTTTCCCACTCAAGTCTCTGTCTTCTCCATCCTTCTAGGACTCACCCTTTCCTCCTCCCCACTTCCTCCTTCTAATCTAGCCCCCTCTTCACTCCCCATCTCTTCTCCCTCTCCTATTCATCACCTTTCCCTCTCCAACTTGAATATGGGTCTCAACAAATGTGCCTGTCCACTGGTTCATGAACATGGGGCTCTGTATCTGCTACAGGAGTCCATGGGTTCCAGGTTGCCTGTCAGGCAGGTGTCTGCCTCTGCAATCCTGAAGGAGTGATCTCTGGTCCTCACCGTTCCCCAGCACCTCTCATTCCTGGCTCTCTCGGTGTCTCAGGCTCTCTTTCTTGTGCCAGTGCATCTCTGGGGGGCTCTCTCCCCATACTGCTGCCTCTGTCTGGGTCTCAGCAGTTTGTCTGCACATCCAGGACCATGTTGAACCCTTCTTTTTTCTCCCCAATTAGGGGGTTGGGGGACAGCAGATGGCCACCTTCCTTCTATGGCACATTACAATTTGTGTGTCAACATGCCATTTGGGGGAGTCAAGACTTCAGAAGGGAGGGATCATTAAAGAGACAATAGGCTGGGCATGGTGGCTCACACCTGTCATCCAAAGCACTTTGGGAGGCGGAGGCAGGTGGATCACTTGAGGGCAGGAGTTGGCCAACATGGCAAAACCCCATCTCTACTAAAAATACAAAAATTAGCTGGGCATGGTGGTAGGTGCCTGTAATCCCAGCTACTCAGGAGGCCGAGGCAGGGAGAACTGCTTGAACCCGGAAAGCAGGGTTTGCAGTGAGCCGAGATTGCGCCACTGCACTCCAGCCTGGGAGACAGAGCCACACTCCATCTCGAAGAGAGAGACAGAGAGGTGGAGAAATCGGGGCCAAGGCAGAACTTCAAAGGGCAGATGGACACACAATATGGAGTGAGAGGGAGGAGTGGAGACAGATGGAGAGGAAAGAGAAGAGAGAAGGTAGGGAGAGATGGAAAGATAGAGACTTCAAGATAGGGAAGAGACTGTTAAGGTCCTTCCCTGCTTTCAAATTCTGGGTCTTTGAGAACAAGCAAGAAAGGAGAGAAACAAAAGGTTCACATAGTGCCTGGGGTTATTTCCCCTCGCAGGAAACTTCCCTGGTTATCTCCCTACGGTAGCACTGACCCCCACTTCCCCCCTACACCACCTGCCCTGGTTTCTCTGTTTTGGGGGCTCTGGCTGGCCTGAGAGCAGATCTGTCCTGTCTCCTCCTCTTGCACCCCCTCAAGTCGGGGTGCTCCCCCAGAGCGAGCAGCGGCTGTCTTGACTACCAGAGGAGATGACGGAGGGGGAGAAATGTGGCTGAGACAGGCCTGGTGAGAGGAATGCGCCCAGGTCCAAACACAGCCCGCATTCGGTAGGTGCATTGTATTGAGGGCGCCCTCAGGCGGGACTGGCTCTCTAGCTCTGGGGTGCTGGGACCTGGCCTGAGTCTGGCTATTGTAGCCTCTCAATAGCGTTTAATGAGTTGTATAATAAGGAGCACCCCTGCGGGGGTTCTGGCTGGGTCTGGGCTTCCCAGGGCCTGGGGACACCTTCTTCCCCTGCATCAGTTGGCTTTTCAAGGCGCTTGTGTCTCTGAGCTGTCCCCCAGCTAAGTACAGTCCTCCCCTCTCCCCATCCCCCATAGGAAGACCCCTCTACAGCCTGCTGCCCTTCCCCACGGACCCCCCTCCCACCCTACCCAGGCCCCTCTGGAAGACGCAATCTCAGCGCCCAGGGCGGCCGCCCAGCCAGAGGAGGCAGTGCCGGTGAATAATTCATGGGGCTGGGAGGCCCTTATCTCCCTGGCCGGCCCCACCCGGGGCCCCGGCGCTGGGCCGCCGTCCCGCGGCTCCCCGCTTTATCTCGACGCCCAGCTTGTAATGCAGCCCGCCATATCACAGGCAGAAGGGGAGATTAATTTTCTAGTTTTGCATGGGCGGGGAGGGGGAGGGGGCGAGGGGAGGTGCTGGGGAGCAGAAGCTGGGATCTTTCCGATTTCAGACTCCAGCGGCTTAATCCTCTCCCAGGCCTGCAGGAAGGGGAGGAAGAGGTTGTTGCAAGCCAAATTTCATCATCAGCGGCAGCCCCAACAGAGGGAGGAGGCGGCGAGGGGCAAACAGACGGGAGAGGCAGCGGCGCTGGCGCAGAAAGGGGAGTTGTTTGGAAACAGGGTAATAGGCGGCCCTCTCAGCCTCGGCTCACAGGAGGCTCAGCTTGTCGGGAGCTGGAACTCCAGGCCGTGTGGGGCTTGCACGTGGGCACATGTATGTGCACACACAGGAGCTCCGGGCACATAGGCATACTCTTTGGGAACGGACACCAGGCTGGTGTCCGCTGCACCTCACACAGTGCCTGGCACAGAATAGACAAAAAAAAAAAAAAAAAAAAATGTTGACTGACTGAGGGGCTAAATGTCTGAGAGAATGTTGATGAGCTGAGCACACACAGCTCCACATGCTCCTAGAATCTGGCTCTGCCGTCTTCTTGCCATCTGCTCGGTGGACCCTGCATGTACAGACTGCTGGCTTCGTTGGTTTTCTGTACCCTCATAGTCTACACAGGTCAGTGAGGGTGGCCTGGGAAACCTGCAGGTTCCTGCTGCTTCTGCTTAGATGACACAACTACCCAGAGCTAGTAGAATCCACCGTCTGTTAGCTGAGCACCTATTACATGCCAGGCCTTGGGCTGGGCAGCCCTGTGTTTCCCAAGATCAATCAGAAGTGGGTCCTGCCTTCAAGGAGCTTATGGGTCAGCAGGGATGACCAGACACATAGGTGTTTGGCTCTGATGCAAGAAAGAATGCGATGCTTGCCAAGAAAGAGGTACTATTAAAGAGTTCAGAGGCAGGAGAGAGTTGGAGATGACCATGAAAGCATATTGGAAGAAGTGATATTTGAGATGGGTTTTGAAGGATGATAGGAGTTTGCAATGGCCATAATGGCATGGGAGGGAGGCAAGGCATTTCAGGTGGAGGGATAGTATGAAAGAAATGTTGATGATGGGGGACCAGGGTGAAGCATAGGGAGGAATTTAATCTGTCTGGTTGGCTGGAGGTGGCAGGGAATAAATAGTGAGGGCCAAGGCTGAGAAGTAGGAAGAGGTGAGGACGTAAGTATAAAGGAAATTGGATTTGCCCTGGGGTTACTGGAGAGCAATTAAATGGTTTTGAGCAGGAGGTGGCATAATCAAGGTAGTACTGGGATAAGATAAAGACAGCCAACATTTATTTAGCAAGTATGTGCTGGGCATTGTAGTAAGTGCTTCAAAAGGAGTTATTAAATCCTCACAACCTTCTTAGGTAGTATCATCCCATTTTATAGATGAGGAAATAGAGTCACAGAGATGCAAGCAATAGAATGGGGATCAATTGAAGACCCAGAAATCAGAGACAGGAAGCTTAGGATAAATTCTTTAACACCTCAGGTGCTTTTGGGTATGGAAAAAAATGTTTGTTATTTTTTGTACTTTGATGTCCAATTTATTAATCTCTATTCAAGTAATATTCCCCAAATACTCCCATACTATTTATACAACCAATAAATCAAAACTCAGAAATTTAGCAGGTTATGTTTCCTCAAATATTTAAACATTGATTGCAAATGAAATCAAATATCAAACTCTTCATAAATCTGTTTTTCTTTTCTTTCTTTTTTTTTTTTTTCAGAGACAGTACCTTACTCTGTTGCCCTGTCTGGAGTGCAGTGGCACAATCATAGTTCACTGCAGCCTCAAACTCCTGGGCTCAAGCAATCCTCCCTCCTCAGCCTTCCAAGTAGCTAGCATTACAGACATGTGCCACAACTCTTGGCTAATTTTTGTTTTTGTTTTTTTGAGATGGAGTCTAGCTCTGTCACCCAGGCTGGAGTGCAGTGGGGCAATCTCCGCTCACTGCAACTTCCACCTCCCAGGTTCACGCGATTCTCCTGCCTCAGCCTCCTGAGTAGCTGGGATTACAGGTGTGCGCCACTACGCCCGGCTAATTTCTGTATTTTTAGTAGAGATGGACCTTCACCATGTTGGTCAGGCTGGTCTCGAACTCCTGACCTCATGATCTGCCCGCCTTGGCCTCCCAAAGTGCTGGGATTACAGGCATGAGCCACCGCGCCCTGCCTAATTTTTGTATGTTTTGTAGAGACCAGATCTTGCTGTATTCCCCAAGTTGGTCTTGCTGTATTGCCCAATACAGGTCGGTCAGTACAGGTCAATCAGGCAATACAGGTATTTCTATATTGCCCGAAATCCTGGCCTCAATTCTCCTGCCTCAGTTTCGCTTATAAGGTTTAAACACCTTTAAAAGCAGACGAAACATACAATACAATTATTGCAAAAAAAATCCACCCACCCATTATGAATTTAAATTTCTCTGTTTAATATTTCTAATATTATGTTCTTTATTTTTATTCTTTTTTCTTTTCAGAGATAGGATTTTTTGTGACTTAAACTAGGGAGTAGAGATTTACCTTCTCCAACAGGCTGAGGCTGCAGAAGGAGTTGATTGGGATGGTTTGGGACCGGGCACACAAATCCTGGCAGGGTGGGGCTTCCAAGGAGATTTTTCGGGGAGTTCATTATGCAGCTCTTCACCTATTTCATCAGAAATTGTCCTCTTTATGCTCAGACCAATCATAGGTTCTAGTTTTGTGTGCGTGTGACCCTAATCTTTTCTCCAAATAATTCTAGTTTTGAGTACCTTATCTTTACAGCACAGCCCACCACGTAACCACTGTTCTCAGTGGAGCCTGGTCTGGTTCACTTAAGTCGAAAGCCCTTGGTCAATTGGTTAACTGGAACTACATCCCTTCCTTCTCATCAACCACTAAGACCTACAATATTGTCAGCTAGGGTGCTGAAGCAAGGGTCTAAGACGTGGTATTAAGAGCTTGAATTAGGGCAGTGGCAATGGAAATAAAAAGGAAATGACAGTTTTCAGACACTCCATGAAGGCAAAATTGACTTCTATTAAATGGGGGATAATAGCTTACCTCATAGAATCAAATGAAAACACGTGAAGTCCTTTGTACCTTATAAGCACCATTAAGTCCTAGTTGTTTTGGCTTTTGTTATGTTACTAGTACAAGCGGTCAAGGAGGAAACCTTCGGGGTTTCATCAAAATTTAAGGGGTAAACAGAAAGCGGACGCAGATAAGAGGCTGAAAGACAAAGGGACCTGAGAAAGATTGGCCAAAGACATGGGAGAAGAACAGGAGAGGAGGAATGTCCCTTAGGCTGAGAGGGTGGGAGGCAAGGGAACAGTTACAGAGGCCCAGGAGTGTGTTACAGAGGCCCAGGAGGGAGGTGGTGAAGGCCTGAACTAGGTGGGAACCATCTGGGTGTGTTAGAATGTCTCCTGGGACACACCTGGGCTGTAGGTCTTAGTGGTTGATGAAACAAAGGGATATCTTAGGGGAAATTGCAGATGGTGGCTGACTGGACGCACTGATGAGTGTGAGGGGAAGCTGGCAATTTTAAGTTCATGTACTTGGGGCCTGGCCAGGTGCAGAAAAGGAAGGTTGGGGTGGCCCTAGGTTCCTACAATGCACAGAAAAAAGGTACCCTGTTGTGACTAGGCTTGACTCTCCTTTGCAAAACGAAACTACTGTCTTAACCATGTGGCCCTCAGCTTTCTAGTGCAGCTAGCACCTTCTGCTCAACCTCCACCCTTTTCCTGGGAAGCAGAATTATAGAAGTTTCTTTTTTTCTTTTTCTTTCTTTCTTCCTTTTTTTTTTTTTTTCTTGTGAGATAGAATCTCACACTGACACACAGGCTGGAGTGCAGAGGCACAATCACGGTTCACTGCAGCCTCAACCTGCCAGGCTCAGGTGATCCTTCCACCTCAGACTCCTGAGTAGCTGGAACTACAAGCACATGCCACCACACCTGGTTAATTTTTGTATTTTTTGTAGAGACGGGCTTTCACTATGTTGTCTAGGCTGGTCTTGAACTCCTGAGCTCAAGTGATCTGCCTGCCTTGGCTTCACAAAGTGTTGGGATTATAGGTGTAAGCCATCATGACCGACCTATTTTTTTTTCTAGTATAATATTTACCTTAAAATTTTTGACCAGGTGCAGTGGCTCATGCCTGTAATCCCAGCATTTTGGGAGGCCGAGGGAGGAGGATCACTTGAGGTCAGGAGTTTGAGACCAGCCTGACCAACATGGGGAAACCCCATCTCTATTAAAAATACAAAAATTAGCCGGGCGTGGTGGTGCATGCCTGTAAATTCCTGCTACTCAGGAGGCTGAGGCAGGAGAATCACTTGAACTTGGGAGGTGGAGGTTGCAGTGAGTCAAGATCGCAGTATGGCACTCCAGCCTGGGCAACAGAGCAAGACTCCATCTCAAAAACAAAACAAACAAAAAAATTGGTATAAATTGCAACGTTATCTATGTAAGTATTAACCTTTTTTCCCTTCCTCCCCTTATTTATGCATGTATTTGAGACAGGGTCTCTCTATGTTGCCCAGGCTGGACTTGAACTCCTGGGCTCAAGGGATCCTCTCACCTCAGCCTCCTGAGTAGCTGGGATTACAGGCATGTGTTTATGGAACTGGCAGGGTCTTTAGAAATGATCTAATCCAGGCCGGGTGCGGTGGTTCACGCCTGTAATCCCAGCACTTTGGGAGGCCAAGGTGGGCGGATCGCGAGGTCAGGAGATCAAGACCATCCTGGCTAACATGATGAAACCCCATCTCTACTAAAAATACAAAAAATTAGCCGGGAGTGGTGGCAGGCACCTGTAGTCCCAGCTACTCAGGAGGCTGAGGCAGGAGAATGGCATCAACCTGGGAGGCGGAGCTTGCAGTGAGCCGAGATCGCGCCACTGCACTCCAGCCTGGCTGACAGAGCGAGACTCCGTCTCAAAAAAAAAAAAGAAAGAAATGGCCTAATCCATCTTTCACCTTTATCATTTAACAGACAAGGATACTGAGGCCAGAGAGCATCACAGGCATGATTAGTGACAAAACTGGGATTAGAATCCTGGTATCTTGACTCCTTGTCTAATACCTTTTCCCCCTGGTTACCCTACTGCAAGAGAACTTGGCCCCCATATTACCCATTATCACCTGGCTGCCTGAAGAGATTTTTCTATATAATTAGTCCCTATTATGGCTTGCCAGGCCTAAAAGCCCTGGCACTGGGGTCTTATTAGGGGGCTTGTGGTGATCATCGCAGGGATAAACCTTCAGAAAAGATGAGTCCTGGTCGGGCGTGGTGGCTCATGCCTGTAATCCCAGCACTTTGGGAGGCCGAGGCGGGCAGATCACCTGAGGCCAGGAGTTGGAGACCAGCCTGGCCAATGTGGCGAAACCCTATCTCTAGTAAAAATACAAAAAAATTAGCCGGGCATGGTGGCAGGTGCCTGTAATCCCAGCTACTCAGGAGGCTGAGGTAGGAGAATCGCTAGAACCCTGGGGGCAGAGGTTGCAGAAAGCCAAGATCGCAACACTGCACTCCAGCGTGGGCAAGAAGAGCAAAACTCCATTTAAAAAAAAAAAAAAAAAGGACAAGAAAAGAAAATATGACCGCTTTCTGTGCTTATCAAAAACAGCGGTGGGCCAGGCCCAATGGCTCATGCCTGTAATCCCAGCACTTTGGGAGACTGAGGCGGGCAGATTGCTTGAGGTCAGGAGTTTGAGACCAGCTTGGCCAACATGGTGAAACCCTGTCTCTACCAAAAATACAAAAATTAGCTAGGCATGGTGGCGGGTACTTGTAATCCCAGCTACTCGGGAGGCTGAGGCAGGAGAATTGCTTGAATCCAGGAGGCGAAGGTTGCAGTGAGCCAAGATCACACCGCTGCACTCCAGCCCCAGCCTGGGCAACACAGTGAGACTCTGTCTCAAAAAACAAACAAACAACAACAACAAAAACCAGGAGTGGTGTTGGGGAATTTCAAGAAATAGAAGATCATCAGAAGTAGGGAGAGATTAGAGGTAGGAGATGGAGGCCGGGGCTGGAGTGGATGGGCTCCTATGGGCTCCCATGGGCTCAGTGAAGCTCTGATCTAAACCCTATGTGAAGGACTGAGAGAGGGAAGATAAAGTGATGGTGGGGTGGGCGGTGTCTACAGCGGTGTGGTAGACCAAGGACATGGGGTTCAGTATAGAATAGGGTAGATGGCTTTATCCAAGTTGAAGGATCCACAGTCCAGCCCCCAAACTGGCAGCACCTCTCCATCCCCCCTGGGCCTCTGACCACTCTTTCCCCATCCCCCTTGGACTGCTGGAGGTAATTGCTCTCCATTTGGCCATTACTTAGCTCATTAATTGTCTAAAGAGGAAGAGCAGCCTGGAGTGAGAGTGGTTGGCAGAGAAAGCAATGAGTAGCGAGGACTCTAGGGGAATGGATGTGGGCCTGGACCTGGAATGGGGCTGGAACATTGTGGGGAAGAGTGGGTCTCATATATCTGGCTCGGGCCAACTGAATGCCCCTGCTCAGATCCAGTGTGAAGGAACCACTTTTCAATTCTAATAGGCCACCAATGCTTTCACTCTCAAATACCCTAGCATCCCTGATCTAATCACCACTCTCCAACTTCTCTACTGTCGTCATCACCACCATCGCCATTGTGGTAGGCAGCCTCTAAGATGGCTCTCAGTGACCCCTGCCTCCTGGCATTCATGCCCTTCATTGCATGGCATTCATGCAATCCTATCCCTTTGAGTGTGGGTTGTATTTAATGACTCACTTCTAGTGAATAGACTTCAGCAGAGGTGACGGGATGTCACTTCACGATTAGGCTACAAAAACACTGTGGCTTCCGTCTTGGTTACTCTCTCACTTGCACTGAGGAAAGCCAGCTGCCATGCTGTCAGCTACCCCACGAAGAAGCCCACATGGCAAGGAACTGAGGAAGACCCCAGGCCAACACTCATCAAGGTCCAAGAGCCTAAAATGAAATGAATCCTGCCAACAATCATGTGTGTGAACTTGGAAGAAGGTTGCTTCCAGTCGACACAACAGATGAGGCTGCAGCCCCTGCTGACACCTTGGTAGCAGCTTTGTGAGAACCCCTGAGCCAGAGGCACCCAGCCCTAAGCCATGCTCCAATTTCTAATCTATGTAAACTGCAAGGTAATAAATGTATGCTGTTTTGAGCTCCTAAGTTTTGGGGGTAATTTGTTATGCAGCAATATGTAACTAATACAGCCACCATCGCCACAGTCATCTTCAAATTCACATCATCAGTATCACCATTACCACTCCCAACACTACCATGCTCTCAAACTCACCACCAAAACTGCCATCATAGCCATCACCACCACTACTTTATACTCAAATGTGGATTCATTCTATCATGAGCATCATGACCACAATCATCACCAGTAGCTGCAAAATTCATCCTAGTATCCAATACGTCCCAGACCTTATGTAAGCCCTAAGGTTATGAAGAGGCAAAAGACAGTCTGTGCCCTCAGAGAATCAGCTGGGGACTCTAGTTAAGAGATTAGAACACATTCATAAAAAGTGGCTCATGCCTATGATCCCAGCACTTTGGGAGGCCAAGGCAGGCAGATCACTTAAGGTCAGGAGTTTGAGACCAGCCTGGACAACGTGATGAAACCCCGTCTCTACTAAAAATACAAAACAATGAGCCGGGCATGGTGGCAGGTGCCTGTAATCCCAGCTACTTGGAAGGCTGAGACAGGAAAATCGCTTGAACCCGGGAGGCAGAGGCTGCAGTGAGCCGAGATCACGCCACTGCAGTCCAGCCTGGGCAACAGAGCGAGAGTCCTCCTCCTCAAAAAAAAAAAAAAAAAAAAAAAAAAGTGAATGGTAAGTCAAGAAAGCCTATGCTTATTGCCACTGTGGGTCAGAGTGGGAGGGAAGGCTTCACGGAGGAGGGGACCTCAAATACAGGGGATCAAAGAGATCTGGATAGGCAGAGGAGGAAGGGGAAGACATGAGATGAGTCAGCCTGATGGTTCATGTGAAAAATGAAGTGAGGAGATCTAACCAGAAGGAAGGCCAAGCAGGAGAGCAGTGAGAGTTGAGGTTGGAACCAGAAAAGAAGCATATGAAGGTATAATGCATTGTAAGTTTGTGCATGACTCTATACTTCCCAGAGCATTCTCTGTGCCATCCTCTTTAACAGATGAGAAAACTATGGTTTAGAGTAATTTACAGATCTGTCCAGTTTTTAGCTCAGGGATGGGGAGACAGGCCTGGGGCTGAGGCCTCCAACCCTCTGCTCCAATGGGAGGCAGTGTGGAGTGATGGGATCCATCCAACCTGAGTCTCGGTTCCTTCCAGCTGGTAACAACGGGCAATTATTCAACGGCCACATCCACTATACCTACCTCTCAGGCTGTAGTATGGGCCAGATATATGAAAAACACTTCCTATATCTGCATGGTGCTTGGCACATGGCAGCCTGGTAATAAATATTAACTCCATCCCCTAGCCTCCCTCCACCGTCTCCTCTCCATCACCTTGTCCACTCACTGGAGGCTGGGTGGAAGTTGTCTCGTTCTGTATTCAGGCAAGCCTGCCACCCTGCACCACTCCGGGGCGCACCATTCACAGGAGGACATAAGGGTAGGAGGAGTTAGGAAGGAGACACTATTGACCAACTGCCTCTCAAACCTCCCTCTTCAGAATGTCTTTCTGGATTGGTCTGAGGAGAGTTGACAGCTACTCCTCTCAGTTCAGGATTGTTTGTCCAAGAAACTGCCTTATCTCCTTTCCCAGACAGACTGTGTCCTCACCCCACTTCGGGAGGGCAGGGACCAGAACTGGGATCCTAAGACAAGAAGGAACCCTGTGGAGCCATGTCCAGGACCAGCCTTCAGTCAGGGAACGCACCAGGAATCCCATTGTCTTGTAACAGGACAATGCTATTGGCACAATTGTTTACAACTTTCATATCTCCGGCTTTGTTGATACTCACTATCACCTTAGGACGCAGGCCTTATATTTGTGTCACCCGCATTTTATAGATGAATAAACCGGAGCTCAGAGAGGTTAAATGATGTTGCCCAAGACCAGTGAAGCAGCGAGTGGCTGAGCCTCCGCTAGGGTCTAGGGATGCCGAATGCCGTTGTTCTCTCCCTCACCCGCACTGCCCCAAGGCTTAGAGAGGCTCAGTGACTTGCACAAAATCCCTGCACTTGGAAGCGGTAGGGGGGTTAGAACCCAGGCCTCCTCTCCAGCCCCCAGAGCAGTGTTCTTTCTGTTCCATCACCCTGCACTGGGTAGAAAAACTGCTGTGGGGAAACAAGTTTGGCAGTTGAGAGGGAGAAAGGAGGGGAAGGGAGGAGGAAGGAGCTTGGGCTCTGCTGGTGACTGCGGAGGATGGGGTCGATATAGAGATGGGAGGGTTGGGACACCAGGGTCCCCAGGTGGCAGGGCCTGGGACCAGCCCTCCTCACTCTGTCAGGCCTGGGGCTGCAGGCTGCCAGTGCTCTTCCATCAAGACCCCCGGAGAGTCTGAAATCAAATATTCCTCCTCCCCTGCTCAGGCAGGCTTACTGCCATTGACAGCAAATGTATTGCTCTAATCTTTTCTCATTTTGCCAGGATGGGCTCCATTCTGACCTCCCTCCCAGCCTTGAAGGCTTCACAGAGGCAGGAGGGAAGCACGGAGGAACAGGAGGAATGAGATGGGAGGGAGGAGCAGGGGTTGGGCTGTAAATGGGGCAGCCACAACGATTCCAGGTTTCATATGGCCTCGTCTCTAGAAGGCTGGAAGATACTTCGAATTTGGAGGAAGTCAGTTCCTCTGCGTTCCCCGAGGGTTTCCCTGGGAAAGCAGATGGGAAAAGCTTGGTAGGCAGTAAGGAAGCAGGCCCTGGGGCCCCAGAGAAACAGACCAGGCTGGGTGTGTGTGGGTGTGTGGGGGTGGATGCTGGAGCCAAAATTCCAAGCTTGGGAGACTATCCTGTTGAGAAGAGGGGTAGGTTGTGTGTGTGCACCCTCTCCAGAGTGGCTGGCCTGCCTGCCTGTCCCGCTGTCCTCTGCCATCCAGGGAAGCCTTGCCAACATGAATGGCCCTGCTCTTTTGCCTGCCTCTCCTTCTGGCCTTCTCTGCTGGGAAGCACTCACTTGGGAAACCTCAGACAGGCATTGTGGGAGAATCAGAGGTGTGGGAGGGTGGGTGGAAGAGTCCTGGGAGGCACTTGGCCTGGGGGACAGGGATGGTGCCCAGAGCCCAGGCAAGGGGTGGAGGGGCAGATAGGGCAGAGGGGTTGTGGGAAAGAATTAGAAGCTCAGAGCCAGCTGGGGTCCATGAGAAGGGAAGAGCAGATGAGTAGGGCTTGGCTGGGAAGGGGAAGGGTGGCACCTCCAGAGCAGGAGTGAGGCAGGCAGAGTCCAGTGCTCCGCCTGAGAAGCTGGGAGGCCAGAGGCCCTGGATTCTACTTCATTTGTTCTGCTAAAATCAGCCCTGAGCATGTGTGCGTGCGTGTGTGTGTGTGTGTGTGTGTGTGTGTGTGTGTCTGTCTGTCTGTCTCTCCCAAGGTAGGGTAGAGTCCCTGTGCCCCATCATGGTGGGCATCCCTTTGTCTGAGTGTATCTTCGGGTTGGGCCCGAAAGTTTTCTGGGTCCTGATGGTTTATGAGTGGAGAGGGCCTCAGCCTCTGGCGGTGGGTAGGGGCGGGTGTGAGCTGCCTTGTCCCTTTGAGGCTCTCTGGCCCTTCCCAGGGAGAAAGTCCTGGCTGGAGTGTCTGAGCTGGGTGGAGCTCTGCCCGGGATTCAGCAGGGGAGGGAAGGGAGTGGAAGGAGGGTTCTGGCCTCCCAGTCCTCCCTTCTGGCAGTGAGCTGCTGCCTTCTACTGCTGGGCAAGGCAGGCCCTGCATGTCAGCAAAGATCTCAGAATTGTTACCTTTCTAGACAGACCCCCCTGCCTGGCATGATCTTCCTTCTCTCCTCTGATTGTCCCCAGCCCCACTTTCAGAATGGCTTCCCTGACTCCATAGGTCTCCATCCATTCCCTGCACTTGCGAGGTCCATGGGAAGCCACTCACTTGGGATAGCCATCCTGCCTTGTAGGAACATTTCCTCCTCTCAGTCCCTCTTGTCTGAGGATAGCTGAGGTGGAATTTGAGAAATTCTCTGTTTCTACGCCTCCAAGGTCCAACCAGACAGGAATGACTACTGGCTGCCACAGGAGCCCCCATGCAGGTGTGAGTCCAGTGCAGCGGACCTGGGACAGGTCACCCCACCCTGGGCCCCTTACCTCCCCCAGCTCTGGAGAGACACCTCCCTTACAGAGTACTTAGGTCTAACAGGTCTCAACTGTGGTCTATAGAGCCTGGGCCAGAAGCTTGACCTCACCCCTCTCTCTGTTTAGAGCCTGTTCACCATGGGCCTCAGCTTCCACGTTGCACAAGGGCTGCAGCGCCCCCTGGTGGCCCAAAGTCCTTTCTCCCAGGTGGCTGCGGAGGATGGCAGCTGATAAGGCCTTTAGAGGATATCTACACTAGGGGCTTCCAACCTTTTTATTCTTTTATTTTTTTAACTTAAGCCAGGAGCGGTGACTCACCCCACCCAGTAATCCCAGCACTTTGGGAGGCTGAGGTGGGCGGAGCGCTTGAGCTGAGGAGTTCCAGACCAGCCTGGCCAACATGGTGAAACCCATCTCTACTCAAAACACAAAATTCACCGGGCATGATAGCACTTGCCTGTAATCCCAGCTACGCAGAGGCTGAGGCAGGAGAATCGCTTGAACCCGGAAGGCAGGGGTTGCAGTGAGCCGAGATCCCGCCATTGCACTCCAGCCTGGGCGACAGAGCAAGACTCTGTCTCAATAATAATAATTAAAATTTTTTTGCAGTGATGGGATCTCACTATGCTGCGATGGAATACCTGGCCTCAAGCGATCCTCCTGCCTCAGCCTCTGAAAGCATTGGGATTACAGGCGTGAGCCACCATGCCTGGCCCAACCTTTTAAATTTTTTATTTATTTTTTATTTTTAATTCTTCTGGGTAACTTATAGAACCCAGCATAACCTTTCTATTTCCAAAAAAATTTCCCTGACCATGACCATATGGCAATAGCTGTACTTTTGTTATCTTTTGACTGAGAAAATACATGATGATTGAGTTCTGGATCGCATCATTAAAGCTCATTTGGATCTCGTCTCCCAGCAATCACACAGTTACACAGTCAGTTACACACAGATGGGCTACTCAGTCTTTATGGAGGCCAGGGGCTGAGTCTCTCCTGATCACTCCAAGGTTTCTACAGTTAGGGAACCACAGATCTATATTCTTCTTATGTAACAGATGAGGCCTAGAAAGGGGAAGGAACCTGATAAAATTCACACAGCTAGAGAAGTTGTGCCAGAATTTGAATTCAAGATAGATGCTTGTCAAAGGGACCGCAGGGGCTTAAATAGGGAGGAAGGTGCAGACAGGGCTCGGAGGAGGGGGCAGCAGAACAGGGCTGTCTCCAACAGGGGCAGGGAACCCCACCTTATTTCCTTACCATTCAGATTCAGGTAAGATATGCCCATAAAGAATGACCTATGGGAAGGAGATGTCAAAAGAACAAATACAAGGATGAGGGGAGAGGAGCAACCAGCTCTGCTTAAAGCCCCTTCCCCTATATACCCAGACTGTGCAGGTCATTTTAACCTCTAGGTTAAGAGTCATTTAACCTCGGCTAGGGGCAATGGCTCACGCCTGCAATCCCAGCACTTTGGGAGGCCGAGGCGGGCGAATCATAAGGTTAGGAGCTCGAGACAAGCCTGGCCAACATGGTGAAACCCCGTCTCTACTAAAAATACAAAAAATTAACTGGGCGTAGTGGCAGGCGCCTGTAATCCCAGCTACTCGGGAGGCTGAGGCAGGAGAATCGCTTGAACCCAGGAGGCGGAGATTGCAGTGAGCTGAGATTGTGCCACTGGACTCCAGCCTGGGCGACAGAGTGAGACTCTGTCTCGAAAAAAAAAAGAAAAAAAAAGAAAAAAAATTACTTGCCTAGAGATTAAATGACTTTTTTTTTTTTTTTGAGACGGAGTCTTGCTCTGTTGCCCAGTCTGGAGTGCAGTGGCAGGACCTTGACTCACTGCAACCTCTGCCTCCCAGGTTCAAGCGATTCCCTTGCCTCAGCCTCCCGAGTAGCTGGGATTACAGGCGCCTGCCCTCATGCCCAGATAATTTTGTATTTTTAATAGAGACGGAGTTTCACCATGTTGGTCAGGCTGGTCTCAAACTCCGGACCTCAGGTGATCCACCTGTCTAGGCAAGTCACTTAACCTCTCTGAGACTCAGCTTTCTCAATGGTAAAATGAGAGTGAACCATAATGTCTTTCTTACTCCTCATGACTGTTGTAAAAACCCAATTAAATATGTATAGAAGTTTTGGTAAATAGCAAAGTGATGGCTGGGTGTGGTGGCTTCACGCCTGTAATCCTAGCACTTTGGGAGGCCGAGGCAGGCGAATCACGAGG
This sequence comes from Homo sapiens, assembly GCF_000001405.40. Classification (NCBI taxonomy): domain Eukaryota; kingdom Metazoa; phylum Chordata; class Mammalia; order Primates; family Hominidae; genus Homo; species Homo sapiens. Next base: position 50,037,352 of record NC_000012.12, on the reverse strand, counting down.
TCAAGAGTTTGAGACCAGCCTGGCCAACATGGTGAAACCCCGTCTCTACTAAAATACAAAAATTAGCTGGGCATGGTGGCACATGCCTGTAATCCCAGCTACTCGGTAGGCTGAGGCCGGAGAATCGCTTGAACCCAGGAGGTGGAGGTTGCAGTGAGCTGATATCGCACTCCAGCCTGAGCGACAGAGTGAGACTCTGTCTCAAAAAAAGAAAAGAAAAGAAAAAAAAGGTTATGGATGCCAAGTTCCTTTCCCCAGTCACTTTGCTATTATTTATTTATTTATTTATTTTTGAGATGGAGTCTCGCTCTGTCGCCCAATCTCAGCTCACTGCAACCTCTGCCTCCCGGGCTCAAGCAATTCTCCTGAGTGCAGTGCTGTGATCTCAGCTCACTGCAACCTCTGCCTCCTGGGTTCAAGCGATTCTCCTGCCTCAGCCTCCTGAGTAGCTGGGATTACAGGCATGCGCTACCATGCCTGGCTAATTTTGTATTTTTAGTAGAGACAGGATTTCTCCATGTTGGTCAGGCTGGTCTCGAACCCCCGACTTCAGGTGATCCGCCTGCCTCAGCCTCCCAAAGTGCTGGGATTATAGGCGTGAGCCACTGTGCCTGGCCCCATAACCTCTTATTTAATCTTCAGCTCAACCCTGTGAAGTAGGTTATGTTATTCTCATTTCACACTGGAGGTAAAAGAAGCAGAGTGTAACAGAAACGGAGGGAAGTTTAATAGGGAGGAAGAGAGCTGAATTTGACTCCAGGTCAGACTAGGGAGAACTAGCTCCTGGCTTGTCTTTCAGAATTAACAGTTAGTAGAAGTGGCACTTGTTACAATTTACGTAAATCTCTGGTCTGCTTTTTAGAACCAGCTACTTCCTCTCACTCTTGGCAGCCCATTCCTCTATAGTTCCAGCCATCTTGAACCCAGAGCAGCAAGGTGTGCCCTGAATAAAGTGCAGACAGGCAGTGGGCTTTGCTTGAAGCAGGAGTTAGCTGAGGCGGGCAGAGTACAGGACTGTGCGTGGCAGTAGAATACCAAACCTATTTGCACATAAGAATCACCTGGGAAGATGATTTTTGGAAAATCTCTGAGTCCTACACCTCATGATTCTCAGCTTTGGACCTGTATTTTCAATGCTGATGACCAGCTGAGCTTGGGAAGGGGACGGTGAGGCTACTTTACCGTCTCAGATACAGCCATTCAACATGTTGTTATAGAGCGGTGGTTCCAAATGTGGTTCCCAGATCTGCAACATCAGCATCATCTAGGAATGCATTCAAAATGAAAATTCTTGGGGCCCATGGAAGACGGATGGAATGAGGAACTCCATGATGGGTCCCAGCAATCTGTATGTTACCAAGCTCTCCAGGGGATTTTGATGCACGCTAAGGTTTGAGAAGCACTGGTATAGAACAGGGACTTACTGTGAGTCAGACACATTGTTCGGCAGGGGACAGGCTGGGGTGAATAAGCTACGGTCTCTGTTTTTTTTTTTTTTTTTTTTTTTTTTTTGAGACAGAGTCTTGCCCTGTCACCCAGGCTGAAGTGTAGTGGGGCGATCTTGGCTCACTGCAACCTCCGCCCCCCGAGTTCAAGTGATTCTCCTGGCTCAGCCATCCGAGGGGCTAGGATTACAGGCGTATGCCACCATGCCCAGCTAATTTTTGTGTTTTTAGTAGAGATGGGGTTTTGCCATGTTGGCCAGGCTGGTCTTGAGCTCCTGACCTCAGTTGATCTGCCAACCTTGGCCTCCCAAAGTGCTGAGATAACAGGCATGAGCCACCACACCCGGCCTATGGTCTCTGTTTTTGTTTTTTAATTAATTAAATTTTTTTTTTGAGATGGAGTTTTGCCCTTGTTGCCCAGGCTGGAGTGCAATGGTGCAATCTCAGCTCACTGCAACCTCTGCCTCCTGGGTTCAAGCGATTCTCCTGCCTCAGCCTCCTGAGTAGCTGGGATAACAGGCATGTGCCACCATCCCTGGCTAATTTTGTATTTTTAGTAGAGACAGGGTTTCTCCATGTTGGCCAGGCTGGTCTCGAACTCCCGACCTCAGGTGATCCACCTGCCTCGGCCTCATAAAGTGTTGGGATTACAGGCGTGAGCCATCGTGCCCGGCGGTCTCTGTTTTCAAAGAGGTTGGACTCTAGTAGAGATGAGTTCAGCATGTCAATAACTATATCCCCTCCTCCAAGCAGGGCTCCCCAGAGCCTGGACACCCAGGAGAGACACAGGCGTGTTTCTAAAGGGGGACTTGTTTCTATTTGTTCCTATTAGAGTTTTGTTGTTATTGTTGTTTTGTGGGTGGTTTGTTTTGTTTTGTATTTTTTGAAACAGAGTCTTGCTTTGTCTATTACAGTTTGATTTAGTTCAACACTTTATTGAGTGTGAAAGGGTGATTCCTAGGCATGGGGCAGGGAAACATTGTTTTTGATTTTTTTTTTTTTTTTTGATGAGAGAGAGAGAGAACATCAAAAAAAAAGGGGAAAGAAACAGAGAATGTTATATGTAAATGCTTATTTAGAAATAAAATGCTTGTTCCCTGGTGTCACAGAGAAACAGCACTTAAACATAAATTTAATTCTCTTAGCAAAGCCGTTTTTACTTTCTGCAGAAAGGGTGCTCATCGCAGATGGAACAATGGCAAGAGCACATTTGAACAAAAGAGGGAAGCAATTTTTATTCCTTATGCAGTTTTTCCCTGCTACTGTCTTGTCTCCATTGGCTGGAGCCAGACTGCACAATTTAAAACCCGATTGGCTAGCAGTTTAAAACTTTTCTAAATAGGTAAAAGTAATGGAAGGATAAAGGAAAAGAGGAAGTTGCTTATGCCAAACAGGGAAGGGGCATAGGCTGCGAGCTGGTACCTGCCTGTGAGCATGTCCAGCACAAATATTTTGGTTTAAGGTACAAGGACATAGAATGTACTATATGCCTGTGAGTGTGTTTAACAGCTACATAGGATAGGGCCCAACAAAGAGTTATTACCATAAAATAAGGAGGCTTAAAGCAAGTTAGTCTTTAAAATAAACTATTATTTCTAACATTATTTTTTTAACAAGAAGGGAAACTTTGAAGAGGAACTTTTTACTTTCTACAGAGAGGAAGACAGAGGGATACAAAATAATTATAAGTAATACTCATGGAGTTACTATGTGGCAGGCACTGTGCTAAGAGCTTTGCAAACACCCATTTATTGCTCCCAACAGTGCTTTACACTATTATTATCATCCCCATTTAATAGATGTGGAAATGGAGGGACAGAGAAGTTAAGTTGCCCACTACACAGGTCATAAATGGTGGAAGTAGACCTTCACCCAGGGCCAAAATAACTCCAGGCCTGTGTGTTTACCCACTGTGCTTATTGTTTCTCTTAGAGAAATAGGAAGAAAACCTTCAATGGCTCACTAGTCCCTCAGGAATTACACTGAATTTATCTGGCCTGTCATTCAAGGTACCTCAGCTCTGCTCTCAAAAGTCCTTCCAGCCTGTGGGGTGTGATGGCTCAGGCCTGTAATCCCAGCACTTTGGGAGGCCAAGATGGGAGGATCACCTGAGGTCAGGAGTTTGAGACCAGCCTGGCCAACATGGTGAAACTCCATTTCTACTAAAAACACAAAAATTAGCTGGGCGTGGTGGTGCGCGCCTGTAATCTCAGGTACTCAGGAGGCTGAGGTGGGAAAATCGCTTGAACCTGGGAGGTGGAGGTTCCAGAAAGCCGAGATCGCGCCACTGCACTCCAGGCTGGGAAAGAGAGCGAGACACTGTCTCAAAAAAAAAAAAAAAAAAAAAAAAAAAGTCCTCCCAGCCTTACCCGCCCCCCAGCCAAGATCCTCTCACTCCAGTCAGGCTGGACTGACTTCCCTATTTCTCTCAGCACTTCCTGCCTACTTCAGTCCCCAGCCTCCTCCCTGTTGGGGTCCTATTCATCCTTCAAAGCTCAGCTCAGAGGTCTCTTCTTTGACAGTCTTGAGTCCCAGCCAGAGGTGGGCCCTCCCTCCCTGGACCCCCAGAACACAGCCCCCACCTCCGCACTCTGCGCTGCAGGCCCTGGCCTTGCACCCCGCATCGCCCCACCCCCGCCCCTGGGCTTAGCGCACAGCCTGGAAGGCAGAAGGGCTCAAAGCTTCTTGGTGTAATTCACAGGGGGAACGATAATCCTGGATGGGAGGTAGGGAGCCAGACCTCCAGAGGGCAAGTGAGAAGGCCATGGGAGGCGGAACCCAGCGAAGGCGAGAGAATGAAGACACGCATCGGGCTGTGGCCAGACGGTTGGCAGCCAGGGACCTAGCCAAGCCTCCCTGCCCCCGACGCCCGCGTCCAGGGATCGTCGATGACAGTTCGCCTGTCGGGACATCGGATCAGGCGGCCGCCCCTGGGGAGGTGAGGGCCGGTGGGGTACGGGCGCGCTCGGGAGGTCACCCGCAACCACCTATCAGCACCAACCCCATCATTGGTGCCTGGGCGCGGGGGAGCGCGTGGGAGGGGGGCGCCCCCGCTTGCCGCCCCCGCGCGGGATAACAGGCGCGTTCCAGCCTGACCTCTCCCGCACCTCGGAAGCACTCAGAGCGCGCGTCTCGCCGGACATGGGAGATTAAATAACCGGATACTGCACCTCTCCTAGGTGGCAGAGCGGGGAATCGAACCCAAGCTTTCTGGCACCAGCTCTCAAAGCTCTCAAGCTTCTCCGGTTACAAGTGCAGCCCCAGGATCCCTCCCTACTCTGGAAGCTACAGTTTGGGAAGAAAGGGAGTTAGGAACCCGCGCCCCCACGCCACCCCGCTTCACACACACACACACACACACACACACACACTCACCTTTTCCTTTGCTGCCTTCTCGCTGGGGCGGGTGCAGCAGGGAAGGAGATTGAGAGGAATTGGAAGGGTGGGTGGTATTTTGGGTAGAGGCAGGTGTAAGAGAGACAGCATCTCCAACCCCCATCCATTATTTGGGACACCGTCCTATTGAACTTAACTCACCTCCATTACACAGCTATTTATTGGAGCTGCAAAAGCAAGACTAGTACATGGAAGGAGTACCATCCCTTCTTCTCTGGAAGTTCATAGTCTAGTAGGGAAAATAGGCATTGCAGAGTGTTTACAGTGGGCCAGGAACTGTGCTAAGTGTTTTATAAGGATAACTCATTTATTCCTCTCGACAACCCTAGGAAATAACTATTATTATTATTATTATTATTTATTTTTGAGACAGAGTCTCGCTGTGTCACCCAGGCTGGAGTGCTGTGACACAATCTTGGCTCACTGCAACCTCTGCCTCCCAGGTTAAGCAATTCTCCTGCCTCAGCCTCCCAAGTAGCTGGGACTACAGGCACGTGCCACCACACCAGGCTAATTTTTGTATTTTTAGTAGCGATGGGGTTTCATCATGTTGGCCAGGCTGGTCTTGAACTCCTGACCTTGTGATCCACCCTCCTTGGCCTCCCAAAGTGCAGTATTATTATTATTATTATTTCCATTTATAGATGAGCAAGTCAAGCCACAGCTGACCTGTGAAAGGCCGTGTAACAGTGACTGGAAGAACCAGGAAGCCTAAACAAATCAGGAGTATGAAAGGGAGAGAACACAGTGCTGCGGGAGTTTATGCCAAAGGCACGGACCCAGGCATCAGCGTTTAAGTTTAAACTGTCTAGAGGGTGAGTAGAACTTATCCTGGTGAAGAGGCACTGGAAGTTCGGGAAGTTCCGGAGAGTGCTGGCGCACAGGGAAGGTTGAAGGCCCCAGGTGGAAATGGTAGCCAGGTGCGTGGAGGAACTGCAAACGAGGGTTGGGCAGTGCAGCTAGAAGGGCGAGCAAAAGCAGCCTAGGAGGGCCTTGTAAAGGATTTTGGTCTTTTTTTTTTTTTTTTTTTTTTGAGATGGAGTCTTGCTCTGTTGCCCAGGCTGGAGTTCAGTGGTGCAATCTCGGCTCACTGCAGCCTCCACCTCCCAGGTTCAAGCAATTCTCCTGCCTCAGTCTCCTGAGTAGCTGGGATTACAGGCACACACCACAATGGCCGGCTAATTTTTTTGTATTTTTAGTAGAGACGGGGTTTCACCATGTTGGCCAGGCTGGTCTTGAACTCCTGACCTCAAATGATCCGCCTGCCTCAGCCTCCCAAAGTGCTGGGATTACAGGTGTGAGCCACCGCGCACGGCAGAATTTTAGTCTTTATTAGAAGGCAAGTTGAAGTCATTAAGGATTTTAAGCAAGGGAGATATATGATTAGAATCACATTTTTACTTTAACATTTTTTTTCAAGTTTATTTTTAAAAATTGGCCGGGCGCGGTGGCGTCTGTAATCCTAGCACTTTGGGAGACCAAGGCAGATGGATCACCTGAGGTCACCAGTTTGAGACCAGCCTGGCCAACATGGTGAAACCCCATCTCTACTAAAAATACAAAAAGTAGCCAGGCATGGTGGTGGGCGCCTGTAATCCCAGCTACTCTGGAGGCTGAGGCAGGAGAATCTCTTGAAACTGGGAGGCGGAGGTTGCAGTGGGCCGAGATCACGCCATTGCACTCCAGCCTGGGTGAAAGAGCAAAACTCCGTCTCACACACACACACACACAAAAGACATAAAATTGAACATATTTATCATGTACAACATGATGTTTTGAAGTATAATGTATATATATTATGGTTTTTGTTTTGTTTTGTTTCTGAGACAGAGTTTCACTCTGTCGCCCAGTCTGGAGTGCAGTGGCGCAATCGCGGGTTACTGCAACCTCTGCCTTCTGAGTTCAAGCAATTCTCCTGCCTCAGCCTCCTGAGTAGCTGGGATTATAGGCATGTGCCACGACGCCCGACTGATTTTTGTATTTTTTAGTAGAGACAGGGCTTCACCATGTTGGGCAGGCTGTTTTCAAACTCCTGGCCTCAAGTGATCCACCCTTCTCAGCCTCCCAAAGTGCTGGGATTACAGGTGTGAGCTACCACGTGCTCTCAGACTGTACATATATTATGGAATGATTAAATATAGCTGCTTTTTTTTTTTTTTTTTTGAGACAAGGTCTTGCTCTGTCACTCAGGCTGGAGTGCAGTGGTGCAATCATAGCTCACTGCAGCCTTGAACCCCTGGGCTCAAGTGATCCTCCTGCCTCAGGCTTGCAAGTAGCTGGACTAGCCAAGCCCACTACATTCAGCTAGTTTGTTTGTTTTAAATGAAAGCAAGTTTGTTAAGAAAGTAAAGGAATAAATGAGTGGCTACTCCATAGGCACAGGAGCCTAATTTTTCAGTTTTTTGTAGAGAGGAGGTCTCGATATATTCCCCAGGATGGTCTTGAACTCCGGGCCTCCAGTGATCCTGTCGTCTCAGCCTCCCAAAGCACTGGGATTACAGGCATGAGCCACAGCTTGTCTGGCCAAATCTAGCTCATTAATTAAGCTATGCATCACTTCACATAGTCATCATTTCTGTAGTAGAATTGCATTTTAATTTTTATTTATTTATTTTTTTTGAGACGGAGTCTCGCTCTGTTGCCCAGGCTGGAGTGCAGTGGCGCAATCTCAGCTCACTGCAACCTCCACTTCCCAGGTTCAAGCAATTCTCCTGCCTCAGCCTCCCGAGTAGCTGGGACTACAGGCGCCCGCCACCACGCCCAGCTAATTTTTTGTATTTTTAGTAGAGATGGGGTTTCACCATGTTAACCAGGATGGTCATGATCTCCTGACCTCGTGATCTGCCCACCTCGGCCTCCCAAAGTTCTGGGATTACAGGCGTGAGCCACCGTGCCCAGCCCTCAAATTTTTTTTTAATTAAATTAAATTTTATTTTTTGAGACAGAGACTCGCACTGTCACCCAGGCTGGAGGGCAGTGGCACAATCTCGGTTCACTGCAACCTCCGTCTCCCGGGTTCAAGAGCGATTCTCCTGACTCAGCCTCTCGAGTAGCTGGGATTACAAGCACACACCACCATGCCCGGCTGCTGTTTTTTGTTTGTTTGTTTGTTTGTTTGTTTGTTTTTGAGATGGAGTCTTGCTCTGTTGCCAGGCTGGTGTGCAGTGGCGCGATCTCAGCTCACTGCAACCTCTGCCTGCCGGGTTCAAGTGATTTTTCTGCCTCAGCCTCCTGAGTAGCTGGGACTATAGGCGTGCAGACCACCATGCCCAGCTAATTTTTTTTTTTTTTTTTTTGAGATGGAGTCTCACTTTGTCGCCCAGGCTGGAGTGCAGTGGCGCGATCTCGGGTCACTGCAACCTCTGCCTCCCAGGTTCAAGCCATTCTCCTGCCTCAGCCTCCTGAGTAGCTGGGACTACAGGCGCACGCCGCCACGCCTGGCTAATTTTTTGTATTTTAGTAGAGACAGGGTTTCACCATGTTGGCCAAGATGGTCTCGATCTCTTGACCTCGTGATCTGCCCACCTCGGCCTCCCAAAGTGCTGGGAATACAGGCATGAGCCACTGTGCCCGGCCTAACTTTTGTGTTGTTAGTAGAGACAGGGTTTCACCATGTTGGCCAGGCTGGTCTTGAACTCCTGACCTCAGGTGATCTGCCTGCCCTGGCCTCCCAAAGTGCTGAGATTACAAGTGTGAGCCACTGTGCCCGGCCATAATTGCATTTTTATTTTTATTTTTTTGAGACAGAGTCTTTCTCTGTCACCCAGGCTGGGGTGCAATGGCATGATCTCAGCTCACCGCGACCTGTGCCTCCCAGGTTCGACCAATTCTCCTGCCTCAGCCTCCCAAGTAGCTGGGATTACAGGCATCCACCAGCACACTTGGCTAATTTTTTTCGCATTTTTAGTAGAGACGGGTTTTCACCATGTTGGCCAGGCTGGTCTCGAACTCCTGATCTCAAGAGATCCACAGGCCTCGGCCTCCCAAAGGGCTGGGATTACAGGCGTAAGCCACCTCGCCCAGCCATAATTGCATTTTTAAAAGATCACTTGAGGAGTAAAGAATGCAAGGGAGGGCAAACAGTTTCACTGGGGTTGGACTACCAGATTGGACAAGGGTAGTGACAGGGGGAAGGAGAAAAGTGGGCACACACAAGAGATCTGTACTTAGGAGTTTCACTCAGTAATTGAGGTGTAAGGGAAAGAGAGAAAGCTGAGGCATTCTACACTCCCCTGCTTCTCTCCCTCACCCCTGAGGTCCAATCATTTAATAAGTCCATTTCATTTCATTGATTGATTTCATAAATATCTTTCCCACCTGTCCCCTCCTTGTCATCCCACTGCCACTGGCCTAAATAGAGAGTCTACCTTTACATTTTTCCCTTTCCAGACAATCCTGCTTGCCATGTTAGCATATGTTCTATCCAAAGACAAATCAGTCAAGTCAGTCCAAGTCCCATTGTCTTGTCATTGAGTCCGTTACAGGATCAAGTCCAATCCGTTCCTAGTGTGGTCTCATCCTACTTTGCCAGTCTCTCCTTTTCCTTCTCAGGCCAAAGCTACTCAAGAAGCATCACACTCACTTAACCCCCAACATCACCTGAAAGTTGAGGTAAATGTTCCTTCACAGCCTAAACCTTCATAAACGCTTTCTCGTGTATTGATTGATTGATTGATTGATTGATTTGAGATGGAGTCACGCCCTGTTGCCCTGGCTGGAGTGCAGTGGCATGATCTCGGCTCACCACAACCTCTGCCTCCCGGGTTCAAGCGATTCTCTTGCCTCAGCCTCCCGAGTAGCTGGGATTACAGGCGTCTGCCACCACGCCTGGCTAATTTTTGTATTTTTAGTAGAGATGCGGTTTCACTATGTTGGCCAGGCTGGTCTCGAACTCCTGACCTCACGATCCACCCGCCTCGGCTTCCCAAAGTGCTGGGATTACAGGCATGAGCCACTGTGCCTGGCCTTGTGTATTTATTAAATATATGCTTGCCTCATTCTTCAGAGGTCACATGATCTTCCTATTGCCAGTAATTTTCCATTCCCTTCTCTCCTGTAAATTCCTATTCACACAAGACCCAGCTCAGATCAGTCTCTGCAGGCTTTTTTAACACTCCCACTCCCCAGATAGGATTAATTGCTTCCTTGTCTGTGCTCCTAAAGTACTTTATACATGTCTTTGTCCTACTACTTATTTCATTTTATTATAGGTATCTAAGCAGGCACAGGCTAATGCAATCAATGAATGCTCCTGACCTTGAAAGGTTGTTAGGAGGATTAAATGGGATAACAAATGCACAGTTCATATTTTCTTTCTTCATCCCTTTCTTAATAATATTAATAATAATCTGTATTGCAGTTTACCAAGTATAAACTTTGATAGTGTACCACACTGTGTCTCAGTCGATCTGGGAATAAACCTGTGAGATAGAGATGGGATTATTATTTCTACATTATACTTGGAGGAAGTGAAGTACAGAAGTATTAAAAAGTGATAATATGGGTGGGTCAGCCGAACGCCTGCTATTGTTCAAGGCCAGGTGGAGTGCTACTGTCTGTAATCCCAGTGCTTTGGGAGGCTCAGGTGGGAGGATCACCTAAGGCCAGGAGTTCAAGACTAGCCTGGACAACATAGTGAGACCCTTCTCTACAAAAGATAAACAAACAAGCAAAAGAATTACCTTGATCATGTGCCTGTAGTCCTAGGTATGAGGGAGGATCCCTTGAGTGTAGGAGTTCATATTTGCAGTGAGCTATAATTGTGCCACTGCACTCCAGCCTGCGTGACAGAGTAAGACCCTGTCTCTAAAATAAAAGTGGAGTCAAATTTTCGGGTTACAAAATTTGTGATGTGATTTTTGGATAAAATACAATTTTATATATTTATGGTGATGTTTTGATGTATGTATACACTGTGGAATGACTAAATCAAGCGAATTAATATATCCATTACCTCACATACTTTATTGAGGTGTGTGGTGAGAGCATTTAAGATCTACTCTTAGCAATTTTCAAATGCATTATACTTTGTTATTAACTACAGTCACTGTGTTGTACAATAGATCTAAATTTTCCTCTAACTGAAATTTTATATCTCTTGACCAACATCTCCCTAATCTCCCTCCCCCAAATCTGTGATCTTTCTTTTCTTTTTTTTTTTTTAAATTAAGGACCAATGTGACAGTAAGTGATCTTTCCTTTAAACCACAGCGCTTCTTGTATGCTCCAGCCAGTATTTTTCCAAATTGCGGGTAGCCATGCGTTGTTGAGTAGTGAGTTCTGGGTACTTTGCATGTAGTAAGGATGAGCAGAGTTTTCATTACCCGGTTGCAACGTAAAATGTATTTCTCACTGTGGGTCCAGAGTTTTTAAAAAGCATGAAAGCTCCTGTGCTAGCACAATGCCAAGTTCTAAATAACGTTTATTAAATGGAATTATAGTATTTTATTTTCATTTTGTATTTATTTTTGTTTTCTAGAGCTATCGCCTCCATTCGTAGCTACTGGACAGTAGAGACCATACCATCTTTATTTTTCCGATTCCCAGTGGAGTGCTTGTGATGATGTGGGCTCATTCAATGTGTGTCAAATAAAAGTCTGAATGGATACATCAATGGAAGGGATAATATAGCTCAGTGAATGTGCTTGAAACTAACTGCTGTTCTAACTCCTGGTATTCTTCTGATTCTACTGTGAGAGCTGACATTGTTCAGTTAATCGTTTCCAAGGGCCCTAGTCCCGCAGACAGTGAGACCAAGAATAATTCGCATTCAGGAAGTACCACTTGCCCTTAGTCAATATGGCATCCTGAATGACTTCCGGAAAGGGCACCGCAAAAAAAAACAAAAAAAACCGAAAAACCGTTGACATTAGTCAAAATGGCCACCTTTGGCTTCGCTTTGTCAGAATGCGCATGCTCATTCCCGTTCCCGTCACCTCCGCGTGGCCCTGACGCGTACGTCACACCGTAGAGGGACGGCGCGGGAGGAATAAATTTCTCTGTGATTGGTTGGTGAAGGTTTTCAAACCGGAGCTGTGGGCGCGGCGCTGCTCTGCCGTTGGGTGAGGCGCGGAGCGAAGTGAAGGGTGGCCCAGGTGGGGCCAGGCTGACTGAAGTGAGTAGTGGGGGTGCCAGACCAGGTGCGTCTGCCGCTGGATTGTGATAGGAAGCAGAGTGTTCGTGTGGTGAGCCGTGGCCGCCGCGGGGGTCCGGGACAGCGGGACAGCGGGACAGGCTGGCAGCCACAGCCTCTCCACTCGGGCTTTTCTGGGGTGGGGGTCGTGGCAGGTCGAATGGACGCGGCCTGGGAGGGTCGGGGGCTTCTGTCTTGGCGCCGGGTTTTGTGGAAAGCCGGGGGCGTCTTTTTGAGGTGGTGGCTGGACCAGGGCAGGAGTCATCCTAAACAAGAGTCTCTCAGTCAGATACGAGTTTAAGAGTGGTTGGAGTGACACCCCATCGTTTTCGAAGGGAAGAGCCCTGGTGTTTGAGAGGCCCGGGCGGCCTGCAGTGGAGCCCCTCTACTTCGTGGGTCTCGTATGTCTAGGGAGGCAAGGCAAGGCAATGACATCTTGTCCTTCTCATCCTGATTCTTACCCTCAGTAACAACGAGGCCTTACTTGTACACTTTCACGTACATTTCTCTTCACAGGATTTCATCCGTAGGCCGAGAGGTGTGTGTCGGAAAGTGGGGGTAGGTGGGTAGATAAGCCCTTTTTTTTTTTAAGAAAGCATTATCTTTCTAATGTGTCGGGTAAATAAGCTTTCCGAGTTATTGTAGGTGTTTAGAGAAGGCGCCTTTCCTGTAGCTTAATCATTCAATAAGTATTTATCTTTTGGAGGGGACTTAAAAAAATTTTTGTATATTTAGGGGGTACAAGTGCAGATTTCTTACATGCATATATCGCGTCGTGGTGAGGTCTGGTCTCTTAGTGTCCCCATCACTCAAATAGTGAACATTGTACCCAATACGTAGTTTTTCAACCCTCAGCCCCCTCCACCTTCCCATCTTTTGTATTCTCCAGTGTGTATTATTCCACTCTGTATGTCTGTGTACCCATTGATTAGCTTTCACTTATAAGTGAGAACATGCGGTATTTGACATTCTGAGTTATTTCACTGAGGATAATGGCCTCCAGTTCTATCCATGTTGCTGCAAAAGACGTGATTTCATTCTTTTTTATGGCTGAGTAGTATTCTGTGGTGTATGTCTGTCTATATATTACATTTTCTTTATCCAATCCTTCGTTGATGAACACTTAGGTTGATACCGTATCTTTGCTACTGTAAATTCTGCTGTGATAAATATATCAATGCAGGGGTCTTTTTGATATACTGATTTCTTTTTTTTTTTTGAGACGGAGTCTCGCTGTGTCGCCCAGGCTGGAGTGCAGTGGCGCGATCTCGGCTCACTGCAAGCTCCGCCTCCCGGATTCACGCCATTCTCCTGCCTCAGCCTCCCGAGTAGCTGGGACTATAGGGGCCCGTCACCACGCCCGGCTAATTTTTTGTATTTTTAGTAGAGACGGGGTTTCACCGTTTTAGCCAGGATGGTCTTGATCTACTGACCTCCTGATCTGCCCACCTCGGCCTCCCAAAGTGCTGGGATTACAGGCATGAGCCACCACGCCCGGCCGATATACTGATTTCTTACCCTTATACCCATTAGTGGGATTGCTGGATTGAATGGTAGTTCCATTTTTAGTTCTTTGAGAAGTCTCCATACTGTTTTCCATAAAGGTTGTACTAGTTTACTTTTTTTTTCTTTTTCTTTTTCTTTTTTGAGAAGGAGTCTTGCTCTGTGGTCCAGGCTGAAGTGCAGTGGTGCGATCTTGGCTCACTGCAAACTCTGCCTCCCGGGTTCAAATGATTCTTCTGCCTCAGCCTCCGGAGTAGCTGGAATTACAGGTGTGCACCACCATGCCTGGCTAATTTTTTATTTTTAATAGAGATACGGTTTCACCATGTTGGCCAGGCTGGTCTTGAACTTCTGGCCTCAAGTGATCAGACTGCCTTGGCCTCTCAAAATGATGGGATTAGAGGCGTCAGCCACCATGCCTGGCCTGTTTACTTTCATTCAATAGGTATTTCTTAAGTGCAAAGTGTAAGTAGAAGACAGTCTTATTTGGTCTTAAAGAATGTGCAGTTAATTTGGGGTAACAGAACTTAAAAAGATAACTGGTGAGTCTGGTAAGCCTATACACTGTTGAAAGTACTGTGCATTAGTACATCCCTTTTAGAAAACTTTTTGGCACTATTAAGAGCCATAAAATGTTTTTACACCCTAATATAGCACTCCTAGCCTTGGAAATCTAGTCTAAGGAAAACAGTCACCTGAAGAAAAATATTGTCCATAGGAATGCTCAATTCATTTATTCACCAAATATTTATTAGTCATTTACCAAATGTCAGGTACTGTTCTAGGCATCAGGGAAGAAAACACAAAAATCTCCGCTTTCTTGGAACTTAAGCTAGAGGAGAAACAGACAATAAACTGAATAAATATGTAAGTATGTTAGATGGAGAGAAGTGCTTTGGAACAAAGTAAAGCAGGGTAATGTTAGAGAAAGGCTGCAGTTTACAATAGGATGGTTGGAAAGACCTCACTGAGAAAGCAGCATTTGAGTAAAGATATTTGAGGTGAGAGAGTGACCATGCAAGAGATTCCAGGCAGAGGTAAGTGAAAAACTGGAAATGACCTAAACGTCCAAAGAAGAGAATAGTTAAATAGTTGTTCATCAACTCTTTAGAACTTAATGGAAACATGATAGAAGCAAAACACAAAATTATATGTAATGTATGATTGTAACACCATGAAATAAGAGTGTAAAATGGGCAAAGATTAGATCAGATGGTACATATAGTTGTTTAGGATAGTGAGATTTTTGTTTTGCTATTAATTTTTTGTTTTTGTTTTCGTTTTGTTTTTTTTTGAGACAGAGTTTCACTCTTGTTGCCCGGGCTGGAGTGCAATGGCGCCATCTTGGGTCACTGCAACCTCTGCCTCTCGGGTTCAAGCGATTCTCCTGCCTCAGCCTCCTGAGGAGCTGGGATTACAGGCATGCACCGTCATGCCTGGCTAATTTTGTATTTTTAGTAGAGACAGGGTTTCTCCATGTTGATCAGGCTGGTCTCAAACTGCCGACCTAAGGTCATCCACCTGCTTCAGCCTCCCAAAGTGCTGGGATTACAGGCGTGAGCCACCACACCTAGCCTGTTTTACTGTTAACTTTTTGAACATAGAAGATTAATAATAAACAGTATTTTTGTATCTGCTAAATGAATGTTATAGATAATAAAGGAAATCATTTTGGACTGAAATGGTTAGGGAAGGCTTCAGTGAATTGGTGAGACTTATTCTAGACCTTGAAGGATGGAAGACCAGAATAGGAAGAATTCACAGGGAAAAAAAGAGGTATTCAGTATGCTGAACTTCTAGTAATTTTCTGAAAAATCACAATTCAAATCTTCCCTTCCTTATTTTAGTCTTCATGTTGGATTGAGAACATTTTGTTTACTCTCTGCAAGTGATTTGCTTATAAAGAACATTTGGTTTCAAGATAATCCTTCTGTCCGCCAGTTGTATTAGAGACTTTCGATACAGTGAAGCAGAAGCTGGACATTTCAGGAAAAGAATTGTCCTCACATTGTCCTCAAATGTGTTCCTATGAAAGGATCTTAAAGTACTGAGATTATCTTTGAGAATGGTTTTCCTTGACAGCAGGGAATCTATATTGTTGATTTCTTGGAAATCTCCAGATTTAGCAATGTTTGTGGGAAAGTTTTTCATTAAAACACTTTCCTGAAAAACTCCAGCAACCTTTCATTGCTTTGTCTTAAAGTATTTAACACCCTTGATGCATCTAAAAAACCTGATATATAGGTCTCTTAATAATGTTGTTTGAAGGAGGAGGAAGAAGAGGATAGAGACTTTTCCCAGGATACCCTGCAGTAAGATCTGTAATAGTCTGTTTTTCTGAAGGATGATATCTACCTCTTGGCTGGGTGATTGAAATTAAATTGGGGGCTCAAAGCAATCACATCCAGCTGAGACTCTTTCATGGTGTTTCCAGATTGCTCCCTTAGGGATACTCACAGATTGGGAATCTGTAACATACTGACTTCTCCACCTCTGGGGTTCCCCATCAATAACAGCTGAGATTCTCTAGCACCTTTTGGTTTAAAGTGCTCCACAAACTGAGTTTCTTGCTGCACGCAGGGATCGTTTCAGCTTTCCCGAAAAGGCAGCAGTCTCTGTTGTGGAAAGTGACAGCTGTTTTACAGCTGCAAAAGCAATGTACTACAATATGACTTTGTTTTTGTTTCCTTTCACATTAGTGTATCTCCTAGCTATGGACTAAATAATACATGGGGGGAAATAAACAAGTATTCATGAGGGTGAAAATGTGACCCAGCAGGAAAATTACAACTATTTTCAATTGACGTTGAATAGGGTGAGTAAATTTTAGCTTTTTGAGTTACAATTTGGCTGAGATATCAGAGTTAGTACTGATATAGAAAGATATTTTTGTCATCTATAAATAATTCCTGAGAGTCACTTCTGTAGAATGTTAATAAAAATATATGGTCCCCTAGCATATAAAGAGAAGAGGATTATATTCTGCTAGTGCCATTTTTGGATTACCCTAAGTAAATCTATGTTAGAGGAAAAAATAACTCTTCAGAAGCAGCAAACCTCATCTAGAACAGCTTGTTTAAAAGCCTAGACCTGGCCAAATTTTGCTGTTTCCTTGATTCTTCTTGGTCTGGGTTCCAGCTATAATTTGTGTTTTATATGTGTTGCTGTTTGTATGACATGTTATGGTTTGCAGGAGGTCTCTGAGTAGGTCTGCAACATATATGGTCTAATTGATATTTTTGTAACTTATCTCTTCAATGTGTTGGGTTGGAGAGAATATAGATTTTGGACTCAGACCTGGGTTTCAATGAGAACTCGACATTTATTGGTTAATTTAAGGTTTCTGGACTTAGTTGCCCATTGTCTGTAAAATGGAGATAATTAAGTTAGTGAGGCCAGGCATGGTGGCTCACGCCTGTAATCCCAGCACTTTGGGAGGCCGAGGCAAGCAGATTGCTAGAGGTCAGGAGTTCGAGACCAGCCTGACCAACTTGGTGAAACTCCATCTCTACTAAAAATACAAAAAAAAAAATTAGCTGGGCCTGGTGGTGGGCACCTGTAATCCCAGCTACTCGGGAGGCTGAGGCAGGAGAATCACTCGAACCCTGAAAATGGAAGTTGCGGTGAACCGAGATGGTGCTACTGCACTCCAGCCTGGGTGACAGAGCAAGACACCGTCTCAGAAAAAAAGTCAAATTCACTTAAAGAAAAAGTGTACGTGAAGTGTCTAGTTTAGTGCCCGAATCATTTCAAAGCACCTAGTAAATACTGGATTCTTTTCTTTCTAATTGTATAGTATTATTTTTAAAAATGGTCTAAAATTCTGAATTTACTGATATCCTTATTTGGAGACAGCCTAGGGGGGAAAACACCTAGATTTGAGAATCACTGTTTTAGGATGGAAGTAACAACTATCAGACCAAAACCAAACCTAAACAAAAGAAACTCACTTCATACCAACTAAAAGATACCTTATATTTTGGTAGTGAGATTGTAAACTTATACATTTTAAAATTTTTGTAATATTCTATGAGGTAAATAGAGCAAGTGTTATTGTTTTCACTTTATAGATGAGTCATGGAATTTAAGTGATTTACTGAAGATTATACTACTGGTAGATAGAAGAGCTAAAGGTTTGTCCCAGGACCTTTTTATTTATTTATTTATTTATTTATTTATTTTAAGAGAAGGGGGTCTTGTGATGATCAGGGTGGTCTCAAACTCCTAGACTCAAGTGATCCTCCCACTTCAGCCTCCTGAATAGCTGGGACTACAGGCACGCACCACCACACCCATCTTGTCCCAGGACTTCTGCTCCCTCTCCCGCTTTTAACTGTTCTTTTTGCTTTAAACTATATTACACGTTGATGTTGAGGTAGAATGGAAATTCTTTTGACCATAGCATCACAGATATGTGTGTGTTTGTTCTCTGAATTAACACTTATCAATTTTTTTTTGTGAGCATCATATTAAATGCTACATGCTTGTGTGTGTAATATAGTAGTGCCGCATGTAAGGTTTCTCCCCTCAAATTTATATTCTAGCTGGGACACAGGGCAGAATCATATGGTAAAGTTTAATTCAAGTGCAAAGAGTTTGTATCTGAGTGGCAACTGCCTGAAGCAGTAGGGGAAGGACTGGAGGAAGGGAGTGCAATTGAAGTGAGTGGTGACAACCTGCAAGTGATAAGGGGGTGGGTATGGTAGATACATGAGAGAAGAGTACACAAGGTTTAGTGATTATGCTGTGGGAAGGGGAGGAACCAGAGGTGATTCTGAAGTTTGGAACTGAGCGACTGAGAGAATGATAAAAATAGGGAAATCAAAATTGGAAGTCAGTAGGGTATGGGATAGGGTAGGTCAGTGAGTAGCGTAGTTGATGGACATGAACAGGAAGAGTAGAACAGTGTCAGGAGGCTGAGGCCGGAGAATCACTTGAACCTGGGAAGCAGAGGTTGCAGTCAGCTGAGGTGGCGCCAGTGGACTCTGGCCTGGGGGACAGAGCAAGATTCTGTCTCAAAAAATTAAAAAAAAAAAAATGGACAAGAGAACAGGTTATATTGTAATTTAAGACTTAAAACCCCCCCTAAAAAAGCTTTTTTTTAAACAACCAGTTTTCAACATCCTAGCACCATGAAATTTTCCTTTTTGAATTCTTGGACAGATAGAAGTTTTGCCGTGGTATTGAGCTGTCTTATAGTCTCACGATATATAAGTGAATGCCGAGATGATAGAAAGTAATACCTTATATTAAAACTACTGATTAGAGTCTTCCATTTTTACCTCAGGAGAGCCAAAGGAAATCAACATTTGAATTGACTACCCAATGTCCTGCCCCTGTTTCTGTCCTGTAGCACTTAGGGTATGTTGCCTATTTCATTATATGTTAAATCCATGGCATCTCCATGAATTCCACAGCTCTTCCTGCCGGTTTTAATGCTATCCTTTTAGTTTTGTTCTTAGTTTAGAGAAAGATCTTTGTAATAAATTTGTTGGTCTGGTTGCTTAGCAGCTTGCTGTGATTATGTAGCTTGGAACAGATACTTGCCGTTTGAAAATCTTGGTTTCCGGCCCTGATTCAGGTATATGTTGCATCCAGGCTTGGAACTGAGAACTTTTTTTCTATTATAGCAATTATCATATGAGTATAAATGTATAATTCTGCAGCATTTAATATATAAAATATCTTCATGTTTATATATTCTTTTTTTTTTTTTTTTGAGACAGAGTCTTACTCTGGCACCCAGACTGGAGTGCAGTGGCACCATCTTAGCTTACTACAACCTCTGCCTCCCAGGTTCAAGCGATCCTCCTGCCTCAGCCTCCCAAGTAGCTGGAATTACAGGCACACATAACTGTGCCCAGCTAATTTTTGTGTTTTTAGAAGAGACGGGGTTTTGCCATGTTGGCTCAGGCTAGTCTCGAACTCCTGACCTCAAGTGATCCGCCCGCCTGGGCCTCCCAAAGTGCTGGGATTACAGGCGTGAGCTGCCGTGCCCAGCCTATGTTCATATATTCTTTGTCCTTTGTG
The DNA here is from genome assembly GCF_000001405.40 of Homo sapiens. Classification (NCBI taxonomy): domain Eukaryota; kingdom Metazoa; phylum Chordata; class Mammalia; order Primates; family Hominidae; genus Homo; species Homo sapiens. The sequence goes on along the minus strand of NC_000012.12, from coordinate 50,017,846 downwards.
CTTTTTTATATATTTTTTCTTGCTCTCATAGCTTGTGGTGCAATCTTGTAAACATTGCAAAATCACTAACCCTTCATAAGAGTTCTTAAAATTTTATTTAGGAAATAAGGACCTGGACTAGAATGTTGAAGCATTGGTTAAGAGAAACACAAGAATCCTTTAATGGTATTTCTGAGGACATTAAATTTCTAATAAAATTTGACTTTTTATTTCATTTCCTTGATAGTTTTCATAACATCCAGTTAATGTCTTTCTTTCTTGACTGTTAAGTGAAGATCTTATTTCCTCAAAGTGTTCCCAGTTAAAGTCTATTTGGAATAGAACCGCCTGTAACGACACTGTTTTTTCTATAGTATCAGCAGGCCTTTGAGGGGAAATACAAAGTCTGAAATTCACTATACAGGACACAGTAGCAAATGATTTTTGCTTTGCCCTTCGAACTGTGAAGGTGCTGTATTGTCTCTCTGATGCCAGAATGTGGTACAACATAATCCTTTGCCTCTACTTAGTATAAATTTATTAGACGTAGTTCCTGCACGCAGCCCAGCAGAGAGCCCTGTATTACAGAAATAATTCTTGTGCTGCTGAGCTGGCGATTTTCCCACTTAATCACTCATGTGACGTCATCTGTGCTTTTGGTAGGAAATGTGCTGACCATGTCCTGCATTTTAAAAGGCAGTTGCAACAGGGGCATTAGCTAAAAATGAAATTAAAAATAGATATTTTAAGTTACATTGTAGGTCTTCAAAGCCCACAAGGAATAAACTGGCAAAATTATTATATTAATCAATAGGCTTGACTTGAAGAACCACATTTTCTTGTTGGTCAGTCACTTGCTAATGAACTGACATGCTCTTTCCTATTTGTTTTCTGCTCCAAGTGATTGGAGGGGCTGTTATATTCAAAGGTCTGAAATGGTTTTCTAATTTTCAGATGAGTCTTAAACATTCCAAGTTTGTTTTTATAATAAGAATCACACAAAACATCTGTTGTTAGCTTGAGATTCTTATAATGGTAGTTATAAATGGAAGAGTCCAGATGTTGGTCACTAATGGCTGGATTGCTATAGAATCTTTTGTTGTGGGCGAGAAGGCAGGACCCCTAATGTATATTTGATTTCTTGGCAGAAAGATGGATACTATGATGCTGAATGTGCGGAATCTGTTTGAGCAGCTTGTGCGCCGGGTGGAGATTCTCAGTGAAGGAAATGAAGTCCGTAAGTCATTCTGAGCTGGCCTGTCCAAAGGAAAAACAGATTTCAAATTTGGGATTTTTACAAAGCTGAAGTATTTTCCAATCTTAAAGTTGTTTTCCATTTGGGTTACCTAAAAAGAAAGCAGTGATCACTTACGTGGTCAAAGCCTAATGGGCACTCATTCTAAATGGTCACTAAAATTCTTTTCTATAGCTGCTCTTAATAGGTTTTAGCCAGGCTTTTTTATTATCTTTATTTATTTATTTTTTTGAGATGGAGTCTCTCTCTGTCACCCAGGCTGGAGTGCAGTGGCGACATCTCGGCTCACTGCAACCTCTGCTCCCCGGGTTCAAGCGATTCCTTGTCTCAGCCTCTCGAGTAGCAGGGATTACAGACACACGCCACCACGCCCGGCTAATTTTTTGTATTTTTAGTAGAGACGGGATTTTGCCATGTTGCACAGGCTATTCTTGAACTTCTGACCTCAGGTGATCCGCCCGCCTCGGCCTCCCAAAGTGCTGGGATTACAGGCGTGAGCCACCGTGCCCGGCTGCTTTTTTATTATCAAGATTCTTTTTCCACTGAATAGTTGGCACTATTTTCTGTGCCATGAACTGGGAAAAATTTACTAGGATGTTGCTTTTTTCTTTAGAGTAGTAGTTGTCTTTTTTTTATCCTGGATTTTCTTTGTGTTCTATAAAGCATTTTCAGTTGAAGTGGGAAAAATTCATAATTTCTTCTTTTTTCTTTTTTTTTAAGAATCTCATTCTGTCACCCAGGTTGCGCCACCATGCCCAGCTACTTTAAAAAAAATTTTTTTTTAAATTTTTTTAATTTTTTTTTTATTTTTGAGATGGAGTCTTGCACTGTCACCCAGGCTGGAGTGCAGTGGTGCGATCTCGGCTCACTGCAAGCTCCGCCTCCTGGGTTCACGCCATTCTCCTGCCTCAGCCTCCTGAGTAGCTGGGACTACAGGCGCCCGCCACCACGTCCGGCTAATTTTTTTGTATTTTCAGTAGAGACGGGGTTTCGCTGTGTTAGCCAGGATGGTCTCGATCTCCTGACCTCGTGATCTGCCCGCCTCGGCCTCCCAAAGTGCTGGGATTACAGGCGTGAGCCACTGCGCCTGGCCTTAAAAATTTTTTGTAGAGATAAGGTCTCCCTATTTTACCCAGGCTAGTGTCCAACTCCTGGCCTCAAGCAGTCCTCTCACTTCTGCCTCCCAAAGTGATGAGATTATAGGCATGAGCCACCAGGCCCAGTCCATAATTTCTTTTTGAAGGAGATACTAGGCATTTGCTTTCACCTACTTCATATATTTGATGCTAAATAATTAAGGATTGAGAGCCAGGTTTGGTGGTTTGCACCTGTATTCCCAGCTACTCAGGAGGCTGAGGCAGAAGAATCACTTGAGGCCAGGAGTTTGAGACCAGCTTGGGCAACATAGCAAGACTGTCTCTGAAAATATTAGCGGTCGGGCATAGTGGCTCATGCTTGTAATCTTAGCACTTTGCAGGGCTGAGATGGGTGGATCGATTGAGTCCAGGAGTTTGAGACCAGCCTGGGCAACATGGCAAAACCCCATCTCTCTCTTTTTTTTTTTTTTTTTGAGACAGAATCTCACTCTGTCACCCAGGCTGGAGTGCACTGGTGTGGTCTCGGCTCACTGCAACCTCCACCTCCCTGGCTCAAGCAATTGTCCTGCCTCAGCCTCCTGAGTAGCTGGGATTATAAGTGTCCGCCACCACACTCGGCTAATTTTTGTATTTTTAGTAGAGATGGGGTTTTGTCATGTTGGCCAGGCTGATCTTGAACTCCTGACCTCAAGTGATCAGCCCACCACAGCCTCCCAAAGTGCTGGGATTACAGGTATGAGCACCTGGCCACAAAAACCCCATCTCTACAGAAAAAAAAACAAAAACAAAAAAACCCGCCAGTGTGGTGGCATGCTCCTGTGATCCCAGCTACCTGGGAGGCTGAGGTGGGAGGATCACTGGGGAGGCAGAGGTTGCAGTAAGCTGAGATCACACTCCTGTACTCCAGCCTGGGACAGAGCGAGACCCTGTTTCAAAAACAAAAAAATTAGCTGGGTGTGGTGACACATGCCTGTGGTCCCAGATACTCAGGAGGCTGAAGTATCACTTGAGCCCAGGAGTTTGAGGCTACAGTGAACTATGATTGTGCCACTGCACTCCCGCCTGGGTGAAAGTGAGACTTCAATTCCTGGGGGGAAATAATAAAGAGAATTGAGATGGGGTGGTGAGCTGGGGAGAAAAAGGAGGTGCTAAGAAAGGAACAGTCTGGGAAATAAATTAGCAAGAAAGAATAATGGGGATGATGGTACTGACATGTGATCCAAGGGAATTATTCTATACCAGCTTCTCTTTGTATTACCATCCTGTCCTATTTCAGATTTTCATTAATACCTAATTTAGTAAATGTTGCTCTCAAGTCAGCCTCACTGGTGTTAATGTAAGAACTGTGTCTTGAACTTTTTTTATTTCTATAGTACTTACTTGTGGTATCTTGCTTATGCCATTCAATATTTTTTTTGAATTGATTGATGTTTTTAATAGCTCTTATCCACTTACAGGCCTTTCAAAACAATATTCTATTTTCTCTCTCTAATAGCTGCTGCATGACCCTGTCATCTGGTACCAGCTCAGTAACCACAATGGCATACTAATTAGGTTTCTCTTTGAGGTCACATCATCTCAGAAGATGGATCAGAGTGTGGTGGGGACTAGAGTAGGGAATAAGAGATATTAAAACTCAGATTCATTCAGCAAATATTTTGTGAGAACCTATCAGGGCTTCTAGCATTTTTGAGTTGAGGGAAAGGGATGACTAAATGGTGTCATGGAGGAAAGGGTTTGAGCTGAGCTTTAGCTGTAGGGTAGAATCCCAAGAGGCAGAGATGAAAGGGGGTATTTTAGATCAGGCGACAGCCTGAGCAGAGCAAGAGGGTGTGGGACTTGAGGGAAATAGGAGTAAGGGGGTGTGACATAATCAGAACCGTGCTTTGGGAAGATTACCCTGGCAGAGGTGTAGTCTGCATTAGAGGTGGATGCTGGTACACTGACTAGGAATGACATGGTTGTCATAGCTCAGGAAAGAGGCAATAACAGCCCTAACTGGAATGGTGGTTATGAAGATGGAAGGAGGGAGAAATGGGTAGAAGAGATTGTGATAATAAGACCTGTAGAAGGAGGCAGCTGATAGAATATGGGGGCAGAGGGAAGAATCTGTGGTTTAAGAGTGTTGATAACTAGTGCTGGCTTTTACCTGTTATTTCTGTGTCTGTTTTTCCACCTATAAAATAGGAATTTAAACATCTTTATTTTCTTTGTGGGAGTGCTATGAGGATTTGGGCATAAATTGAGATATTAGTTGTGAAAATACTTTGGGAAATGATTATGCCAAAAATCTCCCAAGATATTTATTTTTACAGAAATCCTGATTTTATTGTATAAGCAAATTTTTACCTTCCCATTTATTTCTATTATAAAACAGAGGTACATTTTACCTCCTTCTCCAGATCTCTAATTTGGAATGTTGGCTTTTTTTATTTTTTATTTTTATTTTTTGAAACAAGAGTTTCACTCTTGTTGCCCAGGCTGGAGTGCGATGGCGCAATCTCAGCTCACTGCAACCTCCGCCTCCCAGGTTCAAGTGATTCTCCTGCCTCAGCCTCCTGAGTAGCTGGGATTACAGGCATGCACCACCACACCTGGCTAATTTTGTATTTTTAGTAGAGACGGGGTTTCTCCATGTTGGTCAGGCTGGTCTTGAACTCCCGACCTCAAGTGATCCTCCCACCTTGGCCTCCCAAAGTGCTGGGATTACAGGGGTGAGCCACCGCGCCCGGCCCTCATTTATTTTTTATTTTTTTTGAAACAGAGTCTCACTCTGTTGCCCAGGCTGGAGTGCAGTGGTACGATCTCAGCTCACTACAACTTCTGCCTCCCAGGTTCAAGCAATTTTCCTGCCCCAGCCTCCTGAGTAGCTGGGATTTCAGGTGTCTGCCACCATTCCTGGCTAATTTTTGTATTTTTATTTTTATTTATTTATTTATTTTTTTTATTTTTTTGAGATGGAGTTTCACTCTTCTTACCCAGGCTGGAGTGCAATGGCACAATCGTGGCTTACCGCAACCTCTGCCTCCCAGGTTCAAGTGATTCTCCTGCCTCAGCCTCCCGAGTAGCTGGGATTACAGGCATGTGCCACCACGCCTGGCTAATTTTTTTGTATTTTTAGTAGAGACGGGATCTCACCATGTTAGCCAGGATGGTCTCAATCTCCTGACCTCGTGAACCACCCGCCTCAGCCTCCCAAAGTGCTGGGATTACAGGCGTGAGCCACCGCGCCTGGCAATTTTTGTATTTTTAGTAGAGACAGGGTTTCACCACGTTGGCCAGGCTGATATTGAACTCCCGACCTCAGGTGATCCAACCGCCTTGGCCTCCCAAAGTGCTGGGATTACAGGTGTGAACCACCATGCTCAGCCTAGTTTTTATTTTTTTGGAGACAAGGTCTCGCTCTGTTGCCCAGGCTGGAGTACAGTGGTGAAATCATAGCTTACTGCAGCGTTGAACTCCTGGGCTCAAGCAATCCTCCTACCTCAGCCTCCAGAGTAGCTGGGACTATAGGCTCATGCCACTACACCAGCTAATTTTTTTTTTTTTTTTTTTTTTTTTTGAGACGGAGTCTCGCTCTGTCGCCCAGGCTGGAGTACAGTGGCACGATCTCGGCTCACTGCCAGCTCCGCCTCCCAGATTCACGCCATTCTCTTGCCTCAGCCTCCCAAGTAGCTGGGACTATAGGCGCCCGCCACCACGCTCAGCTAATTTTTGTATTTTTAGTAGAGACGGGGTTTCACCGTGTTAGTCAGGATGGTCTCGATCTCCTGACCTCATGATCCTCCTGCCTCGTCCTCCCAAAGTGCTGGATTTATAGGCATGAGCCACCATGCCCGGCCCACACCGGCTAATTTTTATATTTATTTTGATTATTTTATTTTGAATTTTTATTATTTATTTTGTCTCCCAAACTACTATAAACACTACTTTTGTTTTAATTCTATTTTTTGTAGAGACAAGGTCTTGCCATGTTTCCTGGGCTGGTCTTGAACTCCTGGGCTCAAGCGGTCCTCCCACCTCGGCCTCCCAAAGTGCTGGAATTACAGGTGTGAGCTACCGCACCTGGGCAAATGTTGGCTTTTGAGGAACTAAAGTGACCCTGTGTTTTTTAGACACTAGAATCAGGTTTGTGCATCCACCCCAGTGTCTGTCCTCTTTTTTCTTTTTTTTTTTTTTTTTTTGAGACAGTCTCACTCTGTCGCCCAGGTTGGAGTGCAGTTGTGTGATCTCAGCTCACTGCACCCTCCGTCTCGTGGGTTCAAGTGATCCTCCTGCCTCAGCCTCCCAAGTAGCTGGGATTACAGGCGCATGCCACCAAGCCTGGCTAGTTTTTGTATTTTTAGTAGCGATGTTTCACCATGTTGGCCAGGCTGGTCTTGAACTCCTGACCTCAAGTGATCCACCTGCCTTGGCCCACCAGAGTGCTGGCATTACAGGCGTGAGCCTCTGTGCCCAGCCTGTACTCTTCTTAGATCCTTAGGAATTCCCCACATGCCCAAGTATCCCTTGACTCCTTACTCTTGCCTTTCATCATTAACTTCATTCCTCTTTCTCTTTTTTGTATTCATTTTTTTTTTGAGACAGAATTTTTCGCTCTTTGTTGCCCAGGCTGGAGTGCAATGGCGAGATCTCGGCTCACTGCAACCTCCACCTCCCGGGTTCAAGTGATTCTCCTGTCTCAGCCTCCCGAGTAGCTGGAATTACAGGCATGTGCCAACACGCCTGGCTAATTTTGTATTTTTAGTAGAGGTGGGGTTTCTCCATATTGGTCAGGCTGGTCTCGAACTCCCGACCTCAGATGATCCACCTGTCCTGGCCTCCCAAAGTGCTGGGATTACAAGCGTGAGCCACGGTGTCTGGCCTGTATTGTTTTTTAAAAAGCTAAGTCCGGGCCGGGCAAAGTGGCTCACACCTGTAATCCCAGCATTTTGGGAGGCCAAGGCAGGTGGATCACTTGGTCAGGAGTTCAAGACCAGTCTGACCAACATGGTGAAACCCCGTCTCTACTAAAAATACAAAAAGTTAGCCGGGCGTGGTAGCATTCACCTGTAATCCCAGTTACTTGGGAGGCTGAGGAATGAGAATTGCTTGAACCCAGGAGGTGGAGGTTGTGGTCAGCCAAGATCATGTCATTGCACTACAGCCTGGGCAACAGAGTGAGACTCCATCTCTTAAAAAAGAAAAAAAAAAAAAAGTTAAAAAAAGAGAGCTAAGTCCAAGTTACAGGAAGATCAGAATGAAAGTTAATATTTTAAAAAAGATGACTTTAATAGCATATTTTGTTGTCTTGTTTTCTCCAGTCCACACAGTTTTTATGTTCTATTTTTAATTTTTCATAAGCTGCCTGAGCTTTTTAAAAAAAATCATTGGTGTATAAATTAGGAATAAGTATAATTTAACATTTATCAGGTGCCTGTTGTGTGCCAGTGACATACTAGGTTTGTGCTACACTATGCATAGTAGGAAATAATGAAGTATATATGACATATTGCCTGTCTTCAAGAAGATTATGGTATTTTAGTTTCAGAGACAGGATTTTTTTCTCATGAAACAGAAGATAGTACAAGTATCAAAATATATGCTTTTGGGTAATCTAGAAAAATTTAGTGTGTAGCAAACTGATTAGGAAAAGATTCACAGACCAGATGGGACTTGGTAAATGGGTATGTAATAGGTAGGGCATTCCATTTGGAGTGCATAGCTTGGTCACAAGTGAGAAGGCAGGAATGCCTCTGTTCTGGGGGCAGGGACAGACTGGTTTAGCTAGAGGGGTATTTATTGCATAGTGGTGGGAGGTAAGTTTGATTAAACTGGTAAGGTGGTCTTGGATGCTGGTAAATTTAATTTGAACAGCGGCTTTTCATTCATTCATTTGTTCAACAGATTATTTCAAGTGTCTACTGTGTGCTAGGCAGGTTACAACACTGGAGATAAAAGAGCAAAGGAGACATAGGGTCTTTGTCTTTAAGAAGCTTAGAGAGGGTAGTAGGGAAGGCAAATGGAAGAGCCTGTTCAAAGGCCTCCGGGAGTAAATGGAAAAAAAAAATCAGGATTTCTGGACCCACTTAAATTTGCTTGCTGAGCTATGAACCAAATCCTGATTTTTAAATTTTAAATAAATCAAAGATCACCCTCAATTTGTTTTGAGGAAATTTCCCTTCTCTTTCCTCCTTTTTGATAGGGGCACTTCATAGTTTAGGGTGTACGTAACTTTTTAAAGGAGGTACTGTAATTTGAATTTTATAAATCTTTTTTTTTTTTTTTTTTTTTGAGACAGCATCTCACTCTGTTGCCCAGGCTGGAGTGCAGTGGCACGATCTCAGCTCACTGCGACTTCTGCCTCCTCGAGTAGCTGGGATTACAGGCGCACACCACCACACCCAGCTAATTTTTGTGTTAGTAGAGACAGGGTTTCACCATGTTGGCCAGGCTGGCCTTGAACTACTGACCTCAAGTGATCTGCCTGCCTTAGCCTCCCCAAATGCTGGGATTACAGGCATGAGCCACCGTGCCCGGCCTGAATTTTATAAAGCTTTTAATGTGCACTTCATGGCAGGCTGGTACCAAGCTGAATTGTGATTCACCAACTGACCAAAACAGTGCCATGATTATTGGTCTTCAACATCAAAATTGTTTCTGATCTATGGCCCAAAATGCCTTCTGACCCAATCCCAGCAAACTTTGCTCATAGCAGAATTGTACATAAAAATAGTATCTTTCGGCCGGGCATGGTGGCTTATGCCTATAATCCTAGCACTTTGGGAGGCTGAGGCAGGTCAATCACTTGAGGTCAGGAGTTTGAGACCAGCCTAGCCAACGTGGTGAAACCCCATCTCTAGTTAAAATACAAAAATTAGCCAGGTGTGATGGCACACGCCTGTAGTCCCAGTTACTCAGGAAGCTGAGGCAGGAGAGTTGCTTGAACCTGGGAGGCGGAGGTTGCGGTGAGCCAAGATTGTGCTACTGCACTCCAGTCTGGGTGACAGAGGAAGACTGTCTCAAAAGTGAAAAGTAGGCTGGGCACAGTGGCTAACACCTGTAATCCTAGCACTTTTGGAGGCCAAGGCAGGTGAATCACCTGAGGTTAGGAGTTTGAGACCAGCCTGGCCAACATGGTGAAACCCCGTCTCTACTACAAATACAAAAATTAACTGGGCATGGTGACACACACCTGTAATCCCAGCTACTCAGGAGGCTGAGGCAGGAGAATTGCTTGAACCTGGGAGGCGGAGATTGCAGTGAGCCAAGATTGCGCCATTGCACTTCTGCCTGGGCAACAAGAGTGAAACTCTGTCTCAAAAAAAAAAAAAGTAATATCTTTTTTTTTTTTTTTTTTTTTTTTTCACATTTCTCACCTGCACACACAAAAAGTAATATATTAATCAGGTATGTAAATGTTCTGCTTTGGGTCTGACTTAAACTAAGCTGAAGCAGTAATTTAATAAAAGGAGTATCCTAAAGAACAAACAAACCAGCAAAATTAGGTCAGATGAAAATCTTTTTATTCTCAAAATTGTTTTTCAGTTCGGTAAATATTTTGAGTGTGTATGCATACGGTATTTAGTTTGCAAACATATATGTTTTTTTCTTTAAGCTAAAAAAAAAAACCCACAAAAAAGTAGTATGTTCCAGACTAACCCAGCATATTATTTCTTAAAACTATTTGAATTGTAATATTTTTTTAATTGTTGATATCCGCATTGTTTAAGATAACTAGGTCATAATAACCTATTTTGCTGAAATTTGTGGTTTGTAAAAACTAAAGTTTCCTTATTACTTGGTTTTTCTGGAACAAATTGGTATCCTGATTTGTAAGTTTGATATTTGGTCAAATGATTAAAATTGTTTAAAAAGGACTATGTATTGTTTCTATGCTTTTAGGTTAAATTCATAGGGGAAAAGTGCCCTTACTACCTAAGAATCTGCTAGCTGTGTGTGAATTTGGCCTAGTTTCAGTTTTAACTGGGTTAGTTTGACCAGCAGCAGATGTACACCTTGAGACCTTCTTCCTTGATGTTGGTGGAGAGTGATCCTTAGAGATAGACGGAGGTTAACTAGAAAATTGTAAGGCACTTTTGCAAATACATTGCAGAACAGCTTTGCCAATAGCAGGAGATAAGAATGAATGCCAACAGGGTTATCTTCTTCCTTTGAGATGCTGCCTTGGAAGTGATGTTCTCTTTGCAGACATTTGAAGAGACTTCACATTCTGCTATCAGGGATGTTCCAAAAGCTAGTTTGATCTTCTCTTCCTGTTTTTTTTTTTTTCAACTGGAATGTTTACATACCCTTCAGGGCAGTGTTAAACAGCAAAAGCAAATTGGCTTTTTACTTTCAAATCAATATTTGTATAATTATATAGCCAAATGGAATTGTAGGTCTAGACATCTGTAATATTAATCTACATCTACTGGAGCATATTACAGCAGTTACATTTGAATTTGCTGTTTAACATCTCTCTGGTGCAGCAATGCGTGACTGTAAAGGAAACTGTTTTTGTTTTATAGCTGTAACTGTCCTGGTGCATGACAGCTGCCCCAAAGGTATCCCCCTTTGATTGCCTTCTGTTCAGGAGCTTTCAGTGTTAGTGTTACATCTGGAGCCAGGTGACTAATGAGTTACATATTCCATAGCAGATGCCACTGGCTAAGCCAAAAGTAAGTGGCCTATTGAATAGGAATTGCTACCCACAAAGTTCTCATCAGAGTGACAAACATATCCAGGATCTGCTCCTAGTTATTTTCAGCTGGATTTGCCCATAGTTCAGCTGGTTCCTTAATTATGAATTTCAAATAAAGCTAACCGTAGGACTCATTTATTAGAGCAGTTATACTCTGTTTGGTGCTTGAATTATTAAAGATTCCCCCTTTCCTCAGAATTTATCCAGTTGGCGAAGGACTTTGAGGATTTCCGTAAAAAGTGGCAGAGGACTGACCATGAGCTGGGGAAATACAAGGATCTTTTGATGAAAGCAGAGACTGAGCGAAGTGCTCTGGATGTTAAGCTGAAGCATGCACGTAATCAGGTGGATGTAGAGATCAAACGGAGACAGAGAGCTGAGGCTGACTGCGAAAAGCTGGTGTGTATTGTTTTCCGTGCTAGAACAGTGATGATGCAGGAGGGGGAAGGCATTGTCTGACAGTTTCCACTTGCCAAATATACCTAGTTTCTTCTTCCACATTAAAGAACTGAAAGTGACCTGTTCTTTAACAGCTTGCCCATGATTAGAGCTGAAATTGCAGACTAGGAATCTTGTTCTTCATAATTTGAAATTTAAATGTTTTTGTCACTTAGACTTGAAACTTACTTAACAGACAGATTTCAAATGAGAACTTAAAGAATTAGAGGAAAAGGGAGGGAGGGAGATCCTAACGTACTTGATCTGTCACAAGTTATTGGCCATCCTTCATTGTTTATTTTAAGTGCTACCCGGAATATCCATCCTTACATGAGTAGCTGGTACTTTGTCATACATACAGGCAAGACAACTGTGACTCTTCTTTTCATCACCCCTCTCTAATTCAGGGTAAAAGGCTAGATGTATTCAACCAGTTGAGCAATGTGACTGACACAGAACACTATCATTTTGATGTGCCAGGATGGGTCATAATGCAAAGGAAAGCCTTTACTGGGAGGGACTAATCCATCTTGGTATACAGTGTTAGATGCCTCAGTAAACTCAAATTGTCTGGTTCCAGTGCATTATAGCTTTGTATCCATTTTAATGCATTTTGCTCCACTACTTTGAGAGGTGGGTGGCTGCTTTGATCCGTAGAAGCCAATATTTGTCCTGATAAAATGACACTAAAGTGTTTTTGCTATGTGAAATCTATTTTGGGACTCTCATTTTGCATTATTCTCCTCTTGGATTAGCAGGTTAATCCAAAAGTCTTGTAGCAGAAACTTCGCTGTTCTAGATGTAGTTCATTTTACCAGTCAGAAATCAGAGACACAATCTGGGTTTGATGTGAATTAATATGCTATTGGTGTAGCAGCCTTCCTGAAGGTCCATTTGCATAATGCTGCATTTTAATGTCTTCTGGTCTGCCTGTCCCATAAACTTGAGGTGAAGCTTTCTCCCCTGGCTAGTTATGATGTTTTACTTTGCTTTGGTCTGTAGGAACGACAGATTCAGCTGATTCGAGAGATGCTCATGTGTGACACATCTGGCAGCATTCAACTAAGCGAGGAGCAAAAATCAGCTCTGGCTTTTCTCAACAGAGGCCAACCATCCAGCAGCAATGCTGGGAACAAAAGGTGGAGGAACTGCATCTGTTGTTATCCTATCACAAGCAACACAGGCTGTCAGATATTCTTGTTATCTGAATTCTTAAATATACTTCTTCTAGAATGTGTGCTGAAAAAAGCAGAAAAAGATTTTGTGGGGAGAGTAGGTGGGGAATAAAGGCACAGGGATGTCCCTGTATATTTTATTTTATTTTATTTTTAAATCTTTCCTAAGGATGTTGTTTCACCATGGATACAATTTTGATGTTGGTGCTAAATTGCACATCAATAACTAATCCTGTGCATTGCTAAGAAACCCAAAGGTGAAAGTGGCAGTTCAGCAATACTTTCAGTGTTTACTCTCCAGAGAGCTCTTACAGCTCTTCTGGTTTAGAAAGGCCTCTGTGAGCCAAGACCAGACAATAATTTTGGTTCCACTGCACCACTGTTTAAAATAGTCTCAACCAGGCTTTGAATTTAACATCCCCAGTACAATATGTAGGGAAAGGTCAGCTATTTATTTTGTTGCCTGGTTGTTTTATGGGGAATCTTTATAACTAAGAAGATGTACAGGCTTAATTTCTTAAAAAGTCAGTGTTGGGTAATACTCTTGTTTGTAGAAACCAGCACAGTTGGGATCAAATTAAACTTCATTCCCTTGATTTTGTGAATTTGGAGTAGCCTGTAATACAAACTCGGTAGAGAATAGCACCCATAACCCTGACTAACTTTCAACTGCCCTTATAAGGTCTTTGCTGAAAAAGCAACTGTGTTGCACCTGTACTCATGCACACACACTCCTCCGTGGAAACCATACAAAGTAGCCTACCACAGGGTTTGAGATTGTAATTGTCTCTATAGTGAAGATTTTGCTATGAAATTAACTGATGTTACCTGACCAGTAGGACTTGTTCTGAATGTTGGTGAATTTTACATTCCACAGTCTACCATGTCTAACGTTGTATTGTTTCACTGATCTAGACTATCAACCATTGATGAATCTGGTTCCATTTTATCAGATATCAGCTTTGACAAGACTGATGAATCACTGGTAATAAACATTTGATCTCTGAGAATTACCTACTTTTCTTACCTCTGCTTCCCCAGGAATATCTCTCCTGTCTTCTCTTCTGAACATCCTATATTACTATTTTATTAGTTGATGTGTTATAGATTCTGAGCTAGCAATTTAAAATATAAATCCACATGAGCTATAAGAGGCTGGCTTATATATTAGTTTCTGAAGTGAGAATATATAATTCAGAATTTGGCATAAGTTGAGTTCATTTAATAGATCTCTGTGTGCCACATGTACTAACTGATTATATTTTGACTTATTAAAGCCCCAGCTAATAATAAAAATATTAGCAAGACTGTATGTCGTCAGGGTTTATTTGCTGCTCTTAAATAGACTTGTGCCTTATTTCTGAATTAGTTTGGTTCTTGGGGAAAGCATAGTCATACTTCACAATTAGAAGGAAACCAAGGTCCTGGGATTTCAGCCAGAAAAGTGTGATTAGAGTTTCTAGGCACTATATAATGCTTTCATCAACAATGGTTAACATGTTAAACTATTTGTTGCCCTGCTTTTATGGGGCGGCACACTTCTTTTAACTTACAGTGATGCTTCTGCATAAAAGGTCATCTCCTGATACAGTCTTTGATATAGTTCATTGATTTGTGCATCTTTTCTGTTACTAGCTGAAAACTAGCAAACAAAACAAATCAGGAAGTTTTTGGTGACTGGTTTTCTGGTATAGCAAAACAGGTGACAACTATTTGTTACATGGCTAGGAGTTTTCTGTTCAGATTCAGTGTTTGACCAGGGAAAATACGGCCATTTTATAGATAAAAATATTAGGCATCACCTTTCTCAAATAGGGAATGATATAGTGGAGGTCTGGAATATATAATAAAACTAGATCATATTATCAGTTGATTTTTGAGCTAGACCTATGATACGATATTTCTTGTAACTGAAGCTGAATCAAACAACCAGTAACTAAATTACTGGACCATGACTTGGGGAAGTTAAATTTATTTAGCTAAGCTATTATTTGCTGTATACCACTGTTTCTAGATACTGTTTTCAGGGATGATCAGGAGTAAGGAAATCACAGGTAACTACTAAAATGAATGCAAATAGTTAAAATAGGTGAATTGAAATGAGACCACAATAAAAGACAAATAGTTCTTCAGTGGTGGACACGTTTTAGGGCCTAAGTTCCTAAACTGTAGAACTTTTTTTTTTTTTTTTTTTTTGAGACAGAGTCTCACTCTGTCACCCAGGCTAGAATGCAGTGGCGCAATCTCAGCTCACTGCAAGCTCCGCCTCCCGGGTTTATGCCATTCTCCTGCCTCAGCCTCCAGAGTAGCTGGGACTGCAGGCGCCCGCCACCACGCCTGGCTAATTTTTTTGTATTTTTTTAGTAGAGACGGGGTTTCACCGTGTTAGCCAGGATGGTCTCGATATCCTGACCTCATGATCCGCCCACCTTGGCCTCTCAAAGTGCTGGGATTACAGGCATGAGCCATCGCCTGGCAACTGTGGAACTTGTGAAGTGGCAATATTATGCAGAGCATTTGATTAGACAGTGGCAATCCCTTGGGGGCAAGAATCACATCTAATACAATCAGTATAGTGCCTAACATTCTGTAAGTTCTAAAACTAATTACAAAAATAATCAGAAATAAAGGATCAGCCACTGGAAATATGGCAGAATTTGATTCTTTAACCTCTTCTTGCCTCTGTGGTATTGATTCCTGATTTTATTATAATAGCTTCAATTTTTCAAAGAAAGCACATTAACTTACTATAGCTCTATAGCTACAACACTTGAGACCTTCCCTTCTCTAACCCTCCCCGAATTGTACGTTAGGTAGCCTGACTGAAGAAGCCTTTAAAGTTCTCTGTAAATTTATTTGCACAGGGTTTAGGGATGGCCTAACCAAAAAAAGAAATTAATACAGTGTAATTGTCAACAGGATTGGGACTCTTCTTTGGTGAAGACTTTCAAACTGAAGAAGAGAGAAAAGAGGGTATGTATGATTTGTTTAGTCTTTTTTTAAAACAAAGTAATAATGGAGTTATTTTTGGAAATTTTGCCATGATACTGCATTCCTGTCATGTTGCTCTAGCCATTGTTAAGCACATACTACAGATGAATTCATGCTGTGGGGACAGTATTGATATTCTTTTTTTTTTTTTTTTTTCTTTTTTTTGAGACGGAGTTTTGCTCATTTCCCAGGCTGGAGTGCAATGGCGCGATCTCGGCTGAACGCAACGTCCGCCTCCCGGGTTCAAGCAATTCTCCTGCGTCGGCCTCCCAAGCAGCTGGGATACAGGTGCCTGCCACCATGCCTGGCTAATTTTTGTATTTTTAGTAGAAACGGGGTTTCACCATGTTGGCCAGGCTGGTCTTGAACTCCTGACCTCAGGTGATCCACCTGCCTCGGCCTCCCAAAGTGCTGGGATTACAGGCGTGAGCCACTGCTCCCAACCAGTACTGGTACTCTTTGAAGTAGTAACTTAGGACAGAATCCTGTCCATTTCACTGTTTAGGCTGCATTTCAATTCATTCATACAGTGGAAAAGGATAAACTTAAGTTTGTTTTGAATTGTCATATGAATTTTTACACAGAACTTTTGTGCTCTAATATAAGCTTCATATAATGGGATATATAGAGATCTATCTGTGTATGCTTGTTTAGGGTACTTAATGTGTTTCCAAGACTTCATGTCCTTAGTTAGGATTACAGCTGTACTTTTTCTGGTGGTGTCATCTAAATTTCTCCATAGCTTGCTCATTTTTTCTAGGGCACTGAGAGCATTTTTGTACAACATATTCTTTTGAAACAGCTTATTCTTCATGTGGAAATAGGCAAAGAGAGAGAGAGAGAGAACACATTGTTTGTTATTTACTGTAGCCCTAATCCCCAGGACCTGTATCCAAGTTGTTTGATGGAATAATTTTATCTTCTGTGCTTCAGATCTGCTTGGCATTAAAGTTACGGGTCTTTGTCTCCTTTCTAGCGCTCTACTAGCCGACAGTTTGTTGATGGTCCCCCTGGACCTGTAAAGAAAACTCGTTCCATTGGCTCTGCAGTAGACCAGGTAAGAATAGTCAGGCCAAGGTAACAGAGATTACTGGCCCCAAGCATTAAAACTTCTCTGAGTCAGCATTGCAGCATTGTTTTGAGAGACATGATGTTTAGTTAAAGTTTTTGTTTGTTTTTTGAGACAGAGTTTTGTTCTTGTAGCCCAGGCTGGAGTGCAATGGCACCATCTTGGCTCACTGTAACCTCCACCTTCCAGGTTCAAGTGATTCTCTTGTCTCAGCCTCCCACGTAGCTGGGATTACAGGCGCATGCCACCACGTCTGGCTAATTTTTGTATTTTTAGTAGAGACAGGGTTTCATCATATTGGTCAGGCTGGTCTCGAACTCCTGACCAGGTGATCTACCTGCCTCAGCCTCCCAAAGTGCTGGGATTACAGGCGTGAGCCTCCGTGCCTGGCCTTTGGTTAAAGTTTTTCTATGCAGTAGGATCCTTATCCCTATGAATGGAATTACTCTGATGTAGTAAACAACTGTCAGAGTGAGTCTTAGTTGCTTGAATATATACCCCCATGACCTATGTTTATCTTCTTAGGTACGAGATTTCTTTATTTTTACTTTTTAAAGTAGAGGGGGAGTCTCTCCTTGCTGCCCAGGATGACTCGAACTGCGGGGCTCAAGTGATCTTCCCACCTTGGCCTCCCAAAATGCTGGGATTGCAGGCATGAGCCACTGCACCCAGCCAAACATCAGATTTCAACATAAGAATGTTTCAGGTCAGGCGTGGTGGCTCACGCCTGTAATCCCTGCACTTTGGGAGGCCTAGGCAGGTGGATGATCACCTGAGGTCAGGAGTTCGAGACCAGCCTGGTCAACATGGCGAAATCCCGTCTCTACTAAAAATACAAAAATCAGTCGGCCAGGCGCGGTGGCTCACGCCTGTAATCCTAGCACTTTGGGAGGCTGAGGCGGGTGGATCACGAGGTCAGGAGATTGAGACCATCCTGGCTAACACAGTGAAACCCCATCTCTACTAAAAATACAAAAAATTAGCTGGGCATGGTGGCAGACGCCTGTAGTCCCAGCTACTCGGGAGGCTGAGGCAGGAGAATGGCGTGAACCCGGGAGGTGGAGCTTGCAGTCAGCCGATATTGGGCCACTGTACTCCAGCGTGGGCGACACAGCGAGACTCCGTCTCAAAAAAAAAAAAATCAGTCAGGTGTGGTGGCGCATGCTTGTAATCCCAGCTACTCAGAAGGCTGAGGCAGGAGAATGCCTTGAACCTGGGAGGCGGAGGTTGCAGTGAGCCGAGATCACGCCACTGTTCTCCAGCCTGGGCGGTAGAGTGAAAAACTCTGTCTCAAAAAAAAAGTATCAGACTGGGGTCTTAAGTCTTGACTAAGACTAAGGAATTTTTTACCTGCTCCAAAATACCCTATAGTGGAGGGTAAGTTAGATTCTTTGTTTGTCTTTCCTCATTACTACTTTTGTTGCAGGGGAATGAATCCATAGTTGCAAAAACTACAGTGACTGTTCCCAATGATGGCGGGCCCATCGAAGCTGTGTCCACTATTGAGACTGTGCCATATTGGACCAGGAGCCGAAGGAAAACAGGTCCATTGAATTTGTGACTAAACTGGCCTGTGTAAAACAACTAGCAAAATTTTGGAGAGTTGGTTTCTTAGAACCCTCTGGAGGCGGGGATTGGATGTATTGGGTAGTTTCTTACTGCTGCATACCGAGGACCAGAGAACTGCTTGTGTCATGCTTTACCTTTGAATTGCTAGCCCACTGGCATAACTTTAGTTTTTCTTGAAACTGTTTTTTTACATAGCCATTAGTTCTCACTTTTGGCTATGATAACAGATTACTGTTTATCTCCCAGTTAAAATTGGAGCTAAAATTTAGAAGGAGCAAAATACTTAAGACACAAAGCTTAAAAGTTGCTTGTTTTCTAGGTACTTTACAACCTTGGAACAGTGACTCCACCCTGAACAGCAGGCAGCTGGAGCCAAGAACTGAGACAGACAGTGTGGGCACGCCACAGAGTAATGGAGGGATGCGCCTGCATGACTTTGTTTCTAAGACGGTAAATCTGTGATTGTTGTTTGTGTTTTAATTTTTTAATTGTGAAAGTAATAAATACCAGGAATAAAGTTAAATACTTTAGTGTTATAAAGTTAAATGTCAAATTTCCTTCCTCATTCCAATTTTACTCTCCAGAAGTAACTATTGGTTACAGAGGTAAGTTTCTTTCCATTCTGTGAGTAATACTAAATTAAAGAGACCAACTTTTCTGAAGCAATTGTTAGTACTTTTTTTTTTTTAATTTGAGACAGAGTCTTACTCTGTCACCCAGGCTGGAGTGCAGGGGTGTAATCATAGCTCACTGTAGCCTTAACCTCCCAGTCTCAAGCAATCCTCCTGCCTCAGCCTCCTGAGTAGTAGGGATACAGATGTGTGCCACCACGCCCGGCTAATTTTTAAATTTTTTGTAGAGACTTGGTCTTGCTATGTTGCTCAGGCTGGTCCTGAACTCCTGGGCTCAAGTGCTCCCCCTGCCTCAGCTCCCAAAGTCCTGGGATTACAGGCATGAGCTACTGTGCCTGGCCCATTGTTAGTACTTTTTAGTGACACATGTTTACATTTTTTCTTGAATATATCACCTAAGATTTTCAAAATGTTTTGCTTTTGTACCATTTTATTTCCTTATAAAAATCCAAGCAAATTAACTGAGGCTCAGAGGAGTTAACTGACATTTTTGAGCCACATGATAGTAAGTGACAGATTTCACATCCAGGTTTTCTTTTTTTCTTTTTTTTTCTTGAGACAGAGTCTCACTCTGTTGCCCAGGCTGGAGTGCAGTGGTGCGATTTCGGCTCACTGCAACCTCTGCCTCCCGGGTTCAAGCAATCCTCCTGCCTCAGCCTCCCGAGTAGCTGGGATTACAGGTGCCCACCACCATGCCCGGCCAATTTTTTGTACTTTTAGTAGAGATGGGGTTTCACCATGTTGGCCAGGCTGGTCTCAAACTACTGACCTCAGGTGATCCTCCCGCCTCAGCCTCCCAAAGTGCTGGGATTACAGGCGTGAGCCACCATGCCCTGCCAACATCCAAGTTTTCTGCTCTTTGTAAACAAGTTCTTTCCACTATCACACACTGCTGCCTTCCAGTGGGATGACCTTAAACAAGTTACTTAAACTCTCTTTGCTTCTGTTTCCTCATCTTAAAATGAAGAAAACAAAACCTATTTTATGGGATTACTGTGAGAATTACATATGTAAATATGTCTAAAGGGCTTAGAAAATTTTTTGGCACATACTAAGTGCTCAATAAATGTTAGTTGATTATGGCTGGGCACAGTGGCTCACGCCTGTAATCCCAGCACTTAGGGAGACTGACGCAGGCAGATCACCTGAGGTCGGGAGTTCGAGACCAGCCTGACCAACATGGAGAAACCCCGTCTCTACTAACAATATAAAAATTAGCCGGGCGTGGTGGCGCATGCCTGTAATCCCAGCTACTTGGGAGGCTGAGGCAGGAGAATCGCTTGAACCCGGGAGGTGGAGGTTGCAGTGAGCCAACCTCTACCACGCCATTGCACTCCAGCCTGGGCAACAAGAGCGAAACTCTGTCTCAAAAAAAGACAAAAAAAGGCCAGGCCCAGTGGCTCACGCCTGTAATCCCAGCACTTTGGGAGGTCGAGGTGGGTGAATCACAAGGTCAGGAGTTCGAGACCAGCCTGGCCAACATGGTGAAACCCTGTCTCTACTAAAAATACGAAAAATTAGCTGGGCGTAGTGGTGGGCACCTGTAATCCCAGTTACTCGGGAGGCTGAGACAGGAGAATCGCTTGAACCTGGGAGGCAGAGGTTGCAGTGAGCTGAAATCACACCACTGCACTCCAGCCCAGGCGAGAGAGTGAGATTCGGTCTCAAAAAAAAAAAAAAAAAAAAGTTAGTTGATTATGATGATAATTTTCTAATTCATATCACTCTGTTCCTTCTGCCCTGTTTTATCCCAGGTTATTAAACCTGAATCCTGTGTTCCATGTGGAAAGCGGATAAAATTTGGCAAATTATCTCTGAAGTGTCGAGACTGTCGTGTGGTCTCTCATCCAGAATGTCGGGACCGCTGTCCCCTTCCCTGCATTCCTACCCTGATAGGAACACCTGTCAAGATTGGAGAGGTATGACTTATGCAAGCCGTCATTGTTTTATGGCCTCTTTATTCGCCTTTCAAAGGCTTAGTGTCAGTTTTTGTTCTAAAATTAATCATCTCAAATATATTTCTTTCCACAAATAATGACTAGAATTGTAAGATACTTACTTGTAGAAGAGTCCTGTTTGGGTTTGTCTGTCTAATACCTTTCTAAACCAAACTTCTTTCCCCGCCCCTTTTTCCTTCTTGCTCTTCCCTGCTTCTCCTTGCCTCTTCTTCCTTCCTTCCTCCCCTTCATCCCATTTTGGAAAATTTCAGACATATATAAAACTAGAGAAATTAGTATAACTAACCCCTGGTTCTTATCACTTAACTTCCATGATTACTAACTTGTGTCCATTTTTTTTTTTTTTTTTTTTTTTTTTTTTTTTTTTTTTTTAGCTCTATTGCCTAGGCTGGAGTGCACTGGCAGGATGTCAGCTCACTGCAACCTCCGCCCCCCTGGGCTCAAGCGATTTTCTTGCCTCAGCCTCCCAAGTACCTGGAATTACAGGCATGTACCACCACCATGCCCGGCTAATTTTTTTTGGTTGTATTTTTTAGTAGAGATGGGGTTTCATCATGTTGGCCAGGGTGGTCTCAAGCTCCTGACCTCAAGTGATCCGCCCACCTCAGCCTCTCAAAGTGCTGAGACTACAGGCGTGAGCCACCGCGCCTGGTCATGTCCATTCTTTTTTTAATGTCTCTCTTTTTTTTGAGACAGAGTTTCCCTGTTGTCCAGGCTGGATTGCAGTGTTGCAACTTTGGCTCACTGCAGCCTCTGTCTCCTGGGCTCAAGTGATTCTCATGCCTCAGCCTCCCAAGTTGCTGGGACTACAGCCATGTGCCACCATGCTCAACTAATTTTTTTGTATTTTTAGTAGAGACGGGGTTTTGCCATGTTGGCCAGGCTGGTCTTGAACTCCTGACCTCAAGTGATCCGCCTGCCTCGGCCTCCTAAAGTGTTGGGATTCTAGGTGTGAGCCATGGCACCCAGCCTTTATGTCTGTTCTTGATTTATCAATACTGTCGTTGCCTCCTCCTGACTCTGTCCAATGAATTACTTGGAAGCAAATCTCAGCTATCATATAATTTTATCTGTGATAAAATTATCTTTTATTCTTGCTCTTATGTTAGACATACTTCATAATAGGTTATCAAAATGAAGTTGCTTATTTCCAAATATTTAACCAGTTTAATCCAAACTGATTAAATCCATTAAGAAATTATTTATTGCTGAGTGTGGTAGCTCATGCCTGTAATCCCAGCACTTTGGGAGGCTGAGGCAGGAAAATCACTTGAGCCCAAGAGTTTGAGACCAGCCTGGACAACAAAGCAAGACTCCATCTCTACAAAGAATAAATAAATAAGTTAGCCAGGTTAGTGGTGTGCGCCTGTGTTTGTAGCTCCTCAGGAGGCTAGGTTGGACTATTGCTTGAGGTGGGGAGGTTGAAACTGCAGTGAGCTGTGATCACACCACTGCACTCCAGCCTGGGGAATAGAGCAAGACCCTATCTCAAAAAAAAAAAAAATTATTATGTAAGTAACATTAGCAAGAATCAAAATGACTATCTTCCTACCTACTCTTCAGCAAATCAAATATTATTTTCCCCTGATCTTACAAGTTCTTATCCATGCCTGTACATTTTGTTTTGTTTTGTTTTGTTTTGTTTTGTTTTTGAGAGGGAGTTTTGTTCTTGTTGCCCAGGCTGGAGTGCAATGGCGCAATCTCGACTCACCACAACCTCCACCTCCTGGGTTCAAGCGATTCTCCTGCCTCAGCCTCCCTCATAGCTGGGATTACAGGCATGCGCCACCATGCCTGGCTAATTTTGTATTTTTAGTAGAGACAGGGTTTCTCCATGTTAGTCAGGCAGGTCTCGAACTCCTGACCTCAGGTGATCCGCCCACCTCGGCCTCCTACAGT
This sequence comes from Homo sapiens, assembly GCF_000001405.40. Taxonomy (NCBI): domain Eukaryota; kingdom Metazoa; phylum Chordata; class Mammalia; order Primates; family Hominidae; genus Homo; species Homo sapiens. Next base: position 49,995,101 of record NC_000012.12, on the reverse strand, counting down.
GCTGGGATTACAGGCGTGAGCTACCGCACCTGGCCGCCTGTACATTTTTTTTACACATGTTCTGTACTCTAATATAGAACCATGGAGTTCTCCCCTACAGGTAGGTTTGTGTCATAATCAACTGATAAGATATGTTAAATAATTTTTTTTACTGAGAATAATGAAAGTATACACAATTTTTTTCTCTTGTTCCAGCTTTCTTCTGTTAGAAAAAAAAATCTGTTTAGAGTAATAAATTATTTTATATTAAAGGCTATACCTGTAACCTCATTATTGCTTGTTTTCTGCTGTCCTTGAGTGGATGAGAAGGAGGTAATTATAGCTGGTGGTCTTATTCCTTGTTCACATAACAGTGTGGTGTATATATGAAAAAGAAAAAGTGTGGTATATATGATAATAAATCAGTCCTGGTGTGGAGGTAGGAAAAATAATTGAGAGTCTCTGTTTTAATATATGCTTTGGGAATAGGAATGTAAAAGTAGACATGATGTCCCAGTTTGAGAATAAGATTGGAGGTGGTTCTTCGCATGTGGTCTTCATCTGTTGGTCTACATGGCGTAAATAATAATTTAAAGCTCTTTTTTTTTTCCAGGGAATGCTGGCAGACTTTGTGTCCCAGACTTCTCCAATGATCCCCTCCATTGTTGTGCATTGTGTAAATGAGATTGAGCAAAGAGGTCTGACTGAGGTAAGAGTCAACTGTAGGAGATGGTGAATTTGTTATTTGTGTTAATTCGGAGGTTTTTAAATAAAAATGTCATCTTGATAATAGACAGGCCTGTATAGGATCTCTGGCTGTGACCGCACAGTAAAAGAGCTGAAAGAGAAATTCCTCAGAGTGAAAACTGTACCCCTCCTCAGCAAAGTGGATGATATCCATGCTATCTGTAGCCTTCTAAAAGACTTTCTTCGAAACCTCAAAGAACCTCTTCTGACCTTTCGCCTTAACAGAGCCTTTATGGAAGCAGCAGGTAAGGGCAGATGTAATACTTGAATATGAATTCCTCCACGGCAGTAGTTTTTCTTACTCTCTTTATTTTTTTATTTATTTTTTATTTTTTAGACAGAGTCTCACTCTCGCCCAGGCTGAAGTCAGTGGCGCAATCTCAGCTCACTGCAACCTCCGTCTCCCAGGTTGAAGCGATTCTCCTGCCTCAGCCTCCTGAGTAGCTAGGATTACAGGCGTGTGCCACCATGCCTGGTTAATGTTTTCTATCTTTAGTAGAGATGGGGTTTCACCATGTTAGCCAGGATGGTCTCGATCTCCTGCCCTGTGATTTGCCTGCCTCGGCCTCCCAAAGTGCTGCGATTACAGGCGTGAGCCACCGTGCCCAGCCTCTTTTTTTTTTTTTTTTAAGACGGAGTCTTTCTCTGTCGCCCAGGCTGGAGTGCAGTGGCGCTATCGGCTCACTGCAAACTCCGCCTCCTGGGTTCAAGCGATTCTCCTGCCTCAGCCTCCTGAGTAGCTGAGATTACAGGCGTTAACGGTGTTATACCATGTTAGCCAGGCTGGTCTCAAACTCCTGACCTCAGGTGATCTACCCACCTTGTCCTCCCAAAGTGCTGGGATTACAGGCATGAGCCACCACACCTGGCCACCTTCCTCTTTTTATTAGCTCCTGCCTAGTACAATGCCTGAAACATAGTAGGTGCTCAAGTAGTTTGATGGATGAGTAACTGTATGCGTGTCACCCTTGCCTATCCTCTTGCTTTCTCATTACGTTATTGTGTACAGTGTTCTTCCTTTCTTTCCTTCCTCTCCAGTTAGGTTGGAGCTTTTTCAATTCTTAGAATATACCAAGTTTACTCCCTACCTTAAGGCCTTCACATTTGTTGTCTCAACCTGAATGCTCTTACATTAGATACAGTATGGTTTGCTCCTTTATTTCTTTCATATTTCTCTTCATATACCTTGTCCCCAGAAACACCTTTCCTGACAACCTTGTCTAGATTAACAGCTCTCATTTCTTTCTAGCTTCTTGCCTGCCTTGTTTTCTTCATTTATGTATCACTCTACCTGATAGGTATTTGCTTTTTGACTGACTCCACCAATAGAATGTAGGTTCCATAAGATAAGGGCTTTGTTTACTTCTGCTTTATCCTCAGCACTTGTACCTGGCACATCGTAGGCCCTTAAATATGTCTCATGAATGAATACCTTCTTGGTAATTGTAGTCACTGCAATTGTATGCCTGTCTGCCTAGCACATCAGTTGCCAACTGCTTTCCCTAACTGCAAAGGCCGATTTTTTAAAAGTTTTGACTTCTAATATTGAGCTGTTGGCCAGTATCCTGCTTGTTAATGAAACTAGAGTCTGATGTAGTCATGAACTAATCAGGAGTTTCAGAAGCTTACTGTATAGATGAGACTTTGTGGTCGATAACTTGGAAGCCCGCTGTCAAGGGAAAGAAGTCTAGGCCTCTTGGTGCTTTCTTTTCAATTACAGAAATCACAGATGAAGACAACAGCATAGCTGCCATGTACCAAGCTGTTGGTGAACTGCCCCAGGCCAACAGGGACACATTAGCTTTCCTCATGATTCACTTGCAGAGGTGAGTACAGCAGAAACTTGTTCTGGGAGTTAGGGAATTTTTTTCCAAGGGGAAGATAATGTGGGTTGAGTGTTTGGGAGTATGAGGGATGAATTGTTTTCTTATAGAATTTATATTTTGGTCTGCATTTAAGCAAGGAGCAAGACTTCTAATTTAATATTCTTTTGCTTAGAGTGGCTCAGAGTCCACATACTAAAATGGATGTTGCCAATCTGGCTAAAGTCTTTGGCCCTACAATAGTGGCCCATGCTGTGCCCAATCCAGACCCAGTGACAATGTTACAGGACATCAAGCGTCAACCCAAGGTAGGCAGGTGCGTGTGTGTGTGTATGTGAACTTGTGTAATGTGATAACTTGAAAGACAGTTGAGAAGCCCTGAGCTTTGGAAGTTTGCTAACAGATTTGCTGGCTTTTAGGTGGTTGAGCGCCTGCTTTCCTTGCCTCTGGAGTATTGGAGTCAGTTCATGATGGTGGAGCAAGAGAACATTGACCCCCTACATGTCATTGAAAACTCAAATGCCTTTTCAACACCACAGACACCAGATATTAAAGGTAAGGCCCAAGATGTGCTTCTTCAGGGACTTGACTCTCTCTTTAGTTTTAGTCATATGACCTCTTCCTGCCTTTGCTAGAGCTGTTTGAAAATTCTAACATTAAAGGAAAATTTGTATAATTCTACCATCGTAATTTTTTTTTGCTTTTCCATGTTCTCCTTTCTTTATCCATATGGATATATGTTTTTTAAATATAGATATAATAGGCTGGGCATGGTGGCTCACACCTGTAGTCCCAGCACTTTGGGAGGGAGGCTGAGGCGGACGGATCACAAGGTCAGGGGATTGAGACCATTCTGGCCAACATGGTGAAACCCCATCTCTACTAAAAATACAAAAATTAGCTGGGTGTGGTGGCGCATGCCTGTAATCCCAGCTACCAGGGCGGCTGAGGCACAAGGAATTGCTGGAACCCAGGAGGCGGAATTTGCAGTGAGCTGAGATCCCGCCACTGCACTCCAGCCTGGTGACAGAGTGAGACTCTGTCTAAAAAAAAAAAAAAAAAAAAAAAAAAAATATATATATATATATATATATAATAGTTTAAATATAATTCATTCTTATTTCACTTAGCATGTTGTGAGAACTTTTTCTCATGTATAATCTTATTTATCATTTACTTAAATGTTCTAGTAGGTATTAACATTATTTTTCAATTTTTCATAATTACAAGTAATGCTATAGTCAATATAGCATTTCTCTTAATGATAAATTCCTAAGAGTGGGATCACTGAATTAAATGGCTTGAACATTTTTATGTGTCTTGGTATGTTTTACCAACTTGATTTATTAAATTTCTTATAGGCTTTTGCCAATTTATATTGCTAACCAACAATTTTATATGAATAGGCTGGTTTCACTCCAGTCTCACTGGCATTGGAGACCCATTCTTTCATTATTGCAAGTTCCTTCTAAGGGAGCATATTGCTTCTTCTAGTATAGCTAAAAGTCAGATGTTTAGATGTTAGATTTGTGAAGTGTGGAGTTAGAGAATGGCCTAAATCAGGACGTGTCAGCTATTCATTGAGTTCAAAAGATACACTAGTGTGTTACAGAATGATGACAAAAATGATCTCTGGGACTTTGCTAGATGTCTAACCTTAGCTCTTAAGTGCTTCAGAGGGTAATCAGCTTAAAACTAGCCATCTAAAAAGATGCCTTCTTTTTTCCCACCTCTCTTAAAAATATGTCTGAACTTTGAAGTGAGTTTACTGGGACCTGTGACCACTCCTGAACATCAGCTTCTCAAGACTCCTTCATCTAGTTCCCTGTCACAGAGAGTCCGTTCCACCCTCACCAAGAACACTCCTAGGTATGCAGAATTGGCCTTCCTAGGAAATAAAAAACAACTACTTTCTTAGACTTCTTATTATATTGAAGCTTATTGAAAGAAAAATTGCATTCGATTTTAGCTAGCAACTAGACTTTAAAAGGGAACGTGGGGCTATAAGGATTCCTTCTTTAAAAAGGTTCTGAAAGTCTTTACTATTTCCCCTCTCTCGTTGTTGGTGACTAAGAATACTTAAGCAACTATTGCAAAATAGTTGTCTAGGGTTTCCTACTTATAATGGGTTATATCAAGTAATATTATAGTTGTTTATTCAACCATTTTTTATAGAATATTTTTCCAGTTCATTCTCTTTTTATTGTAGATTTGGGAGCAAAAGCAAGTCTGCCACTAACCTAGGACGACAAGGCAACTTTTTTGCTTCTCCAATGCTCAAGTGAAGTCACATCTGCCTGTTACTTCCCAGCATTGACTGACTATAAGAAAGGACACATCTGTACTCTGCTCTGCAGCCTCCTGTACTCATTACTACTTTTAGCATTCTCCAGGCTTTTACTCAAGTTTAATTGTGCATGAGGGTTTTATTAAAACTATATATATCTCCCCTTCCTTCTCCTCAAGTCACATAATATCAGCACTTTGTGCTGGTCATTGTTGGGAGCTTTTAGATGAGACATCTTTCCAGGGGTAGAAGGGTTAGTATGGAATTGGTTGTGATTCTTTTTGGGGAAGGGGGTTATTGTTCCTTTGGCTTAAAGCCAAATGCTGCTCATAGAATGATCTTTCTCTAGTTTCATTTAGAACTGATTTCCGTGAGACAATGACAGAAACCCTACCTATCTGATAAGATTAGCTTGTCTCAGGGTGGGAAGTGGGAGGGCAGGGCAAAGAAAGGATTAGACCAGAGGATTTAGGATGCCTCCTTCTAAGAACCAGAAGTTCTCATTCCCCATTATGAACTGAGCTATAATATGGAGCTTTCATAAAAATGGGATGCATTGAGGACAGAACTAGTGATGGGAGTATGCGTAGCTTTGATTTGGATGATTAGGTCTTTAATAGTGTTGAGTGGCACAACCTTGTAAATGTGAAAGTACAACTCGTATTTATCTCTGATGTGCTGCTGGCTGAACTTTGGGTTCATTTGGGGTCAAAGCCAGTTTTTCTTTTAAAATTGAATTCATTCTGATGCTTGGCCCCCATACCCCCAACCTTGTCCAGTGGAGCCCAACTTCTAAAGGTCAATATATCATCCTTTGGCATCCCAACTAACAATAAAGAGTAGGCTATAAGGGAAGATTGTCAATATTTTGTGGTAAGAAAAGCTACAGTCATTTTTTCTTTGCACTTTGGATGCTGAAATTTTTCCCATGGAACATAGCCACATCTAGATAGATGTGAGCTTTTTCTTCTGTTAAAATTATTCTTAATGTCTGTAAAAACGATTTTCTTCTGTAGAATGTTTGACTTCGTATTGACCCTTATCTGTAAAACACCTATTTGGGATAATATTTGGAAAAAAAGTAAATAGCTTTTTCAAAATGAACATGAGGCTGGTTTTCTTGTCTTGCAAGGTAATTTTCAATGCCTTTTAGAAAATCATTTCTGGGGCTGGGCTTGGTGGCTTATGCCTCTAATCCCAGCACTTTGGGAGGCCAAGATAGGTGGATCACCTGAGGTCAAGAGTTTGAGATATGGCCAAACTCTGTCTCTACAAAAAATACAAAATTAACTGGGCGTGGTGGTGCACACCTGTGGTCCCAGCTACTTGGGAAGCTAATGTGGGAAAATTGAGCCTGGGAGGCAGAGGTTGCAGTGAGCTGAGATCGTGCCACTGCACTCCAGCCTGGGTGACAGAGTGTGAGACCCTGTCACAAAAAAAAAAAAAGAAAAAATTACTTCCTTCAAAGTGTCTTGACTCTGTTGTTCATCCCCATTTCCCACTCTCTGGACCCACCCCAGGCTTACCACCACCGGGAGTTTGTTTCTTCATTTCTCATCCAGTCTCTCTTTGTCCAAACTGGAGTTGTAGAGTTGTCCTATGCCTGTTGTCTTGTTTAAAGAAACCACAGTCATGAGTTGCATAATGACAGGGATACATTCTGAGAGGTGCTTCATTAGGTGATTTCATTGTTGTGTGAACCTGAGTGTCCTTAAACTAACCTGGATGGTGTGGCCTACTACACACCTAGGCTGTATGGTATAGCCTATTGCTCCTAGGCTACAAACCTGTACATCATGTGACTGTTCTGAACACTGTAGGCAGCTGTAACGCATGGTAAGTATTTATGTATCTAAACATAGAAAGGGTACAGTAAAACTATGGTTATTATAATCTTATGTGACTACTGTTGTATATGGGATCCCTTATTGATCAAAACGTTATGTAGTGTGTGACTGTACTTAAAAAATAAAACAACAACAACAACTTTTTAAACAAGTCTTTAGGGACCAGAATGGTGCAGATAAAAAAAAAAATTGCCTCTGGCTGGCTGACTGCCTAGAACATCCTTCACTGCTGGAAGTGACTTTGGAGTGAGCTGGGATGATTAACTGAGGGCACCTGCACTTGGAACTCTGAAGCTGGTGAACAGAATGTATCTGAGATTGAACGTAAACAGTTGTAGGCTTAATATGTAACTGTGGAGAGAGGAGGCAACCTACTGGCTTTTTTCCCAGGAGGGGGCAGCTTCACAGCAGGGCCCATCTGCCTCAGCAAATTGACAGAGGATGGGTCCCATACCCCCTTTCACACACGCCTGCTAGGCCTTGTTTTTTAAAACTGCCCTAGATGCTACCTCTTTTCTTATGTCTTTGCAATCCTAGCGTTGGCCTGGTTCCATATTTGCTGTTCTGTAGTATCTCCCCAAGGTGCATTTTCAGTCACTAATGTAGAGGAAGTAAATGGATTGTGTAACATTAGTGAAGGCAAGGCTACCCTATGCAGGAACCAATGGTCCATTAACGAAAAAGGAAATGGTCCTGTGTGTCAAATGTTGGCAACCATTTGCTCAGTTTTTGGGCTAGGCCAAGAGACCTTAGCCATGAAAATAATTCTGATAATAGCAAAGGGAAATATATACCCACCTTCAACTTCTTTAACAGTACTTCCTGCGGAACAGCCTGACTTTCCAGGGCCTTCTTAATTATACCTCCTCAATGTGAGGGCTGTGGAAGGGGGTCCAGTGCTTTGGAGTAGCCATCAGTCCATCTCTTACTCCTAACCCTTTCTGACATTCCTCTCTTTTAATGCAGTTTAATTTTACTATCGCACTTGCTAATAAACAGAATCTTTAAGTTGTGATATTTACCTTTATTCTCCCTGATCTATGTAAGACTCCCTAGTTTGATGTTTATCTAACTGGGCAAGCATTACATGGTTGGATTCAGCTGCAACAATTTGAGTTTATTACTGGGTGTTTAACAACTTATCCTTCCTTAAGAGGGTGAATTCATTGCTTGCAGAGATAGAAGAAGGAATGTGAGTTTTGGTCAGAGGACATTTAGGGTGCGCAATTGATTTACCAGGGGAAAAAAGTACTCATTTTTGGTTATGAACTGAGCCTGTGGCATTGAAATTGGTCTTGTGTTCTTTTTATTTTATTATTTATTTTATGCCTCCCAAGTAGCTGGGACAACAGGCATGCCCCACCATGCCCAGCTAATTTTTAAATTTTTTATAGAGACAGGGTCTCACGATGTTGCCCAGGTTGGTCTCAAACTTCTGGACTTAAGTGATCCTCCTGCTGCAGCCTCCCAACAAAGTGCTGGGATTACAGGCATGAGCCATTGTGCCCAGCCAGTTCTTGCATGCTTAAATTATTAGGCAGCACAAAATGACAAGGAGAGCTGAGGGAGTACAGGGAGCAAAGATACCAGGCTTGCTGCTTTTGTTTTGTTATGGTAGGGTCTACCTGCACACCTATCTAGCTTCAGATAGATTGATATGGTTTGTGTCCCCAGCCAAATCTCATCTTGAATTGTAGTTCCCATAATCCCCACGTGTCATGGGAGGGACCCAGTGGGAGGTAATTGAATCATGGGGATGATTACTAACCTCATGGTGTTCTCGTGATAGTGAGTTCTCACAAGATCTGATGGTTTTATAAGGAGCTTTTCCCCCTTTTGCTCTGCACTTCTTGCTGCTGCCATGTGAAGGACATGTTTGCTTCCCCTTCTGCCATGATTGTAAGTTTCCTGAGTCCTCCCCAGCCATGCGGAACTGTGAGTCAATTAAACCTCTTTCCTTTATAAATTACCCAGTCTTGGGTATGTCTTTATTAGCAGTGTGAGAACGGAATAATACATAGATACATACATACACACATATGTACATTACACTTGGTAAGTGATTTCCTCTTGGAAAAGCATTTAGAGGCCCCACTGCTATGCCTGGCATGCCAAGGGGTTCAATCGTGCATCACCTTTTCTTAGGCTCTCAGCACGAGCAGGGCAAGAGCTGGTGTGGATGCCCAGATGTGAGACGTGAGGGTGGCACAGCTCACACAGTACGTTCTTGATCAATGTGCTTTGATGATAGTCTGAGTGATGACTCAGGTTTCAGCCACTGATGGAAAAAGCTTTCAAGCATGCAGAGTTGGGGCATGTTAGCCATTGTGCTTTTAGTGTAAACAGGGTTTGGAGAATGGCCACTTAACCTAAGAACTTGGTAATTTTTTAATATGCCCCCTGTAGCGGGTATATTTTGTAAATAAGTGAAGGCACCAGGCCAGGAGGTCCCTAACTTGGGTAGTTTATTACACACTGGTTCTCAGAGCTATATTTGTTGATGGTTTGTGTTCACAAAGTCAGGTGGAAGACAGTTTGACGTCACCAGGAATAACCTTGTAGCATGTGGGAGCTTTGTCCTCTGCAATTGCGTGGGATGGGGAAGGAGGCTACTTTTCAGGGACTCCTAGTTGGAAGCAGGAATTTTTCCTTTTGTCTACCTTTCTCCCTCTGTAACTCTTGCCAGGCTTCATTTAGCTGCATTGTTTTTTATGCAGCATTACTCTCATATCTCACACAGTTGGGTACCATCTCTGTGCTAGGCTCAAACACATGTAAATGGATATTTAGACTTATAATAAAGCACCAGTTAAATCTTCTCTGGTCATCACTGAAGATGGAATTAGGAACTGATTCCCCATAAAGTCTCTAGGGAATTTAATATGGTGATTTACCATATACAGAGCGCTTTCATTTATCGTCTTACTTGATCTCACTTCACCCACCGGAGGTGGGGCAGGACAGGTGATACTATCCCAGTTAACAAATTCAGAGAGGTGATTTGGCTCAAACTCCTACCAACTAATGTGTAGCTTACCTGGGGTTAGAATCTGGGAGTTACAGCTTAGTCTGAAGGTTAGCCCTGGTGCTTGCTATTTCAGACTTCAGAGAGCATTGTGGGGCCTCTAAGTGTATTATTAGGTACTTAAGTACTAGTAAATGGCCTTTGCTTGGAGCCAGTGTTATTCACATTCCATGCAAGGAAGGATCTTGTTCTGCAAAGTGAGCAACTATAAAATGAGCAGCGCTGTAGAAAGAGATGATCACTTACTTTGCAGGAGTTCTCTCCATTATCCTAAGAACTTGGTAAGTCACACCCAACCTAGAGCCGCAGATTGCACTGAGGACTCTATGTATGTGGATGTAGTATGCATTCTCATTATGCATTCTCAGCAGATGACCCAGAAAGAGCAGGGAGGCCCAAACTGCTGGAGACGGCACGTGGGGCAGAATTTCCTAATGGTTGTCTGGGAGAATGGAAGACCTGGGCTTGGTGATGTAGGGCTGTTTTCTGTGTGGAAGGAGCAAGATGAGTTGTGTGAGCACTTGAGGTTGCTCCTGGTGGCAGTCTGTTTTCAGGCCACCCCTGTGCATCCTGTGTGCTCTGATGCTCAGAGCCAAGGACAGGCAAGTCTCGGAGCCAGAGCCATCAGCCTGCTTCTAGAAACGTGTCAGTGGATTAACTGATTAACTGACTGGCTTTCCCCCTAAGTGGCATTAGCTCTCACCCTGTCTCATGCTCACCATCTGGCTTTGAGTCTTCGAGTGATCTCTCTTCACAGCCTGCTTTGCGCCTGGGCTTTCCGAGGGCTGTGCAGCACTCTGCCTCATCAACCCTAGGGCCCAGTGCTCTCCAGGAAGGGGAGGTCAGTGTGCTGTGTCCACACATATGCATACCTGGGATCTGAAGACTACTTTAGACCTCAAAGGAAAAAAACCAGCTCAAGGGAGAATGAGCCTCCATGGTTAGTGACCTAAAGTCTTTTTGTTGTCAAAACTAACAAGTGGATCTGTTATTAGGTTAGCTTTTAAAATGGAGTTGCTCCCACCACAGAGAAAGCTCTTTCTGCCAGTGAGATGATAGTTTGTCCAGATTTTGGTAGAGAGATATTCAAAGGGGCTGGGATTTTTCTTTCTCATTAGGAAGCAAAGCCCGGGGGTGGAGGTGGTTAAAGGAACCACCTCCCTTCCTCCCAGGGAGCTGGCTGTGGCTGCTCTCTCCTCCTAGGTTAATATACATTGAATGGGGCTAAACGCCTGGTGCTTCTGGACAGAGTCCAGCCCCTCAGCAGAGCAGCCGCACTGTGAAGATACAGCTGCCGGCATTAAAGGGCTAAGCCCTTTCCAGCTGCTTTGCTTTAACGGTATCAGGAATTGCCTGCAGTCGGCAGCTTAGCAGAGCAGTCTTAGCCCGATTAGGAGGAAATGACTAATCTCTGCATCTTCTCTTGACACTGCTCTGGAGGCTCCGGGGAAAATAACCCAGTGGGTTGGGAAGTGGTTGGATAAATGGTGTTGGAGTGCTAGGCTCTAGCTCCTTAAAACTGTGGTCCCAGCTTGGTGTGGTTTGTGTTTGTTTTGCCTCTGTGAAAATAGGGGGCTGGCTTCTCTTCAGTGGACTCCCTGGCACTGAGGGAGAGGAGACGTTCACTGTGAGGGGTGGCCTGGGTACTTAAAAGCTGGTACAGCAAGAGATGTGCAGAGTTGAGAGCATATGGGGGCAATGTATCCATCCCCCTGGGAGGAGGAAGACACCTAAGATGGTCCCCACTTCAGCCTTCCATTCCTCTTTTCACTAAAACCCCATGTAAAGAGCCAAGATTCAGACCCGGCACAGTGGCTCACACCTGTAATCCCAGCACTTTGGGAGGCCGAGGCGGGCAAATCATCTGAGATCGGGAGTTCAAGACCAGCCTGACCAACATGGAGAAACCCCATCCCTACTAAAAATACAAAATTAGCCGGGCATGGTGGCGTATGCCTATAATCCCAGCTACTCAGGAGGCTGAGGCAGGAGAATCACTTAAACCCAGGTGGCGGAGGTTGCGGTGAGCCAAGATTGTGCCATTGCACTCCAGCCTCGGCAACAAGAGTGAAACGCCATCTCAAAAAAAAAAAAAAAAGAAAGAGAAATTATCATTTCATTGATTGAAAAGATGCACTTTGGAAAATATTGTTAATATCTCTGAGAATTGGGACATCTTATAATCAATGGCATCTTACTAATATAATGCAATGTTCCTCAGTAGCTCATAAAATAGTAGTGCATCTTGTAATCAATGTTATTTGGGTTGGAAGTGTTAGCTATTCATGTGAGATAGGCTGTTGGATGGACCAGCTGTGCAGGCCAAGAAAACAGCGACTTTGCTGTGGTCAAAGAGAGATTAAAACAGGAGGTTCCCCCTGGTCTGAAAGATAGCTACAGTATAGGAAAAGCAGAGAAACCAAGGCTCAGTCCAAGACACATAGCATGAAGAAGCAGACAAGCAATGTGTGGGGCAGGATCAAGATTGGACCCAGTCATGACCCCAGAGCTGTTAGGGGAAAGCCACTGTGAATCAGTGATGAGCTGACCAAAATAACAGTACATCCTGGTGGACACCAGGCTGCTTTAACACATGAGAGATGGGAGGTTTTAGACATTCTGTTTGGGCTGGGTTTTGGGAGTGTGTGTTGCAATCCTTTGACCACCTCACTCATCAAGAATATCAGAGGAAGTTCTTTCTTCTTTTGAAAATGAAAGGCCATGATTTGGGGACCTACAAAAAAAGGAAGCCTGTCTCATAGGACAGACAGTAAAGATAAGGAACATATTGCCCTGAAATTAGAAGTAGACTAAAAATATCATTTTGTTTAAGGAGATATTCCTGTTAGAGGCAGATGTTCAAATAACTATGAAGTCACGTGTTCAGTGCTGGGATAGAGGTGGTGCAGAGTGCTGGGGGAGCTCACAGAGCCTTAAGGTCCTGACATGAGAGCTGGAACTCGGGCTGTGCCAGGCAGTTAGGGAGGGACAGAGCGTATTTCCAGAGAAAGCCCCTCCAGCCTGCTGCTCCAGAACCAGACGCCCCTGACTGCTGTCCTGGCCTCTTCCCTCACCACAGGCTGGACCCTTGTTCCCGGATCAAACCCAGGGTCAGGATGCTTATTTTCGTGGCCCAATAATGAGACACAGGTGGACTGGGAAAGAAGGGAGTTTTCATTTCTGTAACCGGTTACAGGGAGAAGGCCTGGAAATTATCACCACACCAACTCAAAACTACAAAGTTTTCCAGAGCTTAGATACCTTCCAAGCTAGATGTCTGTGTGTAAGTGTGCATTCATCTAAAGACATAACTTCTTTTAATCTATAACTAAGATCTGAGGCCTGAAGACCTTCCTCTGGAACCTCAGTAAATTTACTTAATTTAAATGGGTCCAGGTGATGGGGTGATTACCCTTGTCTCCTGCTAAATCATGGAGGTTTGGGGAGTTCCTTCAGACCCCCAATAAACTTGTTTAATCCTAAACAGGCCCTGTTAATAATTCTTTTGTTATTTTGTCATGCTTTAAGCTCTAGGAAAGGCCTAGGCAAAACTCTTTTTTTTTTTTTTTGAGACAGGGTTTCGCTCTTTTTGCCCAGGCTGGAGTGCAGTGGTGCTCACCACAACCTCCACCTCCCAGGTTCAAACGATTCTCCTGCCTCAGCCTCCCGAGGAGCTGGGACTACAGGCGCCCGCCACCATGCCTGGCTAATTTTTTGTATTTTTAGTAGAGACGGGGTTTCACCGTGTTAGCTGGGATGGTCTCGATCTCCTGACCTCGTGATCCACCTGCCTCGGCCTCCCAAAGTGTTGGGATTACAGGCGTGAGCCACCGTTCCTAGCAACCTAGGCAAAACTCCTGGTGGCCGTTTGTTATATTCCAGCCTTTGTATAAGGGCACTGGCTGTCTTAGCTTTTAATATTTAACTTAACCACTCAGTGAGTACTGAAACAGTTGTTATGGAGGCCTGCATTAGTGAGACCTGGCCTGCCACACGCTGGCCTGGCTGGAGCTTGTTTCATCTGTCCATGGGGGTGGAGCGGGAGTTATTTGTCCCTGCCTTTGTCTCTGGCCTCCTCCACCTGCAGCTCTGGCAATAGCTGCCCCTTTATGGGTTTCAATCAGAGCTCTGAAACATTGTTTTTCATTTCCCCCTTTTCTGCTAATTAACTGCAGCCTATTAATTAGTGCTATTGGACTCCCCACTCCCATAAACCCCATTCACTAACCATGCCTTGCCTCCCCAGCTTTTGCTAAATATGTGACTGCGCTGTAGTGTAGCTGCCGCTCCCTGAGAAGTGATTACGGATCTTGGCTATGCTGACCCCCTGCCACAGCTGCCCAGAGAGGTCACAGCTTGGCCAGATGCTTCATCTTGATTAGCCCTTAACTTCTTCCCTCCCTTCTTCCCTCCCCATCTTCCTCTCTGACATTGAGAGGGCCTGGCACTAAGCTGTCAGTTAAAATCCCTCTTAGTATCAAGCATCGATCTCTCTTCTCGCGGCACTCCCTGGGGTTGCTCCGGGGCACAGAAAACAGCACTGTGGGGCCAGAGGAACTTAGCTGATCCCCTCCCCTGACCTGGTGGAGTCTCCCATCAAAACCCAGATCTGCTTGTTTCAGATCCCTTGACCTCATTATCGATCACAGTGATTTTGGTCTGTGTTACCCCTTTAACTCTCAGCTCTGATGTCAGCTCCCTTTTTGTTTACTTAGCTTTCATGTGAAATTCCTAATCTTCAAAGCTCTGCTTCTTTTCACCTCTTTTCCACCCCACCCAGACTTCTTACCTCCATTCCTGGAGTCTCCCAACTCTCCCAGTGTGATCACTTCAGTGCTCCACTTCTCCGTTATGAGAAGGCCCTTATTTCTCGCTCTCTTTTTTTCTTTTGAGACTGAGTCTTGCTCTGTCGCCCAGGCTGGAGTGCAGTGGCGTGATCTCGGCTCACTGCAACCTCTGCCTCCAAGGTTCAGACAGTTCTCCTGCCTCGGCCTCCCATGTAGCTGGGATTACAGGCATGTGCCACCACGCCTGGTTAATTTTTGTATTTTTAGTAGAGATGGGGTTTCACCTTGTTGGCCAGGCTGGTCTCAAACTCCTGACCTCAAGTGATCCACCCGCTTTGGCCTCCCAAAGTGCTGGGATTACAGGTGTGTGGTTAGAGCCCGGCCTCTTTCTTGTGTTTAATTCTTATGTTTTAATTCTTGACTCCTCTTCTGTGATTCCCCCTTTCCCCCAAATACACTCATAAACTCTCTCCCCCCGTCCCCCCTCAGCTCAAGCTAAGCCTGGGGTATGGGAAGGATGTGATCCCTTCTTTAGTAATAGCCCAGGCCTCATTAGAAACTGCAGGGGAAGTAGCTGAACTTATGGTAGACAGAATGCAATACCGCGATCATGATGGTGGTAAAAATAGCTACCACTGATTGAGATCTGACTGCCTGTCAGGCATGGTGTGAAACACACACACATCTCATGTAGTTCTTCCAGCTCCCTTTTGACTGTACTCCATCCTCCAGATGAGGAAAGTGAGGCTCAGGATCCTTAAGTAACTTGCCCAAGTTCACACAGCTGCTAAGTGCCTGAGCCTGTATTTAAACTCTGTCAACTCCCGATCTATGTTTATGTAGTTTTTTTTTTTTTTTTTAACTTTGGTCCGCACAATCCTTTAGGTGAAAGTGATTTTCTTTGGAATGTAAAAGCGCCCAGATCATGGTGTGACTCTACTCTTCCTTCAGTCCTAGGAGACCAAATGTGGCTCAGAGCCCTACCCCTTCCTGGCCTTTTCCCCCTTGCACAGTATGACCCCAGATGAGGCCTGTCCTCTTTATACCTGGAGGTAGTAGATCGAAGATGAAAAGTGGGGGTGGGAAGCGGAGAGGGGCTTCCTGCCAGCCAATCGGGACGCGACCGCCCAGGCTCCCAGCACAGCATCATCTGCTCCTGCTAAGACAATCATCAACATAAAAGGCTAATTGTATTAATCACCAAGGCACCCGGCCCGAGTCCCCCTCCCTTTGGGGAGAATTATGAATTGCAATTGCAGATGGCTCCACTGATTGAAGGCAGTGCTCAGCAGGGAGAAGGGTCAGATCAGATTATACACCATTAATTAAAAACTTCCCTGACAAACAGGAGGAAGGGAATGCACACCAAGGGCTGGCCTGGTTGGGTCTCTGTCCTCCCCATGTCCCCTGCCCCCACCCAGGCCCAGGGGCTATGCCAATGAAGCCTGCTTCCCCCAGCTGGAGCTACTGAGATTCAGCTCTCCAAAGGCCAGCCCTTCCCTCATCCAAACAGATGGCCTGCTGTCCTATTAAAGGGCTCCAGAGGAGGGGAAGCGAACCTTTGGTTACTTATTTCCACGTCTAACCTTGGATGCTCTTCAGAGGCTAACCTAATTCCCCACTTCTCAGGAAACTTATTTCCTCCTGCTCTGTCCTGACAGAACTGCTTTGAAGAACTGTTAGTGAAAATAGCCCCTCAGCTTTCTCTTCAGGCAACCCCTCATATTTTGGCCTGTATGTTCCTGGGACAGACATTGTGAAGCCTGCTCTGAAATTGTGGGTGGAACAGCAAATATCTGGCGATGCACCCTCTCCCCAGCCCCTGCCTGGAAGCATAGGCTTCTCAGCTGCTGTCATACTGGCTTATTTGGAGCTGTAACTCCTGAAATTTTCTCCTCTTGATCTATTACTGCCTCCCATCCTCCCCAACTGCCCAGCCTTATTCATTCATCAAACTTATATTGAGCACCCAGTGTGTGCTTGGCTCTGGGGACAAAAAGCAGTGATCATTTGTCAAGGAGCTTAAGAGCCTACCATAGGAGCTCCACGCCCCCATCCCCTTCAATCCTCTAGTTCCTGTTTCCTTCCTTCCTGGGGCTGCAGCTTGTATGAACCCCCCAGGAGCTCTATTTTGGAAAATTCTCAACTGGGAGCTGGGGAGACCTTAAGTGTTCGTGCTCCTGAACCAGGTGACCTTGAGCAAGTCAATCATGTCCTCTGTTTACACATACGCTCTCATACATGCATACATACAGACACCCAGCTCTCCCTGCTCATAAAAGGACACAGGCAGCCTTGGACTCTGAGAGATTGTGAAGATGGATGAGTGGGGCCCAGCTTGGAGAGATGTGAGTAGTATCTGCGCTGATATTACAGAACGCTGAGCACAGCTACTGGGGCTATGAGCACCAGGGATTCAGCTACTGCACTGGTCACAGGCTGGGCCTGCCACACTGCCCTTGGAAGACTTGGGCAGCCTTTCCCCCATCCCCAGTCCCTCAGGAGACATCACTAAAAAGGATCTATCTTTTGTTTGTATTTTAATTTAATTAATTTTTCATTTTAAATAATAGAGATGAAGTTTCACTATGCTGCCCAGGATGGTCTCAAACTCCTGGCCTCAAGCAATCCTCCTGCTTGGGCCACCCAACATGTTGGTGATTACAGGTTTGAGCCGTCATGCCTGGCTAAGTTTTTAATTTTTTGTAGAGGCAGGGTTTTGCCATGTTGTCCAGGCTGGTCTCGAACTCCTGGCCTCAAGCGATCCTCCCACTTTGGCCTCCCAAAGTGTTAGGATTACAGGTGGGAGCCACTGCACCAGGCCAGGACCCATCTTTTGTTTTGTTTTTTTTGTTTTTTTTTTTGAGACAGAGTCTTGCTCTGTCACCAGGCTGGAGTGCAGTGGCGTGATCTTGGCTCACTGAAACCTCTACCTTCCGGGTTCAAGTGATTCCCCTGCCTCAGCCTCCCAAGTAGCTGGGACTACAATCACGCGCCACCACGCCCGGCTAATTTTTTATATTTTAGTAGGGACAGGGTTTCACCATGTTGGCCAGGATGGTCTCGATCTCCTGACCTCGTGATCTGCCCGCCTCAGCCTCCCAAAGTGCTGGGATTACAGGCGTGAGCCACCGTGCCTGGCCGCCAGGACCCATCTTTTATATGAATTTGGCTGCTGCATCTTAGGGTACCATGGTGATGGGCGTCATAGAGATGAGAAGAACTGATTTTATTGGTTCGCCTCTTCATTCCAGGGCCCTCCCACAGCCCCTCACACCCACAAAGCCTCAAGGTCAGCAGACCCAGGAGAAGAGCACACAGGGTCCCTGGTTAAGTAGATCCAATGATGTGAGAGAAAACCCAGTCTCTCTTCCCTCCCTCTCAATCATCTTTCTCTCTCTCTTTTCCCCTCCTCCCTCTCATTACCAACAGCAATTGTCTTCATACCCAATAATTACAGTAACAGCAACAATAATCATCATTTATTGGGGTTGTTTTTCTAGCATTTTAACTTCTGAAAGTATTTTCCGATTTCTTGATTTCACAGCAGTCCCTGGAGGAGGATTGTGTGTCCATTTTACAGCTGGAGAAGCCGAGATCCAGAAAGGACCCCCAAGTTGTGGGCAGAATAAATCTACAGCAGCTTTTAACTATTAAACCAACTTAGATTTTGGTAGTCTTTCAGAGGCACTGAATCTCAAATCTTAGTTTCCTGGGTCCCTCCTGGGTTCCTACCACCCTTAGGGCTTATTCAACAGCTTTCTGGGGATCCTGTAATGCTGACAGAGAGCCTGGAGACGGCTTCTTTGACCCAGGTCATGAGTCAATGGCTAGATGGGCACTTCCCCTCTGAGGATTGTTCCTGCCTGAGAGTGGGCTGTGGGGTGGGAGCTGGGGCAAGCACCTGGGAGGAGGCTTCCCTGGGAAAGGCCTGTCTGGCTCAAACCTCCCTTCCTCTATCCCACCTCTCTACGAGCCTGAGAAAATGTTCTTCTCTGTGTCAGTTCTTCTCAAGGGTGGGGGCCTCTCCAGAGCATTTGGAGGATTGAGGAATAAAGACCTATTGGGAGAGGCCGGGCACGGTGGCTCACGCCTGTAATCCCAGCACTTTGGGAGGCCGAGGTGGGCAGATCGCCTCAGGTCAGGAGTTTGAGACCACCCTGACCAATATGATGAAACCCCATCTCTACTAAAAATACAAAAAATTAGCTGGGCGTGGTGGCAGGCGCCTGTAATCCCAGCTACTTGGGAGGCTGAGGCAGGAGAATCCCTTGAACCCAGGAGGTAGAGGTTGCAGTGAGCCGAGATCATGCCACTGCACTCCAGCCTGGGTAACAGATCAAGATTCTGTCTCAAAACAAACAAAGATCTATTGGTAGAGCAGTCTCTGTCCTCAGGAAGCCCCCAGTCTGAAGGAGGAAATATAGCCCCCAAAACCACACCCAAGGTCAGAGAAACACCCCCAGGAGCTCAGAGGCTGTCCCAGGGCCTGATTCCTCCAGAAAGCCTGTCCTCTCTGGACCAAGGGTTTCCTGGGTGGGTAAGAAGCTGGGGCTCCCTGAGGTCCCTATAGCTCCCATGTCTAAGCAGAGTGGCTGTCTGGGCTCCCATTCCTTTCTCCCCCAAGACTTGGGCATCTGGGGTCAGGACTCCTACGGGGTCCAGTGGGTGAGAGGATGGGAGGGCGATCCTAAATCCCCTGCCTTCCTCTGCTCTGTCCCACCGAGAGGTGGGGAAGCCCTACAGAGAGGGAATGGGACAAATTCACTCCCAGATTCTACCTAGAAACGTAATGCCAGGGATAGGGCTTGTCCCCTCCAGCCCACCTGGTCAGGACAAAAGGTCAAGCCTCCCCCTCCCGCCACCCCCAGGGAGAACCTCCAGGCAGGTCCTGCAAGGCAGGAAGCCCAAGGGCGCGGCCAGGCGTAGGCTGTTTCACACACTCTCCATCTCCACGGCTCCCGAACCCGGCTGGGATTCCTTCTTCAGGGGCTCCGCCCCTGCCCCTGCCCCTGTCCCCACCTCTACGGTGCCTGTGAGGATAGCCAGCCGCTGCGCCAGGGTCTTGGTGTCGGGGAACAGGACGAAGTTGTAGATCAGTGAGGCCAGGAGGGCTCCCATCAGGGGCCCCACCCAGAAGACCTGAGGAGAAGGATGTCGTCACCCCACCCAGGAGCTATCAGGACCACAGGGTGGCTCTGGGACCGCTGCCTGCTTCCCCAGTGCCGACTTGATCTCCCAGGTCTCCCTCAACTGTCTGTAAGGTGCTAAATTTGAGAACCACGAGTCGTGTTTCCCAAGCCCACAAGGTAAGGGGACCTTGCCCCTTGCTCTCCCTGCCCTCCCTGGGGCTGAGCCCAGGCTCTGCAGCCGTGGCTGGGGCCTGGGGCCAGTCTCCTCACCCGCCCCCGCCTCTTTCCTCTCACTTCCCCCGTTTTAGCCAGGAGTCCTGGCTATTGCTGTTTCTGTCTCTGCTGGTGTGTGTGTCTATTTCTGTTTGTCTTTTTCTTTATCCAAGTTTGAAAATTGGTCCAGCTGGAGAAAGTGAATAAGGAAACAGCCAGGACTTAAAAGTCTGGGCCAAGGCTGCAGCTCCTGCCCTGGCCCATTTCTTGCCAGTCCACTGGGTATCCTGGGCAACTGAAGCCGAAAAGAAAGGAAGTCTCAGCCAAGACATTCACCCTGGCCTTCTGAGCTTAGGGAAGCTGCAAGTGAAACCCACCGTCTACAGGCAACTCAGGCTCCCTTCCCTCCCCAGGGCTGCCAGCAGAGGGGCTCACCCAGTGGACTGTGAACTTCCCAATGATGATGGCAGGGCCGAAGGAGCGGGCTGGATTCATGGAGCAGCCAGTGAAGTGGATCTGGGGAGCAAGTGCAGGGTCAGGGTGGGAGAAGGTTTAAGGCAGGCCTGAGAGGGGACCATTTCTCAGTCCTGGCTCAGAGCCTTAGCCCCAGCCACGGCCTCTGTAGTGCCATATCCTGGGCCTAGAGTGCAGGGGGTACCACTTTGGCTCCAAGGCACGAGGGGCTCAGGGAGGGACACTGCCTGGCCTTCAGGGCTCCACAGTTTCCCCGGGGACGGACCCGGTGTGTGCATGTGCACGGTGTCCCCTCTGTTCCTTACCCCAATGAGGTGGCCCAGTGCCACAGAGATCCCAATCATGGTGGCCGGGGAGCCTGATGTCTGACGGCTGTCGGTGGAAGCGAAGACACAGAGCACCAGCTGCAGGGTCAGAAGCAGCTCCACTGCCACCGCCTGGCCAGTTGAGACACTGTTCCGGACCTGGACAGAGGGAGTTACTCTGGACCAGACGCGGGCTCTGCCCACGGACAGACAGAGAAACCCCTGCCACTGGGCCTGGTCTCCTCAGCTGGAGGGGGGTGACACCTCACTGCCGCCCAGCTTCAGGACTTCGGGAGGCCTGTGCAGAGGGGTCCATATCTGCTCTGGACCCTTGCTCCCTGCAGAAGTGAGTGGTGCTCCTCCCACCCCACCAGTGGGTTGGTTGGGGCCAGTGGTTCAGGAGGCTTGCTTGAGAGGAGACTGGCAGCAGGTGTGGAAGGAGGAGATTTGGGGGAAGAAGGTGGAACACAGATGGTTACGAAATGGAGAAGGGGCGAGTGAGGCAGGCCTCGAGGTGGAGGGAAGAACTTGGGAACAGTCGGAGAGCAGAGGACGTGGGTGGAGCCTGGGAGAAAAATGAAGTCCCCGTGGGGTCCCCTTCTCTACCCACAGGCCCCGCACTCCCTTGGCCGCATCTACCCTTAAACGCCTGGTCCTTCTATTCCTTCTCCTTTATGTGGCCTCTTCCTTCTCCACCTGTTCTTCGCGCCACTATCCCATTTCTATTCTGCCTAGACTGAGGTCAAAGTCTCAGTCCTCTGGGTCCTGGGGCCCAGCCCGGGAGGATGTGGAGCCTGCAGCTGACTTGTTTCCTCCTTTGCTCCCTCGCCTCCGTCCTGGCCTCCACCTTCACCACTTGTGCGCATTCCCGCCTCCTGGCCCTCCAGGTGCCCCTCCCTGCACCTACCACGTTGATCCCAAGGGTCTCTCGGATGTCTCCCGGCATGACCCCATAAAGCAGAGCAGCCCCCACCGTGGCCCCCACCAGCTGGGCAGCCACATAGGCCACAGCACGGGGCAGAGAGATGTGGGAGCCTACGAGGAAGGCCAGCGTCACGGCGGGGTTGGCGTGGGCCCCGCTGGCCTTCCAGGTGACCTGCACAGCCATGGCGGTGACCAGGTTGAAGGTGATGGCAATCTGTAGCACGGAGGGAAGTGCTGTGGGCCAGCGCATGACTGAGCCCACGCCAAAGAACACATACAGCCCCGTGGCCAGGAACTCTGCAAACAGCGCCCTGCTGATGGCTTTCCAAAGCCTGCACGCCAACATGCTGGCCCAGCCACGTCCCCCTGGCTCCACTGCATCCATGTCCTGGTGCCTTGGCCGTTCCTTGCCTTGCTCTGGGGCCTCTTCTCTGTTCCTCTGGTCTCTGATCTCCTGTCTCTTCTGGTGTCCTGTCTCTGGCTGACCCTGGCTTTTGCTCTCTGTGGAGGCTTCTCTGGCCCCCACCTGCAGCTCCTCCACCACGCTCCTGTCCCCAGGACTGTGCTGGTCAGACTGGCAGGGCGCAGGCGGATGGGCTTATGCATGTGTATGGGGGTGGAATGAGGGGTGTTGCTCATATGCCTGCTCCAGCCTGAGCTGACCTGATGGGGTGGGATGTGGGGGCTGTCTCTGGGCACTGAGCTGGAACCTCCTACGATGATTTCCAGGGCGGGTTGGGCCTGACTCGTGTTGTAGACAGTCCAAGGTCTAGCCTGAGGGTCGCAGGTGCAGGGCAGCGGGGCTCATGGGATTTCAGACTGTTCATGTTCCAATGTCAGCTTAGATACAGCAAGATCACTCAGATCCCCGGCCTGCTTCAGGGGGTCCTGTGCATTCCCAGGTCCTGTTCGTCTGGCCCCCTCCATATCTAGGCTTTGCTTCCAAATGGGCTGACACCACACCGTGCCCGTAAACCCAGAAAGTAAGTTCCCTCCTCCACTCCCACCTATACCCGCACTCACAGAATGCAGATGTGAATACAGTCGACTTTACCAAGGACGCTGTGGACACTGTGGCCTGTGGGGTTGCAGAGGGGCGGGTGGAGAAGGGGTTTATTCCACAGCGACTCAAACCGCGTCAGATCACACAAGGCCATGGGCACCTCTGCTGTCCACCAGGGGAAATTTCCACTGGCCCTTCACTCACTTCCTCCTGCCTCCCTGCCCTCCCCCGCGCTCCCCTCCCTTCTTGGCTCCTCCGTCTCTGCTCTCCTCCTCTCAGGGGCCAAACAGATTTCACTCCTTTCTCACACAAGGCAGCTTAACCATTTTTTGTGGCTGCACTGGCCCTATGGTCACCCATGCCCTAGGCTTTCCCTGGCCCTATGGTCACCCATGCCCTAGGCTTTCCCCTTTTAACCCTAGCAGATAGCAAGGTATCTTCTCAAACAAAAGTGTTCCTCCCTAAGAAGAGTCTGCCAAGCTATTGAAATAACAGTCTTCCCCTCTTCACCGTAGCTGGGTGTCCTGACCTCATCCCTGGCATATCTACCTGCCTACAGATGTCCCCTGGTTGTTCTCAGGCTCCTCAAACGCAATCTGTCTCCAGATGTGATCCTCCTGTCTCCTGGTACCCCCCCCAACCCCCATGTTCTCCTCTTGTTTTCTGCAGCTCAGCTGGTGGCATCTGGGAAGCATCCTTGACCCTTTTCTCCCTCCTTCCCCCATCCAGGAAAAGCATCAAGTCCTGCTGATTTTCAATCCTAAATATCTCCTGACTGTGCCCTCTTTTTGCCACCCCTGCCGCCCTGCAGCCTTTCACCAGTCTCTCTGTCTGCTCCCTTGCTCCGTTTCAATCAATTTTCCATACTGCAGCCCAAGTGCTAAAATGCAAATCTGATCATGCTGCTCCCCTGCTAAAATCCCTTCCAAGCCTCCCATCCCTCTGGAAGCTCTGTGCCTGCCTTCAGGGACCCTGCAGCTCTCCCTCACCTCTCCCCACTCTGTTACCCTCTGGTTTCACCAAATGCACACTCTTGCTGGCCTCTCCTTGGAAAAAGCTCTCTCCTCTTCTTGGAGATCCCTTGCACTCCCTTTGCTTGGGTAACTCCCATTCCAAAGGCTCAGCTTTGACGTCGCTTGCTCCTTTCCTGGGTGGGGACCCTTCTGCGTGCTCCCACCACACCTGGGCATTCTCCTACACTGCAGTCACCACAGGGTGTTGTCATGGTGTGAATGTGTCTCCCCAGTGAGGCAAGGCGGGGAGGCCTTTGGGGGGCGGGAACCAAGTTTTGTTCACCCCTGCATGTAGTGTCTTGCACAGAGATTGGCACAGTAACTGCCCAATAAATATTTGTTGAATGAATGAATAAAAACTTCTTGACTTCCCGGGGCAGATGACTATGTCTGCTGCATTTCAGCCTCATACTCATACCTTCCCCCAACTGGGACTGAGCCCTCTGATATCTTCAAGAGAAACATCTTAACTCTGGACTACAGGCTCTGTTCCTCCCCAGTCCCTGTCTGAGTCCCAGTAACATCCCTCACCCATTTCCTTCTGTTCTCCCTGCTGTCTCGACTTCACCATGTCCTCTCCAGGGAACTCCTGGGCATCTCACCCTGAGCAGGCTCTTGCCAGCGCTCCGTGGTCCTGGCTCCCTGTCCTCTCCACCCCGTCCCTGCTGCGTGTCTCTGTTCTCATCCTCTTCCACGCCTTTCTGCCCCCCATCTGCGCTGCTGAGCACTGCTGGAGAAACTCACCCAGTCGTGCAGACTGCTACCATGACAAGTTCATGGTCTCTGGCCCCAGTAGGGATCGCAGCTCTGCTCAGCAATCCTTCCACAGCTCTCCCCTCATTCTTTAAACCTCCCCCACTCTCTTCAAGTATTCGACTCACTCTGGCTTTCTCTCAGCAGAGCACCCACCCTTGCCTCCCACCCTACCTAGAAAGCCAAGCTACCAGGCAAGACTTCTTCCCATCCTCCCTCCCAGCCAAACTCACCTGCAGCTGCCCTGTGGCCTTGAAGTAGGGGCAGCCCTTCTCCAGTGTACAAGTCGGGGTCGGGGGACCCTCCTTGGACTTCTGGCTCCCTTTGAGTGACTGGGACCCTCTCTTGGCCTTTCCCAGTCTCACCTGTGGCTTTCAGGCTTCCCCTTCTCTTGACTTCTTCCCTATAAACGTGCCTGCGTAGTCGCGGAGCAGTGAAAGATCATGATTTGGAGTCAAGGTTCCAGCCACCTATCCACTGCACAACAGCCCCCAGCCCCCGGCTACCGAAACCGCTCTGGCAAAGGCCAGCATGATTTCCTCTCCAGCCCACTGTGGCACATGGGCTGCCGGCCATCTTCCTGACGCCTCTTTTTCCCTGCCTTTGAGGCACATCTCCTGGCTGTCCTCCCATCTCTGTGAGGGCAACTCTGCCACGTGGCCTCCATGGCTGGCTCCTCTTCTGCTGATCCTTAAGCCCAGGACTTGTCTACTCCTGGCCCATGGCCCCTCACTCCTGATGAGTGTGCCTGGGCAGCCCTGTTCCCACCTGTGACTTCCACACCCTGCAGATACTGTCGACTCTCAACACTGTCTCTGGCCCAGATCTTTCTCCTAAACTCCAGACCCACTCACCTCTCACTGGACCCTCCGGCTTGCTCCTCCTCACCCTACTCTCACTCAGTTGCCCAGGCCAGAACACAGGAAGCATCTGGTGCTTCCCCTTCCCCCAGCCCATAGCAAATAGGTTCCTTGTACCAGGTTCCTGGTAGCTCTTTCTCATATTTGACACCTCTTTCCATCCCCACTTGCCACTGGCCCAGTGCAGCCCTTATCACCTCTCCAGGATGACTGCATTAACCTCCTTCCTGGGCTCTCAGACTATGTTGTGCCCTTCCACACCACTCTCCTCTCCACTCACTGTCAGAGAGATCCTTCCAAAATGCAAAGCTCATCAAGTTACTCCTCTGCTCTAAAGCTTTCAATGGCTCCCCATTGCCTCAGAATCAGGTCTGAATACCCATGTTTAACATGCAAGGAAGGCTCCCCTTCCACTGCCCACCCTGCACCCTTTACTCCAAACAGGCCAGACATATTTCCCCAGAACGAGCCCTTTGCTGTGGAGTTTGGATGCCTCTCCTTTTTGTCTCTCAAGACTTTGCTCAAGTGCTGTTCTTCTGCGAAGCCTGCCCTCATTTCCCTCTCCAGCAGAATCAGGGCAAGCTTCTTAGAGAAGCAGGGCTTGAGCAAAGCCAGGGGCTGGTTGTGGCCTCTGCCTCCTCAATGCCTCCACTGTTCCAGCACAGACATCCATCCCTGGCTGGCATAGAGGGGTCATTCAATAAATGCTCAAGGGATGACTGGGCATGGCTGTGGGGGCGGCGTGGGCACTGTTCCTCCCTGGCACGGGGGGTTCCCTGGCTGGGGGCTGTCCCAGGGTAGCTCAAGGGCACTTGTCTGCTTCCCTCACTTCAGGCAGGGCGAGTAGAGGGCTTGGTGGACAGGCACTTTCATCTGACCTAGCCTCAGTTTCTGCCCTTGTTAAATGGGCGCCACGTGGCAGCAATGCTTACCTGTTGAGAGCTGCTGATGAGGCCACTGAAAGGATTGTGAACACTGCCATGTGTATTGCACCCTAAGCAGTTGCTTAACCTCAAGATCCTCATTTATGCAGTGGGGATGATGCTAATAATTCCCTCCTCCCTGTGTGTAGTTAGGAGTAAATGTGCTGATACCTAGGAGAGGGCCTCCAAGTCAGAAAATGTGAATGATTAGGATTGTAACTTCCCTGCCCCCTGCCGTTAGACAGCTGTGGGGACGGGGCTGCATGGCGGCTCCAAGACAGGCACCTCAGCACCTGCCCTGGGCCTTGGAGCCTGAAAGTGCTAAGTGCAGTGGCAGCCCTTGTCCCCAGCTAGCTCGGGGCTGAGTCTCCTGACCTCTGCCCAGCCTGGGACAAGGTCCTTCACCTCCTGAGGCCAGGTAGCCATTGACCAGGGCTTGCTCCAGGCCTGGCTTCCTGTCCTAGCCAGCACGTGCCCGAACCCAGCCAGCACTGGGCTCTAGTGCCAAGCTTTAAGCTCATTCATGCTCAAAAACCTTTTGCCGAGGTTCCTTATCTGGCTGCCTAGGGCTGCCTGTCAATGCAGCTCTGACTGAAGTCCTATTAGAGATTGGGGAAAGTAAGGGGGGCGAAGGGGAGGGGAAGGAGGAAGGTACCGGGAGAGAAAAGGAGGGAGAACACAAACTGATGGGGAGGGAATTCAAGATGGCTTCCCGTGCCTCATCTCAGTGATCCCCACAAAACCTGGAAAGGTAGGGAGGTCTGATGTCCTCATCCACACATGACGGAGACACATGAGGCCAAGAGGAGCGGAGAGACCTGGTCCTCCCAGATGTCCTTCCTCCTGTCCACCCATCTCAACAGCCAGCCCCTCTGTCCGCTCTCCACCTCTCCTCCCGGTCCTCTTCCATCTCTCCCCATATCACCTTGTCCACCTCCCAGCTGGTGAGAACTGGCAGGCCCTGGGGAGAGGAAGAGAGGGAGGAAGGGGAAGGGAGCCTCCCACAGGAGAATCCAGACTCTCCCTGGGTTCCATCTTTAGGTGCAGCAGAGGTGACGGGGACTGTGTGTGCTTGCGTTGGACAGCACACAGGTGTGCCTCTGAGAACCCGTGGAGCCAGGCTCATAGGTCTGGGCCCGCGGTGGGGCCGGCGGTGGCCCTGTGAGCGAATGCTGGAGGAGGGCTGATGTGGCTCTGCACATTCGAATGAACGTGCGGAGGAAAGGAGACGCACACACCCGGAACATGCAGCCCTCGGGCACGACTGAGGTCAGTGTGTGGCCGCGAGCCCCGGACTGTGTGGGGTCAGTGTGTGTGCGCGCGTGTGCACGGGACTTTGTGAGCCCGCAGACCTGCCGCTCCTGCAAGATCCGACACGCAGACACAGCGACCCCTGCTGGCCACACCGCCCCAACCACGGCGCTTGTCAGCCCCAAGCCCTAGCTGGAAGCCTGCCCAAGGGCCAGGCGAGGCAACCTGCAGGAAGCTCAGGGCCGGTAGCCCCCTCTGACTTAGTGCCTTGCCTGCCCCCGCGGGTTTGTCTCCCAAGGGTCCACTGTCCACCCTGCCGTGGCCCCCATTGGGCTGGAGGAAGAGCCCATCCTCCTGGTCATGGCTGTGTCTGTACCTGAGTCTCCTGGAGACTGAGCGGAGAAGGGCTCCCCTCTCTTCTGCGCCCCACCCGGATAGCGGGGCGGGGATGCATTGGGATAGGCTGCCTCAAGGTGGCCCCAGGGGACTCAAGCATGAGGGACTCCCTGTGTCCTCCACTCCACCCCCATCTGGCTAGAGCCCAGACCCAGGACTTGTGGACGACGAGGCGCCACGCTGTGGATTCGGTGGACGACGTCGCCCTCTGCTGGCCAGAGCTGGCACTTGCAGCCCGGCTCCCCCAGCCCGGGGCAGGTTGGAAGAAGTGGGAAGGGACACGGTGGGTGGGGGGCTGCTCCTTCCCTGGGCTCCCGGGGTTCTCACACGCAATGCCACGTGGTGTTTACTGTAAGCCTATGGGGCGGACATGAGTGGCTGACCTCTCACTTGTAGATGCTTAGACTCTAAGTGTGGAGAAGGCTGGGGGGTCTGCCACTCCTCACCCCAGCCCCTGGGACTGCCTCTCGCTGGCCAAGAACTACAGCTTCCCCTACCCCTTCTCAGTCCGTCTCCTGGCCCCGCTGGACAGGCGCTCAGGTCCAGACACCCCCAGGAGGGCAGAAGCATGTGGCTGGGGCCTCAGACTAGGCAGGCACGTGTGGGTTTCTATTAACACGACTATACTGAGCACTCACTCCAAGGCGCCTGACCATTTGTACAAGCGTTTTACCTCCAGGCGTGGTCTCATTTTCTCCTCACGACAGCACATAGCACATGAGGTCGGGAAAAGTACCCCTGTTTTGCAGATAAGGTCCTTAAAGCTCAGAGAGCTTATGTTGCCCCAAGTTTCACGGCCAGATTGGAATGAGGGTAGTTACTGACTCCAGGCTGGGCTCACTGCGAAGCTGGGCTATGCGGAGCTGTTCACTGCATGACCCCCCGCCTTTTCCTCACAGAAAGCTGACTGGTCCCAGGCATCTCATGCCCTCATCTGGTCCCCACAACTATCTTGTGAGGAAAGTGATATTTTATCCCCATTTTACAGATGAAGAGAGGGAGGCTCTGAGAGTTTAAGGAGGTTACCTAAGGAGTGTCAGTGACAGTGGGACAAGAGCAGGCTAGGACAGAGCTCAGGCCCAGAGGAGAGGACGGTGGGGACACTGGTGGGCCAAGGCATGAGAAGCCCTGGAAAAGGGGGCTGGGCCACATGTGGCTTCTGGGGGGGTCGGGGGGCTGCTCCCTCTGGGCACAGGCTCCCAGCAGGACACCTTTTTGAAAGACCAAGGTGCAGAGAAACGAGCCCAGGGCTGTGATGGAACCTGGCTGGTCACCCCCTTGCCATCTCGAGGGGCTGCGGTTGGCTCACTCCTCCGCCCTGCCTGTCACACCCTGGTACTCCCCTCAAGTGCCAGCCAAGCCCTCCTCAAGTGGCAGGGACTTGATTGACATGGCTGAGGGGGAGGGGTGGAGGGTGACTGCAGTGAGGACCCCTCCTTCCTGGCCTCTAGCTCTATTTTGATATTCGGTCTTCTCTCAGTCTCTCCCTGCTCTGTTCCCATCTCTCTGATTCTCTGGGCCTCCCATGGTCACAGTCTCCCTTTCTTCCCACAGAGCACTTGTCCTGGGGTCCCCTGGTACCCTGTGGAGATCGTGGTGGAGGATGTGGGATGACAAAGAGGAGAGGCAATGGGCCAGAGTGTCTCAAGGCACTCTGAGGAGAGACAGAGGTGGAACGTGAGTATCAGTGATTTATTGGGTAGCCCCCACTCTAAACACCAGCAGCCCCACGCATGCATCCTCACCAGAAATAAATAAGGCGGCATTCAATGAACCAGTCTGTCTTCTTCCTAAGGAGCTCTGGGGAGGGTCTGCCTCTGCCCACCTAGGGGCTGGGATCCCTTCAGCTCTTGAGGAAGGGTTGGGGAAGGTGGGGGGTGCAGGCTGCAGGCCCGCCCTTTTCTGGCCTGGCCCTTGCAGCCTGTGAGCTTGGCACTGCATTCACAATCTCTGAGGTCTGTCCCAGAGAGACCTGTCCCCAGCAGACCCCAGCCCCTGGCCCCTACCCCAGGAGTCCCATCATGGGTTCCTTCTCCCCTCTCTAACTGTGCAGCCAGGGTGACCAGCTCCTCCTCCTCAGCCAAGAGGACCGGTTGTGCAAAAAGGAAGCTTGTGTTAGGTACTTTTTCTTCTTTTCCCCCTTGGCTCAGGGGCTGAGGGGCTGGCCCCTGCCTGACACTGGTCAGCGGGTGGTCAGCTCCATGGTCTTCTTCCGCTCTTCCCGCTGCTCCTCCCAGTCCTCGTCAGGCTCATACGTGCCTTTGATGATGGCCACACGCTCACTCAGGCTCAGGGAGTTGGGGAAGAGCAGGTAGAAGTAAAGGATGGCAGCCAGGACCGCCCCCACGATGGGCCCTACCCAGAAAACCTGGTGGAGACAGGGCAGGAGTCAGGGCGCTGAGCCCCAGACCTTGAAGACCACATGCCCCCCACCCCACAGAGGACAGACCCACGGACCCTGAGAGGAGACAGACATGCAGACTTCCAGACCTTCAGGGAGAAAGACTTCCTCCCACCTCGGGGACGAATATACTGACACACCACTCCCAGGGACAGAGACATGGACCACAGACACCTAGACCCTCAAAGAAGGCAAACAGATTCCCAGAGGGACAGGCTCCCTCCAACCACACCGGAAAGAGAAGCAAATAAACCTTCAGAGGGGACACGTGGGTCCTCAGAGAGACGGATGAACAGAGCGCGTGTCCCCTCCACGCAGGGATAGAAGCAGACCCTGGAGAGAGTGACCATGAGCTTCCAAAGGGGGGGCAGACAGACTGTCCACAGGGACAGACCCACAGGAAGACTCTCCCAACCCCCTCAACAGGGACAGATAAATAAAACATCAGAGAGGACCAGCACGCAGACACCGAGGGGGACGGACACCAAATCCTCAAGGGAATTGACACAGAGCCCCTCTGCACCTCCAGGTTCAGTAGAGCCTCTTCCATAAGCGGATAGATACTCAGACTCCCTGTCCCCAGCGGTTCAGGCCATACAAAGCCACCTCTGCCCCTCTAGCTGAATCCCATCCCCTACTGTGTCCCTTTCTCTGTCAGCCACCACTCCGTGGCCCACCCCCAAGCTCTAGACCCACAGAATCCAGGTCTGGTGAGCTCTGAGCTGCCACTGCTGGGTCTCCAGGCCCTCATCTCCAGGGAGCCAGGGGAAGGGACAGACTCACCCAGTGAGCGGGGCTGAACCGATTCATGACCACCGCAGGGCCAAAAGAGCGGGCTGGGTTCATGGAGCAGCCAGTGAAGTAGATCTGGATAGAGACAGGGCGGTGGAGAGAAAGGCAACATCCTGGTCCACTCCCACAGAATCTGGACTCTCTCAAGGTTACACTGCAGTCCAGGGGCTCAGCCAGGTCTCAAACTCAGGCTGGCAACCTCTCCCTCC
Source organism: Homo sapiens (assembly GCF_000001405.40). Classification (NCBI taxonomy): domain Eukaryota; kingdom Metazoa; phylum Chordata; class Mammalia; order Primates; family Hominidae; genus Homo; species Homo sapiens. The sequence goes on along the minus strand of NC_000012.12, from coordinate 49,963,957 downwards.
AAGGATCCCAGCTGCTTGGTTAACCATGGACCCTTAACTACGCCCTCCTCTCTTCTCTGCTCTGAGGTTGGGTTTGATTCCTGTCCCATCCCACCTCCTACTTACTCCCATCTTTCCTCAGCCCAGAGGTTTTGGGGGGATCAATTCTGGGGCCCAGTAGGGCCAGAGTCCAGGAGCCCTAAATCCAGGCCTTAAACTCTGCTGGACTCATCCATCTGAAGTGGGCTCCGCTCCAGGGCTCCATTATTTGCCTTGAGTGCCTGCCCCACCCTCACCCCAGCCCAATGTCGGTACTGCTCACTCCGACAAGGTGGCCCAGGGTGACAGACAGGCCAATGGACAGGGCTGGGGAGCCCACAGGGCTGGTGCGGCGGGAGTCAGTGGAGGCGAAGATGCAGAGTGCCAGCTGGAAGGTCAGAATCAGCTCCACCACCATGGCCTGGCCCTGCGTTGTGTTGTTGTTGAGCTGCAAGGGGATAGCGGGTTAGGACCCCGGCCACCTTCTGGCTGTATAGCCAGGGGCTCGGGGAGTAGGGCTTTTGGCCTCCAGGGACACTTAGAGCACCTTGGCACCTGGAAGCCAAGTCCTGTGGACATCGCCCCAGCGAAGCCATTTGTTAAAGACACTGTACATTTCATAGTTTGCACAGGCTTGAAGCTCAGGCCTGTGGCCAAAGGGCAGAGCGTCAGGGTAGCTTTTCCTGGACACGGGCCTATCAATGGCTCTGCCCAACCCCCAGCCCCCATAAGCTGGCATTTACCCTCCATCCTGTGGGCAGCTGCCCGGTTTGCCTGCCTCACACCCCATCCCGGCCTCCTGCCCGTGCCTGGCCCCATGCCAGTGCCAGCCTTAAACCCGTCTCTCCAGTGCGGCTGACTCACAGCTTGACAATGGCCAAGCAAATCCTCCTCTGTGTTTGATTAATGAACCCAGTTTGCATGGGGTTGGGGGCTGACTCTGGGGCTGCAGGAGGTGGGAGGGAGGCAGGGGTGCGGGGTTGAGGGGAGGAGCACAGGTTGGGGAAAGAGGGAACCAATACTCAACAGAAACTGCTCTGCACTGGCCCCACATTAGGGGGTTCCTATCTACGGTTTCTAAATGTGAGCCCCTTGACACCTGCTGTGGCAGACACAACCATCCCCATGGAGGCGCTGAGAACAATGAAGCACAGACAGGCCAGGGTCACCCAAAGCCGTGATGACAGCCCGCTTTTCTCTGGTGGTTCTACTCAACCGCTCCACTGAGGTGATGGGAGAGGTGAGGGGCCCAGGAGGAAGGTGGAGCTCAAAGGTGAGACAGGAGGAGGCAGAAGTTTCTGGCAGGAGAGGAGGGGTAGCAGGCATTGGAGAGAGACCAGGGTGGGCCAGCATGAGGGGAGGGGGAGAGGAGGTGGGCAGGAAGGGAGCACATATCAGCCTGGAGAGTTGCCTTCCTGGCCTTGGGAGGCTCTTGCCTTCCTGGTGAAGGGTGTGGGCTGGCCCACTCTGCGGCACCCCTTTTTTCCAGGTGGGGTAAGAGGCCTGGTCCTGAGCCCACCCCAGGGTCGAGGCTCCCACCCCCCCCCCAGGGCACTCACCGCGTTGACGGCCAGATTGCCCCGGGCATTGAGCGGTGCCACACCGTAGAGGATGCCAGCCCCGGCAATGGCGCCCACCAGCTGGGCCGCCACGTAGAAGAAAGCCCGGAGCAGCGAGATCTGGTTGCCCACCAAGAGGGCCAGGGTGATGGCGGGGTTGATGTGGCCGCCGCTCACGGGTCCCAGGGCCTGGGCCAGCGTGCCTATGGCCAGGCCAAACGCCAGCGCGATCTGCAGGATGGTAGGCAGCGCCGACGGCCACTTGAGGGCCGAGCCCAGGCCAAAGAAGACGAAGATGAGGGTGGCCAAGAACTCTGCGAACACGGCCTTGAGGAAGGCCACGGAGCACACCTCCTTCTTCATGGTGGCCGCGGGGGCCCGGCGGCAGCTGCCGCGGCGGGGGGCGCCCGTTGGGTCGCAGGCGGCGGAGGAGGTGGATGCGGCGGGGGCGGGGGCCTGGCTGCGGGGCGCCGCGCACTGTCCCGCGCCCACTCCGAGGCTGGCGGCCTGGCGCGGGCCCTGCTGGGGCGCGCTATATAGGGGGCGGGCGGCCGGGCGCGGGGCCGGCGCGGGGGGGCAGGGGGCGGCTCCTACGCTCGGGGGCCAGCGCGGCGCGCGGGTTGGGAGGCTCCAGGCCGCTGCGGGCCCGCCGCTCTCCGTCGTCCAGCGCAACCCCGGCGCGACCCCCGCCCCCCGGCCGGGGCAGCCGCCGGCCCGTCCGGGCCACGTGACCCAGGCGGCGGTGTAGACCGGCCCAGCGTCCCGGGCCCTGCGCATGATGCGCCCAGGTTGGCTCCCGCGCTCTCCTCGGTGCCGTGCGCCCCGGACTCCCTGGGAGACGGGGCTCGGTCCCGGCGCTTCACTCCGACCTCGGGGCGTCTAGCTCCGCCGGCCTTTACCGCGCTCCGTGCGCGGCCTTCCCCTTTTCTTCTCTTCGGGCTTTTGGTCCAGCTCCTCCTTTTCCTCCTGCGACCGGAGCATCCTGACCCGCCTCACCCCCGGCTGGGTCGGAGTGATGCTCGTCCCGCAGGTCGGCGCCGCTCACCTCCCTCACCGCCGGCGGCGGGGGCGGGCGGCCGGGCTGGGTCCTGCAGGGCGGTCCGGCCGTCCGACGTGGGCCGCTCCCGGCCTGGGCCGGGCGAGCTTCTGGGCTTGGAAGGCTGGCGTTTTGGGAAAAGTGGGCACCGTGCCAGCCTGCCCCGACGCTTCGCAATCCTCGACGCCCGGTAGCTGGGCAGTACCTGGACTAGGCAACGGATCCCCGGAGGCGCCCTCTCCCAGGCCGGGGTTCCCCTTGTCGACGGGACGGGACGGGGGTGTGACGTGAGGCCTTGAGACTCTGGGAGTTGGAGTGGGGGAGCAGGGGGGGTAGAGACGCACCACTGACCTCCCAAGCGCGGTCTTGGCGTCTTCCCTCTTCCTGCTAGAAGCCCCTCACCCTGGATCTAAGACTCTCCTTCTCTTCCTCCACCTCCCCTAAGTCTCCTTCAAACCCTCACTTGGTCTTGATCTCTCTCCCCTCGAAATCTGTTTCTGTCAGTCAGTCTTTGCAAAACCCTATTTCTCTTTTTGTCTCTGTCTTTGGTCTCTGACCCTCTCCCTCTGCCAGCCTCTTCCTCTCGGTCTCTCTCCGAGAGGTCTCTTTCTCATTTCAGTCTCTCTGTTCTCCACCTCTCCATCTCTCTCTCTCTCACACCTTCTCATTTTCTGTTTTTCCTTCCTGCCTTTTGCTGTCTTAGTCTCTCTGTCTCTCTCTATTCATTTCTCTCATCCTGCAGTTTCTGTCTCCTGGCTATTTTCACCTTTCCTCTGCCTCTTAATTTTTGTGCCTTTCTTTGTTTCTGTCTGTTTCTACCTCATTTTCCATGTCTCTCTCTCTTACATGTGGTCTTTCTCAGTCTCCCCAAAGTCAAGTTCTTCTACCCCTGGTCTGGGTGACACTTTCTTCCAGTTCCCATCCCCCTTCCCTCTGAGCTTGTAACCCCTTTGTGACCTGCTGCCTCCTCGCACACCACCCTCTCCCTCTTCCCACCCACTCCAGGTCGGGCATGTGGAGAACGAGGCTGGAGGGCTCTCTAGGGCTTAGAGGGGGAGGACCCACCCCCAGGATCCCGGGAGAGGAGCTGCATTAAAGACTCCCATCCCCATGTGTGTTAGAGAAGCCCTTAGCACAGTGCCTGGCACAGAGTAAGGCTCAGTAAAGTCTCCTTACGTTGTGACTGTTAATTTTAAAAGCCCCTTGAGGGTTTAGT